>NC_000011.10:81055696-82440197 GCF_000001405.40 Homo sapiens | reverse complement strand
GGAAATGAACTCATTCAAATGGGAGATAATTTAAGATTGTCCACTCAGGACATTTTCTTTCTAGTTTTCCTTCACCCAGTACATAAAATTTTTATTTAGTCTGGTGACATAAATTGAATTTGACAGGAGCAAACCTTTTTTTTCACTCAAACCATAAAATTATTATGTTGCCTGAGTTAAGATTGTGTTTTCCCTTCATAAAAATAATGAGTACTGCCTTTCCTAGGGTGATTGTCTCGCAGCAAAGGAAAATGTAGCAAAATTACTCCTTGCTGGGGTTTCAGAATGGAAAGAAAACATTGTATCACTAAATACACATGGGACTCTTAAGTCTCAGGGCCAGAGTTCAAGCCCAGTTCTGTCATTTAACAGTAGGGTCACCTTGGAAAAGTATCTGAAACTTGGTTTTCTCGTTTTTAAAAAGAATAGTAATCCCTGGATTGTATTGTTGGCTCTTTTAAGGATCAAATGAAGTAATGGTTGTGAAATGATTGAATGACTCTAATGTACAATGTAAATATAGATGGTTATCAATATTAATGCCTGCTGTGCTGATGCACTATGAAAAGTGATTTCTTACCTAAGAGTCTGCCAGACAACAGACCCACCAACCAATGAAGATGGTCACTAGGCGGAATGTCATTATGTCATTAGAATGGAGAGTTAAGCCCAACTTCTCCCTTTACGTTCCCCACTATAAAATGAAGAAACTGAGTCCTAGGGAAGTAAGGCAAATTGATGAAAATCACATAGCTATTTAGGGGAAGTCTAGGACTCAATTCTCCATTTCCTGCCCAATATTCTTTCCAAAACAACCCTCCTTCTAACCTTATTAAATGATTAATAGTGTTGTGGCTTGACATGAGCAATTAGAAAAGGAGAAGCCGGAGAAGGCTGGAAGTTTGCTCCACCTGTTCTATTCCCACTTATATCTGGAAGTTCCCTTTTCCATGTTGGAGGTGATGTAAAGGAGAATTTGACTGAATTAAAATGAAATACCAAATTCTCATAGAGTCAAACTGTCCTCACACCCTGGACTGTCCCCTGGGCTGTGTTGGCGATTAGGTGAATGGTAGCAACAACAGGATGTAACAACAACAATTACAAAGCATATTTTAACAGTGTTTTCCAAATAGTATTCCAGGATACATTTGTTCCAGGCAGTAGGCTCAAGTAAGGTGGATTTGCTGCCTTGATACATTCCCACTGTTGGAGATTCACAAGGTACGTTCCCATCTTAAAGCTCCTAAGCAATGCCACCACGAAGAAAATTTGTTTAATTGTGTTTAGAAGTTAAATTGACAAATTTATTTGTGCCGAGAAGACATTTTTCCCCTTGAAGCATCTAGTACTGTCCCAAGTAGTTCTTTCTCTTTTACTGAAGAAGAAAGGAATATCTTTTGATGACATTGTCTGTCTCTATGAAGGGGCCCTGTACACTACTGTTCCTGCCACCCCCTCCCCACCTTGTGCAGCCTCAGGCAGGACAGACATGGGCTGCCGTGATTTGCTGGGCCTGAGAGAGCTCTCAGTCAGGACAAGTGGAGCAGTTCAATGTCAGGGTGGACTTTATGACCATCACCGGATGCAAATGCAAGCATCTCTGTATATACCAGAGTGAGCAGATGAGGATAGCTGAAAACCAGATTAGATGATCACGTCTCAAGGAATACCCATGTGGACAGACTATGTCTAGGCTCAGACGCTGTTCTTCCCCAGTACCTTGATATATGAAAGTCACTCACCCATTCCTCCCACAGCTTAGATGCAACTCAGAGCAACTTGACCTTGAACTTCCATTCAAATCCTGAATTCACTGCAGTAAGAAAAACAAGAACTGGACCAGAAGTCACCCTTCACCTTCAGTCAAATGGAAACATGAGATAAAAATCAAGTTTAGAAATGGAAAAATAAAGTTTAATTTTTGTAGCCCTGAGTTTGTGGCTTGTGAAAATATTGTAATTACTACGAATTTCACATTAGGATCTTCCACTCCTGCTATGCTGACTCTCACAGTGCTGAAAAAATGTCATTTAATTAACTAATACATTAAAAACATATTCTAGCATCTATCTTAAATATTATTATATTTACATTTAAAAGGATAATGTCTGATGCTTCTTTTATGTTGTTGCTAGACCAGTAACATGCAAACACATATGTTGTAAAGGATGCTTAATTGGCCTTTAGAAATTGACTGTATTGTATTGATCAGTGAGGAAATTCAGAGACAAAATCATTTTTTTGTAGTAGGATGGAAGGGCAATAAATTTATCTAATAAAAAATAAATTTAGTAGGTGAGAAAAAAAAGAACAGGTTAACAAGACCTAGTAGAAAGACAGATAAACCAGACCAAAATAAAGTTGGCAGGATATCTTGCATTCTTTTGACTGTATGAATAAAGGGAACAAGATCACCAAGTTTCTCCAGTTAGAGTTAAGAATTCCACAATCCATGAACTGCCATATACCATTTCTGATTGTTCTGGTTAAGTTCTCCAACTTATAATTATAATGTTGTAATTAGACAAATTAGATACAAATGGAGTATATGAGATAGTGGAGTTACATATGCCAAAGGTAGTTGTCCTTTGGGAAAAATCTGAGGAAGATTTAGGAGAGATTTAAGTCATGTAATATTGACAGAGAAAAATTCAAATTATATATTAAAAGGTTAAATTTTGCTGGACCATCGGGAGGGGTTCTGTGAATGATGCCTCCTTGTTATCTCTCCCTCTGGTTTGGTTACATGAAGTATCAATAAGTCAGGTACCAGATGTATTTATGTACTATTGCCCATTCTCCCCATTGAGGTTGATATCTGCAATGGACTTTGCAACACAAAAGTGCTCAAAAGTTCTAGGATGTTACTTCTGTAGAATTTGTTTGGGAAATCATCAATTTTAGCATATGCTGTTTATATTGTTCCTTTTATCTCCTACTTTGGTCTTGGAAGATAAAAATCACCCAGATGGGGATGTATGATTAGAATCTGAACAAACAATGATTTGATGTCTAGTAGGATGTGAGCCAATCATTCTGGGGGCCCTGTTATCCAGCTCAACTAAATTGAGCTTCAGCAGATGCAACTGAATTGAATGCAGATACTTCAGGAATGAATCCGTCTGGAATTCTCACTGAAATACCGTCTGTCAGCCACATATATTTGATTTAATACTTACTTGGTTTAGAAATGGGTATAGCTTTTCACATTCATAAAGAAACCTGCAAGGAGTGAGTGTTCAATGAATAGATTTGGCATGATCTTTGAGCAGCGGAACAAGTGTTTTTACATGGATGGGGTGTGGAATGTGGGGGCAGCAAGTCTGCAAAATTTGGACAAGATGATAACTGGAATAACTGAAAAGTCAATTTAACAAGAAAGCCAGGGATGACTACCTTGGTAGCAAACATTTTTATTTTTATTTTTATTTTTTTGAGACTGAGTTTTGCTCTATCACTCAGGCTAGAGTGCAGTGGGGCGATCTTGCCTCACTGCAACCCCCGCCTCCCAAGTTCAAGCGATTCTCCTGCTTCAGCTTCCTGAGTAGCTGGGATTACAGGTGTGTGCCACCATGCCCGGCTAATTTTTGTATTTTTAGTAGAGACAGGGTTTCACCATGTTGGCCAGGCTGGTCTCGAACTTCTGACCTCAAGTGATCCGCCCACCTCTGCCTCCCAAAGTGCTGGGATTACAGGCATGAGCCACCACACCCAGCCCTAAATATTTTTATAAGTCCAATAGCTGACTAACCAGTTTCAAGTTCTGTGCTGAATCAGAGAAAGCCTACAAGGACCAATTGAGAAAGGAATTTCCCATTTTGGGAGGAGAAAGACCGCAAGTTTTATGAAGGCTCTGATGGCCAGGAAGTATACATTCCTGTTATTATGTCTGGACCTCCTCTCAAGTGCATAGTCATCAACCAGAGTAGAAAACCAGGTGGGGTAGCATCCTAGGCAGCACCCATAAGAACAGGAAGGTAAATTATAAACCATAAAATAGATATTCTTAAAGATTCCTTGAGCACTGCCTACAAGACTCAAGATAAGTGATGCTCATGGAGGAGGTCAGAGTGGAGGAAGAGACTAATAGGCTCAAGGGCAGACAGAGTCATAGTGTCACAGCTAAACTCTAAAATGACCCAAAGGACTTTTGGACTATTTTTCCCCTTCTAAAATATAACTTTTGGGAAAAGACTGATAATTATTGTTCTGGATAGATTGTCTTCTTGTCCATACCACCCCTAATCTTTATTAGTTCTAATTCAGCAGAGTAGTCTTTTACAGTACAAATGTGTGTCTGAAACACAAGATACTGTTATTAAATAGAGATTAATATATGATAATATTCTCATTAAGTTGTATTAAGATCATTTCAATTTAGTATTCGGGGGATCTATGAGCCTTCTTGAAAATGACAAGTGTCTCAATTTTTAAGTTCTCACACGTACAAACATGTAGCTGGGCCACATTAATACACACACACACACACACATTCATAAATAAAATTCAGTTAGATGTTGTTTAAAAAGTTATCAGTGAAAATGCTGTGTTCCCACTTAAATCAACTATGAAACCACTAAACAAGCTTAAAAATCCAACTAGTTTCAATTGTTTGCTTAAATGAGAATTGCAAGACTCCTTGTTGCCTGCAAGGAGAGAGTCTTAACACAGACACATTTTTTTTTTTTGAATTTTACTTTAAGTTCTGGGATACATGTGCAGAACATGCAGGTTTGTTACATAGGTATACACGAGCCTTGGTGGTTTGCTGCACCTATCAACCCATCATCAAGGTTTTAAGCCTGGCATGCATAGGGTATCTGTCCTAATGCTCTCCCTCCCCTTGCCCCCCACCCCCTGACAGGCCCCGATGTGTGACGTTCCCCTCCCAACACAGACACATTTATAACAAAATATTACCAATTATGAGTCTTGACTTGCAACATTTTAGGAACCATTTTTTTTTGTGGGGGAAGGAATTTAAGTCAGAGCCTTTCTTAACCTACCACCAACTTTAAACTGTTGGCATTTGTAAATTTTTCCTTGTTTTGTGATCCTAGTTTTGTTGACAATTCACTTTCCAATAAGAAACTTATTATGTTGTGACATTGTGGACATTAGATATCGTGATTCTCAATGACTCTAAAATGTTAAGAACCAATGTTAAAAATAAGTGTAACAAAGAAATGGAAAATGATATTATATATTATATAACATATAACATAATAAAATATATCTGGCTAATATACTTCATATAAAATGGAGCTAGAGGAGAAATTTAGGTTAAACCTCAAAGTACAAAGTTTATTGTTATTCTTTATTAAGTGCACAGCAACATTATTTAAAGTGCTAAATGAACTATGTGTTTCTGTCACCTGGTTTTTCTCTAGGGGAGAGTGCTATTGAAGCTGCACTTCTATTTCAGACAATGGTGCTGTGCACAAGCAATGCAGATTTATCCACTTTTCATATAGGCTGGGGTCAAAAAGGAGGATGTAAAAGGAAAGGAAAACTGTTCAACCCTAATATTATTTGACAATCCTCTATAGCTGTGTTGTTCAATACAGTAGCTACTAACTATAAGTTAATTAAAGTTAAATTTGAATTAATTAAAATTACCTAAGAATTTAAAACATTCACTTATTTCTTTGCCCTAGCTACATTTCATGTGCTCTGTAGCCACATGTGGTTAGTGGTTACTGCCTTGGATGACAATATTTTGTGTTATAGAACCTTCCCATCATCACAGAAAGTTTTTTGGATAGCCCTGCTCCACAGGACAGAATTCCTATTCTAGAGGACAAAACTAGAGGCTTATAAAAGAATACAGTGAATTTTACACACTCTTATTTTGGAGTAAAGCAAAAAGAAACAGTGATCAATGTTAGTCATAAACATAAAGTTATAAACTGTCCCTTCCACCTCTAAGGAATCTCTCTTCTGTCAGAAAGGCATTTCGGCAGCTTCTCCTCTGTTATTATAGCTGTCTGCCGGTAATGTTGTGTAACAATACAATGTACACCACTGGCCTGTATTTTGTTCAGTGATGCCATTTTTAACTAAAAAGGGTTACATCTTTTGGGGGGGATCAATTAATTTCACATCTTGAAGCAGAAAATGTTGAGTTCGAGTCATCCTGTTTTTGGAAAAAACAACAACAACAAAATCAGCCTGGAAAGAGGATTCCCAGTTGCCAAATAATAATAATTTGAAAATAAGATACAATTATTACAGTCAACAGAATTAAATTAAATCTTTTGAATAATCCCTGAATTAATAACACAAAATAGGAAAAGTAACAGAGGATGGGATAAACATGATTATAATACATAGAAGCATTTCTAGTATCATGCATTTAAAAGGCTATATATGCTAGATATAGTCCAACCTAAATTTTGTGAGTTCAACATTGGAGTTAGACTAACAATTAGGCTATCAACCACAAATTATGGGCAAATGGGAAATGAGAAGAGTGTTGATCAGATCAAAAGGATATGAAAAATATTGAGGCAAACTTTTGTTAAAGGAAGGTGAAAAGTTTAGAAAAACCTATTCAAAAGGTAGAAGATAGAAGAATGAGTGTGAGGTATTGATCGAAGGAAGAATATAGTGGAAAAACCTATTTTATAGGAAGAGGGGGCAGCTGTCAATGTTACTTAGCAGAAACAAAATAATTTGTTAGTAAAGCTAAAAAAATGTAGATATGAACAAAACCTTGTAGAAAAAAGAGACCAAATAAGGATATCTCTTGGCAGAACAGTGGACTCTGTGAATGAAGGGACCAAGGACATACGCAGTTGGATCAAGTGGCATTATCCCTCATTATATACATTTTTATACAAAGCAAAATAGGTACATGTACCATCCTGACAGGTGGCAACCTTCTTCTTAGACTTTCTTTTGGGCAGTATGTTGAGACAATTCATTATACTAAATAGAGGACAATCAGTAGTCAACAATGTATGCATAATACATAGGAACACAAAGGAGGGAGTATAGAACTCTAGTTCAGAGAAGCCTCATGGAATTGATGATATTTCGCATTTGGGCCTTAAAGAATGAGTATTATTAGACATTTTTCTGGTCTACTAGTGGAGGGGGTTGATGGAGGGAAGAGAGAACCTTTCGGGGAATTGGCATAGTATTTGCAAAAACAACGAAGCAAGAAATGCAGGGTGCATTTAAGAAACTGCAACTATCTGGACAGTCTACAGGATGGGTTGCCAGGTACAGTGAGATGAGGTATGTTTCAAGTCATGAAAGGCTTTGAATATTGATGCAAAGTAGCTAGAACTTAGAAGATGAGCAGTGAATTGAGGAAAATGTGAACAGATTTAACTGACTTTGAATATTTGTATATGCAAACAATATTTTAGCCTCAAGCTATAAAATCCCAAATTTACTATTTGGTTCTTTCACTGCAAACAAATGAAAGAACAATATTCATCTCAGGTTTGAAAAATCTGGAGGGTACAAAAAGAGATGCCTTTAAATTTTAAAGAAACCAATATGAGCTCTTCTACTGATACAGACAATTCATATTAAGCTCCAGCTAAAACAAATGCAACCAATTATGTATCGCAGGCTTACTTTTCAGAGCATCCTCTCCTGTCTTTTGGTAAGGAAGGACCCACCAGGGCCTCTCATCTCAGTACCTGATTGCCAGCTGGGCGCATTCCTCCTGTCCTGAGACGTCTGCATGATCACCCCAGAATACATGCTCTCTAAAGGCCCCAGTCATCATTGCTTTTCTTTGCTTGTTGGACTTTATGTTTCATTGTGTAAGAACCGTCTTCCAAAATGGGAAGCATATTAGTTTCCTGTTGCCACTGTAACAAATACTTAGTAGCTTAAAACAACACAAATTTATTCTCTGGCAGTTCTGGAAGTCAGAAGTTTAAAATCAGTTTCACCTAAAGGTCAGGTATAGGCAAGGATGGTTGCTTCTGGAGCTCTGAAGGGAGAGTGTGTATCCTTGCCTTTTCATAGCATCTTGGGGCTGACTTTATGCTTTGTCTTGTGCCTACTTCCTCCATGCTCAAGGCACATCTCTTCCACACCTGCTTATGCCATCATATCACTCTCTCCTCTTGTAGTCAAATCTCCCTCTGCCTTTCTCTTATAAGGACACCTATGATTACATTTAGGGCCCACCCAGTTAATACAGGTTAATCTTTCCATCTCAAGCTCCTTAGTGTAATTGCATGTACAAACTCCTTCTTGTATATGACATAATGTTAACAGATTCCGGGGATTAGGAACCGGATATACTTGGCATGCATTATTCAGCCTTCCATAGGAGGAGACCCAGAATCACCAAGTTTTGAATTAGAAATTTTCTCAGAGATAATTACTACCATTATGTTTGAAGACCATATTGTAGGCCACTTACTGTTTGAGCATGTCTTTACCTAAATCCTGTTGTTCTGAGATTCTAATCTCAGGAACTAAGCCTGGTCACCACCTTTTTTTTTTTTTTTAATAACTGTCCTCTTGGCTGCGATCTTGGCGATAATCATCAACTCTTTATCATCTGTCTGAAAACCAACCAACCAAACAACCAAAGGGGGAAAAAACCCAAATACCTGCAGGCCTTCTGTTATGATTGTATAGAAACAAATAATAAATATTGAGTATAACTCAACCACCGTATTCCTTCTTTACTGCTCATGGAAATTTAATAGAATAGGTATCATTCTTACCATCTTGCAAATAAGGAAACCAAGGCTCATAGAAGTTATGTACCCAAGGTCATACAGGCAGTGACAGGTCTGTCAAACTCAAAAGCACGTTATCTTTTTACTGCAGTACTGTTAAACATTGCAGGGAGGCAGACAGTTTAGAGTGCTACATGTAGAGAAAGTTATGACAGTTCTGGAGAAATTGTAAAGCTGTTGGGGTTACCATGCCTGGCTGATAGTTTCTCGGTCTCTCTTGCCAAGTCCCCATAGGCAGTTAGTGTCTTATTGGTTTCTTCTGTTATTCCTGAGGGTAGTATCATGACCTCATTATAAAAGGGAGGAAACAAAGGTAAAGAGAGGTTTAATAACTTGCCCAGGGTCACAGACAGACTGCTAGAAAATGCATCTAGTTTTTAAAATTAATGCCAACTAATAGTCAAGGCATTTTATTTTATTTTATTTTATTACAGGTTTCTAATTCTCAGGCAGGGAGTACAGGCAAGAATAACTTCTACAGTTAGGTATCAAGCCATTAGCTTTTACTACCATTGTGATACATTAATGAAGAGGGAAATAAATTAATATTTTGTTTTGATGAGAGAATTTCCACAGGATACACCTTAGCTATGGGGAAATCTGGATCCTGGAGGATGTTTTCTCTCAAGGGGATTTGGCATTATCTGTACAATATAAATCAAGGGGAATGGAGAGGTATATACAGATAAATTTAATACAGAATACCTTACATACCCACAATTTAGTGGGCAGCTATGATGTGTCAGCTAGACTCTGCACTCCATACTTAATATATGTTAGTTCTAATTCTTACAACCACATAAAGTGTAAGTACTCTTAGCTTCATTTTAAAAATAAACTTTATTTTTATAGCAGTTTTAGGTTCACAGCAAAATTGAGCAGAAGGTAAAGATTCCTATACACCCTCTGCCCCCACAAATGCATAGGCTTTCCAACTATAGACATCCTGCACTATAGTGGCATAATACTGACATATCATTATCACCTAAGTAAATGTTTATATTAGGATTCTTTTGTGGTGGTGTACATTCTATAGGTTTTAACAAATATATAATGACATGTGTCTATCATCCTAGTATCATATAGAGTAGATTCACTGCCCTAAAAATCCTCTGTGCTCAGCTTATTTATCTCCTAGTCCCTCTAAATTCTGATCATTTTACTGTCTCCATCATTTCACCTTTTGCAGAGTGTCATAGAGTTGGAATTATACAGTATATAATGTTTTCAGATAGGTATCTTTCACTTAGTAATATGTATTTAAGTTACCTCCAGTGTTTTCATTTCTTTTTAGTACTGAATAATAGCTCATTGTCTGGATACACCACAGTTTATTCATTAACCTACTGAAGGACATCTTGGTTGCTTCTACATTTTGGTAATTATGAATAAAGCTGCTTTGAACATTCATATGGAAGTTTTTGCATGGACATAATTTTCATCTCATATGGGTAAATACCAAGAAGCACAATTACTGGATTATATGGTAAGAGTATGTTTAGTTTTGTAAGAAATTGCCAACTGTCTTCTAAAGTGGTTGTACAATTTTGCACTTCCGTTGGCAATGAATGAGGTTTCTTTTGCTCCATATTCTTGCAAACATTTAGTTTTGTCAATGTTTTGGATTTGGGGCATTCTAATAGATATATAGCGATAGCTTATCATTTTTTAAAAATTTGCAACTCCCTAATAACATATGATGTTAAGCATCTTTTCATAAATGTATTTGACTCTGTATATCTTCTTTGATGACGTACCTGTTCAGATCTTTTGACCAATTTTATTTGGCTTGTTCATTTCCCTATTGTTTAGTTTTTTTTTAAAGGAATAAACAAATGGCTACTCCATAGGCAGAGTGGCCCCTATTGTTGAGTTTTAAGATTTCTTTGTATAGTTTGAATATCATTTCTTTATCAGAGGTAATTTTTTACAATTATTTTTTCCTAATCTATGGCTTATTTTCTTATTCTCCTGACACCGTTATTCATAGAACAGAAGTTTTTAATTTTAATGAAGTCCAGCTTAATCACCATATCCAAGGTCATCTAGATATTCTGCTGTGTTATCTTCTAGAAGATATAAAGCTTTGTGTTTTAGATTTAGGTTTATTATCCATTTAGTATTATTTTTTGTGCAATGTGCAAAGTCTATCTAGATTCTTTTTCTTTTTTTTGCATGTGGATATCATTGTACCAACATCATTTGTTGAAAAGATTATCTTTACTCAATTGTATTGCCTTTGCTCCTTTGCCAAATATTGTTAGCTATATTTGTGTAAGTCATTTCCTGGGTCCACTGTTCTGTTTCACTGATTTATTTGTCTATTATTTCACAAATATTTCACTCTATTGACTACTCTAGCTTTATAGTAAGACTTTTAAGTCTTACTATAATTAGTTCTGTGACTTTGTTCTTCTCTTCCAATATCTCACTGGCTATTATGGGTCTTGTGCTGTTTCACAAAAATCTTTAGAATTAGTTTTGATATTAACAGAATAATTTGTTGATATTTTGATTGGGATTACATTGAATTTATAAATAAAGTTGGGAGAACTGACTTAACAATATTGAGTCACTCTACCGGTGAATATGGAATTAATTCTTCTTTAATTTATTTCATCAGAGTTTTGTAGTTTTTCTCATGTAGATTATATATATATTCAGTTAGAGTTATACCTAAGTATTTTATTTTTTGTGTGGTAATTTAAATGGTATTGTGTTTTTAATTTTAAATTCCTCTTGTCCATTGTTGGCATATTTGAAAGCAATTGATTTTTGAATATTAACCTTGTATCATGCAACCTTGCTATGGTTGCTTATTAGTTCCAGGATATTGATTGTCTCAGATTTTTTTTACATAGGCAATCGCATCATCTGTGAACATATAAATTGTTAATTCTTCCCTCCAAATCAATATATATTTTCTTATCTAATTGCATTAGCTAAGGCTTCTAGGGTAATACTGAAGAAAAGTGGTGAGAGGGAAATCCTTGCCTTGTTCCTGATCTTAGTGGGAAAGCTTTGAGTCTAAATATAATGTTAGCTATAGGTTTCTAGTAGATGTTCATCATCAAATTTGGAAATTTGGCTCTATTCCTGGTTTGCTAGGAGATTTTATCATGAATATATATAATGAATTTAATCAAATGCTTATTATTATTATTATTATTGTTAGAGACGGAATCTTGCTCTGTCGCCCAGGCTGGAGTGCAGTGGCGCGATTTTGGCTCACTGTAAGCTCCGCCTCCCAGGTTCACGCCATTATCCTGCCTCAGCCTCTCAACTAGCTGGGACTACACGCGCCCGCCACCACACCTGGCTAATTTTTTGTTTTGTATTTTTAGTAGAGACCGTGTTAGCCAGGATGGTCTCAATCTCCTGACCTCGTGATCCACCCACCTTGGCCTCCCAAAGTGCTGGGATTACAGGCTTTGTAAGCAGAAACCTCCATGGGAAAGTGTGTTTCATGGCTGAGAATGTGGTCTGTCTTGGTTCATGTTCTATGTGAAAGTAAGAAGAACATGTAATTTGCTGTTGGTTAATGTAGTTGTCTATAGATGAAATTGTATCTAGTTGTTTGATTGTGCTGTATAAACTATGTCCTTAATGATTTTCTGCTTGTTGGAGCTGTGCATTTTTTTAAATAGAGGGGTGATGACACCTCCAACAGTAATTGTGGATTTATCTATGTCCCCTTAGAGTTTTAGTCATTTTTGCCCCACATATTTTGACACGCTCTCATTAGGCACGTAAGATTAAAGATTAAGTCTTCTGGAGAACTGACTCCTTTATCATTATGTAATGATCCTCCTTATCTCTGATAAACTTTCCCCGTTCCAAAGTCTGTTCTGTCTGAAATTAATGTAGCCACTCCAGCTTTCTTTTGTTTAGTGTTAGCATGGTATATTGTTCTCTGTCTTTTACTTTTCATCTATAATGTGTCTTTATATTTAAAGCAGGATCCTTTTAGGCAATATATAACTGGCTCTTGTTTTTTGATCCTCAATTTATTTTAATTTATTTAGATAATTGATGTTTAACGTAATTATTTATATAGTTGGATTAATATACATCATTTTGTTACTGCTTTTTTGTTTTTTACCCTTTACCTTTGTTCCTATATTTGTTCTCTACTCTTTTTTTTTTTTTTTTTTTTGATGGAGTCTCACTCTCTTGCCCAGGCTGGAGTGCAGTGGTGTGAGCTCGGCTCACTGCAACCTCTGCCTCCTGGGTTCAAGCTATTCTCCTGTGTCTGCCTCCTGAGTAGCTGAGACTATAGGCACCCGCCACCAAGCCCTGCTAATTTTTGTAATTTTAGTAGAGACGGGGTTTCACCATATTGGCCAGGCTGGTCTCAAATTCCTGACCTTGTGATCTGCCTGTCTCGGCCTCCCAAAGTCCTGGATAACAGGTGTAAACCACCGCACCCAGCCTCTTTTTGTGGTTTTAATTGAACATTTTATATAATTATATTCTATCTCCTTTATTAGCATATTAATTATACCTTTTAAAATACATTTTTGTGGTTGCCTTAGGGTTTGTGATACACATTTATAATGAATGCATGTCCACTTTGAAATAACTCTATACCACTTCATGGATAGTGCACATACATTATAATAGTGAAATAATACCAATTCCTTTTGTTTTTATCATGGCTGTCATTAATTTTACGCCTAAGCATGCATATACATATACGTATACACACACATATATGCGTAGTCAGTTATATTTTTGCTATTATTTTGAATAAACTGTTATCTGTCAAATCAATTAAGAAAAAAGTTCTTATTTCACCTTCACTTATTTCTTCTCTAGTCGTCTTCATTTATATACACCCAAGTTTCTGAGCAAATTTTCTTTTCTCTGACAACTTCTTTTAACATTTCTTCTAAGAATGGTGTACTGTCAACAAATTCTCTTATGTTTGTCTGAGAAAGACTTATTTGTCCTTCACTTTTAAAGGATAATTTTCAAGACAGAGAATTCTAGATTGGTGATTTTTACTTTAAACACTTTAAACATTAAACTCCACTTGCCTTGTTTGCATGGTTTCTGAGGAGAAGTTGGATGTAATTCATATCTTTGCTTTTCAAAAAATAAGATATTTTTCCTTTGGTTTAAGAATTTTCTTTATCTTTATTTCTAACTTAAGTAGAATATTCCTTAATACTTTTTTTCAGCATTTACCCCTATTGTCATTCTCTGAGCTTCCTAAATTAAAGCTTTGAGAAATTCTTAGTCATTATTGCTTCAAATATTTCCCTTCTTTTCTTCTTCCCTCCCTCCCTCCCTCCCTCCCTCCCTTCCTTCCTTCGCTTTCTTCTCTCCCTTCCTTCTTTTCTTTCCTTTTCTTTTCTTTTCTCTTTCTCCTCTGGTATTCCCCTTATGGACGTATTACATTATTTTTAGTCCTAAAGTTCTTAGATATTCTGGGAATTTTTTTCAGTTTTTTTCTCTTTTCTTTTCTGTCTGAGTTTCTGTTGATGAGTTTCAAGCTGATGAGGTTCTTTCTTCAGCTATGTACAGTCTACTAATGAGCCCATCAGATACATTCTTTATTTCTGTTGTAGTATTTTTAATCCCCGGCATTTCTTTTTGATTTGTTTAGAATTTTCATCTCTGTGCTTACATTGCCCATCTATTCTAACATGTTGCCTAGTTTATCCATTAGAGCCCTTAGCATATTAATGGTAGTTGTTTTAAATTTACAGTCTGATAATTTTAACATCCCTGTCATATCTGATTTGGAGTCTGTTGCTTGCTGTTTCTTCAAAATGCGGTTTTGTCTTTTTATAATTATTTGTTGAAAGCTAGACATGATGTGCTGGATGAAAAAAACTGTAATAAATAGGCCTTTAGAGATGTGGTAAGGTGTGGGGCAAAGGATAGCATTCTATAGTTCTATGATTAGGTCGTAATCTTTGGGTGAGCCTCTGCGCTGGATTGTGAATTTCACAAGTGATCCTCAATTATTTTTCACTTCCCTAAGTGAAACAAAATGGCTAGAGTTGGCTGCTATTGGATGTATCCCTTCCTCCACATAAAAGTCTAGAGAGGGCTGGGGTTGAGTTTTTCAGTTCTCTCACATGGGAGGCTAGAGCAGGCTGGAGTTGGATATTTCTCTTCCACTAATTTAGTTAGGCTCTCATAAAACTCCCAATACTTTAGTACTTTAGACTCTAGAAAATGGGAATAGTTTTTTGTGTGTGTTTGTGTGTGATGGCCTTGTTAAGAAGAGTAGATGGTCTGGCATATTTCAAAAGGTTACTTTTACCCTCCCTATGCAGGAAGCTTGAAGAAATTTTTCTACAATATTTCTTGTGAGAACCTGGTAGATTTTCTGGAGGTAAAACTCCCAAAATGTAGGTTTCCCATGTGACTTCGTCCTCTTATATTTTTTCTTTTATCTCTCTGGCTTGTCCACACTAAGACTTCAATAATTTATCAATTAGAGCTCAGGTTTTTCTACCTGGTATTGGTTCCCATGGAGGTTTCTGCTTATGAGTTTCTGCTGTGTCAAGCTGTGTTACCCTGTAGGGGCCCATTTGTCTCTCCAGTTTTGGGGGCAGCAGTTTGTTCTGTGATCTAATTTTTGTTCTGCGATCTAATTTTTCCTTTCTTTTCTTTTTCTTTCTTTTTTTTTTTTTTAATTTTTTTGGAGACTGAGTCTTGCTCTGTTGTCCAGGCTGGAGTGCAGTGGCGCAATCTTGGCTCACTGCAACCTCTGCCTCCCGGGTTCAAGCAATTCTCCTGCCTCAGCCCCCACAGTAGCTGGGATTACAGATGCATGCTGCCACGCCCGGGTAATTTTTTGTATTTTAGGAGAGATGGGGTTTCATTCACCGTGTTGCCCAGGCTAGTCTCGAACTCCTGAGCTCAGGCAATCTGCCCTCCTCGGCCTTCCAAAGTGCTAGGATTACAGGCGTGAGCCACCGCACCCGGCCTGTGTGACCTAATTTTTCTAATAAATCTAAGAAGAGTTGTATTTTTAGTTTGTTCAGCTTTCTACTTGGTAGGATGGGGTGATGATTTTCAAGATTTTAACCTGTCAAACCAGAAACTGGAAGTCTTAGCTTCATTTCTTAGATTAAAAAGTTGAAGGCCCAGGGAAGCTAAAATCGCGTGGCTCATTAGTGAGAGAGCCAGAATCTAAAAGTCTACTGTCTTTGCCCTTTGCATTAACCATTTTGCCTTCCTATTAATTTGACATGTACTGTCATATTGTGAGAATACACAAGTAAAATACGATTGGGACATGCTGTGTGTGTCTTGTGTGAATAATTTGCACTTGATTTATCCTTGACATTTCTAGAACCAGAAAGATGCTGGTTTATGTGTAATATAATGGGAAGAATCCAAGTCTTGGAACAAGACAGATCCGGGTTAAAGTCCAACTACTGTATTTGCTCACTATGTGACCTTGAGTAAATGCCTAATAAGTTTTGTGAGCCTCAGATTCCTCATCTATGAACAAAACCAGACTGAGGTTGCTATTGTGAGAATTAAGAAAAAATAAACACAGAAGCAAAAATCCTAAATAATAAATTAAAATTAGTAATACATAAAAAAGATGATATAGCATGACCAGCCAGATTTATTTCAAGAGTGTATCACTGGCTTAACGTTTTAAAAATCAATTAATGTAATAAAACATGTTTCTATTCAGGTGAAAAAGCTTTATAATCACCTCAATAGATGTAGTGCAAACCATTTGATAGAAACCTGATTTTTTTCTGCTATGTCAATGCCTAAGAATTCACTGCCTCTCCAAAAAGGTCACTGAAATGTATTCCCTTCGCCTGCATTTGTCCTAGGTCTGCTCTCTGCCTCTGGGTAGCTCAGCTTCCATATTGCTGTCTTCCTAATATGTCAGCACAGCATTCGTTTTTTTTTTTTTTTAAGGTCGTCATAATTATTTGTCCTTTGACCTTGTTTCTATATATTGTTTTTAATGTGCCTCACTTAATATTTTGCCCATACCTGAAAGTAATACTTTATGTATGTGGTCAGCACAAAATACAGTGGGAATGTAGTTCTTCTATTTGTGGATTGCATTTCTAATGCTGTAGTCTAAGATTAAATGAGCTGTTTTGATATCATAATATCGGCTCTTATTGAGCTTAGTGTCAGCTTTTGTCTAGGCCTTTTATACATAACTGGCAATTACTTAATGTCTTAATCATAATGTATGTGTGTATTTGATTTTTAGAGGCTTAGTGGATTGTTTCCATTTATCTTCATTAAATTTCATCGTGGTAATTTGGCTTGCTTTACAAGGATGTCGAGATGTTTCAGTCTATTGTCCTCAGTAGCATCTCCCTAATTTGAGTTGATAATTTTGTCTTCTGAACTTTTTTCCAGTGATTGATTTAAAAAAATTTAAAAACTGACCAGGAAAAATTGAACAGGTATATTTTGTAACTCACCTGATTATAAATACATTAATTAGAACTATAAATGTGGTCATTTATTTATTCATCCTCCAACATTGTCATATTATGTTAACAACATAGCATGAGAGACATAATTGACATCTTAGTGGAATACTAAGTACCAAGGGTATTAATAAGGGTATTCCCTGTTTCCCAAGCTCAGGGGCCTTTGAAATTAATGATTTTTTAAAGTAGGGTTTATTTTTCTATGAACAAAATAACTAGTTTTTTTGTTTCTTTTTTGAGACAGAATCTCGCTCTGTCACCCAGGCTGGAGTACAGTGGTGCTATCTTAGCTTGCTGTAGCCTCTGTCTTCCAGGTTCAAGCAATTCTCCTGCCTTAGCCTCCTGAGTAGCTGTGATTACAGGCGTGTGCCACCTCACACAGCTATTTTTTTTTTTTTGTATTTTTAGTAGAGATGTGGTTTTGCCATGTTGGCTAGCCTGGTCTCAAACTTCTGGCCTCAAGTGATCTGCCTGCCTCAGCCTCCCAAAGTGCTGGGATTGCAGATGTGAGCCATTATGCCTGGACGGAACTACTAGTTTTAAATACTTAAAACACACACACACACACACACACACACACACACAAGTAACCACTATTTTTTTTCCTTGTACACAGTCTATTTTTGTGCCCTGAGATGATCTATACTATATTAGTTTGTTTACTCCTTGGAAAATTAGAAAATATGGTGAACACATGTAAAGTAAAAATGTAATATACATATATTTTAGTAATGCAATAAAGAAGAAGACTTATAGTAAAAGGCAAAAGTATTTAGAATTCTGATTTTCAGCAGTTGCTTTCTTATTTATCCATAGGCACACTCACAGCCACATTAATGTCCAATAACGAAATTGGCCCTTCTGCACTGATAATTAATCTTTTCCAAAATGCATCCAGAGTGTCCGGTTAGTGTCACAGTGGAATGGTTGGAAGCTTCAGTGGATGAATGGATACATGGATCAGTGGATTAATAGTTGCTTGGTCCACAAGAAAGGAGCCACTATGCTTTTCAAGGTTCCTCTCTATAAAATACTTTCTCCTCAGCTTATTATTGCATGAGAATATGAAATGTCCAAATTTCAGTTTATATCTTCTTTAGTCAGTTGTTTATCATTTCCTTTCAAAGTTTAGTGAAATGAAAGACAGAACTTTTGAGTCTGGAAGACCTGAGTTCAAATGGCAGTTCTCAATCTACTAGCTGATTGACCTTGAGAAAGTTGTTTATTTTTGATGAACTTTTTTACTCACGTCTGACAATTTAAGGCTTCTGTGAGGTTAAAGTGAAATACTGAATGTGAAGAGCTGGCAGAGTTGGGAGCACATACAGGGACTAAATAATTTTAATTCCCTCTGTCTTTCCTTTTCACAGCAAATTTATGGTTTTAGATTATCTTTCTAATTAGACCATCAGTATAAATTCAATTATAGATTTACTTATATTAATCACTATTCATAATTTCCATTGTGCTTTACTACTAACAAGATTCCTCATATAAATTGATATCAGCAAACACTATTCTAATTATCCACATAAATTTACCACTACTTAGTCACTGTTATGACCCAGCTCTGTATAGTTCATATGGATTGCTGTTTACCAGTCAAGATCAAAAGAAAGATTGTATTACTATCTTCTTAGTTGCTATAATTGGGACCAGAGTGCTTTGTCAATTTTGCTGTTCCTAGGGAGGAATGTGAGCTTTGAATATGCATTTTGGTTAAAAGTCTCCCCGTTTCCTTTTCTATTTCATACCCTCTCATATAAGCTTTCAATTTTCATATTGATTTAATGACAACTAATTATTTCCTAACTCACTGTTAGTTATCATTATTACAATTTTATGTACCCATAAAATTCCCATTATTATAATTTTCATAATGAGTATGAAAATATGGCATTTAAATTGGTACTAAATATTTGATGAATTGAAATTCAAATTCTGCAAATATTACAACTAAAAGTCACACTAATTATTAATTGCTTTTTACAGAACAACATTTATTTCACATTAGTAGAAATAAGTTCACAAGGGTACATTACAAATGAATTGTGTAGGTTTCTAAATACCAGGTAAAGGAGGTGGTTTATTATTTTTCAAACAATGAAGAATAATTGAAAGCTTTGGAGAAGGTTTTGTGGCATACTTAAAGGTGTTTTGGCAAGATTTAATTCTTCCTTGCATAGGTAGAGAACAGGGGGCAGTTAGGCTGAAGATGTTGTCTAGCTGGTAGAAGTGGGATGGGAAGAAACTGATGAATGTGAATGGTGTTATAGAAGTGAATTTCAGGCCGGGCGCAGTGGCTCATGCCTGTAATCCCAGCACTGTGGGAGGCCGAGGCGGGCGGATCACGAGGGCAGGAGATGGCGACCATCATGGCTAACACAGTGAAACCCGTCTCTACTATAAATACAAAAAAATTAGCCAGGCGTGGTGGTAGGCGCTTGTAGTTCTAGCTACTTGGGAGGCTGAGGCAGGAGAATGGCATGAATCCGGGAGGCGGAGCTTGCAGTGAGCCGAGATCGCGCCATTGCACTCCAGCCTGGGCGACAGAGTGAGACTCCGTCTCAAAAAAAAGAAAAATTCATGAGCAGCTCTACTGCCTCCTTGAACGCTGCCCACCTTGACCAAGGTTCATGCTTTGAAAAACAAAACAGACTTTATATTTTCTCATATTTTGTTCATGTATCTCAGTTGCAAAATATTGGTCCCTGGCTAGCATTCATGTAGCAGCTTCCCATATGAACGTTAAACAGGCAACGGTGATGCTTTATAATTACAGTGCTTGAAATGATTGGAAATAAATTGGCACTCCAATTACAGATGCATGAAAGAGACACCAGTATATCACAGTCAATCCATTAATTTCTAAAGTGGTTCAGGCCATCTCACTATTTCAGTGACATTTTTTATTCACGGCTTCAATGAATCACTCTGAATAGTGGTGGCTCAAAATTAACAAACTGAAGGATATATTTTTTTAACCTAAAATATCTCAGATTATTTTCACCTATGCGGGGGAAAAAAAAGTAGACAGGGAGCCAGACAGATACTATTAAATTCTGTAATTCTGAATTCTGTGTATAGAGTTTGGAACAAATGGAACAAATGAGTTTTGATAAACTTTTAAAAATTCTTTTAAAAAAATTTTGAAAAAATTTCCTCAATATAATTGAACAAAACCCATGAGCTTTTCCAAATCTCTCAAAATTAAATTAGGAAAGTAGCAATCTTCAGTGTTTAATTTTTGGTATTTGCATGGATGTCTGTTTGAGTTAGTCAGACCTAAAACATCACCTTTTATATAAAGGTAACCCGAGAAATATTCTAAATGTTTCCAAAAGTTTATCTGTAGTGGTCATAGTTTGAAATTACCATACACATGCTTTCAGAAGTTTCCCTAGATGTATAATTGACTGTTGCTCTCCATAGGTTTCACTAAAAAATGTCATTCATTTGATTCTGATAACTAAATCCTTTGAATATTATCTTTTCAGCTTAAAGTTGTAAGAATCTAGGGGCATGCTCAACTCAGCCATTAAAATGAATAAATCTATAACTGACCAATGACACTAGACTCTTTCACTGACTAATGCATTCCTTAAGAGTAGGCGCTATGACTTATTCATATATTGTGCACATAGTTGCCATGTAGGGGGCATTAAACACATATATATTGAGTGAATATTCTTGCTTATAGCCAAAATATAAACAATCAAAAATTTAATATACATGTAAAGAAGGTAGAGGAATATTTTGGAGTAAAAGGTGACAAGACAATTAATTTCAAATTGAATATTTTATTTTCTAAATTTTATTTTTATTGTAGAAAAATACATGAAAGTATTCTTATAAAAATTAAATACTACAAGTGAGGGTAAAATCTGCTGGCATAATTTACATGAAGCAGTTTTTCATGGTAAAATTATTGTAGAACATTAATTTTACTGTAGAATTCTGCGGAATATTTTATCAAAAGTTTTCTAAAGGCATTTATTCTTTCTTGCTAACATTTGTCATATAGCATTTCTAGCTTATACACAAGTAAAGAAAATATATTGTGAACCTCCATGTATCCATCAACTGTTTTTAACAGCTATCAATACATGGCTAATACAGTTTTATTTGTATTCTAACCCACTATTTGCCCTTCGCCATGAAATTATTTTGAAGTACTACCCACATTATCTCATTTTATTTATGGATAGCTTTAGCATCAATCTGTATAAGGTAAGGAGTTTAAAAATATAACCACAGTGCCACTACCATGAATAAAAATGAACAATTCCTTAAAATCATTATACATAGTCAGTGTTCTTATTTCTTCAATACATATATATGTATATATAATTTTCTTCTTCATTTTCAAGTTGATTTATTTGAACTTGGATTCAAAGTTGACACTTCTGAGATGTCTGTTCAGATCGGTGCTTATGCCTGATATCTTCCTTCTTTCCCTTCTCCCATCCCTCCTTTCCTCCTTTCTTTCTTCCCTCAATTATTTACTGTGGGGCAGGTGCCAGTATATGAGAGAAGCTAGGTGTTCAAAGATGAATATAACATAGGTGTGTCGCATTAAGCCCTGAACTCTGGGTTACTGTAAGAGTATCTTCACCCACTTGTCCATTCACTAGTCGCAAACATAGTACTTTCAAGATTATAGGCTTGTATTTATTCTATTGTTTTTGTCTAGAAACTTTTACCTACCTTGGCCTATCTATTCTTTGCAAACTTTGAGACCTATTCCAAATGTAAGTGTTTTAGGGAGACTTTCTTGATTATCCAAACAAAATTTATCTATTTTCTTTCTCAAAGCCACTTATATATGCCATAATTTAGCATTTGTATATGTTTGTGTCATTTTACTGCTATTTTTGTATCCTCATCTCTCTCACATCTAGTGAGTATTTTTTCATTTTTTATTTTTTATTTATAACTGACACATAATAATTATATATTTATGGGTTACAGTGTGATTTTTTTTAGTTTTTATCTTTTAATTTTTTAATTTATCTGTTTATTTTGGAGACAGGGTCTCACTGTTTGCCCAGGCTGGGGTGCAGTGGTACAATCATGACTCATTGCAGCCTTAAACTCCCAGGCTCAAGTGACCCTCCTACCTCAGCCGCCCAAGTAGCTGCAACCAGAGGTGCTGGCCACGATGCCTGGCTAGTTTTTGGATATTTTGAAGAGACAGGGTCTTGCTATGTTGTGCAGGCTGGGCTAAAGCAAACCTCCTGCCTCAGCCTCTCAAAGTGCTGGGATTACAGGCATGAGCCACCCTGCCTGGCCCACTGTGGTATTTCAATACATGTTTACATGATTAAATCAGAGTAATTACCATATACCTCACTTTAAACATTTATCATTTCTTTGTGGTGATAACATTCAAAATCCTTTCTTCTAACTAGCTTGAAATATTTACTGCGCTGTTATTTTCTACAGCCACCCTACTGTGTAAAGAACACCAGAACTTATTCTTACTGTCTAATTGTAACTTTATATCATTGACCAACCTTTTCCAGTGCCATCTTTTTTCCTACTCTCCACAACCTCTGGTAACCACTATTATACCCTGTATGTCTATGAAACCAATTTTTTTTTTAGATTCCAAATACGAGTGATATAACGCAGTGTTTGTCTTTCTATATCTGGTTTACTTTACTTAAGAATAATGTCTTCCAGGGCCAGGCGCGGTGGCTTACACCTGTAATCCCAGCACTTTGGGAGGCTGAGACGGGCAGATCACGAGGTCAGGAGATTGAGACCATCCTGGCTAACACGGTGAAACCCCGTCTCTACTAAAAATACAAAAAATTAGCCGGGCGTGGTGGTGGGCTCTTGTAGTCCCATCTACTCAGGAGGGTGAGGCAGGAGAATGGCGTGAACCCCGGAGGTGGAGCTTGCAGTGAGCCGAGATCACGCCACTGCCCTCCAGCCTGGGCAACAGAGCGAGACTCCGTCTCAAAAAAAAAAAGAATAATGTCTTCCAGGTTCAACCATGTTGTTGAAAATGACAGGATTTTATTCCGTTTTATGGCTAAATAGTATTCCATTGTGTGTGTATATAAATATAGAATGGAATACTATACATTTTGTGTATATATATGCATACACACAATCTGTATATATATACATGTGTGTATACCATATGTGGTGTGTATATATATGTGTATGTATATATAAATACTGTATACATGTATGTATATGTATATATATACACACATATGTATATGTGATATATACATATACATATATGTATATATACACATACACGTACACATATGCGTGTATGTGTATATGCATATACATATATGTATATACACATATACATATGTATATACATACATATACATACATATGTATATGTATGTATATACACATGTGTATATGTATATATACGCATATATGTATATGTATGTATATATACACATATGCGTGTATATATGTGTGTATACACATATATGTGTATATATGTGTGTATACACATATATGTGTATATATGTGTGTATACACATATATGTGTATATATGTGTGTATACACATATATGTGTATACACATATATGTGTATACACATATATGTGTGTATACACACATGCATACATACCATATGTGGTATATACACACATTCATATATATACATATTGCGTGTGTGTATATATATGCATATGAATACACAATATATGTGTGTGTGTATATGTAAACATACACACAATGTACACACATGCACCACGTTTTCTTTATACATTCATCTGTTAGACATTGAGGTTGATTCTATATTTTGAATGTAGTGAATAGTGCTGCAATAAACATTACAGTCCAGATATCTCTCCAATGTACTGATTTCATTTCCTATGGATATATACCCAGTGGTGGAATTTTTGGATCACATGGTAGTTCTATTTGTAATTTTTTTAAGGAAACTCCATGCAGTTTTCCACAGTGGCTGTACTAATTTACATTCCCCAAACTTTATATGAAGGTTCCCCTTTCTCCATATCTTTGCCAGTGTCAATTATTCCCTTTTTGATGAAAGCCATTCCAACTGGAGTGAGATATCTTATTGTGGCTTGGATTTGCATTTCTCTGATGATTAATTATGTTGAAGATTTTTTTACATACCTGTTGGCTATTTGTATGTCTTCTTCTTAGAAAATGTCTGTTCAGATCTTTTGCCCATCTTTAAATCAAATTATTTGTTTTTATGCTATAGAGTTGTTTGAGCTTCTTATATGTTCTGGTTATTAATCCTATTAATCCCTTGTCATATGGATAGTTTGCAAATATTTTTTCTTATTCTGTGGGTTGTCTCTTCACTTTGTTGATTGTTTCCTTTGCTGTGCAGGAGCCTTTTAGCTTGATGTAATTCCATTTGTCTATTTTTTGATTTTATTGCCTATACCTTTTTTTTTTTTCTTTTTTGAGATGGAATCTCACTCTGTTGCCCAGGCTGGAGTGGAGTGGCATGCACTGCAACCTCTGCCTCCTGGGTTCCAAGGATACTCCTGCCCCAGGCTCCTAACTAGCTGGGACTATAGGCATGCATCACCATGCCCGACTAATTTTTGTAGTTTTAGGAGAGATGGGATTTCACCATAATGGCCAGGCTGGTCTAGGATTCCTGAGTTCAAGTGATCTGCCCATCTTGGCCTCCCACAATGTATTGCCTGTACTTTTGAGGTCTTGCACAAAATATATTTGCCCAGACCAATGTTCTGGAGAGTTTCTCCAATGTTTTCTTCTAGTAGTTCAGTTCAGCAAATGTATATTTCTCAGTTGCAATGTTTCTGTTTGATTTTTAAAAATTATTTTGATATTTGTTAAATTTCTCATAAACCTCTGAATTATTTTTCTATGTTATCTTGAACACCACTGAGTTTCCTTAAAACAGCTATTTTGAATTCTTGGTCAGAGGGCTCACATATTGCCATCTTGTTAGGGTCAGTTACTGGTTCATTGCTTTGTCTGGGGAGGACAGGTTTCCCTGTTTGCTGTTGTATCTTGTAGATGTACATCTATGTCTTTGCATTGAAGTATTATTTATTTAAGTCTTCTCTGTCTAGCTTGTTTTGTTTTTTTAATTGGGTATATTTGGTGAGATATTCTTTGTAATTTACATGTTGAATTTCTTATTTATTTATTTTTCCTGCTAGATTGCTTTCTCCTTTTTGGCACTTGATGACACCTTAAGCCCAGGTTTGCTTTGGCTCTAGCAAACCATTGAAGCACTGCTGGCCCAAATGGGAGAGGTCCCACAGGGGCCACCCTGGCAGTGTGGGATTCGTGCCTAGGAAACTTGAAGAATGTACCTCCTACAGCATGGTGCTGCTAAAAAGCAAGTCTGATTTGGCCTCTTCTTTGGCTGAGTTACAGAGCAGAGTTTCCAGGGCTGGGGATGGTAGTCCTGCCTCCCACCTTTGTTTCTGGCTATCCTCAGGGATATTTCTCTCTTCATGCACTCACAAGGCTTCCTGTGGGTTGAGGCAGGGACATGTCTTCTGCCAGGGAACACAAGATGGTGGATAAGTTTGTTGTCTACCTCAATCTAAGGTGTTTTTTTTTTAATGTAGAAACTGAGTCAGGGAAGTTTTCTGTACTTTTGGGGCTAGGTGGATTGTGGAGAAGGTTATTGAAGGAAATTGGATTTCCTTACCATATGCTTGAAGTTTTTTCAGTTCTCTGTGACCCCTGGAACTTACTCATCCTCATATGTGAATTCTGGATATTGCTGGTGGTAATCTCAGTATTGCATATTAAGTTTTGGTTTTCTGTGGGAAAAGTGAAGCCAGCTTGCTTATATGCTACCGTTTTGCAATTGAAAGTTATTTTCTACTTTTTTGATGTAGCCATTTATTGCTATGAACTTTTCTCTCAGAATTGCTTTTGCTATATCTCCTAGGTTTTGGTATGATGTGTTTCCATTCTTATTTATCTCAAGGAATTTTTAGATTTCTTAATTGATGCATTGGTTATTTAGGAGCATGTTGTATAACTTCCATGTATTTGTAAGACTTCTGAAGTTTTTCTAGTTAATTTCTAGTTTTATACTATTGTGGTCTTTAAAGATACTTGTTATGATGTCTCTCTTCTGAAATTTGCTAAGATTTGTTTTGTGGCCTAACACATGATCCATCCTGGAGAATGTTCCATGTGCAGTTGAGAAGAATGTATATTCAGCTATTGGATGCAATGTTCTGTAAATGTATTTACCTCCATTTGGACTCTGGTATAGTTTAAATCTGTTTCTGTCTTAATAAGTGTATGTTAGGTCCATTTGACCTCTGGTATAGTTTAGATTTGCTATTTCTATCTTAATCTTTTGTCTCGATGGCATGATTGTTGAAAACGGAATGTTGAAGTCCCCTACTATTATAGTATTTAACTCTATCTCTCTTTTACTATCTAATTATATTTGCTTTATATATTTGGAAGCTCTGGTGTTGGGTACATATATATTTACAATAGCTATGTCCTCTTATTGATTTATCCCTTTACTATTTTTTTTTTTTTTTTTTTTGAGACGGAGTCTCACTCTGTCGCCCAGGCCGGACTGCGGACTGCAGTGGCGCAATCTCGGCTCACTGCAAGCTCCGCTTCCCGGGTTCACGCCATTCTCCTGCCTCAGCCTCCCGAGTAGCTGGGACTACACCTTTACTATTATATAATGACTTTCTTTGTCATTTTTGTAGATTTTGGGTTAAAGTCTATTATATCTTATATAAGTGTGGCTACTCCTACTCACTTTTGATTTTGTTTGTATGGAATAGTTTTTTCCATTTTTTCACTTTCATTTTATATTTTTCTTTAACAGTGTGGTGAATTTCTTGTAGGTATCATGTACTTGGGTCTTGTTGCTTTTGTCCATTCAGCCACTCTACATCTTTTAATTGGATAATTTAATCTATTTTCATGCAAGGTTGTTATTTATAAGTAAGGAGTTATTCCTGCATTTTTTTTTAATCCTTTGTTTCCTTTTTCCTTTTTTCTTGTTTACTTCTGTGGTTGGGTGATTTCCTCTAGTGCTAATCTTTGTTTTCTTTGTCTTTCTCATTTGCATATCTGATGTATGTTCATTCTTTGTGGTTACCACAAAGCTCACGTAAAGAATCTTGTAGTTCTTTGTCAGATGAGTAGGTTGTGAAAATTTTCTCCAGAATCTACAATGAACTCAAACAAATTTACAAGAAAAAAACAAACAACCCCATCAAAAAGTGGGCAAAGGACATGAACAGACACTTCTCAAAAGAAGACATTTATGCAGCCAAAAAACACATGAAAAAATGCTCACCATCACTGGCTATCAGAGAAATGCAAATCAAAACCACAATGAGATACCATCTCACACCAGTTAGAATGGCGATCATTAAAAAGTCAGGAAACAACAGGTGCTGGAGAGGATGTGGAGAAATAGGAACACTTTTACACTGTTGGTGGGACTGTAAACTAGTTCAACCATTGTGGAAGTCAGTGTGGCGATTCCTCAGGGATCTAGAACTAGAAATACCATTTGACCCAGCCATCCCATTACTGGGTATATACCCAAAGGACTATAAATCATGCTGCTATAAAGACACATACATATGTATGTTTATTGCGGCACTATTCACAATAGCAAAGACTTGGAACCAACCCAAATGTCCAACAATGATAGACTGGATTAAGAAAATGTGGCACATATACACCATGGAATACTATGCAGCCATAAAAAATGATGAGTTCATGTCCTTTGTAGGGACATGGATGAAATTGGAAATCATCATTCTCAGTAAACTATTACAAGAACAAAAAACCAAACACCACATGTTCTCACTCATAGGTGGGAATTGAACAATGAGAACACATGGACACAGGAAGGGGACCATCACACTCTGGAGACTGTTGTGGGGTGTGGGGATGGGGGAGGGATAGCTTTAGGAGATGTACCTAATGCTAAATGACGAGTTAGTGGGTGCAGCACACCAACATGGCACATGTATACATATGTAACAAACCTGCACATTGTGCACATGTACCCTAAAACTTAAAGTAAAATAATAAAATTAAAAAAAAGAATCTTTTAGTTAAAATTGATGACTATCTTAAGCTGATAACAACTTAACTTTGGTTACATAAAAATACTCTGGACTTTTTTCCTCTCCCCATAATTTGTATTTTAATTGCCTTAATTTACATCTTTATTTTTTGTGTGTCCCTTAGCCACTAATTGTTGCTGTTGATGTTTTGGGCCTTTTTGACTTTAAATCTTCACACTAGAGGATTGAAGGATTTACATGGCACCATTATAGCATTGAGTTATTCTGAGTATGATTATAGATTTATCTATACTGGTGAGTTTTATACTTTCATGCATTTTATGGTAATAATTATTGTTCTTTCATTTCTACTTGTAGCACTCTCTTAAGCACTTGCTATAAGGCCAGTGTGTGGTGATGAATTCCCTGTTTTTACTTGTCTATGAAGATCTTTATTTCTTCTTCATTTCTGAAGGATAGCTTTTCCAGATACAGAACTCTTGGCTATTTTGGTTTTTTTCTCAGCACTTTGAATGTATCATCCCATTCTCTCTTCCTGGCCCAGAGGTTTCTGCTGAGAAATCTGATATTCTAATGGGTATTCCCTTGTAGGTGACTTGACATTTTTCCTTTGCAGTTTTTAGAATCCTCTCTTTTGCTTTTGACTTTTGACGGTTTGATTATAATGTATGTTAGTGAGGATTTTTTTCGATTGAATCTTTTTGGGCAACTTTGAGCTTCCTGAATCTGGATGTCCATATCTCTCTCAAGACTTTGAAAGTTTTCAGCTATTATTTTGTTAAACAGGTTTTGTGTGCCTTTCTTCATTATTTTGACATTCCTATAATGTGATTTTGTTTGCTTAATGCTATCACACAAGTGTCATAGGCTTTCTTCAGTCTTTTTAATCAGTTATTTTTTTCCTCTGACTGGTTTACTTCAAAAGACCTGTCTTAAAGTTCAGAAATTCTTTTACTTCTTGGTCTACCCTGTTGCTGAAACTCTCCACTGTATTTTTAAAATTTGTTTATTGAATTTTTTAGATGCCAGATTTCTGTTTGGTTCTCTTTTTAATGATACCTATTGGATTTTTCATTCAGATCATAAGTTGTTTTCCTGATTTCCTGGAATTATTTGTCTGTATTGTGTATCTTTGAGTTACCTTAAGATCATTATTTTGAATTTATTTTGAGACATTTTGTAAATATCCCTTTCTTTGGAGTCTATTACTGGAGACTTGTGTTCCTTTTATTGGTATCGGGTTTCCTTCCTTTTTCATGTTTCTTGTGCCCCTACATTGATGTCTGTGCATCTATTAGAACACTCTCTTATTTCACATTTTATGGAGTAACTTTCATAGAAAGGGTTTTTTTTTTTTTTGTTTTGTTTTCCTGTAGATGCACCCAAGGGTTTCATTTGGGAATGGTGCACTCATTTGGGAGTTGGCTTTGGCTTTGTGTGGATTCAGTAGCATGGTCTTTAACTAGATTCTTCAGCTATAATCTTTGTATGTGATGTCTACAATTGTCTCAGTCGCTTATGCTGCAGAAGTTTGTGATGGCAGTGGTATAGTCATGTGCTGTGAGTGGGCGCACTGGGTTAGTTGTCAGTCTAGGTGCATTTGGGTGCAGCAGGCTGGCATGCTGAGTGATGGGTTCTCTGGGCAGGTGGAAGCACCACCGGACTACTTGTTAGTTCAGGTGAAATTGGAGTGTGTTGGGGAGCTGTGCAGGAATCTCTCTGGGAAGACAGGGCCACCTCCATGCCCGCTGTCATTTCGGGGGCCAGAGCATTCAAACTTGGTGACTGCAGGGAATTCCTGGGTGTGGCAGTTCTCCTGCTTCTCTGTGGGATAGGATGTCTCGTGAATTAAGACATCAGGGTCTTGGTCATTTCTTCAAGCCTAGACACCAGGCAGCTGGGGTATGGGTGCTCAAGATACTGAAGTAAATGTAGTGGAATGATGACAGGGCCTCAGGATTAGAGAGGGCTGGTGGCTACTGGCCTCCAGGGCAGTATGCACTCAAGCTGTGGGGCTCCTGTGGGGTTCCTGCTCTAGGGAAGCCTAGCTGCCCAGACTCCTAGCAACTCTCCAGACTGGATTTGGGGCCTGTAGGGACTGGGTAACTCTTTTGTAGCAATGACTTCTGGCATCTGCAGTGGTGATTGAGGCCGCTGATGGTCTCCAGGTTACCCCTACCTACTTTATTTTATTTATTTATTTATCTTGAGACAGAGTTTCGCTCTTGTCACCCAGGTTGGGGTGCTTTGGGGTGATTTCAGCTCACTTCAACCTCTGCCTCCCGGATTCAGGCGATTCTCTTGCCTCAGCCTCCTGAGTAGCTGGCAGTATAGGCGTGTGCCACTCTGCCTGGCTAATTTTGTATTTTTATTAGAGATAGGGTTTCACCATGTTGGCAAGGCTGGTCTCAAACTCCTGACCTCAAGTAATCCGCCCACCTTGGCCTCTCAAAGGGCTGGGATTACAGGCGTGAGCCACTGCCCCTGGCTACCTTTCCTATTTTAGAAGTCTTCCCTGGCTCAGAGCTGATACTGGCAGGGTAGATAGTGTGTTAGAGTCAGGATGCCTTGCTCCCCTTTCTGTGGTGCTGGCCTGGGCTTCTGTCCTGCTGGCCTGGGCTTCTGTGCTGCACAGGGATTTAGCCTCCCCCTGGTGCTCTGTACTTCCTCCATCACTCGAGGCAAAAATATAGTTTGTTGTTTGGTCCTTTTTTGTTGGGGAGTGGAGGAGAATGAGCACCAGGCAACTCTAGCTGATGTCACTGTACCTATATGTAGATTTTATATTAAAACTGTAGTACAGTAGTCTTTTGTAGAGCGCAACATTTTAATTTAGGGTTTCCTAGGGGTATTTTATAACAAGAGAGATGCTATTTCTTAATGATAATATAGATAATTTGGTCACAATGGCCAAATAAGTGAGATAAGTAATTAATGCCTTCACCACTCTTTCATGATATCACCCATCCTCCTCCTCACCATTTAGCTGGGACTCTTCTGGAGCAGTGGTTATACCTAAACTATTACCTAAGAGAATACCTGACATATGATAGGTGTTAAATAAATTCTTTCATAAACTGACAAACTGTGAGAGGATAAGACAAATAAAAATGTTGACAAGGCCAGATAAGACTAAGAAATGATTTGCTATTTTTCTTTTAGCAGTTACAACCTACAGAGACCACATTGGAGAAAGGAAGGCTCATGAAGGAGGTTTATGTTAATTAAAAATTCATTGCATTCAGGAGTTTGATGTACTATGGACTGTATGTGCTATATTTCACAGCCCAGTATCATACTTCTAACTGAGTAATTTCCCTTGGCAATTTCGATGAGTCTAAATTGTAGCTGAAGCAGTCATGCAAAGGAAAAACAGAGTTAGCGTCATTTTTTGTCATATATCTTGTTTCTAAAATAGATCAGATATTTCTAAAAATGTCATGAATATTAGACAAGGAGATATGAGACTGAGTTCCAGTTAAATCCCCAGCTAGTTTGCTGATTTTGAATATATCTGATAGTTAACACTTTTGAGCTTTGTGCTAGTACTTTATATCTCATTTAATCCTCATTAAAAGCCTATGAGCTATGTACTATTAATTATTATCCTAATTTTGTAGATGAGGAAGCTGAAACTTAGAAAAGTTAAAGCACTTGTCTAGAAACAGTTAGGAATAATGACTCCAGGACTCCAACCCAGTTTACCTCATTCCGGAGTTTATGTTCTGACCCTGATATCTCAAGTGAGGGCCTGTTTTGGAATCAGTGATCTCTAAGCGCCTTTTTATCTACTTGCTATGTGTCTCTGAATTATTTTTATATCTTTCTGGGTAAATTGATGCATTTGTGGTATCAAATAGGTATTGTGGAAACTTTGAAATACAGGACTTCAGTCCCCATGATGTTAGAAAGGGATTCTTTTGCTGCCTGAGATATGGTAAGGACGTAATAAATGAAGGTTTCCAGTTTCTTGATCCAAGAAAATAGGTAAAAGACAAGTTTAGTGAAAGGTATATCTCACTTTGGATGAAGGAAGTAAAAAGTAAGTAAAATAAGTCTCAGAAAATGCATAAAAAGAACAAAGAATCAGTGCAAGATCAAAAAAGAAATTAAGTGCATTTTAGAGTGAGGTGGGAGGAATGTGTGTTGTGTATTTATATCAGAGGAGAATGGTTTGGAGAGAGATGTGGTAGACATAAACCACCAAGTATGCTATATTTCTATCTAGGATCCAGCCAAGATCTTGACTTTGTTCCCATCCAAACTTCCTGGAGGAGATGATGCCTGGGTTCAGCATTGAATGAGAAGCAGAAAAAGTGGGGTTGGGGGTAAAATAGCAGAGACATAGAAGACAATATGAAGAATACTGTAAATAATTAAATAGCATGAGGGTGAAAATAAATATTTATCATGGATATGTAGAGGGTGACAAAGAGAAAATATCTGATTAATATTTGCCCCTGCATTTTAGCTAGTGTGGCTGGAATAATATTAGTGATTTTAATTGAGATGAATAATTTGGGACAGGTTGAGGTTGAGGTATCTCTGGGATATCCAGAAATGATAATGAGTAGATGCTAGGATAATGCATCAATAATGTGAGAACAGGATTGAGTTGTTGATATGCACTAGGCACTAGGGGATCATATTTGTGGTGGTTAAAACCACCAAAAATGAATGAGCTTGCCCAGGAAGCATGTGTAGAGTGAGAATATTGATTGTGTTACTCTTATAGAAGTAGACTATATTGAGCATAAGAGATGACAGCCTTGCTCTGTTCTGCCATGTAGCCTGTATATTGTGCCAACTGTAGAGTTCTCATTTTATATAAATAAAAAAGATATCTAAAGGAAATACATAAAAGACATTTATAACTGGTGTGTGTTTAGAGAAGAGTAAGAAAACTCTATTCTAAGCCATATGAGAAATAAAATAGTGGCTCATTTGCCTAGAGAAAGGAAAATCTCCAAGCATATAACAAGTAAGGTATTTGAAGGGCTGTCATAAGGAAAATATATGTTTTATCTTTGTGTTTCTCCTGAAAGCATGACTAGAAATGTAGTTAGATTTTTAACTTAATTAGAGAAAGCATTTTCTGAATATTTGTTCTATCTGAAACTAGGATGAGCTCTTTTTGGGAGAGAAAGAGTTCCTTGTTTCTGGCTGTTTGGCAGTAGTCCAGGTTTGTTGTGGGAGGAATAGAATCTTTAGGGAAAGGGGTAAGGACAAGAAGATATCCTATGTCTAAAAAACATTTTATGATTCTTTGTCAGGGGATGCCCTTTACTTAATAAATTTTGTAGTCTGATAAAAATATCCAGTGGGTTCTTTCACTCTAGGACTTAGTTTTTTTAAAAAAATTATTGGAATCTGGTTCACTTTAAGACTCCTACTTCTACTTAATGAGGTTGTTTTCCTCTGACTAAATATTGGTTATATTTTCTTCATATCTTCTTTGACCTTTGGCTATAACAATTCTCTCAACAATATTAAAAAGGGTATTATTTGGAATTGACAATCTTATTTGCTAGTAGCTGAATGATCTAGTGGTGAAAATGACTGGCAAAGTCATGTAGTCTATAGAGTAGCAGAGTACAATTTTAATAGTTCTGTGAAATCTTTATCTCAGAATAGAATAATTTAACAAATATATTGAATTAGCTTGTATGGCAAAGTGCAAGTACAAAGTGATGTTTCTCTTTCTTACCATAGCCTCTTTGGTCCTTCTCTCTTGCCTTCTTCTTCCTTATCCCTGGATAAGGTCTCAGGAAGATCCAGTTGCTTTTCCAGTTAGCTTTAGGTACTAAGAAATTCACAATCATATATAATAATTCCCAAGGCTTATTTAACTGAAGCTTCTATTCTCCCCTTAATCTCTCTTGGATCAAGCCTGCAGTGATTGAAGAAAACTACCATGGGGCAGGGAGTTTGTGATTTCTTTATTTTATCAACTTTCTCTTCTGCTTTTCCTTCACCTTCCACTCATAGAGCTGATCTAGTGCCCACAGAGTTGGAAGAGATTATGAGGAAGAGAGGTAAGGGGCAGAAATTTTTACCTGATTTGTATAGCTATAAAAGTACATTGGTGACTGTAGCATCCTGGGTCTAATCAGGAGATAGAAACAACACAGTAGACTAAACAAGGGATGTTTCATATAAAGAATTAAGGATGATAAAAGAGTAACTATGAGATGTAAGGAAATTATACAGCATGCTAGGGCTGAGGGAATGTGCATAACCGACAGCAAACTTGGAATGGATTCAGGTCTTCTTGTAAGAGAAGGAATGGTTCAGCCCACTAGATAGCAGAGACGTTCCCTCAATTGGTTAGCCTGGAGCTGGCAGGAGTTGCCGGCAAGTGATAGACAACTTTCCACAGTGCCAGTGGGATTAGCAGGGGATCAGCAGCTGGGGGTGTGGGCTCACAGTGGGGCCTGGGACAGGTCCTGGCAGGAGGCCTTTAGAGCACAGGTCTGAGTGGGGCTCTGGTTTCCAGGCTGTGGAAAGGTTATCACCAGGCGAGACTGGAAAGGTCACAGAGGGACTACATTCTCAGCCGATAGCTGGGGCAGTGCTTCACTGGATGACCTCACACTCATGCCACTCACCCCTGACCGATGGTGAAAACTACAGGGCAGACTTTTCCTCCTGCAATATTCCTACATTCCTCTACTAAGATAGCTTCATACTGTGCTCACTTTAAAGGATAAATGCTTAAGGAAATTTTACCATCACAGAGCATATATTGAAAAGTGTATTCTGAGATAAGAGGCAATATATTGCTAACTAACATAGTGATTGTGAGATGTGGAAGATGTTAAATAGTGATTTTTTTTTTCTCATGATTTGCTGCTTAGATGCGGATGAGGTGTGAGTGCTGGAAAAACTGATTTCATGATCTCATAGTGTGTCTGGAATTGGTGGGTTCTTGGTCTGACTGACTTCAAGAATGAAGCCACGGACCCTCGTGGTGAGTGTTACAGTTCTTAAAGGTGGCGTGTCCGGAGTTTGTTCCTTCTGATGTTTGGATGTGTTCGGAGTTTCTTCCTTCTAGTGGGTTTGTGGTCTCTCTGGCTTCAGGAGTGAAGCTGCAGACCTTTGTGTTGAGCATTATAGCTCCTAAGGCGGTGTGTCTGGAGTTGTTCATTCCTCCCGGTGGGTTCGTGGTCTCGCTGGCCTCAGGAGAGAAGCTGCAGACCTTCGCGGTGAGTGTAGCTCATAAAGGCAGTGTGGACCCAAAGACTCAGCAGCAGCAAGATTTATTGCAAAGAGCGAAAGAACAAAGATTCCACATTGTGGAAGGGGACCACAGTGGGTTGCCACTTCCAGCTTCGGCATTCTGCTTTTATTCCCTTATCTGGCCTCACCCACAACCTGCTGATTGGTTAATTTTACAGAGAGCTGATTGGTCCGTTTTGACAGGGTGCTGATTGGTGTGTTTACGATCCCTGAGCTAGACACAAAAGTTCTCCAGGTCCCCACTAGATTAGCTAGACACAGAGTACTGATTGGTGCATTCACAAACCCTGAGCTAGACACAGGGTGCTGATTGGTGCATTTACAAACCTTGAGCTAGACACAGAGCGCTGATTGGTGCATTCACAACCCCTTAGCTAGACATAAAGGTTCTCCAAGTCCCCACTAGACTCAGGAGCCCAGCTGGCTTCACCCAGTGGATCCCGCACCGGGGAGCTGGTGGAGCTGTGGGTCAGTCCCGTGAGGTGCGCTGGCACTCCTCAGCCCTTGGGTGGTCGATGGGACTGGGTGCCGTGGAGCAGGGGGCGACGCTTGTCCGGGAGGCTTGGTTGGTGCAGGAGCCCACGGCGTGGGGGAGGCTCAGGCATGGCGGGCTGCGGGTCCCGAGCCCTGCCCCGCGGGGAGGCATCTGAGGCCAGGTGAGAATTTGAGCGCCTGCCGGCACTGCTGGGGGACCCGGCGCACCCTCCGCAGCTGCCGGCCCGGGTGCTAAGCCTTACTTCACTGCCCCGGGCGGGCGGCTCCGCCGGCTGCTCTGAGTGCTGGGCCGCGGAGCCCACGCCCACCCGGAACTCGCGCTGGCCCGGAAGCGCCGCGCGCAGCCTCGGTTCCCGCCCGTGCCTCTCCCTCCACACCTCCCCGCAACTGAGGGAGCCGGCTCCGGCCTCGGCCAGCCCAGAAAGGGGCTCACACAGTGCAGGGCCGGGCTGAAGGGCTCCTTAAGGGCGGCCAGAGTTGGCGCCAAGGCTGAGGAGGTGCCCAGAGCGAGCGAGGGCTGCCAGGGCTGCTAGCAGGCTGTCACCTCTCAATAGCAGTTTTGTATATGGGATCTAGCCCCTCCCTAAGAGGTGAGTGCAAGTTATTGGCATTCTTGAATTTCTTTCCTACTTTTGGGACCTCAGGCAATAATGGAATGAAAGAAAAACTCGATAAAGGATATCATTTCCACATGCTTTCCTCATATCTCTTCTCACCTCCATGTGTCTGTAGTTGAAAGTCCAAATTTTTGTTTTCTCCTCACAGATTTCCAGATGGACCCGTTATCTTATCAAGTCTAATACCTGTACATTTCCTTTACATTTTTAGGAGTGATTCTACCTTGCACTTTTTTCTTCATGACACTGCAAGCTCCTTTTTTTTTTCCTTAAACTTTTTCCTTGAGGAAAGCAATCACTACCCATTTGATTCTCCCAGTAGGCAATAACCACAGGTACATCAGAGAACATGATCAGTAATTACCCAGACCACATAGGGTAATTTCTGTCAGTTGGTTAGGGCCAATTTCCCCCAGCTACTATTTGGGTAAATGCCAAAAGTACAGATTAACTTTGAAGCCTCTGGAACAATTTCCCTAACCTTCCCTCATGTATCTTATATGTGGGTGAGGGGCAAATGCTGGCAGGCTGATTTTATAAACTCTTTGTGCGTCCCACCACATCGCTGACAGCGTGAGTTACTTGGCATTCTTGATTTTTTTTTTTTTTTTTTTTTTTTTACTTTCCAAGTGGCTGAAGCAATTCTCAACTGTTTTCGTAGTGGTCAACTAACAATCATTGTTTTGGAAAGTTTTAATAACAAAATTTTTATATTATATTCATGAAGAACTGGATGACTGTATTGCTAAGTGGGCTGCAGTACATTTGGACGACAAAGGAGAACTCTGTGGTCATCATGGAGACAGTTATTTACATTTTATGTTCAGCACATGGCTGGTCAGCAGACAGCTCTGGGGCCATCCTGTCATCTGTGGCTTGACTCAAGGACCCATTTGGAGATTTATGTTGCAGATCCTGTACTGCCCGCACAGTAGGGGTCTTTCTGTGTTTGCCAAATTGGAGCCAGAGATTTTATTAAACATCTACATTGGGGATTAAGAAATGTTGATAATTGCAAGCAGAAAAACAAAAGATTTTTACTGAGTTTATGATGAAATCTTCTTGTATAACCTTGCCATTTAATGCACATTTAATAATTGTTCTACCTAGAACAATGTTCCATTGTCTCTGAAAAAGACATGGTGTTTCCTAGCCACCATTTGATAGAGGGAGAAGGGTATACTTTTTATATTCTTCCTTCTTGGGAAACCTAAGTAGTCAAAAAATAGTACGGAGGTTTAGAAACGGGATGAAAAAACTAAGATAAAGATTGGACTTCACAATTTAGGTACACAATGATTATCAATGAGAGGAACAAATTAACTATATCTTTTTCTCATAAAAAAATCATGTGGGGAAGGAAGCCTCTGAGATTTTAGAAGAAAAAAAAATAATTTTGGTGAATTCATCATTGCCCACAATCTGGCCAGTAATTTTCCTTCTTTTTCTTTTTCTTTCTTTCTTTTTTCCTTCCTTCCTCCCTCCCTCCCTTCCTTCCCTCTTTCTCTCTTTCTCTCTTTCTTTATTTTTTAGGGGAGTCTCTTTCTGTTGCCAGACTGGAGTGCAGTGGCACGATCCCGGCTCACTGCAACCTCCGATTCCTGGGTTCAAGCGATTCTCCTGCCTCAGCCTCCCGAGTAGCTGGGATTACAGGCACGCACCACCATGCCCAGCTAATTTTCATATTTTTAGTAGAGGCGGGGTTTCACCATGTTGGCCAGGATTGTCTCGATCTCCTGATCTCGTGATCCGCCTGCCTCGGCCTCTCAAAAGTGCTGGGATTACAGGCGCGAGTCACCGTGCCCGGCCAGCAGTTTTCTTAATCATAATTGTGTGTTCTTGCTTAGTGTGTTGCTTCTTTTTGAACAAGTTTGGATTTTCTCCCATTCTCTTCTCTAATTGTTAAACTACTCTTCATCTTTCAATATCCAGCTCTGACAGGGCCCTTCTGTGAAATTAACTCGTCTACTCTTGGCAGAGATGATAATCTGTCTTCCCTCTATGCCCTGACAAAACTCTTTTTATTCTTATATTTTAAAACCTGCTATGTTTGACCACTAATCAATTTATAATCTATCTTCTATCTGTTCTATCTAATCATTCATCATCATCTATTTATGTATTTTATTCATCATATCTTTCCTATTAAAATGCAAACTCATCTAATAAGGTGAGTCCTGTGTATGATTCAATTTCCTGTCCTACAGTTCTTGGCACATATAGGCATACCTTTTTTTTTTTCTTTGAGCTGAGGTTGCTCTGCTGCCCAGGCTGGAGTGCAGTGGTGTGATCACAGATCACTACAGCCTCAACCTGCTGGGCCCAGGCAATCTTCCTGCCTTAGCCTCCTGAGAAACTGGGATTACAGGCATGAACAACCACAGCCACATAATTCAATTGTATTGCACATCTTTTACAAACTGAAAATTTGTGGTGACCGTGTGTTGACCAAGCCTATTGGCACCATTTTTCCAACAGCATGTGGAAAAATGTCTCTGTGTCACATTTCATATCTCTGTCACATTTTGGTAACTCTTACAATATTTCAAATGTTTCATTATTATTATATCTATTATGATGATCTGTGATCAGTGATCTCTGATGTTACTACGGTAATTGTTTTGGGGTTCCATGTACCACACCTATGAAGATAAGAAACTTAACAGATAAATGTTGTGGGTCTTCTGACTGCTCCACTGACTGGCTGTTCCTCCATCTCTCTCTCTCTCTCTCTCTCTCTCTCTCTCTCTCTCTCTCTCTCTGTCTGTCTCTCTCACTCTCATTTCTCTCTCTCTCTCTCCCTCCATGCCCCCCTCCTTAGGCCTCTCTCTTCCCTGAGACACAACAATATTAAAGCTAGACCAGTTAATAACCTTACAATGGCTTCTAAATATTGAAGTGAAAGGAAGAGCTGCACATCTCTCACTTTAAATCACAGCTAAAAATGATTAAGCTTAGTGAGGAAGGCATGTCAAAAGTCAAGATAGGTCAAAATCTAGGCCCCTTTTGCTAAACGGTTAGCCAAGTTGTGAATGTAAAGGAAAATTTCTTGAAGGAAATTAAAAGTGCTACTCCAGTGAACACACAAATGATAAGAAAGTAAAACAGCCTTATTGCTGATATGGAGAATGTTTTAGTGGTCTGGATAGAAGATCAAACCAGCCACAACATTCCCTTAAGCCAAAGACTAATCCAGAGCAAGGACTTAACTCTCTTTAATTCTATGAAGGCTGACAGAGTTGAGAAAGCTGCCGAAGAAAAGTTGGAAGCTAGCAGAGGTTGATTCATGAGGTTTAAGGAAAGAAGCCATCTCTATAACATAAACGTACAAGGCAAAGCAGCAGGGCTGATGTAGATGCTGCGGCAATTTATCCGGAAGATCCAGCCAAGATTGTTGATGAAGATAGTTGCACTAAATGCCAGGTTTTTCAATGTGGACAAAACAGCTTTCTATTGAAAGAAAATGCCATCTAGGACTTTCACAGCTACAGAGAAGTTCATGCCTGTCTTCAAAGCTTCAAAAGGCATATTGACTTTCTTATTAGGGGATAATGCAGCTTGTGACTTTAAGTTGAAGCCAATGCTCATTTACTATTCAAAAAGTGGAGCCTAAAGATATGACTGAATTGCTGCAATCCCGGATAAAAGTTAAGCAGAGCAGATGAGGAGTTGCTTCTTATGGATGAGTAAAGTAAGTGATATCTTTTTTTTTTTTTGAGATGAAGTCTCACTCTGTCACCCAGGCTGGAGTGCAGTGGCATGATCTCGGCTCACTGCAACCTTTGCCTCCTGAGTTCAAGTGATTCTCCTGCCTCAGCCTCCTGAGTAGTTGGGATTGCAGGCATGTGCCACCATGCCTAGCTAATTTTTGTATTTTTAGTAGAGATGGGATTTCATCATGTTGGCCAGGCTGGTCTCGAACTCCTGACCTCAGGTGATCTGCCCACCTCGGCCTCCCAGAGTGCTGGGATTACAGGCATAAGCCACCATGCCTGGCCAAAAAGTGGTTTCTTGATATGGAAGCTATTCCTGGTGAAGATGCTGTGAACATTGAAATGACAGCAAAGGATTTAGCATATTCCATAAACTTAGTTCATAAAGCAGTGGCAGAGTTTGAGAGGATTGACTCCAAATTTGAAAGAAGTTCTATTGTGGGTAAAATGCTATCAAACAGCATTGCACGCCACAGATAAATCTTTAATGAAAAAAAAAAAAGAGTCACTTGATGCACCAATCTACACTGCTTTCTTATTTTCAGAATTTCCCATGGCCACTCCAACCTTTAGCAACCACCTCTTGATCTGACAGCAGCCATCAACATCTACAAAAGACTTTCCACCAGCAAAAATATGATGACTTGCTGAAGGCTTAGATGATCTTTAGCATATTTTAAATCAATGAAATATTTTAAAATTGAGATCTATACATTATATTGGGACATAATGCTATTGCACACTTCAAAGACTGCAACATGGTATAACTTTTATATGCACTGGGAAACCAAAAAATATGTATGACTTACAGTACTCCAGTGGTATGAAACTGAACCTGCAATATCTCCACTGATAGTAGGTGGCCAAACAACTGAATAATAAAGCAAAAATTCTGAGCAGTGAAGTTCGTTGTAAACACTGAATCTTGAAGGAAGTTAAAAGCTTTATTTTTTGGCTGGGCGCAGTGGCTCACACCTGTAATCCCAGCACTTTGGGAGGCCGAGGCAGGCAGATCACCTGAGGTCAGGAGTTCTAGACCTGCCTGGCCAACATGGTGAAACCGCGTATCTACTTAAAATACAAAAATTAGCCGGGCATGGTGGCAAGAACCTGTAATCCCAGCTACTCAGGAGGCTGAGGCAGGAGAATTGCTTGAACCTGGGAGGCGGAGGTTGCAGTGAGCTGAGATCGCACCATTGCACTCCAGCCTGGGGGATGAGAGCGAGACTTTTTTTTTTTTTTCCTTTAGACTTTGAGCTTTCATTAACCTAACAGTTGGTTCTGGCTGCTGTCTAGCTTTTTGAAGCAGGGACAGGAGATTTCAAAACAGTGCTGCATACACAGAATGCAGATGCTTTTTTTTTTTTCCCCAAGTTCCTTCATTCCAAGGCCATGAACTTTTGCCAAGTTATGAGGAAGTCAGCAAAACAGGAGGCAAGGCATGTGTCCACTCTGAAGCACTTCCCTGATTCATGTGGTCAAGCCAAAACAGTTGTTTTGGGTATCTACTATTTACTAGACACTGGGCAAAAGTCTGCCTGAATGAGTCATGTGATGGGACTTTGCCATCGGTGGAAGTAATGATGGGGGCAGAGTGGGGAGAGCTAAGGCAGCAGTGCTTGTGTATGGTGGCTGATTAAGGGAGAGGTGAATTTCTGGATTGATTTGTGTATCTCTGTGAGCAGAAGCTGAAGAAAGAAAGTTTCCATTCCTCTCCCATTGCCTTAATTTAGATCCTTTTCCTCTCTACAAATATGTATATTTCTGAATTCACACTGATCTCCCTTATATCCCATCATGCACACAGCAGCAAACATTATATTTTTGATCACATTATTATCTTGATGAAAACCTTCAATGACTTCTCACTGACTGCCTTAGCTTAGCTTACAAAGCTCCCTGTCATTCGTGCTATTCCCACCTCTTCAGCCACATTTCTGGCACTCCCTGCCTTGTTTATAAAGTGATAACTTTTTATGTCTAGCTCTGTTTGTTCATAAATACTTTGAGTGTGGAGCCCATATTTCATTTATCTTTTTTCTCCTTAGCTGCTAGCATAATGTCTGCAATACAATAGAAGTTCACTAAATATAAGCACATCGGTTTATTGAGGTCAGGGACCATGCCTTATACATTTCTATTTCTAGCTCTTACCACACTTCCTAGTATATAGTGGTGTTCAAACAATTTTGTTTAAGTCACCTGAACTGAAATTGGGCCTCCACAGCAATAAACATTTGTTAAATAATTAATTTTTTATGAATATATCACCTGTACTACAGTACAACTACAGTGCAGCAGATTTTCTCCAATTATTCTTTTTTTAAAATTATACTTTAAGTTCTAGGGTACATGTGCACAACGTGTAGGTTTGTTACATATGTATACATGTGTCATGTTGGTGTGCTGCACCCATTAACTCGTCATTTACATTAGGTATATCTATCCAATTATTCTTAGTGTGTGACAAATTCATTCTGCTAGCTATCAGCTACTGCAGGCCTGATTTTTCCCAGTTTTCTCTCCAGAAAAGTCAATATTTGCATCCTATACTGTTTCCTGGCTTTATATTGTTTGTTTGATTGTTTGTTTGCAAACTTGAGTTTGCAAGTCCAATTCAGTTAAATTTGATAGCCATATATATTAATTAAAATATAATGTTAGTTTGCACCATATTAATTTGCAAATATTTGAATATCCTTGACTTACAAAAATATTTACTTTATGTGGTGGGCAAAGATAGTTTGATTTTTCTTAATCTTTCTACCTATTTTCCTGGTGATCTGATAAGGGTAGTATGACAACTATTAATATATTGCTAAGTGACATTGCTTGTGATAAAAATGATTGAGTGGCCAGGCATGGTGGCTCACGCCTGTAATCCCAGCACTTTTGTGAGGCTGAGGTGGGTGGATCACGAGGTCAAGAGATCAAGACCATCCTGGCCAACATGGTGAAACCTTGTCTCTACTAAAAATACAAAAGTTAGCTGGGCATGGTGGTACGTGCCTGAACTCTTAGCTACTCAGGTAGGCTACTCAGGCAGCTGAGGCAGGAGAATTGCTTGAACCAGGGAGGCGGAGGTTGCAGTGAGCCGAGATTGCGCAACTGCACTCCAGCCTAGTGACAGAGCAAGACTCCATCTAAAAAAAAAAAAAAAAAAAAAAGAAGATTGAGCAACTACTATTATAGAAGAAACTATATATGAATTATAAATACCCTATGTGAAGGCAATATCTTAGACTTTCTTAGTATGTTAACTCTTGTAATGCCATGTCTTTTGAGGGGAGCCTGGAAGCTAAGCTTGTGGAGTTTTACAAGAGCTATTGATTTCTGTGGAAAGTGAGGCTTCTAAGCTAGGTTGTTTACCACAATGCCTGTGGTACGCAGCCTCCAAAATGGATCCAAAAAATCCCTGACTCCCGGTATTCATGCCCTTATGTAATTTCATTCCCTTAAGTGTAGGCTGGACTTAGTGACTCATCTCTAACAACTAGGATATAACAAAAGTCATGGCCAATTCCAAGATAAGGTTACAAATGGCCCTAGGTTCCTTCTTGTTCATCCTCTCTTGTGCTCTTGTTTGATCGCTCTGATGTAAGCCTGTTAGTACGTTGTGTGCTACTCTCCTATGGAGAAAGCCTAGGTGGCAAGAAACTGAAGGAAGCATCTGGCCAACAGCAAGAACAGAACTGAGGCCTTCAGTCCAATAACCTGTAAGGAACTGAACTCTGCCAACAATCAGGCAATGAGCTTGTAAGTGAATCTTCCCCTAGTGAAGTATTGAGATTACTGCATCCCTGGCTGATGCCTTGATTACAACCTTGTGAGATACCTTGAGCCAGAAGACTCAGGTAAATTGCACCCAGATTCCTGTCCTATAGAAACTGCAAGATTAAAAAAAAGAAGGTTTGTTGTTTTAAGCCAGCAATTTTGGGGCCAATTTGTTATGCATCAATAGATAACTAATACCCTATATGTCTGCAAGTTTCATCTCCTTGCATCTGAGCAGTCATCTGGGAAACATGTATTTCCCAGAGAGCTATGCTGGACCAACACTGATGTGCTGGATCACTGCAAGGATTCCTGATGGTGAGGAATGTTTGATGCTACCCTACTGGCAAGTGGATTCTGTTCTATATTCTACTGATGCCTATGGTAGTGTGTGAGTCAGAATTTTAGTTGTACATGTGAAGATCTCCCTGACAGCTGCAGATTAGAGTTAAGCCTAATATATCCAGCTACTGTGTTGGAAACTGGAAATAGAATTATAGAGAGAGTGTATGATCTCCAGGAAAATAGACATGTAGGCAAATAAAATAGAATATCAGATGTTATCATTTATTAAATAACTATACTATTTTAGGCTTGGCCCTTGGATCTTTACTCATCGCTATAGTTGTTATATTATTTCTATTTAATAGATTATTATTCTTTATTATTATTATTATTCCTATTTAATAGATTAAAAAACTGAACCTGGCTGGGTGTGGTGGCTCATGCCTGTAATCCCAGCACATTGGGTGGCTGAGGCAGACCGATTGCTTAAGCCTAGAAGTTTGAGGCCAGCCTGGATAATATGTGAAACCCCATCACTACAAATAATACAAAAATTAGCCAAGCCTGGTGGCAAGTGCCTGCAGACCCAGCTACTTGGGAGGCTGAGGTGGAAGGATTGCTTGGGCCTGGGAGGTCAAGCTACAGTGAGCTGAAATCATGCCACTGCACTCCAGCCTGGGTGACAGAGACCCTGTCTCCAAAAACACAAAACAAAACAAAACAAAACAGAAACAAAAAACTGAACCTAAGAAAAGTTAGTTGATTGAGCCAGTGTGTTAGTCGTTTTTATGATGCTATGAAGGAATACCATAGACTAGGTAATTTATAAAGAAGAGAGATTTATTTCTTTCACAGTTCTGCAGGATGTTCAAGTGTGACACCAGCATCTGCTCAACTTCTAGTGAGGCCTCAGGAAGCTTATAACTCATGGCAGAAGGTGAAAGGTGAGCAGGTGTGTCGCATGGCCAGAGAGGGAGCAAGAGACATGCCAGGCTCCTTCAAGCAACCTGCTCTTGAACTAACAGAGAGAGAACCCACTCATCACCAAGGGTTTAATGCTAAACCATTCTTAAGGGATCCATCCTCATGATCCAACACGTCCCACTAGGTCCTACCTCCAAAACTGGGGGTGACATTTTAACATGAGATTTGGAGGAGACACATATCCAAACCATATCAGCCACTATTACAGACTTCAGAAGTGACAGATCTGGGATTGAATCCAGAGTGTGTTTGTTTAAATACCTGTCAATCTTAGGCAATGTTTACCCCATCTTTCTTCTGGGAACCCTGCATACTGTCTTTGGATTCCAAGACACTGTATTTCTTGATTGTATTTCCTGGGCTTCTAATTCTAATTTTTTTTTTAAAACAGATACACACACACAATACATATGTATATATAAAATATATTTGCCATTTAATCATTTTAAGTATCCGATTGGGTGGCCATTCATTATATTCACAATATTGTGCAACCAGCACAGCTGTCTATTTCCAAAACTTTTTCATCACTCCAAACAGAAACTTGGTATATATTAAGCAATACTTCCCCCATTCTCCCCTCTCCGTAGCCTCTGTTGATCCCTAATTTACTTTCTGTCACTACAAATTTGCTTATTCTAAATTTTTTATGTAAGATAAATCATAACATTCACCCTTTTGTTTTTGACTTATTTTACTTAGAATGTTTGTAAGATTCATCCATGTTGTAGCATGTATCAGAACTTCATTGCTCTTTATGCCTGAATAATATTCAGTTGCATGCATATATTAATTTTTGTTTATCCATTTAAAAATTGATGTATACTTAAGTTATTCATACCTTTTTGTTGTATCTGTTTGAGTCCCTGTTTTCATTTCTTTTGTGTGAATTCCTAGGGGAGGAGTTTCTGGGTTATATAGTAATTCCATTTTTAACTTTTTGAGAAACAGCCAAATTGTTTTCCATAGTGAGTGTACCATTGTACATTCCTGCCAGCAATGTACAAAGGTTCCAGTTTCTCCATATCCTCGCCAATAATTTGCTTTTTTCCCCCCAAAATTATTATAGCCATCCCAATGGGTGTGATGTGGTATCTCACTGTAGTTTTGACTTGTATATCCATACTGACTAACAATGTTGAGCATTTTTCATGTGCTTTTCTCTGATGAATTGAATATTTTATCTTGTGGAGTGGTTATCTTTAGTGAATTTTTTTTCTCTTTGGTGCATAGCTAAATCATCTTTCCTTTGTTCGTATTTGCATACCATATTTTCCTTCATTCTTTAATTTTTGATATTTTTCTATTCTTGCATTTTAGTTGTGGATCTATTTTTTAAAATCTCTTGGCAGTCTTTATCTTTTATCTATAGAAAAGTAGCTCATTAATATTTAATAGAATAATATATATATGGGCTTGTATCTACATTTTTTATGCTTTCTTTTTCTTCTACCATTTCTATCATTTTTTTCTCTGTGCCATTTGCTTTTGTTATAGACTGGATGTGCTCCCCAGAAGGTATATGTTGAAGCCTTATCCTCCAATGTGATGGTATTGGGAGATATGGCTTTTGGGAAGTAATTAGGCTTAGATGAGGTCATGAGGGTGGATCCTCTATGTAGATTAGTGCCCTTGTAAGAAGGGGAAGAGATATCAGGCCTCTCTTTTCTGCCATGTGGAGATATAGCAAGTAGGCAGCCATCTGCAAGACAAAAACAGAATCTGCTGGGCTTCTCAGCCTCTAGTGAGAAATACATGTCTGTTGTTTAAGTCACCCAGTCTATGGTATCTTGGTACAGCTAAGACAGCTTCCTTTTGGATTGGCTCAATAACTTTTATCATCCATGTTTTTCATATATATTACTTTCTTCTTGCTGCTATAAGAAATGGCACAAATTTAGTGGATTACAACAACACAAATTTATTCTCTTACATTTATGAAAGGCAGGGTCTAAAATCAGTTTCACTGGGCTAAAGTCAAGAGGTCAACAGGACTAATTCCTCTGGAGGTATGGAAGGGAGAATCTGTTTCCTTGCCCCTGTCAGTTTCTACTGGACACCAGTATTTCTTGCTTTAGGACTCTACTTCATCTTCAAAGCTCATAATTCCAACATCTGCTTTTATCATCACATATCTTTTCCTTTTTTTTTTTTTTTTTTTTTTTAGATGGAGTCCAGCTCTGTCGCCCGGGCTGGAGTGCAGTAGCGCAATCTCGGTTCACTGCAAGCTCCACCTCCCGGGTTCACGCCATTCTCCTGCCTCAGCCTCCAGAGTAGCTGGGACTACAGGCACCTCCCACCATGCCCAGCTAATTTTTTGTATTTTTAGTAGAGACAAGGTTTCACCATGTTAGCCAGGATGGTCTCGATCTCCTGACCTCATGATCCACCCTCCTCGGTCTCCCAAAGTGCTGGGATTACAGGCATGAGCCACCACGCCCCGCCTTTTTTCCTCTTCTATATGTCTGTAGTCTCCTCTTCAAATCCCCCAATGCTTCCCTCTTACAAGAGCACTTGTGATTATATTTAGGGACTGCCTGCATAATACAGAATAATCTCTCCATTTCAAGATCCTTAATTTAATCAATCTGCAAGTTCCCTCTTGCCATATAAAGTAACTATCACAGGTTCCAAAGCTTAGAACATATATATCTTTGGTAGCCACTATTCAGGACCATACTAGCATAAAATTTACACAATTTATTCCAATGGAGAATGCTCCATTGGTCACCCAAAAAATTACAACATGCATATCTTCACTTATAATATCTGAAAGTAATCAAAACTGTTACCCTCCTTTTGGAAAACATAGGACCTTTGAATACTTTATCTCTTTCCAATTTTTGTATTATATTTGTGAATTTAATTCAATTATTTTATTCTATAAAATATTATTATAATGATTTATATAGTCAATCTTCTTTCAGATTTATTTACATATACTTCACCTTTATTTTACTCTTTTTTTCTTGTACTTCAGACCTTTCATCTGGGATTATATGTCATAGAACTTCCTTTTGTGAGAATCATATGGTGCCAAACTTTCTAAATGTACTTGTTTGTTTAAAAATGTCTTTAATTATCTGTCGCTCTTGAAATATTTTTGTTGAGCATAGAATTCCAGGTTGAAAATACAGTCTTTCAACATGTTGAAGAGGTAAGTACACTGTCATCTAGCTTTGAATGTGTTTGTTAAAAAGTCAGCTGTCAGTCTAATCAATGATTCTCTAAGGGTAATCTGTCTTCCCTCCCTCCAAAGAGGCTATTAATGTATTTTCTTCATCTTTAGTATTTCAATGTTACTATTATGTGTATATGAATAAATTTCTGTTCATTTTCTTTTATATTTCTTGGACTTCATGAATCTGAGACATTGACTATGTCATCATTCCAACATCTGCTATTCTATATTCTATCTATATTTTCATTATGTAACTTGGAATAGACACATACATTATACCTTCGCTTCCTTTTTTCTGTCTCTCTTACCCACTCTTTCACATTTTCCGCCACTTCCTTAATCTTTGTGAGGCCTTCTGAATAATTTTTTAAAAATGATTTTCAGTTCTATTTTCAATTGTGTCTAATATATTATTAAAACTGCACATTAAAGTTTTACTTTGGACTATTCTATATTTTAATTCCAGAAGTTAAATTCAGTTTTTTCCTGCAGTTATTATAAGGCTTTCTTTTCTTTTATTTTCTTAAACATTTTAAATATATGTTTAAAATACTTCATATTTGATAATTGCAAAATTATAACAAATTTCTGAAATTTGTGTGAATTTGTTTCTGCTGGTTTTTATTCAGCTTTTGGATGATTCTCCCCTAGTGTGTCTTGTTTCCTTCTGGGCTCATTTTTGATTATGAAATACTTAGTGTCCACATAAAATTATTTGTGGGCATTTTTGGGTTTACAGCCTTTGTGTTTGCTACTTCCAGGCACCAAAGGGCACCTCTTGTCACGGACCACTTTTAATTTGAGGCTTTTAGAACTATAAAATGCTGTAAATGTCAGCCACAAATAAGCTTGAGATTTACGTGCAATCCTGAAGACTTTGTGGAATTATTTTCATATCCCATCCCCCTTTCTCATCAGAGCCAAGGCAACTTTCCTTGCATTAGCCTTGGATTGGGACAGGGTTAGATGTGTTTATTTAAGCCATTCTTACCTAAATGAATTGCCCTTCGAGACAGAGACTTTATTACTTCTGAGATTTTATTGCTCTACCGAAAGTCCTGGGAAACTCTCAAAATCTAAGCTCTTCCTAGGTATGGCAAAATCCCTCAGAATTAAAGTGGTTTCAGTGGTCTGCTCACCTGCTTGGATTTCTCCCTTTGCTTAGATTTTAGGGTTATGATTCATAAGTCTGTTGTCAACTCTACATTATTTTAAAAAGATTCGTATAATGTTTTAACCTGAATTTTTTGTTATTTGTTATCGAAGTTTGATTCACATATTTGACCTATCAAGTTAACAGAAAGAGAAAATGTCTTCTTTGTGTCTTAACTTTCCTTTTATCGTTTTCTTTCTTGATCTTTCTGTGCCTCAGTTTGTGCCATTTCTTCTGATCTAGTTTCAATTTCTGAATTTATCCAGTTAGATATGTTTAATCAGTTGTTTGTTTAGGCTTCCAGTGAAATTTTAGGGGGCACATAAGTACCTTGTTACATAATCCAAAGATATTAAGTATATAGTTTGCTGAGTTTACACACACACACGTATAATCATCACTCCAATTAGTGTCTAAACTATTTTCATAACCCAGTATATTCTAAATTCTGGTGTGCCTCTTTTCAGTCAACTATTTCCTCACCAGGCCACACTGTGCTCATATCTACAACTAAAGCTTTGTCTGTTCCGCTCAAAAATTGTACATAATCCTATGGAGTATGTTATTTTTGTCTGGTTTTCACTGAGCATCATGTTTTTCATATTTATGCATGGTGCTGTGTTCATCAGTACTTCATTGCTTTAAATTTTTGAGTAGCATTTCATTGTTTGAATATGCCACAATGTGTTAATTCAGTCATCTGATAATGGACATCTGGATTATTTGCATATCTTGGCTATTATAATATTTCTTATTTTTTGTGCATATGTGTGTATAAAACATGCAGAATTTTAAAAAAAATTCTCTAGAGTTATTACCTAAAAGTAGAATTGTTGGGTCTATCTATCTGAAAAACCATTAGTCAACATTTTTTTTTCAAAACAAAAACAGACACAGTGCGAAGAAAGTCTGAAAATTAAGTAAAGGCGAATAAAACTACATCATAATCAAACAGTTTAAAAATCAAAGATAAAGAAAATATCTTAAAGGTAGCCAGAGAAAAAAATTTTACGCAACGGTAAAACAATCTTAATGACATCTGATTTCTCCTGAGACAAAAATAGTGCCAGAAGACAGTGGGATGACATAATTATAATGCTGAAAGAAAGCAGTTTTTCAGGTAAACGTTTTAGTCAAATGAAAATATATTTGAAAAAATGAAGGTGATATATAGACATTTTCAACTGTACAAGAGTTGAAAGAACTTGTTAACAGGAAACCTGCACTACAATATATGCTAAAGTCTAGTGGGCTTGGTGCAGCCTCTGCAGTAATTCCTCCTTCCTTGCCGCTCACCACCACCTGCCTGGTTGTCTCAGCCCTGGGCATGCCATTGCCTCCATGAGTATTTCTTCCCTTGCCACCTCTTGGCCTTTGTAAACTTTGTATATTTTAAAAATTTATTTTTAATTCTTGTGGGTCATAGTAGGCGCAGGTATTTATGGAGTACATGATATATTTTGGTACAGGCATGCAATGCTTAATAATCACATCAGGGTAAATGGGGTATCCTTCACCTTAAGTGTTTATCCTTTGGATACAAACAATCCAATCCAATTATATTATTTATTTTTAAATAAGGTCTCTGTTATTTAAAATGTACAATTAAATTACTATTGACTATAGTCACCCTGTTGTGCTATTAAACACTAGTTCTTACTCATTCTTTCTATTTTTTTTACCCATTAACCATCCCCACTTTCCCACTCCCCAAACTCCCACTATCCTTCCCAGCCTCTATTAACCATCCTTCTACTCTCTATCTCTATGAGTTCAATTGTTTTAATTTTTAGCTCTCACAAATTAATGAGAATATCCAAAGTCTGTGTCTCTGTTCCTGGATTATCTCACTTAATATAATAATCTCCAGTTCCATCCATGTTGTTGCGAACAACAGAATCTCATTCTTTTTAGGGCTGAATAGCAATACATTGTGTAAATGTACCACATTTTCTTTATTCATTTAGTTTGTTGATGGATACTTGGGTTGCTTCAAAATCTTGGATATTGTGAGCAGTGCTCCAATAAACATGAGAATGCAGATACCTCTTCAATATATTGATGTATTAGTTTGTTTTCACACTACTGATAAAGACATACCTGAGACTGGGCAATTCACAAAAGAAAGAGGTTAATTGGACTTACAGCTCCACGTGGCTGGGGAGGCCTCATAATCATGGCAGAAGGTGAAAGACACGTCTCACATGGCAGCAGACAAGAGAGCTTGTGCAGGGGAGCTCCTCTTTTTAAAACCATCAGATCTCATGAGACTTATCCACTATCAAAGGAACGGCATGGGAAAGACCTGCCCCCATGATTCAATTACCTCCTGCTGGGTCCCTCCTGAAATGAGGGAATTCAAGATGAGATTTGGGTGGGGACACAGCCAAATGTATCAACTGATTTCCTTTCTTTTGTGTATACACCTGGGAGAGGATTGCTGGATTATATAGTAACTCTACTTTTAGTTTTTTTGAGGAGCCTCCAAACTGTTCTCCATAGTGGTTCTACTAATTTACTTTCCCACCAACAATGTGGGAGGGTTCTCTTTTCTCTGCATCCTTACCAGCATTTGTTCTTGCCTGTTTTTTGGATAAAAGCCATTTTAACTGGGGTGAGATATATTTTGCAGTGTTGAGTTGCATTTCTCTCTTGGTTAATGTTATTGAGCATCTTTTCATGTACCTATTTGCCATTTTTATGTTTTCTTTTGATAACTGTCTATTAAGATATTTTGCTCATTTTAAAATTCTATTATTATATTTATTTCCTATAGAGTTGTTTGAGCTACTTATACATTCTCGTTATTAATTCCTTGTCAGATTGGTGGTTCACAAGTGTTTTCTCCCATTCTGTGGGTTGTCTCTTCACTTCGTTGATTTTTTATTTGCTTTGCAGAATCTCTTGAACTTGACGCAATCCCATTTGTCCTTTTAGTTGAAGTTTTTCTTCTTTTTTGATGTAGGCACTTACGGCTATAAACTTTCCTCTTAGTATTGCTTTTGCTGTATCGAGTAGGTTTTGGTATGTGTGTTTCCATTGTCATTTGTTTCAAGAAATGTTTCAATTTTCTTAATTTCTTCATTAACCCGCTGGTCATTTGGGAACATATTGTTTAATTTCTATGTGTTTGTATAGTTTCCAAAATTCCTCTTGTTACTGATTTCCAGTTTTATTCCATTGTGGTCAGAGAAGATGCTTGATATTATTTCAATTTTTTTTGAATGTTTTGAGATTTGTTTTGTGACCCAACATATGATCTATCCTTGAGAATGGCCCATGTGATTAGGAGAAGAATGTGTATTCTGCAGCTGTTGGATGAAATGTTCTGTAAATATCTATTAGGTCCATTTGTTCTATGATGCAGATTAAGTCCAATATCCCTTTATTGATTTTTCTTATGGATAATCTGTCCAAGGCAGAAAGAGGGTTGTTGAACTCTCTAGCTATTATTGCTTTGGAGTTTGTCTCCTTCTTTAGCTCTAATAATAGTTGTTTTAACTAGCTGAGTGCTTCAGTGTTGGGGGCATTTATACTTATAGTAGTTATATCCTCTTGCTGAATTCATTCCTTTACCATTGCATAATGACCTTCTTTGTCTCTTATTACAGTTTTTGTCTTGAAATCTATTTTGTCTGATATAGGTATAGCTACTCCTGTTCTTTGTGGTTTCCACTGACATAGGATATCTTTTTCTGTCCCTTTATTTTCAGTCTATGTGTATCTCTAATAAGTGTGCTTTTCGTAGGCAATAGATCATTACATTTGTTTTTTTAAATACATTCAGCCACTCTATGTCTTTTGACAGAAGAATTTAGTCAATTTACATTCAATGTTATTATTGATAAGTAAGGACTTACTTTTGTCATTTTGTTATTTGTTTTGTGGTTGTTTTGTGGTCTTCTCTTTCTGCTTTCTTTTTTTTTAATTGAAGAGTTTAAGGCTGGGAGCAGTGGCTCACCCCTGTAATCCCAGCACTTTGGGAGGCTGAGGCAGGCAGATCATGAGGTCAGGAGATCGAGATCATGCTGGCTAACACGGTGAAACCCCATCTCTACTAAAAATACAAAAAATTAGCCAGGCGTGGTGGCAGGCACCTGTAGTCCCAGCTACTTGGGAGTCTGAGGCAGGAGACTGGCATGAACCCGAGAGGCGGAGCTTGCAGTGAGCCGAGATTGCGCCACTGCACTGCAGCCTGGGCAACAGAGTGAGATTTCATCTCAAAAAAAAAAAAAAAAAAAGTTTAATCCATTTACGTTCAATGTTATTATTAATAAGTAAGGACTTACTCCTGCCATTTTGTTATTGGTTTTGTGGTTGTTTTGATCTTCTCTTTCTTCTTTCTTTACTTTCTGTCTTCCTGTTATTGAAGCTGATTTTGTCTGTTGGTATGCTGCAATTTTTTGCTTTTTATTTTTCATGCATCTCTTGTATGTTTTTAGATTTGAGGTTACCATGAGTCTTGCAGAGATATCTTACAACCCATTATCTTAAACTTTGACAAAATAACGCTGATTGCATAAAGAAACAAGCAAAAATAAAACTAATAAACACTTTACTCTTTAACTTCATCTCCACACATTTTAACTTTTTGTTTTCGCTATCTGTATCTTACTGTACTGTCTATGTCTTGAAAAGTTGTCATAGTTATTATTTTTGATTGGTTCATCATTTCCTTTTTCTACAAAAGATATGGGTAGTTTACACACCACAGTTACAGTGTTATAATTTCTGTGTTTTCCTGTGTACTTACTCTTACCAGTGAGTTTTGTACCTTCAGGTGATTACTTATTGCTCATTAACATCCTTTTCTTTTTGACTGAAGTACTGCCCTTACTGTTTCTTGTAGGGCAGGTCTGGTGCTGATGAAATTCCTCAGCTTTTGTTTGTGTGGAAAGCGTTTATTTCTCCTTCACATTTGAAGGATATTTTTGCAGAATATACTATTCTAGGGTAAAGATTTTTTCTCTTCAATGCTTTAAAAATGTCATGTCACTCTCTCCTGGCCTGTAAGGTTTCCACTGAAAATCCTGCTAGATCTATTGGAGATCCATTGTATGTTACTTATTTCTTTTGTTTTACTGCTTTTAGTGATCCTTTCCTTATCCTTCATTTTTGAGAGTTTAATTATTAAATGCCTTTAGGTAGTCTTCTTTGGGTTAAATCTGCTTGGTGTTCTATAACCTTCCTGTATTAGGATATTGGTATTTTTCTCTAGGTTTAGGAAGTTCTGTATTATTATCCTTTTGAATAAACTTTATACTCCTATCTCTTTCTCTACCTGCTCTTTAAGGCCAATTTTGCCCTTTTGAGGCTGTTTTCTAGATCCTATAGGTGCGTTTCATTGTTTTTTATTCTTTTTTCTTCTGTCTCCTTTGTGTCTTCAAGTTCACTAATTCTTTCTTCACCTTGATCAAGTCTGCTATTAAGGGTCTTTGATGTATTCTTCAGTATATCAATTGCATTTTTTCAGCTCCAGAATTTCTAATTGATTCTTTAATGTTATTTCAATCTCTCTGTTAAATTTGTCTAATAGAATTCTGAATTTCTTCGTGTTATCCTGAAGAGCCCTTGGGCTCTTGGGCCACCACAGCTAGGAATGTTCTGAGTTTCACCTGAAGCCAGTAAGTCTCAGAGGTAGATATTTATTGTAGTCTTCACAGTCTAGGCTTGTTTATACCTTCCTTTTTTGGGAAGACTTTCCAGGTATTTGAAGGGTCGTAGGTGTTGTGATGTAAGCTGTATCTGTGTTAGGGAGCACCCCCAGCCCTGTAATGCTGTAGCTCCTTGGTGGTCTGGGATAAGATCTGGAAGAATCCTCCTGATCACAAAGCAGAGAATCTTGTTCTCCTCCTTTACTTTCTCCCAAACAAATGGAGTTTATCTCTATGTGTGGAGCCACCTAGAGCTGGGAGTGGGGTGACAGAAACCCCCCTGTGGCCACCACCACTGAGACTGTACTGAGTCAGACCAGAGGCCAGCACAGCACTTAGTCTTGCCCAAGGCCCACTGAAACCACTACCTGACTACTGCCTATTTTTGCTCAAGGCCCTAGGACTCTACAACCAGCAGGTGGCAAAGCCAGTCAGGCTTTTGTCTTTCCCTTCAGAGTCACGAGTTCCCCTAGGCCCCATGTGGGTCAAAGATGCCATCTGGGAGCCAGAGGCTAGAGTCAAAAACCTTAGAAATCTACCTGGTGCTCTATATTACTGTGGCTAAGCTGGCACTCAAACTACAAGACAGTCTTTCCTTTTGTTCTTCATCTTTCCTTTTGTTCCCTCGTCTTTCCTTTTGTTCCTTCTTCTTTCCACAGGCAGAGGAGCCTCTCTCAGTAGCCACCTCCAAGACAGGCCCATGGGGAGTACTGCCAGGGTTCTGCCAATATTCACTTAAGGCCAAAGGGTTCAGTCAGCTTGGTTGTGAATGATACCAGCCCTGGGACTCACCCTTTAGGGCAAAGAGCTCCTTTCTGGCCAAGGGCAGGTCCAGAAATGCTGTCTAAGAGGCAAGGCCTAGAATTAGGGACCCCAAAAGCCTGCTTGGCACTCTACCCCACCGTGGCTGAGTTGGTGCTTAAGGTACAAGACAAAATCTTTACTTTTCCCTCTACTTTTCTCAAGCAGAGGAGTCTTTCAGCATAACCACCATAACTAGGAATGTGCCGAGTCTCACCTGAAGCCAGTAAGTCTCACCCACAGCCCATGGCATATGGGTATTGCTGCTGGTTATTCAGGGCCCTAGGGCTCTTTAGTCAGCAGGAGATGAATCCTGCCAAGACTGGGTCCTTCCCTTCAAGGCTGCAGGTTCTCTTCTGGTCCACGGTGTGTATAAAAACATTGTCCAGGAACTAGGGCCTAAAATGAGGGCCTCATGACATTGCCTGGTGCCCTAGTCTTCTGTGGCTGAGCTGGCATCCAAGATGCAAGACAAAGTCCTCTTTACTCTTCCCTCTCCTCTTCTTAAGAGGAAAGAGATCACTTTTGTTTCTGCAAACTGCACTGCCTGATGTTGGGGAAAGAGTGGCACAAGGTGACTCACTAGGTCATGTGTCCCCCACATCCACTGACTCTGAGCCCAGCACTAGGACTTGCTTGGGAATTGCATTCCTTGTGGGCTGGACTGCCTTTCAAGTTTATTTAGGACCCCAGACACTTTAGCCCATGTGGGGTGGTGAGGCTTGCTGAAACTCATGTTCTGACTGCTGGGATGGGTATTTCTCTCTGGCTATAGCTGGTCTAAATTATCTCTCTATGGGTGCATATTGACTGAGTTCACCTGGGTTTTTCTTTCCTCTATGAGAAGGCAGCACTGAGTTCAATGAAAAGTCCCTCAGTTGCTGTGCTCTCCCTCCTTCAAGTGCACAGATTCTCCTCACCATGGAGCTGCTGCCAGGGAATGGGGTAGGAGTGGTGTTGGTGATTCAAGACTGTCTTTCCTACCCTCTTCAATGCCTCTTTCAGTGATAGGAAGTTAAACTGTGATTTCCCACTGATTTTTGGTTCTTATGAAGGTGTATTTTTTGTGTAGATTTCAAATTTGATGTTCCTGCAGAAGGGACAATTGGTGGAGGCTCTTATTTGGCCATCTTGCTCTGCCCCTTTCTCTTCTTGGCCTTTTGGTACCATCTTTGCTGCCACTTTTTCTCCTTCCTTGAAATCAATTAGTTTTACTTTTTGGGTTCTTAAATACCCATTATATATTTTCCCTTACACATTAAATATATATATTTTTTATACCGTTACACTTTATATCTGAGAACTTCAGTCACCTAAAGAAATCCATTTTTTGTTATTTCTGCTGTATCATATGGTGGTTTGCTTCCTTTTGTTTTTGTTAATATTTTATTGGTTCAACTTAATCTGTGTGCAACCTGAGGATATAAATTGATGATGCTTTCCTTTGGAGGGTTTTATTGTTTCTGTTGAGGGCTGGTGGGCACTTTTGATTTAGTACTACATTAGTTCCCTCTGAGGTGCTGAGCTTAAAGTGGGGGACTGCCCAGGTTTATCTTTTCTAACTTCATGTTGACTCAAAACAGCCTCGCACTGATGCAGGCATTTACCCTAGGGTAACCCGACTTCCATATTCTCTTAACAGCTTACCACTCTCAACTTTTATTTTAGCTCTTTGTTTTTGTTGCTGCTCTTCTTTCTTCCTTCCTTCTTTCTTTTCTTCCCCCCCTTTATTTTCCTTACTTGCTTTTTTTTTGCAATTTATTATAAAATTTGTTGAAATACATGTAAGAATTAGTTATATCGTCATGGTAGGGTCCTTCTACACTGCCATACTGCAGAAAGTGGAAGTCAAGAGTCTAATCTCTAGGCTAGAAAAGTCACTCCACCTCAGGTACTCTTCAGTTAGTTTTGCCTTTGTGAAATGGAGACACTAATAAGTCCACCTGAAGATGATGTTTAGGCTTGCTGAGGCAGTGTTTGTGAAATCACTTTGCAATCCTTGGTTACACATCAGTTAGCACATAGAAAATGCTCGATTATTCCTTGTCAAATGAGCTAGTAAATGAACATAAAGGCTTTACCTCCTGTGGACCTAGAAAGACAAATTGGAGCATGTTTAACAGCTTTTTTCACTAAAGCTGGAGAAAGTCTTGGCAGTCCTGCTCCATTCCTTGTGAAGCCATGCTGGGAGTAAACTAGAAATAAAAGGAAAATGTGAAGAGAATGTTGCTTGTATATATGAGCTTCTACTGGGGATGCTTGAGAAGGGTAGTTGCATGAGGATGTGAGAAATGTGTTGACAAGATAAAACACAAACAAGATGGTTAGTGAACTTGAGAACAGCTGCAAAAGAAATGAATATAAAACAATAACAATTGGAAAAAGTGCCAGAAGAAGAAAATACTAATATAGTTATACATTTTTTTATCTCAAGCTCCGATTGTCTTAGAAGCATCTAATATGTAGTGTGCACACTCTACTTGCCTTACTTTTTCTTCATAAATGTCACCAACTGTTGTATTCTTAGATGTTGTTTGTATAATTTAATTTCATTAATTTATTTTAAAAACACCAGCATTGCCAGGCTCTTGTACACACATTATCTTAATTAATGCTTAAATCAACACAGTGAGATGAGCATTTTTTAAATCCCAATTTCTCCAGTTAATAACATTGAAATGACTTTTATATAATTATTTCCTTTGATTTGCAAGACAAGACACAGAGTCTTTCCAGTCATGGCATAAAACAGGTTTCTCTTTATGGATGCCTGTATTCTGTGACAAAATTTTGTCTTGCATGTATCAAAAGCAATTGGGCAGTTCTTTAGCATTTAGAGTTGAATTATTGGAGTGTTTGCATTTATTATCCTTTATAGTCTTTCTCTTTGTTCAACAGATATTTTTGAGAATATCTTTTTTACTATACATTATTTATTCCTTTCTACAATAATAAATCACTGCTAATACAAGAGACTTTAATGTTAATGGGGGAAATAAGAGAAATAAAAAATTTTGTTAATATATAGAGTTCATGCCATGAAACCCATAGGTTGCAAACCTCTCAATTTGAAAAAGTAACCAGGGAGAGAAAAAAGATAATCGTTTATGTGATTCAGTGTCCATAGGGTACAAACAAACACATTGTTTGCAAGTAGCTCACATATTGCTGAAATTTCTCTTGTTTGTCCTCATGGAAAGAATATTGTATTACATGGTGAACAACTAACTGGAAAGCATCCCTCCAGAAAATGCAGTTTGAGTTGATGAGGCTACTTTTTACCATGTTCTTTGGAAGCTTTATGACAAAGCATAAAGATATAGTACAATTCAGGGAAAGCAATTCTATAAAGGCAAATATGATACAGTTTGAGTATATATCTCTCACACTGAATTTAGGAATATGCATATATAGCTATGTATACATGTAATTTAGAAATATATATTTCTAGTATTTCTGATTTCTAATATTTAGAAATTTCTAAATATATGTATATATTTGTGGGCGTGTGCATATTATATATATATTTAAAAATGAACTTTATTGAAGTATAATTTACCTAAAATAAAAAAAGACATTAAATGTTTATAGTTTGATGAGTTTTGATAACTTTATATACTCATATACATATATATTCACCACCATAAGCATTTCTGTCACCAAGAAAATTCTTGTACCTCAACCCAGTGAAACTCCCTCACATTTATAAGCGATCACTGATTTTCTGTCTGTCAGTAATGATTTAGATTTTTGTTTTTGAGAGTTTCATGTAAATGGTATGGTAATATGTCCTATTTTGTGGCTGGCTTCTTTTGCCCTGCATAGTGGTTTTTTTTTTTTTTTTTTTTTTTTTTTTTGAGATAGATCAAGGTTGTTGCATGCATCTCTAGTTATTTACTTTTTTGCTGAGCAGTATTCTATTATATAACTGGGCCATATTTTAAAGGCCAGTAGAATTTTCTTTAGAATGTCAATGATCAGTGTTGGCTGAACATTTTTCTAGAGTTTAAATATACTAATTAGTCCTCTGATATGGTTTGGCTCTGGACCCCACTCAAATCTCATCTGAAATTGTAATCCCCATGTGTCAGGGGAGGGATCTTGTGGGATGTTATTGGATCATGGGATCTTCCATGGATTCCCCCATGTTGTTCTTGTGATAGTGAGTGAGTTCTCACAAGATCTGATGGTTTAAAAGTATGTGGCAGTCCCCGCAACCTCTCTTTCCTGCTGCCTTGTAAATATGGTGCTTGCTTCTCCTTCACCTTTTGCCATGATTGTAAGTTTCCTGAGGCCTCCCCAGTCATGTGGATCTGTGAGTCAGTTAAACCTCTTTTCTTTATAAATTACCCACTCTCAGTTCTTTATAGCAGTGTGAAAATGGATTAATACATCCTCCTCTCCCCCAAATTTTCTTTATGCACTATATTTTTATGCTAAATTAACAAGACATCAAAATGGGACCTTTTCTATAGGCATGCCATGTGAAATAATCACATCATGGAGAATGGGTCCCCTTTATGTTATGAACATTCCAATTATACTCTTTTAGTTACTTAAAAATGTACAATTAAGTTATTATTGACTATAGTTACCAGTTGCTATCAAACAATAGGTCTTCATTCTTTCTAACTTTTTTTTGTATCAAAGCATCTCATGTGTCCCATAAATATATACAACTACTATATGTACCAACAAAAATAAAAAATAAAAAATAAAAAAACAAAAAATGAGACATTTTCTGTCATTATTTGCTAAAACCTCAAGAAAATAAGTGAAATAGGTGGCAAATACTCCCACATTCCAAAGTGAGGTACAAATCTACCTGAATAGAGCTTACCTAGCAGGCAATCAAGAACTAGTTTTTCAACTTTTAGTTCACCTCTAGTCTCAGTTTTCCAAAGGCATTATAGTGGCCAAAGAGTTGTTGGCAATTCGAACTGCATTTTTAAAAGAACATTGTTAATATGATACATGGACACAGATGGAGCACTCATGGGGCAGCAGTGTTAGCAATCTTCTCTTCTTTTTATGCCAAGTGAGAGGGGCTTCAAGGTGGCCACTTGGAGAAGTTGATTCCATGTCCCTGGAGTATGTCAAGATGCAGAGCCTGTTACTGGATCTATGCCTGGGAGGTCCGAAAGTGAACACCTGTGGCTGGAGTTGCCTAGCTGACAGCAGAAAGAAAGATGGTAGCTACATTTTAGAAGCACCTGTGCTGTGCTTCTACCAATGACAAGTCAGGGTGTATTTACTGAGGAACAAAGGTGTGTCTTTGTAAGGGGGATAGAGAGAGAATAAGAGCTGGTAAACACAAGTGTGAGCACCTGAGGCAATATTAAAGGGACATTGTTCAAGGGAACAGGAAAGAGTATATATAGGAATGTCCACATACAACCAGGGTTTGAAAGAGAAGTGTATTATCCATGTTCAGGCACTGTAGGAGGAGACTGAATCAATCCATTGAATGGGGCTTCTCTGATGAGCCTGCTAAAGCATCCTATGAAAGAAAGAGCCAGGTGAAATATCTCTTAAACCCAGAGAGCCCAGGCATGAGCATATGACATGCCATTGCCACCTTTCTACCTTTTAGAACTTTTCTGCCTCCAAATCTCTTCTCCCTCCTTTGTTCTTAACCCTGATGATACCAGAAGCAATGTATTAGAGAAAGAGAATAAAATTACAGAAGTTGGAAATAAGTCAAACACATACCTCTGAAGCAGGCCTAAGCTGGAGGAGGGCAAACATTTTAAATCTTAAAAAGTCTAGATTTTTCTTTTATTCTTTTACTTAGTTGTACATATAGCTACCAAACGATTATTGTTTTGTGATTTAGAAACAAAAGAGCAGTTTTGAAATAGGCCTACAGGGCATGTCTGAATGGACAGTGGGGAAGGAAAAAATAGTTTTTTTTCCGATTGCATTTCCTAAGCCCAACTTGTTTAAAATTAGTATAACTTCTGTACACTTGCCTGATTGCAATTTATTTTCCAAAATAGATTTTACTGCTCAAAACATAAAATAACTAACAACAACCACAATTTGTATGTTATCAGTATGCAATCATCTCAGTGATCTGTTATGAAACATACCACCATATCCATGTAATAGATACTGGACCACCACACCATCACCAGTGAGTTATTCATGGCCTGGTGGATGTAACCACCTTCAGGTGCTATCCATTATAGCAAGTAATGACTTAATTTTTTAAATGACTTAATTTATCAGATGGATAATTGTGAAAATAAGATTTTTTAAGGAGAATTTGTGGTTGAATGTTTCCTGTACTTGGCTTTCTAGATAAATAATCTATTGTATCTATAGTCAGATACAGAGTGTTTAAAATGGCAACAGGTAGTTCTAGGCAAGCAACTGGGATTCTTAGTTTGAGGTCAGGGAAAAATTGTGGTTTTAGGTGATTCATTTGACTCAGAGCAAAACCTCAAGGAGCAGTTGATTTCATCACATGGAAGGAATAAGGTGGCAAGAGCTAGGTGAACTATCAGTTTGCTAATCAAGTTGAGGAACTTGAGTACTTGATCACAGGGGAGGCAGAAGAAAACTGAATCCAGGTGAATATGCAGAGAATTTCTGTCCACCTACATGCTCTGAATACCAGGAGTGAGATCGCAAAATGAATTGGAGAATTGATTTGCCGTATGTGAGGAATTAAGAATTCATATTTACTACTTCACCAATATTGATTTGTCAACAACAACTTTCAGGTAGAAAAATCCAGTGGCCTCTCCTTGGTCATCATTTTACTTGTCTTATTGGCAAATTGTAATACATTTGAGACTTCATCTTGAAACATTTTGTTAGCTATGCTTCTCAGATACACACTTTCTGGGTCCTACTCCTACCTCTGTGGTTACTCCTCAGTCTCCTTTACTCTAGAACTTTCGTATATTGGAGTGGCTTAGGTCTCAGTCTACATGCTTATTTTATTCTCTATCTGAACACATTCTAGGCAATTTCAACTGTCTCACATTTTAAATACCACATATTTTCTGTCAAACACCCTAATGTATCTCTATCCCTGGCCTTTCCTTGAATTCCAGCATCAAATCCAACTGCCTACTCAATATGACCTCCCACTGATTTTTATCTTCAAATTTGCTATTCCCCTATTCTTCCTTTCTCAGTAAACGGCAACACCCATCTCCTTAGTGTTTAGGAAAGAAAAAAATGTTAGAGTCTTTTGATGTCCTGTCTTCCTCTGATGTTCTTTATCTGTTATGGACTGAACTGTGCTCCCCTTCAAATTCATATGTTGCAGTTCTAACCTCCAGTACCTCAGAATGTGACTATACTTGGAGACAGGGCCTTTATCCTATGGGTGGGTTCTAATACAACTTGACTGGTGTCCTTATGAGAGAAGATTAGGACACAAACATTTTGTGCACAGAGGCATGACCATGTAAACACACAATGAGAAGTCAGACATGTATAAGCCAGAGAGGCCTTAGAAGAAACTAAACCTGCTGACACCTTGCTCTGGAACTTCAGCCTCCAGAACTGTGAGAAAATAAATTTCTGTTGTTTAAAGACACCTGGTCTGTGGTATTTTGTTATGGTAGTCCTAGAAAATTAATACAACATTCAACCTATCAGCATATTCTCTTGTGTATCTCAAATATGCCCATTTCCCATCACTTCCCACATTCCTATAATCAAGTCACCACACCTTTTATTTGGCTCTAAATCTTCTCAACTGAAATTCCTGCCCCTCTCCTTCATATTTTTAATCATTTGTATTCAGCAGCCAGACCAGTTGTCCTATGCCCAGAATCTTTCCATGGCTTCCAGAATAAAATTGAAAAATAATAATACCCTGGACTATAAGGACCCTGTCTCTTAACAGCTGCTTTTCTCTTATCTCTCACCACCCTCCCCTTGGCTCACTCCTTCCTTCTTCCTATTCTGTGAATACCCTACCAAGCATACACCCAACTCAGGGACTGTGTGTTACTGGTCCCTCTGTCTGGAGATACACAGAACTTTCTCTCTTACTTTCTGCAAGTCTTTGCTCAAATGTGGACTCATTAGAGGAAAGATCCCAAGGACATCATGTAAAACAGCATTGCATCCTAGTCAGCCTCAGTCCTCTTAAATGCTTCATTTTTCTTTGTAGCATTTATCAAATTAAATATTGATTTTTATTTTGTAATTCTATCCCCCTAAAATGTAAACTCCTGCGTTGGCAAGAATGTTGTTCTTTCAACCTTGCTTTGTTTAATAAAGTTGACTTTATTCCCAGCACCTATCACAGTACCTAGGACATGCTCAATAATCAATAAATTTGTTGGTAAATGAATTAATGTGTACTGATAGATTCACTGTCTTGGCCAAGATTGGCTCAAGAAGGGGGCGTAGTCTTAGTATCAGGCACATTAGTTCTTGTACTTGGGAAGAACTGCAAAAACCAGTGAATGACATTGAATTGCAGACTCAATTTTGACAAGCTAAATAAATCTTCAAAACTGAACAATTCAAAGTAATTATCCAAACAGCTATTTGCTTGCCCTAAGCAATGCCTACAGGAGGCCACTAATAATGCAGTGCTTTTGTCAGATTTGCAAAAGGTAATGGTTTTATAGGGATTGCTCTAGTTTTTGTACCTATATAATCTTTTTCTCCTTTGTTTATTCTGCTTATTTATTTTATCTTTTTCTCCCTATTTCAGCACAGCTAGATTTGATCCATGAGACCCTAGAAAACAGAACTTGGGTCAGTGGATGAAGATATGGGGGAAGGACTCTCTAGCTAACCTGAGTTACTAAGTAATATATTATCTGTCAGTATTAATGTTAAGATTGGAGGACCACTGGTGGGAGTGTTGCAGTGGGGAACATAAACACTGGATCTTAATTTTTGATGTCCTTAGGCTAACTGATTCTTTTACCAGCCTTTATAGGGATAGGAGGACAGAAAATATACTAAAAACAATATACTCATTAATATTCATGGAAGGCAAGGAAGCCATAGCTTTTTATTGATATTCATGATTTTTCACCTTTGGTAGACTATGAACCAGTCAAGGTCAGTGAGTGCATTTGATAACCCTGGACAATAATATTGGTTGTGATACTTATGCTAATGATGCAGTGATGACAAGATTTATCTTTTAAGTAGATTAAGAGCAAGGGCTCTGAAATCAGACAGGCGTTAGTTCAAATCATGGCTCCACTACTTGCCAGCCACATCAGAAAATCCAAGTTATTTAGTTCCTATGAATTTTAGTTTCTCATTTTAAAAGGACAATAATAGTACATATTCCAGCTTACTGTATAGAATTGTGCAGAGGATTAATTGTAGAAAAAATACATAAAGCATTTAGCATAGAACCTAATCATAGCAAATGCTCAATATACCTTCGCCTAAGCAATACAAATTACAACAAGAGTGATAATATCTGAACAAATGCAATACTAATTACTGTGTGTTTGCCATTATTGTTCTTATGGAAAGCAACTATGAAGGGTATGAGTCTTATCATTTTATTGTGCAGATGGGCCTGCCCACCTGGCCTGTGAGAGTGCACCAGCCTCAGTGGGCTCTGTGTCCCTGTCTCAGACCCTACTTTCATTTACCGTGCAAATTACAGAATAGCACAGGGCAATAACAACTCTAGGATAATAGACTGGGAGATCTGCACAGCCTGCTAGGGTGGCTCTGTGTCCTCATTATTAGAGATAAAAATGTATTCAGCATCATCCAGGTCCTTTTGTGCCCACATTTCCATATTGATTAAACCTCACCATTCCTGGCTTCTTCAAATTGCTCTCTCATGCCTCATCTCCTTGTTGCCTTGCCATCTGTTTAATGTGTCTCTTGCTGACCTGATGATCTAGGCTTCATTTTTCTTTGCAGGTTTTATGCAATCAATCAAGTACAAATAAAAATGATAAACGGGCATCTATTGAGGGCCTACTATATTTCTTATACTTTGCATAATGTTATCTAATTCACAGTAATTCTATCAAATGGGTGTTGTAGCTATTCTGCTTGATAAATGAGGAAACATCCCCAGGATCATAAAACTACCAAGGGGAAGGACTGAAAATTGAACTCTATGTCTACTGCTCTTTACACAACTCTGTTCTTTCCAATCCTTATAGGCAGCACCACGCATGAGGCAGTCTTAGAGAAAGCTGATCTAAGTAAGGGAAGGCCCCTGTGCATAAAGAGCTTGCAGTTTAGATGGGGATTCAAATGGGCCCAGGTCCATAGCACTCTGGTAGGTATTAGAAATGAATGCAGTTGTCCATGGAAATGCAAATGTAGATGGCGGGAAACAGGAGAAATTTGAGCATGCATTTCTCTTCTAAAAAGGACAGTTACTACTCAACTATTTATAGCCATTGAGGAAGATATGTTCGCTCTTGCCCTCTGAATTTTTAAGAGAAACAAGAAATATGGATTTTTGTGTGTATCTTCTTACTTTTAGATACTGGAAACTAAAATCCAAAATAATAATAATAACAGTAACAATACACAGATCTATAGAATGAGCTTAATAGTGGAGCTCATCATCATTCTCCAGAGATGTCTGTCAAAATAATTTTTTTTCTGGTTCTGCAGCACTGGAATGTTCTTATTCTAGCCTGATATAGCCTGGAGTGTGTGAGGGTGGTGTGTGAGAGCTATGTGCCATGTAGCTTATGTTGATATTGTGAACTATAGAGCTTAAAGATTGATAGATGCTCCAGGCCAAGATGAGGTGGTCGTTGCACATATACATATGAGTTTAAGTGAAAAAAGGTGGCCATTATGCTCCTAAGAGTTCTGATGGGATTATTGCTCATACACGTTGTCATCTGAAACTGCAAGCCTTTGGTCTCGAAATCTACACCTCTGTGCCTTGGAGACACTGGCTGTTTCTCTGCTGGGTATCTTGATATGCTGATTTCAGATTGTATAATTCAGGTAAGTAAACTGTATTAGTCAGGATATATATATCCTATTAGTTCTGTCCTTCTAGAGAACATATATATATATTTAATAACTCAAATTTACATATACATATATTGTATGTATATATAAATATATACATTATATATATTTATAAGTATAATATATAATACAATATATTATATAATTATAATTATAATACAATATATTATAAAAATATAATACATTAATATAATATATGTATATATAAATGTGGGTGTTTATATATACATATAATACATATATATGTATATATAACATGTATTATATGTATATATAACATAAATATATGTATTATATAAATGGAATTTATTAAGTATTATATTAAGTATATATATTATTATATACATATAATAAATAGAAGTTATTAAGTATTAACTTAGGCCATCACAAGGTCCCACAATAGACTGTCTACAAGCTGAGGAGCAAGGAGAGCCAGTCCAAGTCCCAAAACTGAAGAAATTGGAGTCCAATGTTTGAGGGCAGGAAGCATCCAGCATGGGAGAAAGATATAAGCTGGGAGGCTAGGCCAGTGTCTCCTTTTCATGTTTTTATGCCTGTTTTATATTCCCTGGAAGCTGATTAAATGGTGCCCACCAGATTAAGGGTGGGTCTGCCTCCCCCAGCCCATTGACTCAAATGTTAATCTCCTTTGGCAACACCCTCACAGACACACCAAGGATTAATACTTTGCATCCTTCATTCCAATCAAGTCACCACTCATTAACCATCACATAAACTCTGTTTGACTTACTCCGATTGTTCTATATCAAGTATTTCTACCAATTATTACCTATTATTGGCATTTGTCAATAGAGTGGTTGTGTAGGGTTTTAAAAAAGACAACTATGGCCCTTGCTCTCATCTGCATACTAAAGACCTCTTGCTCCAGGTTTTGAAATAAGATGTGCCTATTAGACCTTGGAACTGATAATCTGGAGGTACACACACACGAAACAAAAATGGCTTCAGGAGCTCTGTAGAAATATTACTATGAATGCGAAAGGAGCAACGTGGGCTGGACTTCAATGCATGAAAGAATTATGACGGGTAGAAAAATAGAGGGACATTTCAAGTATGGAGGCAATACAGTGAGAGCAAGGGTTTAAAAGGAGAAACAAATTAACAAAGTATGCTTAAGGGGACAAAACCAAAAGCAGTCTGAAAGCATGAAGTTTCTGAGAAAGTTGCTGAATGGTAAGGGCCAAGAACTTCAAATTACACTCAATAGGGGTAGGAAGAACATTGATGATTTTCTAAGAAACGTTTGATTCTACAAATGTTTATGTTCCTTATGTGCACAATAGTCAATTCCAGGTACTAAGTTGCTTATGGTGAATTACATTCAAACTTTCTGCTCTCACATGCTTACAGTTTAATAGATACGATAGCCATGGGTCATATTAGCATGCAAATAAATGCATAGTTTTAAATGGTATTAAAGATTGTAAAGACATGTAACAATAGGGGGACACGAGGAAGTCTGTGGAAGCAGACACAGATTCTTAGAGGATGATTCTAAGACATTTGAGATATGACTTGAAAGATGAGTAAAGAGAGAAGACAAAATAGAATGTATGAAGGTACTGAGGAAAAAGAAACATAGCTCTGTAGGGTGAGAAAAAGGAGACATACCTAATGTAAATGACGAGTTAATGGGTGCAACACACCAACATGGCATATGTATACATATGTAACAAACTTGCATGTTGTGCACATGTACCCTAGAACTTAGAGTATAATTAAAATTATATATATTAAAAAAAAGAAAAAAGACCAGTGTGACTGGAGCACAGAGAGACAAGGGGAGATTGGTGAAAAATGAGGTTTAACTTATGCAGAAAGGCACCAAAAGTGTCTTGTGTTTATTCCAAGAGAATGAAAAACGATTACGTGGTTTAAAATGGGAGGAAAGAGATGACAAGATTTCATCTGAATTTCCAGAAGGTAACTACAGGCAGAGGATGTAGGAATAGTTAAATCCTTTGGCCTTATTGGCCTTTCTCCTCATAAGGGACTATGGAGACCAAAAGCACAAAAAAGGCAAAGGAAAGCAAAATGAAATTTTGTTAGCTTTAGGAGCAATATTAGGCACATCTTTTTGTTGGCACTTCCATGTCCTTGACCGTACCTCTTATTCTAGCAATGCTTTTGTTTTGTTGAGGTTTTTGACCAGACTTTTGCAGGTGCAATAGGACAGTGCATGGCTCAGACCTGCACCTTGCATCTTTCACATTCTGCCTTGGAGCTTTCTAGTATCATAGGATCTCTTCTGCATTTATGTATGTGCAAGCTGGAAGTGCAGGGAGATAATGCCAGTTGACCAAGAGGGGCATAGGCAATAGATAAATTCCTTGACATTAGTCTCCTAAGGCACATGATTCTGAGACAAATTTCCAGTGAAAGATTCTTATGAAGGTCCTTACAAGAGCCTTATAAAAGTCCTGGGGATGGCCAATCAGTGCATATTTTTGTATTGCCTTTTCTTCCTTTCCTTTTTCACATTCCCTATCCTGTATTCTTGCTCCTTTGGATCATATTCCCAAACTATAAGCATGTATGCTTAAGTCTCAGGCTCTGACTTTCTTTTTTTTATTATTATTATACTTTAAGTTTTAGGGTACATGTGCACAACGTGCAGGTTTGTTACATATGTATACATGTGCCATGTTGGTGTGCTGCACCCATTAACTCGTCAGGGGAGGGATAGCATCAGGCTCTGACTTTCAAGAGAGCTCCAGCTAAGACTGAAGCTTCATCCCAACTTTGAAATCAGAAATTGACTACTGTAGCAAATAATTTCTCGGGTTTTTGCAATCTTTTCTCCTAATATTAAGGAGCCATAGATGGTCACTGACATAAATTTTTGTACTGTTGTAGTATCTGACTTTTTTACTTAGACTATATTTTTTGACCATAACAAAATTAAATTAGAAATCAATAACAATTTAACTAAAAATACGCCCCCAAACAATTGGAAGTTTAAAAACACATTTCTACATTGATCTGAAGTCAATGAAGATATCCTAGAGAAATTAGAAAGTACTTAGAACTGAATATTAATAAAACAGTACAATTACCTGTGAATGTAATCAAAATGTTACTGTAAGAAAAAAGTTTAATGGCAAATAAATTAGCTGGCAAGAAAAACAGAAATTTTAGAAAGTGTTCAACAGCACACTGATAAAAGCATGACAGATTAAACTCAAAGGAAAGAAAAAAGTTATGAAAACAAAAACAGTAGTTAATATAACAAAAAATGACAAAGATAAACTGAAGAAAATAAGCAAAGCCAAAAACTGGTTTCTTAAACGGTTAAAAAAAATAGACTAACCTATGGCAAAATTGATCATAAAAAATACACCTTGGAATTTCTGGGTGATACAGTATGCATGTATTCAGCTTTGGTAGATACTGGCCAACAGTCTCCCAATTTATCTTCTCAGCAGTAGAGTGTAATCATTTTATTTGCTCAACAACCTCACCATGCATAAGATTTTATCAGCATTATTAACTAGAATTAATATAGGTTTTGGAGACAGGTAGGCCTGAATTCAGATACTGGCTTTGGCACTTAAAAACCCTGTAACTTGTCTGAAGAATTTTTACTTTTCTGAAACTCAGTTTCCTCATTTGGAAAATAAGAATATTTTTCTAACCTTGAAGATTATTAGAGAATTAAAATGAGATATGCATGTAAGGATATATAATCATGTGTTGCTTAATGATGGGGATACTTTCTAAGAAATGCATCATCAGGCGATTTTGTCCTTGTGTGAACATCATAGAGTGTACTTATACAAACCCAGATGGTATAGCCTAATACACAACTAGGCTATATGTTATATAGCCTATTGCTCCTAGGTTACAAACTTGTATAGCATGTTATTGTACTGAATGCTGTAGGAAACTGTAACACAATGGTAAGTATTTGTTTATCTAAACATATGCAAACATAGAAAAGATACGACAAAAATATGGTATTACAATCTTATGGTACCAGCATTGGTGTATATGTGGTGTATTGTTAGCTCACATGTCATTATGCAGCACATGACTATACTATACTTCTGACCCATTCACATTCTGATTAATGAAGAGGTGCTATTGTTTTATAATAATGCTATCCATATTTTGTCCTAGTGCTAAGTTAACATTCTCCATCAGTGCAGGGTTTGGATTATATTCATCTTTTATTCTATAAACATGAAACTCAATGTTATACATAGAAATTGCTCAATAAATATTTAATAAATGAATAAATGAATACTATTTTTATCTAATTTAGTTTAAGGGGGTATATGTGCAGGTTTCTTGCATGAATATATTGCATAATGCTGGGGTTTGGACTTCCATTGAACCCATCACCAAAATAGTGAACATAGTACTCAATAGGTAATTTTTCAACACTTACCCTCCTTCTTCTATCCCTCCTCCCTTTTGGAGACCCCAGTGTTTATTGTTTCCATCTTTGTGTCCATTTGCAGCTTTTTAAAAGCTTTCACTTATAAGTGAGGACATGCAATATTTGATTTTCTGTTTCTGAGTTAATTCACTTAGGATAATGGCGTCCAGCTGCATCCATGTTGCTAGAAAGGTTGTGATTCTTTTTTATGGCTGCATAGTATTCCATGATGCATATGTACCACATTTTGTTTATTCACTCTACCATTGACAGGCACCTAGGTTGATTCTATGTCTTTGCTATTGAAAATAGGGCTGCAATAAACATGAGTGCATGTGTATTTTTGGTAGAATGATTTATATTTCTTTGGATGCATACCCAGTAGTGGGATTGCTGAGTTGAATATTTCCACTGTTATTTCTTTGAGAAATCTTCAAACTACTTTCCATAGGGGCTGAACTAATTTATGTTCCCACCAGCAATGCAAAAGCGTTCCCTTTTTTCCACCTCCTTGTCAAAATTTGTTATTTTTTGACTTTGGCAATAGCCAATCTGACTTGTGTGAGATGGTATCTCACTGTGGTTTTCATTTGTTTTTCTCTGATGATTAGTAATATTGAGCATTTTTTATGTTTGTTGGTCATTCGTATGTCTTCTTTTGAGAAGTATCTGTTTATGGCCTTTGCCTGCTTTTTAATGGGGTTACTTGGGGTTTACTTGTATATTTGTTTAAGCTCCTTATAGATTCTGGATATTAGCTCTTTGACAGATACATAGTTTGCAAATATTTTCTGCCATTCTGTAGGTTGTCTGTTTACTCTGTTGATTGTTTCTTTTGCTATGCAGAAGTTATTTAGTTTGATTAAGTCCCATTTGTCAATTTTTTTGTTTTTGTTGCATTTTTAATATATTAATAAGGGTTCATGCCATTGGTAGCATTTTAATATACACGCCAATATGATAAGCAGGTTTATCCTGAGGTTTTACTATTTAGTTGAGCCATACAAAATTGCCATTTTTATAAGTAAAAAGTAGTTTAAAATTATAGATTTTATGTGCTATTACCTAATGCCCTAGAGTATTTGTCTACAACTGTTCTTCTTTATTTACATTAATTTTTATTTTATTTTTGCTCTTTAGGCAACATCTGTTTAGAAGTTTTCATAAACTTTAAAAAATGTTATAATTATTATAGCAATTTGTTTCATAACTCTTCAGCCATAGATGAAGGAATTTCTCCAGTACCACAACCTGTCAACTAGCATACTATTCAAGAAAGAACCAAAGTTCGCCATCAGATAGAACTGGGTTTCATCCCTGGCACAGATACTACTCATGCAATGACACTGTGAAAATTAGCTCAGCCTTCTGAGTTTCATTTTTCTCATTTCCAACTAGAAGGGCTTGAGCTGAAAAGATTATCTCTTAATCTTCTCTCAGTCGTAAATTTTTAAAATTCTAAACATGAAATACAGATTATTGTACACATTATTTTCTGAATCTATTATTAATTATACCTTGCATAAAATACTGATGATACAAGGATAAACAGGTCAGTAATTTGTTGTGATGTGAAGTGTGTAACAGAATGGTGTAATTAAAGAAGGACTGGAAAGAGAGTCAGAAATTTGTCTTTGTGACTTCCTTGCTGATTGCCCTCAAGAGAACCATATAATGTCTCTTGACTTTATTATCCTATTCCCTAAAATGGGCCTCATAATAATAGTGATTTAGATAGATCAGAGAATTATAATGAATATCAAAGAGGGCAATCCTTCTAGGAAGGCTTCAGAAGGTCCAAAACAGGCATTTTCAGTCTTGGGATATCATCATCAGATAAACATTTTAAAAATTAAGGAAATTACATGGTGTTAACGGTTTATTCATTTACCTTTTAAAATACTTTTAATTTATAACAGTGGCAGATTAACAGAAAAAGTTTGAATATTGTACAGAGAATTCCCATATATTCCATAACCAGTTTGCCCTATTAATAACATCCTACATCAAACTGGTACATTTATTATAATTAATGAACCAATATGGATTTATTATTATTAATTAAAAAGTCTGCACTTTATTCAGATTTCCTTATTTTTTCCTAATGTTCTTTTTATAATCTGGATCTTATCCAGAGTACCACATTATATGTATTCATTATGTCTCTGTCAGCTCCCCTTCACTATAATAGTTTCTCAGACTTTCTTGGCTTTTGATGACATAGATAGTTTTGAGGCGTACTGGTATTTTCTAGAATGCCAGTACTAGAATTGAAATTTGTCTAATTGTTATGATTAGACTGGAGTTAAGGGTTTTGGGGAGGAAGATTACACAGGTAAAATGTCATTTTCTTCACATCCTATCAAGGGTACACATGATCAACATAACATCCTTTTTAATGTTAAGCTTTATTACTGACTGAGCTAGTGTTTGCCAGTTTTCTCCATAATAAAGTCATAAAGTTACTCTCCCACCTCCCCCATTTCCAGACCATATTCTTTGGAAGAAAGTCACTATGCATATCACACACTTTAGGAGTGGGGAGTTAGGCATATAAGTGATTTAGAATTCTTCTGCATGGAAAATTTATCTTTTCTTCCTCATATCTTTATTTGTTCAATTATTATATCAGTATAGACTTATGAATATTTATTTTTATACTTTGAATTATAATCCATTTCTACTTGATTTTATTGCTCAAATTGTTCATGTTTTGGCCATTAGCAGTTCTTTTAGTTGGCTTCTGTGTCCCTTTGATATATCCATGTAATTATAGAGATAATTTTTATGAGCACTTACTTCCTGGCACAACATGCTCCAGGCTCATCTTGTATCCCATTTCCTACCATCATTTGCTACCCCAGTTGTAGAATCAGTCATTTGTCTAAGGGTCCCTGGTTCCTTTTGTTGGTGAATGGTATTACAAACCAAGATCTCAGTGCCAGTTGTGCTTCTGCTATGAGTGTGTCATTTCTTCCAGCTCTCTTAAGCTGGCACAGCAAGGGAATATAAGTGTGTCTAATAAGCCATTTATATACATGTACCTTTAGATATTTATATACAGAAGCATATATATCTATAAGAAACTAAGCATGAGTTCATATCTCCAATTCTAATCTATTACCACTTGGATCATTTTAGCCTCTTTCCTTACTTATCTGTGAACTCCTACTCCATCAGAAAGGAACCTGGCTCCCACCATCTGCCACTCATTTACTTAATTGCTCAATTCATTATACATGCGTAGTGGCATCAGAATTGTTAATGTATACTCTTATGGGAAAAAGCTATCAACTAGACTATCGTACTTATATAAGTGTCTTTTACTTTAGTCTTGTAGATTCTCTTCATTTCCAAAGTTATTTATGCCTGTGTTTCTTTCCACAACTCCCTCAGTGTTGTTATTTCACACGTTTTTTCATACATCATACATTTTATACATATAGTGAGGTTGTTTTGTCACATTTTTGCATTCCATTCTGGGACTTCTGACCTTCTAAATGATTAAAGAAGTTTCATATATTAAGGTTTACTCTCTGTGCTGTAAAATTCAATGGGTTTTGATAAATGCAGTGTCATGTATCCTATATTAAAGTATCATATAGGATATGTTCACCACCCTTAAAACTACACTGTGCTTCACCAGTTTAACCCTCTCTTCTCTCTCATGGAACCCTTAAAGACAGCTGATCTTTTTAGAATTTTGTCAATTCTAGAATGCCATATAAATGAAACAGTCCAGTATGTAGCTTTTTCATAATGGCTTCTTTAATTTGGCAATAAACGTTTCATTTTCATCCATCTCTTTTTGTTACTTAGTAGCTCATTTGTTCTCATGGCTGAGTAATATTCACTTGTGCAGATATCCCAGTTTGTTTATTCATTCACCTTGTGAAGAACATTTAAATTGCTTCCAGTTTGGGGTTATTAAAACTACTATAAAGATTTGCATAAAGGATTTTCTGTAGACATAGTTTTCAATCAGTTGGTTAAATATTTAGGAGTATGATGGCTGGATCAAAGGGTAAGATTATGTTTAGCCTTGTAAGAAACTAGAAGAATGTCTTTCAAAGTGACTGAACTATTAATATTTTGCATTTCCACCAGCAGTGAATGTGAGATCCTGCTCCTCTGAGTATTCGCCAGCAATTAGTATTGTCAGTTTTTAATGACAAATTATGCTAATCGTCTTTTCATTTGCTATTCTCCATCTATATATTTACTTTATAGAGGTGTCTGTTCAGGTTGTTTGCATGTTTTAAAGTTAAGCCGTCTACTTATTGCTGAGTTCTAAGGGTTGTTATGTATTTTAGAAACCAGTTTTTTCTTTTTTTTTTTTTTAGTCAAGGTAAGAGTAGAACTTTAAGAAACAAGTTTTTAAAAACCAGATATTATATTTTGCAAGTACTTTATTCTTACCTGTGGCTTTAAAAATATTTTCTTAACAGTTTACTTTGCAGAGAAGTTTTAAATTTTAATATATTTTAACTTGTTAACTTTTTTCAACATTTGGCGTTGTGTGTAAAGACTCATAGCTAAACCCCAAGTCACTTAGATTTTTCTCGTGTTTTCTTCTAGAAGTTTTATAATGTTGAGTTTTACATTTAGGCTATGATCTATCTTAAAATATTTTTTGTGAAAGCTATAGGATTTTGTTCTAGTTGTTTTTGTTTTGTTTTGTTCTGTTCTTGTGGGGTCTCTGTTGTTGTTTAATTGTTTCAGCACAATTTGTTGAAAAGACTACCTCCATTGAGCTGCCTTTGCTCCTTTGACAAAGATCACTTAATTATATTTGTCTGGATCTACTTCTGGGCTCTCTGTTCTGTTCCATTGGTCTGTGTGTCTGTTGTTTCAATGAGGTAGTTCTATTTTGATTACTGCAGCTTTATAGTAAGTCTTAAAATTGGGTAGTGTGAGTCTTACAGATTTGTTCTTTAGCATTGTATTGCCATTCTAGGTATTTTGCTTTTCCACATGAACTTTAGAATTAGTGTGTAGAGATCTACAAAATAGTTTGTTGAGATTTTGACTGCGATTACATTGTCTTTATGGATCATATTGTGAAGAATCAACATCTTAACAATATTATGTTTAAATCCATGATCATGGTATATTTCTCTACTTATTGAAATCTTTGAGTTCTTTCATTAGAGTATTATGGTTTTTCACATATAGAGCTGTATGTATTTTATTATATGTATATCTAAGTATTTTATTTTTTGGTGATGTTATAATGTTACTGCTTTTTAAATTTCAAATTTTCATTGTTCAATGCTGGCATATGGAAAGGCAATTTAACTTTTTATATTAACCTTGTATCTTGGAAACTTGCTATACTCACTTATTAGTTCCAGAATTTTTTTGGTCATTTTTAAAGGAATTTTTACATAGGCAACCATGTCAGCTGTGAATCAAGACAGTTATTTTTCTTCCTTCCCAATTTATATATGTTTACTCTCTTTTCTGTCTTATTGCATTAGTGAGGACCTCTATTACAATTAGGAGTGGTGAGAGAACGCAACCTTGTTTTGTTTCTGTTCTTAGTAAGAAAATGTAAATTTTCTTGCTATTAAGTATAATGTTAGTTGTAGGATTTTTTTTGTGTTTTGTTTGTTTGTTTGTTTTTGGCAAACATTCTTTATTGAGTGAGGAATTTCTCCTCTATTCCTAGTTTAAAAGTTTTTATCAGCAGTGGATGCTGGACTCTGTCACATGCTGGGTTTTTTTTTTTTTTTTTTTGCGTTAACCGATATGATTGTATGCTTTTCCTCTTAATTAGCAGATTGATGGGATGGATTACAGTGGATCAGTTTTTGAATGTTAACAGTCTTGCATACCTAGAATAAATCTCACTTGTTTCTAGTGTATAGTTGCTTTTATACATATTCTAATTGATTTGTTAATATTGTATTGTGTGCTTTTAAATCTATATTTACAAGAGATATTAGTCTGTACTTTTTCTTTCCTTAATGTCTTTACCTGATTTTGGCATTAGGGTTATGTTAGCCTTGTAGAATGAGTTAGAAAGTATTTACTCAGCTTCTATTTTTTGGAAGATATTGTAGAGAATTGGTATCATTTCTTGTTTAAATGTTGGGGAAAATTTACTGGTGGAACCATCTAGGGCTAGTGCTTTCTATTTTGGAGAGTCATTAATAATTGATTTAATCTATTGTATATTATAAAATACATTATAATAGAATATAGTTATATATTCTATTGCTATATTTGCTTAATAGTTCAAGAAATATTTTTGTCACTTTAAAGGAATATTATATAATTATAATACAGAATATAATTAATATTAAATATATAATTTATGATATATATTGATTGATTGATTTAATGTATTGTATATTATAAAATACATTATAATAGAATATAGTTATATATTATATTGCTATATTTGCTTAATATTTCAAGAAATATTTTTGTCACTTTAAAGGAATATTATATAATACATTATAATACATAATTAATATTAAATATATAATTTATAATATATAATTATATATTACTATATATAATTCCTTGAAAGACACAATCTACCAAAACTCACACCAATTAAATAGAAAATATGAATAAATTTATATCAATTAAATAAATTGAATCAATAATTAATAGCCTTCCAAAATAGAAAACACTAGGCCCAAATGGGTTCAGTGGTGAATTGTATCCAGCATGTAAGGTTGAAATTATACCAACCCTCTACAATCTCTTCCAGAAGGTAGTAGAGGGAATACTTCCTAACTCATTTTATGTGGCCAGCATTACCCTAATACCAAAACCTAACAAACCCATTATAAGAAACTATAGACTGAAACCTCTAATAAACACAAATGCAAAAAGCCTCAATAAAATCTTAGCAAATTAAATTCTAGAATGTATAAAAAGGATAATATACCATGACAAAGTTGTATTTACCTCATGTATACAAGGCTGGTTCAACATTCAAAAATTAATTAATTTTAAAAATTAATTTTAAAAAAGTTTTAAAAATCAATAAATCAATTAAGTAATTCCTCACATCAATAGGCTGAAAAGAAAAAAAATTACATGAGTTGCACAGAGGATTGCGCACATTCCAAAAATTAAATTGTACTAGATCATAATCAACTTAGTTCTATCAAAATCCATTCATGATTATATGAATAGATGGGAAAATATTTGACAAAATCTAACATCCATTCTTGATAAAACTCTCAGCAAACAAGGAATAGAAAATAACCTTTTCAACTTGAAAATGAGCATGTACAAAAACCCTATAGTCACCATTATACTTAATGGTGAGAAAGTCAGAATTTTTCTGCTAAGATAAGGAACAAGGAAAGAATGTCTTATCTCAAGGAAAGGATATCTCATCTCACTGTTGCTTTTCAATGTCATACTGGAAGTACTCACCAATACAATTAGACTAGAGAAGGATATAAAAGAAAGATTGGGAAAAAAATACAAAATATCTTTGACTGTGCATAACTGTGTTTGTAAAAAATACGAAATAATTGACCAAAAAACTCTTGTAACTAATAAGAAATATAGCAAGGTTGCAGGATACAAGTTTAATATCCAAAAGTTGGTCATGTTCCCATATGCCAGCAATGAACAAAATGGAATTTGAAATTAAACTTTTTGAGGGTATTTTCAAGACTCCCATTCAGCAAGGGTTGAGATATAAACCTCAGTGAGATTCTGGTTATCTCTGTTTTACAGTTAACCTGTTAGTTTTGTGGGCTATTGAATAGCTCTCTCTCTGCTTTTTAATTTTGCTCATGGCTTTCTGAGCCCTGGCAGTATGCTCTCTCTCTTTCTGCCTTCCTACTTCAGGTCTTTGATGTGCCACTGTGTAATTGGTGAGCACACTTTTGGAAATAATTTGCAGCATATATGGAATTTGCTCTGAATCTGAGAATCTTCAGAATTATATCCAATATGTTATTTATGTATGGCCATTATATTTTGCTTCTTTTTCATAACACCAGCAAAGCTCCTTACATATGATGGGTTTGCTCCTTAGCTTTCAGGATTCGCCTTGAAAGGGTTTATAACTTTTTGGAATTTAGTTAAATTTTCCTTTTTAACATCATCAACATCAACCCTCTGATGAGATTAAAGTTTCTATTTTTTTTTTTACCTTATTCACTGTTTTCTTATTATTTTGATTTGAGAAATGGCCTTTTGTGATCCAAAATTGAAACCTGCTTGTCCTATTTTTGTTATTATTTTTTTCTCATTTAATTGTAGAGTTGAAAATTCATTGCAAACATTCATCTTTTGCCTTTTGACTGGAAATGACTACACTGAAGTATTAAACAAATTTATGGTACTATTATTATTGCTTATATTTTACATTTTAAAATTAAGAGGCAATAGATAATTTGGCAATTATTTTGAAGGGTGTAAGAAAAAGGGTTGAGTTAGAAGTATCATCCATTCTGCCTATAATGTTGAATAACTTATCTCAGAAACACTGTTGACTATAAATAATTTCTGTGAGTTGCACAGAGGATTGGGAACATTCCAAAAATTAAATTGTACTTAATCATAATCAACTTAGTTCTAACTATCAAAATCCATATGTAAGGCTCATTGTTACCTATTAGTTATAAGAAATAATTTTAGTATTTATATAAAGCTTCTTTTATAAAAATTTATAATACTGAATTAAAAAAATAGGTTTAAGAAGTATCCTATAAAAGTAGTATGGAAGTTTGAGGAAGGGGCATTTTAGACACACAGGAGGAAGATTTGGTGCCTGAATTCTATGCTTCTTATTTCCTCCCATTCTGGGTTCCTGACAAAGGATTATATGCCAGGAAACAAGAGCCAAACAGAGAACAAACTTTCACTTTATTAATGACTAGGCAAACACAAGCCAAATTCAGAGTACTCTGGTGAACTCTACTAGAGAACACATCTAAGGCTAGAGACATAAACGAAGGCTATTCCTCTTTATTTTCTGTCCCGGATATATGAGATTGAATGCCAAGGAGAGCATGGACTGGACTTAGTGACACAGACTGAAATCCAAAACAGAGAAAATGAATGTTCAAGGTCCTACGGGCTTACTGCCCAGACGTGCTTATTCCGTGGAGGCAAGAAAGACAGAAAATGCAACTTGCATTTGTTTGGGCTAATCTTAAGGTGCACAGTAACCCTAAAGTGGCCCAGCAAGTGATTAGATTCTATTCAATAATATTACCTGTGTTCCTGGATATACCCATGGAAGTCAATGCACCACACTTTTGATTAACTATTGCTTTTATTCGTGATGGTTAATGTACATCAGAATATTGAAGATGGTTAGTTACATTTTTAAGGAAAGGGAGACAGATATGGTACATCCTCAAAGGACAACATCTCGGGGTAGTGTGTAAGGAGACAGAAATAACCCCAGTGGTTCAAGATCTTCCATCTTAAGCTGCTGTAGACTGTGAGTAATTGCTAGAGTGAGAAAATGTTATAAGAGATTCTACAGGATTGAGAAATTCTAATAAATTTTACCCTTTTTTTAGTTCTTAAAACTAGAGTTAGAGGTTATGAAACATGTTTTGGAATTCATTGCAAAGTAACTCTGTGTTAATAGATTTATAGATTATTATCCAGTGCTTCACATAAGATTTGTACTTCAAGGCTGCATGGTTGTGCTTGGTCCCTTAGTATCATCCTGCAGTTTTGAGTGTTGCCGAAACAGCTGCATTCTATCTGTGCTCTCATCTCCCTGACAGCTGATGAAGAAGAGAGATAATTTCAAAGCAAATTCACAGTTCCAATTCTTTAGTTTGGAACTAAATAGTCTCTTCTCCCATTTATTTTCATCAAATCACTTCAGATCTGAAAACTCCTTACCAGAAGTAAAGAAGGAAGGGCAGGTAATGAGGGCTTACTAGAACTACTTAAGTCTTGAATCAACTATGAGTAATAATAATAAAAACAATTACTTGAAAAATTGTATGCTTTATGCTTATATTGTATTATTACACAATTTATTTGGTCCTGGTGATTTTGTGATTATCCTTTAGATTTGCATTTAACTATTTTTTCATTTTCTTGGAGCTTTTCTAGAGGACTCACTTGACAGTTTGGTAAATAAGAAGCCATTAATTGTTCAACATGTAGTTATTAATGACTTACAGATAAATTAAGCAAGGGGTAATATAATTTGGCCTAGAACATTTTGTTACGTATTTTTTTTCCACATGAAGAATTTGAAGTTTTCAATTATTCTCAGGCTCACAGAAGTATTTTATTCTGACTCATTCACTCTAAAATGAGAAAACTAAGGCTCAGAGAGAGGTTAAATAACTTAACACCACATGGATACAAGCATGGTTAGTGGAATCATTGTTTGAACCTCAGTATATTGATATGTGCACCACACAATATTACATTGAGCTTCCATAAATGTACCCACTGAGAAATACTGATAACAATTTTGAATAAATTATATATATTCATAAATAACAGAGTTAGTAAATAGAGCTCATTAAGGCAGGATTATACATATATTCTACCAGTAGGGTGTTCACCCCTGCCAGACAGATTAAACAAAGAGTTTTGCACAATCCCAATTGTCTGTTGATTCTATTGTTTTTTTTCATGTAATGACATGATTTACAAGCTAATGCTTGCTTTCACTGTCTAAGTGAGAAAAAGTGAATGAATGTTCTGTTAAGCTGAATAGAAACATGAGATAGCTAAAATGCCCCCAAAGAAACATTGTCAATATTTACATATAAAACATATTAAGGCTAACACACATCTGGACTGAAATGTGGCTGAATCTTCTAAGCAACTTTGAAAAACCTTGCCACAATAATTAACGTGGTAACAAATGTGAGAACACGTTGATTTAAAAACAAAAGTTTGATTAATTGACTGCTTTTAACTGTGATTTATTTATTCTACCTCTAAATGCCCAATTTGGTGTTTATTTTTGTGTTTCCAGTTGGTAGGAAAAACATTTCAAACAGTGAAAAGAGAACTGGTGCTAATTTCTTTTATCCACATAAAATCTGTACTATTTGGAGATAGCAAACTATGCTAGTAGTAGTAGCAACAATTAGTATATGAAAAATAATAATTACGTAGTTTATGTTTGGTAACATATATATATATTCTTTAAACAAACTTTGATCAAATGACTACCATATTCAAGCTATTTTTTTCTCTCATGATTTCATACCATATCTTTTTCTCAAATATTCATACAAATCCAGGAAGGTAAGAAGTTTGCTCAAGGTCAGAAAAATACTATGTAAGGGACAGTGCTGGGTTTTGAACGCAGGTCTCTTGTGACTCTAAAAACAATGTTTGTTTAATATGCAACTATATTTTAGCCTTACACTAATCCTGAGTGGTAATTAGGTCAGATATTACTATTATTTTCATATTATATATTTATTAGACAGGGTCATCCAGAGAAACACAACCAACAGAATGTATGCATATCTATCTATCTATCTATCTACCTGCCTATCTGACACCAAAAGACAAAGACAGTTTATTAATTTATTGAATTGACTCATATGACTGTGAGGCAGACTGGAATCTGTAGGGTAAGCATCAGGCTGGAGATTCAGGTAACAGTAATGTTGTAGTTTTGAGCTTGAAGGCTGGAAACTCAGGCAGAATTTTTATGCTGCAGTCTGGGGGCAAAATTCTTTCTTTTTCTGGAAACCCCAATTTTTGCTCTTTAAGGTCTTTAACTGATGAAGCCCACCCACATTATGAAGGGTAATTGGCTTTACTTAAAGTCCACTGATCGCAGATTTTAATAACATGGAAAAAGTACTTTTACAGAAACACCTAGTCTAGTGTTTCATCAAATAACTTGTTACCATAACCTAGCCAAGCTGATAATATAAAATTAACCATCACAATATGAGAATCTCAAATTTTTTAGTAGGAAGCTATCGTAGGCAGCCTCTAAGATGGCCTCCAAAGATTCCTGCCTCCTGCTCTTCATCCCCTGGTGTAATCTCCTTCCCTTTTGTATGGGCTGGACCTACTTACTAACTTCTAATCAATAAAAATCCATAAAAGTAAGGGAATGGCACTTCAGACATTAGGTTACACAAGATGTGGCTTCCATCTTGTGTGTTCTCTCTTCTCTTGCAGGTTGATTCTAAGGAAGCCAACAGCCGTGTTGTGAGTACCCAATGGAAAGTCTGTTGTGGCAGAAAACTGATGTCTCCAGCCAACAGCACTGAGGCCCTGAGACCTGCCAACTGTCATGTGAGTGAGCTTGGGAGTGAGTCATCCCTTATTTAGGCCTTGGGTTGACACGTCCCTGATGTAAAATTTGATTGTGGTCTTGAGAGAGACTCTGCATCAAAGGCAGTCTTCTTAGCCAGACCTGAATCCCTAAACCACAGAAACAATGAGATAATATATTTTCACTGCTTTAAAATTACTAAATTTGGGGGTAATTTGTCACTTAGCCACAGATAATCAACACGAGCCATTATTATCTGGCCTTTAAACTAGACACATATCTGAGATGAATTCTTCTTTCCTTCCACTGAAATTTTGATGAGGAGTTGTTGCTGAATATAGAGATGTCATTGAGAAATAGATGATAAAGTGTCTTGCCGTGTTGGGTTTTAACCAGAGATTAAGTCCAGGGCACTTGATAGGTACTCAACAAGCATTTTTTAAAGAGTTGAAACAAGAGTCAACCAGAGTTAGTAAGAAAATACATGAGAACCCTAGTAAACACCTTTTCTAAATACCTACGCACAATTTTTTTCTGTCCTTTTTTTTTGCTCCCGTTGAAGCAATCTGTGTGCTCCAAAACACAATCAGAAATCAAAATCAGCTCCTTATTAAAAAACAGCTTTTTTAAACATATACTTTAAAAATTCTCCCATGCATGCCATGACTTAATTGGAGAATATTTTAGTTAGATTACTTTTCACAGCCAAATGATTTGATCAAGGGGTGAACATGCCATTTGAGACTCTACTCTTGTCTCAGGTGTACTCTGAGCCCATTTATACGAGCAAAATTTATGAAAAATATATATGCATGGTTCTTGGGCTTGATTTTGGCAATCAGCTGGTAAAATTTGAATGCACAGAACTGCAGCAGTAGCTTTCAGCATGGCCCACAGATGGAGCTACTGGATTTGGAAAATTAAATTGGCCTTGGGACATTCCGCATTCGTGTAAAAGTATGCAAAGTTTACAAATGATCCAACTTCCAGATTATCTCCGGTTTCCTTATAATAGGACAAACCAACTTATAAACTTTCCTATGATAAAATCTGCAGCAGCTAAATAGCAAATGGCCTCAGGATTTTTTTAGCAAATTCAAAGATTATATAAAATATTGTTTTCTATCTATTGGGAGAAAAGTGGTCCAATTATGGTTAGTAATATCCAGGAAGCTCATGACTTTCGACAGCATCCTAGCTTTAAGGTCACCAAAATTCAGTGTTATGATAAAGTGATGTGTCTAGGCCATTTTTAGGTATATTACAAGTACACTTGTCTTCCATCACAGTTACATACTAACATCCGCACATAACTTACTTGTCTTAAATTATTTAAGGATAATGTTAAATGCATTCCTATACTGGTGGTACATTTTGCTATACTTTTTAGAGATGAGGAGAAATGCTTGAAATTAGATCTGAGAATTGCATGACTCTCTCAGTCTAGGTTAACTATATCCATACTTGTGCTATTAATATATATTATGCTCATTAATACATTGATTCAATTATTTGACAAATATTTATTGAGTACCTGCAGTACATTGGACAGTATTCTTGGTGCTGGACATACAATGGTGAACAAGGCACACAAGATCTTTGATTTTTATGAAGCTTACTTTCTAGAAGAAGGAATCCGGCATTGAAAAAACAAAACAAAAACAAAAACAAAACAATTTCAGTTATTTATATGGTATGAGTTTCCCATTGCTGCTATAACAAATTATTACAAATTTTGGGCCCACAGCCCTACTCTCTGAACTTTGTGGATTTGCCCTTAGGAATCATGGCTCTGACTTCTGAATAATACTTTCTTTTTAATGAAGGGTAAGAAATGTTTGCATATGAGTAGTCTTATCAGCCTGTTTTATGCCTGTAGAATTGTAGGAGTCCAATACTTTTATTTCATCTTTTCTTTGTCCCTTTCAGTCCAAGATGGCAATATTTTTGCGAGCATGACATTCTCGAAACCTCACAAGTTTCTCACGTATGTCTCAGGGATTTACTCCATTAGACAAGGAGCTCCTTTGCAAATCTGGAAAATTCCAACTATTTTTTGTTTATGATTAGATGGCTGAGAGAATCCATGAGTTACATGCCTAATCTCTTCACAGAGCCTTCTGTGTGATTGAATCTCTGACCTTTGATCCTTCTGAGGCACTAACAATAGGTGGTCCAGCCCCATCCTTGATTGTCTCCTACAGCATGTTTCCCTGACAGCGAATCTCCTGAATTTAGTGTCTTTCCTGAATTTAGTGTCTTTTGCAGTCTTTTGAGAATTTCCCAAATCAATAGGTGCTGGTTCTTTTTTGTTCAATACTTCTTCCCTCAATTTATTTCTTTCTTGTCACATTTTACTATAAGCAGCAAGAGGAAATCAGAGTGCAACTCTAGGCTGCACCTTCGATATTTTACTTAGAAATCTCCTCAGATAAATATTCAAATTTATTGCTTATAAGCTCTACTTTCCATATAATTGTAGGACACAATTCTTCTAAGTTGTGTTTCCACTTTATAGCAAGGATCCCTAATTCCTCCAATGGTCTTTTTTGCTCTTTTAATTCTTCATATTGACCTTTTATTAGAGTTTAGTTAAGTTTGATAAGCATTGAGTAGTTGCTTTGTGCTAGGCAATGTAGTACAAATGGTATGGGTATAAAAAAGACCATGTCCCTATCCTCAGTGAGTTCATAGTCTAGTGCAGGAGATGTTGTGACTTTTATATATAAAAGTAATGACTTATATATGTATATATTCCGTATGTTTTCCATATATAGTTATTCCATATGTTCCATATTCCATATGTATTCCATATATTCCATATGTAGTGACTTTTATATATATATTCCATATATATGGAATATATGGTCATTATATATATATTCCATATATATTCATATACATATATATGTGGAATATATATATGTGTGTGTATATATATGTCTGGAATATATATATGTGGAATATATATGTGGAATATATATATATGTGGAATATATATATATATATTCCATAGCTGGAATACTGAGGAAAGCTAAAAGAGGATGTGTTCATAACTCTTTTTTGTTAGGTCTGAATAAGTCTTTTTTTAAAATTATACTTTAAGTTCTGGGATACACGTGCAGAACATGCAGGTTTGTTACATAGGTATACACGTGCCATGGTGGTTTGCTGCACCCATCAACCCATCATCTACATTAGGTATTTCTCCTAATGCTATCCCTCCCCTATCCCCCAACCCTCTGACAGGCCTTGGTGTGTGATGTTCCCCTCTCTGTGTCTATGTGTTCTCAGTGATCAACTCCCACTAATGAGTGAGAACATGAGGTGTTTGCTTTTCTGTTCCTCTGTTAGTTTGCTGAGAATGATGGTTTCCAGCTTCATCCATGTCCCTGCAAAGGACATGAACTCATCCTTTTTTATGGCTGCATAGTATTCCATGGTGTATATGTGCCACATTTTTTTAAATCTCTCTCTAAGCAAAAAGAGCAAAGCTGGAGGCATCATGCTACCTGACTTCAAACTATACTACAAGGCTACAGTAACCAAAACAGCATGGTACTGGTACCAAAATAGATATATAGACCAATGGAACAGAACAGAGGCCTCAGAAATAACACCACACATCTACAACCATCTGATCTTTGACAAACCTGACAAAAACAAGCAATGGGGAAAGGATTCCCTATTTAATAAATGGTGTTGAGAAAACTGGCTAGTCATATGCAGAAAACTGAAACTGGACCCCTTCCTTACACTTTATATAAAAATTAACTCAAGATGGAATAAATACTTAAACTTAAGACCTAAAACCATAAAAACTCTAGAAGAAAACCTAGGCAATACCATTCAGGACATAGGCATGGGCAAAGACTTTATGACTAAAACACCAAAAGCAATGGCAACAAAAGCCAAAATTGACAAATGGGATCTAATTAAACTGAAGAGCTTCCACACAGCAAAAGCAACTATCATCAGAGTGAACAGGCAACCTACAGAATGGGAGAAAAATTTTGCAATCTATCCATCTGACAAAGGGCTAATATCCAGAATCTACAAATAACTGAAACAAATTTACAAGAAAAAAACAAACAACCCCATCAAAAAGTGGGCAAAGAATATGAACAGACACTTCTCAAAAGAAGACATTTATGTGGCCAACAAACATATGAAAATAAGATCATCATCACTGGTCATTAGAGAAATGGAAATCAAAACCACAATGAGATACCATCTCACACCAGTTAGAATGGTGATCATTAAAAAGTCAGGAAACAACAGATGCCGGAGAGGATGTAGAGAAACAGGAATACTTTTACACTGTTGGTGGGAGTGTAAATTAGTTCAACCATTGTGGAAAGCAGTGTGGCAATTCCTCAAGGATCTAGATCTAGAAATAACCATTTGACTCGGCAATCCCATTACTGGGTATATACCCAAAGGATTATAAGTCATTCTACTATAAAGACACATGCACACGTAAGTTTATTTCAGCACTATTCACAATAGCAAAGACTTGGAACCAACCCAAATGCCCATCAATGATAGACGAGATGTAGTGACTATTAAGTTAGCAGGATGAAACTATTACTACCATAAATAATGTTATATCCTATAATAGAAATATGCCCAAGAAGTTAATAAAGGGCAAAGATGGGACACCTAATATAACCTCTAGGGGTAGGGAAAGTTTGGAGAGGTTTCTTTCTTAGATATTATGCCTTTTCTGAGTCTTAAAAGATAAGTAGGTTTGGTTAAGTAAGGAAAGAGTACGAGTGAGCATTCTAAAGAGAGAGCACCATAAAAAAAATAATGGAGGCATGAAAGTTGGTGTTATAATCAAAAACCTCTAAGAAATTCAGTTTCTGAACTTTGAATTTTTCATAAATTTTACATTTCTTTATCAATACCTGTTGTGAAGCATGAACGTCCCAGGCAAGGGCACTATAGTAGTGAGTCAAGGCTCCCATCCAAGGTAGAATGTGAATTGTGGCCACGAGAAAAATAAGGCTGTATGTAGTTGGGGAAACAGTGCTGAATGTAAGGCGAGCAAACAGACTTGAATCTTAGAGAACTGGATGAAGTGATTAGTACAAGTCTGACCAAGTGGTTCAGATGTGAGGCTGTTGGGTGGTCCCTGTCACAAGTGCTTGGCTCAGAGTTGGGACAGGGGTGTTTTACGACCACTAGAATCAGATAAATGAAGAATACTTTTTATTTCTCCTCTTGAACTCTTCAAAAGAAAACAAGGAAATGATTTATAAATCAAAACCAGGATGCCAGGTCTGACATCAATTAATGTGTCATGTGCTAAGAACTTCCCCTGGTAGATAAACACCAAGCTGATTCAAAGTGATCTTGGATAATAAGAGACAGGTAATGACAGGAACATACGCCTTCCCAGATGCAAAAGATATTAAGCAGGGATCAGGAGAGAATAAGTTGCATGCATAAAGACTCTGTCCTCTCTCCTTAGGAATTGTCAGGAGGATATGCTGGTAAGTTTCTCATACGGCTGAAGAACTTGAGTTTTAAAGGGAGGAGGAATAAAGCATGAATTCAGTACCAACCAGATGCTAAGCATATAACGTTTGCATACTTTGGGTAAAACCTCATGATCATCCTATGGAACTAGTTATATCCTGATGGAAAAAAGGGACATCCAGAATGGTTGAGTGCCTGGTTTTAGGTTCATCGCCGGCACGTAAATGTGAGTCTGCTTAGCTACAAATAGTATATTCTTCCCACTCTACTACACTGTCCACTGAAATTATAGATCTTAATTAAAAGAAATTCAGACAGATGACAGGAAAATGCACGTTCAGAGTGGGGACAGTGGGTATAAGAATGTAGAAGTGGCCTGAAAATTCAGTATAATAGCATTCTGTTCCTGGTTCTGTCATTGACACGGAGACAGTGGTATATTATTCCCCCCTCTCTGGGCCTCAGTTTAAATGAGGTATTTGGATAAGAAAAAATGCCAAAATTTTTTTAGCTGAGGGAGTCTAGGCTTTGATGGTAATTTTTTAGGTTGGTAATAAAAAGTTAAATTTTGCTCTGAGAGGTTATTTTTTTAAATCATATTAGACTTCTGATGCATCATTCATTCATTATGCTATAATTGGGTGCTCAAAAGGCCCCATTTTCTGCACCTTTCCAGCCCTACCACTCACTTTCTATGTGACCTTATTTCTTCATATTTCAGTGTGGATTACAATAAAATGCACTTCATAGAGTTTTTGCGATGAAATAAATTGATGTGGGTAAAGTGCTTATACAAAAGTCTGGCACATACAAATAGTTTGATAAATGTAATATTATGCATAATATATGATTATTATTCTGACTACATCTCTACTCATTTACAACAATCTCTCTCCTCCTGGATCAAAATTTTCCCATTATATATACTTCAGTCAGCTAGGCCTTGCTGTTTACTAGCTCATTAAAGATAAAACATTAATCATTGATAGTGATAACAAATTACCATACTCCCCCTCTGAGGGAACTTGTTCACATTTTGATAGGATCTTCCGATGCCTGGACACAGAAAGAGCAGTGGAAGGGGTCGTTGCATGAGCAAAGACAAAGAGTGGGACACTGACTGTGAGTCCTTTGAGTCTTGTTTTTACCTTTCAGCACAAGCATGACTTTTGAATTGATGGAATAGAAAGAATACTTTAGTGGTCCAGGTAAAGGTTCTTATAAAGAAGCCCTAGAGATATTTATTTAGCACGTTCTTATCTAATAGAGGCTGAAACTCTTTCTGATGAGATGCGAAACAACTTTGTTTTCTTTTTGCAATCCTTGATTCATTTGAACAGCTAAAATGGTTTTTTGTTTGTTTTTAAACTCTGCTTGGAAGGTATATGTTGTTAGGTTCATTCCCTAATCTGCAATCTGAGGCGTGATCTGTGTATCCCTGGACTAAGGCCGTATGGAGGGCTGGATACCTGAGATTAGGCAGAAGCAGCAATTAAGGGACTGATACATAATACTGGTTCATGTAACCAGGAGATAAATGACCCTGAGGTTCTCCTAGAAAAGGCAGTTTTGAATGGCAGCCTTTGCTTTCTGGAGCCTGTTCAAAAATCATCTACGGACCTAGGCTAGGAAAGTGGGGGATGCCAGAGTCTGTGTGGTCGGTTATCTTAAGTACCTGAAGCAGGTGTCCTATGTTGGCAGGAGTAGGTCGGTGCTTATGATTATAGGAAAGGGTGCGGAGCTTTGTTTGATGCACTCAATTCATTCCTGGCAATTTTATTAAGTTTCTATCACCATACAGGGCACCTCCAGGCTCTCTATTAAATAAATGGCCCATCAGAAGTCATTGGATACACCGTGTAATAAAGTTTGTCATGTGCCAAGAGTGTTTCAGGGTGGAGTGAGTAAAGTATTCATTTTTACTGGAATTGACTTGATCACCTTTGTAACCAGAGAGAATGAACCCAGTAGAAAGGGGACTATATAGAGATAGAAGCCAATAAAGCATTATTCTAGAGGAAGGCAGCAGTGAACAGATTTTGCTTTTGGAGAAAGAATATCTCATTGAATGAAGAGATGAGGATAGTGGTGATTGTGGAGATCAAAACTATGGATATAGAAATCAAATGGATGTAGAGATTAAAACCATGCAAATATTTTACATAATTAAAACAAAAGTAAGTTAGAAGAAGCATTGAAGCAATCCCCAAAGCTGCAAAACTGAACTTAAATATCAGGTTGGTTGCATAACCATATACAAAAAAAGTTAAATAACTTTAAATATGTTGATACATGCTAAGCATTAAAAAAAATCACTAAGACATCAAACTGGCTTTTTTGCAGTTTTATTATTGGCAATAACACAATAAGTGGTAAGTAATTTTGTTCCTGTCTTAGCAACCAAGGTTTTCAGCATAAGAGAAAAAATACAAACATAGAAAATCAGATAATTAAACATTTACTATGATTTTATATATGAATTGGAGATATCAGCACAAATTTGTTGTTTAGTTTTCTCTTAAAAATGCTTATTTCGTAACTTTGTCTGCTAAAATGGACTTACAAGCAGTGGAAAATTCAGTAGCAATAGTTACATCTTGTGTATGTTTGTGATCTCTGAATATTATTTTCCATGCAAGGAAACTAGGAGCTAGGACTTCAGTCTGGGACAGGAAATGTATGTAATGAGCCTGGAATATCTTATTGTTTCAGAAAGCAGAGAAGCTCTCAGAAAGTCTCAAGGATTTTTGAAAATGATCTAGGATTCATATAAAGGGCTCCTGCTAGCTAAAATGCAATAATTTGAACATGAAAGAGAATAATGACAATGGTTTGAAACATAACAACCTAGATAAATCTATGAGTAACAAAACTCACAAAAAAACCCACAAAATATTTTGTTATATTTGGAGGTTATTTTGGCACCAACTTATTAGTCTGAAAATCAATAAAATAATGAATCAGGCATTTGTGAATTTTATTTCAGGGCAATGAAATGGTGAGAAAGCAATGTTCTTATTTGTAGAAGAATTGTAGTTAATAAACACAGAAGGAATGATGGATTTAGAAAATTACTATTTGAGATTCCTAATGGGGAAAAATAGTTTATGCAAAGATTATCAATGGGTATTAAAACTAATAGGTGAAGAAAATGGATGGATTACACTGAAAACACTTGAGCCTAATAATCAATCTAAACACTTATAAACTAGAAGTAGGGCAATCAACCATGATGTGTTTCCTAATAAGATATAATAGAAGGTGTATAGGTATACAGTTTCATCATTGAGGTATAAGGTATTCTTGCAAAAACAAAACAAGACAAAAATGAACAAACAAACAAAGCCCTGAGTGCAGTCAAGCACATAGATCTAACTACTAATGTTCTAGAAATGTGAGAGGTAAAAGAAAAAAGCTAAATACCATGGGAAAATGATCAGTTAAATAAAAAATGTGGGACATTTCACAGGACAAATGACACATTTCCTTTAAAAAAAAATGGCAGTACAAGGATAGATTTTAGTAGGGATCCACAGTGGAAAAGTCTAGGAGTATAAGAAAATGTAGGTGCATATATGAAGACAGTAGAAATAAACTTTATGCAGACCAGGATCAATAGCAAAGAAATAAGGTCTGGGAAGAAATGAACAGGTAGAAAGGCAGGGGAGGGATTATGTAGGAAAACAGCGTGTTACATGGCAAGAGTGATGTCGTTTTGAAGCAAAGATGCCATGATTACTGATGTTTGACCTTCACACACCAAAGTGTTCTGGAGTTAGTTCTTTAAACAATGCCTGAAGCATAGATAACCTTTCATCAATATGCACACCTATCCTCCTCAGTGGTCATGAGTCTTGGCAAGAAAGCCTGAAGATGTGATCAGCTGCACGGGTTTTACTCGAAAAGCTTGCTATATGAAGAATACTTTTTGAGGAGAGTCGTGGTGATTCACCATCTCACAACCACCTGAGACATTGCTTCTGTTTATAATTCCCTATTATACATTTCTCTCTACAAAAAGGCATTTGTCATCCTCTTTCTTAGACCTCTCAGCACCCTCAGCATTTCAGGGTGGTAGGTTTGCATAGACCTTCTCACCGCAGAACAGAATAGAAGTCAAAGTGTTTTAAATCTGTAAATTGCTTTGGGCAGTATGGCCGTTTTTATAATATCGGTTCTTCCAACTAATGAGCATGGACTTTTAAAAAATCTTTTTGTGTTGCCTCTGATTTCTTTCAGTGTTGTTTTGTAGTTCTCCTTGTAGAGATTTTTCTACCTCCTTGGTTAGCTGTATTCCTAGATATTTTTTTCTTTGTGGCTGTTGTAAGTGGGATTGTGTTCTTGATTTCACTCTCAGCTTGGACGTTGTTGGTTTATATAAATGCTACTGATTTTTGTACATTTATTTTGTATCATGAAACTTTGCTAAAGTCATTTATCAGTTCTAGGAGCCTTTTGACAGAGTCTTTAGGATTTCCTAGGTAAAGAATCATATTGTCAGTGAAGAGAGATAGCTTGACTTATTTTCTTTTTTTAAATTTTTTTTCGGATTTTCTATGTGTATAAACAAATATTCTGGAAATAATATCAATTACATATTTTCTTATTGAAAAATAATGGGTTTTTTTGTTGTTTACATTTTACTGGTAAGGCTCTCCAAATTTTTTATTTTGCATTACTGTGGTTCTGCATCTCAAGAGGAAGAGGCTCAATAAAATATAATGTTTTCTGAATAAGTGTATTAGGTGTATCTATATGATTTTTTTAAATTATACTTTAAGTTTTCGGGTACATGTGCACAACGTGCAGGTTTGTTACATATGTATACATGTGCCATGTTCGTGTGCTGCACCCATTAACTTGTCATTTACATTAGGTATATCTCCTAATGCTATCCCTCCCCGCTCCCCCCACCTCACACCAGGCCCTGGGGTGTGATGTTCCCCTTCCTGTGTCTAAGTATTCTCATTGTTCAATTCCCACCTATGAGTTAGAACATGTGGTGTTTGGTTTTTAGTCCTTGTGATAGTTTGCTGAGAACTGGTTTCCAGCTTCATCCATGTCCCTACAAAGGACATGAACTCATCATTTTTTATGACTGCATAGTATTCCATGGTGTATATGTGAGACTTTGCTGAAGTTGCCTATCAGCTTAAGGAGATTTTGGGCTGAGATGATGGGGTTTTCTAGATATACAATCATGTCATCTGCAAACAGGGACAATTTGACTTCCTCTTTTCCTAATTGAATACCCTTTATTTCCTTATCCTGCCTGATTGCCCTGGCCAGAACTTACAACACTATGTTGAATAGGAGTGGTGAGAGAGGACATCCCTGTTTTTTGCCAGTTTTCAAAGGGAATGCTTCCAGTTTTGCCCATTCAGTGTGATATTGGTTGTGGGTTTGTCATAAATAGCTCTTATTATTTTGAGATACGTCCCATCAATACCTAATTCATTGAGAGTTTTTAGCATGAAGTGTTGTTGAATTTTGTCAAAGGCCTTTTCTGCATCTATTGAGATAATCATGTGGTTTTTGTCGTTGATTCTGTTTATATGCTGGATTACTTTTATTGATTTGCATACGTTGAACCAGCCTTGCATCCCAGGGATGAAGCCCACTTGATCATGGTGGATAAGCTTTATGATGTGTTGCTGGATTCGGTTTGCCAGTATTTTATTGAGGATTTTTGCATTGATGTTCATCAGGGATATTGGTCTAAAATTCTCTTTTGTGGTTGTGTCTCTGCCAGCCTTCAGTATCAGGATGATGCTGGCCTCATAAAAGGAGTTAGGAAGGATTCTCTCTTTTTCTATTGATTGGAATAGTTTCAGAAGGAATGGTACCAGCTCCTCCTTGTACCTCTGGTAGAATTCGGCTGTGAATCCGTCTGGTCCTGGACTTTTTTTGGTTGGTAAGCTATTAATTATTGCCTCAATTTCAGAGCCTGTTATTGGTCTATTCAGAGATTCAACTTCTTCCTGGTTTAGTCTTGGGAGGATGTATGTGTCGAGGAATTTATCCTTTTCTTTTAGATTTTCTATTTTTTTTGTGTAGAGGTGTTTATAGTATTCTCTGATGGTAGTTTGTATTTCTGTGGGATCGGTGATGATATCCCCTTTGTCATTTTTTTATTGTGTCTATTTGATTCTTCTCTCTTTACTTCTTTATTAGTCTTGCTAGCGGACTATCAATTTTGTTGATCTTTTCAAAAAACCAGCTCCTGGATTCATTGATTTTTTGAAGGGTTTTTTGTGTCTCTATCTCCTTCACTTCTGCTCTGATCTTAGTTATTTCTTGCCTTCTGCTAGCTTTTGAATGTGCTTCCTCTTCCTTCTCTAGTAATCTTTTAATTGTGACATTAGGGTATCAATTTTAGATCTTTACTGCTTTCTCTTGTGGGCATTTAGTGCTATAAATTTCCCTGTACACACTGCTTTAAATGTGTCCCAGAGATTCTGGTATGTTGTATCTTTGTTCTCATTGGTTTGAAAGAACATCTTTATTTCTACCTTCATTTCGTTATGTACCCAGTAGTCATTCAGGAGCAGGTTGTTCAGTTTCCATGTAGTTGAGTGGTTTTGAGTGAGTTTCTTAATCCTGAATTCTAGTTTGATTGCACTGTGGTCTGAGAGACAGTTTGTTATCATTTCTGTTCTTTTACATTTGCTAAGGAGTGCTTTACTTCCAACTATGTGGTCAATTTTGGAATAAGTGTGGTGTGGTGCTGAGAAGAATGTATATTCTGTTGATCTGGGGTGGAGAGTTCTGTAGATGTCTATTAGGTCCACTTGGTGCAGAGCTGAGTTCAATTCCTGGATATCCTTGTTAACTTTCTGTCTCGTTGATCTGTCTAATGTTGACAGTGGGGTGTTAAAGTCTCCCATTATTATTGTGTGGGATGGGAGTCTAAGTCTCTTTGTAGGTCTCTAAGGACTTTCTTTATGAATCTGGGTGCTCCTGTATTGGGTGCATATATATTTAGGATAGTTAGCTCTTCTTGTTGAATTGATCCCTTTACCATTATGTAATGGCCTTCTTTGTGTCTTTTGATCTTTGTTGGTTTAAAGTCTGTTTTATCAGAGACTAGGATTGCAACCCCTGCCTTTTTTTGGTTTCCATTTGCTTGGTAGATCTTCCTCCATCCCTTTATTTTGAGCCTATGTGTGTCTCTGCACGTGAGATGGGTTTCCTGAATACAGCACACTGATGGGTCTTGACTCTTTATCCAATTTGCCAGTCTGTGTCTTTTAACTGGAGCATTTAGCCCATTTACATTTAAGGTTAATATTGTTATGGATGAATTTGATCCTGTCATTATGATGTTAGCTGGTTCTTTTGCTCGTTAGTTGATGCAGTTTCTTCCTAGCCTCGATGGTCTTTATAATTTGGCATGTTTTTGCAGTGGCTGGTGCTGGTTGTTCCTTTCCATGTTTAGTGCTTCCTTCAGGAGCTCTTCTAGGGCAGGCCTGGTGGTGACAAAATCTCTCAGCATTTGCTTGTCTGTAAAGGATTTTATTTCTCCTTCATTTATGAAGCTTAGTTTGGCTGGATATGAAATTCTGGGTTGAAAATTCTTTTCTTTAAGAATGTTGAATATTGGCCCCCACTCTCTTCTGGCTTGTAGAGTTTCTGCTGAGAGATCAGCTGTTAGTGTGATGGGCTTCCCTTTGTGGGTAACCCGACTTTTCTCTCTGGCTGCCCTTAACATTTTTTCCTTCATTTCAACTTTGGTGAATCTGACAATTATGTGTCTTGGAGTTGCTCCTCTCGAGGAGCATCTTTGTGGCGTTCTCTGTATTTCCTGAATTTGAATGTTGGCCTGCCTTGCTAGATTGGGGAAGTTTTCCTCTGCCTTTGTCAGATGCATAGTTTGGGAATATCTTCTTCCATTCTGTAGGTTGTATGTTTGCTCTGTTGATAGTTTCTTTTGCTATGTAGAAGATCTTTAGTTTAATTAGGTCCCACTTGTCTATTTTTGTTTTGTTTCTGTTCCAATTGCTTTGTGGAACTTAGCCAAAAATTATTTGCCAAGGTCGATGTCAAGAAGATTTCTCAGATTGTCTTCCAAGATTTTTATAGTTTGAGGTCTTACATTAGAATCTTTAATCCATTTTGAGTTAACTTTTGTGTGTGGTGAAAGGTAGGGGTCCAGCTTCAATCTTTTGCCTATGACTAGATAGTTGTCCCCACACTATTAATTGAGTAGAGAGTCCTTTGTGCATTGCTTCTGTTGGTCTTGTCAAATATCAGATGGTTGTAGGTGTGAGGCTTTGTTTCTGAGTTTTCTATTCTGTTCCATTGGTATGTGTGTCTATTTTTGGACAAGTACCAAGCTATTTTGTTTCCTGTGACTTTTTATTTTATTTTATTATTATTATACTTTAAGTTTTAGGGTACATGTGCACTTTATAGCATAGTTTGAAGTCGGAAAATGTGATGCCTTCAGCTTTGTTCTTTTTGTTTATTTGGGCTATTTGGACTCTTTTTTGGTTCCATATACATTTTAGAATTTTTCTTCTAATTCTGTAAAGGATGACATTGGCATTTTATTTGGACCTAGTCCCCTGAGAACTGGAACAAAAGAAGGATGCCCACTCTCACCATTCCTATTCAACCTAGTATTGGAACTCTTAGCCAGAGCAATCAGACAAGAGAAAGAAATAAAAGGAATCTAGAGTTCCAGAATGGAACTTGTTGATTGGTTGGATGACTTGAGATTATTATTTTTTTAATTCTGTTTTTGTCCAGAAACTCTTCCAAGCATTAATACTGTCAAGCTTCTACTCACATGCCATTTTAAGATATTCAGAGATTAACAAAATATTGGATTGAAAATGAACCTTAAAATTCATATAGCCCAATGATCTCTTACCTCTTAGCAATTCTATCCTTATAAAAATAAGTTACATATATTGGAGACTCACAGCAACTCTTTAAAGTAGGTAGAATAACGATAATTAATTTTTACAGAAGAAGAAACTGAAGATCAGACAGGCGAAGCAATTCCTCAGTTGCAGCCTGGGACTTGAAATCAGATCTTCTGACTCCAGATGATTTAATCATTTTATTACATGATTTTCCTATTAATGGACTTCAAGAATGGAAGAGAAAAATAGTTTATTGAGCAATATGTGAAACAGTTAATGAGGTTAATTGGTAAACTTGCCATTTGTTTTAATATACAAACAACCAGTGATGCTGGAATGAGCAGAGGACTTAATAAGATTTAGGTATAAGTCCCGGATCAGCTTTTTGAATTTAGGACAGAAAGATATTCTAATCCTTAGAAGTCTCCCATGTTGAATGAGAATAATAATACTTGCTTTATTTAAGAAACTGTTATCAGATGAATTGCTTTATGTGAAGGTGCTTGTGAATGACAATAATCAGAATGGTTGATGTTGTTGATAGCTTTGTACTTATATAAGGAAGCACGTAGGTTCAAAAGAGTGACCCTTTCAATTCCCCAGTGCTTTTTCCTGTGTGACCAAGGGACCAGGAGACACACACTTTAACTTTGGAAGGGCTGTCTGGAAAGAATTCAAATTGAGTTTCAGAAAGCCAGTTGGAATTTAATAATGCATGAAAAATACACCAAGGGGAAGAAAGAACCAATTAGGAAGCAATTAAGAAGATTGCAATAACAATGCATCTTAATAAAGTACAAAAAATATTAAACTGCAAATAGGAGACTAAGTAGTTACCTGTGGAAGAAAAGAGAAGTGGAAATAAGGAGAGTTTCCAAGGTAGATATGAAAACAGAATAGAAAAGAAAAAACAAAACTGTATTTCACTATCTTTTTCTCTGCCTGTTCAAATCCCAAGCATCCTTCAAAAACCTTTCCCTCTGACACTCCATTAATCATTTATATTCAGCACTATTATTAAATTCCTGGTCTTAATTAACAATCTTTAAAAATGTAACTCTCATAATTCCCCGAATAGGAAGTACAAATGGTTAGTGAACTCTCGAAACATAATCAACTATCTTAGAATTCAAATAAGTACAAATTGAAACAATTTAATATCCCATGTTACTTTGAAAATTATAAACAATTTTTAAGCATTTTTTTAAAAACGGGCTCTCTGTTCACATTTGCATTTGGGGATCCTCCTTAATATTGAGCAGCTATTTGAAGAGCAGTGATTTCTCCAAGCATGACTACCAAGCAAGTGAGGTGTGGAGAAAGGAGGTCCGTAAAGAAATCAGAAGACTGAGTCAATTGACACCTCGGCTCCAACAGTGGAGTCACGAGAATTCAGATTTACAGCCAGTTTACTATTGGTTAATAAGTGTGAGAGGTGATAACTTTATATCAGATAGTTAATTTTCACAGTAATATCTGCTTATTGTTGTACCCCCATCTGAGCAAAGGAGAGAAATAAGACTGAGGGATTAACTATCTTTACCAAATTCAGGGTCTTAGTGAAAATCATGCAGGTTATATACATGAAACGGCTTTGAAAACTAATTAAATGCCATTATTATTATTATTATTATAAGATAGAACAACCTATTTGAGCAATATTAAATGCTAAAAGTTGCAAACAAAAGAAGTTAATGGTGTGTGCACCTAAAATTCTCAATAGTAAAAAATAAGAAGAAATTTTGAAGCCTATTTTAAACATTTACATTTCTTTTCTATTTTAAAATGACATTGGGCATCAAAGCCAAAATTGTGGTATGGATATTTGAAATCAACTTTAAGCAAGCTACATAATTTTTATTAGATTTGTTTTCCATGATTTGGAATATTAATATGATTTCCCCAATCACTTATTTAAATCCTTTACCTGTGTCCAAATCCAGAGCGATCTGGCTGGGTATTGATCTGGCTGCCCAAAAACTAAGAGTCTGTTTCTTTAGTACCTTATTATTTCCACTTGAGTTAGATATAGTGTTTTATTGTTTACTTTCTTTTAATTTTTGTTAATTATGATAAGGATATGGACAAATATTTTTCACATTTGCTTAATATGTGTGAGTCTTTTCCCCAGAATTGTTTTATGCATTCTGTGGAGCAAAGACTATATTTTATTTTACAATTTTTTAAAAAATTCTCTGTACTTTTGCTGGGCACCACTTGATAGAGTGCTGGATATAGTGTAGTCCACTCTCCTAATGCCTGGCGGAATCAGGAAGAATTAAAAAACCTGGAATCAAAGAATTGAAAGAAACTGTAAGGTAACATAGGACCTGCTTATGCCCTGATTTGGCAGTTTGCCTGGCTAGACCCCCTGGACCACTTGACCTTTATCTAAAACTCTACCTACAGTTCTACCAAAGTTTTAGGGACAATTCTGTTCTTAGGAAGAGAGGGATTTGGGGAAACTCTATCACATTTAGAAGTCAAGTGCCTCAGTAATATGAACCCATATTTCTGGGCTGGTTTTGACTTTTGATCCAGGTAAAAGTCTGATCTTTGAGCTTCTGCCTTATTACCAAATAAAGTCCCATATAGGATCTTATCGGTTCCTGGATTCCCATTTTGTTAACCTTTGATTACTCCATTCTTTCTCTGCAAGGATATTGCCTACTTACCTGAGACAGCACTGTGAATTGGAGAGAACACTGGCTTTGGAATCACACAGGTCCAAGTTTCAATCGTGACTTCATCATTCCCTGCTATGTGATTGTAGATACTTTTTTACAAAATTGAGTTATCTAATCTATAAAACAGGATCAATTATACCCAACTCAATGAGCTATAATGAAAATCAAATGAGATTCTCAAACAAATTTACAGGAAAAAAACAAACAACCCCATCAAAAAGTGGGCAAAGGATATGAACAGACACTTCTCAAAAGAAGACATTTATGCAGCCAAAAGACACATGAAAAAATGCTCATCATCACTGGCCATCAGAGAAATGCAAATCAAAACCACAATGAGATACCATCTCACACGTTAGAATGGCAATCATTAAAAAGTCAGGAAACAACAGGTGCTGGAGAGGATATGGAGAAATAGGAACACTTTTACACTGTTGCTGGGACTGGAAACTAGTTCAATCATTGTGGAAGTCAGTGTGGCGATTCCTCAGGGATCTAGAACTAGAAATACCATTTGACCCAGCCATCCCATTACTGAATATATACCCAAAGGACTATAAATCATGCTGCTATAAAGACACATGCACACGTATGTTTACTGCGGCACTATTCACAATAGCAAAGACCTGGAACCAACCCAAATGTCCAACAATGATAGACTGGATTAAGAAAATGTGGCACATATACACCATGGAATACTATGCAGCCATAAAAAGATGATGAGTTCATGTCCTTTGTAGGGAAGTGGATGAAATTGGAAATCATCATTCTCAGTAAAGTATCGCAAGGACAAAAAACCAAACACCGCATGTTCTCACTCATAGATGGGAACTGAACAATGAGAACACATGGACACACGAAGGGGACCATCACACTCTGGGGACTGTTGTGGGGTGGGGGTAGGGGGTAGGGATAGCATTAGGAGATATACCTAATGCTAAATGACAAGTTAATGGGTACAGCACACCAGCATGGCACATGTATACCTATGTAACTAACTGGCACATTGTGCACATGTACCCTAAAACTTAAAGTATAATAATAATAATAATAATAATAATAATAATAATAAAAAGAAAATCAGATGAGATTCTAACAACTTGTGCTTAAAGTTTTTTAAACTCAAAAAATATTAATTTCTTATTTTCCTTTCTATTTCTCTTATCCATCTATCTTAGAAACTACCATTCTCCTACACTTCTTGTATATGCTACACTTAGCTGTGTGCTTATAGATCTCCACAATGATAAGCCTGCTGTCACTGCAAGGCTGCCTGTGTGTTCCTAGGTAGGCAGTCTAGTACTTTCATGTATAATGTACTCTAGAAACTTGTATGACAGTCATAGATGCAAAAGAAATGAATTGATTTAAATATTTTAAGAGTTCCATTCCAAGGCATCAAGTAGATATTCCCCAAATTATGATGTAATATTCCATTTTCCTGTTACATATAATACAATGTATGTGTAATTATTTAAAATACAGATTAAATATCAACTACAAATAAGAAAATATAGTTAAACAATTTTTTTCTTCAAACTGTTTTGCTCAGCTTATTTGAAAGACAATGAAAAACAATTTTAACATTACACATAAAGGTATACTGTTCATTTTGCAAGGTATTTTGCAACTTTGAAAAAATTTTGTAAAGGTAGTATGAATCACTAGCCTGTTTCTCTTTATAAAGAAATCTGTTCTACTTTAGGAAGATATAAACTTTTGTTGCATTTGGATTACTGGGATGCTTTTATAATGTCCCTTATAAAATTATAATTTTAAGTATCATTGGTAATTTTTTTTTAAGAGAAGCTGCCTGCATTCCTTCCCTCTACAATGCTCATTCCTTCAAACAGAGGTGTGCTGAAGTTGGCTTGCATCAGAGAGGAGAACTGATTGCATTTGTTTCCAACTATGTTACCATGGTGTCATATTGGCAGGCCATGATGGGAATATTTGCACCATGGAAATCTATAAATGCTACAAATTAAGAATATTTGTGTTATTTTATTTTATTTTATTTTTGAGACAGAGTCTAGCTTTGTCTCCTAAGCTAGAGTTCAGTGGCGCAGTCACACTCACTGTACTGTCGACCTTCTAGGCTCAAGCCATCCTCTCACCTCAGCCTCCTGAGTAGCTGGGACCACAGGCACATGCTACCACACCCGGCTAATTTTTGTATTTTTTTTGTAGAGACAGGATTTTGCCACGCGGCCCAGGCTGGTCTTGAACTCCTGGCCTCAAGCCTCTGCCCACCTTGGCCTTCCAAAGTGCTGGGATTATAGGTGTGAGCTACCGTGCGCAGACTATTTTTTGAGAGCTGGTTGTTGAAGTTTGACCCTTACCCTACCATCTCAACCTTTGTTATTTCTGCTTATGCTCAAGAGTCATCAGATTACACCTGAAATTATATGTTCTACAAAGAATCCCTTGAGTGATCATCTTTATTTATGTGAGTTCAGGAGGCAACATTAACTAAGAGAGAAGAGGGCGACAAGCTCTTTGCTTTCTTCGCTTGCTGAACAAAAGCCTAATCACGTTTTTGGGTACCTTTGTATCATTTACTTTCACAAGGTAGAAAGTCAGTTATTTGTACAAGGCTTTCCAGAGAGAGAAGAGATCAAGACCCAGCTACTACTGCCCATCTCTTCTAAAAGGGAAATCATTTAGTGTGGACCAAATTGTTTGCATTTATGACTCAATGAAAAGGGAGGTGAATATGCCCAGTGTATTAAAATAATAATGAATTCAAAAGGAGTCTGAGCAAGTGAATTGGGTTTAATATAAAAGTCAGGATCTGTGGGATAAGCCTTGTTTTCGCACCTCCTGTTGCTGATATTTGTAGTAGTTCCCATCCTGGCCACCATGGCAACTGAGAAGTGGCAAGTGGCTGTGCCTAAGGAATAATTGCTGAGAATCAAACCATTTCAGGTAATCAGAAGGAGAGTGTGATTTTGGAGCCCCTGTGTGGACAGGGAGTTGGATTAGCAACGGTTTGCCGGTGGCAGAGGACTTGTGTGAGTCGTTAAGTGGGGCACAAAATGCATGACAGAAGAGAAAGACTGGAGAGGTGGACAAGATCAATCCCACTTCTATTCATTTTCCATCTCACCTTTGGAATCAAGCCTGCCCTCCTGAGTTTGGGAGATTTGCGAAAACATGTTCTCAGGAGTGAGTTGCTGGACTTTCTGATTCTAGGCCAGGGAGTAATTAATTTGGGAAATTAAAAAAAGATATGACTGTATTCGTTAATCCACAAATTCTACAAAGGTTTATTTAACTCCCACTACCTTGAAGGCACTGTATGGGCACTTGCAATAAAGCAGTGAACAAAACAGCCAAAGATCCCTGCCCTCATGGACCACATTTACATTGTTTGTATTCTGAATATGTGGAGCAAATCACATTGTACATTTTCCCCACTTCTGCATTGCTCGTTTCTTCAGAAATTAATTTACAGCATTTGGTATATACTTTCAATTTTTCTCTTTCTTCACAATTATGTCCAAGCATTTACATTTTTGACATGCCTATGTATTTTTACTTTTGCACAATTATCACTGCTATCTAAATTTTAATGTATTCTACTTTTCATTCCTTTGGTTAAATGTGTAATTAAGTCAAACAATTGATTTGACCATTTTTGTAACTGTTGTACTTCCTGGAGGTGCTTAATAATTTCTTACTAGATATTTGATCAATAATTGTTGAACATTTCCTTCAACAGTTTCAAGGGAAATGTGGGATAGAGGCAGTATGGTGAGATTCTTTGGTATGGACAATCCATAAATAAGCCAATTTTTAAAAAGGTAATAAGTTCCTTCTGTTCTCTTAACTTTGAGTCCTAAACAGAAAATACGGTTTAAATCTAACATACCCCAAAATGTTGTAATTGTTTGCATTGGGTTAGAGTGCAAAGAAGATTTATAGACTTGAATTTAAATCCAGTACTCCCTCTTACTGACTAGGTAAACTTGCACAAATAATTTAAACTTTCTTAGAATCTATTTCTAATTAATAAAACAGGGACAATACCCACTTCACTGGTTAACAGAGCTTAACAAATAATGTATATAAAATAATATTAATAGCTAAGCCTATTGAGTGGTAACTATGTGCTGTCACTTTCATAAGTAGTCTCTTCTTTCCCATGACAATTTTTTAGGTAGCTATTATTATTAGCCCCATTTTACAGATAATTAAATTAAACAATGGAAGTTAAATAACTTGCCCCAATTCACACAGCTAATAAGTAGCAAATGTGGGTTATGATTAAGAGCACATTTTCTATTGATCATTACTCTATATGGCAAGGTTTGTCCACAGCACTACTGGCGTTTTGGGCTGAATAATTCTTTGTTGTGAGGGCTGTCTTTGCATTGTGTGAAGTTAAGTAGCATCTCTGACCTCTATCCATGAGACGCCCGTGGAACCCCCACTCCCAAACATAATAACCAAAAATTTCGCAGACCTTGCCACATGTACTCAGAGGAGCAAAATCAACCCAAGTTGTTAAGAACCATTACTCTACTGCATACTGCCTTCATAAGAATGTATAATACATAAGCCCCCATAGGCAAAAATTAGCATGTGTAAGAAGTGTTCTAAAGAAATGCTGTTTATCTGTTTTCCTACTTTGGGTACTGGAAACCCAAACAAAATTCATGCTGATCTGTCAATGTATTAAAATACCTCACAGATTTATTAAGGGGGATGCTAAAAAGATAATGAAGGATTTTTGAGGCTTATTAAAACTATGACAAAAAATAGTTTTGGTTTACTAAATATACTTATGTGTGGTGAACAATAGTTAAGAAAGAAGCTATATTGGTGATCATAATAAGGATAATGATGATGATAATGATACAATTTGTCAGGCTTTGGTAAAATTTCTTTATATATATTATTACATTTAATAGAAGGTAGGACTACCTATTATCACTATTATCTGAGTTTTATAGATGATAAAACTGAGAACCAGAAAGGTCAACAACATTTCTTTCCCAAGGCTAACCAACTAGTAAGTATGGCAGAGCTGATCATGTTTTTCTATTTCCTCTGCCTCTAATTCTGTTTAGATGTGAATTTCTTGGATATAACCTGGTTCTGTGCTTTAGAGCATTCAGAGGGGTATATTTTAAACCTCTTTTGGTTTTAGTAATCACTTTTTGCTTGCATTCTAAATACACTCCACAGGAACATTTTCTACTTTTCACCACTGAACATTGCCTGGCAGATGTACCTTGGTGCATTATTAAATCTCTTTATGTTCCATATCATTGACAATACCTGGATCTAGGAAAAAGGGAAAGCGGAATTGCACAGGAATTCATATTGTCTTCCACTGAATACCTGTATCGCACTTTTAATGACCTAAAAGCTTTAAACAAAAATGAGAAACAACAACAACAAAATCTAAAACAGAACATACCAGTTTTGCATCTGTTAGGGTTTTTGCCTTTGGGTGACAGAAACCACTAGATCTAGTATAAAATAACATTAAATTGCTTACAAAATCTTTAAATGGATCAGAGAAGTAATGGATTCAGCCAGGACCCATGAAGTCAAACACAACACAGTCAGGAAAGGCACACAACTACACAATAACTATTCTTAAAAATAACACTGCTACCACTGCCTGCCTCTACACATCCATGAGAGGATTAGATTCTAGAATTTAACTCCACTCACCCCAGATATACCAAATGTTTCTTCCCCATTCACTTGCCCAAAGAGTCTGCACTATGACCATAATCAAATAACAATTCTCTTGCCATGGTCACTTTTGCATCCAAATCACAGGTCTGTGTCTACTTGGTAGAAGTTAACTCATTTGCTGCACTATAGCTGCAACCATCTGAGAAATGTAGTTTTACTTTTCTTGTCTTCGTAACACAAGAATGGAAACTAGAAACAAAGAGGTTGAAATAAGAGCTGAATGAGCCAATTTACAGTACTTGTCACCATTTTTATATGGAATTATAGAAATGGAAGCATGCTATCTTTTCCTTAGTGCAAAATATTGAAGGCATAATCCATAGCAGTTTAATGCTTATAAACTGAAACACACTGGAATACATTGCCTTGCACATAATAGCGGTCAAATAAATATCTGTTGAAGTAAGTTAGATATGCAATGCAACTATAGGGTACTCTAGAGGAAAGGAAACTTATTTATTGAGCTATTTCTACACTAGCAACTTATTTTTTTTTTTTTTTGAGAAGGAGTTTCACTCTTGTTGCCCAGGCTAGAGTGCAGTGGCATGATCTCAGTTCATGGCAACCTCCACCTCCCGGATTCAAGCGATTCTCCTGCCTCAGCCTCCCGAGTAGCTGGAATTACAGGCATGCACCACCACGCCCAGCTAATTTTCAATTTTTAGTAGAGATGGGGTTTCTCCATGTTGGTCAGGCTGGTCTTTAACTCGAGACCTCAGGTGATCCGCCCACCTCGGCCTCCCAAAGTTCTGGGATTACAGGCATGAGCCACCACGCCCGGCCTACACTAGCAACTTTATATGCCAATTATATTTATTTTCCCCTGCAACCATATGAAAGAGTTAGCCCCATATTGTAGATTAGAATACTGGAGGTCAGTAATTATGTGATTGAGTGAGAACCCAAAACTGGTAAATGGAAGAACATCTTAATTCTTCTTTCTAAAAATACATGGTTTTTCATCAAATTGACCTATCTCCCAACTGATTGGGTTACAGTATATATTTATTTATCCACATAAGTACAGTTTTTAGGTTGAGTGCATAGAAAATGGACAGTGAGCTTTAGGAGGCCTATTTCACCTTTTTTGCCCTTGAATTTCTGGAAGAAGATCTGCTCCTGAAAACAGTATTCTCAAGAGAAGGCCAAAACAAAAACGTGATAAAGATCAAGCTTTAAATATAGAAGGGATAAAGGGACAGGAAGCAGAAGTACAATTATTTTGTTGCCTTAAAAGAATTCCCTGTTCCCTAATCTACCTTCCTATACAAATTCCCTACTCTAACAAGATTGACATCTCATGTTGACTATTGCAATTCTTCTCACAGGTTTCCAAAGCATTCTCTTTCTTCAAGGAGCAGATCAAATTCCTCTTACTCCAAGGCCTTCCCTAACTTTATCTCTTTTCTTTTCTATGCACATCCGTGGGACATGGTGTCAGTTCGTTGGCATAGCAATGAATTTTCCTGGAACATTTTTTGTTGTATATTAACATTATAATTTCCAAAGTATACATAACTTTTTAAAAATGGAATCTTTTATTTTGAGATAACTGGAGATTCACATGCAGTTGTAAGTAGTAGTATAGAGCGATCCCATGGTAAAGATACCCTTTACCCTGTTTCCTCCAGTGGCATTTCATTGTAGTTTTAATTTACATTTTTTAAATGGCTAATGGTGTTGAATATCTTATGCTTAGTTTCTGTCTATATATCTTCCTTGAAGAAATGTCTTGTTCATTTCTATAGCCCAGGTTTTAATTGGATTGTTTTGTTTTTTATTTTTACTGTTGAGTTTTGTATATTTTAGAATACTAGTTCTTTGTCAGATATGTGGTTTGCAATTATTTTCTGTCAGTGTTAGCCTTTTTATCCTCCAAACATTTGGTCTTTCACAGACAAAAATATTTTAATTTTGATAAAGTCCAGTTGAACATTTTTCACTTTTAAAATTTGTATTTTTACTATCAAGTCTAAGAATTCCTTGCCTAGCGTTAGGTACCAAAGATTTTCTCCTATGATTTTTTTTTCCTAAACATTGTGGAGTTATACATTTTATGTTTAAGCCCATGTTCCATTTTAAGTTAATTATTATATAACATATGAGACTTAGGTTACAGTTATTTTATCCTCTCCATGGGTATCTAATTATACCTTTGTAAAAAATCAGTTGGGCATATGTATGAGGGTCTATTTCTGGTTTCTGTATTCTGTTCCATTGATTCATGTTTCTGTCCTTCTGCCAGTACCACACAGTGCAAATACTAATACTTTATACTGTCTTGAAATTCAATAGACTTACTTCTTTACTTTATTCTTCCTTTTCAAAATTGTTTTAGCTAATATAATTCCTTTATCATTTCACATAACTTTTAGCATAATCTTGCCTATATTTATAAAAAATGCTGGAACTTTGATAAAATTGCATTAAACCTATTTAACCTATATATCAATTTGGGGAAGCTTGACATAATTACTGTGCTGACTCTCAAATGAGGTTTTTCTCTCCATTTACTAGATCTTTAATTTTTAAAATCAGTGTTGTGTAGTTTTAACATACAAGACTTATATATATTTTGTAAGATTGACACCATAGAATTTCATTTTTGAGTGATTATAAATGGCATTGCATTTAAAATTTTAAATATCTGTGTTCATTAGTAGTGTATAAAAATATAATTGATATTTTATCTTGTGTCTTACATCTTGTGAATTTGCTGACTTCAGATATTAGTTCTAGAAGCTTTTCTTATATATTCCCAGAGATCTTCTACTTAAAAAACTATATCATCTTCAATTAAAGACAGTTTTACTTTTTTCTTTCCAATCTCTTTGCCTTTTATTTCTCTTTCGTGCCCTAATGCACTGGCTAGAATTTTCCAGCACTATGTTGAATAGGAGTGGTGAGAATGGACACCCTTGCCTTGTTTCCATCTAACAGGGATAGCATTCAGTCTTTCACCATTGAGTAATTATAATTTTAGCTACAGGTTTTTCTACATAGTTTTTAATCAAGTTAAAGAATTTATCATTATTCCTGTTTTTCTGAGAGTTTCCATTATGAATGGGTGTTATAATTTGTCAAACAGTTTTTTGTCTGCATTGAGTATGTAATCATGTGATTGTTCTTTTTTTTAACTGCTTAATATGGTGTCTTACATGAATTGATTTTCAACTACTGAACCAACCTTGCATTCCCAAAACAAACAATTATATTATTTGCAAAGAATAACAGTTTTTTTTTTCCTTCTGACCTGTATGTCTTTTATTTCCCTTTCTTGACTTATTTCACTAACTATAATTGTGTGGCTTTGTCACAGTGTATAATTCTTTTTATGTACTGTACTATTCACAAATAGAATTTGTGAATATTTGTGAAGGGTAAATGGGTGTATATTCATGAGGGCTATTGGTCTGTAGTATTTTTTTTGGTGCTGTTTTTGTCTAGTTTTGGTATCAGAATAATACTAAATTCATAAAACAAACTGGAAATTATTTCTTCACTTTTTATTTTCTGGAAGATATTGTGTAGAGTTAATGCAAATTATTTTTAAAATGTTTGTGAGAATAATCCAGTGAAATCATCTGAGCCATGAAATTTCAGTCTTGGGGAGTTTTAAAATTATTCATTCAAATTCTTATGTTAGCACATGGTATTCAAGTAATTTATTTCATATTGGGTTGGCTGTAGTAGTTTTTGTTTTTTGAAGAATTGATCCATTTTTGCTAATTTGTCAAATTTATGCATATAGATTTGTTCATAATATTTCCTTGTTATTACTTTGATGTCTGTTGTGTCAGTAAAGATATCTTCTGTTTAATTCCTGATATTGGTAATTGGCATCATTTCTCCTTTTACTTTGTCAGTGTTGCTAGAGGATTGTCAATTTTATTGATCTTTTGAAGAAACAGGACTTTGATTAATTGTTCTTTTCTACTGTTTTCTGGTTCCTAATGTCATTGATTTCTACTTTTATCTTTGATATTTACTTTCTTCTGCCTGCTTTGGGTTTATTTATTCTTCTTTTTCTAGATTCTTCAGGTGGGAGCTTAGATTATTGATTGGAGATGTTCCACCTTTTCTAATGCATATATATTCAGTGCTATAAATTTCCCTCAGTACTGCTTTAGTTGTGTTTCGTGCATTTTTTTTGTACTTTTATTATCTTCATTTTTACGTATTTTTTTATTTACCCTGAGATTTCATCCTTTACCCATGATTTATTTAGAAATATGGTTTTTAGTTTCTACCTGTTTTGTAGATTTTCCTGATATCTTTCTCTTATTGATTTGTAACTTGATTACATTGAGATAGGGTAGCACAATATGTGTATTTTTTAAAATTTCTTTTGAAGACTGTTTTATGATCCAGTATATGGCCTATCTTAGTATATGATCTGTGGGCACTTTAAAAGGAGGTGTATTCTGCTGTTGTTGGGTGGAGTGTTATTTAGGTGTTGATTAGGTCCTGTTGGTTGACGATATTACTGAGGTTTTCTACATCTTTGCTGATTTTCTATCTAGTTGTTAATTATTGAGAAAGGATGTTAAAGTCCCCAACTAATATTATATTATAAATATTTTATTTATTTATTTTAATGTATGCATGCATGTATTTTTGGAGATCGGGTCTCACTCTGCAACCAGGCTGGAATGCAGTGGCATAATTAAGACTCACTGCAGCCTTCACCTCCTGGCCTCAAGTGATCCTCCCACCTCATCTTTCTGAGTAGCTGGGACTATAAGTGCATGCTGCCATGCCTGAGAAAGTTTCCAACCATAAAATAGTGAGTTTATTTATTTTTTCAACTCTACCATGTTTTGTTTTACATATTTTTCAGGTGAAAGTAAAGGGATGAAAATGATGTATCATGCAAACATTAATCAAAGGAAAGCAAGAATCTCTGTATTAATATCAGACAAAATAGACTTCAAAACAAAGAAAATTACCAGAGACAGAGACAGATATTCTATAATGGTAACAGGGTCAATCCACCAAGAGGACCTAGTAATCCTAAATGTGTATGCTCTAATAAACAGAACTGCAAACTATGTGAAGCCTACATTTTTATATTTTTAAGTGAATTTCCTATGGAAAACATATAGTTGGGTCACATTCTTTAATCTACTCTGCCAAACCCTCTTTTTTGATTGGTATAGACAATTCACATTTAATAAAATCACTATAAGTTGAAGCTTATTTCCACCATTTTATTTTTCTTATTTGTTATCTCCATTTTTGCTTTCTCTGTTTTCTTTTTTCTGCCTTCCCATGGGTTATTGGAACAGTGTTATACCCACCAATCTTAAAACAACAATAATTTATTTAGCTTGTGATTCAATGGTTTGGCAGTTTGGACTAAGCTCTACTGATCTGGGCTCTTCTGGTTTTAGCTGGGCTAAATTTTTTTATCCACAGTAAACTGCTACTGGTGGGCTGACTAGTGGCTCAGTGTTTTTAGATGGCATCATTCCCATGTCTGATGATTGGCTTGCAGTTTCCTGGGGCTATGGTGGTAAATGGACCACCATCTCTCATCATGTAGCAGGGTAATCTGTACTTGTTAACATGGTTGATCAGCAGGTTTTTAAGAGAGAGTGCAGAAGCATGCACAGTCTCCTGGTGCCTAGATTCCGAACTGGCACTTCTGAAAGATTCTACTGGCCAGACAAGGCACAAGCCTACTTAGATTCAAGAGCGGGAGAAACAAATACCATCTCTTGATGGAAGATATTGTAAAGTCACATTTTAAAAGAATTTGCATTTAGGAATGAATCACAAATTATGGCAATTTATACCAACCATAGGATCCACATGTTTTTATATCTTATACACTCACTTATACTATAAAACCGTTGAGTAGTTTAAAGAACATTCATCATGGTCTTATTAAGTAGGAAAATTTAAGTGGATGAAATGGGGAGTCTATATTTAAAGAAATCCTTGGGGTATACTAGAAAGAAAATAATTTCTACCAGAGAAAAGTTTAATGTAAGATCTAAGAGGAAGTTATTTTCCCAGCAAAAGACAGAGTGGAATATGCCTCAATCAAAAGATTCAAAATATGTTGTGCTGAGCATATCTGTAGTAAATATTAAAAGATAAAAAAAGAAAGGAGTCAAATAAGAAAGACCACACCACTCTTAGATCAGGGAAAGAAGAAAGACAAATTGGCAGTGGTTTTTTTTTTTTTTTTGACACAGAGTCTTTCTCTGTCACCAGGCTGGAGTGCAGTGGCGTGATCTTGGCTCACTGTAACCTCTGCCTCCTGAGTTCAAGTGATTCTCCTGCCTCAGCCTCCCGAGTAGCTGGGACTACAGGAGTGCACCACCACGCCCAGCTAAATTTTTTGTATTTTTAGTAGAGACGGGGTTTCACCATGTTGGCCAGGATGGTCTTGATCTCATGACCTCGTGATCTGCCCACCTTGGCTTCCCAAAGTGCTGGGATTACAGGCGTAAGCCACCGTGCCCAACCCCTGCCCCGCCTTTTTTAAAAAATTGAGTATGGAATGTATTAAGTTTCACTAGAAAAAAACAACATACTTTAAGCTACTTTTATTATAGACACAGTTTGAGTACAGGGCAGCTAGACACTGATATCTAGGGTTGTGGGAGCCAGTCTATTGCTGTAGTGGGCCTGAAGTCTGTGGCCTAGGGGATGCCGGGTGCTGGGGGCAGTCTGGAGCCTGGGGCCTCTGGTGTCAGCTTGGCACTGGAGCAGGCCTGGAGATGGAGTCCATCATTCAGGCCTGGAGCCTGGGGCTGCAGGATTTATTCAGGCACTGGAATGGATCTCGGGGTTCAGTTCACAAGTACCAGTCTGAAGCCTGGTTGGGGTTTGCCTGGTGCTGGGTTTAACTAGAGTGGGCCAGTTTTGGAGTCTGAGGCAAAGTCCAGTTCTCACTTCCTTCTCCTTCGCCTAAGTGGAAGGTATCTTTCTCCATGCTGGGCTGCCTGGGGTTGGGGAGACAGTGAGGCAATTAATGTAAACCCATCCTTCTACTCTCTTTAATGCATCTTTTCTTATTTCTTTGCTAAAACTAGGTACTGCAATCTCTTGCCTGATTTCCTTAACTCTTATGAAGGTATTCTTGTGTGTGGGTATTTGTTTGAATTGATGTTTCTGTTATGGGAACATGCACATCTTGATTTCTTGGGAGATTTCAAATTACTACTTCAACCTTTTTTATTTGTTACTGGTCTGTACAGGCTTTCTGTTTTTTCCTGGTTCAATTTTAGTAGTTGTATGTTTTTAGGAATTCACCCATTTCCTCTAAGTTATCCAGTTTGTTGGCATATAACAGTTCATAATAAGCTCTTATGATCCTTTTTATTTCTGAGGTGTTTGTTGGAATGGCTCCAGTTTCATCTCTAATTTTATTTGAATCATATCTTTTTTTCTTAGTGTAGCCAAGAATTTGTCAATTTTATTTTTTTCTAAGAAAACAACTCTTGGCTTTGTTGATTTTTTTGTATATTTTTGTATTTTCTATTTGATTTATTTTTGCTCAGATCCTTATTATTTTCTTTATTTTGCTAACTTTGGGTTTAGTCTCTTCTTCATGTTCTAGGTACCCTAGGTATAATGTTAGGTTGTTTATTTAAGATCCTTTTTCTTTTTTAAAATACATACTCATAGGTATAAACTTCCCATTTAAAATGCTTTTGCTGTGGATTTTGTTATGTTGAGTTTTCATTGTCTCAAGATATTTTTAAATTTCCCTTTTGATTTCTTATTTGACCCATTGGTTGTTTTGGAATGTATTGTTTAATTTTCACATATTTTGTGAATTGTCCATCTTTTCTCTGGTTATTGATTTCTAGTTTTGTACAATTAGTGTCAGAAAAGATAGTTGATATAATTTCTATTTTATTAAATTTGTTGACTTGTTTTGTATCCTAACTTATGATATATTCTGGGGAATGTTTCATTTGTGCTTGATAAGAACGTGTGTTTTGCTGTTTTTGGATGAAATGTTCTAGTATATATCTGTGAGGTCTGTTTGGTCTAAAGTTTAGTTCAAGTCCATTGTATTCTTATTGATTTTCTTTCTAGTTAATCTATCCACTGTTTAAAGAAGAGTACTGAAGTCCTCTATTATTATTACAATGCTGTCTATTTCTTCCTTCAGATGTATTAATACTTGCTTTATACATTTAGATGCTCTAATGCTAGGTGCATATATATTTACAATTTTTATATCCTCTGAATAAATTGACTCTTTTATCACTATATAATTACCTTCTTTGACTCTTGTGACAGTTTTTGATATAAGGTCTGTTTTATCTAAGTATAGCCACATTTGCTTTATTTTAGTTACCATTTGAATTATATATATTTTTTCATTCCTTCACTTTCAGCCTATTTTTAAAATTAGAGTGAGTCTTTTGTAAGCAGCAGTTAGTTGTATCTTGACTATTTCTATTTATTTTTTAATTAAAAAAATCAATTCAGCTACCTAGGGGTAGTAGTGGGGAGAATGGGGAGATGTAAATCAAAAGGTACAAAGTTGCAGTTATGCAGGGTGAACAAATCTAGAGGTCTAGTGTACAGCATGAGGGCAATAGTTATAATATTGGGTGCTCTAACCACAAAAAGGAAGGTAATATGTGAGTTACGGGTGCTGGATATATTAATCTGCTTGACTGCAGTAACTATTCTACTATTTATAATTATATCAATATGTTTTGTTGTATACTTTAAATATGCACAATTAAAATAACAAGATAATGTGTACCTCCATATTATAAAGATAACACTTACAAAATATAAAAAATATTTTATATCCACAATTTACTAGTTATAACATGAGGGTTTTGTAACTTTTACCCATGGCACTCTAATTGGGTTATATAAGAGACTAGAAATTTGAATAAATTTAATGGATACAGAATTTCCTATATATTTATTGTCCCACCCCTTCTCTAAAGCTAAATGGTGGATCTTTGAAAAGTACCACTCAGAGAAATTGGGAATGGCTGAACAATGGATAACTGGCCTTTCACTATATAGCTGGATGCTAACGTGTATGATTCTGTTAGTCTTCTCTTGGTGGCAGCATTGGAAAACTGTCTTACAAGAGCTTGATACTGCAAGACATTTCTCCAGGTGGCTTTGGACTGACCCAGTTCTCTCCCTCTTTTTTTGCATGTAGTTATCTAGAATAACTAGAATGTAATGGGAATGCAATATCCTGATATAGGGAGGTACTGCTTGCAACAACCTAGGCCTTGTTTCTATCCCTCCTACGGCTTGTAGCATCTTGAGTTAGGGTGGAACTTCCCAGGCAAGCCAGGCTTTGTTCCTCTCTCCCCTAGAAGCAGGATGTTCTTCAAAGTTTTGCCCAGTGTGTCATGTAGCCCTCAAGGTATCTGAACCTGGGCAGGTCCCTTATAGGGTCCCTCAGCTGTGGTGTAAAGTGGATCACATGCAGTCAAGACTCCATCCATTCTGGGCAGCTTGAGCAACCTGCCTTCCATTCCCAACTTATACTTTAGAATAAGGCCTATAACACAGTCTACAATGGATCCAAGAATTCATCTGTCCCTTGCTGCCTATCTGTAAGTAATAAACCCCCTTTATGTAACTTGTTGTGTGTGTGTTCTGTCTCACTAGGTTCAGACAAATAGGTAACAAGTGCATAGTGAACCTAAACAGTAGCCCAGGATACAGTAGGTAGGAGTATTTGAACCCATGTTCCTGGTGGTTAGCATAGTTATGATCTTTGCTGTTTCCCATAAAGTGGGAGTCCTCCTTTGGGATTGGAAATTAGCAAACCTGCTTCTCAGACACATGCTTTCTGAATTAAGGGACACACAAGAATACCTAAAGAATTCACAGCTGGTATGTACCCAAAGGACTATAAATCATGCTGCTATAAAGACACATGCACACGTATGTTTATTGCGGCACTATTCACAATAGTAAAGACTTGGAACCAACCCAAATGTCCAACAATGATAGACTGGATTAAGAAAATGTGGCACATATACACCATGGAATGCTATGCAGCCATAAAAAATGATGAGTTCATGTCCTTTGTAGGGACATGGATGAAATTGGAAATCATCATTCTCAGTAAACTATCGCAAGAACAAAAAACCAAACACTGCACATTCTCACTCATAGGTGGGAATTGAACAATGAGAACACATGGACACAGGAAGGAGAACATCACACTCTGGGGACTGTTGTGGGGTGGGGGGAGGGGGGAGGGATAGCTTTAGGAGATATACCTAATGCTAAATGATGAGTTACTGGGTGCAGCACACCAGCATGGCACATGTATACATATGTAACTAACCTGCACATTGTGCACATGTACCCTAAAACTTAAAGTATAATAATATTAAAAGAAAAAAAAAAGATCATTCTTAAGGGCATCTGAGAAAATGCAAAAATGGCTAGATTTTGCACTATGCAGCTTTACCTCAGACCTTAACAAAAATATCATAATAAAGCTGAATATTATGTATTTTTAGCAATAAATGTGTTATAAATGAAATTTTGAAATCCCACTTCAAAATTTGATAATTTTGAATGAATTATTGAAATTCAATAAAATTGTATTGTATTAAAAAAATTAAATAAAAATAATGTATTGATTAAACTACAAAAAAAAATTCACAGCTAGAGAATTCTGGAAGTCATAGACTATTTGGAGTAGCCCATAATGGCAGAGCAATAGTGAGTCAACCTGTGCCACTACTGCTTGGCATGGTAAGGAGGGGGAAATTTTTTTTCCTCTGGGACAAGTGAATACCAGGAAAAGAAGACAAGCTAGAGCCATGCTGCATGTACTTTCAAGAAATATAGATGAGGAGTAAAGTGCTCCACTGAAAAGTGAATAATTATGTCAGCCTCCAAAGCCTATAAAGCCTCTGAAGAACCTACATAAGTGACCATGTGATAGTCAGAACTTGAATATCTACCAGACAAAGGCATTGACATCCAATCAGTGTTAACTAGTAAGAGTGAGATAATTAGGGAATCATAAACAAAAAAAATCAAGAATAAAAATCCTTCCCTCCCCACTTCAGTCACAAAGGGCAATGAAAAGGAATGAAAGAATAAAATATACCACTTTCCCAAACTTTAGGTTATAACAGGGCATCACACGGGACAAACTTTGAGTTTTTTGGTAGATTTAATTTTGATTTAGATAGGTTTGAACTTTTAAAATCAGTGAGTCAGTCTTAATTGTTACAATATCACTGTTCTTATAACTGATAATGATACTAAAGTGAAGGAATTCACCTTTGGCATCACCATGGTAAAAAGAAGAGAGATTCAACAATGTTTTAAGGCAATATTAGAAGAAAATTTCCTTTTCATAACCCATTGAATTCACAATGTTCAATGAATTGGTTATATGAGAATTAAAGTATTTTATTTTCACTGAATGGGCAAAAATGATTACAGCAGACAAATTTCTGGTACCGAGAGCAGACAGTCCATGTGAGACCCGCTTTCCATTCCCAACTTATATTTTAGAATAAGTCCTATACCACATTGTTGTATATTTTTTTCTGAGTATAACCCATTTTACATTTCAAACATATTTGCATTCCTCATAACTCCTTGCTTAGACAATGCAAATAGTAGGCTGTTTATGAAAATATTGTTTAGTATTATATTATTAAAGATTAGCCCTTTAATTCAGATAGCATGTGATTTTGATGTTTTAGTTAGACAGTGTTTAGAGGATACAAGCACTGTGAACATGGAGCAATAAATATAAGAATAGATGTCAATTTATAGCCATCTAGTCTAATTTAAAGCCTTCTCATTATTATGCCTCTTATGCATAAATGCAAGTAATTTCTTGTTTTTCTTCTGTATTCTATTTATGGCAGTAGAAGCAAGTATATTGACACATGAAGTTCATTGCCTCTGATTAGTTCAATAAGCTCTGATCTCTTGTATTTAAGAAGTCCAGTAAATTTCTTAACTAAACTCTCTGTCCTTTATTCATGACCTGAAATATTTTATGGAATTAGATTTTATCGATTCAGATTTAACACCTGTTTTGAGCTCAATTTTGTATTAGGCACTGAACTTGGCACTTTCATACATGATATATGTTTTAGTCACAAAAACATTACATATTTTGATTTTACGTTGGTAAATTATTGAAGTCCCAAGATATTATGTGACTTTCAAAAGGATCCCGGCTGGAGAGCATTAGAACAGCAGAGGGAATATATAAGTGTTCCTGTCATGGCTATCAAATTATGAGGAAAAATACCCAAGCAATGTATCGCAGACTTGCTGGAGCAGTTTTTATTCGGGAACACTTGCAGACAGAGATGTAGAAAACGTACCAGTCCCAAGTTTCCCATTACACTGTAGGCAGTGCACAGCCATCTGGCAGGACCAGACGTCAGCTTGCTGAAAAGAGACCCTGGCACTTGGCTATGATGCATGGAAGCTGAATCTGAGGAAAGTCCTTGTCTTTTCCTGGGGGAGAATAGAAGCCAAGATACAGTAGGAACGTGATGTTGTGGAACCTGGATTGTAGCTTTATCTAAGTGTTCATGTTTGGGAAAGCACTGGCATCTCACCTGGCATAATTAGTGGTGCAATTGCAATCAAGATTTGTTGACCAAGGCTGATTATTTTATGTACTTGGTCATGTCAGTTTCTGTGGCATTTTGCTGGAGACATACTTCTTTTGTGGTAAGTTGGCCTTCAAGTGATCAATCTTGGACAAGTTAATTCTTACCTCTCAATTGTATTTCTTGAAGCTTTGTACATATTTTATAGATATTCTTTCCACACGATATTGATAAAATATATTATATCAAGGAAAGTTTTAGAGCTGGATTTGAAACTGGGTCTTCTGACTCCAATTTCCTGTTATTTTGTTGCATTTTGTTACAATTTCTATAATCACTTTATAGCTAAAGAGAATCCATGACGAAGTAAATATTACTCTTTAGAATTTGAAATTTTTTCTTCCGTAGGAAACAAGGAGACAAAAAAAAACTTGTGGAGAGAAGTACGATTTTAGTTGTCCTCAAGGATGCAAACTGACAGTATGGTGGAGGATGACTTGGAAAAGGAAAAACAAGTAGATTTAGGAAAGTGTAGTACATGTAATTGTTTAGTTACTACACAAGGAGATTTAAGTAGATTATTGGAAGTGAGAAAGAGAAACAAAGGACAGATGCCAGAGGCAGAAGTGAGAATCCTTAGTAAGTTGTTAGTAATGCGGAGAGAGGAAAACAAAGAATTCTTGCCATCTAACTCTGAGGTTTCCATCTTTGTTTCCTGGGAGATTGAAAGCACTATTGAAATAGGTGAGTCAAAGACAAGTAGGTTTGATAGGATATTAACGACAGGAATTTTAAATGAGCTGAAGAAGGCTGGTTGGGATAATGAGATAGAAACTGAGGTAAGACCTGGACCAAGGTCTATAGATGGCAAATCATGACTGATTTCAATATCAATCAAACAAAAAATACCGTTTCATTACTGTGTTGGGAGGTGGAGTTGGATTGCAAGTGGCTATGTGGGAAAGGTTGATTAGAAAGGGGTTAAAGGCAGTAAGTACAGGCTGCATTTTAGAGAAATTTGGCAAGGAAAGGAAAAGGGAATATGAGTATGAGGAATAGCAACCTTGAAATAAATTTTCTATTGTTTTATTTTTGGGATAGGGGAATAAAAATTTTTATGTCAGTAAGTCAAAGAAAGATCAAGAAGAGGGTGATGCTTAAATTGTGAGAGGATGATTTCTAGAAAGTGGTTTTAGAGGTTGTGGGAGAAAATGAGAATTTAGACGACACATGTAGAACTGAAGTTTAGAAAGAAGGAGTGGTACATGCCTTTTTTTGATAAATAGAAGAAGCAGTGGAGGTTAAGGAAAATACCTTTTGAAGTGAAAGTGAAGAGTGCTGATAGTAATAATAAAATTATTGTATTATACATTGAAGTTTTGAACGAATATTTATTATGAGTCAGCTGCCTGAGAATGAAGCCAGCAAAGAGGAAGCAGAGCAAAGAAAGAGAGAGTGCCTGAGTTCAGTGACATTTATTGGATAATTTCTGGATGTTAGCTGCCCTTGTGGGCTTCCCAGTTATAAGACAAGGCATCCTATAGTTTGCTTAAGATAGTTTGGGTTGGATGTCGGTAGCTTGCAACATGACCTCCTCTACCGCAACCACAGTTGTCTCCTTTCTAATTAACCTAATTTTACCTATGGCCATAGCCATGTTATACACTACAACCTCAAAGAATACTTCTCAAACCAAAATTCTAAGGTTTCCATCCTTTAGTATCTTCTGTCTCTCAAGATTAATTCTTCCGATGCCCTCACTCTAATATAATCTTATTGTCCAGAGATTTCCATCTTGTTGAGTACAATCCATTTCCTTTATATACCACCTTTATGTACCACCCTCTCACTTTTTTTTTTAATACTTTAAGTTCTGGGATACATGTGCAGAATGTGCACGTTTGTTACATAGATACAATTGTGCCATGGTGGTTTGCTGCACCCATCAACCTGTCATCTAAATTAAGTATTTCTCCTAATGTGATCCCTCCCCTTGCCCCCCACCCCCTGACAGGCCCCTGTGCATGGTGTTCTCCTCCCTGTGCCCATATGTTCTCATTGTTAAACTCCCACTTATGAGTGAGAACATGTGGTGTTTGGTTTTCTGTACCTGTGTTAGTTTGCTGAGAATGATGGTTTCCAGCTTCGTCCATATCCCTGCAAAGGACATGAACTCATTCTTTTTTATGGCTGCAGAGTATTCCATGGTGTATATGTGTCATATTTTCTTTATCCAGTCTATCACTGATAGGCATTTGGTTTGGTTCCAAGTCTTTGTTATTGTGAAGAGTGCTGCAGTAAACATACGTGTGCATGTGTCTTTATAGCAGCATGATTTATAATCCTTTGGGTATATACCCAGTAATGGGATTACTGGGTCAAATGGTATTTCTAGTTTAGATCCTTGAGGAATCGCCACACTGTCTTCCACAATGGTTGAACTAATTTACACTCCCACCAACAGTGTAAAAGTGTTCCTATTTCTCCACATCCTCTCCAGCATCTGTTGTTTCCTGACATTTTAATGATCGCCATTCTAACTGGTGGGAGATAGTATCTCATTGTGATTTTGATTTGCATTTTTCTTATGATCAGTGATGATGAGCTTTTTTTTATATGTTTGTTGGCCACATAAATGTCTTCTTTTGAGAAGTGTCTGTTCGTATTCTTCACCCACTTTTTGATGGGGTTGTTTGTTTTTTTCCTGTAAATTTCTTTAAGTTCCTTGTAGATTCTGGATATTAGCCCTTTGCCAGATGGATAGATTGCAAAGAATCCTAATCACCCTCTCACTTTCAAAGCTCCATTCTGAGCAATTTAGATTTCATGGTCCAACATAGTAAGTTCTTCCTTAGAAATATTTTTGTTTCCCTTGCTCTTCTCTTCAACCCACTTGAAATACAAACCCTAGCTGAACTCAACTGTCTTCTCCATGGTGTTCTTTCATTTAAGATTAGAATGCCAAAAAGGGATTGAAAGCTCTACTTGAGAAGGTGAGGCTTGACAACTCTGAGCTTCACAGTGAAGTGACCTGTGTGTCCTAATTGGTTGGGGGAAACTCTGAAGTTCATATTTTCAGGTGGTATCCCATGAGCTAGTCAGATGCATTCTTGCCAGTAGAACATCATCATAGCTTCCAGAACTCTGGGCACTGAATGAAGAAAGAAGGCCTAGTTATCAAAATCTAGCATGGGGATTTTCACTTAGTATTGTTGTTGACTGAAAGGAAGCCTCAACTCTGCTTGGTTTCTCCCAGTTGGGAGACCTTCTGTTTTACATTTTCGGAAAAATCCTGGTGATTTTTGGGGATAGGAATAGACAGTTGCCCACCTATGCCAAACAAAAGAGAGGATAAGGAGTTGGACTTCTCAAACATATTTTCAGGCAATTCTCCTGATTTTAGCCCCATTTTTATCTCAATTTCCAGGGATAATAGAGCCACCAATGGTTGATCCTTCTGGGAATCCTCCAAAGTAAATTGGGTGATTTCTAAGTTTAGCCTACTTTCAACTTAGGTTCTAGTTTTCTCAGGTTTAATGTCAGTACTATCTGGTTTATATAATTTTCACATTTCAAAGTTGATTGCTCTTGTATCTTCTCATGTCTTCTTTATCCTCATGGATTTATGCCTTTAAAAATATTGTTTACCACGTTTTGGTATAGTTTTAGAAGGGAGCAGAGATAAATGCATGTTTTCAACCAGGAATCTTATCCAGAAATGGCTCCATTCTTGAAGTATCAGAAATCTTTCTTCTCTGTACATTTCTCTTTAATTAGTTAATAGTAGCCTGACCAAGGTAAGACCTCCTCCATGACTGGTGGGAAACTTGCCCAAGCTCTACAAAAGGGAAGTTTTTGCTCATCCCCACAGAGGAAATATTTCAGAGTATTATTATGCAACTAATTCAATTAAATGTATTATTTTCTACTTTTTGACAGCAATGTGCTTGGCAATTTTACATACTTTATTTCATTTTTTTCCCTCAAAACCAATGCTATATGTTATTTCATAATGCAAACATTGAAACTCTGAGAGGTTGTTACTTTCCCCAAACTACAAAGCTATCGAGTAACTGAGCTAAATAAAAGCTAGTCTTTCTAATTCCAATTCTTTTCACTCAGTTTTTTAAAAATGTTTATTTTATTTTCAGGGGTCCATGTGCTGCTTTGTTTCATAGGTAAATTTGTGTCTTGAGGGTTTGTTGTTCAGATTATTTCATCATCCAGATATTAAGCCTAGTAGTACCCATTAGTTATTTTTCCTGATCCTCTCACTCCTCCCATCCTCTACCCTCCAATAGGCCCTTTCCCCACATTTTTTCTTTGTATCTAAGATCTATTTGGACATGATAGATCCGTTTGATGTTCCCTGAAGAAATGTACTTTCTATCATGCACACATGGACGCACATGGACATGAACATATACATATTCTCATTTTCTGAATGATTTGAGAGTAAATTGGAGAGACATCATGGTTATTTCTAAATACTTTAGCATGTGTATCCTAAGTACAAGTAAAAACCATAATATACTTATTTAATTAAGAAGATGTAACAATGATACAACACTATTACATAATCCATAGTACAAATTCAAATTCCATCAATTGTCTCAATAGCATTCTTTTTTGTTTTTATTTTTACCAAGTTCAAGATACAATCTTATAATGTAGATTCCATTTAGTTGTCGTGTCTTCTTTGTCTGCTTTATTCTGAAACAGTTCCACAAACTTTCTTTGTCTTTCTTGACCTTGACAGTTGTGAAGAACATGTGAAAGTTTTTTTTTTAAATGTTTTCAATTCGCATTTATATAATATTTTCCAATGCTTAGATTCATGTTATAAACTTTTGGTAGAAATGACAAGATACGATGTTGTGTGATTCTCAGTACATCATCTCAGAAGACTAAATGGTGTTAGTTTATCCCAATCACATTTATGTTAACATTAATTACTTGATTAAAGTGTTGTCTATCAGATTTCTGCGCTATAAAGTTAGTATTATTTTCTTTGTAACTAAAAAAGTACTTTGTGAGGAGATACTTTGACATTATGTAAATAACCATTCCTCAATAAACTTTCTCTCAATGAATTTTAGCAGTCATTGATAATTTTTGAAAATCATATTTTTTTTTTTAAATATAGTGTTTCATCTTCTACAATATGAGCCTTTCCTTTTTCCTTCCTTTTCTTTCAGTGTAGACTTATGGGTTTCTCCTGTATTCAACTTCTTGGGGAAGTTTCAGCCGTAATTCCTTCAAATACTTTTTCAGTATTCTTTCTCTTCTTTAACTCCAATGAAATGAATATTAGATCTTTTGTTATTGTCTCTTAAATTCCTCAGAATCTGTTCATACTTTTTTCTCTGTTGATTAGATTACATAATTCTTACTGATTTATAATCAAGTTTACTGGCTCTTTTTACTGTCAATTACATTCTGCTATGGAGTACATTTAGTGAGTTTTTTTCTTTAATTTCAGTTATTGGATTTTTCAGCTCTTGTATTTTAATTTTTGTCTTCATATGTTTTTAGTTGCTGAAACATTCTCTTTTAACATTTGTTTCAAAAATATTTGAAATTGCTCATTTGGTTTTTATAAGGGCTCCTTTAAAATCTTTTGATGATAATTGCCATATTTGAGTCATCTTGACTTTGGCATCTGCTGAGTGTCTTTTCCCATGAGAGTTTAACCTTTCAAGGTTGAGGAATTTTTAATTGAATCCTGGACATTTTAAATATTATGTCAAGAGTCTGGGTCTTAATTTAAATGCTGTGGAAAATGTTGATGTTTTTGTTTTAGCAGGCAATTTATCCAGTTAGGTTCATGCTGCATGTTCCAAACCTGCTTCTGTGCGCTGGGATTCCAAAGTCAAACTGCGAAGCCTTTGTAGAGCGCTTCACATCTGTTTCCAAGTGCACCACCCAGTGGACAGTCTGGGTCCTGGGCAGTAGTTTACCTGTAGTTTAGTTCTCAAACTTTTAGGTATGTTAGTTAGGTTCCCATCATGGCATGGGTGAGCCCAGAGCTCATAAACAACTTTATGAGGCCACTTGCCCAGGCTCCTCTTTGTAATCTCCCTAGTACTGTGATTCCCAGGTGCTCTCTTTTACAGCGTGGTCCCATCCTGTTGGAACTGCTTCCTCAGTAAAGGGAGAGGAAAACTAGACTGCCTCAGAGTTTTGGCTCCTGTGGCCTTCCATTATGGGTGGCTGTCTTCCACTCTTACCCGCATCCCCATGGGATTACTTGGGAGTTGGAGTATGAGAAATGGAGGGAAAAAAGAAGAAAATAGGGTGATTTCTGCACTCTTTCTGTGGGTATGAGAATTTCCTTCTAGGTCCTCCTTCCAGAACAGGAGGGGTTTCCCTAGAGCTCTTTCTGTAGTGCAGTACTTACCTCAGGGTTTGAAGCTGTGTTAAATTCAGGCCAGATAACTCTGGAGGAAAACTTCGCAAATGTGCTTTTTCCATCTTGCGTGGACCACACCTCCTGTTTCATTTGATATGTGCTATTGGAAGGAGTTTAAGAAGGTTGGGGTTCATAGTAGGACAAATAGACAGCACAGAGTGTCCAGAGTTAAGAGGTAAGGCTGAGAGGCAGTTAGCAACCTGGGTAGAGACTTATAAACTATAAGGAATAGGGCTTCTTAGATGTGGCTCTTGGTTTTGAGTCTCCTAGAATATTTTTAAAAATTCATAAAAAAAGTTTACAGTTACATTGTATTTTAAATTATTTTTACTGGCAAAGTGGTGATCTTATGGTAAAAAAAACAAGTAGCAATAGTCTCATGTGATGATTTTAAGAAATATGAGACCTTATACAAATGTGCACAGTGGCCCAAATAGCTTTGTTTGTTTTTATTTTAAGTTCAGGGATACATGTGCAGAATGTGCAGGTTTGTTACATTGGTATACATGTGCCATGGTGGTTTGCTGAACCTATCAACCCATCATCTAGGTTTTAAGCCTTCCATGCATTAGGTATTTGTCCTACTGTTTTGCCTTCCCTTGCCCCTCACCCCCGAGAGGTCTTGGTGTGTGATGTTTCCCTTCCTGTGTCCATGTGTTCTCATTGTTCAATTCCCACTTATGAGTTGGAACCATAGCATAAAAAACTATAACATAAAAAAAAAACAACATAACATAAAACCAAAACATGCAGTGTTTGGTTTTCTGTTCCTGTGTTAGTTTGCTGAGAATGATGGCTTCCAGCTTCATCCATGTCCCTGCAAAGGACATGAACTCATCCATTTTTATGGCTGCATAGTATTCCATGGTATATATATATATATGTCACATTTTTTTTATCCAGTCTATCATTGATGGGCATTTGGGTTGGTTCCAAGTCTTTGCTTTTGTAAATAGTGCTGCAATAAGCATATGCGTGCATATATCTTTATAGTAGAATGGATTTATAATCCTTTGGGTATATATCCAGTAATGAGATTAATGTGTCAAGTGGTATTTCTGGTTCTAGATCCTCGAGGATTCACCACTTGGTCTTCCACAGTGGTTGAGCTAATTTACACTCCCACCAACAGTGTAAAAGTGTTCCTATTTCTCCACAGCCTCACCAGCATCTGTTGTTTTCTGACTTTAAATAATTGCCATTCTAACTGGCACGAGATGGTATATCCTTGTGGTTTTGATTTTCATTTCTCTAATGATCAGTGATGATGAGCTTTTTTTCTATATGTTTGTTTGGCCAAATAGCTTTCTCACCTGGACTCTCTCTTGCTGTGCTTGGTCCATCTAACACAATTGCGTGCTGTATCTGGAGACTAGTGGAAACTATTGAAAGATTTTAGTGAGTGCATTGGTACTATGAAAGAGTATTTTGTTGGCACGTGGGAGGATACATGGAGAGAGAAAAAGTAGATGTGGAAACATCAGTTATCAGGCTATTAGTGTAATCCAGACAGTGATACACAGTATAATGCCCCTCAAAGATATCCAAGTCCTAATCCCTGGAAATTGTGACTGTTTTACATAGCGAAAGGGACATTGTAGGTGTGATTAAGTTAAGGACTTTGGAATGTGGAGATTAACTTGGATTATTTTCGTGGCACAATCTAATCATATGAGCCCTTAAAAATAGAGAATCTTTGTTAGCTGTGGTCAGAGAAAGATACAGGAATACAAATCTGGGCCAGATGCTATACTGGTGGCTTTGAAGACTGATGAAGGGGACCGTGAGCCAAAAAATGCTGGTAGTTTCTAGTGGAAGAGGCAAACAAAATAAAACAAGACAAAACAAAACAAAAACAAAACAACAACAACAAAAAACCCCACACCCAGATTCACTCCTAGAACCAACAGAAAGAAACACGTCCCTTCTGATTCCTTGATTCTAGCTCAATAAAAACCTGTCAGGCTTCTGACCTACAAAATTGTAAGAAAATAAATTTGTGTTCTTCTATGCCACTAAGTTGATAGTAATTTGTTATGGTAGCACTAGAAAACTGTGTATAAGTGTACATTGATAGTGAACTGAACAAGTCTATTAGCACTCAAATGGGGAAAAGCAGACCAATGTAAAAGATATTTGGGAGGTAGAATTGATGGGACTTGGTGATAGAAAATGTGTAAGAGGTGGAGAGAGGGCAATGAGTAGTGGGAGGATTTTAAGGTTTTTATTATATTTTTGGCTTGAGCAATATTTTGGTACTGAGAAGTGAGATAGTACTATAATGAGTACCTACAAATATGGATGTGACTTTGGAACTTGGGTATTGAGTAGAGGCTGGGAGAGTTTTGAGGTACATATTTGAAAACTAGATTACCTTGATGGTGGTGTTATTCACTGTGATTTGTGATGCAAGAAGTAGTTTAGTTTGATAGATGCTGAGTTTGAGGCACCTGAGGTCCTTCTGTTGGAACAGGCAGTTGAATCAATTAGATATATAGATAGATACCTCAGAAAAGAGTTTATAGGTATAGGGTTATAGTTTTGGGAATGATCAATCTATAAATATAACTAAAGTGAATTTCAGTGAGCTGCAGCAAGGGGAGACATTCTGTACAAACAGAACTGATTTAAATAATTGGCTTTGAAGGATATGAGAGATGTGGTGGAGTTTGGAAAAGGATGTGGGCTGAAGGAAGGTTTTGGGAATGTACTGAATATGTATAATGTTGATTTCAAGGACTAGTATGAGAGAGGATCTAGAAGCAATAGAAGGAGAAGGTGATGAGTTGAATAACATGCTTGCAGAGGTAGAATCGGTTGGAATTGGATACAGAAGGAGAGGCTGGTCTGGTTTATAAAGAGGCTCTTCTCTTCAATTGTAAAAGGCAGAAAGAAGAAAATAATAGCATGAGCTAAGTGTGAATAGATAGTAGACCTTATTAGTGTAAGCATAGCTTTGGAGTCAGGCAGCAGGGGTCAAGGCCACTGAAATTCATAAACTAAATATAGAGTCTGTAGCCTCTTACTAAGTGTTTGATGACTGGCAAGTTATTTGATTGTTGTGTAATTTTCTCATCTATAACATGGTACTATTAATGTTACCCATCTCATTGGGTTAATGTGCAGATTAACTTATTACTTTATGAAATATGAATACTTGGACAAGTATCTTCTTAGAGGAAGCATAATGTTTGCTGTAGTTATAATGTACTATATTTAATGTACTATATTTAATGTAGTATATTTAATGTACTATATTTTTAAGTTTATATTTATTTTTGCCTTTTTATGATAGATTTCCCAATCTAGCCTGTAAGGGTTTGAGGCCATAGAAAAATACTCTTGACTCATACGAAACTGCAAAGATATAAACACAACTGTATTCTGGTAGTATCCTGGAGCACTGTGTTTAGAGCTTGTTTGAGTTATCTTCACTCTTGGATAAATGATTTGGTATCTATTTGAAAATAGGGAATATATTTAACTTCTTCAAAACTCATCGTCAAAACTGTTGGGGTTGGTTTATATGATTTCTCATCTTGTTTCTAAATCTAACATGCTATGATTTTATTTCATGTTTAAGTCTATTGGGTTAAAAGGTAAAAATATGTAATTGGTAAAATAGAATATAACATTGCATGAACAGATTTCTGCCTACATTTCCAAACATAGTTATCCCATATTCTTTAACTTTGATGCATATGATTATGCAAAATTCTTCTTTCTTTAGGCTTTGATGCATATTCCACTTTGATATGACTACATTGCTATATATTATTTATTATACTCCTGTATGCTACTTCATGCTGAGTGAAAAGTAGAGGTGAATAAAATGCCTTCTCAACTACACTGAAAAAAGAAAGCAAACAAAACAAGAGGATATAAACAAGCAGTTCAGAAAATTACTTCTATAATAATTGAAGTTGTGCTTTTAATTACTGTATTAGTTCATTATTTAGTAAATATTTTTGTCAGACTTTGTGTTATCTCATTTTGACAGAAGTGGGGAAAGTCCTAATGATTCAAATATTCCAATTACCATTATAATTTTTAAAATGGTTAAGTGCTGAACAATTCACAATACTCTTCTCTTCCATTGTTATATTTTATATCTATCACAGTGCAGCGAGGTAGGGAGCCTTAGGACATTACCTTGAACCTAGTAAGCATTTAATCAATGTTTTCTATGGACTATTCTTAAACATTTTTATTGTTATTTACAACTGATATTCGAGGAAATAATGATTCTAGTTTGGGCTCTCTTATTAACCATGTGACACTGAGTTAGTTGGTTAGGGTTTTTTTTTTTTGTTGCTGTTGTCAGCTCTCTCTTCTCTAAGTTAGATTGGGGTCCAGTAAACTTTAAGGTTTGCTTTGTTATTTACTGTATTCTGTGAAGTAAACCACACTTACTTAAGAACTACATTTATCAGATCTTGTTTTGACTGAACATTTGAGTTGGCCTGAATTTTTAGGTTGACCATGTTCTATGGATAGTTTCTGAAATCTTTAACTATCTTCATTGCTCTTAGTATTTAACAAATGGTCAGTAAGAGTATTTTGGAAGACAGAATGAGTTGATGATTGGAGAAGATTCAGCATTTCCTGAAGCAGCTCTTGTCAGTCCATCTTGGAAAGCTGGGGTTGAAATTGGATGAATACCCACCCTAGTACTTGATACTTGGAACTGAAGAAGGTTGATGGAATTCAATGCACATGGTGAATTTAGTTCTCTAAGAAACTTTGAGTTGTTCAGAGAAGTATTTTTGAACTTTGATCACAAAACTCCAGTGTAGAAAGTAGACTGGAATGTAGGTATGATGTCAACATTCCTGAGATCTAGGACAGAGGACCCTTAGATACCTGCTGAGTGACTGGCTATTTTTGTTTGGCCCTAGGATAGCAGTGGCTTTCCTCAGTTTCAGCATAGATAGAAATTTGGATCAATCTATGCCTTTCTGTAGACTCTAGTTATCTGCCTAAGGTACATGTCACTCCATAACTGTGAACAAGCCTTTGCTTAACTGCAATTTTTATTGCAAATGCCCATTTACTTCTTTTGCCACCAGTAAAATTTAAGACCTATGATAGCAGTAGACCATGTCTCTCATTTGCTGCTTTTTATGGCACTGTCCACAGTACCTAGAAGTAGGAGTCACTCAGTAGGCATTTGTTGGATAAGTGTAAAATAAGAACATATAATAACTGTAATCAGGGGTCAAAAAGATTTTAGCATTGAAGGATGCCTTTATTTATTTAAGTATGATTGGGAAGGTGAAAGCTCAGAGTGGTGATGAGGCTCACCAAAGACGAAAAGACGGTCACAGTCTGTGTTGGCAAAGCAAATGACAATTTTTTTTTAACAAATTCCCAGAGCACACAAAATCAGATTATTGAATTTGAATTCCACGTTTTTAAAGATTCATAAAAAGAAAACCAGTCTGACACAGGGCCTAACCAGCAAAATTTCAGAGGATTTAAAATGGTAGTTGACAAAGTGTTAGAGGAGCAACATGGAAGAAGGAAGGGAAGTGTTGCTGGTTGGGAATTAGCTGAGGCAGTCAAGGGCATTTACAGCATGATTTTGGCTGACACAGCAGACACAGCATGAACCAAAGTCAAGGTCAGGGGAGGGAGGCAGGGGTTTAGAGATATTGCTGCACAAACCTCCGGGTGGCTACTGACAAAGAGATCAAGACATGTTTTTACTGATAAGGAAGGCCAGAGCAAAGGTCAGAACTTTGATCATGAGAAATTTTAATTACTCAGATATTGATCAGAACACCTAGGAACCAACTGCAGAAGACGTATTTGAGAACAGAGCTGGATTTTTAGATTCACACTGGGAGATCTGACTGCTCTTAGACTGTGGTCAGTTGTTATTCTAAGTGCATCCCAGGATAAAAGCCAACTATGATAATGGGTGAGACTTTGGGGAATATCAGTGACCACAATATTATTAGACTTTAAATGGTAAGTGGAAGAAACATTACAGAAAGTTGATTTTGGAGGAATGTATAGAAAGCCCTAAGGACCTTTGATGGAAATGTTATAATGTAAAGGGGAAGAGAGGAAGAATATTTAAAGGTGAATTGAAGTGCTTCTTCAAAATCAATAAAGAAAATTAAACCTCCTTAATGATCTCAGGCCAGTAATACAGTCTTAGAGCTAGAATCTGCCCCAGTATATCAGGTGTCTCTCTGGCCTTTGAAAAATTGCTTTTCTGATTTGGTTACACATGTTTGGCTGGGTAAATGGACTTTTATTTGGATCTTGGTTTTAGTGAGTAATATCAGATTAGTAAAGACCCTTACATTTAGATCCTTGAAATCTTTCATGTGGACCTTTTAATGCCTTTGCAACTATGGTCTCTTCTTCAAGCCTTGCTTATTTTCCAGTATATCTTCTGCAAAAACCTGTTTCTAAGAGACAGGTTTGACAGTGTCACTTCTTTGATGGTCTCCCATTATTTTTTTTTTATTTTTTTTTTTTTTGAGACGGAGTCTCGCTCTGTCGCCCAGGCTGGAGTGCAGTGGCGGGATCTCGGCTCACTGCAAGCTCCGCCTCCCGGGTTCACGCCATTCTCCTGCCTCAGCCTCCCAAGTAGCTAGGAGTACAGGCGCCCGCCACTACGCCCGGCTATTTTTTGTAGTTTTAGTAGAGACGGGGTTTCACCGTTTTAGCCGGGATGGTCTCGATCTCCTGACCTCGTGATCCGCCCGCCTCGGCCTCCCAAAGTGCTGGGATTACAGGCGTGAGCCACCGCGCCCGGCCGTCTCCCATTATTATGTATGGCAAAGACTAGTCTCTGAAATTTGGTCTTCACTTAATTCCTTGATCTCAGTATTTGCTGCCCTTGTATGTATCATTCATTCTAGCCATACATTTTTTTTTTTGGAATAATACTAGATTTACAGGATATTTGAAAAGACAGAATATAGAGTTTGCATATATTCTTCACTCATTTCTCCCTACACTTAACATCTTACATTACCATGGCATATCTATCAAAACCAAGAAGCAGATATGGGTATATTACTAGTAATTAAACTCTATACTTCATGCAGATTTCACCTGCATTTTTCTCTTAACTGTTTTTTTTCTGTTCCAAAATTCTATCTAGGATATTACATTGCATTTGGTCATCATGTATCATTTGTTTCCTCTAATACATAACAATTTTTCAGATTTTTCTAGTTTTTAAGAAGTACTGGTCAGACATTTGCAGACTGTGTCTCAATCTGTGTGTGCTTTATGTTTTTCCTCATGATTACAGTAGTGTTACGGGGTTTGGCAAAGAATGCCACAGAAGTGAAATGCCCTTGTCATCATATCATATCAAGAGGAATATGCTATGAACATGACTTCTCACTGGTGATCTTAACCACTTGATTAAGGCAGTGTTTGCCAGGTTTCTCCACTGTAAAGTTACAAGTTTTCTCTTTCTGTAATCTATTCTTTGGAATTGAATTAGTAAGTCAACTCAAGGGTGATGGGGGGGATCAAGCCACACCTCCTAAAGGGAAGAATATTTAGATTTGTTGTTTGGGACTGTAGGACTATTTATCTTTGTAAGGACTGTTTATTTCCTTTTTATCTATCTATCTATCTATCTATCTATCTATCTATCTATCTATCTATCATCCATCTATCATCTATCATCTATCTCACTATGATCTTATGAATATTTATTTTATACTTTGGATTATAGTTCAATACTATGTTGTTTATTTTATCACTCAATTTATTCCAGCTTTGGCCTTTGGGAGCTTGAAGTGTTTGGCTCAAGCTTTATAATACCTGGCTTAGTAAGAACTCATTAGCTACGACTAATGAAACCAGTTCAGCTCTGCTTAAGTCAAAAAGTGGAAATTTATTATAAGAACATAGAAGCATCTCCCAGAACCTTTGAGCTAGATTATGGCTGGGTATCAATAGGACTGAAATTGATATTTAGAAGGTGATCAGCCTCCCTCACTGAGCTCTTCTGCTTTTCTCTATATGTCTCATTTCTTTTTCTCCTTCTGTAACCTCAGGCCACATGAGACATAGCTGCTATCTCAGAGTGATTGAATTTATGTGTTAAGAGTTACAGCTGGCCGGGCGTGGTGGCTCACGCCTGTAATCCCAGCACTTTGGGAGGCCAAGGCAGGCGCATTGTCTGAGCTCAGGAGTTCTGGACCAGCCTGGGCAATACGGTGAAACCCCGTCTCTACTAAAATACAAAAAATTAGCCGGGCGTGGCAGCATGCACCTGTAGTCCCAGCTACTCGGTAGGGTGAGGCAGGAGAATTGCTTGAACCCAGGAGGCAGAGGTTGCAGTCAGCCAAGATTGCGCCACGACACTCCAGCCTGGGAGACAGAGTGAGACTCCATCTCAACAAACAAAAAAAAAAAAACAAAAAAAAAAAGAAAAGAAAAGAGTTACAGCCATACAAGCAGAGGGATATGACTCTCTTAAGGTCCTGCATCAAAATTATTTGGAAAAGAAATTGTATTTGCCTTACTTCTCCATGAAGCTATGTCCAGGGATGTGCTGTTGACTCCACAGTACTCACCTATGTCAACATCATAGATTAGGGAGACATTTCTCAGAGAAGGCTGGATTGTTCTGAGTTTGTCATATATCCCTAAAAGATCCACTATAAATATCTGTGGCTGAAGAATGCTGCTTCCTCTACCTTAAATGCACTTTTACCTTTTGCCTACACAGAAAGCTCCAGCTCAGGCATTGTTTTTTTAGGACATCATCTCTATCCCCACCCCTTCTCTTAGTTACGCTCTCATCTGATCAAGCACATAATTTTATTATTGAAAAATTATTTTTATTATTTATCATATAGTATATTTGACATTTTTTCAAGATCCTATGCCTCTTCAAAACTTTTCACGTATAATTTATCTTAACATTTCTAAGGTCTAAAATCGTTTATAGCACATTATAAGTTCAATGGATGATTTTTGAATGAATAGGTGAGTGAACAATTATCAGTACAATATATCTTAAGTTATGATAGGGCTGAAGGCACTAAAATTATAGTATATAATTAATAAACTTTAGTTAAAAAGCCATTAATGCTTTCTGATAAACAGAGAGATCATTTTCTCTGCCACTACCCACAAAGAAGCCTTAGAAAATAGGATGCCTTAAAAGACAATCACGACTCTTTAGCAGTGAGAAAAATTGGGACGATTCAAAGGCAAAAAATCTAAACAAATTTTTAAGAGGTAAGTGGAAGTGAAAAAGAAAATCCCCACAGAGTATTAGTTTGCAGGGCCTAATTCAATCAGCAAGAAAGGATTTCTCAAATGTATTTGTAAGAGGCAGACGGGAAAAAAGAAAACTGGTTCACTGAAAAATGAGACCAGGGAATTAGAGACATAGGCTAAGCAAAGGGAAATTTGTTCAACAGCTGCATCTTGCTTTGGTCTTTATAGATCTAAGGGGAGATAAGAAATCACTTAGAACAGAAACCATAGCCCCTGTTTTGAAGTAGGTAAACCACAGCTGAGGATGGATAGATGACTAAGAGGAGAGCAGCTGAAGGAAGCACAAATTCACTCTATTACTCTGTCCAGGCCCCTTGAATTCATGGTCAGGCCCTCATCCCAGGAACTCATATTTAGTCTTGTATGATTTCTTGACTTTCCAGTTACCTAACAATTCAATGCAATTTTAGGAACCCCATTTGTAATTCTCAATCTGCTTTATTTCTCCCTAGACCAGAATGTTATCCTGGAAAGAGCAGACTGATGAGTCAGAAAGAGGAATTAGAATTTTACCCATGGGTTGGAGATATAAATTTGGATTATAGTATCATGTCATTTTAAGTTAAAACTGTCATTAGAAGAGGTTAATTAATAAAAGCATGTACAGGAAAGTAAGCAATAGACCAAAAGAGAATCTTAAGTGCAGGATAACTGCACTTAAAGATCAGGCATGGGGACGGATTAAGGAGTTTAAGAAAGAATGACCCATTAGATATGAGGGGAATAAGTTACTTGGTGTTACAGAAGCAGAGTTAAGAGACGTAGAAGGAATTAGTCAATAAAGTTAGATGCTGTTGAGATTAAGTAAAATTGGAGTTTAAAAGGTTCTTTGTATTGTATATTGTTATTTCCATTTATAGAATATTATTTTGTATTATCTTCACAAAAATCAATAACCTTACTTTGATTTTCTTTATTTATTTTCATTGACATACAGCCCAGTTTTTCTAAGGCCCAAATCCTCATTTTTATGAGGATGACTTTTAAACTAGGGAGATGATTTGGGTTTTTGATAGAAACAAGTCTTAAATTAAATCTCAGTTCTCTCATTTCATATCTGCATGCTCTTGGACCAATCATTTAATTTAAGGCTTAATTTTTCATCTGTACATCTGTAAAATGGTTCTAATCATTTATATTTTGTAGACTGGCTCTGAACAAATATGTTCAAATAAATGCACACCTGAAAATATTAGTCCATTTTTGCATTGCAAACATATATTTAATTACATTTAATTCAAGTGAGATTACTTTTGAACAGATTAATTTTCTCTAGATAAAAGACGAGGTTCAGCCTTATGGCTCTAGAAAAGGTCAGTGTCTTACTAATAGTCTTAAATTAACCCAGAGCCGTTCCTGTACTAAAACATCATCTTGGATAAATACCAACACAAGGTCATCTTACCATTTTGAACCTTATCTGTAGGGGAATGTCACAGATAAAATTTTTTTCCAATTACTCTTACATGGACACCTGGTACTCTCCCAAATTAAGTAGTCTCTTCTTCCATGGTTAGTTAGTTTATTGAAAACATTGAATACTAGAAATTGAAATGTCTTTGAACTGTCATTTCTCCAAGGTTCAGGAGAAGCAGTGGATGGAAGGGGATCATTCAGGCAAATAAATGTGATTTGACTTCCATTGCCTCAGGCTTTGATTTTACCATCTGTCATGTCTGGCACTGGCTATTAGAGTAAACTTCTTGATCATCTGCTTCAAAATAAGCAACCTCAATATAGACCTGCTTCAAGCAGAACTTTGACTATATTAATGCATCACTGACTTCCTCACTCCATTTTCATGCCAGATACCAGAATGTTGACTGCAGTTAATGATAATTTTTTTTTCATTTATTTTACAACCTAAGTTGTCATGCTCTGCTACCTTCAATACTGCAGGTCCTTTTATACTAGCATCTCTTACAGAAAATCTTCTCTAACCTCTTCACTTAACACTGCCCCTCTCCCCTTCAGAGTGCTTAAGTGCCTCCTTTGCACTTCTGAGTCTCCTGTGTACACCACACCACAGGACTTATTCATCCTACTGTGCCTCATATGTTTCCATGACTGTCCCCTCCTCTAGTTATGTCAGAGTTGAGGGCAAATGTTACCTTTTTAATCTATGCATCTATATCCTTAATGCCTGCTGTAATACTTGTCACAGAGTCAGCATGCATTAAATATCAGTTGAATGACTCATTGAATGAAAGTTTTTATCATTTGACTTCTGATTCTATGATATTTGATATTTCTGATTCCACACATTCCCATTTTTGACACATACAATAACAGCAATTATTCACCCCTCACTCTCTCAGTTCAAAATGGCTATGGTTTTGTTTTGTTTTGTTTCGAACAAACTTTGGAAATATATGTTCATTTTCATATTACTCTGAAACCATTTTAGAATATTTGTGTACTAAAAATATTGGGGAGTTTCTTCAACTTCTAATAGAATTCAGGATATCTGAAGATTGAAGATTCGGATAAAATATTACCTTTTTCTTCTATAAAACTTTTCTTGAGTCCCCAGAGAATGTTAGACCCCCCAGAACTTCATTCATTCTTTCTTATAGAACTCAACCTCTCGTGGTGTAATTCATTCATTTGCAGAACAGATACAGACTGGGAGCTCCTTAAGAACAATGTCTGTGTTTCTGATTAATTTTTGTGTTCATTTTGCCTGACCAAATATTGTCTTCTAAGACTTTGAACATATTGTTCACTCTGAGTAGAACTCTTTACTCAAAGCTCCCTACCATTTACTACCTTTTGCCTTAATTCCATTACCAATACAAACACACATACTTCACCGGGTAATCCTTAAATAGCCTTTTAGTTCCAGCTGTTACCTATTTTCAGAAATGTCCTATAATCACTCCCTACACCTCACCCCATAAAAGATTCCTTTTATGAATCTTTAAAAACATAGAATTCAAATTCAATAATCTGATTTTGTGTGCTCTGGTTATATTTATTATATTGTATTTAAATTGGTCTCTTTATTTTCCTTACCAGCCTGTAAATTCCTTATGGTCAAGAACTGTGTCTTGTTCTTTGTATCTCCCGTGCCTAATTAAGCCTGTGCATAATAGATGATGAATAAAAATGTTTTAAAAAAATACACCACTCTACCATTCTTCTGGGTATGTATACAGGCAATTATTTTTCAAGGAGTTAATGCTCAAGCCAGTATTGCATATAGTCTTTTTCTCATATCTATACCTATAACTATATTAAATGGGCTCCTTGCTATGATGATTTCTGGATAAATTGTGTATCTGTTGTTTGGAGTTAAGGTTCAGTGAGTAATCATGGAAACATAACAGTTACATGTTACATGACTGCTATTAAGTGGGTTTCAAAGGAAAAGCCATTGATCTAGCATTTCCTATGAAGGAAGAGCTGCTTTACAGATTGATCTTTCTGTGGGAGGATGAGTAAGCTCACAGAAGTATTAATAAAAGAAGATTTAGTCCCAAAGGTATAAGTACAAAAGATACGATTATACAACACAATGCCACAGATTGTGTCTACTATGTTGTTATGGACTGAATGTTTGTATCTCCTCCATCTTATATGTTAAAATCCTACCCCACAAGGTGATGACATTATTAAGTGGGGCTTTGGAAGGTAATTAGGTTATAAAAATAGAACTCTCCTGAATGGGATCAATACCCTTATAAAAGGCACCCCAGAGAGCTCTCTTGCCTTCTTTTCACTACGCGAGGACACAGTGAGAAGTCCATGGTCTGCAACCTGGAAGAAGTCCCTCATCAGAACCCCACCATGTTTGCATCTGTGGCTTCTAGCCTCTAGAACTGTGAGAAATAGATGTCTGTTGTTTATGAGCCACCTGCTCTATAGCACTTTGTTGTAGCAGCCTAAACAAACTAAGACATGCATCAATAATTTTTCTGGTGACAGCCTGAATTAAGAGCTGTTTGACAAGTGTCACATGTCACCAGTGTTATGAGTAGAAGATTTTAAAGAACAATGATTGTTTCTTTTTTTTATTGTTCATCTATTTCCTTACAATAAAGCTTCCCACTAGACAACTCAACCAAGACACCGTTACATTCAGGTGCCTATTGGTTACTGTTCAGAGAAGATCTTCAGGGAAAATATTAGTTAGTGGTTGTTAGATAGTGCAAACCCAAATAGCAATGTTGCTTCAATATGATTGTAAAGTGAATGGATCTATAAGGCCGCCTCCTCCATGACACACTTTCTATGCTAGCCTACCTGAAGCTCCCTCCCTTCCTCCCTCCCTCTCTTCTTCTCTCCTTTTATTCTTCCCTTCATTCCATCTCTGTTGAGTTCCTATTATATGTAAGGCCTTTCCCTTAACAGTAGAGGTAGAAAAATATCAAACTCAAATTTTGTCTTCAAAAATGTTTAATGAGTATTCATGAAGTGAAAAAAATATCAATAAAGTTTAAAAAGTCTGATAAAAATGAAAAATTCATCTGAGAAGAAAAGAGATGGCTGATGTCTCTCCACCACCCAAAAAATACAAACAAACAATAAAAGACTTCTTAGAAGTGATCAAATAGTAGTTCACTGAAACTGAAAAAATAGAATATCTCCAGAAGGAATCATGTTTCTATACAGAAAATCATGAAACCTTTAAAGGGAGGCATAGATCTGTGCTGTCCGATATGGCGATCAATAGCCACACACTGGTATTTAAATTTAAATGAATTAACATTAACTAGAAGTAAAAATTTGGCTTTTCAGTCACACCAGCCACATTTGAATACTCAATAGCCACATGCTTGTTGAACAGCATAGGTACAAAACATTCCTATATCAGATAAAATTATGTAAAATAGCACTGGTCTAAATTCTAATAATTGTGCCAGGAGTATAGGGAACATTTCCGGAGAATGGCTCATCAGTTAGTCTGCTTGTAAGAAAGAAAATAAGATAAATTCTAGTAATTCAACTAATAGCTGACATTGACTAAACACCTACTGTATTTCATATTGCTTATATTTGATACTCAAAGGTATTATTTTCACTTATCAAAATGAAGACTGAAGTTCAGAGACAGAAAGTACCTTTTCCAGAGTCACTTAGCTAGTTAATGGATTGAAGCAGAGATTAGACCCAAAGTAAATGGAGGCCTAAGATGATTGGATTGTAAATATTAGATATTGGGGAACAAATGAATATTCTAAGCAAAAACATGATATACCATAATCTGCACTGGAGGAAAAACATTTTTTGATGATGGAAAAGTGGATGGCATGTCTTTGGTCAGTGCAGAAATCTTTATCAAATATATGAGATCAGAGCCCAGAATTTTGGGGTTCATTGAGCTATCCGAAAAACTTTTGTCTAGGTAATACCAAAGGAAAAGCTTGGGAGTAGGAGTACCATAAAAATATTGTAGCTGACTAGGTAAGCAGAATTATTTTTGTAGGGTATAGACAAATCATGTTTCAGAAAATGTACTCAGCTAATACATTTATGAGTTATGAAATTATATATTTGTGTATTTTTATGACTGCACATATGCACACATCATTAATGTTGAAAAGCAGAGGTTTTATTAACATGTTAAATTAAACTTTAGCATTTTAATTTTAACTTTTCATTAATTAACTCAACAAACATTGCTTTAGGCTGACCATGCTAGGCACTAGAGGTGCACTGTCAATGTAGTTTATGATCTGGTAGAGGATACAGAAAAAAAATCTTACAATCACAGTACTCAATAAATGCTACAATGATAATTTATTCCCTTGCTGAAGCACAAACCTGAATGCTGAGCTATGAATTACTAAGATAGTGAATGATGCTAGTCTGTCATTTCTTAATGCAGCTGGGTTGTTCTTTCCTTCTTCTTGTATACTTATAAATTCTCCTAAGGTTTTAAAAATGTTTTATTTATGAAATATTTCTGACAAGAGAGAGATAAAACTTTAGTAAATGTTGAAAACTGTGGTTAAAATTTGAGGCTATTCCAGGCAACTTATTGCTCTCATCATAAATATAATTTGAGGTAAAGGAAAGAGCCTGAAAAATTATCTATTTATGAATTAAGGTGTTCACAAAAGTTCCAGAGTATAAGTAAATATGATTCTCAGGATAGTGCCAAGGGTTTACTGTGAGGAAGGCAAATATCCTAAGCTGCTCTTTTTGGTCTTCTAAAAGCAAGGTGCACATGAGATGGTAGTGGAAATAACATAATAACAAATGATGAATTTTACTTTTGAGGTTGTCTAACTAAGGACTATGAGCCTAAATATACCACATGAACATTTGTTTTCTGGGTCTTGCCAGATATGTGGGTATTTACCCAAAGAAGTGGATGTAGGTCACTTTTGATTTTAGTTATGTAGTTTTAGAGAATTTTGTTATGAAACAACAATAAATTGAAATACTTGTTAAAGCTCAAATAATGACTCATTCTCCTGTTCTGCTGTTAAAAAATTATGCAAGCTTCTGCTATGGCCAGTGTATAATATCAAAACTACCCCTTCCACAAATAAGAACTATAAACTCTAGAAAAATACCAAAAACTGAAATATTTGAGGAAACTTGTGAGCAAGCTGAAGCAGAGACACAAAAGAGGAGAGATAAAAGAAAGAATTCATCAGAAAGACACAAGAATGGTAAAAATGCATTCGTCTTATGAAAAACCTTTGAAATATAAGAAGCAAACATCATCAGAATTATAAAAGTATCCATGATTTCACAGTCACTATTAGAGATATTAAAACCCTGTCTCAACAGCTGATAGAATAATTGTATCAAAATAGTCAGTAATCCATATACCAAGACAGACTTTATCATGAACCATAAAACAAGTTTCAATACATTAAAAAATATTGGAAGCATACAAATGCCCATAATAATTAAATTACCATTAATAACAATAGTATAGTTAGAAAACCACAAATATTTAGCACAATAAACAATGTTTTTGTAAATAATTCATGGATTAGAGAAGAAATGAGAGAAATTAGAAAATATTTTGATAAATTAACAACTTTATCATTGTATAATGGCTTTGTCTCTTTTTAGAATTTTTGTTTTAACGCCCTATTTTGCCTGATATGAGTATAGGTACCCTTCTTTATTTTGATTTTCATTTACATGGAATTTTTTTTTTTTCTATCTTTTAACTTTTAGTTTGAAGTGAGTCTCTTTTAGGCAGCATATGGTTAGGTCTTGCTTTTTAGATCCATTTGGCCACTCTGTGTCATTTGATTGGATAATTTCATACATTTACATTCCAGGTAATTATTGATAGCTGAGGACTCACTACTACAAGTTTATTAACTGCATTTTGATTGTTTTGTAGATTCTTTGCTCCTTTCTTATTGCTGTCTTCATTCGTGATTGCACAGAATCATAATAAAATACAATGTATCAAGTTCTTTGGTATGCATCTAAGGAGGCTTTAAATGAAATTTTCAATCTTAAATGTCAATATTAAAAATGTGGAGAGTAAAGAGCAACATCAGCAAGATGGCAAAACAGGAAGTCACCCCTTGTATCCCCACACTTCAGTAAGAATTCTGTACCCATCCATGGACAGAAGTATCTTTGTGGTAGCCTTTAGGTTTAATTAGGAAGTTGTGAAACCTTGGTGGAGCCCAAGACCTGGCTGGATAATTTTGAGGCTATATACCTGAACTTAGATGAAAGATCTGCCAGTCATACTCCTGGGTTCAAACCTGGAAACAGCCTCATCCCCTAAAGTGTTTGGCTACAGCTTCATTTGGCCTTAGGCCTGCTATCAAAATTGTCTTCTAAGGGTTCCAGGAGAATCTAAACACACTAGTGCCTCTGCAGAAAGGCTGCTCTGCCCACCAACATTTGTCTTAGTGATGGACTTGAGAGCTATCTGTAACTTGGCTCCAGCCTCCCTCAGCTGTGGTCTTGGCTTAATACTGCTTAGCTTAGTACTGCTTGCACAAAGACCTATAGGGAGATTTGTCCATTTGTGCCACCTGGATAGGCTTGTCAGCTTCTGCCCCATAGCACACTCAATGGGAGAACCCGTCTTGGTATCAGTCTTTCTCTGTCACAGCCTGAAAGTTATTTCACACAGAGAGAGAAATGCTAGGAAATGTGCCCATCTGAACCACCAGGACAGATTTGCTGGCCTCCATCCCATAGCAGATTCTAAAGTGGCCCTGTCTTAGCTCCAGCCTCCTTCCGCCACAGACATGAAGCTATCCTGTCTATGCAGAGAATAGCTGGGAGTCTCCCCTGTTTGTGTCACCATGGCAGACTTGCTAGCCTTTATTCCATGGCAGATTCTGAAGGGGCCCTAAAGCTTGACTTTAGCCTCTCTAGAGTGCAGTCTGGAAGCGGTCCCAATGATACAGGGAACTGCTGTGAGATGCACCCATCTGTCCCAAGTGGATAGGTGTGCTGACCATCATCTTACATCAGATTCTGAAGGGGCCTATCTTGGTTCCAGCCCTCTTTTCCACAGTCTTGCAATCACCCTTTCTGAGAAAACACCTAGGCAAAGCACCCTAACAAGAAGTACTAAAGGGAGATGTTTGAATTGGAAACAAAACGATCAGAGGTAGCATTTTGAAAACGTGTGAAAGTAAAAACTCACTGGTAAACATAGACCTATAGTCAATTCAGAATATTCTAATATTGCAAAGATGTTATATGGTAACAACTCTAGTATAAGAGTCAAAAGACAAATGTACTAAATACAACTGTAGCTGTACACTTTAATTAGCAGATACACAATGTAAAGAAATGTAAATTATAATATCAATATCATAAAATGTGGGGAAAGGGAGACAAATAATGGGTTTTTATTGTGAAATTGAAGTTAAGGTACTATTAGCTTAAATTCAGACATCATAACTATAAGATATTTTATGTAAACCTCATGATAACCACAAAGAGAATACCTCTAGGAGATGCACAAAATATAAAGAGAAAAGAATCAAAACATACAACTATAAAAATACTACACTTCACCAAAAAGACAGCAGTACTGAGAGAGAGAGGAATGAAAGACTTACAAAGCAGTAAAAAATTAAAATGCTAGTAGCAATTCCTCTTTAACTATTAATTGCTTTAAATTTAAATGGATTAAATTCTTCAGTTAAAATACAGTGGCTGAACAGATTTTAAAAAGATTCAAGAATATGCTGCTGACAAAAGATTCACTTTAGCTCTAAGAACATTTGAAGACCGAGAGGATAGGGATATTAAAAGATTTCTCAGGCAAATAGTAACCAAAAGAGAGAAGGGGTGTCTACACTTGTATTAGATGGAATAGGCAGTAAGTTAAAAACTGTAAAAGAGACAAAGAAGATCATTACATTATAATAAAGAGGTTAAATCATCAAGAGAATATAGCAATTTAAAATGTATATGCACCCAACATTGGAGCACCTAAACATATAAAGCAAATATTATTAGATTAAAGAAAGAAATAGACTGCAGTATAATAATTGTGGAGGACATCAATACTCCACAAGCAAAAATGCATAGATCATCTAGACAGAAAATCAATAGGGAAATGAACTTGAACAACATTTAAAACATATGGATCTAACAGACATATATAGAACATTCTGCCCAACAGCAGCAGAATACACGTTCTTTTCAAGTGCACCCAGAACATTCTCTAGGATTGTCATACATTAGTCCACAAAACAAGTTTTAACACATTTAAGTAGATTGAAGTCATATAAAGTATTTTTACTGATTATAATGGAATAAAACTAAACGTCAGTAACAGGAGGAATTTTGGAAAATTTGCAAATACATAGAAATTAGACAATAAGCTCCTGAACAACCAGTGGGTCAAAGGAGAAATTAAAAGGAAAAATTAGAAAATATTTTGAGCAAATGTAAATAAAAACACAACATACCAAAACCTATGGAATACAGCAAAAATAGTTCTAATAGGGAAGTTTATAGCAATGCATGCCCGTATTAAATAAAGAGAAACATCTGAAATGAACAACTTAGGGTTACACCTCAAGGAAATAGAAAAAGAAGAACAAAGGAAGTCTGAAATCAGTAGAAGGAAGGAAACAATACAAATCAAGCAAGAAATAAATGAAAAAAATAGAAACACAATAGAGAAGATCAATAAAACTGTGAGTCAATTCTTTTAAAAGAGAACAAAATCAACAAACTTTAGCCAGACTAATAAAGAGAGGACTCAAATAAATAAAATAATACACATAAGAAGATATTAAAATTGGTATCACTGAAATACAAAGAATCAGAAAAGACTACTATGAACAATTATACACCCACAAATTAGACAATCTAGAAGAAATGGATAAATTCCTGGAACATACAAATTTATCAAGGCTAAATCAAGAACAAATTGAAAAACTGAGCAGGCCAATAGTGAGTAGGGAGATTGAACCAACAATAAAAAGAAATCTTCCATCAAAGAAAAGCCCAGGATCAGATGACTTTACTGCATACTTCTACCAAACATTTAAGATCGGGCACAGTGGCTCACACCTCTAATCTCAGCACTTTGGGAGGCCGAGGCAGGCAGATCACTTGAGGTCAGGAGTTGGAGACCAGCCTGGCCAACATGGTAAAACCCCATGCCTACTAAAAGAAATACAAAACAATTAGCCAGGCTTGGTGGTGCATGCCTGTAATTCTAGCTACTCGGGAGGCTGAGGCAAGAGAATTACTTGAACCTGGGAAATGGAGGTTGCAGTGAGTAGAGATTGTGCCACTGCACTCTAGCCTTGGCGATAGAGTGAGACACCATCTCAATAAATAAATAAATAAATAAATAAATAAATAAATAAATAAAACATTCTTCTCAAACTCTTCCAAAAAGTCAAAGAGGAGGAAATACTTCCAAACTCATTACACAAGGTGACCATTACCTGATAACAAAGCCAGACAAGAACACTAAAGGAAAAAAAAAAACACAGGCCAATATCACCAATGAACGTAGATGCAAAAATCCTCAAAATACTAGCAAACCTAATTCAACACCATATTAAAGGATCACTTACCATGATTAAAAGAAATGAAAGGACGGATCAATACAGGAAAATCAATAAATGTGATACCATATTAACAGAATGAAGGTCAAAGCCCATATAATCCTCTAAATAGATGCAGAAAAAGTATATGACAAAATTCAACATTCTCTCATGATAAAAACTCCCAATAAACTAGGCATCAAATAAATGCACTTCAACATAATAAAGGCCACATATGAAAAGCCAAGAGTTAACACATTCAATGGTGAAAAGTTGAAAGTTTTCATTTGAAACTAGGAATAAGACAAGGATGCCTACTCTCACCACTTCTGTTCAATGTAGTACTGGAAGTTATCTCTAGAGCAATTATACAAGAAAATAAAAATAGAAGGCATCATAATAGGAAAGGAAGAAGTAAAATTGTTTGTGTTTACTGATGACATGGCGTTATACATAGAAAACCCCCAAGACTCCACCAAAAAACTATCAGACTTCATGAATGAATTCAGTAAAGCTGCAGGGTACAAAATTAGCACCCCCAAATTAGTAGTATTTGTTTTTTAAAATTTATTTTAATTTAATTTTGTTTGTTTGTTTTTGAGAAAAAGGATCTTTTTCTGTAACCCAGGCTGAAGTGCAGTGGTGTGATCATAGCTCACCATAGCCTTGACTCCTGGGTTCAAGCAGTTCTCCCACCTCATCCTCCTGAGTCTCTGGAACTACAGGCATGTGCCAACATGCTTGGCTAATTTTTAAATTTTTGGTAGAGATTGGGTCTCACTACGTTTCCCAGGCTGATCTGTAACTCTTGGCTTCAAGCAATCCTCCTGCCTTAGCTTCACAAAATGCTAGGATTACAGACATAAGCCACTGCTCCCTGCCAGTAGCCTGCCTGCCTTTCTTTCTTTCTTTCTTTCTTTCTTTCTTTCTTTCTTTCTTTTCTTTCTTTCTTTCTTTCTTTCTTTCTTTCTTTCTTTCTTTCTTTCTTTCTTTCTTTCTTTCTTTCTTTCCTTCCTCCCTCCCTCCCTCCCTCCCTCCCTCCCTCCTTTCTTTCTTTCTTTCTTTCTTTCTTTCTTTCTTTCTTTCTTTCTTTCTTTCTTTCTTCCTTCCTTCCTTCCTTCCTTCCTTCCTTCCTTCCTTTCTCTTTTTTCTTTCTTTCTTTCTTTCTTTCTTTCTTTCTTTCTTTCTTTCTTTCTTTCTTTCTTTTTCCTTCCTTCCTTCCTTCCTTCCTTCCTTCCTTCCTTCCTTCCTTCCTTCCTTCCTTCTTTCTTTCTTTCTTTCTTTCTTTCACAATGCAAATGCTTTTTTTATTTTAATAGTTTTTAGGGTACAGGTGGTTTTTGATTACATGAATAAATTCTTTAGTGGTGACTTCTGAGATTAGTGTACCCTTACAGTGTCCACTGTACCTATGATGTAGTCTTTTATCTCTCACCCCTCTCTCAACCTTCCTTCTAGAGCCCCCAAAGTCCATTATATAACACTTATGCATTTGTTATGCATTGTTATTAGCTCCCACTTAGAAGTGAAAACATATGATATTTGGTTTTCCATTCCTGAGTTACTTCACTTAGAATAATGGCCTTGAGGTCCATCCAAGTTTTTGCAACAGACATTATTTCATTCTTTTTTATAGCTGAGTAGTATTCCATAGTGTATGTATACCACATTTTCTTTATCCACTTGTTGGTCTATGGGCACTTTGGTTGGTTCCATATCTTTGCAATTATGAATTATGCTGCTATAAATATGCAGGTGCATATGTCTTTTTTATATAATGACTTCTTTTCCTTTGGGTAGATACCCCCTAGTGGGATTGCTGGATTAAATGGTAGTTCTACTTTTGGTTCCTTAAGGAATGCCAATAACATTTCTTTATGCCAACAATAAACTATCTAAAAAAGAAATTAAAAAATCAATGCCTTCATAGTTGTATCAAAAAATAAAATAGTTATAAATTTAACCAAAAAGATCAAAGATCTTCTATAAAACATTGATGAAAGAAATTATAGATGACACAAATAAATGGGTTCCTGAATTGGAATAATTAATACTGTTAAAATGTCTATACTAACCAAAGTGATCTACAGATTCAGTGCAATCCCTATTAAAATTTCAATGTCATTTGTTACGGAAATTAAGCAAAAAATCCCAGAATTTCTATAATACCACAAAAGACCTTGAATACCAAAAGCAATCTTGAGCAAGAAGAACAGAGCTGGAAGCATTACACTGCTGACTTCGAAATATATTGCAAAGCTATAGTAATCCAAACAGCATGATACACTCATAAAAACAGACACGTGGACCTATGGAACAGAACAGCTAGTACAGATATAAACTCACACATTTATGGTCAATTGATTTTTCACAAAGGTACCAAGAACACACAATGGAGAAAGAATAGTCTCTTCAAACAATGGTGCTAGGAAAACTAGGTATCTATAAAAAGAATGAACTTAGACTGTTATGTCACATTATATACAAAAAACAGTTCAAAGTGGATTAAAAACTTAAATGTAAGACCTGAAATTGTAAAACCACTAGAAGGAAAAACAGGGGGAATGCCCCATGACATTGGTCTGCACAATTATTATTTTGATATGATCTGAAAAGCTCAGGCAACAAAAACAAAAATAAGCAAATGGGATTTCATAAAACTAAAAAGGCTCTTTACAGCAAAGGAACAATTAATAGAGTGAATACACAATTTATGGATTGGGAGAAAATATTGTAAGCTCCTCCATCTAATAAGGGGCTAATATTCAAAATATACAGGCAACTCAAACAACTCAATAGCATAAAAACAATAACTCCATCAAAACTGGGCAGAGGACCTAAATAGACACTTTTCAATAAAAGCCATTCGAATAGCCAGCAGATATAATAAAAAATGCTCACAATCACTGATCATCAGGGAAATTCAAATTGTGACCACAGTGAGCTATCAACTTATACCTGTAGAATGGCTATCATCCCAAATATGAAAGATAATAAGTGTTGACGAGGGTGTAGAGTAAAGGAACTCTTAAAAACTATTGGTGGGAATATAAATTCATATAGCCACTATGGGAAATAGTATGGAGGTTCCTCAGAAAACTAAAAATAGAATTACTATATGATCCAGTAATCCCACTTATGAGTATTAATTCAAAGAAATTGAAATCAGTATGCTGAAGAAATATCAGTACTCCCTTGGTCACAGTATTATACACAATAGCTAAGATACTAAAGCAACCTAGGTGTTCATCATCAGAGAAATAAAGAAAATGTGGTATATGTACATACAATGGAATGCTGTTCAGCTTTATAAGAGGAGGAAATCCTGTCATTTGTGACACCATGGATGCATCTGGAGAACAGTATGCTAACAGAAATAAGCTGGGCATAGAAAGACAAACATCACATGATATCACTTGCATGTGGAATCTGATAAAGTTCATCTCATATAGAGAGTAGAGTGATGTTTATCAGAGACATGTTGGAGACATGGGCAGTGAATGGGAAAAGCATAGATGTGTTGATGAAAAGGTAAAAAATTTCAGACGGGAGGAGAAAGATCTAGTGATCTATTGCAGAGTGGCAACTATATTAAATAATAATGCATTGTATATTCCAAAATTGCTAAGAGAAGATTTTTAAATGCTTTCACCCAGAAAAATAAGTAAGTGTGCTGATAGATTTGTTAATTTGCCTGATTTAATCATTCTACATTGTAAACATATATAAACAGCATATTTTGCCCTATAAATATGTATCATTATTTTCAATTTATAAAATAAAAATATTTTGAAATAAATCTATAGCTTTAAATGCTTATATGAAAATTAAACAATTCTCCAATAAGGTTTCACCTTAAGAAGCTTAAAAACGGAAAAAAGCAAAGTAAATTTAAAATAAGCAGAAAGAAGAAAATAAGAATAAAAAAGAAATTATTGAAATATAAAATAAACAAAATTGATAAAATTAACACATTGACTCTTCTGCTTTTGCTATTCATTGTTAGCACTTTACCATGTAATCATGCTGACACTGGAATATGGGCAGAGAAGCTTTCCAGGCTCGCAGCATTTGTAAATAAAGAAGAGCTTAGAAGGGCAGGAGTAGGGCCAGGCGCCGCGGTGGCTCACGCCTGCAATCCCAGCACTTTGGGAGGCCGAGGCGGGCGGATCACGAGGTCAGATCGAGACCATCCTGGCTAACACGGTGAAACCTCGCCTCTACTAAAAATAAAAAAAAAATTAGCCGGGCGCGGTGGTGGGCGCCTGTAGTCCCAGCTACTCGGGAGGCTGAGGCAGGAGAATGGCGTGAACCCGGGAGGCGGAGCTTGCAGTGAGCGGAGATCGCACCACTGCACTCCAGCCTGGGCGACAGAGCAAGACTCCGTCTCAAACAAACAAACAAACAAAAAAGGGCAGGAATAGGGCTGAGTATGAACAGACACACTCATCCAGAGGGCAGGCATTTGAGTCACAATCTGGTACGAATTCCAGAAAAACAGGGATCACGTTTTGAAATTTTCAATTTCTTCCTTCTCTAGTGCATTGTGAGACACATAGGCATTACTCACTTCTCAGTGACCAGCTAGATGGTAACGATAAATACATATAGGGCTGTTTTTCCCAAATTCTCCTTTTGGATATGTCATCCTGGGTGAAAGGAACAAGGTCAAAGTCATGGGCCTGAGAAGGAGTCAGTCTGTGTGTGTGTGTCTGTGTGTGTGACTTTAACTGATCATGGGATTAAAACTTCAATTTTCTGTTCTCTCCTAATGCATGAACAGTGGTTGGTATAATTTAACAGCAGATGTGACATTTCTATTTTTACCAAGAAATGTTCTATGGAAAGATATTCTGGGTAATGGACTCTCAAAGGTAATCAAAATTACATGAGTCCAAGATGTCTAAGTCACTAATTATTAAAAAAGAATATAATTTGATTCAAATTCATTTCTTTGTAATTGAAAAATATAGACTGTAGTAAGTTTCAGACAGTAATATCTTCCTGCTTTTTAAGATGATGTATCCATGGAACAGTCATTTGTAACAATTTTCATTATCACTTTTTCATTTTCCAGAAAGCTACTCATCACAAAATAATCAGTTTTCATTTTCATCAAGGGAAGACTTCAACTGTATTAGAACATGGTTATGTTGTATAACTTGGGGACATTGAGGAAAAGTAAAAACAGTGACATGTATGTGACTACAAGCTTTTAGAGCTTTTTGTTTTATTGTAATAAGAGTACTTAAAGGAGAACTACCCTTTTAACAAAACTTTAAGTGTACAATACAGTAATGTTTAATTATGGGAACAGTGTTGTACAATAAATCTCTAGAACTTATGCATCTTGTATAATTGAAAATTTGTGCTTATTGTTTAGCAATTCTCTATTCCTCTCTCCCGCCCATGACACTGGTCTTAGAAATGATATAATAAATATATCAAGAGCTCAGGAAATGAAAGAAAAAACAGACAACTGTGGCAACATCAAACTAAGAAGCTTCTGCACGACAAGGGAAACAACAGAATGAAAAGGCAACAAATAGAATGGGAGAAAATACTTGAAAACCATATATCTGACAAAGTGTTAATTTCCAAAATATATAAAGAATTCCTACACTTCAGTGGAAAAAATCCCACAGCAAATAACCCAATTTAAAAAATGGGCTGAAAAATTGAATAGACATTTGTCCAAAGAAGACAGCCAAACGGCCAAAAAGCATGTGAAAAGATGCTTAATGTCAGCAATCATCAGGCAAATGCAAATGAAAACTATCACTTCACACCTGTTATGTTGGTTATTATCAAGAACAAAAACAAAAACAAAGCAAGCGTTGGCAAAGATGTATGTAGAGAAATTTGGAACACTTGTACACTGTTGGGAAAGCAAAATGGTGCAGCTGCTATGGAAACAATATGGGGCTTTCTTAAAAATAAAAATAGAACTACCATATGTTTCAGACTTTTTTTTAAACTTAACTTTTCATTTTGAGCTAAGTGTAGATTCACAAGCAGTTGTGTGAAATACTACAGAGACTTTCCACATGCCCTCTACCCAGTTTTCCCCAATGGTGATAAGTTTCAAAACTATACTAATGTCACAACCAGGATAAGCAATGGAATATTTTCACCATGACAAGGATTTCTTACGTTGCTTTTTAATATTACATTCATCCTTCCTTTCCCCTCTTAAGCACTGTTAACCACTGCTCATCATTTTTAAATTTTGACATTTTAAGAATTATATAAATAGAGTCATACAGTACGTAAACATTGGGGATTGACTTTTTTCACTCAGCATAATTCACTAGAGATTCATCCAGGTTGTGTATCAAGTTTGTTTCTTTTTATTGCTGAATAATATTCTATAGTGTGAATATACCACAGTTTGTTTAACCATTCACCCATTGAAGGACATGTGAGCTTTTTCCAGTTTTTGGCTATTAATGAATAAAGCAATTATAAATATGTATAAGTTTTGTGTGAAGATAAGTTTTAATTCCTATGGGATGATAGTCCAGGAGTATAATTTCTGTATTGTATGGTAGTTGTATGTTTACTGTTTAAAATACTATCAGGCTGTTTTCTAGAGTAGCTTATCATTTCATATTCTCATCAGAATATCTGAATAATCCAGTTTCTCAGTATTCTCACCAGTATTTCGCATTATCATTATTTCTTGTTTTAGCTCTTTTGATACTTGCATAGTAGCTTCTCATTGTGCTTTTTATTTGCATTTCCCTAACGTTTAATGACATCTGTAGGTTCTCTTTATTGAGATAATATGTTGTGTACATGTCAGTCATTCCATATTGTGGAAAACTATGTTTCTCAGCCTCCCTAATATCTGGCTATGTATATCTGAAAACAAGTAGATTTTTATTTGAAAAACTTTTATATCTTGATATGGCAGTTTCCTTAAGCATCATGTCGGGAAAGCAGATTAATTACTGAGTGTTTGCTTAGATCTCCCCACAATTAAAAATAAAATGAAAATAGATGAAGTGTAATTCCTATTACTTGGGTGTTTGTGGTAGGCAGAATAATACCCCAAACCCAAAGATATCTGCGTCCTAATCCCAGAAACCTACAAATATATTGCATTACATGGCAGGAGGGCATTAAGGTTGCTAATCAGATGACCTTGAGATAAAGTGATTAGCTAGGGCTATCCAAGTGTGCCAAATGTAATCACAAGTGGAAAAGGGAGGCAGAGTCAGAGAGAGATTTGAAGATGTTATATTGCTGGGTGGGTGAAGGGGCCACAAACCAAAAAATGGGGGCAGAAGCTGAAAAAGGAAAAGGGGAAATAAAAAAAGAAGGACTGTTTTCTCAAACTCCCAAATGAATACAGTTTTGCCAAAAACTTGATTTTAGCTCAGTGAGACCCAGTGTGGACTTCTTATTTCCAGAACTGTAAGATTCTTTATGTGTGTTCTTTTACATCACTAAGTTTGTGATAGTTTATTATAGCAGAAAAGATAACTCTATCAATGCTGAATTATCATTTAAATCAAATTGATATATATTTTTGAAACATCCATGAACTCCCAGAGCACTTTATCTATTCATGTCTCTATCTATCCTTTGTCTCTTTTATAAATGACTAGATCTGCAGCCCTGGCATTGTGCATACCATGTGGTAGATGCTCAAAAAATGCTGATTGAGTGCATGAATACATGAACACCTTCTTCTAATTTTGATATAATTCAATATATATTTATTGTATACTCCTTGTGTACCAACTATTGCAGTTTACTGGGTTCTGGAGTCAGAATGCTGATTAAGGCATGACACATTGTAGGGAGGGAGATGGATACTTTATGATACAATGTGGTGAGCCATATGAGTAGAACCTTGAAAAAAATGTTGTGTATACAGAATAGGGAGTTATATTTCTTTTCTCTTCAGAAGAGAACAGTTCTGCAAAGTTGCTTAATGGAAGTGACATATGAGATCAATTCTGAAGGACAATTGTGGGGTTTTCATGGAGTAGCAAGGACTTCTGGGTAGAAGGAATAACATTTGTAAAGGCACAAAGATGTGAAATCTCAAGACTTCTCTGGGAAAGGGCTAGTTTTTCAAAGTGGTGCGTAGGTATGTGTATGAGGGGAAAATACACTAGAAGAGAGCTTTGTAAGCTTAAATGTCATTTGCATAATTGGGATTTTATTCTAAAGGAGGAGTTTTGAATACTCTTATATAGTATAGAATGAGTATTGCAGCAGTAAGAGTGACACAGAGTATTATTTTACAAAGATATCACTGACCACTATATGCAGGATGCATTAGGGGGAGGCCAGAAGATGATTAGGAGGCTGTCACCATAGGCAGAACTCAGTGTGATGAGGGCTGAACTAGAGCAATGACAAGGTTGAAATAGTTTTTGCAAGGCCTTTTAGCAGTAAACATAGTAGTTGGATTAATGGCTGATGGGGTCTGGGTAGGTGAAGTATGAGAGAAATGGAGATGTTAGAAATGTTCTGATTGGGATAGCTGGGTAGATATTGGTACTGTAATATGTGATACTCCAGGAAGGAAGAACAGTTTGCAGATCAATGAAAATTAATGTTGGAGATACTGAGTTTGACAGCAAGACATGCAGGTAAAACAAGAAATAGGTAGCTGGATTTCAGGAAAGAGATTAAACCTAGGAATATTGATGTAAAAATCTCAGATGTGATTGTCTTCTGATTCCTTGGATGTAAGTAGAAGGTGAATAGTCCTTGCAATTACAGAAACTTGAACTTGGATCTTGGGACTACCACTCATTCCTAGAATAAGCATAGGCAAATCACATGCACTTTCTTACCTGGGGAGTAAGTAAAACAATATCTATCTCAAATAATTTTAAAAATTAAAGTATATAATTTGCATGAAATACTTAAAGTATAGTGTATACTTAGCAATACTTGTTTTCTTCTTTTTCCAACCTGCCTTTTTCTACCTCTTTCTTTTATTTAAGGTAGAAGTTCTTGATAATGGGGTTCGTATTTAACTTACATTAGATAAAAATACACTGCAGATGCTCAAGAAAAACTATTTGAGTTTAGTTGATTGTTTAAAATGTTTTTAAGTTGAAAAATCATGTTCACAAAAATAATTAAAATTTTAATTATAAAAATAAAAATGGAAAGTTTCATTGTCTTCAATACCAGATCCTATAGCTGAAAATTGTCAAAAGTTTAGTGTAGTGCAAATTTTTTCTCTGCATATGTTAATACATAATGGATACTTACATTAGTAAAATGATGTCATATTACATATTGTCTTGCAGTGTGTTTTTGTCAGTTAACAATACATGTATGCTACATATAATGCAAGTATATGTCCCATTCTTTTTACTGGCTGAATGTATTTCAAGGTATGAATATGTATCATTAATTTAACCATTCCCCTTCTGATGAATGTCTGCATCATTTCTCACTTTTTGCTCTTATAAACAATGTGGTGTGAAGGAGGTTTGCTTTCATGGGTTGCCAACTTGCTAGAGTCAGGTAAGTCAGAATACCCATAAAAATAAAAGTTACATGAAGCAGATTTATTATTTACAGAGAGGCAGCAAGGGACAACAGAAGCTTAAGCTTCATTGCGAGTTGGGCCCCCAAAGCTCAGGAAAGCTGCCCAGGGCAGAGGGAATCTCATCTGTGGATACCCCACTTGTCCTGCAGATTAGGTACCCCAGAATGCAACTCATCCTGGGTTTTATTCCCTGAAGTGAAGATGATACACTGGGCTAAAGCACTGAAGGACATCTTATTTCCTGGGGGCACTGGAACAGATCCAGGGCTATTCCAGGCAGTTCCCCCTTATTGTAGGATGTTGCATTCCTAGCACATTCTACAATGATTCTTGACAACTACAAGCCAGAAGTGTGTGTGAGAGGGTGTGACTGGGTTGCTGTAAGGCCACCCAGAGAACTCTCTGGCATGTTGCAATATGTATTCCTAAGTATATTTTCCCTATACTTTATGCATTTTTGTTAATATTTTATAGAGTATTTCTGTATGTATATTTATATAAAACTTGTATTTATATAAAACTGGAATTACTTGATCATAGAGTATGCATATGATTTATTTTAATAGATACCGATTACAATTTTTTAAATTTTATTTATTTTTATTATTATTATACTTTAAGTTTTAGGGTACATGTGCAAAACGTGCAGGTTTGTTACATATGTATACACGTGCCATGTTGGTGTGCTGCACCCAGTAACTCGTCACTTAGCATTAGGTATATCTCCAAATGCTATCCCTCCCCGCTACCCCCACCACACAACAGTCCCCAGTGTGTGATGTTCCCCTTCCTGTGTCCATGTGTTCTCATTGTTCAATTCCCACCTATGAGTGAGAACATGCGGTGTTTGGTTTTTTGTCCTTGCAATAGTTTATTGAGAGTGATGGTTTCCAGCTTCATCCATGGCCCTACAAAGGACATGAACTCAACTCATCATTTTTTATGGCTGCATAGTATTCCATGGTGTATATGTGCCACATTTTCTTAATCCAGTCTATCATTGTTGGACATTTGGGTTGGTTCCAAGTCTTTGCTATTGTGAACAGTGCTGCAATAAACATACGTGTGCATGTGTCTTTACAGCAGCATGGTTTACAATCCTTTGGGTATACACCCAGTAATGGGATGGCTAGGTCGAATGGTATTTCTAGTTCTAGATCCCTGAGGAATCGCCACACCGACTTCCACAATGGTTGAACTAGTTTACAGTCCCACCAACAGTGTAAAAGTGTTCCTATTTCTCCACATCCTCTCCAGCACCTGTTGTTTCCTGACTTTTTAATGATCACCATTCTAACTGGTATGAGATGGTATCTCATTGTGGTTTTGATTTGCATTTCTCTGATGGCCAGTGATGATGAGCATTTTTTCATGTGTCTGTTGGCAGCATAAATGTCTTCTTTTGAGAAGTGTCTGTACATACCCTTTGCCCACTTTTTGATGGGGTTGTTTTTTTCTTGTAAATTTGTTATCTCCTAAAGCTGATAAGCAACTTCAGCAAAGTCTCAGGATACAAAATCAATGTGCAAAAATCACAAGCATTCTTTTTTTTAATTTTATTATTATTATACTTTAAGTTTTAGGGTACATGTGCACAATGTGCAGGTTAGTTACATATGTATACATGTGCCATGCTGGTGTGCTACAACCATTAACTCGTCATTTAGCATTAGGTATATCTCCTAAAGCTATCCCTCCCCTCTCCCCCAACCCCACAACAGTCCCCAGAGTGTGATGTTCCCCTTCCTGTGTCCATGTGTTCACATTGTTCAATTCCCACCTATGAGTGAGAACATGCAGTGTTTGGTTTTTTGTTCTTGTAATAGTTTACTGAGAATGATGATTTCCAATTTCATCCATGTCCCTACAAAGGACATGAACTCATCATTTTTTATGGCTGCATAGTATTCCATGGTGTATATGTGCCACATTTTCTTAATCCAGTCTATCGTTGTTGGACATTTGGGTTGGTTCCAGGTCTTTGCTATCGTGAATAGTGCCGCAATAAACATACGTGTGCATGTGTCTTTATAGCAGCATGATTTATAATCCTTTGGGTATATACCCAGTAATGGGATGGCTGGGTCAAATGGTATTTCTAGTTCTAGATCCCTGAGGAATCGCCACACTGACTTCCACAATGGTTGAACTAGTTGACAGTCCCACCAACAGTGTAAAAGTGTTCCTATTTCTCCACATCCTCTCCAGCACCTGTTGTTTCCTGACTTTTTAATGATTGCCATTCTAACTGGTGTGAGATGGTATCTCATTGTGGTTTTGATTTGCATTTCTCTGATGGCCAGTGATGGTGAGCATTTTTTCATGTGTTTTTTGGCTGCATAAATGTCTTCTTTTGAGAAGTGTCTGTTCATGTCCTTCGCCCACTTTTTGATGGAGTTGTTTGTTTTTTCTTGTAAATTTGTTTGAGTTCTTTGTAGATTCTGGATGTTAGCCCTTTGTCAGATGAGTAGATTGCAAAAATTTTCTCCCATTTTGTAGGTTGCCTGTTCACTCTGATGGTAGTTTCTTTTGCTGTGCAGAAGCTCTTGAGTTTAATTAGATCCCATTTGTCAATTTTGGCTTTTGTTGCCATTGCTTTTGGTGTTTTAGACATGAAGTCCTTGCCCATGCCTGTGTCCTGAATGGTAATGCCTAGGTTTTCTTCTAGGGTTTTAATTGTTTTAGGTCTAACGTTTAAGTCTTTAATCCATCTTGAATTAATTTTTGTATAAGGTGTAAGGAAGGGATCCAGTTTCAGCTTTCTACATATGGCTAGCCAGTTTTCCCAGCACCATTTATTAAATAGGGAATCCTTTCCCCATTGCTTGTTTTTCTCAGGTTTGTCAAAGATCAGATAGTTGTAGATATGCGGCATTATTTCTGAGGGCTCTGTTCTGTTCCATGGATCTATATCTCTGTTTTGGTACCAGTACCATGCTGTTTTGGTTACTGTAGCCTTGTAGTATAGTTTGAAGTCAGGTAGCATGATGCCTCCAGCTTTGTTCTTTTGGCTTAGGATTGACTTGGTGTTGCGGGCTCTTTGTTGGTTCCATATGAACTTTAAAGTAGTTTTTTCCAATTCTGGGAAGAAAGTCATTGGTAGCTTGATGGGGATGGCATTGAATCTATAAATTACCTTGGGCAGTATGGCCATTTTCACGATATTGATTCTTCCTACCCATGAGCATGGAATGTTCTTCCATTTGTTTGTATCCTCTTTTATTTCCTTGAGCAGTGGTTTGTAGTTCTCCTTGAAGAGGTCCTTCACATCCCTTGTAAGTTGGATTCCTAGGTATTTTATTCTCTTTGAAGCAATTGTGAATGGGAGTTCACTCATGATTTGTTTCTCTGTTTGTCTGTTATTGGTGTATAAGAATGCTTGTGATTTTTGTACATTGATTTTGTATCCTGAGACTTTGCTGAAGTTGCTTATCAGCTTAAGGAAATTTTGGGCTGAGACAGTGGGGTTTTCTAGATATACAATCATGTCATCTGCAAACAGGGACAATTTGACTTCCTCTTTTCCTAATTGAATACCCTTTATTTCCTTCTCCTGCCTAATTGCCCTGGCCAGAACTTCCAACACTATGTTGAATAGGAGTGGTGAGAGAGGGCATCCCTGTCTTGTGCCAGTTTTCAAAGGGAATGCTTCCAGTTTTTGCCCATTCAGTGTGATATTGGCTGTGGGTTTGTCATAGATAGCTCTTATTATTTTGAGATACGTCCCATCAATACCTAATTTATTGAGAGTTTTTAGCATGAAGTGTTGTTGAATTTTGTCAAAGGCCTTTTCTGCATCTATTGAGATAATCATGTGGTTTTTATCTTTGGTTCTGTTTATATGCTGGATTACATTTATTGCTTTGCATATATTGAACCAGCCTTACATCCCAGGGATGAAGTCCACTTGATCATGGTGGATAAGCTTTTTGATGTGCTGCTGGATTCGGTTTGCCAGTATTTTATTGAGGATTTTTGCATCAATGTTCATCAGGGATATTGGTCTAAAATTCTCTTTTTTGGTTGTGTCTCTGCCCGGCTTTGGTATCAGGATGATGCTGGCCTCATAAAATGAGTTAGGGAGGATTCCCTCTTTTTCTATTGATTGGAATAGTTTCAGAAGGAATGGTACCAGTTCCTCCTTGTACCTCTGGTAGAATTCGGCTGTGAATCCATCTGGTCCTGGACTCTTTTTGGTTGGTAAGCTATTGATTATTGCCACAATTTCAGCTCCTGTTATTGGTGTATTCAGAGATTCAACTTCTTCCTGGTTTAGTGTTGGGAAAGTGTATGTGTTGAGGAATTTATCCCTTTCTTCAAGATTTTCTAGTTTATTTGCGTAGAGGTGTTTGTAGAATTCTCTGATGGTAGTTTGTATTTCTGTGGGATTGGTGGCGATATCCCCTTTATCATTTTTTATTGCATCTATTTGATTCTTCTCTCTTTTCTTCTTTATTAGTCTTGCTAGCAGTCTATCAATTTTGTTGATCCTTTCAAAAAAAACCAGCTCCTGGATTCATTAATTATTTGAAGGCTTTTTTGTGTCTCTATTTCCTTCATTTCTGCTCTGATTTTAGTTATTTCTTGCCTTCCGCTAGCTTTTGAATGTGTTTGCTCTTGCTTTTCTAGTTCTTTTAATTGTGATGTTAGGGTGTCAATTTTGGATCTTTCCTGCTTTCTCTTGTGGGCATTTAGTGCTATAAATTTCCCTCTACACACTGCTTTGAATGTGTCCCAGAGATTCTGGTATGTTGTGTCTTTGTTCTCATTGGTTTCAAAGAACTTCTTTATTTCTGCCTTCATTTCCTTATGTACCCAGTAGTCATTCAGGAGCAGTTGTTCAGTTTCCATGTAGTTGAGCGGTTCTGAATGAGTTTCTTAATCCTGAGTTCTAGTTTGATTGCACTGTGGTCTGAGAGACAGTTTGTTATAATGTCTGATCTTTTACATTTGCTGAGGAGTGCTTTACTTCCAACTATGTGGTCAATTTTGGAATAGGTGTGTTGTGGTGCTGAAAAAAATGTATATTCTGTTGATTTGGGGTGGAGAGTTCTGTAGAGGTCTATTAGGTCCACTTGGTGCAGAGCTGAGTTCAATTCCTGGGTATCCTTGTTAACTTTCTGTCTCGTTGATCTGTCTAATGTTGACAGTGGGGTGTTAAAGTCTCCCATTATTATTGTGTGGGAGTCTAAGTCTCTTTGTAGGTCACTCAGGACTCGCTTTATGAATCTGGGTGCTCCTGTATTGGGTGCATATATATTTAGGATAGTTAGCTCTTCTTGTTGAATTGATCCCTTTACCATTATGTAATGGCCTTCTTTGTGTCTTTTGATCTTTGTTGGTTTAAAGTCTGTTTTATCAGAGACTAGGATTGCAACCCCTGCCTTTTTTGGTTTTCCATTTGCTTGGTAGATCTTCCTCCATCCTTTTATTTTGAGCCTATGTATGTCTCTGCACGTGAGATGTGTTTCCTGAATACAGCACACTGATGGGTCTTGACTCTTTATCCAATTTGCCAGTCTGTGTCTTTTAATTGGAGCATTTAGTCCATTTACATTTAAAGTTAATATTGTTATATGTGAATTTGATTCTGTCATTATGATGTTAGCTGGTTATTTTGCTCATTAGTTGATGCAGTTTCTTCCTAGCCTCAATGGTCTTTATAATTTGGCATGATTTTGCAGTGGCTGGTGCTGGTTGTTCCTTTCCATGTTTAGTGCTTCTTTCAGGAGCTCTTTTAGGGCAGGCCTGGTGGTGACAAAATCTCTCAGCATTTGCTTGTCTGTAAAGTATTTCATTTCTCCTTCACTTATGAAGCTTAGTTTGGCTGGATATGAAATTCTGGGTTGAAAATTCTTTTCTTTAAGAATGTTGAATATTGGCCCCCACTCTCTTCTGGCTTGCAGCGTTTCTGCTGAGATATCAGCTGTTAGTGTGATGGGCTTCCCTTTGTGGGTAACCCGACCTTTCTCTCTGGCTGCCCTTAACATTTTTTTCTTCATTTCAACTTTGGTGAATCTGACAATTATGTGTCTTGGAGTTGCTCTTCTCGAGGAGTATCTTTGTGGTGTTCTCTGTATTTCCTGAATCTGAATGTTGGCCTGCTTTGCTAGACTGGGGAAGTTCTCCTGGATAGTATCCTACAGAGTGTCTTCCAACTTGGTTCCATTCTCTCCGTCACTTTCAGGTACACCAATCAGACGTAGATTTGGTCATTTCACATATTCCCATATTTCTTGGAGGCTTTGTTCATTTCTTTTTATTCTTTTTTCTCTAAACTTCCCTTCTCGCTTCATTTCATTCATTTTATCTTCCATCACTGATACCCTTTCTTCCAGTTGATCACATCAGCTCCTGAGGCTTCTGCATTCTTCACGTAGTTCTTGTGCCTTGGCTTTCAGCTCCATCAGCTCCTTTAAGCACTTCTCTGTGTAGGTTGTTCTAGTTATACATTCATCTAAATTTTTTTCAAAGTTTTCAACTTCTTTGTCTTTGGTTTGAATTTCCTCCTGTAGCTCGGAGTAGTTTGATCGTCTGAAGCCTTTTTCTCTCAACTCGTCAAAGTCATTCTCCGTCCAGCTTTGTTCTGTTGCTGGTGAGGAGCTGCGTTCCTTTGGAGGAGGAGAGGCACTCTGCTTTTTAGAGTTTCCAGTTTTTCTGCTCTGTTTTTTCCCCATCTTTGTGGTTTTATCTACTTTTGGTCTTTGATGGTGGTGATGTAGAGATGGGTGTTTGGTGTGGATTTTATACACCAATAGCAGACAAACAGAGAGCCAAATCATGAATGAACTCCCATTCACAATTGCTTCAAAGAGAATAAAATACCTAGGAATCCAACTTACAAGGGATGTGAAGGACCTCTTCAAGGAGAATTACAAACCACTGCTCAATGAAATAAAAGAGGATACAAACAAATGGAAGAACATTCCATTCTCATGGGTATGAAGAATCAATATCATGAAAATGGCCATACTCTCCAAGGTAATTTATAGATTCAATGCCATCCCCATCAAGCTACCAATGACTTTCTTCCCAGAATTGGAAAAAACTACTTTAAAGTTCACATGGAACCAACAAAGAGCCCACATCGCCAAGTCAATCCTCAGCCAAAAGAACAAAGCTGGAGGCATCACGCTACCTGACTTCAAACTATACTACAAGGCTACAGTAACCAAAACAGCATGGTACTGGTACCAAAACAGAGATATAGACCAATGGAACAGAACAGAGCCCTCACCAATAATGCCGCATATCTACAACTATCTGATCTTTCACAAACCTGAGAAAAACAAGCAATGGGGAATGGATTCCCTATTTAATAAGTGGTGCTGGGAAAACTGGCTAGCTATGTGTAGAAAGCTGAAACTGGATCCCTTCCTTACACCTTATACAAAAATTAATTCAAGATGGATTAAAGACTTAAACGTTAGACCTAAAACCATAAAAACCCTAGAAGAAAACCTAGGCATTACCATTCAGGACATAGGCATGAGCAAGGACTTCATGTCTAAAACACCAAAAGCAATGGCAACAAAAGCCAAAATTGACAAATGGGATCTAATTAAACTCAAGAGCTTCTGCACAGCAAAAGAAACTACCATCAGAGTGAACAGGCACCCTACAGAATGGGAGAAAATTTTTGCAACCTACTCATCTGACAAAGGGCTAATATCCAGAATCTACAATCACATTTTAAAATGATAATATAAATGCTCCCTCCTCAATCGTGTAAAATAATGCCCAGCTTTTTCCTTTCTTGTCAATACATTCATTTAAAACAGCCAAGATGGTGAGCAAAATATTATTCAGATGCAATTTTAATGCATATTTTTTAGTTATCAGGTTGGGCCTCTTCCTGTTTATTGGCATTTTGCATTTATTTTATCTGTGGTTTCCTGATTGTAATTCTTTATCTATTTTTCAATAAATTCCTGTTTATTGCTTTTCAAATGTAATTATAAGGGGGCAGAGAGATAATATCTAACTGTTTCTTTAAAGGAATAGGCTAGAATTGCACTGTGTATTAAAGAACAACCTACTTCATTATATGCTATATTAAGGTTCTGAAGATCACCATTAATAGTGACATGTGTGATGGTCATTTGTTATTGCACAGAAAATAACTATGTTCAGTAGATAATATGCACTTGAATGCTGCATCTTTCTATTAGTGAAATAGTAGGACAAAAGAAAGAGTAACACCTATTATTGGGCAATTACTATGTACCATACATATTATACAACTTATCTCCTGGAAACTTCTCAGTAATTGTATTATTCACAGCATTATGCAGATGCATTGTCAGAGGGACAAGGAAGCTAATTAAGTTCCTCCAATTTACACAATTTTTAGTGATAGCTTTGAGCTTAAGTTCTAGGCAATACCAAAGTCCCTATTCTTTTCACCATGACATTGTGCTTCCCACTTTTTAAATACACAAATTTTAACAATTCTAAGAAGCACTCTCTTTGTACTCATATACTATTGTGGAACCCGCTTAAAAGACAGTTTGATTTTTGGCAAAAATGAAGCCAAATGTTCTCCCAAAGTAGCAAAAGATTGCCCAGTGAGTGCTGCATATAACAGTGTTGCTACAGCTCAAAAGAAAGATCTCAGCAATGGTACATCTCTAGTATGCCTTGGGGAATGGACAAAAATAGGATATTTAAAAAGGGGAGGTAGGGCACTCTCGGTGGAAATATTGTTTTAAGCTAACATGAGGTGTGTGTTACATTATCATGGTTCCAAGCATGGACAATGATGCTTTCTAGCTGCTGTGGCTGAAAGAAGTAATGGATGGAGAGATCATTGTTACTCTGTTTTCTCTTAGACATATGAATGATGATATATCCTTAAACATACAGATGTGGCCTTGATTTATTTCTCAAAACAATTTTTAGATAGTAACATTAAATATTACAAGTAGAGGGGGTACTACAAATATTAGTAATACCATTTCATGTAGTATCCAAAAGGATGAAGAGATGTAACACTTTACTGTTTTTAAAAATCATATGTGTTTGTGAGGATAAAATTTAGTTTTTAGCAGAAAACCTAGAAGAAAAATATTACTCATATCAAACTGAGGAAAATAAAACCAAGGTTTCTTCCTTTAGTTATTGGAGGTGCATATAGAGAAAAGACTATTTCTCAGAGATAAGGAAATGGCATTAGTGTTTTCTGATATAGAGTCATCAAAATCTATTTAGTTTTTATGGCTAGATAAAGTTTCTGACCTTACAGGAGACTTCAAAACAGATAAGTGGGGAGATAAAGCATCCAAACAGAATTTAATTAAAGCTATAATGAACATTGGTTTTGTGTTATCTAGATAAATTCCCGGTCTCTTGCAATTTGTGTTACATTGGCAGATTTCACTATAGTCAAGTTCCTATTTTTGGCTGAGAGATATAGCTAATGGTGTGTCCAAGGAACAAAGGAAACATTTGATTTCATTTAGACATGAAAGCCTTTACCTTCTTTGATGCCAGAGTTGTGGAAAATGAACTAGAGACAAGGTTGATACAGTTATAAAGGCTAAAACTTATAGTAATATTTTAATAATGGTTATAATTTATTGAGTGCTTATTATCTGCCGGGGATATTACATTAACTCATTTACCTTTCATAATAATCCTGTGAGGTAGGGCAAACACTATTATTAACTTCATTTTATAAATAAGAATGCTGAGGCTCAGAATAGCAGTATGGTTACTCAACTAGTGTGTAGCAGAGTAGAGATTCTAACCCAAGTTTAGGTAATTTGCGAGCTCTAACTACTCTGCTATACTCTTAAACTCAATAATAAACATTGTTTAGTTCATTTGGTAGGCATTGTAGAAGAGAGCACCAAAGAGTCAGAAGGCTTGTATTTGAATTCTAGTTTTGCAATTTACTAGCTGTGCAATCATCAGCAAATCATCTATCCTCCTGGAATGTTAATTTCCTCAAATGTCAAACATAGACAATAAAAGCAGTCTACCTGCAGGGCTTTAGCAGTATTATATGAGACAACACACGTAAGAATATTTAACACAATGCCTGCCACAATATATATTGATCTGTTCAACATAGAGAAGTAAGTTTGGAAAAGAAGCACATGCTTTGCATTCAAACAGGAGAAAGAGAGATAAAGGACAGAAAGTGGAAAGGAAGATTTTATACACTGTAATTGCACCGTAAAGTCAGGTGAACTAATGACAAACCTCTGATTTTTTTCTCCCTACTTTAGAAAACCATGTGTCTCTTTTCTAAAATGTTGGATGAAACATTCTACATTTATTTGTTTAATTCCAAATATTAATTCATCCCAGTTTACCTTCTTATTAATGACATTGATGTGAATGTTGGTTTATTGTCCAAGTCTTACTTTCCTGTTTTTTAAAATGGGATAATAGTAACTTTCTCCCTTTGTTGAGAATTAAGTACCATAAATCATATAAAGACACTTTTCAACTCCAACCAACTTTTTGCTAAAAATGGAAGATATCTGAGGGTAGGTACCAGGTTTGTCAACTCCCTGGAACCCAGCTAAAAATAGCTTCCCTAGAAAACTGTAAATCTTCTATGTTGATTATAAGACATAGATAGCTAAGCTGTTTTTTTTTTTTTTTTTTTTTTTTTGGAGACAGAGTCTCGCTCTGTTGCCCAGGCTGGAGTGCAGTGGCGCGATCTCTGCTCACTGCAACCTCTGCTGAAGCAGTTCTCCTGTGTCAGCCTCCCGAGTAGCTGGGATTACAGGCGCCTGCCATTGCACCTGGCTAATTTTTGTATTTTTAGTAGAGATGGGGTTTCACCATGTTGTCCAGGCTGGTCTTGAACTCCTGACCTTAGATGATCTGCCTGCCTCAGCCTCCCAAAGTGCTGGGATTACAGGCGTGCACCACTGCGCCTGGCCGCTAAGCTGCCTTATAATCAACACAGACTATTTACTAATTCTCTAGGGACTCTACTTTTTATTAATTTCCATTACCGATACATTTCAGACAACTTTAAAAGTCTTATTTGGTGTGAAATTAATCACTTGAGACTTGTGGTGGCTTTAAATTCTTTTTCTCCTTATTGAATGAAAACTAGGCTACTGTGAAGATTTGGTTTCATTCCCTGATATTGTGGATATTGGATAAGAAGTCAATCTACTCCAACAGTAGAGGTCAATCTACTCCAACAATAGAGGTCAATCTACTCCAACAATAGAGGTCAATATACTCTTAACAGTAATCTCAAGTGTTGAGGAGAAAACTGTTTTTTTTTTTTTCAGAGACTAGACATCATCTAGGTAATAACTGTTAAAATAAATGATGATGAATAAATACTATCAGGTCAAGCTTCCACTATAGTATTTTATTTTATTTTATTTTATTTTGAGACGGCGTCTCCCTCTGACACCCAGGCTGGAGTGCAGTGGCACGATCTCAGCTTACTGCAGACTCCATCTCCTGGGTTCAAGTGATTCTCCTGCCTCAGCCTCCTGAGTAGCTGAGATTACATGCGTGCATCACCACGCCCTGGCTAATTTTTGTGTTTTTAGTAGAGACGGGGTTTCACTATGTTGGTCAGGCTGGTCTCGAACTTTTGACCTTGTGATCCGCCCGCCTTGGCCTCCCAAAGTGTTGGGATTACAGGTGTGAGCCACCACAGCCAGCCCAGTATAGTATTTTAAAAGATGAAGAGCATATTCATATAGCAATTACCCTAGCTATCTAAGTAATATCACTCTGAGCGATGTCAGAGGGTGAGTCACAACATCACAAAATTACCTTATTAAAGCAAGATGAGACTTTATAAGTTTCTTTATATTTTACTTTTTACATTAAGGGACACACTGACAATAATGTCATTTATTTGCTGGCATAAACCTATAAAGGGCAAAGCATAATTCCAAATACACACTATTTTCTTTATCAGAGAGATGCAGCTGTATGAATAAGATAAGGCAGCTCAGTAGAATTTGCTATATCCAAAATCCAATAGAACTTGTAAGAATTGCTATATATAACTAAATGTTTCTCTGCCACCAAATATTTACTTAAATATATACCTAATGAATCACATTTCAATCATTTATTCATTTATTGCAAAAACATTTATTGGCCACCTAATTATGGAATAGATTCTGAGGATGGGGTTAAGATTCAAAAAACAAATTATTTTAGAGAACATGCTCTGATAGGAGTTGTAAATCCAAACATGTAACCAGTGAAAAAGTAGGAGGTAAATGCAATAGTGGAGGTAGCTATAGCATATGACAGAAATGGCACAATGAGAAATGATTCTGTTTGACTATTTAAGGAGATTCTTCAGAGAGGATGAACAATTGAGTTTTGTCTTGCAAAATGAGTAGCAAACTACCAGAAAGAAGGAGCTTACAGAGGGAAAACAGCTTTAGGGCAGAGTGGACTGCAAGCAGAGAGCCAGGGAGTGACAGTCAACCTGATCGTGGTACCATATCTTTAACTTGGAAGCCATTGAAAGTTTGGGAAAAGGAGAGTGCCAAGATCAGAAGGTGACTGACAAAGGCAAACACAGCTGTAATATAGAAAAACAGTTACAGGGAGAAGAGGGCAGAAGAAGAGAAACCAAGAACATATTACAATATTTTAGGCCAATGGGAGTAGAGGATATGAATCCAGGCAGGGACTGGAAATAGAGATAAAGCAAAGTGGATTCTATGGGATTTGATATCAGATTGTAGGGTGATGCAAAAGGGAGAGGGAGAGAGATTGTAATCTATTTTAAGCTATGAATCTTGATGACTGAGGCAATAGTAGTGGTATTAGTATAGTTTCAAAAGGAAGAGCAAGGAAAAAGTAAAGATAAGTTCCTTTATAGATAATACATTTGGAATACACATAGGTAGCCATGATTCAACGACTGCCAGAGATATTACACAGTTTTGCTGAGAACCCAAGGTTTCTTACCTCTTGCATCCAAGCAGCCAACATCTTTGGGAACTGGTCCGTGAATTTTAGGAAAATCACGATGCTATGCCAGTAGGAGCATATTGCAGTAGGAATTCACATTTTATCTTTAATTGACACACAATGGCAGCAAATAACATAATTTGCATTCTGGTGGAAAAGCAAAGCCAGTACTGATTTAGAGACAACACTTTGGGATCTGTATCTGGACACACAGTGTTTCCCCATAAAAATGAGAACAAATGAAGCAGGCAATCTTTTGTGACTAATAATGCCTCCTTTCAGATTCTGAGCAGAGTTTATTTGCTTGTTCATTGTTTGTTTCTTTTCTGATTTGCGGGATGTTATATGGCATCAGAACCTCTATTCCAGCTTCAGGAGAATCACAACAAAGTTAATAAAGTAAGCAATTTACATACAGAGTCACAAAATAAATCCAAACAGACAAACAAACAAACAGAAATAATGCTATACGTCTACCAGGATTTGAAGAAAATATTTTTCCCCTAGTTTGGATGGATTGATATTGTCTTCTCTTATATTGTTTTATTAAAAAACCACAATAGCAACAGCAGGAGTGAAAACCAAACAAACAGTCTCGAACAATGACATTTCCCAGTCTAGAATAATTTCAAGCATATGTATTATTCATTAGACTGATAATGATCATTATAATTAATATATATATAAATCATTCTTTTGCCAAATTCGAGAAAGATGGCTGCCTTTCCCAGTGGTTCCCATATGGAATCACTGGTAACTCTCCCAGCAGATTTGGATTATTTTGCTCTTGAGCTGGTTCTGACCAGCACAGAAAGTAATCATCTTGTTGCTCAGCAGACTTGGGCTTTTCTTGTGGTGAAATATGCAATTAATAATATTGCCCATATTTTTTGTGTCATGGGTTCCCATGGACAAGATCAGAGCAACAGGAAAAGTTGATTTTCCTAAACCACTGATGAATTGTCCTGCCTCACCTACCCCATGCAAATTACCTTCTGCCTTAACTCCTCTGCCTAACACTACTCAGGAGTGTCTCTTGCCTTTCCCACATATGCATATCTATGGCTTCAGGAACCCATGTCAAATCCTTGCAGCTGCCTGTGCTTTGCCTCCAGAATCAGCCCTGGCTTTGTCCCCACCATCTGCTTTGAACCTCCTCTCATTTGGCTTGGGTCTTTACTGCTACTGTTTGTCTTCGCTATGTGGGATGATGATTCAATTTCAGTCACCCTTGGAAGTGGTGATTGTCTCTTGATTCTCGTATTTCCTCTGAGCATATTGCCCAGTCTTAGACACCACATGGCCAGGTCTTCTAAGCGTTACTCTCTGATTTCTAAGTGTGTTAGTCCATTTTGCATCACTGCAAAGGAGTACCTGAGGCTGCGTAATTTATAACGAAAAATTTGCTTCACAGTTCTGCAGAGTGTACAAGCATGGCACCAGCATCTGCTTGGCTTCTAGTGAAGCCTCAGGATGCTGTTACTTATGGCAGAAGGTGAAGGAGGAGCTTGCATGTCATGTGGTGAGAGAGGAAGCCAGAGAGAAGGGTGGAGGTACCGGCCTCCTTTAAACACCCAGCTATCTTGTGAAACAACAGAGCGAGAACTCACTTATTTTCATGGGGAGGGCAGCAAGCCATTTGTGAGGAATCCACCCCCATGACCAAAACACTTCCCACCAGGCCCCACTTCTGATGTTTGGGGATCACATTTCAACATGAGATTTGGAGGGGCAAATATCCAAACAACATCACCAATAAAAAGGATTAGTCATACAAGGACCCTTCTACTGATCCCCAAAGTCTAGGGTACCTGTCTTCCTCTTGAAGTCTCCCTCTTTCAGAACCTTGGATCCTGCTCTCAAATCACTCCTTTCTCTCTCTCTAGTCCTTGCTGTAGATGCCTGACACCCTGAAAATAAGGCAATGCTACCTATTGGCTTCCATCATCAGTCTTGGCTTTCTATAAACACTTAAGTATATGTATGGAAACTTAGAACTCCTTTCAACTTAGTTACTCACTTCTTTTATTTATTATGTGTCTGTTATACAAACCTAAATCAGAATAGAATTCCTTCCAGAAATGACACTTTATCAGCTGTGTAATTTGTTATTATTCATCAGTTTAATAACTATGTGTGCTATTCTCAGGGGAGTGGAAAAAAATAACCAAAAGCTATGTTTTAAACATTCAATATCTAAAGCCATCTGCAATACCTGGAAGAGACAGGATAGACGGACAAGACATGGGGATTACTCTTTCATAAATGAATCCCCAAATGGTAGACTTCCAATGATCAAATCAGCTTAGCTACTGATTCCTGATAAGACCTAGCAAATTTGTTTTGCCATGACTAATAGAGCTAAGGAATTTGTTAGACGGTCACTGAACCTCTCAGTCAAAATCCAGTACAAATGGATTACCCTTTTAGAGACATAAAGGAAAGAGGACAGACTTTGTAGAATCTTAGAATACTAGACTGTAATATTAAGTGGCAATTATTTGGGTCCAAGTTAATTAACACACACACACACACACACACACACACACACACACACACATGTTTTAAAAACAAATGTTGTTGTCTCTGCTCTCCTAACAGGAAGCTCAGTCTCACATATGCAGGCAGATTGACTCATGAGTAACTCTGATTATATCAAGTTTTTCTTTTACTGAAATATTATGTAGCTGTCTCTACTTTCTGTTTCTAGATGTTTCTTTATACCAAGTCATTCCTTTGTTCATTTGTGCATCTTGTGTTTTTTTCTTTTAAAAAAGTATTTTGTTGAGTGACTATTTACTGCAAAGCACCAATCTAAGCCCTAAAGATGCAATAATAAATAAAATAGTTTTGGTTTGTGTTATAGTGCAACTTACAATATATTGGGGGAAAGCAATAGTATTTGGAAAATTACATAATAAAGATAAAGTTTCAAATTTTAATAACTGCTATGAGGTAAAACTGCAGGGGTTTTATGAGACATTTCATAGAACAAACTGACCAATTCTATAACAGCAGTAGTCATAGAGGTGGTGCTGGTGCACCAAACACTTCCTGAGGAATGGCCTTTAAGTTGAAATCTGAAGAATAAGCTAACAAAGCAAGATTTGGGAGTAGGGACAGGGAAAAGCCCTCCTAGACAGAGAATTATGAGAAGAGTTTGAATTGGGTAAGACGTTTGCAGGATTAGGACAAGGGTAACCACGTGTTCCCCATGACAGGTGATTCTCTCTTAAATCTTCTGAGTCTACACATCTTTGTATGCTTCAGCCTTTCCTCATATGACGTGAGCTCCAGACCTCTCACTTCTGTTTTTGTTTTGCCTTGGCCATGCTCTAGCTTGGCTTTGTCTCCTTAGCATGTGTTCTTAACAACAGCACACAAGTCATGTGGGTATGTCAGTCGTAAAATCAACCCTTCTGAATCCCAAACTGGGGATGGGAGAAGTTAAAACCGAAGTTCCCCCAAAAAACTAAAACCAAAACCAAAACCGAACCAAAAAAACCCAGAGTAGCCAAGATTTACAGGAGTAACCACAAAGACCCTGCTGGGCTTGCAAGGGAGGTGCTATCCTCTAAACTTCTCTACTTCTCCCCTCAATGTTTTAAAAGTTATAAAAGAAGAAAAGCTGATGGATTTGGAATCAGTCTTCAAGTAACTGGCCAATATATGTAACATTTTGATGTAGGATAAAAAGAGACAGAACAAAAGAGCTCTTTCTGCAAGTATAATACTATACTATAATATTATTTTTAATATATTTTACATCTTTTCTCTCAACTTGAAGTTCTTCAGGGCCTGTTTCCTTTCATTAATTGTTCTCACTCTAGGCTGAAAAATGTCACCATGGGCTATGATAAAATACCGCAGATGGATAACGTGCCAAGTGGCTCACAAAGAGCCCTGGAAGCTTTAGCCTTACAGATAAAAGGAAATATCTAGATGGGAGAGGATTGATATAGTAAATAAATTTGACTGGCATTAAGTATTTAATATTGTGGTTGGCTCCATGAAGCCAGTACATCGAATGCATAGTGGCATAGTAGCCATTTGGGCTTTACTGTAAGTTTGACAAGCCCTAACCAGCTGCATGGCATTAGATTGTAAGTGACAAGTTCTGATAGACCTGTCAGCTTGAGAAAGCTTACTTTAAAGCAAACAGAAAATGCTGCAGATTCTTTTATTAATAAGGTAACCTTCAGTTAGAAACAAGAGGAAAGGCAGTGAATGCTGGCTGCTTCTGAGAATGTAACTTTGGTCAAGACGGCTGCCTTGGGACAAGTGAAATTTCCAAATGGGGTATCAATTATGAGTTTTAAGAGACAATATTCTTGACAGCTAAGGGATGAGTGCCTTGATTCTAAATAGCCTACCCTTTGCACTGCTTGGATCCATTGCTTCATATAATAAGTTCATGCTAAACCAAAACAGTTTTTTCGTGGATTCTGTTTGATCACTTCCTAGAGACACTTAATGGAGGAAGGTTGGTGGGATGAAATGTAGCCCCTTCTGCTGAAGAAACACTTCAGGTGACAACTGATATTCATCGTTTTCCTACGTTACAGTTATTTTATTGCAGAAGAGATTCCCCCTGCCCCTCGGCATTTCTGCTGGTGGGGTTTCACAAGCCTTTATCCTTGGGGGATTTCAGATCCTGCTTACTATGTCTTACTCAGATCATAGCTCCTTTACTTGCTGATTCACTATGTAAATTGGATGATTACCAAGAGAGATTCTATTGATCATGTGGGTGTGAAGTACATTTTTTCTGACCACATTGTGTAACAGTAGCCTTACTTCATTCTGAATGCCAGTGTTAATTACCCCTGCCAGGATAGTAATTTCTTTTTCTTATTTCTTGATCTCTTGGAACAAGAATTCAAAATGATTGGGTGGTATCTGTAGATAAAGTTTAATGACACATATTCCCCTTTTAAGAACAAATACCTATAGATCCACGGAACCTGGAAATGCAGGCTTGTACCTATACAATCATCTATATTGAGTAATGTATTGGGAATGATAGTAAGTGGTGCCACTTCTGATTCTACTCTTTGGTACGTGGACTTTTAGAGTCTACCTATTCTTTGTATTCTATCTAATAGGGATATAGCACCATATAGTATGTATTGATTTAGAGTACATTCTGCATCCTAAACTTTTCAAGTTCACACAAAATCTTCACAAATTAAATCATATAAAAGGCCATAAAATACGTTTTAGTAAGTGTAAAAGTATTGAGAGCATACAAAGTATGTTCCTTGAGCACAACTGAATTGTTAGACCTTCATAAAATAAGATACTTATAGAAGTTCTAGATATTTAAAGTTAGCAACACACATAAATAACTTACAGGCTAAATTTAAAAATCAGAAGAAAAATTAGAAGATATTTTCATGCAAATGATGAAGAAAATATAAAAATTTATGGAGTACAGCTTAATTTGTGCTGATAGGATGTGAATCAGATTTACTGGGCACTGGTTACCAACTTGCGTCAGTGAGACAGATGCACTCATATACAAGTTACATGAAGTAAATATATTACTTACAGATAGGCAACAAGGAACAAATGAACCCTAAGATTCACGGTGAGCCAGTCCCTAAGGTTCAAGAAAGTTGCCTGGGGTAGATGGAACATTGACTCTGTGTGACTCATTGCTCCGTGGATGAGGGACCCCAAAAGGCAGCCTGTGCAGGATTATGTATATTAGGGGCTGTGTGATTTACTGGGAGAAGCTTAGAAGGACATCCTGCTTCCAGAGGAGAGAAGAACAAACCCAGGCTGTCCTAAGAAGTTTGTCCCTGATTTAAGATGCTATGTTTTCTAGTAGGGTCAGGAACAAGGCCTGGGCTGTTCAGCCAGTTCCTCCTGTCTCAGCATATGCACTCCCAGCACATTCAACAAGTTATTATCAAAATTACAGGCAAAAAAGCATGGAGAACTAGGTCAGTTCAAGAGAATTGTCATGCCCAGGAAATCAAGAACTGTTTTAAATAGCAATAATATAATTTTTCACCTAAGAAGATGGGGAAAAAATTAGCACAAAGTAAAGAAAACAAAATAAAAAGAAGAGCAGGTATCTATGAAACAAAAATAGAGAAACACAAAGAAGATCAACAAATCCTTTTTATCACTGAAAAGATAAAAAAATCAATAAAAGCTTTTTACAGTAGCATCAGGAACAAAGGAGAAATGTCATAAATTAGCAATATCAATAATGAAAAGGGGAGTTATATTGGAGGTCCTACTGAGTTTAAAAGATAACAAATGGTCACTTAGATGAAATGTTCACATCCTGAAAAGCACAACCTACTAAAATTGATACAAGATAATAGAAATAGAAAATGGAAAATAGGAATAGATCTGTATTTATTAAACTAATTGCTTGTCAAAACCCCATCACATAAAGAAAGCTCTAGGTGCAAATGTCTTCACTGGAAAAGTCTATCAAACATACAAGGAAGAAAAAACACCAATATGACACATACTCTTCAAGAAATAAAGATGGAAGAAAAACTTCCCAGGCACTTTTATAAAGTAATCATAATCTTGGTACCAAAACCTAAATAAGACATTAAAAAAAGAAATTCATAAAGAATAGCTTTTATGATCATAGATGCAAAATCTCATAGTAGAATGTTAATAACTTGAATTCAATAACCTAGAATAGCAAAGGGAAACTTATCTCAGGAGTGCAAGTCTGGTTTATTGTTTGGAAATTATTCAGAATAATTCACCGTATTAACTATAAAAGGGAGAAAAAATGATGATAAATACAGAAAGAGTAGCGCAATTCAATGACCATCATGATGAAAACTCTAAATAATATAGGAATATCAGAAAACTTTCTCAATCTGGTAAGGAACATCTATAAACAAAACTATTCATCATACTTAATAGTGAAATATTGAACATTTTCCCCAGAGATCATTTTAAGGCGAGTATATCTGCTTTCATCAGTCCTATTCAATATTGTACTGGGAGGCCTTGTCATTACACTAAGGCAAAGTAAAACTTAAATATTGAAAAGGAATTAGGAAAATTATCTATTCACAAGTGACATAATTTTTATGTAGAAAACCCTGAGGGAATGCAAAACCTATACCAGTATTAAAAAGTAAATTTAATAAGTTTCAAGCTTCATGTTTAATATAAAAATGTATTTCTGTGTACTTGCGACAATAACTATAACATTTAAAAATCCATTTAACAGAGCATAAAAAATGTAAACCATTTTACAAAAGACCTGCACACTGAAAAGTAAATATTTCTGGCTAAAATAAAGGATACATAAATAATTAAAGTGATATACCTCGTTCATGGATTCAGAAGCAATATATTTAAGTCATTAATTTTCTCCCATCTATAGTTTCAATGCAATCTTATTCATCATTCTAGCAGAATTTGCCATCAAAATTGAAAAGTTGATTTTAAAATTTGTATAGAAAATACAAAAAACTATATAAACCCCAAAACTCTCTAGAAAGAATAACAAAATTGTAGTACTCATACTACCGATTTTAAGACTCATTGAATGAAAGCCAGAGGAATCAAGTATTGTGTTCGCATAACACAATAAATAAATAGATACATTGATTTATGAATCAATGGCATGGAATGGGGACATCAAAATAGACTGACATTTATAGTTGATTGATTTTAAATGAAAGATTCTAAGTAATTCAATGGAAAAAAAATCCCAACAATTAATGCAGGAATACCTAGATTGCTAAATGGAAAGAATATGGACCGCAAACCCTACTTCACATCAAACAAAAATTAAATCAAGACCAAAGTATACAAACTAAAACTATAAAACTTCCAGAAGAAAACATATGTGTATATCTTTGAGACCTAAGAATAAAGAAATAATAACTATTAAAATGATAAATTATATTTTATCAAATATAAAAGTTTCCAGTTATTTATATACCCTGAAGAGAATGAATAGAAAACCTATAAGCTGGTATAGAATAATTACTATAGACTGGGATAGAAAACATAACTCTCAAAAGTACTTTGATCGAGATTGTACAACAAACTGCTATAATTCAATACTAAGAACACAGACAGCCCAGTTACCAGGTAAGAAAATGGATGAGGTAGAGCACAAGACTTCACAATTCACAGAGGATGATCTACAAAACACCAATAATTTCATTAAAAAGTGCTTAACATCTTTAGTCACCCAGAAAATGCAAATTAAAACCACAAAAAGATACCACTTCAACACCAAATGCTGTGGAAGAGCAACGAAAACTCTCCTCTCTGTTGCTGGGACTCTAAAATTGTATAACTGCTCGCAATAAATGTTTGTCAGTTTAAAGAAAAATTAAATATACACCTACCCTTGCACCTAGCAATTTTTATTTCTAGGTGTTACCAAGAGAAAGAAAAATATATGTCCACCAAAAGATGTTTAGAACTGTATTCATTACAACTTTATTTATAATAACCTCAAACTGGCAACATGTCCAACAACAGGAAAATTGAAAAACACATTATGATAGATTTACTTCATGGACTGGAAGTTAGCAATTAAAAAGAAAAAAGTTACATAAGAAGATGGATGATGAATGACTATCATAGGCGACTATAGTGAGGGAATGACATCAAGCACAGTGATTCCATTTATGTGGAGTTCTGGAATAAGCAAAACTAAGATACGGTTAGAAACTTTTACAAAAGTCATAGCATCTAGAGAAAGAACTACAGGGGACTTTCTGTGATGGCAAAAATTTCTATATATTGATAATTCAGTGGTTACAAGGCTTTATTATGTATTTGTAATAACCCATTGAATAGTACACTTAAGATTTGTACATTTAATAGTATGCAACCTCAAATGAAAGGAAAAAAGAAGGAGTTGTAAGCAACCATAGGAAGTACTAGACTACAGATATGTCTGTCTCACTGTACCATTGGAGCAACAGTCTCTGAACTCTTTTTCCTTGATGCTTCCTTTGTATTTGTACAGAATTGATAAGAAGGAGGCCATAGAAGTAAGGCACTGCCAATGTGCAAAGGCCATGGTGAGCAGAAGCCTATCTTACCTGATGTCTGCATGATATTTCTATTTATAGCAATGTTTTCAGCTATAGCAAGAATATTAATAAATTCCCACTGGTTTCAAGTACAGGTAGTTAGAACTACAAATTTTGCTTTGGTAACTTAGAGCCATATGGTCTCTAGGAGTGAGAATGGGTCAGATATTAAGAATTAGACAAAATAGAGGATACTGAATTTACAGACATACTCTTTAAGTATGATTATTTTTATGAACTCACACTGCCTCCAAGATCTTTGATTGTATCTTCCCCCATTGGTGAAGTCATGCTAATACATGAATTGAATTATATTTTGTGAGCAGGAGAGGAACTTTTCCACTCAGCAGAGTACTTCTCAGTGTATATAGGACTAAGTAAGGGAGGAAAGCAACTATTGTTTGTTAGTCCTATGTAGGCCAGATTTTGAGGTATTGTTCTCAAATTATCTTGTTTCATCTACCTCCATTCTGTAACCACTTTGAGAAATGGACATTGCCTTTAATAAATTTATTTTAATTTAAGGCAGACACAAGAGCCTTTGAATTTTTTTTTTAGACAGGGTCTTGCTGTGTTGCCCAGGCTATAGTGTGATCACAACTCACTTCAGCCTCAGACTCTTGGGCTCAAGGTATCCTCCCACCTCAGCCACCCAGCCACCCATGTAGCTGGGATTACAGGTGCATGCCACATGTCTGGCTAGTTTACTTTTATTTTTTTGTAGAGATGGGGTCATGTTATATTACCCAAACTGGTCTGGAACTCCTGGCCTCAAGCAATCTTCCTGCCTCAGTTTCGCAAAGTGTTAGGGTTACAGGTGTGATCCATGGTGCCTGGCCTGAACAATTTACTATAACCTAAAGAAGGTTTTACTGAAACTCAATTCTATCAATATATGAAATCTTATCCCCTTTTCTCTCCACTGAACTTTCTTCATATTTTATTTTGTGTAGGCAGTGTTTATAAACTGTGATATTTCTTTTTTGTTATTAGAAAACATGACAGCATGGCACAGACGTGATGCTTAGCCAGTCATATTTGTGAAATAGGTCTGATCTTACATATTGGTTGAGTGGGCATGAATCACAAGACACAGATAGATATGATATTTTCCTTGATTACTCTGCTGTGGTATAAGAATAAATTTTTACTTTGATGAACCGTGATTTTTCTCTCTCTGCTCATTTTGCTGCAGTCTGTTTGTTTATTGAACAAAGCTTTTTTGAGTGCTGACACTGTGACAGGCATTGTTCCAGCACTGGGACTTCAGTGATGAAGAAAACAGACAAGACCTGCGCTCTCATAGAGCTTGCATTCTATCAAGGGCAGACAGAAAGTAACCAAATAAACAAATAAATGGACAAGATTTCTGCTTCTGATAAGTTCTATTTAAAAACCTATACATGGCAACATAGTGGAGGGATGGGATGAGCAGTAGCTTCCTTAAATTGGGTGAACAGGCCTTTCTGAGGAAGTACAACTTGAACTGAAACCTGAGTGGTGAGTGAGATCAGTGGTACAGAGATGTGGGGAAGAACAGTCTACACTCAAGAAACAAACAAATGCAAAAGCCTTGTGGTAGGAGTGGATGGGTGGAAAAATCCTTTCAAGGCTAATGCGACTGGGCCATGTTGAGAGGGGGGAAACTGATAATAAGTGAAATCAGGAATACTGGAAACATGGAAATCATTGCTTAGAAATATTGGCATGTTTTAAGCCTGTGGATAATAACATTATCTGATTTGCTTATTTAAAACCATTCTTCTAGTTGTTAAGGAGCATAAGAGACTAATTAAAAGGATATTGATATAATCCATGTGGAAGATAGTGGTATCTTTGGCTAATGTCTTAGAAATACCAAATGGAGTCCAGGAGCGGTGGCTCATGCCTGTAATCCCAGCACTTTGGGAGGCCGAGGCGGGCGGATCACCTGAGGTTGGGAGTTTGAGACCAGCCTGAACAACATGGAGAAACCCCATCTCTACTAAAAGTACAAAATTAGCCGGACATGGTGGCACATGCCTGTAATCCCAGCTACTCAGGAGCCTGAGGCAGGAGAATCGCTTGAACTCGGAAGGCAGAGGTTGCAGTGAGCAGAGATTGCACCATTGCACTCCAGCCTGGGCAACAAAGGTGAAACTCCATCTCCTAACAACAACAACAGCAACAGCAAAAACCAGCAAGCAAGCAAACAAACAAAAAACAAACAAAAACAAATGGAAAAAGAAATAGCAAATGGAAAGAATCTAGCACTTTAGATATAGAACTGACATTGCTTGCTGATGACTGGAACAAAAAGAAGTATATTTTCTAAATCATGAGCCAAATTAATATGGTTTAATTTAACAAATAGTGCCTGAAGATGTAGTCTGTACTAGATGCTTCTAGTTTGTGTTGGTATTCCTGGGGTGAAAATGACACAGACCCTGCCTCAAAAGCGTGTTGCATTTCACTTCACACTTACTGAATTTCAAGAGTGAGCCTAGGAATCTGAACTTCAACTAGTTTGAAAACTACTGGTGTGCCAAAAACACACCTGTTTTTCCAATACAGAAGTAGGAAGGGAAAATATAAATGGGGCTCTGCCCAGATCCCAGATTATTCTTCTAAGGATGCGATGTTCCAGGGGGAAGGCCCATGTGTGGAGACGGTACATAAAGTGAGGCCAGGCACTGAGTGGAACTGAAAGCATCCTATGCAAGGTAATTTGAGGAAGAGTTACCAACGTGGAGGTAGATATTGGGAAAAAGGAGCCAGATTACACCTGGAAAGAAAATAGCATATGCCACGTCTGTAGAGCAAGAATAAGAAAGGAAAGAGCTGCGAGGGAATGCCAGGAAAAATTGAGAAAACTAATAGATGGTGAGATTCTGAGTTGCGTATTTCAGGAAATAATTTGGTAATTGAGAATAAAAATGTTGCTATCATTACCAGTGACCAAAATTTGCTAAGCATGAGGTTACAATGGTTTAACCAGTCACCCGTAAACTGGATGACTTCTTGCTGACTGCTTTCATAACTTGGGTAAGGTTGATTATGAGGAATGTTGGAAAGAATTCCCATACAGGACAAGGATATGCAGGAGCTGGAAAAAATGATTAGTTTGTGCAGTTGCAAAAAGAACAGAAAAGATGTGCTAGATCCTGCATATGTTGCTATTTAAACAGGAGTTTTGAGGGGAAATAATGCTTGAGAAGGAGCAGAAATAATTTACTTGTTGGTTTGCTGGAGGGTGAGCTAGGTAGAACTAGGCTTGTCACAGAGGCCTAGTTACAGAAATAAACAAAATTAAGGAAGGACTTCCTGTTATGGTAATGGTCAAGTAGCTTGTAGTGAATGAATGTACCTGCAAACTGCAATTATAATTCTGCATAATAATTACTCTAAAATATACTATTTGGAGGCATTGAAAAACAACCCAAAGCAGGCTGCCATCATTCTTATTATTCTAATCTTCATATGGAAATGCGACAAAAGAACCTAAATGGAGAAAAGCCAGAATAATCATGAAAAAGAATAACAACACGGAAGAAGTTACATTATCTAATTTTAAGACATTATGTAAAGCTATAGTCATCAAGACAATATCTTTTTGGCATAAAGATAGACATCTATATTACTGGAACAGATATGAGTTTATAGAACACATGCAATGTGTTCAACTGATTCTTAAGAAATCTACAAAAGCAGTTAAGTAAGGCAAAGAAAACTCTTTTTAAAAGATGGAATTTGTATGAAGAAAAAATGAACTTTAATCATTTCCCCCTACTATGAACAAAAATTGAGCCTAAGAGCGAAAACATTAGGCTTTTAGAGGAAAATAGGAAGATGACTTTATAACCTGTGGTTAATTAAGTATTTCTAAGAAATTAGAGGAATTCCAATAAACATAAAAGATGAAATTTAAAAAGCGGTCTTCATCACAGTTATGTCTGTTCTTGAAAAATAAATGGCCAATAGTCCTTTTAAAATGTTTTACTATTACTCATTAGGGCAACCCAAGTTAAAGATATAATACAATACTGCTTCACACACATTTTAATAGTTAAAATTAACCAAAAGAAATCCAAAACAAAACAAAACACTTGTCAACACTAAATGTAGTCAAGGTCGTAGAGAAATTGGAACTTTCATACATTGCTTATGGGAGCATAATATGGTATACCCCTTGAAAATGTTTGGGCTTGTTTCTTGTGAAGCCAAACATACAGAATGCTCCCAAGATTACTATGCCTGGTGTACATGTTATATAGAAACTCTCTTCTGTATATGTGATTGGGACCTGTGAATGTGTGGAGTAGTCACTTCACTTTCTTGATTAGGATGCAATATTCAAAACTCTGACTTTACAGACTAGAGTGAGATTCTTCTGCTGGCTTTAAATATTTTAGCTGTTGTGTGGTGAGTTGGTCACATGATTAGGACCTTTGGAAGCTATCACATTCTCTAGGCGCTTAGAGCAACCCCTGGCGAAGCCAGAGAGAAAATGGAGACTTTAGTCCAACTAATTCAAGGAGCCAAATTCAGCCAACAGCCTGAATGAGCTTGAAGGAGGACCCAAGCTCCAGATGCAAACAGAGCCCCAGATGCCAGTCTTGAGAGACTTTAAGCAGAGAACTTACTTGCACTGTGCTGGACTTCAGACCTACCAAAACAGTGAAATAACAGAGTGTTGTTTGAAGCCACTAGATTCGTGATAATTTATTACATAGCAATAGAAAACTAATGCACACTTATTATTTATCATCCTCCTTTTGCTGAAATTTATTTGATAGTTTTCACCTACAGATCATTTGGGCTCTTTTTCTTTCAACTTGATCTCTCTGACAGTGTGATATATGTTGTAAACCCTGCTTGGTATGTCTTTGGAGAAGGAAGCAAAGTGGTCCATCATGTTGTGATTAATCTCAGTCTCCACAGATTCAAAATTCCAGATTTGCAAATCATTGTGTCCTTGTCCCCAGCCACTCTATATCTTATGTACATGTTTAAGTTGATTCTCATCCCAAGAAAGACGCTGTAATTAATTCCTCTAGACTCTCAACAAAAGTATGTTGTTTTATATTAGTTTTCCAAGCTCTATAAAGCTATTGATTCACAATGTTGAAGCTCGTTTACTTACTACTAGCACAGAGATCTAATTTCACAGGTCTCTCTCTTCTATGTCTCTGTAGTTAAGGGTGCTTTAAAAAATCTAGGGCAAATTTAGAAGTGTTTCAACACTTGCATTCATTAAACTAACCAAGCATTTTGTTCGTGGAAATTGGAATACAGACAAATGGATTTTAAGTGAGAATCCAAAATGCCTGCCTCAAGTGTGCAGATTAAATGCATAAGCTTTTAACTTATTTCTCTGAGTTATTTAACTTCTACTTCTCAATCCAGGGCTTAGTGGATAACTGAATACCAATTTCTGACAGGAACGAAAGGTCATCAATGAAAGCTTTTTAGAAAAGAGCTACTACTGCTATTTTTCCACCTTTAATCAAGACTTTTGCTCAGACTAATCATTAAAAAATAGTTCTTGTTAAACTAGATTTCAGCCAGATTAATATGATTCTGTTCATATGACATAATTTGGAGCAGGGTTTTGACTAAAGATTTTTGAGGTGTTGCATGATTCATGATGGCTCAGTAGAAAGGGAACTGGAATAGAAATCAGGGATCTGGGCTCTTGATTTGGTCCTTAGTTATCCACACATTTTTTTTTCTTTTTGTAGCACACATCAAAATTATTATTGTTTGTTTGAATTGTTTAACATCTGGCAAAATGTAGAGTTCCATGAAGTCATGTATGTGGCTATCTTGTTCCCAAGTGTATCTGTGACACATAACACATTGCTAGTCAAGGAATGAGCATACTCTAATATTTGCTGAAGTATATTAAATAGCTCTTTACTTAGAGTAATTTGGGAACCAAATTAAGTGTTCTTTCTTTTATTATCTTATTCATTTATTTACAGTATTCTATAGAAGAGGAAATAAATATCTCATTTATGGCTTTAAAAATTTTCTTCATTAGGTTGCTTCTGTATGCAAAACAATTGAGATTTGAAATCAGATCTGCCAGTCAAGGTTGGAAACATATTCATAAACTTCGTTAGATAATCACTTAGTGGGATTAAGTGAAGGTCTCTTTTCTTTGCAACAAGGCCAAAAAGGGTATGGAATGTAGAATTCTAAGGTGGTTCCACAAATATTCTACTGCCTCACATTGACACTCTTTCTTCCCATTATTCAAAGAAACATTAATGTAGGTAATTCTATGAAGGAATTTTGCAGAAAAAATTCATAAATCAAAGTTTAGTTTGAAATATGGGGATTATTCAGGTGGGCCTGACTTAACCACATGAGCCCCTTAAAATCAGAGAGGTTTTTTTGGTTGGTTGCAGAAGTGAAAGTCAGAGAGATGAGATTTGCACCAGCTAGCCGGGAAGAAATGAAAGGTTCATGTTGAAAACTGCTCATGGAGGACACATGAGAGAGAGTTGTGAGCAGCCTCTAGGAGCTGAGAGTGGTTCAACCCACCAATAGATGGAAAACGGGGACCTCAGTCCAATAGCTGTAAGGAAATGAGTTTTGTCAACAACCAGTGAGGCTAGAAGAGGGTCCCATGCCCAGATGAAAACTTCAGCTTAATTTCAGCCTGGTAAGACCTCAGACAGAGAGATCTGGTCATGCTGGGCCTAGATTTCTGAAACACAGAAATGTGAAATAATAAATGGGTATTGTTTTAGGTCACTACATTTATGGTAATTTTTTAGGATACAATAGAAAATCACTATACAAGGATGACTTCAACATACTGGAAATTGACCTGAGAATTGTGAGCATTGATTTGGTTTCATGCTGGATGAGAGTAGTAGGCAATGAACTGTGCCAATGACAAAAGAATATCAGATAATGAAAAAATATAAGACTGGTGGGTCTTGGTCCTGCTCTATAAAGGAAAAGGTATTTTCTTCAGAAATCCTTGAACTTCTTATAACCTTCCTGAAGGGTTATTTCAAAAGTGCACATCTCCATATTTATACACATATATCCTTAAAGTTTGTCAATTTTTCTCTTTGGTCATTTAGATTGATGGACAGACTTTGCTTCTCATAGGATTGGTTTAAGGATCAACTGAATAAATGCATTCACAATTAATTTTTATGAATAAAGAAGACCAAGATTTGAATGGTTGTTTGACAGTCCATGTTTTTCCCATTACCTTTTGTGTTTGGGGGCACTCTTATAGAAGTGCCTCAAAATGTATGATAGTTTTGGGTAAGGATTAAATGAACTCTTATTATAAGGCCATACACTGAAATTTATGAGAACATGTAGAATTTCCCTCTTCAAAGAATCACCTTTCATGCTATACACCTGTTTTAACAGTTTGACTTTTCATATATGTTAAAGAAATTCCAGCCCAGATTTTTAAATGACTAGCTTTGGAAATTTGAGAGTAGAATTAACAGTTATAAAAAGACAAGTCCTGAGAAATAATATGAGAAATAGCAATTATAGTTTTAATATGGCCTCTGTACCATTTATGTCATAAGCACAAAAACTATTAATCTTGAGCCTTGATTCTGCTCAATACCTTCTTCTTCTGCCTAAAATGACCTTGAGTTTATTATCCTATTGAAATTTTGCTCATTTTCCTGTGACCTGAGAGACCAAAATAGACACCACTGTATCAACTAAGATAGGCCCTAAGGTTAAGAAAACCGAGCTACCTAAGGGTCAGAGTTCAGAGCTTGGCTGACATGGCAAATTTCTAAATTCCTATAGCTAAATTCCCTAACAATAGGGGCTATCAGCTCTGATTTACAATCCAGACTACAACTCTGATTGGACAGAAGATCAGCCTTACAGATGTTCTTTTCTGATAAGTTACTGCAGACCTTAAGCCAGTTTCAGCCAGTTTATTGAGGCTGCATACAAACAGTCTTTGTGTCCTATATTTTACCTTTTAGGCTTAAAGAGTCAAATTCTTTTTATTTTAATGCTAAAACCCCACCCCAAAGTGAACACAAAATGTGTGTTACATACATGTTTACCCAACTTGGATGTGCTTGGCTTCCCTCATAAATGTGTATAGCTTTCTCCCCAGAACTACTAAATAGGTCTGATATTGGCTCCGTGGGGCATAAAACCCAACCTATCCTTCCCCTCTTTGAAGAAAGAGCACCTTGGTCCGTGCTGGAGAGTTTCTCTTCCCAGCTTGCAAATCAATATCGCCAATAAGGCTCTCCTTTTTACTAGTTAACTGTCCTGGTGGTCTTTCAGATGACACTTCAATGGTCACTTTTTTTTTCTGATACCTCCAGATAGAATGGATCTCTTCCTTTTCTTCACTCCATCTCCATTCTGCTTTAACACATTTAACCTGGGATCTGTTTCCCTCCCTTATGTTTTTAGCTCCAAGAAGGCAAGATTGTATTTTATTTTCATCTTTTTGTGGAATCACCTTAGATGCATTAGGCAAATATTAGATGCTCAGTAATTTTGCAAAATAATTGAAAGACGGAAAAAAAACTAGCTTGAGTTATCCATTCTAAAATTATGGAAATAACAGTAATCATCTTTATATTTTATTAAAAATAGAATTATGTCATTTTCATCATTTCATATCCACTATCATCATGACATTAGTATCTGAATGAATTATGAAGATGTTAACCTTGATTACCTGGCTGAGGTAAAGTTTGTCAGAGTTTCCTACTGTAAAGGTACTCTTTTATTCTGATGTCCATATTGTATTCTTTGGCAGGAAATTTCTATGAACAGCTCACACTTAAGTGGTAGAAAGCTATGTGTCACCTACTTGAGGGGAAAGTATCTTTATAATTTATTTACCTCTGTGGTATTCTTGTAAAAACAAACAAATGAACAAACAAAAAACCATAACTCCAAGCTAATCATCAGTAAACCTGCTCTCCCAATCAATTGAACATTTTACAAAACACGTGATCAATATTCTTTAAGACTTTCAAGATCATACAAAAAAAAAAAAAAGGAAAGTCTGAAAAACTGTCACAGTGTAGAGGAGCCTAAGGAGACATGACCACTAAATATAATGTGGTACCCTGAATGAGATCCTGGAACAGAAAAAAGACATTCGGTAAAAAACAAGGAAATCTGAATAAAGCATAAACTTTAGTTAATGATAATATTGGTTTATTAATTATAACAAATGTTCTATATGAACTTAAGATACTAAAAATAAGGAAAGTGGGAATGGCATACATGGGAATCTATATACTATCTTTGCAAATTTCTGTTGGTCTAAAATTATTTATTTAAAGACAAAAACTTATTAAACTCAAGAGAATTAGAAGACAAGTCACAGAATGAAAGAAAATATTTGCAAAAGATATAGCTAAGAGAACTCTTGGCGAAAATATAAAAAATATTTTAAATCTTAATAATAAGAAAAATAAGCTGATTAAAAAATGGGCAAAAGATCTTAACAGACACCACATCGAAGAATATAGACGGGTGTCAAATAAGCTATAAAAAGATGTTGGACATTCCATTTTATTAGGGGACCGAAAATATGGATTTAGGCTTAAACAATCTATGTAATAGACGCAGGAAAATTGTTTGGGTTTGAGTTAATATTGAATATGTACCATTCCAGGATTAAAATTATTATCATTATTTTAATAAAAAACATGTAATTTGGGATAGATAACCAAAGATTCTGACTGAACTCATCCCAAAGAGTAAATAACTTTGTTTTGCATAATGGAGAAAGCAGAGTTGTTTAGAGGAAGATCCTGTCAGGATTCTGACTCCACTTTTCTGTGTTTCTTTTTTCTTGATATGTTGAAGTAGGTCATAAGCTGACTCCGGAAGTTCCAATCACCGTTTTCAGAGCCATTATCCCAAGGAACAAAGAAACTCTCCTTTGCTGGGTCTCCTTTCTGGGAAAAAGGAAGAGTGCCCCAGCAATCATACACAAGATTTAGATCAGAAGTCCATTTCTACACCAATCGCTGGCAAGGGCGGTGATTTTACCATGATGGCAAAGACCAATTTTCTGAGGTAGATAAACTTTGGGGAGTCATGGTCTCTGCCATCTTTTGAGTCACACTTTAGAGAGAGAAATAGACACATACACAGATACACGTACAATGTGGTAAATGCAAATATAAATGCCCATAGTAATAAGGGCAAGGCATATTGGTGTAGTTTATAGATTTAGCCTTCTACACATGCTTAAAGGCAGAGTAGACACATAATAGCATCTAGTTAGTTCTGAAAAACCCTTAATTTTTCTGTAAAAAGAAACTTTATTTGTGAAAGGATGATGGAATGGGGAGAATATGGTAAGAAATGAGAATCTTCTAGTAAGTTCTTGCCTCAAAGTTACTTTACTCTAGTGAAAAATAGCAGCAGCAGAGTGTGCTGAAAAAGCTTTATTATCTGATATATTTTATTTTATTATTTATTTATTTTGAGAGGGAGTCTCGCTCTGTTGCCCAGGCTGGAGTACAGTGGTGCCATCTCGGCTCACTGCAACCTCTGCCTTCAGGTTTCAAAGGTTTCTCCCACCTCAGTCTCCCGAGTAGCTGGCATTACAGGCACCTGCCGCCACGCTCTGCTAATTTTTGTATTTTTAGTAGAGACGGGGTTTCACCATGTTGGCCAGGCTGGTCTCCAACTCCTGACCTCAAGTGATCCTCCCAACTTGGCCTCCCAAAGTGTGGGGATTACAGGCGTGAGCCACCGTGCCCAGCCTGATGTATTTTACTTTTTGAATGGCAGCACTTGCCAACTTTTAGTTATTTTCCCCTCTACAAGACTTCGGATTATCCAAGGGAAACAAGGAGGCTTACAATAACTACCACGCAGTGTTGCTGAAATAATATAAGATATAATGCACACAATTTTGAAATACAAACATAATAGGAATCATCACTGAAAATTAGGCTGTTTTCTTTTTCTATTTTGCCTTTATTGAATCAGCACTGCATTCCTCAGAATAATTATGTCAGTACACTTTGTCCTGAAATATTTGTGTTAAAAAAAGGCATAAATTGTCATATCTAGTTACAGGGATAATATTCTTTTCGATTGCATTGTTCTGGCACTTTTCCCTTCAGATTACTGCTGTTTTGTTTTTATTCATCTTTAATAATCAATAGGAATTAATACATTCTTGAATTATCTTAAATATACAGGATGTTAAGTTTTCTTGGTTGTTATATGTCTCATAATGGAATGTAACTTGTTTCTTAGTTTCTTTTGGTGCAATTTACATGGAAAAAAGATTTCCCAGAGTTTATAAGGGTAAAACAAACTAATTTTCAGTAGGCCATGCTAGTCAGTAAAAAATTTTTAAATAGCAGGTTTAATAAATTTTTTAAGAAGAAAATATTTGAATGTGACTAATATCAATTGACCTTTCTATGTTTTCCCTTGTTTTTTTAAAAAATAATCTTAGAACTTATAATCAATTGTTTAACAGATACAGTGTTTTGAGAAACTGAATATACAATGATTATATGCCTTTCTCCAGTACTAACTCTGAAGCCTTGTCAGATTTCCCAGCCTTGTTTACAATTTGTCTCTATTATTTTCTTTTTCCCAGAAGTCTGTGCCTTTGAGGTTCCCACATGCCCAGGAGCTAAAACTGCAATAATGAACTCCCATGTTTAAAATTAGACCAAATGGGAAAGTTAGCAGAGGTCTAAACCAGCACCACTTGTTCTTTGGAGTGAGATGGTTCTTTTCAAAACCATTTTTAGATTATTTTATTTACTTCAAGTATCTGTGTTCTAAGATAGGTACCCTCATCTGCCCTACCCCTGAACAGCACCCAGGGAATATCTCTCCTGGACCATGATGTCAGGTAAGCTGATTTTTTACAACTTGAGGGTTTGTCCCCTTTCTCTCCGCTGCCAGTGCTGAAAGATACCTGCTTCCGCTACACACAAAAATTCTTATGATTTTGTCTACCTCCTCTGAATCATAAGAATCAAAATTCTTATGATTTTGACACAGAGGACAAAAGACAATTAGCTTTGTCTTTTACTGGAATTTTTTAAAGTGTCTACTTGGTAGCACAGGCTGTACTAACAGTAGGCTATAGAGATCAATGAGACAGGATGTCTGTGTTTTAGGAGAACATACTGTGTCAGCGGTGACTGACATGGAACAGATAACTGAAGTGCCATGTGATGTAATCAGGGGTAAAGATAAAGAAATAAGCACTTTTATTATCTAACGGTGAGAGATTGCTAGATGTTTCCCTTCATGTGGTGCAGAGGTGACTAGAAAGCATTCAGTTTGTTTCTTCTAATTGCCCTAGAAGGTGAATTGCTTTGGCATGGATGGAAATAGAAATTCCAATGGCATCTGTGACAGGAACAAAATATAGGGAAATCAGAGATATTTGGATGGGGTGCTTAAGGAATATAGAAAGTGTTGGGAAGGATTTCTAGCATATTCCACATATGTTTTACTTTTGGAAGAGAAAGAAATATCAAAATAAATCTTGGTAGTCAACTTGCCTAAATAAAGCTTGCAGTCTACCACCCTGGTTACTTTCTGTCCTCTGAACTTACTCTACTATTCTCATAACCTTAATAAATTTTAATAAGTAATACTAGATTGTGAGTGGGTTCCTTTTATATTCTCTAAGAGATGAGAGTAAATATGTGAACTACTTTTATACTACCTTTTTATACTATATTCGTTTGAATGAAACATCGGGTTGAAGCTAAGCTAAGAAAAGTCTTACCTTATGTTTGTTTTCAACAGTCATTTGTGGAAAGGTGAGTGATCTATTTGCAAAGTCATGAAAGGTGTCCCAAGAGAGATGATATCTCATCAGGGTAAATAGAAGTTTTATAGAGGGTTTAAAAAGAGAAGGGTTAACAAAACAGAAACAGGTTAGAAGGAAAGGTGAAGGAAACAATAAGTGTAAAGGCTCAGAATGTGATTAAGCAGAAAGTGCTCAGAAACCACAACTAGGTTTATAAGGCCAATGCATAAGATTCAAGACTGTGGAGTATAGGTGATGCATGAATGTGTGTGTGTATATGTGTTCCTCCCTTCCCTCACATGTACACATACACACACATTTATTTAATCTTATCTTGGACATTGGCTTATGATAAATTCTTTGCTATTATAAACAATGCTATAATGTGTAGCCTTATAAATGTATTATTTTGTTTGTGAATAGGCATATCTTTAGAAAAAATTTCAAGAAGTGCAGTTGCCAGGCAAAGGGTAAATGTGTATGTTATTTTTAAAACTATTGTTTATTTGTCCTACATAGGATTTACTCCATTTTTATATTCCCCATAGCAAGTAAGACCTTGATTGCTTTGTCCCATAGCCCTTGCTAACAATGTGTTGGCACATTTGAATGTTTGCTAATTTGACAGGTGAAAAACAGTGTCTCTGTTTCGCATCTCTTATTCTGACTAAAGCTGAGCACCTTTGCATGCAACTAATGACCATTAATATTTATTTTTATATAAACTCTCCATGTCTTTTGAGCTCTTTTTCATTGGGTTGTTTGTCCTCATCTAAATTTAAGAAAGTTGTTTATTTGTTAGAATTGCTTTTTCCTATGATATGAATTTCAAATAGTTTTCCCAGTTTATGAACTGTTTTTGATTTTGCCTGTGGTGTTTCTGTTCATGTAATTAAAAAAAACTTTTAAAACTCAGAGAGTTTAATTATCAGTCTTCCTTTATAGTTTCTTTATTCAGAGACACATACAAAGGACTCCTCGTTATATGGATATACAAGAATTTGTCCAGGTTTTCTTCTAGTAATTTGATAGTTCTATTTTTTAAAACTGATACTTTTAAAGAAAATTCTGCTGTGTAGTTGGAGGTATTATATTGGATATTTCCACATGTCCTCCTGTAGTCCCTTTTTCTCTTCTTTCCTAGCCATCTGCATCACTAGGCAAGTACAGATTTCTCTTTGTGTGTGTGTGTGTGTGTGTGTGTGTGTGTTTATGGTTGTGTATGTGTGCTAAAAACATAAAGTTTGTCATCTTAACCATTTTTGAATATGTAGTGCATTAGTATTAACTATAAGCACAATGTTGTACAGAAAATCTCCAGAAGTTCTTTATCAGGCAAAACAGAACTTCTATACTCATTGAACGACAATTTTCCTTTTCCAGCTCCCCCCAGCTCCTGGTAACCAGCATTCTACTTTCTGTTTCTATGATTTTCATTACTCATGAAATACCTCCTCTAGGTGGAATCATGTGGCATTTGTTGTCTTGTGACTGGCTTATTTTAATTAGCATATGCCCTAAAGTTTCAGCCATGTTATAGCATATGACATAATTTCTTTTTTTTAAGGCCGAATAATATTCAAATGTTCATATAAACCATATTTCCCTTACCTATTCATCTGTTGATCAGCATTTGGGTCACCTCCATCTCTTAGCTATTGTGAAAAATGCTGTGATGAACATGAGTGTGCAAATATCTTTACGAAAAACTTAAAAAAAATTATTTTGGATATATACACAGGTGTGGGATTGCTGGATTATATGGTAGTTCTGTTTCTAATTTTTAAAGATATTTCCATACTACTTTCCATAATGGAAGCATCATTTTGCATTTCCACCAGAAGTATTCAAGTGTTCTAATTTCTACACATCCTCGCCAGCACTTGTTTTATTTTATATTTAAATGAAACTTTTATATATCTAAGGTGGACAACATGATATTTTTATATATTGAAATGTGTTAGTGAAATGATTACTAATGAAATGAAGCACAGTGAAATGATTACAACAGTCTAGCAAATTAATCTACCTCTCACATAGTTACCACTGTGTGTGTATGTGTTGTGAGAACACCTGAAATCTACTTTCAGCAAATTTCGAGTATGCAATACATTTATTATTTACCGTAGTCATCATGCTGTACATTGCATAAGACTTCCAATTTTTTCATCTTTATCAAAACTTATTATTTTTCATTCTTTTGATAGTGGCCACCCTAACAGTTGTGAGGTGTTATTTCATAGTTTTGATTTTCATTTCCCTGATGATTAGTGGTGTTGAGCATCTTTTCATAGCCTGGTTGACCATTTGTATCTCTTCAGTTCTATTTAAATTCTTCATCTGTTAGTTATTTTGTTGTTGTTGAGTTGTGTGAGATTTTTTATATATTCTTGATATTAATCCCTAGTCAGATACACGCTTTGCAAATATATTCTCCCATTCCATAGATTGACTTTTGACTCTGATGATTGTTTCCTTTGCTTGGCAGAAGTTTTAAACTCTTTGAAGACCCATTTGTCTACTTTTGCTTTTGTTGTTTGTGACTTTGGTGTCATATCTAAGAAATCATTACCAAACCCAGTGTCATGAAGCTTTTCTCAGTGTGTTTTCTTCTAGGAGTTTTATAGTTTTGGGTCTTACATTTAGATCTTTGATCCATTTTTGTGTTAATTTTGTATGTGGTATATTTTAAAGGTGGTGGTACCTGTAGCCCACAGGGGCAGCCTAGTTCCTGGGTTCATGAGACTGGGCCTGGAGACTGGGTCCACCGATACAGGCATGAAATTTGGGTTGATGGGTGCTGGACTGAAGTCTAGGTGGATGGGGGTCATCCTGGAGCCGGGAAAGGTTTGGGGCCTGGGTTTGTAGAGGCTTCCCTGGAGCCTGAGTGTTGGCCTTATGGGGAATATAAGACCTGGCTTATGGCTTATGGCCACACAGGCTGGCCTGGTGCTGGAGCAGTTCTGGACTGTGGGTCTTTGGGGTTGGCCTAGAGCCTGGGTCCATGGGTACCATCCTGGAACTGGGGGACATGGGGGCTGACTGGTACCAGGGTTCACTGAGGAAAGGCCTGGTATTGAGGTCTGAGGCAAAGTCAGGTGTTACTTCATTCTTCTTTCCCCACATGGAGGATATCTCTCTGTGTGCTCTCTATGGGGGTGGGGGAGGAGTGATGTGGTTAATGTGAAACTGTCCTTTTTATTTCTTTCTATCCTCTTCAATGTGTCTTCTCTCATTTCTGTGCTCTACCCAGGTGCAATAATCTCTCCCCTGGAACTCTTAGCTCTTGTAAAGGTATTTTCAAATGTGGATGGTTATTCAAATTGATGTTTCTATCAGGGGAAGACTGCCATCTTGCTATCAATTTTTTACTGCTCTTTCAATCCCGTATTTTGGAAGACTGTTTCCATAAGAATGAATTTACTAATTAGTGGTTATTTAAATTTATATCAGTTGTACCATATATTTTTTACACATTACTGCTCTAAGTTAACTTTGCCTTGGTGTTTTTTTCTACCTTATGGACCTTAGCCAAGGTAAATATATAATTTTTATAATTGTTTTTAGAAAATTTGAAAATAGATTTTAGAATACTTTAACTAAAGAATTACTAGGAATATAGAAATACAAAACTGAAAATCATTGGATTAAATGGTACCTAAAATAGGTCCTAATTTTAAGTATTTAAGAATCTTTTTGTCTTTTTTATAAGCGACCATTTACAGGATGCAAGATTTTTGATTGAAGAGAGCTAAGAACATTTATGTCATGTCACGTCTCCATGGTCATTATAAAAAAGCAAGACAAAGGTTTTAATATACATAGATATATTACATATATTTAGATAAATACAGATACAGAAATGTATACTTTAAAAATACTGTATACCTTAGGGATGAATGCAAAGCAACATTTTATAGCTCAGGAGAATGACTTTGCTGGCATTACATTTTCCATTGTAAAATTTGTACAATTATTCAGCCAAATGCTGTGTGTGTTTAGCAATTTGGAAACATGTTTAAATAAGTAGTCAAAAGGAAATGAGTGGCTTGGCTGGATTTCAGTATAGAAAAGAAATAGAAAGGCCAATATTTGTAAGGTTTAATTTCAGTTTAACTAGATTATGTTGAAAATGTTGTCATTCAGTCAATTGCTTCATGTAGGTAGATGCAATTTTCAGCTGTGTTGCAAGAGTCCCTGGTGCATTTTTTATCTAATCTACAATAGATTGAATGTCAACAACTTGCTGAATAATCGAACACTATAGATTAGAAAAAAAAAGACATCTTTTTTTTCCTCAGGCATGTTTTTATATGGTGACTTATGAAGTGCATTTTATCACCCAAATGAAGCACAGAGTATAAAATTGGTTTTCAATAAAATGAAATATATAGGGAAAGCCCAAGATCAGAAAGAGGACCTCAGTTCCAATGCCTGTTTGTCACCCACCAGTTGTATGACTTTGGAAAAATTACCGCTCTTTCTGAATCTCATATTCTTTAGATTCAAAATGTGGAGAGTGATAGAGTAGAAGCTCTCTTAGTGGACTTCCATCTAACTTACTCATTCAATTAAGCATCTGTCTCTATCTCTTCTGTAAAACATACTGATTGAAGACCAAACACTCTGAACTCTTGGTACTTGTATTCTTTAGGATGAGCACATACTTAATCCTTCAAAAATAATTTTTTGCAAGCCAAAATTCAGGTGCTGTTCTCAAAAACTATTTATCTGGTTGTACTTGGTATTGTAATTATAGGATGTTTATTGTAATTATAGGATTTAATTAAATTTAAAAGAGCTTGATAAAATATGAACATGCAAATAATTCTGATTGTTTTGGAAAGACTATACATATGAAGCACAAAAATTATACAACTTTGGGTGGGTAAGACAATGGTAAATGATTGGAAACATCATTAACAGCTAGGATTTGGCACTCAAATAGCTTCAGAAATATTTTAAATTATCATTCCACTTCAAAGTAACAAAAACTAGACATTAACAAAGACCATTTATGGTTATGATTTATGCAAGAATAATAACCAGAATCTAATCAGCAAGCTAGAAACAAACAAAAATCTTTGGCCTAAATAAATATCTTTTAAGTATTTTAAGTTAAAATGAAATATTAGAGTGAATTTTGGTAATGTTGGTGGAATGAGTCATAATTTAACCTTGTCAAAGGTTATATATCAGAGAAAATTTTTTAAAAATATATTTAAAGGCACCAGAACATCCAAAAGCAAATGGAACTTAGAAAAGAGTTTACTCCAGAAAAACTTCAACTGCAATACCAAGAGTTCTGAGTTTTTGGCTAATTTTCTTCCCCCTGAGGATATTACTCAATGTCCTGGTAATGACAGCAGAAAACCACAGCCAGATCAACTTGTGGTAACAAATTTAGAGATTGGGGCTGGATGAAATTATGGAAATGAGAGAAATGTAGAAAGGAAAGAAACCCCAAATCTGTTCAAAACTTTGCCTTACTCTCTGTCCATACTCTGCTATGTTAGCGAGGTGGAAACCCTAGGAACCCAAGGTAACATAGACAGGAATCAGAGGAGACTCTAACCTGGAAAGACAGAGCTGCGTAAGTTAAGACTTGAGTTTGCTACTTTCTGAAATACCTCTGAAAGCCCACAGATGTTGCATTAGCAGACAAACATCAAGTCATCGATTATAAATATGTTTATATGATTAAAAGTACCTATATTCAAAGAATTAAAGGAACATTTTAATGAGTAAGCATATGGGAAATCTCAACAGATATGAACACTATAAAAAGGGAAATTCTAGATCTAAATACAAAACTTAAATAAAAAACTAGTTGAGATAGCCCAAAAAACATTGATGAAAGAAGAATTAGTGAACTTGAAGATAAATCAATTGACATTAAGCAACATGAAGAAAAGAAAGAAAGCAAATTGATGAAGAATGAACTGTTTCAGAGATCTGTGGGAGAGTACATAGTAGTTCAGTTTATAGGTCATAAACACAAACACACACACACACATCAATGCATCTGTACTGTATATCTACACTTTTATCCAGAATACATGGAAAATACAACTCAGTAATAAGAAGACAAACAAGCAAAAAACAATAAAAAGATTTGAAAAGACATTTACAAAAGCAGATATATACAGGCCCAGTAAGCATTTAAGAAGCTGCTTAGCATCTTTAGTCATCAGGACAATACAAATTGAAATCACAAATGTGTTAATACACATCCACTAGGATGGCTAAGATTGAAAAGACAGACAATTGTAAGTGTAGGATGTGCAGAATGGAAATGTTCATACATTGCTGATGGGAATGTAAAATGAAAAGATTGTTTTGAAAAGAGGTTTGGAAATTTCTTAAAGTTTAAACCTTCAACTAATAAGCTCCATATGTTTCCATATTCTCTTTGCAGTAGGTGCTTTTTGGGGTATGTTCTTCTCAGATAACGTGATCCCAAGAAAAACAATAAGAATATATGCTATCTTTTGAGGCTTTGGCCAGAATTGGCACATGAAAATTTCCTTCCACAATGCATTGGCCTAAGCAAGTCATATGGTTAAGTTCAACATTAACAGGTTGAGGAAATACATTCCACACGGTTTGTGAGTAGTATTTAAACATCACATGGAAAGCAATGGAGATATTCATACTACTACAGGGACAATGAGAAAAATTTTATCTATCACAGGTAGATTGTATTATAATATGACAACTATTAACATCACTATTTAGTGAAGAAACAGGGTAAGAGATGGGACAGTTTTGATTAATGGAGATGAGAGAAGAGGAAAAAAAGCAGATTTAGGTCAGAACTGAAAAGAGCCTCTGAGTACTTATGCATGAATGATTGCTTGTTGAGCATTTTATAAGAGAAGAGAAAGATAAATGTTTTCCAACTAGATTTTCAGTGATTTTTAGTGTCTAGACATAAAGGGACCTTGTGACAATGATAGCAATAAAGTTCAGATCTTATTTTTCAATTTCCCTTGAAAAATTACATTTGCAAACACCTTATTGCTTATAAAATATTTTCTTGTATACTATCTAATTTTATCCCCTCAAAGACCTGGAAAAGTAGAATACATTACTGAGTAAAATGAAAGAATCAGAGAAGGGAAGTGACTTGTCCCAGTTCACAAGGCCATAAAAAGATCAGGCTAGTGTATGCAGAATATTGAAACTAAACCCCTTCCTTACACCATATACAAAATTAACTCAAGATTCATTACAGACTTAAATGTAAAACCCCCCAAACTACAAAAATGTTGGAAAACAAAAAGGCAATACCATTCTGGACATAGGAATGGGCAAAGATTTAATGATGAAGACACTAAAAGCAATAGCAACAAATGAAAAAATTGACACACAGGATCTAATTAAAGAGCTTCTGCACAACAAAAGAAACTGTCAATAAACAGACAACCTACAGAATGGGAGAAAATATTTGCAAACTATGCATCTGCCAAAGTCTAATATCTAACATTTATAAGGAACTTAAACAAATTTACAAAAAAAAAAAAGGAAACAGGCAACCCCATTAAAAAGTGGACAAAGCACATGAATAGTGACATACATGTGTCTGTTAAGCATATGACGAAAAGCTCAACAACATTGATCATTACATAAAAGCAAATCAAAACCACAGTGAGATACCATCTCTCACCAGTCAGAATGGCAATTATTAAAAAGTGAAAAAAATAACATGCTGGTGAGGTTGAAGAGAAAAGGTCATGCTTATATACCGTTGGTGGCAGTGTAAATTAGATCAACCACTGGGGAAAGCTGTGTGGCGATTCCTCAGAGAGCTAATAACAGAATCACCATTCAATCCAACAATCCCATTCCTGGGTATATACCTAAAGGAATATAAATCATTCTCTCAAAAAGACACAGGCACATGTATGTTCACTGCAGCACTATTCACAATAGCAAAGACATGGAATCAACCCAAATATCCATCAAAGGTAGACTGAATGAAGAAAATGTGGTACATGTACACCATGGAATACTATGCAGCCATAAAAAATAATGAGATTGTGTCCTTTGTAAGAACATGGATGGAGCTAGAGGCCATTATCCTTTGCAAACTAATGCAGAAACATAACACCAAATACCACATGTTCTGTCTTATAAGAGGGAGGTAAATGATGAGAACACATGGACATATAGAGGAGAACAAGAGATACTGGGGTCTTTTGGAGGGTGGAGGTTGTGAGGAGAAGATCAGGAAAAATAACTAATGGATATTAGGCTTAATACCTGGGTGACAAAATAATCTGTACAACTAACCCCCATGGCGTGAGTTTACCTGTATAACAAACTGCACATGTACCCCTGAATGTAACAGTTAAAAAAAAAAAAAAAAGAATCAGGCTAGGAGTCTAATGTGTATCTTCTGTAATTAGACAGGGAGCTTTTATATTATTTGACAGTTACTAATCTAAACTTAAAAACATGAAAAGTGCTTTACAAATACTTCCATAGTTGAATTTATATAGACTAGCAAATATTGTTTTAGTTCAGTAAGGAGATAATAACTTCTATGCCCAAAGGAATTGTTACCTTTCAAATTCTACCCTTTGTGACTATTCCTTATAAAATATGTACTTTCTATCAATTTTGTCCCTGTATGATCAGAAAATAACTACGATGTGTCAAATTTTCAGTTGTTAGTATGGGACTAAATCTCTTCTTTCATGCTACAGAAACACTAATGCTGGTAGTATTATCGTCTTCATCTTGTAAGAGACAAAACAGACAGATGGCCTGTAAAGTTTTGTCCAAAGTTATATATATTTTTTTCTTTATTTGTCCTGCTTATATATATATTTTTTGTTATTATTATACTTTAAGTTTTAGGGTACATGTGCACAAATGCAGGTTTGTTACATATGTATACATGTGCCATTTTGGTGTGCTGCACCCATTAACGTTATAGCAACAATATTACTGGCTAAACTTAAATTAGGTTTCTTCTCTTTTTTTCACAAATTCTTTTCTATTTATCTGTGATTATTCAGAATATAGCTTTATATGTGGTATTTTTCTCAACTCTAGAGAGATGATTACATTAAAAGACCATTTAATTACAGTAGTCTTAACATCTTTATTAATTTTTTTTATATTCTAGTCAAAATATACTCATGTTTTCTAGCAGTTCCTAATGCTTTTAGGCTGGTTGGTTCCCATGGGGCCTCCTGAAAACATTTAATCAAGAGATAATTGTTCTGGCCTATGATAATTTTAACTTTCTGAGGTGTTTTATTAGTGTAGATCCTCAGTTGAATTACCTCTTTCTTTTTTTCTTGTTGCTGGAAGTGTTAAATTGTCTTTCTTCATTATTCTGCAGGAAGCATCATCTTTTAAAAAGGATCCTTTATTTGTAAAAATGCCTACCTTTTCTGCTGTTTACAACTAGACAATTAAAACTAGAGCAATTTCAATGCTCCAATACAGAGTTCCCCAAAACATTTTCCACATAATAGAAAAGAGTTTCATGGACAACTACCTTGAACTACACTGAATACAATCCCTTCCTTTTTAAAATTTCTAATGCACATTTTGAAGCTCTGAGAAGAACCCTACTTTTAAAATCCATAATCTAAAAAATGTATGAACTAAAATATTATTTAAATATCTCCTCAAATCAGTAAAGATAAAAATAACAAAACTTGTTGAGAATGAGATGGCAGAACAGAACATCATTTTACATACCTTATAGGTAATAATTTTGTTTCTAGTAATTGGATCTGAGAAAATTATTAGTAATACAGCCAAACCTTTATGTAATTAACTTATTTGTAATAAAAATGAAGAAGTAGGGAGGGGGTCAAGATGGCTGATTAGAAGCAGCTGCGGTTCGTGGCACTCATGGAGAAGAATGAAAGGGGCAAGTGAATTCAGCACCTTCAACCGAAACATCCAGGTTCTTGCACTGGGACTGACTAGGCAAACACCTTGACCCATGGAGAGTGAAGAAAAGCAGGGTGAGGCAGTGGTCCACCTGGGAGCCAAACAGAGTGAACAGAGCCAAAGGAATGGACAGAGCCAGAGGAACAGAGCCAAAGGAATGAACAGAGCCAAAGAACAGAGCCAAAGGAACCCACTCTCCCAGCCAAAGAAAGTGGTGAGTGATTGTGCGACCCTGCCCGGGAAGCCATGCTTCCTCCTATCGATCTTTGCCACCCGTGGATCAGTAGATCCCCTTGTGAGCCCATGCCATCAGGGCCTAGGGTCTGATACAGAGAGCTGTGTGGAGTCTCAGCAGAGCACCCACTCAGGCGCATACAGAGACCCAGGAGTTTTACATACTCTGGCCTTGGGGTCCCTGGAAAGGTGGGAGATCCATCTGTACATAACCGTAAGAAGGGGATTAAATCCAAGGAGTCATTAGCATCGTTCTGTGAGTCCCATTTCCACAGCACTTCACAAGTTAAAGCCCACTGGCTTGGAATTCCAGTCAGCCAATGGCAACAGGCTGGGGTCCGCCTGAGACAAGACAAAGTCCTTGAGGGAAGGGACAGCCACCATGTCTGCAGTTCAGTTGACTCAGTCATTTTAGCCTGCCAGCGTTGGAGAGTTCACACGGTCCGGACTAGGAAGGGCCTTCCACAATGCAGCACAGCTGCTCTGCCAGATCATGGTCAGACTGCTTCTTTAAGTGGGACCCTGATCCATTCTTCCTCACTGGGCGGGACCTCCCTCTGGGGGCTTCAGCCACTCCACTCAGGGTTATACCCACAGAGCTCTGATCTCTCCCTGGGATAGAGCTCCCAGGAGTAGGGGCAGCCACCAACTCTAGTTTAGTTGACTCAGCCATTCCAGGCTGCTGGCTTTGGAGAGTCCAGATAGTCTGGATGAGGAAGGGTCCCCCCAGAAGCATAACACTTGCTCTACCAAAAAGCAGCCAGACTGCTTCTTTAAGTAGGTTCCTAATCCCATTCTTCCTGACAGGGTGGGACCTCCCAAAAGGGGTCTCCAGTAGACTCCTACAGATGTGTTCAGGCCAGCAACAGGTTAGTACTCCGTGCTAGGACGGAGCTTCCAGAGGAAAGAGCAGGCTGACATCTGGGCTGTTTTGCAGTCTTCACTGGTGATACCCCAGGAAGGGGAAAAACCAAGGCAGCCCCTCAGCAAACCACACCAGCCCTATGGAAGGGTAGCATGACTGTTAAATGACAAATAAACAAACAAACAGAAAACAACAACAACATCAACAAAAAAGACTGCATAAAAACCCCATTCAAAGATCAGCAACCTCAAAGATCAAAGGTAGATAAGGCCACAAGGATGAGAAAAAAAAAAATGCCAAAATGCTGAAGACTCAAAAAGCCAGAGTGCCTCTTCTCCTCCCAATGACTGCAACCCCTCTCCAGCAAGGGCAGAGAACTGGGCTGAGGCTGAGATGGCTGAATTGACAGAAGTAAGTTTCAGAAGATGGGTAACAACGAACTTTACTAAGCTAAAGGAGCACGTTGTAACCCAATGCAAAGAAGCAAAGAATTGTGATAAAACAATACAGGAGCTGATAGCCAGAATAGCCAGTTTAGAGAGGAACATAACTGACTTGATGGAGCTGAAAAACACAAGAGAACTTCACAATCTAATCACAAGTATCAATAGAAGAATAGACCAAGCCGAGGAAAGAATCTCAGAGCTTGAAGACTATCTTTCTGAAATAAGACAGACAGGTGATAATAGAAAATAAAGAATGAAAAGGAATGAACAAAATCTCTAAGAAGTATGGGATTATGTAAAGAGACCAAACTTACAACTGATTGGGGTAACTGAAAGAGATGGGGAAATGGAACCAAGTTGGAAAACATACTTCAGGATATCATCTAAGAAAATGTCCCCAACCTAACAAGATAGTCCAACATTCAAATTCAGGAAATGCCAAGAATCCCAGTAAGATGCTCCATGAGAAGGTCAACTCCAAGACACATAATCATCAGATTCTTCAAGGTCAAATGAAAGAAAAAGTGTTAAGGGCAGCCAGAGAAAGGTCAGGGCACCTACAAAGGGAATCCCATCAGATTAACAGTGAAACTCTCAGTGGAAACCGTAGAGATCAGAAGAGAATGGGAGCCAATATTCAACATTCTTAAAGAAAAGAATTTCCTTGCAATAGTTTGCTGAGAATGATGGTTTCCAGCTTCATCCATGTCCCTACAAAGGACATGAACTCATCCTTTTTTATGGCTGCATAGTATTCCATGGTGCATATGTGCCACATTTTCTTAATCCAGTCTATCATTGAAGTATAATAAACAAAAAAAGAAAAATGAAAAAATATTTTCATACCTCAAAGGATTAGTGACTCTAAAAAAAAAAGAAAAGAATTTCCAACCTGGAATTTAATATCCGGCCAAACTAAACTTCATAAGCAAAGAAGAAATAAAATCTTTTTGAATGCATTTAGGCTGACATGGCGATATGGCAATAGACTACATAGTGTCTTAATGAGAGTAATAAATTTGTAGAGAAGTGACAACACAAAGAAAAAGTGTTTTAGGCTTCCAAGGGTGGCAGACTGTAGGAAGGTATGTAAATATGGGAAACTAATGGGAGATAAGTGTTATTTTAGTAAGGTTTATTATGTAAATTTACCTTGTTCTGTCTCTGGGCTGAGTCTAAGATTGCTGTTAGGCAAATGGTGTAAGGAGAGAGCAGAGAGCTTTTTTTTGGCATCTGCTGTTCCTCAGTTGTTTTCAGTTCAAAATAGTTCTCATGCCAAAGTGGTGTATTTTGGAGTGAGATATTTGATCCCTTACACTAGTCTGCTCCAAGTTCTTTACACATATTAACTCACTGAATCCTTACAACAGTCCTTTGTGTTAAGTATTTTCATTATTCCCACTTGCTAGGTAAGAAACCTCACATGGAGGGGGTTAAAATAAAAATTTTAGACAAATTAAACAATTGAATTGAACACAGAACAATTCAAGAATTGGACAACCCCCGAACAAGAATAGGTTCAGTGACTTAGGCACATTGGCCTGGTTGGAGAGTATTTATGAACAGAAAAAGGCAAGTGATGTACAAAAAAAATGAAAGGTCCAGAAACAGTCAGATTGGTTACTACTCCATGTTTGCCTTATTTGAACATGGTTTGAATAACAATTGGCTGCCTGTGAGTGATATGTAGTTGAAGTATGGTGGCTGTGATTAGCTGAGACTTGGCTTACTGCTATAACAGCAGGTTACAGTCTTGTTTACATATCCAGTTAAGTTATAGCTCAGTAGGTGCAGAGAAACCTTTAGGCTGAATGTAAAATATGTAAGAAAGCAGCTGTAGGCTAAACTTAATTTAAAAGAGGTTCCCAAGGTCACACATCATTTAAGTGGTGGAAATAGTATTTGAACCCAGATAGTATGTAACTTTAAAACCTATTGCTTTAGCATTTGGTAAGAGTTGCTCTAGGAGGAAAAGAGCTACTCACCTCTAAAAGTATGTAAGTAGCAATTAAAAACCCACTTGCTGGGCATGTTGTTAAAAGGGAGATCAAGTATGTATAAGGGGAAGTTAGACTCTAAGACTAATTCTCCAATTCTATAAAATTCTTAAAATATGAATTCTTCAGAAAAAAAATACTAAGATTAATGATTTTGGATTCTGTTGAATGTCCTGAGCAATGGCTTTCACTTCTCCTGGACCCTTCACTGTGCTTCAAATAGAGCCAGACACAGTATCAATCAACAGTACACATTTGTTAAAATTGAATAAGCTTCAAATCATTTAGAGTATATGTATCTCATTAAGAAAATTAAGACAATGAAGCAATTGACTTTCTACTCAATTTCCTCTGCTGCCAAACTTTTCTTATTTCTATTGCAATTCTCATTTACTTTGCTTAAGTTGGATGAGCTTCCTCTCTCCACCTATTCAAGACTAATCTCATGCTTCCAATTTTCTTCACTCACATATAACTAAAACCACATCCTCTTTTGCCTTTCCCATTAACTAACTTCTTTCCTTACTTGTTTCCTTCTTTTGCCCTTCTTCCCTCTCTATCTGCCCCTCCTCTCACCTGTCTGTTCTTATCTTCCCTTCTTTTTCCTCACCTTCCTTTTTTCTTTTTCTCTTTTTTTACTCTCTCTTTCATACAATTAAATATTTGTACAATAGAATATTTTTGGCCCTAATAAGTAATAAAGTACTGATACATGCAACAACATGAATGAACCTTGAAAGCATTATTGTAATTGAAAAAAGACAATCACAAACGACAACATATTTTATGATCCATTTATTGGAAATGTACATTATAGAATATCTAGACAGAAATTAGAATAGTGGTTGCACAGGGCTTGGGTGAGGCTGTGGTTTGAGCAGGGGACAAGGAATAATTGCTAATAGGTATGAGGTTTATTTTTGAGTAATAAAAGTGTTTTAAAATTAGATACTGATGATGGTTGTGGAACTCTGTGAATATACCAAAAAGTACAGAATCGTATACTTTAAAAATAAAAAATTTTATGATACATAAATTGTATCTTAAAGCTATTATTAAAAACACACTATAAGTGTGTATACATATATACACTAATTTAGGGATACGTTGTTTAATTTTTTTATAAACCTATTTAGTTATGGATCATGTGGAACATAATCATAATTTTCTTCACAGGGTGTTAATAAAAAACCACAAAATTTTCCAGTAGAGGTAGGACATAACTATTGTTGTTATTTATTTTTATCATAAACTTATAATTTATAAACTAAATAGGTGTGGTCATGTAAGGTCTCTCTTTTTCTTTGCATCTTTATGTCAAGGGTATAATATCTTTTTGAGCAGTCTCTTAAACTTTGAACGAGTTTGAGTACTCTTTGGGGCCAGAAATACTTTTCTTCTGAGTCTAGCTGGGACACTTGAAACAGATGTAATCATGTGAAAATTACCAACTTTTCTGAAATTTGTTAAATTCAGATATAAAATAAATATAAAATTCATGTTTGTTTTTCAGGGATTATATGTGTATACAAAGTGCTCTTCTTGGTCCTTCCCTTAGGTTTTCTGAGCTTCAGTTTTCTAATCTACATAATGAGGCTATTCTACCTCCCAGTCTATTAGTGCAGTTTTTATTAGCTGTTGTAAATACATCAGTACAGAGCGTAGCACAATAAATGCAAGTTTTGTATTACTATTGTTGTCACAACACAATTTATCTCTTGTACACATCTCTCTTATCCTGTCTTTGTCTCTTAGTCCCTCTGCTGTCAGCTATTCTTTTTTCCATTTAGTGCTTAGTACATACTTGGCTTTTTTTTTGTTTTTCAGAAATTGTAGCTTAAAGAATTAAACTCTGTGATGCTCCTCTATAGACAAATATTGGTAAATCTATATACAGAATCTTCAGTGTGTTAAATTCTGTGAGGTACAAAGTTGTCTGCATCTCCCTGCAATCGAAGGTCCTATTGCATTCTTAGGAGCTAAGACATATATGCATATAATTATAATACAAATTGGAAAGAGACTGGTACCACACTGAAACTAAAAAATAAAGAGAGGGAAATTTTCTATAGCTGAAGTAAAAAAATAGGCATGGGCGGATCAGATAAATTTGTAAAGGAGGAAAGTTATGGTAGGCAGAATAATGACTCATCAAAGATTCACTTCCTAATCCCTGGAACCTGTGAAAATGTTAGGTTGAATGGCAAAAAGGAATTAAGGTTGCAGATGGAGTTAAAGTTGCTAACCAGTTGACCTTAAAATAGATTATCCTGGATTACTGAAAAGGCCCACTGTAATCACAAGTCTCCTTAGAAGCATAAGAGGGAGGTAGAAGAGAATCTGTCAGGAAGATGTGACTACAGAAGAGAGGCATGAAAGGATGCAATGTTCTCAGATTTGATGATGGAAGTGGGCCATGATCCAAGCAACGTGGGTGTCATTTAGAAGCAGCAAAGAACATGGAAGCACATTCTCCTTAGATCTTGAAAAAGGTATACAATCCTGCTGACACCTTGATTTTAGCCCAGTGAGATACATGTCAGACTCCTAATATACAGAATTGTAAGATAATATTGTTTTCTTAAGCCACTCAGTTTCTGGTAATTTGTTACAGCAGCAATAGGCAAGTAATATAAAAAGGGGATGATGCCACTTTCTCTGGAATTTTATATTTTTGAGATTAAGATTACTCACTCACTCATTCACTTATAGAACAAATGGTTGTTGAGTATTTTTCCAAGCAGAATTTTTAGGAGAGATAACTATAAGTCAGACAAGATTTCTGTCCTCTTGAGAGCTCGTAGATGAGTGGGAAACAGAAAATAAACGTATCAACACTTACATCAGCAGAAATTAAAAGCCAAAACGAATACATTATTAATTCTTTGAACATTTATTGAGGGTTTTACATGTGGCAGATTATGTGCTAACTTTAGAGTGCAACTGATAATCATTAAAGGCAGCAAAGAAGTTTTTCCAAGCACAGGCCCTAAAGCCTGACAGTCATTCTCATCTCCTTAATTTGTTAGTCCATGACCCTGGGAAAGTTGCTTAATACCTGTGAGCATCAGGTTCCCAATCTGGAAAATAGGGATAATAATAGTCTCTAAATCATAGGGCAGTTAAGAAAATTAATTGAATTATAATATTTGAAAAACCCTCAGAACAGGTGCCTGGCTCTTAGTTCATACAATGCAGTGCAATTGTTTGATACATTAAAGAAAATAATAATAAAATCAACTTGTCTTGTCTGCAAAGGCTTCACAGTCTGGGGTACAGTAATATACAAATAAACAAAAGAGTATGACAAATATTTGATCTTAATATTCATACAATTTGGAGTCTAGAATACCAAGGATGATGCAAAGTATGTTTTCCTGGAAACATGGAAATCTCACGCATTTTTCTCAGAAAAGTGTCTTCCAAACCACTGTGAGGAAGGAGCTGACTCATCATCTCCCAAGTAGTAGAGGTGGATGAAATCATGACATGAGTTCTTTGTCATCCTCTACAAAATCTAGTGTATTAGAAATGGGAAAAAGACAATTCATTTTTCATAGTTCCTGCATGTACTCTTTTTTGTGGGCTGGAGTCTCTAATGCTTTATTTTAGGCCATTTCCAGTTCTTCTATAAGATCAATATTTCAAACTAACAATAGATTCTGGACATGTGTACAAGTTCTTTTGTGTGTGTGTGTGTGTAGCTGTTATATTGTGCTTTATTTCTAACTTCTATACTGCTGATATAACCAGGAAAAATAGAAGAGAGATTTACAGAACTCTAAATACAGCAGATGATCCATAGCAAAGCAAATTCTTTTAATTTATGAAGGATAAAACTACATAAGGGACAGAAAAAGAAGATGGTGGAGGAGGAGGAGGAGGAGGAAGAGAAAAATATACACAAATAATTGGCCCTGGACGTATCCAGGAGCTGAATAAGACCCTTCAGAGCTTGCTGATTTTTTTTATTTCTTCTTCATTTGATAAAGAAAAGTAGGAAAAAAATGCCATCCAAGACACAAATAGTAGATGTTTCTGGGCTAAGAGCACTTCTTCCTTGGACAACTCCTCAGCAAAAACATATCTTTCTTTTAATCACTTTGTGTCTGCCCATCCGTCTCATAGGGAGTGTGAAAGGTGGCACTGCAGTCATGGGAGTGGAAAAGGAGTAATTATAACAATGGAGGTCTAGTGGACCCATTAGATTATCCTTCTGGGACTAAAATGAGGGTAAAAAATGAGATGAAAGATTGAGGAACAGCTAATTCAGGAACTATCAGAAGAAAATAATCTGGTAGAATTGTGAAGGAGCATTTGTACTCTCAGTATTAAATTGCAGGATGCAATTCAGGGTCCTAGTGTGGTCTATACAACACCTTACATTTAAGAGTAAGACGAAGCTTTCCACAGTATCAAGCATTCACAGTCATCATCTCTTATTCTACTTTCAATTCACCCTCCACTCTAGACATACCTGCCTCTCAGTGTGACACCCCTTCACACCATTTTTCATATGTCTCTCTCTCTCTCTGTGTCACCCGGGCTAGTTTTCTCACTTCTTTTCTGGAAACTGACATCAAGTTATTCAGCCACTGCTTGTTCCTGCAGCTCTTTCAATCTTTCATTCATTCAGCTATATAACTGAATGTCATCATGTAACTAAGTCCACCAGCCAGTGCTTATTATGTGCCAGGTGCAGAAAGTACTCCTTAACACATCATATTTTGTGTATTCTAACAATGGCATTATAAGATACATATTTTTATCCCATTTGTATACATGAATGTACTAAGGTGTATAGAATTAAGAAATGCTCAAGATCACATTATTAGAAAGGGGCAGGGAAGGACTTGAACGCTTTTGGTGTCTCCAAAGTCTATGCCATTAACGCCTGGGCTCTATGGCCAATATGTGTTAGGAATAGGACCTGGGAATATTGAACTTGAAACAGCCAGCTCCCCTCTGGAGCTTCATCAAGTTCAGTGGGCTAGAAAGTGAAACTGATGATTTCTATAGAGGAATGGAGACCATAGTGGGGTGGAAGGTCAGTTTGGGATACTGGGAGGAAAATGATCTTGCCAGGCTTTTGAACACAATCTTGAATATTGGGTGAAGAAAGCCAGAAAATTGTGTCTCAGGCAGAGTTCATAGAGTGTATTAAGATATACACTGGGGAACTGAAAACGATTCACTGGACTTGGAAAACAAGGTGTAAGGTGAGAAGTTCATAAGGAAATAATGCCATAAAGTTAGGGGAACTAGTATAAAAAAATTGGTATGCCATGCTAAGAATTTAAAAAAAAAATTATCCAGAGAACAATGTGTAGCCATCTGTAAAACATCTGGAAATAATTGACTTCTTTTGAGACAGAATACGTGGCAGACAATTAACTAGTTGCAAGACGGTATGATATTGTAATGTGTTAGAGGTTTTCATGACACGCCGAAGGAATACATAAATGAGATATCTATAACACTCCCATGGTGTCAGGGGTATGATTTTGGAGAGTCAGTGACACAAGCTATGAGCTAAAGGAAACATAAAATTAGCAAGAAAAAGAAAGGGTAAAGGACATTTCAACAATGGATCCAACAAGCTTGAAAGCAAGGAGTCATGGACTAACAAAAGGAAATGGAATACTTTTTTTGAAAGGTTGAAGCAAAAGTGCATTTGTATTGACAGAGTGGCATATGAGAAAAGGTTCAAATTGCAAAGAGATTATGTGCTAAACTAAGGCATGTATGAGTGGTCTATAAGCTATTAGGAAACTTTGAAGCATTTTTAAGGAGGAAGCAAGAATGATCAAATTTGGGTTCTGGGATAATTGCTTTGGCAACAATTTGGTAGGTAGATAAAAAAGGAGAATGGCTACATTCTAGAGACAACATAAACAATTTGAAGACTATTTTAATAATCTAGAAGATAAGTGATTACTGAACTAAGACTATAATAGTAAATTGAGTAGGAGTGAGAGAATTTTTATTGATACGTGTAAAGGGGGAGCAAAGATGACTCTCCTAATTCTGACTTGGATGACCAGTATCATTACTAGGTAGAAAATTAAATAACAAAACCTGATTTGGGTCAAAGTTATCTCAATACTGGAGTTGACTAGTTTGAAATGTGTGTAGCAAATTCAAGTTGACATGTTCAGAAGTCTTTTAAATCTAGAGTTCATTTAAGGCATAGGCCAAGAGTATGCATACCAATAAATGTTGGTATCATCATTGCTCTACATTTGAGCCTATACTGGTTTTTTTTTTTTCCAAAACAATTCTAATTATACTGCAGCCCATTAGAGGATTCTTAAAGCTCCATCCAGGTATTTAATGCAGTGCTACTTGAGTTTCACAAACTACAAACAGAATGTTCCAACAAAATCTCAAATATACATTTAAAATTAATCAATACTTATGATAGTATGGGGAAATTCATCTTTTATAGTATTACAGGTACCCGAAGAGTGAACACATCTTTTATAATTAATTTTGTAGCTTCCTACACTCCATTTTTCTTCTAATACTACTGGTGTCTTATCTGCCTGATCAAAGTTCTGATTACAGCCAGGAAAACATTTAGATCCCTCAAGAAATTGCTGTTATCACATAAAACTCTTCTCAGTTCTACAAGATGTGAGCAGCTGCTCCCTTGGCCACTGCAGATGCCTTGCATAAGGAGCTGCTCTTCCTTAGAGTGTACCTAGTTGAAAAGATGACGACATAAGGCAGCATTTGTATAGCACCTTACAAAGCTGCTTCACATGCACTGCCTCAACATTATCCTCATGACCATTTCTGTATCATGGATGATTGTCATTCCCTTTTAAAAAGCTTCTCTAGGACAAGCACTATGCCAGGCCCTGGAGATAATACTTATTGTACAGTAGTTAAAAGTCTACTTTTAGGAATGTCAAGCAGTATTTACAAAACTATGTTATGATACAAGAAGGACAGTCCTGTAGAATGTGAGGTTAGGGGTGATAGGTGAGTGATTTTAGATTTCTCAAAAAAAGACTGCCTGTATCACTTAGATTTTTTTACTACGCCAATGGAGCAAACTTTTACATCTAACCCTGCTTTAAACCTATATAGGGTTTAAACAAAAATCTAATCTAAAAAACAAATATATAAACAAGCAAAATAAAAATCTTCTTTCCCTTCAACCCACTATTTTTGCAAGTATGGACTACCAACTGCAATCCCTCTAAATGGGAAAACCTAATAGGAAACATTCTACTAGAATTAATGTATACATTTTAAATGTTTTCATTTCTCATATAGTTGTAGAAAGTCAAACAGCCCCTAGAGGTCACCAATGGGCTAATTTAAGAGGTGGCTTCTCTGGTTACTCTTTGCTTAGAATTAGTGATTATAAAGTGTTATGTGTAGACAGTAAAACTGATGGAAACAAGAAATCTCCCTTGACTCTCCTCCAGTATTTTAACTACCCATAGATACTTATGAGCCACTTCAGTATAATGTTGTTTCTGATGGAACCATTGACAAAATAACTTCATAGCTAGAATGATCTCTAGGCCAGAGAAATCTCCAACAATATATTGTCTTAAAGACCTCCTGAGCATCATTTATGAACCAGGCTCTGGGACACTTGAGAGAATTTAAGTTCAATGAATTTATTCATTTTCATATGAGAAATTGAAGCCTAGAGAGATGTGATTTTCCCAAAGTCATTCAGACAGTTACAGAGCTGAGATTAGACCTACGTATTCTGACATTCTTCTGCTCGTTTTTTTTTTCCTGTAGTCCAGAGATTTGAACTCTGAGTTTAGCATAATTTGGTTTAATTAGATTTTACCGAAAGTCTAACACATGCCAGCCATATGCTTTGATGAGCAATGCTGAAATAAATTATGGTCCTTAACCTAGTGAAAACATGGGCATATACACAGATAATTCCAAAGAAGTCAAGTGATAATATACAGGTACTTGCCCGTTAAGAAATACAGGGCACTATGAAAGCATAAGAAGGGCAACTGGCCTGACCAAACACCTTGCTAGGTATTCAGAGATGTTTTCCTGGGTAGGTGATTCCTGAGATGATGGAAAGAATAGCGGGGTTTATCCAGGCAGAGAAGACGGAGAGATTCTGAAGGAAGGGTGGATGAAAGGAAAGACCATTATTTCAGGCTGGCTGGAATAGTAGCAGTAAGACTGTGCCTTTGAGCAAGGCTGTCTACCCTTTTTTAAAATCATAGTTGTTTAAAAAAATATATAAAACACCAAAGGGCACAAACTCAAATGCCCATCTGGGACTAGACATGTAACTTTAAGTGGGTGAAGTCTGTCTAGTATTAAAAAAATTGCAACCAATGTTAATAGTGGTGAATTGGAAGATATCTAGCCTTGATTAAGAGAACAGTTGCTACTCAGTTTATGATAATTAATGCTACGAGGACCTGGTTTTGCCAGATCCTTCAGTTTTTCAGGAGTCCTTCAAATCTGAATTTTTGTGAAAACCAAATTTTTACCTGTTGGCAATTATATAATTCCTCTTTAAGACTCTGTGCAGAGGCTGGGTGTGGTGGCTCACACCTGTAATCCTAGCGCTTTGGGAGGCTGAAGGGGTTGGATCTCTTGATCTCAGGAGTTCAAGAACAACCTGAGCAGCATGGCAAAACTCCATCTCTGAAAAAGAACAAGAAAATAGCAGGGCGTGGTGGTGTGTGCCTGTAGTCCCAACTAATTGGGACACTGAAGTGAGAGGATCACCTGAGCTGGGGGAGCTTGAGACTAGTGTGCTGTGATCATGCCACTGCATGGGTGACAGGGTGAGACCCTGTCTCAAAAGCAAAAAAAGGACTCTATGCAGGCCCACACAGCATATCAAATTCATAAGCTCCAAAAGATTACTTTCCATTACTTTTACTTTGCTGTTACATTCAGTGGCCAAAACCACAATTACTTTTGCACCAACCTAATAATTAGCAGATTTGGGGTGACTTTCTTTTACAAAATAAAACCATATACATAGCCATAGTAAAGCCATCACTGGACTAGGAGTCAGATGACTTGAGTTTTGCCTCTGAGTGACTGTGTTATCTTAAGCAAGGAACTTAACCAGTTTCCTCAGCTGAAAGAATCATGAGATACCAAAATATACAACTAGATTAACTAGTCAAGGAATTTTAATACCTATATTTGTGAGTTTTTAATCCTATGGAGGCTCATAACTTGCTTTCAGATGTACTATTTTGTGCTTCTGTCCCGCCTTTCAAATTCCCAGCCCCCCATTGGTGTTTCTACCTCTGAGCCCAGTACATCAGGAAAGTATATTCAAAAGCACTGAGAGGCAACTCTTTTATTCTATATTATTTTCTCTACCTTTGTTACATGCTTCAATCTTTGACCTTTGGAAAAGTCAATGAGCATTAGTTTTAGAAAGGGAGATGGTAATACCATAGCTGCCTGAATACATAGGGTTAGACTAGAGGCCTGGTTGAGGTCCCTTCCACAATGAAGATCCAGTGAATTCCATTAACTTTCTGCCACCTAACACCCTATTTGCACAACCATTTGTTTGTCCTTCCCTCCTGCTATAGGAGAGACATCTTCCTAGTTTACAAGGCTAGCTCTCCATCCAGGCTCTACTCCCATTCTCTCCCGCTTTCTCAGAAACCTTAAACTTCATTTTTTGATATTTACCTTCATCCATACCATTTTTGCAGGGGTCTTCCCCAGCTACACTTAAATACACCCACATTTCTCCTATTTATTACAAACATCTATTTAAAAAATGCACACTCTGCTAGACCCACTCCTCCATGTAGCTACTGCCCATTACAGTTACATTTGTGTCTCCCATTTTCCCTTTCCTCACCAATCTCATAGTCCTCACTTTCCTGAATGTGACTTTCATACCCATCACTACACATGAAAATCACCACTATTCTTGCTATTAAATCCAGTGCATGTTTTCAAATACTCAGCTCACATGATTTTATGGATGTTATTAACACTATTTGCCACACCTTCCATTAAATTTTCTTTCCCCATAGCTTTTAAGACCCTACACTTTCCTGATATTTCTGACTAGTTCTTTCTTTCATTTTCTTTTTGATTGTCTTTTTTACCCCCAATTCCTTGGTGAGTGAGACTACCACAATGGCTCTGTGAGTAGCTTGGCAAACCCTCTTGCCATCACAACCATTTTACTGGTGAAAATTATTTTTAAATATTTGTTTTAAGTCTCCGGAAATTGGCCCAAAAGCTTACATAAAATAAAAAGGACATTAGTATATTAAAACCAACTAAATCTTAGTAGAAGAGTGAGGATCTGTGGCATTTGAGCTACGACCTTCTCCACCATCTACAGCCCTTTGCTTTGTATTACAGATGCTTTACTCCAAATGGGTATAATAAGAAAATGGAGGCTCTTCTCTCCCAGCTGTCAGTCTAGGGCTATGGTTTTATTTAAGAAGGTGCAAGTCACATTCATATCTCATTCTCACCTCCATCTTCCTGTCGCAGATGCTGTGGTCTAGGTGGGAGTGGCTGAGATAATTGGGATTCCCTTTTCCTACACAGCTCCTAGTCTTAGGGTAAGGGTTCTAGCGTAGGTACAACAGGCCAAGAATACTGCTGCCCTGACTTCTCCTTCCCCTGATTGCTTTTAGGGTTGAGATTTCATGCCAGAAAGGGCAAGCTAAGAAGATCAGGAGCCACTATTAATTCCAATACCCACTCATAGGTGGAGCTGTCACTCTAGTGAGAGTAGGTCACTGTGCCCATCCCTAGTGTGAATGAAATGGGTTGATACTATGACCACATTAAGAGACAGGCCTTAACTATTGGTAACTCCCCAGTTATACCTCAGGAGATAAAATTTATTTGAAACACGGAATGAAGAATTTCATACCTAAATGATTGAAAGAGAAATACAAAGACTCTCTTGAGATCATACTCAATTTCATGTTCTGAAAGTCTGTGCATATTCCCTAGGTTTATCCCTTAAGGGGCAATCAGAGCAGGAACAGTTGAATGCATTCTCTAAGTCCCATGTCAATTTAAGAGCGAAAGTTAGAAATCTTAGTGCTTCAAGGGATCTAAGCACAACCTCTGACCAATCACTGGCTGAATAATAAGATACTCTGACCAAGTGCAACTTCAAGGAAGTGAGGCTCAAAAATAAACCACAGCGATTGTGGGTGTACTGAAAGGCCATGCACATGCCCAAGTCTGTACCCTTTCAGGTGCAATCAGAGGAAACTTCTGAATGATTATTGTCTAGCTGAATGCAGGACAAAACTGTAAATTTTCTGAGCTGTGAAAGCAGTCTTCAAGTCACACAGAGATCCAGTGGTAAAAGATGAAAATTGTATTGACTCAGGTGGCTTAAGCACAGCTTTTTTTGTAAGCATAAATGGCTTATGTTGACCCACAGGTCAACATAACCTAGGAAACCATGCAAAAAGATAAAATCAAGAGAAAAATCTGAAGGGATGACAGACAGCTGTTCGAATCCACACGACAAAACAAAGAGTTTCATTAAATATAATGATAATGAAATAATGGTTTTAAAAACAGTACAATTCAATATTTTCCTTTCTTTTAACTGATTTTAAAAGCAATCACATAAGACAGTATATATAAAATTGCATTGTTAGACATTTAAAATATAGGAATGTAATATATTTGCTAGTAACAACACAAAGGAATGATAAGTGAAATAAAGCTACCTTGAAGTAGGAAAATAAGAGCAAACAGTAATGTAATCCACAAAAACAAATGAAGAAAACTACAAATGATACATAAAAGTATTATTATTTTTAAAAAGAAACCTATAAATATTCATTTATATTTATCAAAAATATTAGTTTTCTGTCATGTAAATTAAAAATAATTATCATAAAGAGGCTTAATGAGTCCAAGAGAACAATGTATGAACAAAGGGAGAATGTCAGCAAAAAACCAGAAAATATTAAAATAAAATACCAAACAGAAATCATGAAGCTGAAGAACACATTAACTGAACTAAAAAAGTAACTAGAGAAATTTAACACAAGGTTAGTTCAGGCAGAAGAAAGAATCAGTAGACTTGATGATAGTTTTTTGAAATAAATCAATGAGAGGAGCAAAAATAAATAAATAAAAATAAAAAGAATAAAAAAGGATACAGAAAGCTGAAGGGAATTACGTGGCCCCACCAAGTCACCAAGTGGACCAATGCATACAAAATGGGAGTCCCAAAAGGAAAAGAGAAATCGAAAAAGGACCAGAAAACTTATTCAAAGAAATCATGACTGAAAACTTCTCAAATCAGAGGAAGGAAAAGGGCATACAGATCCAAGAAGCCAAAAGAGCAGTAAATCAGATGAACCTAAAGTGATTTACGCTGAGACACATTAAAAATTCTCAAAAGTTAAGACAAAGAATTTTGAAAGCAGCAACAGAAAAGTGACTCGTCATATAAAAGAGAAACTCCTTTAGACTATCAGTGGATTTCTCAGCAGAAGCTTTGCAGGCCAGGGGAGAGTTGGACTATATATTCAAAGTGCTGAATATATGGAGCTGGATGGAGCTGGAGGCCCTTATCCTTAGCCACCTAATGCAGGAACAGCAAACCAAATACTGCATTTTCTCACTTATAAGTGGAGCTAAATGCTGAGAACACATGGGCACGTAGAAGGGAACAACCCACACTGGGGCCTTTTGGAGGGTGAAGAGTGGGAGGAGGGAGAAGATCAGGAAAAATAACTAATGGGTACTAGGCTCAATACCTGGGTGATGAAATAATCTGTACAACAAACCCCCATGACACAAGTTTACCTATGTAACAAACCTGCACTTGCACCCCTGGATTTAAAATAAAAGTTAAAAAAAGGAAACAAAAAAAATCCCGAACTGTCAACCAAGATATTACATCTTGCAAAACTGATTCAAAAATTAAAGCAAGATAAATACTTCATCAGGCAAACAAGTGCTGGTGGGGGTAGGGGAGCATTCATCACCACTAGAACTACCTCACAAGAAATGTTAAAGTGGCTCTCCCAAAAAAAAGGTTCAGAAAAGTATGCTGAACTGCAACATGATAGCATAAGAAAGTATGAAACTCAAATATATAGATAGACATATAAATATAAATAAATAGACAAATGCAGTATACTACATTACTGTAATGGTGCTGGTTGAATCACTGTATTATTATAGAAGTTAAAAGACAGTACTATTAAAAATATCTCTAACTAAAATCTGTTAAAAGTTATATAATATACAAAGACATAAATTGTGACAATAACATAAAGTGTACAATGTGTAAGGAGAAGTTATAGTGTAAACTTTTTGTATGCAGTTGAGCTGAATTTATTATTCGCTTAAAATAAACTGTTATAAGATATTGTAGGTAAGCTTGAAGTAAGCACACAGACACACATACACATGAAGTATGTGTAAAAGTTAAATAAAAGCAAAAGGAAAGGAATCAAAGCATATCAGTACAAAAAATCAACACAACACAAAGGAAGTTAGCAGGAGAGGAAAAGACAGATTTAAAAACTACAAGACTAACAGAAAACAACTAAAAAATAGCAATAGTAAATCATTTCCTATTGATAATTATTTTAAATGCACTATGTACACACAGAAATTAAAAAGAAAAAAATTTACAAAAAGGAAATCGATAAGCAATAAGCAAAAACCACACAAAAAAATAAAAAATGAAAACAATAACAACCCCCCCAAAAAACAGCCAATGGATCAAACAACCCAGTCAAAAGTCATAGAATGGCTGATTGGATTTAAAAAAAAAAAAAAATAAAAAGAAACAAAAAGACCCAACTATCTACTGTTTACAAGAAACTCACTATAGATTTAAGGAGACACATCAGCTGAAAATGAATAGATGGAGCTAGATATTCTATGAAAATAGTAACCAAAAGAAAGCAGAGTAGGCTATACTTATATAAGAGAAAATAGAGTTTAAGTAATAAATTCTCACAAATGACAACAGTATATAATGATAAAAGGGCCGGTTCTCCAGGAAGACTTAATAGTTATAATTATGTGTGCACCCAACATCAGAGCACCTAAATAAATAAATATTGACAAATCTGAAGGGAGAAATAGGCAACAATAAACTAATGGTAGAATTCAGTATTCCAGTTTCAGTAACGAATAGAACATCCAGACAAAAGATCTATCAGGAAACAGAGACTTGAACAGCACTATAGGCCAAATGGAGCTAATAGACACTTGTACAACATTCCATCTAACAGGAGCCCAATAAATGTTCTTCTCAAGTACACATGAACTTGCTCCAGGATAGATCACAAAACAAACCTTAAACAAATTTTAAAGAATTGAAGTCATGCCAAGTATCTTTCCTGACCACAGTTGGAAAAGCTTCATGATATTGGTCTTGACAATGATTTCATGGATATGTCACCAAGAACACAAGCAACAAAACCAAAATTTAAAAAGCTGGATGACGTCCAAGTAAAGAGTTTCTTCACAGCAAATGAAACAATAAACAAAGTGAAAAGGCAGTCTATAGAATGGAAAAAAATATTTGCAAACCACGTATGTGATAAGGCATTAATGTCCAAAATATAGAAAGGACTCCTTCACTCAGCCAAAAAATGAATAACCTGATTTAAAAAATGGCCTAAGGACCTAAACACATTTCTTCAAAGAGGACATACAAATGGCCAACAGATGTATGGAAAATGCTCAGTGTCACTAATAAGGTAAATGCAAATCAAAGCCACAATGAGATATCACTTCACACTTGCTGTCAGGGCAGCTATCTGACGTGCATGCACAAACACACATACCATATATATATATATACACACACACTCACACATATATACATATGCCTGTATATATACACATACTATATATACATATATGTGTTTATGTGTGTGTGTGTATATATGTATATATATATATGACAAATGTAGGAGAAAATGTCATGATGTGAAGAAATTGTAACCATTACACTGGCAATGAAAATGGTTAGCTGCTATGGAAACAGTATAGAGGTTTCTAAACATTTTTTAAATAGAACTACTATATGATCCAGCAATCCCACTTTTGCATAATTATCCAAAATAATTAAAATCAGGATCTAGAAGCTATATTAGTACTCCCATGTTCTTTGCAGTAAAATTCACAATAGCTAAGATGTGGAAACAACCTAAATTTCTATCAATATGTACAGATAAAGAAAATGTAGCATATACATACACACTGTAGATTATTAGCCAACCTTAAAAACAGAGAATTTCTGCAATATGAGTCAACATGGATCAACCTTAAGGATTTAAATAAGGCAGTCACAGAAGAATAAATACTGTATGACTGCTGTTATATGAGGTATTAAAATAGTCCAATTTATAGACTCAAGGAGTGGAATGGTGGTTGGCAGGGGCTGATGGTAGGGGAAAGTGGGGCGTTACTAATCAACAGGCATAAAATTTTAGCTAAGCAAAATGAGTAAGTTTTAGTGATCCACTGTACAATATCATATCTATAGTCAACGATCCCATATTGTATACTTGAAAATTTGCTAGCAGTGTAGATTTCATGTTAGGTATTCTTAGAATGATAAAATAAAATTTTAAAAAATAGTTAAAATTTATTAAAGGAATTAAAGTGGTATGTTCACTCAATACAGAAGAAAGTTGCAAAGGAGGGACAGAGTTACTAAATAATAATGAGATATATATGAAGAAAACCCACAATGGCAGATATAAATCCAAACATATTAATGATAACATTTAATGTGAATGACTTAAACAGCCCATGAAAATGACACAGATTGTCAGACTGAAGTTTTTAAAATAATGATCTAATTATATGCTGTTTACATGAGAAATACCTTGGATTTATATTATAAATTGTTCAAAGTGAATGAACGCAGATCCACTCTGCTGACAGTAACTATAGTAAAGCTGGAGTGACTGTGCTAATATCAACTTCTTGGGTCTCTCTGACTCTTTTGCCTGTTTTTTTCTAATTTTCTTTTACCTTGTTTTAAGTGTATCCATTTTTATTTCTATGGACTATTTCGTCTTTGCTCATCACTGCACTATTTTCTGTCAAACTTCTAAGGAAACTTTCCCTAGTCCAGAATTCTAAGTCAGATATTACTGATAGTCACTCTCAGATACAAGCAGGGGGTACTCAATGATATTAATTACAAGTGTAAGTAAATGAATAGTTATATAACTAATTTGTGATGTCTCCCTCACCTGATAGGAAAGTACCTAATTAGCAGGAGAGACTGAGTTGATCTTATCTTTTCTGTATTCCCCAAATCCAGCATGGAGTTTGGTATATTTTAGCAGAGTATCAAAATGAGTGAATAAACATATATGAAAATGACCCCAAATATCTATAGAAAATTTGCTTCTAGTGGAGAAATGGCTTCATTCTCCCAGACTCCCATGGACCACAGAGTAAACAAGTGAGTGCTCTTCACAGGTGATGTTTCTTAAAGGGTCATCTATTGAATAGTTGTGATAAGATTAATGGGATACTGGTAAAATATGGATTTCCAGGCCCTGTCCTAAGAGTTTGTTTTGGTAATTCAGGAAAGGTTCATGAATCTGCATTTTAAACAATGCCTCGTGTGATTTTTTCCCTTCAATTTCCCTATACTGCATGCATTCTTATTACCATAGATGATCAAAATAATATTTCAGAAGTCTTGACTGAGGAATAAACACTAGGTAGACAGAAAATGGGTAGGGCAGGGAAGACATTCAGGATAGAATTAATGAGCAAAAAGGCACAGCAACAGGAATTAATTTGACATTTTTGGTAAACTGGAACCCAGAGCTGAATCTACAGTGGACCGCAAAGATGAAGCAGGGCATGAGATGAAGCTGAGGAATTTAGACATTCTCCAGGCCACAAACACTTGGAATGTCATGAGAAAGTATTTAAATTTCAACCTCTGGATTTCATAGAAAAGTACAAAATATTTCAATCTGACAACCAAGTGGCAGAAAGACTGGCTTTCAATGCTGACCGTTCAAACACATGGCCAGGAAGAACTCAAATAAAGCGTAATTCAACTGACGCTTATGATTCAGAATCTCCTTGTGAGAAGAAACATTTGAACCCAAATTCCTCATTTAACAGTGGAAGAAATTTTCTCAAGAGACTTGACTTTTTAAAGATTGAACAATGTTTACATTTTTGCAGAACTGGGATTCAACTCAGGTCTCTTAGCTTCTGGTCCAGGGCTTTGAATTGCTCATAAATCCTTAGGCCAGGTGCAGAGGCTCACGCCTGTAATCCCAGCACTTTGGGAGGCCCAGAAGGGCAGATCACAAGGACACGAGATCAAGACCAGCTTGACCAACATGTTGAAACTCCATCTCTATTAAAAATACAAAAATTAGCCAGGCATGGTGGCATGTGCCTGTAATCTCAGCTACTCAGGAGGCTGAGGCAGGAGAATCACTTGAATTCGGGAGGTGGAGGTTGCAGTGAGCCGAGATCGTGCCACTGCACTCCAGCCTGGGCGACAGAGTGAGACTCTGTCTCAAAAATAAATAAATAAATAAATTCTTATAATCCTTTAATTTATATTTCAACTGACAATAAAAACTTTGAGCACTAAGTGCTGTGGGTTAGATGTTGTCCAAATTGTCCCATTTAATTTTGATTTATATACTTTCCAAAATATTTCCACTGTACAGAAAATTTAAAAAAATATTTTTGACTTAGCTTTGGAGGGTTTTGTATGCAAAGAGAGAAAATTCTCATTAGACTGAAATATAATAAAAGCCTGCTGAGACTGGATATTTATGTGATCTAAATATAACATATAATCTGATATGTGTGTATACATATTAGTAATAAATGCTTATGCAATGCTATCAATAACATACCATGTGCAAATTAGTGTCTGAATTAATGTAGTGTGGCTAGAGCTAGAAAAAAGAAACTGATTTTATTACATAATAAAATGCTCTTAATTGTGAGAGTAGAACAGTTTTATTACATACCATTACTTTTGGAAACACCAGCCTTTTCATTGATCAAAAAATATTATCGGTCAAAGCAAGACTGAAAATAAACTAAAGAATAACACTCCTGACAGAACGGGAAAAATGAAATAAAATGACGCATGTATGGTTTTAAACACAAAATGGAACATAATTAAGGAGCAGGTTTATAGCAGAGCTTACACACGTTTAGCTTTTTGAAGTCAGTTGTTTATATCAAGAGCTTTGAAGTGTTCACTTGTGTTTCTATTCCAATTCAGAAATGAGGGCTTCAATAAAATTACAAAAACAAATTATAACAAAATAAACCTAGGATGCTGCTGCTTCTTTCTTTTAGTGCTATAATTAAATATATTTTTAATGCTGTGTATAAGTCATACATGAGATTTAAAATCAGAGATAAATATTTATAGGAAGATTTTGTTATTAACAAATCAGTCTTACAAAAGTTTAAATATATGCAATGTACAAATATACATAAAGTATGAAAGCTAATATCTGTGAGGAATGGTTCATACTAATTTGCATGAAACTTTACATTTAGAAACTTTCAAATATTTTGTTACTTTTAAATTTTATGCTTGATTCTCCCTTTTGAGGGCCTATCTATGTATATTCATTTGTTTGTTTATTCAAGAAATATTTATTGAATATCTGCTATGTGTCAGGCATCATGTTCACAGGATAGACTCAATCCTTGTTACTATGGAGTCAACAGGCTAATGAGGAGACAGCCATTAAATGAGTAGCCAAATTGAAACTTTATAAAATTCAGTTTTTTCACTTGCAAAATGGGGATAATAATATCTGCCCTAGTTCTCACACAAGTTAAATGAGATAATTGTGAATATAGTCAACTTAAAAGTGTACCCTGGGCAGAATTCAATAAATAGATAGTAAAAATATTATATTAAAAATATCTTAACTTTGCCCTCTTTTACTTACGAGTACATTTTCTACTAAAATTTTATCTTGAATCTAGCTTTGATCAGAATAAGAAAGCACTCCCTCGAATAGAGACTTATGTCCCCTGGGTAGTATGTAGGTGTTGCTGATAATTGCTACCAGCTGAATGATACTGTTTAAAGATTTTCACAGAAAAAAAATACCACCATAATGTTTTTAATTTTTTGTTTGTGAATTTCACCATTAAAATATCACTTTTCTGTGTCTGAATGATTTTATTTTGAGTTCCTAATCAAGAAGATTTTCCCTATAAAGAAATCATAGTCTCAGGTATTATCAGTTAATGACTTTGGATTATATAGTAAAAACATAGGCAGAAATTCTTAAATTGGGAAATTATTAGAGAGACCAGGAAAGTTGAAGCCAGAGGGAGAAAGTTTTTGGTGAGGGTTGATATAAAGCTCAAAACTCTTCTGCCTAATACTTATTTCATTACCACATGTTAATAGTTGCAGGTGTAAAAAGTTTATTGACAATGGGATGTGGCCTTTGAATAGCAGAAGGTGCGGAAGCTTGGAAGAGAAAGAGAAAGAATGTAAACACTCCTTGCCTTTATATATGCAGGTGAGAAAACTCTGGCATTGTTTTGAGTTAGAGTGAAAGTATAAAGCATTTACCCAAGCATTTTCTCTAGTAGAAGGAGATGTGTACTCGCTCTAGAAGCTAAAAGAAGATTTGGGGAATGGAATTGTATCATTCCTGCTGAGTGACACTAATGCACTGGAAAAAGTAAATGAAAGGCTTGTGTGATTAATCAACTAACGACAAAGGCTGAAAGCCAGAGGGCCCCTTAGGCAACATATGAGAGACTTTTACCTACCAAAGTCCAGAAAAAGTTAAGAATCAACCTACAGAATTAAAAGAGCTCTAAGAGGATTGATTTTTTAGTCCCAACAAGTCTACTATGCCAGGGTCACAGTCTTGGATAAAAAGGTGTAGGACTCCCATAGTTGTCAGGATGAGGCTATGGAAGTTGATGTACTTGAAAACCACATGAATATGCACCTGCAGGAGTGAGCCATTACTGTCTTCTAGAGGTTAGTACTTTCCAGGCTTCCCCTTGCTTGAAGCCAGTGCTGATGCCTTTACTTTGCAAATCAACATGTGCCCCTCTCTTGGTTTGTTCTTCATTTCTTCCCCACCCACCAATAATACAACCAATAATGAGGATCAAATCACAGCATAACCAAGTACAGGAATGTTCTAGATCTACAAAGGGAGGAAAAAGGCAATATATTGAAGGAGCTGCAGAGCCTACTTTGTATCAGAAGGATCTGAGAATATGTATGGAATTGTACTCTGAGAGTAATGGGTTAAAAGGGTCAAATAATAAATTTGGATAAGAGAGTTATTTAAAAATTGCTGTTAAAAGCACTTTTCCATGATACACAATTCAAAACACTGAGAAAAACCTAGGGATATGATATTTATTTGCTGCTGGAATGATAGCTCTTGGAAATTTGGAAAAAGTGATGGCCCATAGAAGTAAAATGACCCCTATGTCAGATGGTAGTAAAAAGGATCAAAAGGCACAGAGGAGTGAGTGTGTTAAATAGATATAACCCACTAGCTTTCTGTATTCTTTGGGAGAGCCTAGAAGGATGCTGTTCACTAAAGCAAATGCACTTCCGACAGGGGCACGAGTATCACTGAGAAATCAAGGGTGGCTGTTCACTGTAGGCCATTGCTGATAGTAGGAACTACTAGGGATCATTGATAAGCATGACAATGACAGAATGCTGAAATAACGGGCTTAGTGGCAGGATTTAACTGACAGGAGCAAAGTGGGTACAGTTACTGTAATGAATGCCAAGGTTATAATGGCACTTGGAGATGGCAGAATACTGACTGTTAGAAAGATATGGAGATAGCTAATAGAACACAACACCCCTAGGAGCTAGATAGATCAAAAGTCAAAACAGTTATGTGCAAATTATGTAATAAAATATATCAAGGATGAATGATCAGAAGGCTGAGGGCAGATGAATCATCAAAAAGTCATAATTCCTTGCTTAGTTTTTGAACATGATCCAATTTTCAGATGCGAGAGTCCCTGACTCCAGGATAAAGGATCCTGCAGCAATGCAGCTTAAGTACCTCATAAGAATTCCCCTATTAGGAAAGGTTAGGGCTGCTGATATACAATAGAGACAGAAAATAATATATCTGGCATCCAGATAATCCACCGAGGCATCTTTTGGAAATCTCTTGCACAATTTTGATCATAAGTAATCAAGAGTAGCATTTATAGTGAAAGGAGGAAATAGTGATCAGGGACTAAGACCCCTCCAGGATGAAGGATCTATGTACCAGGTAAGTCATCTTGACCTGCAGAGGTATATGATTAGGGTATGAGGAGTCGAGAATGAGTAATAGATGGAGGAGATGTTGAGTTTCTTTCAGTTATAACCTCAACACCAGTTGCAATAGTGGAGACTGCAGTTTGTCTCACTAATACTCCTCTTAGGCATTTTCCTAGGAAAAGGAACCAAACTTTTTTCCTGGAATAATTATTCTAAAAATTTATTATATAAAGCAAGTGTATCCAAGTGGTACAGGGAGTAGACTATAGGGGTTGCTGTATTGTTTCACCAACAACTTTCCTTCAGGACAGAGACACTGATTTCTCTGTGCTGGAGGGAGTATGGTGTCTGCCAGCTCTTAGCAGATTCCCTCTGTGTGAATTGCTCTTAGCTGTATAGAGTAGGTTTGACCAATTCCTTTCCAAGAGTAGCCTATATCACAATGACTGTTTGGCATAAGAGTATAAATTCTCGGTCACTTTGGTTCAATGCTGGACCACTCTAAAGGGCAATGCTAGTCCCAAAGTTCCTTGTAGATCAGCTGAGAACTTTATTGTAACTGAACTGCAATTGTATTTCAATTCCTTGCTCTGCCCAATCCTACTTTCTTCCCCTCCATAAGTGTTGATCCCAAGGATTCATCCCCAAAATATTTCTAAGTGCTACAGCAGCAACAGCAGCATTGTTTTTACTCACAAACATCTCTTCAGGAGTAAGCGCTAAACAAATGTATGTTGAATGAATACATAGGTAAAAATATGAATGAAAGTGAAGCCTCTAGTCTAGTATCTGGAGCATAGTAAAAGATCAGTGTATAATAATAGTTGTGATTATTACTATATACTATTACTATTAGGATAAAGCACCTGATCTAAAAGTGATGTTTATCAAATGAATATTTTCATTAAAAAATGAGTCTAATAACTGAAATAAGTCAGACACATAGAGGCAAATACTACATGATTTTAATTCGCAAAGTTTATGGAAAAATCGAATTAAAATATAAAATGAGGCCAGTCATGACTCATGCCTGTAATGCAAGTTCTTTGGAAAGCTGAGATTGGAGAATACCTTGAGGCCAGGAGTTTGAGACCAGCCTGGGCAACATAGTGAGACCTCCTCTCTACAAAAAAAATTTAAAAATTAGCTGATTCTGGTGGTACATGCCTGTATTCCCAGCTACCTGAGAGTCTGAGTCAGGAGGATCCCTTGAGCCTGGGAAGGCAAGGAGGCAGTGAGTTATGATTCTACAACTGCACTCCAGCCTGGGTGACAGACTGAGATCCTTAAAAATAACATAAAATAAAGATTAAAAGCAAAAACATAAACTTTATTTCTTAACGTAAGCCTTATCAAGTTCAAGACACTTTTGTAAGTGATTGTAATAGCCATTTAGCTCCTCTCTGACGAACTGAGGGTCCTGGGAATTTAACCATGTCGATGCAGTCTTTTTACATTATTAATTAAAGAAAAATGGATGCTTTTTACAGATTTTTTAAGATTAAGAAACAGGAAGAAGCCAGAAGTAGCCAAGTAAGGACTATAATATGGGTATCTAATGATTTCCCATTGAAACTCTTGCAAAATTGCCCTTGTTTGATGGAAGAAATGAGCAGGACCATTGTCATTGTGGACAAGGACTCTGGTGAAGCTTTCCTGGGCATTTTTTTTTTCTGCCAAACCTTTAACTAACTTTCTCAAAACACCCTCATAATGAAATATTTTCATTCTTTAGCCCTCCAGAAAGCCAACAAGCGACTTGAGCTTCCCAAAAATATTGTTGCCATGACCTTTGCTCTTGACTAGTCCATTTTTGCTTCAACTGGACCACTTTTACCCTTAGGCAGCCAATGCTTCGATTGTGCTTTGTCCTCAGGATCATACTGATAAAGCCATGCTTCACTTCACATTACCATTCGTCAAAGAAATGCTTCCAGACCTTGATCCCACTTGTTCAAAATTTCCATTGAAAGTTTTGCTCTTATCTGCATCTGATCTGGACATGACAGTTCTGACCCCCATAGAGTGGAAAATTTGCTCAAGTTTAAATGCTTAGACAGAATTGTATAAGCTGAACAAATTGAGATGTCTTTGGTGTTGGTTATTGTTTCTTCTGTTAATCTTCAGTCTTTTTCAATTAGGACATGAATGAGATGAATTTTTTTCCTTGCAAATTGATGCAGATGGTCTGCCACTGCACGTTTCGGATTTTTTAAGATTATTAAACAAAAAGAAGTCAGAAGGAGTCAAATCAGCACTGTAACGTGGATACCTAATGATAATCTAATTTATTTTCTAATGATAATTATATGAAGGGGTAAGATAATCATCTACATTATCTTGTCTCTTTATACAATGAGTTATCCATTTGTAAACTGCCGATTTATTTGAGGTATTGTCCCCATCAACTTTTTGTAAAGCATCAATGATTTCATCATTCTTCCACTCAAGCTTTACCATAAATTTGATGCTTGATCTTGACTTCAATGTTAGCAAAATTCATGTTGTTGCAATATAACTCTTTTCAGACTGAAGTTCTATTCTTCTTAGTGCCTCAAACTAGATTCTATTCAGACACGGTGGAACAAATTAGTTTGAGGCTGTTTTGGTGCAAAATATTTTGAAATCCATGCATAGTTTTTTCATAACACACATTTTCTTGGAACCTTTTGAAGACTGCTCATATATGTGGAATCTAAAGAAAGTCAAATTTATGAAAGCAGAGAGTAGGATAGTGGTTTCCAGGGGTTGAGGGGTAGGACAAATGAGGAGATGTTGGTCAAAGCTATAAAGATTCAGTTATGCATGATGAGAAAGTTCTGGAGGTTTAATATTCAGCCTGGTAACTAGTTATTAATAATGTATTGTATAATTGGAATTAGTAAAGGAAGTTGATTGTAAGTGTTCTCAGCATACATACAAAAACTCATAATTATGTAAGGTGATAGGTACATTACTTAGCTTGTTTGTGGTAATCATTTTACAATGTTTACTGTATCAAAAAATCACATTGTATACCTGAAAATATACAATTTTTCCTTGTCAAGAACAGCTCAATAAAGCTGGGGGAAAAACAGAATGTGAGTCTAGTCAATAAATTGATAAACATATAGTGTCTCTCAACGTGAATCAGAGAGAGATTCTGAAGATGGAAAGATAAATAAAGCATAACCTTTGGTTGCAAGAATCTTGCATTTAATGAGGAATCTTAGAAAAGTGAATTCGTTGAAGGAGAGTTCAAAGGCATGGAAATTAATTAATATCCTATTAAAAGAAAAAGTTAAAAGTTGTTTGAAAACATTTTCACCTAGTGAATAAATGCGTAACGAGAAGAATAGACAAATATGTAACAAAATATAATTGTATTTTATTTTGAAACTTACAAGCGTTTTCTTATTCCTTATTTTTTTTTAAGGATTTTTGAACATCTTAAAGTAGGTTTTATTATTTTTATAATGAAAACTAGTCTTTTAATCAATTTATTTTCTGGATGTGTTTGTGCAGACTTTTATGTGTATTATATTTTAATTACACTTATAGGGTAGTTTGCATTTTATGTAGAGACTTATCAAATTCTAGATTTTGTTCAGTAATATTTCCGAAGGGATTGTTCAAATATTCTTTCATCATCTGTTCTTTATGGAAACCCAGAATCATGTAGTATCTATCTTTGTTTTGTGGTCATAATATAAAATTTATAATAATATTGTTGAAATATAAAACTGTATTTAAAACTAAAAAACATTTAAAAATATTTCCAAATTTATACTATGCAAAATTACCTTTAACATAATTAATTTATGACTCATTGAATCAACCAAATATTTTGCATACAGATAGATTTACTTAGATTCATGGACTATAATTTAATGGCTGGTTAGTGAGTATTGTTCCTATTCCTCCATGTTTTAATGAACAACTATTATTTTTTATTCAGAAACCAAATTTTTGAGTAAATACCTAAAAAACATTATGTTCCCAGATCAGGCAGGTTTTTCTATTTTCCTGGTAGTAGAAACTAAGACATGTGTCTTCTAAAATCTAGTCCTGTGAGCACAGTTTATGTATCTCTAAATGTGTTCCCATAGTTTCAACTATATCAAGGACTACAAGCATATTTTCTGAACCAGTTATGGATTTATGAGTTTAATTAATTATGTTACTTGCTGATTCTATTTTTATGCATTTTAAGTTTAAAAGATATATAAACATATCAACATGATAATCAGGGACAAAATAGTTAAATTTGATAAATGTGAACTCATAGTATTGCAGAATTAGTAACATGACTAAACTGGGTCTACGCAATTTCTTTCTTTCTTTTTTTTTTTTTTTTTTTTGAGATAGGGTCTTGTTCTGTCAAGATGGCAGTGGTGCGATCTTGGCTCACTGCAACCTCCACCTTTTGGGTTCAAGTGATCCAACTGTCTCAGCTTCCCTAGTAGCTGGGATTACAAGTGCAAGTCACCACACCCAGCCAATTATTGTAATTTTAGTATAGATGGGGTTTCACCATGTTGGCCAGGCTGGTCTCAAACTTCTGGCCTCACCTGATCTGCCTACCTTGGCCTCCCAAAGTACTGGGATTATAGGCATGAGCTACCATACCTGGCCTATGCTAATATTAGACCAAGAGTTTGATAGTCTTCTCTCACATAATCCAAATTTACCCTGGTTTTGCTATAGTATGGTCAGCCTGGTGATAGTTGCTCACTCAAACTTAAATATCGATTGGAGAGATTCTGGGTCTGCTGGCTGTTGATATTTGCAGAATGCAGGCAGCAAAATCCAGGAATCTTACAGGTGGGTGGCACCTGTTTCTCCATCCTGACCTAGAAATCTTAAGGCAAGGAAAAGTTGGGAATATAGAGACCCACTTCTCTGCCCAGCCTTTCCCTCCAATCCATGTCCTCATGCATACATCTGAAGATTAAAACATTAGCCTACCACTGTTAAAATATGGGAGCTGGGCAGAAGAGCCAAATTGCCAATCATATCTTGTCTTTATTTATAGTATTTCTTGAGTATTATCTCAAGATTTTACACTATCAGCCTCCTAAAATGTGTAAAGCACTGTGTTGACAGATTTACGGTTGAATGGAGGTAATACACAACCAACTGTAATGCAACAATCTAATGAAACTATAATGATGCATTGGATTGTGTTACTCTATTCTTTAAATTGTTTTTCCATCAGCAAACATTCCCTATTTTCTACCAGATACTGTGCTACACTTTAGCCAGATAAATGTGGAAAAAAAGCACACTCCTTACCCCTGTAGACAGTAATTGTCAAGAAAATCTTGTAAATCAACAATTCTTAATTGAGTCATAAGTGCTCTGGTATCAGCACTAAAAGCTACAAGAATACAGAGGAATGCTCCCCTCCAGATGAGAAAGAAGGGAGATGTAGGAACTAGTAAGGGATGAGGTCAGACAGGTTACATGGGGCTGATTTATATGTAACGTAGACCAATCCATAATTTGCTGGAGTAATTTATTATATAGAACTGTCATGACATTCTATTCCATATTTTATTAAAGGATGGATGTTAGTGGGTGTCCCATTAAGCTTTAAAAAAGTTAGCTGTTAGATCTGTTTTTTTAAGATAGTGGTTGGATTGATAAGTTAACCATTGGACCAGTTTCGAAGTGCTTTTTCATCTATTATGCAGTGGAATGGATGTCAATCTGTTTTCCTTTCTTCAAACATGTGCCCCATTTTGTGCATGCTCACTTAGAACCTTTCAATTTACTGTGAAAGCACCATAAAGATCACTCAAGAAGAAAAATCTGTGTGTGAAAATGAGGAGTATAGTCTTTCACACAGTGCTAGATGAGGACTGAAATCCAAAGAGCTTTGGCTGCCTCTGTAGCAAACCAGCTTTCTGAATCATATTCCTTCTTACTCTGACCCATTTTTTAAAAGTTTTGTCCATTTATTTTTACCAAAACAAATTCACTACAATTGCTAGTAGAGATTACATCCCATTTGGTATTTAGATGGGCATACTTAATATTATTTTATTTTATTTTATTTTATTTTATTTTATTTTATTTTATTTTATTTGTTAGGGTTAAGGTCTCTTTGTCGTACAGGCTGGAGTGAGTACAGTGGTGTGATCATGGCTCACTGCAGCTTGAATCTTCTGGGCTCAAGAGGTCCTCTCTCATCAGCCTCCTGAGTATCTAGGACTACGGGTGCCCACCAGTGTGCCTGGATAATTTTTTAATTTTTTGTTGAAACAGGGTTTTGCCGTCTTGCCCAGGCTGGTCCCAAACTCCTGGGCTCAGGTGATCCTCTTGTCTTGGTGTTCCTAAGTGCTGGGTTTACAGGTATAGGCCACTGTGCCAGGCCTATTTTGTTTTTAATTGACAAATAAAAATTGTATATATCTATTGTGTACACTATAAAATTTGAAATACGTGTATGTTGTAGAATGGCTCAATTGAACTAATTAACATATGCATTACCTCACATATTTATCATTTTTTTTTTTTGTGGTGAGAGCAGGTAAATCTACTCACTTAAAGATTTTCAAAATATAATTGTCACTATAGCTGTTAAACATGTCACTATAGTTGTCACAAATTCACCATGTTGTACAATAGATCTTTAACTTATTTCTCCTATCTAACTGAGATTTTGTATCCTTTGACTAACATCTCTCTAACCCATCATCCCAGCTGGTGGAAATTACCATTCTACTCTCTACTTCTGTGTGTTCAACTCTTTTAGATTCCACATATCAGTGAGATCATGTGGTATTTATCTTTCTGTGGCTGGCTTATTTCATGCAACATAATGTCCTCCAGGTCCATCTATGTGGTCACAAATGACAGGATTTCTTTCTTTTTAAGCCTGAATAGTATTCAATTGTGTATATATACACTGCATTTTCTTCATTTATTCATTGATGGGCATTTATCTGTCCCATTTTATACAGAAGCCAAATTCTATCCTTAATCCAAGGTTAGGGAGCTAAGATGGTCTAATTTGTGTATGTGTGTGCATTGAGGAACATTTTAATGAGGATATGAAGAAAGCAGTATTATGCTTTTTTCATGTATATACTATTAAAATAAAAACATTCCTAAAAATCCTGTAAATTGAATTTATGCTTCATGCATATGTGGGTAAGTTTTGACAGTAATGTCAATTTCTGCATTTTGAGTATGTATATAATATATCAACTAGGATTAGTTCTGGCAACACAGAACAGAAAACCAAATATAATAAAAATAGGAATTTATTCTCTCTTGTATAAATAAGTCAGAGGCATGTGGGTGAAAGCTGATACAGCAGCTGCTGTCACCTGTGCCCTGGGCTGCTTTTTCTATCTGTTCAACTGCCCTAATGCTGACTTTCAAATTTAGGAATACTTCATGTATCAGTAAGGCTGCTGGAGGCCCAGACTTCTCATCATTATTTTAGGCAGTATGAAGGAGAAAGAGGGAAAGGCAAAATACAATTTCCTGAGCTGAATCAGTTGTCTTAAAACCACCTTCCTAGAAATCTCATTCAACTCGTTTATTCTTCTCTCACTGGCTAGAACTTGTCACATGTAAATAACAACAGTAAGAGAGGATGGTAAATTTCATAACTAGGTGTGTTACAGACTCAAATAAAGTAGAGTTACTTACTAACAAGAAAGGGAAAAATTGATTTTGCATGGAAAATGGGAAATTTTAGTATAAATTGATACTTTTGCCTGCAAATAGCAGGTAATCTAAATAAAAATGACTCCAATCTTAGATAACAGCTATCTTAGATTACTGTCATCTAAAACCTTAGATAACAGTAAATAACAATATGGTAGTTTTAGGGTTCAGCATGGTTGTGTGATCCTCGATGTTGGCATATCCTCTTGGGCAGTTTCCTCAGGGTCCAAGTTCCATACTTCCCTTGTAGACTGCCATGTGCACAGGCAGAAAAGGAGACGCTCCCTTTATTTATAGCCTTAAAAGATAATACAAGCAAACAAACAAAAGCTTTCTTGCAGCTTCCCTGCATTCTTTCCATCTTGCCTTATTGCCCAGCAGGGTGTCCCATGTTCATGTCTACAGGACTAGCTACATAATTTGCAGGGCCTAAGGCAAAATGGAAGTGCATAGCTCCTTTTTCAAAATTAAGAATTTCAAAATAAAAGCAGCAGAACACTAAGCCAAGAATGGAACCCTTCTAACTATGCCCATGAGGTTGTCCTTTATACCTGAACAGATCTGCTAACAAGGAGAGTGAGTTCAGCCTTTTGGCTTGACTCTGCAAAGATTCATACCCTGGGCTAGAAGGGGTCTTAATTCCTATGACAGATATACCCTATGTAGAAGAAACTAAGCAAACTGAGAGTTCTGTTGGGAAGGAAAATGAGACCAATGCTTGTTGTACAGGCAATCCTGGTTTGTCACCCAGGATATTATGATGAATTTGTGGTTATCTTCTCCTGAAGGGAGAAAACAGTGTTGACCCTGTCATAAATAATGCTGACAAATATATCCAATTACTTAACTCATGTTTAAATGAAAAATATAATAAAATAGATCTACTAACTTTGATTTTCAAATATTCATATCCAATAAAGGGTGATTAAAGAGTGTGCATCGATGTCATCCTTGTAAATTACATAATTATGATAATTGCATACTTAAAGATCTATCAATATTGAGAAAAACTACAGCTGGGAAGACAGACAAGGGCTTGTGATCAGAGTCTGTTTTTGAGGTGGACTATAAGACTCTAGGAGCAGGAGGATATGTGAAAACAGATATGGTCGTTTCTGTGAACTATCATTTCTATGGACTTTGAGCTTAGTTCCCCACCCCCACCCAAACTAGAAATTGTCTCAAACTGTGACCAGGTAACAAGAAGTGTGAAAGAAGGAAATATCACCTATGGAATATCTACTATTTGTCAGATCATTCACTTATGCTATTTCATTTAATGCTGACAAATTTTTATGATGTAGCTCTCATTGTTTTCATTTTGTAGAAGGGAAAAGATGTTAAGCACCTTTGCTAAGGGCTAGTGAAAGACAGCTGGAACATAAACTCAAGAGTGTCTGACTCCAAGGACCAAACTCTTCCTACTGTGCCATAAGACAATATGACTTAAGTTCTGGGCTTGTCTTTGGAAATATTTTCTCTGGGGTTGTGGAAAACTATAATGTAACTGGCACATTTCTGTCTATGGCTGATCTAACTTTTCAAAACAGATTTTCTTCATCATCTTGAAAATAACTTAAAGTTGAGTCTTTGCTATAAGTATGGGCAAACTAAGATGGAAAGAAATTCATTGACACATATACCAAAGTATATTGGGGAGACCGGGCACAGCGACTCACACCTGTAATCCCAGCACTTTGGGAGGCCAACGTGGGTGGATCACCTGAGGTAAGGAATTTCAGACCAGCTTTGCTAACATGGTGAAAAATACAAAATTAGCAGGGTATGGTGGCACTTGTCTGTAGTGCCAGCTACTTGGGAGGCTGAGGCAGGAGAATTGCTTGAACCCGTGAGGCAGAGGCTGCAGTGAGCTGAGGTTGCGCCACTGCACTCCAGCCTGGGTGAGACAGAGTGAGATTCTGTTTCAAAAATAAATAAATAAATAAATAAAAATAAAGTGTATTTGGGAAATATTTAGCAGGGAAGATTACAGGAACAAATAAACAAAAATGGACTTAATTATGGCAGGTATGGTACAAATTCACATGAATCTTTAGGATGAAAATACTAAGGAAGATGAATGAACTTATGAGGCAGTAGAGGGAAAAAATGAGAGGTAAGCGATATGAAAAGGAAATGAAAGAGGAGTCAAACATTAGTGAAATGTTCTCTCTGTAGTTCTTTAAGAATAAAAAATAATCTTCCTGAAGCATTAGTTTTACAAAACATTTAGGCTAGAGTTGAATGACAGCTGTATAAAAGGATAATGTCTAAGATAGAAGACACTTAAAAACAGTGTTTTTCTAGGTTTTTAGGATATATATAGATAATTAGTTAGGGTCATTGTTATTAGTTGAATTTTGTCTCCACAGAATCCATGTATTGATGTACCCAAGAATATGACCTTATTTGGAAACGGGGGTTGCAAATATAATTTTTTGAGATAATGAGAATTCAGGTGGGTCCTAATCCAATAAGCATGATGTTCTTATAAAAAGAAAATTGGTACACAGACAGACGTACATAGAAGGAAAACAGTGTGAAGAGACGCAGATATTTTTTCTACTGCATTCGATCTGCTTTTAAATCTACCCATTGAGCTCTTTATTTTGGTTATTATATTTTTCATTTTTATTCTTTTCAGGTTTACTGTCATTTGTTATAATTTCCAGTTACTTTCTGAAATGTTTATGTTTGTCTTTTACTCCTTGAGCATAACATCATAATAGTTTTACAAAATGTATCTTCTAATTGGGTCTCTTTCTGTTATTTGTTTACTTTTGCCTTGCTAGTTTTACCTCTTGTTACTTGTTGCCTGGCATGCCTGGTATACTTTGATCTTGAATTTGAAAATGTATTGAAAAAAAATAATAATTTGAAGCACAGGATAATGTTTTCCTTCTCTGAAAAAGAAGAATATCATGTTTATGTCTGCAAGATGCCTGAGAAAAATGGTAATCTGGAAATAATATTTCCAAGTTCCAGGCTTGAAATTTTCTGCATTATTAAGAAGATATAAACAAAGAAGCAAAAAAAAAAAAAGAGTTTTTTTTTTTTTTTGTATTTTTTGGTGGGGTGCCTTTTTACCCAAGGGACAGGGCCCTTTGTGGTCCCATCTAAAAGCATAATATTTACTGAACTCTACATTTTCCTTGGGACCAAGATTCCAGCTTTTATCTCCTTGGATACTCCAGGCAGTCTCCAAACAGAGCAACCTCACAGACATCTCTTAACAATAAGCAAATGCTCCTAGGACTGACACAGTCCTCAGTTCTCCGCTCTTGTTTTTGGGATTCTAGCATTCCCTGGATTTTGATGTTAGTAATTGTTTACTGTTATGTTGCCTTCTTGATACTTTTATGGAAGATGTAATTTTTATTTCATTCACCTTTGAATAATATCTTCAGTAAAAGATTTGTTCCAAATTATGTAGCCTGCAATTACCTGAGGCAGAAGTCTCAATTTTCTTTCCATTACAAAATCTTCAAAACTTTCATTAAGATTTCATAACAGTACAAAACAAGAACCTTTGCAGATACTTTTACTTTCTGATTTTTTTATAGCTTAGTTTTTTTTTTCTTCAACTAGATTATAAATCCCTGAACCACAGGCAGTTCATTACTTGAATTCCCCATAATAACTTTCATGAGTGGCACAACACCTAGTAGATACTCCATAAATGAATTGAATGAAAGAGCATATTGGTGAATGCAATTTCTTAGATTGTATCTAAATTATGAAACTTCACCATCCATCAACATAGAAAACTGGATTATAGCAGGTAGTAGAAGTATTCTTCTCCTACTTTTATTAGAAAAATAAACAAGTGCCCGAGTGTGGTGGCTCATGCCTGTAACCCCAGCTCCTCTGGAGGCTGAGGCAGGAGGATTACTTGAACCCAGGAGGTCAAGGCTGCAGTAAATCATGATGTTACCACTGTACACAGAGAAAGACCTTGTCTCAAAATAAAAAACAAAAGAAAAAGAAAAAGCAACAAGTAAACCAAGTCATATAAATATATTTGGATCCCGAATATCTTTACCTTTCCCTTTTAATCCAGGTATAACTGTCTCAGTCTCTGATTTTATGTACCGTTGGAAGGCTAAAGGTCACCTTAAAATTTCTGAGAAATTCTAGAGGTTATTGTATAACCAAACTCTAAAGTTGAATTCCTGCCTCCTTTGAACCAATCCACTTTATGCATCATCTCACCATCTCAACATGCTCTCTAGTTACAGAACTGAGACCCTTTCATTATTTCTTTACCCAAGCCACACTGTCACTCCTACCTACGCTTTAATATGATAGACATCACATTGCACATACAAATGTATATCTTGCTGTTTTTTCACCTGTTTATTTTATTGTAACTTTTTTCTTATGCCATGAAATATCATTTGAAAACATATAAATTCTGCAAAATAGTTTCTGATGTAAACATACCATATTTTACTTTAATCATTCTTCTATTTTGAGGATATTTACAGTGTTTCCTACTTATTCCGTAACATATAATAACTATATTGATAAAGAAACCCTTGTGCACTTTTTATCTGTTTTATTAGTGTGGAATTATTTATAGGGGAGGAATTGCAAGCTAATTATTACATGAGCTTGTTAAAGAATCTAAATACATATCCCAAAATACTTCTTCTATTGATTGTAAAGATTTACAGTCTCTCCAACAGTTAATGATAATGCCAGTTTTATGGCATATTTGAAAAAATTAATTCTTTTTTAAAATTGCTAATTGAGTAGATGAAAATAATATGTCATGTTTGAATATTCATTATTTTGACTACACATGAAATAGTTTGCTATGTTTTGGCCTGGTAAAATAATTTGTAACTTTATGTTTCACAGTAAATATTATTGATATGGATAGTGACTAGATTATGAAATATAATTGGTGCTCCATTCAGGAAGACTTAATTGAGAATGGGATCTTGGAGTAGTCTTTACTGTATGCCTCAGTCCCTGAGTGTAGTAATTAGAGAAATGAAAAGGGCCACTGAATTTTTTGTAGACCAAATTGTCTTCCGTAAGACCATCCTGTCATTTTAAAAACATTAGAGGCCAACAAGCATTAATTCAGGACTTGATTCAAAATCCTTGTACACAGGAAAATAGAATTTTCTGGAAATAAATGGGAATAAATACCAGTAAGAATGGTTTCACAAGAGACTCCAAGAAAAGGCTATGTTCGAGGTTGCCTAGGCACAGAGATGAAGCTGTGTGTGTCAAAAAGACCTCTACCTCAAGCTGATCAAGGTGACCTGGTCACTACTCTGAAGATCTGGATTATCTAAGATTTAACCCACAGGTCTAAAATATGAGTGTGAGTCTGCAGGGAGTTAGGCTTGTAAGTACAGTCATGGCCCATATAATGACATTTTGGCCAACATTGGTCTGTGTATATGACAGTAGTTCCATAAGATTATAATATTGAATTTTTACTGTACCTTTTCCATGCTTAGATATGCTTAGATATACTTATCCTGGTGTTACAATTGCCTGTGGAATTCAGTACAGTAACTTGCTGTCCATGTTCGTAGCCTAGAACAGTAGGCTATACCATATAGCCTAGGTGTGTAATAGGCTATACCATATAGGTTTGTGTAAGTGCACTCTATGTTTGCACAACAATGAAATAGCCTAAAGATCCATTTCTCAGAACTTATTTATTATGGTCATTAGAGATGCATGACTATATTATGTATCAAATGTGTGCAATATATGTGTAATCTATAACTGTTGGTAAATTTTCTTAAACTTTCCTCTCTAAGTTTTCATGTTTTACTATAATTTTTCTATAGTGTCAACAGACAAAAAGACTTTTTGTTTTAAAGAAGGGAAAATTAGATTTGAACTTTAGCTCTGTAATTTTCTAAATTTGTTGTGATTAAGTTGATTGCCATTTTTTCTCTAAGCCTCAGTTTTCATATAGTAAAATGAAGATAATGACATTTTCTTTGCCTTTCTTCATGATTGCTTTGATGATTAAACGTGACATAGATACAAAAAGAATTTCAAAAATTAAAAGCATTAAGAAGCTTGAAAATAATAATTTTATTTTTCTTTAGTTACTCAGAAACTCTATTCCTTGGGTCAATAGTAGTTTACTGTGCTGTAACAGATAAGATCTGACTTATTAGAAACAACTGTACATTTACTGGATATGAAGAGATAGCAGGAAAAACTTTAAACCATCTCGTAAAGAAAAAAACACATCATAGCAATCTGTGAATATAGATTCACAGAGCTTGTCAGCTTATTTTGAAATGCCCAGTTAGATCCTTTTTTTGAGTTGGGGGACAGCACTCTTCAGATAGCACTGACCTTTCGCTTTCACAGAGTGACAGCCAACAAGCATTATCATAAGAGTGGATAATATTTTTAAATAATCATATGTTACCATTAATCTGGCGCTGAGAACTCTCTCTGCCTGGGACAAAGGCAATGCAGCAGCTGGAATGCAGAGCCAAGTCAGAGCATCCAGCAGGTATTTTTGACGCATTGCTTGCCTTTGGAACAGCGTGGTCCTACTTGATAACAGATGATATAAAGGCATCCCTCCTAAAGGGAGAGGTGGCTAGATAGAGAGCAACACCAGAAAGGAAGAAAGGCAGATCCCTTCAAAGATAGCTCAGCTGAGACAAAACTTGGCTCCACTTCTTTCAGCAAAAATAAAAATGTTTATTTTCCATATGATCAGTCACCAGAGGTATACCGTTGTTTCATGGGGAAAAATCCATTCTGTACAATTTCAATCCTTGGCTATGGGGCTGTAAGGCTTCGGGGGAACATGGGCATTTTTAAATTTTTGTTTGAAGAAAAAAATACATGTGACTGTGGCTTTTATTGGCTCTATAGTATACTTCATGATCAAGAATTTGAGAGAGTCCAGTTAAAAACATGCAGATAATATTCTTTTCTAATGCTCTTGCCCTTTGGTTAAAATGTCATCCATATCACCAAACAGTATTTTTTTTTGCTCTTCAATATTCCCATTTAAACCATTGCTCTGATTCCTGCCTGCTCCTTATGCCCTCTGCTAAGTCTAAAAATGATTCTGATATTCTATATCATAAAAGTACTTCCTTTGATCCTGTTTCTCTTTTAAGTGCTAGAGTAAGTTTAAATATGAGCTTTAGAGTCCAGCAGATCTAGTTTAGAGTCACTACATCCACATTTGCAATCTGTTTAAATCTATTTAATGCCCTTAAGATTTAGTTTCCTTGTCTGTAAAATGAGGATGATGGTAGTACATTTGTGAGGGTTAAACTTGATATGGTATATAGAAGGTTAGGTAAAGTGCCTGTCACACTTAAGGATTCTATTTCTTATTTCTTTTCTTTTCTTTTCTTCCTTCCTTTCTCTTTCTTTCTTTCTTTCTTTCTTTCTTTCTTTCTCTTTATTTTTCTTTCTTTCTTTTCTCCTTCCTTCCTTCCTTCCTTCCTTCCTTCCTTCCTTCCTTCCTTCCTTCCTTCCTTCCTTCCTTCTCTCTTTCTCTCTTTCTTGTCTTTCTTTCTTTCTTTTTCTTTCTTTCCTGCTTTTTTTTTTTTTTTTTTTTTTTGGCAGAATCTCACTCAGTTGCCCAGACTGGAGTGCGGTGGCACGATCTTGGCTCGCTGCCACCTCCCCCTCCCAGGTTCAAGCGATTATCCTGCCTCAGCCTCCTGAGTAGCTGGGATTACAGGTGTGCACCAGCACACCTGGATAATTTTTGTATTTTTGGTAGGGACAGGGTTTCACCAGGTTGGCCAGGCTGGTCTTGAACTCCTAACCTCAGGTGATCCACCCATCTCACCCTCCCAAACTGTTGGAATTACAGGTGTGAGCCACTGTGTCCTGTCCAAGAATTCTATTTCTCAGTTTGCTATAGAGTTTATTCATCAGTGTAATTGCCTTGAGAGCAAGAAAGAGCCTTGTTTGTTTTGTTTACTGATCTTCCCACATTGCTTGGAATAGTGTTTGGCATAAAGTAGATGCTTAGTAAATATATTGTAGAGTTAAAGAAGAAAATAGATGAACAATCTCCAATTGTAATCTCCACATCATTTCCTACCTTTCACCTCTCCTAGGAAGTGTGCCTAATGTAGAGCTTCAGAGCAAGTCCGCCTGTCCTGGAATCTCAGGCCTGGCACTTATTAGTTGTAAGACCACAAGCAAGTTTCTCCACCTCTTTGTGACTCATTTTCCACATCTGTAAAATGTTGGTGATAATAGTGGTCCCTGTTTCATAGGGTTGTGAGGATTAAGGAGTTAATACTTGCAAAGCACTTAGTGCAGTACAGGCCACATCATAAACACTGTGCAAGCCTTTGGTACCATTAGTAACTGACTGCTCAGACTTAAAAAAAATAGATTTAGGGGATACAAGTGCAGTTTTGTTACATGGATATATTTCATAGTGGCGAAGTTTGGGCTTTCAGTGTACCCGTCACCTGAATAGTGTACATTGTAGCCATTAGGTAATTTCTCATCCCTCACCCACCTCCCATCCTCTCACCTTTCAGAGTCTCCATGTCTGTTATTCCACTTTCTATGTCCATGTGTACACATTATTAAGCTCCCACTTTTAAGTGAGAATATGCAGTATTTAACTTTATGTTTCTGAGTTATTTCACTTAGGATTGACTGCTCAAACTTTTGCTCATTTTTCTTTCACTCATTGACTGTTTGTCCTGGATGGATACTTAAATATTAACTCTTCAACACATGTACATTCTTCCCTGTGGAGTATTTCTTCCTGTGGTTAAGCAACTCTCTAAAAGGTACCCGGGCCATCATACTCATCCCTATTGCCCCAGCACCTTCCACATACAAACCTCTCTCTTTGGCATCCAATGGTTCATTTCCAATAGACACTCAGAAAACTTGCTGTACGAGCTTATGATCTCCTCATAAGCCACCAGTTCCAAAGACTGTCTTACCCCATTTCCTATAGTTCCTATGCTATTTAATGATATAGAATTTACCAACACCAATTCCCCATTCTATACTGTAATTATCTATAAGACTTTAATTTTTCTACCTCTTTTGTGACCTTGGGCAAATTACTCATTTCTCTCTGTGCATCCATTTTCTTGTCTGTAAAGTGGGAATAACAATAGAAACAGACTGCATTTTCTGTGGTTTCTCTATTTTGTGAATCCACTTATGTAATAAGATGCTTGAAACAAGGCTTAGTCTCCAGTAAATGCTCAGTAAGTTTTACCTAATATTATTATTATTGTTAATGTTGTTGAAACCTAATCTGTTCTCTCAGGCCTAATTAAAATCCTAGCTGATTATATATGGGTTTAGCACTCATATAGATATTTAACATCTGACTACTACATTTTATAGCTTCTCATTACAGAAACACCACATAAACAGTAATCCTGCCTCTGCAAATCCAGATGTTGAAATCTTGGTGTATCAGAGTGCACAGAAAGTATTTGATACCTTGAATGCTGATCTGATTAATATGGATGAATTCCCACATGTTTAAGAGATTGTACTTTTATCAGTATTTTTCCTTTATATAGGTCCTGTTTTTGATATTACTTTGTTTTTACCACATTGATTTTTTTGGATGAGTTCTCTCCTTTTGGAAAGTCTTGCCACTGGATTCCATTTCATTATCAAAATCCAAGGAGATGCCATTATTCTAGTCTATTAAGAACATCCCTCCATTTTTGTGTCTTACCTATAACTTGTATGTAAATTGCGTATATTTAACTTATTACATTATCAGTATTTATGCAGTGTGTACTTACACATCTGTTTTCTCTGGCAAAATTTGATAGCCTGTGCTTTAGTCAATCCCATATCCACAGTACATAGCATATGAACTCATGTACAGTAAGTGCTCAATTAATGCTTATTGAAGTAAACTGTATTTTCAATATTAGATTCCATTAATGATAATAAAAGTTGCTGATGTGCAAACTCTTCAATTAAGGTGAAATGGAATAGCAGAATTGTAGAAGATTCTACTAGGCAATTTTAATACTGTGGCGACTCTTCTGTTTTCAAGAGTGCAAAATTATCTTACATGTCTGAAACTTAGTTAAGATTAAAAAATGAAGTATAAGGAGTTTATTCACTGAAAGGAGAAGGGAAATAAGTGTGAATACAACTATTCTGAAGGTTATCTGAGAGCTTATCCTTTATTATTGGGTATAAGACATAAACCTAAACAAAAAATAATAAAACCACATCATAGTGGTTGTTTTTATTATTTACATAGTCTAGTTTGTTTTGTTCACTGCTATACCCACATCGTCCAGGGTAGTGCCTGACACATAATAGGTGCTTAATAAATATATACTACTATAGATAATAGTAAATAAAACAAAAGGGAAAAATACAATATGCTATGGGAGCTCAGAAGAGGGTTTAATTTGGAGGTAAGTGTAAGGGGCAGTGTGCCATGTGTTCATGAAGGTAATTTCCGTCATTGTTAATCCACATGGCCAACCTGTTGCTATGTGGATTAGCAATGCTGAAAATTCCCTTTACTAACACATGGCTTCAGAAAGGGCTGTGGTCTAGACTTGTTGGCAGTCACCCCTCTAGGCCTTTTCAGTCACACAATTGAGAGGTGCTGGCCACTACCATAGTGTCCATGTTTCATGATCCAAAATTAAGTCTGAATCTGACAAGCTCTAATCTTCTCTTGTGAAAACTGGGGTAGAAAAATTGAGAACAGGGCAGTCCTCTCATGCTTATAATCCACATGGTGCTTTCTCTTCCTTCTTTCATTCATTTTTCAGCCACATTCAACATTTAACTCAGTAGTTGTGTGGCTCTCAACAAATGTTCTCTGAATTTTGAAAAATGAGCATATAAATGTTATCAGCACAGTTTTTATAAATAATAAGAATTTAAAGATTACACATGTTGTATTTATTAATCCATGAAAGATTTATTGATAATGTAATAACTTTTGTAGCTCTGAAGTTAGTGCTTTGGAGGCAATCCCAGATTTTTTTTTCTTTTTTTCCTTCCTAATATCCAAGAGTCACAAAGTCACATCAGTACTACCCTATTAATATCTGTCCCATCCCCTCTATTTTCACAGTCCTAATTCATGTGCTTGTTATATTCTGTCTAGATGAAAAGAACAGTGTCTTCCTGGTCTTTCCACTGTAATTTACTCTACCCACTAACCCACTTGCCATTTAACTTCCAGAGGGACTTTATCATATGTCAACTTGATCATATCACTCTACTGTACATAACTCTTCAATGGTTCTTTAACTCTCCTTCCCTTTTGTCAATATATCTGGCCTTTCAATCCCAGATTTTCTTTATACTTACACTTAGTTGTGATCACCATTTCACACAGCAGAAACAAAGATCATGCTTTTATCAGTCAGACTTTTCAGTTTGTTGTTCTCTGTTCAGTACGTTTCTGGATTCTTTTGTAGAGAGGTTACTCCCATTTTTCAATAAATATATGACTTAATTTATTTAAGAAATTCCCATTGAGCCTGTTTTGGCCAGTATGTGAGGTACTGAAAATACAGTGTTGAGTAGAGTTCCTGTCTATGGGTACGTATGTGCTGGTACAGACACTGGCCTTTGTTGGCCTTAGTATAGTGAATAATTTATGATGATTGCAAAAAGTTTAAGAAATGGAAGTGCTTACATTTGTTTCTTGTATTCTCTGTATCTACATTTATGTTTTTAGAGATGTGTCCCACATGTGGCCCGTAAAGTGAGGAAGGATATCAGGAGGCACACCATGCCTCTATGGGCTGGAGCCACCTCTCTAGCTGGATCTGGCCTTTAAGCTGTGAAAATCTGTGTTAGTCATAGCCTTTATTCTTGCTTGCTGTAACCCAGCTTGGACTCTTGTCCCATAATTTTAGCCTGAATTATCTAAGCATCTGATATCTTAGAGATTCATACCTGAAACTCGGGGGAAAGCTCAAATCTGATGTTCTCTCCTTGTGTTCTTTGGTTTACATTCTGTACTGTAATTCAGTATCTCCTTTAGACTAAGTTGACTTCTTATTCCTTAGGAAAATGGTTCACCAACTTGGCATAGTCTTTGAAATTCTGTATGTGAATCTACATGTATCCTTGCCTGTGGTACCCTGTTTTGTTTAACTCTGGCCTCAGATGCAGGTCGAAAACATTCTCCATCCTATCCAGACCTTTCTGCTACTTCATTGCTATGGGCAATGTAATGTATTTGAAATATGGAGGACAGGCATCTTACCCTTTTCGTTGCCCTTTCTGTTATTAATAATCGCCATGACTTTTCAAAGTCTCACCCTTCTTTTTCCACCCGCCTCTCCCTGGAAGTGTCCTGTCTCCTGTGTAATTAATGACCATAGTTTACAGACAGTGCAGCTGTCTACACATATGGTTCATTACCCTTAAGACAGAAAACGATGTAAGAGTTGAAGGTTTCTTTCTCAGGGTTCTTTGGGCAACTATGAAGGATGAAGTCATTAATGTGACTTTTAACTAAAACAGGGCCTTGTGGTATTGCATCATCTTGTTGTACTCCTAGTACACACACTAGAGGCATTATGGCCCTTAAATCAGGGTTTATTAGCTTTTGTTTATAGCCAAATTTGCCTGGCGCCAGAGAGAACTAGAAAATGATAATAAAATACTTTACATTATATCTGAGTTTTCCAAATGTCTCACATTTGGGGTGAACTAAAAATAATAAAATGAATTAATTAGAAATAAAGACTCAGTATTTTCTTAGAAAGGCCCAAGGCTGATCACTGGAGCAGCTGACATGTTTTAGAGCAGGATATTATTTATAAGCCTGAAGAGAAGAAATTCTTGGGTGCTTCACAGAGTTGCTTTTATTCATTCCTGTGACATGTATTTATTGTAATTGTTTGCCAGATACTATTCGAGGCACTGAGTACTAGTGCTAGTGAACAAGAAGCCCTCTAAGAAAGTAGGAGATTGCATTACTCTTTGGGTACTAATATAATAAGTTTTGCCAGCTTCTCTGTCACACTTTCAGCATTTCACAGGATTCCCTGGTAATTTTGACTGTTGATGATGATTTTGCAAAACCTTCACCAAATCCCTGCTCCTAGCTTCTGCCTTCCCCTAAAGGGACCCACAGTTACTGACATGTGGCTTCTGCGGGTTGGTTTCACATCTGGGTCCTGAACCTGTGCTGAGAAATGAGGCGGTAAAGTCACTCACACCCACATTCCAGTGAGGCGAGATGAGAGCCTGCATGCCTGCGATGGCCTGAGACACGGTTGCTGGCTGAAAGTCATACAGGTGTCCGCCTTCATCCATAGTTTCACTTTCTGCAGTTTCAGTTCCTATGGGCAATCAGGGTCTGAGAATATTAAGATATTTTGAAAGAGTTTTTATTAAAGTATGTTGTTATCGTTGCTCCATTTTATTAGTTATTGTTAATATGTTATTACTGTGCTTAATTTATAAATTAAACTTTATCATAGGTATGAATGGATAGAAACAACAGTATATATAGGGTTCAGGGTTATATGTACTATGTTTCAGGCACCTACTCAAGGTCTTGGATCATATCCCCTGCAGATAATTGGGGACTACTGTTTGTCTTTCACTGTCTCTTTTCTTTTGTCTCCAGGTCTTTGCCCTCAACACTGTTTTGGTACTGAAGGTCTATTCTAAACGTTTCAACTTTAAGTAGGACTTTAGCACCTAGTGAGCTCTAGCTCAGGACCCTGGCCTTCAGATTTTGTCTCTATCCACGCTTCACTTCCTTTTCCTATCTTTGATTTGTTATTTTTCTCTCGTTTATCCTTTGAATCAGGGTTTTCTAATCTCTCCAATCCTTAAAGGGTCTATTGGAGAGACTTTATGGAAGGCACAGGCTCTCTGAAATTGTGTCTGAAAATGGTTTCACATGTGCCCACGCATGTTTCTAGGAGTGAGTCCATGGCTTGCTTCTGATTCTCAAAGTGATCCCAAAATATATTCTAATAACAAATTTCAGCTTCTACTGTTTTCAATATACATTTTAGTCTTTCTCTGAGTAGTCACCATCACAGTTACAGCATTCACTATTATATAAATGCCAGTCACTCTTTTTTTTAAAACAATATCTGTGCAAATTAAAAAAATACTTCTTATAGATTTAGGAAGTACAAATACAGTTTTGTTACATGGGAGTGCAGTCTGGGCTTTCAGTATAACCATCATCTGAATAGTGTGCATTTTACCCATTGGGTAATTTCTCATCCTACACCTCCTTTAACTCTCTTACCTTTCTGAGTCTCCAGACTTCCGCTGTCTGTGTCCAGTCACTCTTAAATCCTATCTCCAGATTAAAATTCTCTCCAACTGCAAACACCTACAGGACATCTTCCTCTCAGGCTACTCATGTCCAAGCTTGACCTGTTGTTTTCCTGCCATAACTCTTTTGCTTCTTGCTTCCTATGAATTTTTTTTTTTTTGGATAAGGCTATCCTTAGCCAAGTCAGTTAAGACAGACATCTTGAGCTTCCTTCTTTCCCTCACCACTGCCTTTATAACTGTTTGCAGATAAACGTATTGTGCAAAATTTGTATATTCTACTCAAACTTCTTTATCTCTATGTCTTCTGTGACAGCTACTGCCTGACTTAAAATCATTTCTTTAAGACTCTTACCTTCTTAGCTGCTTTGACTGTCTCTACTTTTAGTATCCTCCAAAGTGTCTTCTACAGAGGCCAGATAGATCTTCCTAAAATGCATATACAAGCATGTCATTTCTTCGTTTAAAATACTTTAGTGTCATATTTCCTGTAAGATGGGAAATGAAGTGAAAATTTCAATAGTATGGTTTACAGTGCATCTCATGATCTTGTTCACACCTCATCCCCAGACTCACCTCTTAGTTACTTATCATGTATATTGATATCTCCAATGATATAATATTTCTGGTATCCATGTAGCACAGTGCTCTCTCACTGAGGGTGGGGCTCACTTCACTCCTTCACTCCTTGACTCTATGTTCAACCACATGACATGTTTTAGTTAAAGAGATATTAGCATATGTGACACAAGCAATATCTTGAAAACTATTTGGATTACTGGCCTGATTTACTCTTGTGCTTCTGCCATCGCCACCGGAAGTATATGCCTAGTCTATCCTGCTGGTCATGAGAGGAGGAAGATGAACAAGCGAGACAGTGTTGCTCCAGCTGAACCTTGTCTAGAGCAGAGCCCCCTACACTTGAATGAGCAAGTCCAGATGACATAACTAGAGTCCCATAGCTTATAGTTGCACACCTCTGAGTTTTGCTGTAGTTTGTTACACAGCAAAAGCAAATTGATACATTTTTTTCATAAAGCTTTCTGCACTGTGGCCCTATTTAACTGCTCAGTACTACCCAACGCCACCAACTTCTCAGCTTCTGCTCTTGTGATTCTTTACTTTGATTCCCTTCAAATTCTTGTCTGCCTAGTGAATTCTGACTTATACTTTGAGATGCAAAACCAAGCATTTATTTCTCAGTGAAGCTTTCTGTGAACCTTCCAAGAAAGTTGTCATTTTCTCCTTTGGGCCATGTAGCACTTTTCACATACTAAGTTGCCTTATCACCACCTTATCACGTCTTTTCCCCCCATAAGCCTGAGCACCAAAATGGCAGGATTGTCTGTTAGTTGACTCCGGGCAAGATCAGGGAAGCTTTTACAGAGGAAGACATACTTAATTTGAACATAGAAGGATGAAGGAGAACAGGTAGGCAGAATGTAGATCAGGAAAGCCAGGGTAGCCAGAAGGGTGATGTAAACAGAAACGTTTTTGAATAAATAATCACATTTTTCCTTGATATTTCTTCTGCTTCCCAAGTGTAATGGTGCGTGTTGTTCAGTGCAGTAAGAACTATTCCATAGGCACAGTGCTGGATGTGCTCTCAAACACTGATTTTCTTCCCTCTGGGCAGGAAAACCATGTGCTGTATGGTCAGCACCTGCTTTGCTCTGAGCATTCTGTCCAGCTATCCAGTCTGTGAGAGATGGTGACATTTACAACTGTTACAAGGCAATTGTCCTGGCCACCTGCCACAGTGGGGCCCAGGTCCAAGTGGCTACCATCTGGCAGGGCATCTGCTCCGCCACTGGGAGAGCTTTGGATGCAGCAACATGCCCACAGAGAAGATATTGCACTCTGACCTTTGGGGGAGGAGAACACATTGCATTTCCACCCATGCACGAGATGCACAGTGAGAGTAACTCAGAGAGGCTGTCTTTCCATTGCGGCAGTGATCCTTCATAGTCTTCAGGTTTAAGGTCCCTTTCAATAAGTTTAGAATGTACTTGATGAGAACATTGCCTTTGTAGCCAGACTGACTGGGTTCCCATCCTGGCTCCCTCCCTTTACTATGTGACCTTGACTTTGGGGCAAGTTACCTGTGTCTAGCACTGAGTCCTTCCTCAGTAAATGTTAGCTATGTTTATTTTTAGACAACATTTGGAGTTTATCGTGTGCTCTGAGGCTACCAAGGATTTTGGTTCAATGTCCGTCAATGACTGTTAGGAGTCCTACTCCAATTGACACTCACCGTATGCTCTAGCTATGCTGAATATCAGTATTTCCCTCAATTTTTAATGCTTCCTGAAACCTCAGAGCCTTTGCACATGATGTTCTTTCTGCTGGTGCCTTCTTGTTCTCTCTTTATCCAGGAAATTCCCTATTATTTAAGACACTTTTCAGAGGTCACTACTTCCTGCAATTTGTCCTTCAGAAAACCTTCAGGCTATGTATTGCCATACCTGTCTAAGCTCATATATTCTAATATTGTATGGGTGGAGGGATTAGGTTCTTAGGCATGTGATCTCTATTTCTCCCATTTGATGAATCATCACACAGTCAAATTAAGTGCCTTACTGTCTTCTTCAAAAAAATCTATTTGTTCGTGTTTATATGCAGATTGTGGCCCACAAGGGAGGAAATTGAGAGCCCAATCATAGAGAAGGTGAGTGGAACAATCACACGCTACTTATGCATCCCAATCTCCTGTACTTGGTGATTACGTACAGCCACAATGACCAGCTGGAAAGAGCTGTATTCAGGGAATTGGTGTTATTGATTTAATACAGACATTTGTTTGGCTGAATCCAACCATATTTAAAATAATTTTAGTTAAGTGGAATTGTATGTACATGCTGTAACTGAATTTAAGGATAAAAATTAAGCTATTTGGCCTTGGAAATTCTGCAATGTTTGCTGTAGGTGTGGCCAGCAAGTCTCTTAGGCAGACAAGTTATCATTTAGTTTCTGGAATTTGAAGAACTCTGTGTGGCTTACCTGTCCAGAAACAAGTCTCTCCAGCCTGAGATCAGATCTGAAATTCTTATCGTTTAACCAGTTCTTAAATTAAAGTTGTATCATTAGAAGGTTTCTGTATAAAGACAACATTGCCAATAGAAATTGATATTATCAATTTATCTTAACCAGTATAAGATTATAATAAACATTAACATATATGTTTACTTAACACATTTTTGTTTCCTAATGTAAAGGAAGCACTCTTGTTAGTAAGTATTTGGTATCAATCAGTGAACAAAACAAATAAAGACTCCTGCCCTCCAGAAGCTAGTAAGGAGACATAAATACTAATGAGTGAACATAATCAATAAGCAGAGTGCAAAGAATATTAGAAGGGCAATAAGTGCTATGAATGAAGCCAATTAAAATACAAATGTGTATGTTTTATATAGCCCTTTCATATACATCATATCATTCGATACTTCCACATATCTTCAGGTAGGCAGGGGACATATTATTTTTATTTTACAGATGAACAAATAGAGGCAAAATAGCAATATACTGTCAGGCTCTGCTGGTCCTAGGTCCTTCCTCATACAAGAAGTATTTGAAACCATCTGTTGGCTTAGACAACTAAAAACCTACAGTCATTTCTAATGATAGATATTTAAATAGTTCCAAGGAAATATTCTTGGAATGAATATCAAATGGCTTTGGTCTTAGTCTGCCTCAATACTGAGCACTAGTTCTAACAATCAGGCACTTTTTTCCTTTCAGTTGAAGTTCTAGTTCTTGATTTGTAGATTAGTACTAGTATCTGATTCTTGTTCCTTGTGTTTGAGTCTTTGCCAGATAATCTTGAGAAGTAGGAACTCTGCTAGTGTGCTTGCTAATCAGCACACTGGACTTCGTGATTCCAGGGCCTAGAGCTTTCTGCTGGTGTTGATCTTTAATGACAAATGCAGCCTGGACAGAAGCTTTTGGTTATGGAGCACTGAGTTAATGAAAACATGATGGCCCTGGGAATGGGGCAGGTGGTGTCAAAGTGAGAGAGGTGCCCCAAACCAAGGTCCAGACAGGAACAGAACCAGCACATAGATAGAGTCAAAGAGACAGAAGTAACAGTAGCAGGTAAACAAGTGCTGTTAAATAGATTTAAAAAGCCAAATTTAGAAGAGTTATGTAAATTAATCAGGGATTCACATGATTTTATTAATAATAAAAGTGATGTTCTTAATGATGATAATGTGACTATTACTTTGTGTTCTTTTTATTTGTTGAGCACTGTGATACATACTTGGCATATGTAACTGAATCCTCCAAAGAAACGCTTGGGGTAGGTGATATACCATTTTTTAAAAACTGGAATTTGGCTCAAAGCATTATGTGATTTTACTAGTTTCAGGGCTAATAAAAGAAAGATTCTAGAGGTTCTAGAGCCACATTATGAATTTACACTGAACAGTTTTGTACCTTGATCAAGTTAGTCATATATACAAAATGGGGTTAATGAACTTATTTTAAAGGGTTGTGGTGAAGCTCAAATAAAATTATGTGTAAAATAACTTAGCCCAGTGCCTGGTATATGGTACGTATTCGAGATACTTTGTAGTTATTATTCATATTGTGTTTCTGCATCTGTGTTTACCAGTTGGAACTAGTCCAGACTATAGCTTCTTGTGATCTAGGGCAAGTGAGTCGTTGAATTAATGGCTATAAAATATTTTAAAGTGCAATTCACTAATAGTTATGGCTAGCTACCAAAGAGATGCTGGCAATACATTAGTACTTATGATGTTATTTATCTTCATATTCACTATAGGGTGTTTTAGTTGGTATCCAATTGTTTGTTATATGTTTTGGTGCCTTTGCAGGTGGGACATTCATTTCTTGATTACATTTGCTCATAGGAAATAGAACAGCCTCTAGATATTGAACCACAAGACTTCAGTTCCCTACTTTTGGTTGTAGTAGCAATATTAGGAAAAAAAAGTGAGCAATTCTGGTTCTATCTCCTGTGACAATGTGAACATGAATAAATCACCTAACTTATGAAGTAAAAAAAAATTAAAATGAATAGCTTATATTTCCCAGGGTTGTGAGTTTAAGAGAAATAGTATGTTAAAAATGGCCAGCATGTAGAATATATGCTTAAGCAATATTATCTTCTTTCTCTACTACCTGAACTCTAGCCTCTTCTTCAGCTGGGAACCGATGGGATTATACTCAGATAGTGGCCTTCTATATGTCTATTTATAATCTATCTATATGTCTGTAATGTATTTGCCAGAAAACCCTTTTCTCATATCTAGAGCACCAGTGTACACAATAGATAAAATGGTTTTGCTCTGACTGAACTTCAGAAAGAAGGATCTGATCACCTTACCTGCTTATCACCATCATCTCTTCCCTTCTCATACTATACTTCCCTTCTCTGCTGTGACTAGTGACCCTCAGACATCTCTACAGAGCCCTGAAGTTCCAAGGAATACAATTTCCAAACCATACATAACCTTGTGTCTGTGTATGTGTGTGTGTGTGTGTGTATCAGCTGCTACAGTCTCTGTGTTATTCCTATGATTAAATGAATTGTATCTTTAACCAAGTTTTAGAAAGACTAGAAAACAGATTAAAACAGATACTCATATGTGTTTGGGAGTAGGAATTGGAGGAGGGTAATTGTTTTACAATATTACTCAGAAAGGGTAGAGCTTTTCCTTAGATTGTTCAGAAGAAATATAGCACAAGGATTTACTCATAGTTAATGTTCTTATTATCCCACAGACCCAGGGACTCGAATGGGTTTACCTTCATTTTCAGGCCAGTGAGTACCATTTTGGGTAATATATCAATTATCTATTGCCACAATAATGCCACATAAGAAAATATCACAAAACTCAGTATATTTCCAAAGGAATATAAATTGCTATGTTGTAAAGACACATTGTACAAGCATATTCATTGCAGCACCATTAAAAATATCAAAAACATGAAGTCATCCTAAATGCTTATCAGTGGTATACTGGATAAAGAAAATGTGGTACATATACACCATGGAGTACTATGCAGCCATAATAAAGAATGAGATCATGTTCTTTTCAGGGATATGAATGAAGCTGAAGGCCATTATCCTTAGCCATCTAATGCAGAAACAGAAAACCAAATACCACTTATAAGTTCTCACTTATAAGTGGGAGCTAAGTGATAACACATGGACAAATAGAGGGTAACAACACACACTGGGGCCTTTCACAGGGTGGAGGGTGGGAGGAGGGAGAGGATTAGGAAAAATAACTAATGAGTACTAGGCTTAATCCCTGGGTGATGAAATAATCTGTACAACAAACCTTAATGTCACAAGTGTACTGTGTAACAAACCTGCACTTGAACCCTTGAACTTAAAAGATCAAAAAATAAGTAATCTTTGTTAGCTCACAAGTCTGTAAGTCATTGATTTAGACTGGTCTCAGCTTGGAAGATCTGGTTTTTTAAAAAATACGCTCACATATGTGGGGAGTGGCTGGGCGTTGGCTTGGGACAGTGGGTAAATTAGCTTTTGTGTCTAATTCTCCACAGCTAGCCTGGGTATACTACGGCAAGCCCAATCACACAAGCACTCTTCATGCCTAAAACTCAATGGTCAAAGCAAGTCACAGGGCCTGTCAAACTGGAGAGGCTTTCCAAGCTTCCGTAGCAATGTGTGTAGATACAGTAAGAGGATTGGAGTTGTTAATTATAATCAATTTACCACAAGTAACTATATGGCAATATATAGTTAATAATATATAGACTCAAATATTGGTTCATAGATCTTCACTGACATTTGTTGAAGATGATAGAATAAGGACAGTTTAATATCAGATTTGGGCTCTGTCACTTACTTTGGTGATATTTAACCTCTCCATTCTTCAACTATTGCTTCTGTAAAAAAAGAATGTATTCTCTTTCTCATAGGGTTAAAGTCAAGGTTAAATGAGTTAATGAAAGCAAAATGCTTAGAACAGTGCCTGACACTTGGTAAGCACTATACAGGTTTCAGAAATTGCTATATATTAATAAAACAATAACAATAATAATACCATTATTATTATCAGTCCCTGAATTATGAACACCTATCTGTGCATAAACGAACTGTCTCTGACGCCATCAACAGGTGGGGACTGTTTAATGGGGTAATGGAAAGAGCAGGGTTTAGAGTCAAACAGATGTAGATTCAAATCCCTGTTCTCCACTAGTCACGAAGATATTTTATTTGTACAAGTCCTTTTTCTTGCCTGAGACTCAGTTTTCTCATATGGCAATAGGAACTCTTAATAATAAGTATGAACTATACCTTGTTCACTATTGCATTCTCAGTCTAATACAAGACCTGGCATTTGTAGATCTTAAATAAATATTTGAAGAATGTTCATTTTTTTTCTTTTCCTTCCTCCCTTCATGTGACATTGCATTTTTACTTTAGAAATAAAAAGTATGGAAGGAAAGACATGTAGCTCAATGATTTTACATAATGTTTCTTTCTAATAATGTTGAGTATAATAACAGTACAATGATGAAAACTTAAGACTACACACACACACGTGCACATGCAAACACACACGTGCGTGCACATATGCAAGCACACACATGCACACACAGACACACACACACACCTTACACCTTTCCTTCAAAATGGGTCATATTGAAGGACAAAAATTTCATTATACTTGGTGCTAGAACTAAAGCCCTAGTTGATGAGGGAAAGGATTAAAGGATTTGGCTATCTTAGAATTAGCCCCTTCTTGTATGGCCTAAACAGTGTGTTTTTCTCATTCATTCCTGCTGTGTGACAAGATGCCAAGAGAAAAAAATGAGATGGCTTACAGAAAAAGAGCCAGTGACTATGCCTGATTTTAATATTGACTTCAGGACAGGATATACAATGTATCTTTGTAGGTAATCAATAGCTTAACTTAACTCATGTGGAAATTACATTGATGCTGGAAACCACAATCCTGGAAAGATGTTAAAGAGCATGAAAAAGCATCCATCTAACTAGAGTGTTCTCTCTAGACTGCTTACACAGAGAACTTGTCAAGGGGCCCAGCAACACAAAATTTAGTGATCTGATGATCCTGTGTTTTCTCTCCTTCTTTCTCTCTCCATCTCTCTTTTCTTATGAAATTTGTGACACAAAATTCATCTAGGAAATAGTTCTGCTCAACATCTGTCTTCTGTTGCTATTTGATTCACAGAAGGTTATACAATCAGGTTCATCTTAAGATGACAGCTTGATTTTGGAACTTGAATCTACAGGTTAGACTTATGAATACATAGTTGAAATTATTTATTAGTATTTGTTAAATTTTAATAATTGATTTAGAATAAGAAAAGAAAGTTAAAGCTAAAGTACATGTTTCTGTAAAATTCAGTGTGGCCTTAAGATGGAGAGCTCCGCCCTTCTGCTTTATCACTGGTGAACAACATTATGCTTGGTCAGGAAGTCACAACTCTTGTAAAACTTTATTAGTGTTCAAGATCATTAATGGAAAGCAGTGGGGAAAAAAGAAGTAAATATAAAGTGTCAGTTTCAGACAGTCAAAGACAAGTTCATTGTGCTGGAAATTAAATCAAATGCCACAAAATATGCAGATTGTAAAAACGCCTATTCTCTGCAAAGCTGTTAAACTTTAAAAGGTCTTTTCAATTAAAATGACTGAGATGAATGCCGTGTCATGGTGCTATGGAAAAGGCTTGCAGATGCTCAGAGGGCACTGGGTATAGGAAAATGTGTGGGAAAAAAATTTTTAAGTGTATGGAAGAATCCGCTGGCGACAAATATTTGCCTAGCCTGGCAACTACATGCTATAAGTCCCATTCCTTGTCTCCTTCTTAAATTCCCGCACACATTATTAAACTTTTGGGGTTTTCTCACTAATATTTATCTTCACACTTGTTCTGATTTTGCCATCTCTTTTGTGTTATCATTTTCTGTTGATCTGACCCCAGTTTTGAGTATGAATAAGTGTATTACTACATGTGTATTCAAGGTCTCAGATGGAAGCATCTTAGCTAATACTGAATTATGGGTTCATACCTTAACTGTTATAATTGGGAGACAGGGACTGTGCCTCTGTGTTATGACCCACAGTTGGAAATTTCCCCAAAGACTGAGTATGTTTGGAGGCAGACTGGTCAAAAGTTGCTAAATGTCCACCATATCTATTACTCTGTTTACTCAATACAACATGTATATTTTTCCCATTTTCAATAAAGGAAGAAAAAGGAAAAAAGTCAGAGGAAGAAAGAGAGACAGAAAAAGAGAAAGAGAGACAAGGAAGGCAGGGAGAAAGGTAGGAGCAAGTGAGATGAGATGAGTGAGAGACAGAACACTAACACTACAACCACAAAACAAAACAAAACAAAACAAGCACAGTGCACCCACAATAAAAATCCCTCACCAAATATTATATAATTATCTCTCCTACAAGCCAGAATAAACTCATATATTTTAAAGGAAGACAATGTAATGTAATAGGTACTTCCTTATACTTTATCAGACTTTTGAATAATGTCTACTTCGCTTTTGATATGTCTTGGTCCTCACTAAATGTGCTACAATTAATGGATTAAATTCCTTTACACCCTTTCTAAATAGTGTGGAATATGAGAATGAAGAAAACGAAAATACACACACACACACACCCACTTCAGAAAAACGTGGGCATTTGTAAATCTCGTGTCTGCACCTTACTTCAAAGACACAGCTAACATTTTTTTGGTAATCATTTTCCTACTCCATATTCTGTTGCCTCAATTCTGGATGCTTTACTTGGTGGCCACAGTTAGGCTTGTTATGCTTGGTCCCTGCTAGGTCCTGTGCCATGGTATAACCCATGTCCCCAAAATAGTTATTAGTTATTAGGTTGGTGCAAAAGTCATTGTGTTTTTGCCATTATTTTCCATTATTTTCAGGAGCAAAACTGCAACAACCTTTGCACCAATCTAATAGTTTTGGTGTGACTGCATTTGTGTGTGGCTGGTCATTATTACAGGCCTGCAGATTGTGCTGAAATATGACATCAATATTTTAGCAAGAAATTGTACCCAGAAACCAGATGTTGGAATCAGATGCTACGTCTTGCCAAAGGCAGTTTTTGCAAGTCTATAAGCTAATTATGTTGACTATGTCAGTGATGCATCTGTAAATACAGGAAATGAGCTAAGCATCTGTTTTGTGACTCTTGACACTAGGGGAGGGTCTCAGCCATGGAAAGATACATCAACTGAGTATGTCTCCTATGGAGTAACCGTGGTAGCCATGACATGGTGTTCCCACCAACTGTCCTCTACTTGTTGACATCCTGAATCATTAGCTGGAAACCATGTCCTGCAAGCCTGATGTGTGAGTGTGAGATGCATACTATTTAGACGTGTCTTGATATTTATTATTATTAATCATGAAACCCATTCCTCTGCTGGACTAGTTAAGAACTAGGCATTTTTGTCTCTGAGGTAGTCCTGCCAGTATATTCAACTAGTTGTAGTCTATTAACACAGAACCTAGGAAGAACCCCAAGAAATCACTTAGAATTCACCCTTATTTTTCTGTTTCATTTGTGTAGCAACTAATTTCTGTCCTGATGGTTAGAACCAGTCAACTGAGCTAACATTATAACATGTTTGTATTTTAGTCTAAGAGAAGGAAGATACTGAAATAATTAAATGGCAATCTAATCTCAGCTTCCTATTCAAAGTACTCATTCAGGTGTTTTCCTCAAGGAAACATTTGACTTACGATATTTTCTTTTTTTTTATTTTTTATTTTTATTTTTATTTATTTATTTATTATTATTTTTATTTATTTATTTATTTTTTATTGATCATTCTTGGGTGTTTCTTGCAGAGGGGGATTTGGTAGGGTCATAGGACAATAGTGGAGGGAAGGTCAGCAGATAAACAAGTGAACAAAGGTCTCTGGTTTTCCTAGGCAGAGGACCCTGAGGCCTTCCGCAGTGTTTGTGTCCCTGGGTACTTGAGATTAGGGAGTGGTGATGACTCTTAACAAGCATGCTGCCTTCAAGCATCTGTTTAACAAAGCACATCTTGCACCGCCCTTAATCCATTTAACCCTGAGTGGACACAGCACATGTTTCAGAGAGCACAGGGTTGGGGGTAAGGTCACAGATCAACAGGATCACAAGGCAGAAGAATTTTTCTTAGTACAGAACAAAATGAAAAGTCTCCCATGTCTACCTCTTTCTACACAGACACGGCAACCATCCGATTTCTCAATCTTTTGCCCACCTTTCCCCCCTGTCTATTCCATAAAACTGCCATTGTCATCATGGCCCGTTCTCAATGAACTGTTGGGTACACCTCCCAGACGGGGTGGTGGCCGGGCAGAGGGGCTCCTCACTTCCCAGTAGGGGCGGCCGGGCAGAGGCGCCCCTCACCTCCCGGACGGGGCGGCTGGCCGGGCGGGGGGCTGACCCCCCACCTCCCTCACGGGCGGGGTGGCTGGCCGGGAGGGGGGCTGACCCCCCCACCTCCCTCCCAGATGGGGTGGCTGCCAGGCGGAGGGGCTCCTCACTTCCCAGACGGGGCGGCTGCTGGGCGGAGGGGCTCCTCACTTCCTAGATGGGATGGCGGCCAGGAAGAGGCGCTCCTCACTTCCTAGACGGGATGGCGGCCGGGCAGAGACGCTCCTCACTTCCCAGACGGGGTGGCTGCCGGGCGGAGGGGCTCCTCACTTCTCAGATGGGGCGGTTGCCAGGTGGAGGGTCTCCTCACTTCTCAGACGGGGCGGCCAGGCAGAGACGCTCCTCACCTCCCAGATGGGGTCGCGGCCAGGTAGAGGCGCTCCTTACATCCCAGACGGGGTGGCGGGGCAGAGGCTCTCCCCACATCTCAGACCATGGGCGGCCGGGCAGAGACGCTCCTCACTTCCTAGATGGGATGGCGGCCGGGAAGAGGCGCTCCTCACTTCCTAGACGGGATGGCGGCCGGGCAGAGACGCTCCTCACTTTCCAGACTGGGCAGCCAGGCAGAGGGGCTCCTCAAGTCCCAGACAATGGGTGGCCAGGCAGAGACGCTCCTCACTTCCCAGACGGGGTGGCGGCCGGGCAGAGGCTGCAATCTCGGCACTTTGGGAGGCCAAGGCAGGCGGCTGGGAGGTGGAGGTTGTAGCGAGCCGAGATCACGCCACTGCACTCCAGCCTGGGCACCATTGAGCACTGAGTGAACCAGACTCCGTCTGCAATCCCGGCACCTCGGGAGGCCGAGGCTGGCGGATCACTCGCGGTTAGGAGCTGGAGACCAGCCCGGCCAACACAGCGAAACCCCGTCTCCACCAAAAAAATACGAAAACCAGTCAGGCGTGGCAGCGTGCGCCTGCAATCGCAGGCACTCGGCAGGCTGAGGCAGGAGAATCAGGCAGGGAGGTTGCAATGAGCCGAGATGGCAGCAGTACAGTCCAGCTTCGGCTCGGCATCAGAGGGAGACCGTGGAAAGAGAGGGAGAGGGAGACCGTGGAAAGACGGAGAGGGAGAGGGAGAGGGAGAGACTTACGATATTTTCAACTTAAAATAGGTTTATCCTAATGTAACCCCATTTTAAATTGATAAAGATATTGAATGTGTATCATTTTTACACCACTGTGATCTATAGCTTGTAAAAAGTCTCTTTCATTTCTAGCCTTTGGTTTTCTGGCCCATACATAAAGATCTATATATCCTGTAAGAAAGGCCACAAACTTATGGATAATTTCATGACAAAACTTCAAAAGGTCCTTTAACCATGTGATAAAGCCAATTGCTCCTAAGGGGTATATAGTAAAGATTATTGAATTTCATGGAGATTAGTGCTTCACTTCTCAAGCAATAAAATGAGTTAATTGGCAAAAAGAAATTTTGCATGAAATTCCATAAAAGGTCATCTTGATTGGCTGTCCCAATCCCCCAACCCTAACCATTTTCTCTAGTGGTATGCAGGTAAATATTTAACAACCAGTTATCCAGAGACCAGAGAGAGGGAGAGAAACAGAGAGAGAGAGAGAGAGAGAGAGAGAGAGAATACATTTAAATGTATATAATATAACGTAATTGTTCTATTTTATTATTATTTATTGTTAATCTCTTACTATGCCTGATACACAAATTAAATTTTATCATAGATATATATGCAAAAAGAAAATTATATAAATACAGGGTTTGATATTATCTGTAGTTTTGAGCATCCACGGAGGGTCTGGTGGATAAAAGAGGACTATGGTATCATTACAATGGCAATTAAATTTCAGCATGAGTTTAGGAGGAGATAGACATTCAAACCATGACAGGAAGACATACACACAATCAGCTCTGGTGAGTCAGTGCAAACCAGCTCTAATATTTCTCTGCTTTTTCTCTAAATACCTTCAGTCTAGATGTGATCCTGTAGAAAATTTATAACCCATAAAATCTAGGCAGAAGGCCTGAGGAACATATCCATTTCTCTTAAAATAAACAAACAAACACAAATCCTTGCTAAAAGAAACCTTTTCCCCTTCACTACTCGTCCCTAATGTTCCTGCCTCATTCCTAATGTTTTACTTTAAGTATCATACAAGTATAAGAATTAAAGCTAATGTGATAAGGTCATGGAATTGAAATGTTGATAGTATTGGCCTATTATGGGAATTGTGGAGTGATTGTATCAGCACTAGAGTGCTGAAGTGCTGATCTACTTTTAATTTCTTATTGCGTGATACAAGTAACATCTTCTTTCTTCATACCTTGTGGGGCCATTTTTATTGTTATTGTTATACACCCAAATGTAAAATTAGCTATACAGGTAGCAAAACAATGTATGAGAAATTTAACACATCCATAAATGATATCAGCAGAACCCTCAGTGACAGAAGAATCAAACACGAATCCAAAATAAGTGACATTCCAGCTAGTTCAAATCAGTTCCCTCTCTAAGAAGAAAGGGATTAAACATAATTCAGTTCACCACATGTAGGGGGCTTCTTTACCAAGGTCTGATACTTGTGAAGGATATAATTGTCAATTCTAATTCTTCATTCCCCTCTAGTAATATTATGTATACATACTCTTGCCATGGCCTTTAGGAGGGAGAGTTATATTTTCCTACCTCTTCACTTTGGTTTTAGCCCTGCTACTTTCTTTGAGCAATAATATGTAAGCAGTCATGCTGTGAGCATGCAATAAATTTTGTCTGCAAAGTTCAGCTTGGTCTTTTTGTTGTTTTGTCTTTCATTGTGATACGAATGTACGTTGGTTAAACACTGGTCCAAGAAAAATGAGAAAGCAAACATAAACTCAAATTTTATCTTTGAGACAAGACCAAAGCTGAGTCAGCCTAAACAGCTGAACCTCGGCCAACATGCAAATGAATAAGAGATAAATGCTATTGTTGTGTGCCATTGAGATTCATAGTTAATTGTTGTATAGCAAAGGTTGTCTATGGGCATGGAGATATTGGCTTTTGGCAAACTGGATCCTCAGTAGCACAGGTAACCAGTCATTCTTGCAGTGTAGAACATACTATATTGATCTAAAACTTATCCTCCATTTAACAAAAGCATTTTGTTCAAGAACACTTTGCCCAATCACCGAGGTGATTAGGAAAGAAAAATGAGTGAAATTTATTAATTGATCATTTTGTCTACCAGATTATTAAAAACAAAAAGAAAAATAATCCTATAACCTTCATAATGGCCACCCTTTGAAGAACATTGACAAAAACCTCAAAACATCGCATTTGTGTCTATACTGAGGGGCTCTCACACACACTTAAGTCTAAACATTTTTGTCCAGTCTTCAAAGACCCTAATCACTTAACTAGTCATCAGCTACTGGCCAAAAATTATGTGTATCTTTACTTTGTGCCACATCTTCTCTGAGTATCAATTGATGAAGAGAGGTATTACTTAAAGATTTGCAAGCTGGAAGTATTTCTTTGTTTCACTCTCTTTCAGGGGCCCCTAGGGTAGAATGCCCATAATGTAGAAGTCTATATTTGATTTATGCTACATCATCATGATTTTGATTTATGCTAAGACATTATGCAGAGTCATTTGTGCATCTGATTATTTCTTTTCTCAGATAAAAGATAATAGAAAATGACCCATAACCCATGGGTATATATTGAGGGGAAGTGGCAGCAGAGGAGGAGGAAGTATGATGGAAATGTGTGCATTTGTGCCTAAACTAAGACCTGAGTTTAGGACTAGCCCAGCTCCCAGTACACTATATAATTCCACTTGGTGTTAGAGTATACTTAGGAATTACCATATTTATGGTTTTGTAGACCAAGTACTACTCAGTTTATGACAGCTTAGCATAGTCACTTGGTGTGTTATCAGGAACTTAGCCTCCAGGAATAAGTATTAATCTATTTTTCTCTAAAGAAGTAAAAATACTATCTGAAAATAACTTAGTTTTACTCCCAAACCCCCAAAGACCTCTTCTGTAAATCTTATGAGGATATATGACACAGAATTCCAGATTATTTTACATTTCCAGAGATAGTTGTAATGTTATGGGATCCTCTGGATCATAGGGACAAATTGTCCAGCTTCTTGAGTTGCAGTCTGGAGTCTTTCCTTTAAAATAAAGCTTATTCATTTAGTGAGATATGTAGTAAAGCATTCTTTCTCCATGATGGTGTGTTTGTGTGAAAGTGAGATAGCACTGAAAAAAAATTACAGACCCTCCCTCATTTACATGGCCACTCTTCATGAGCATCTTAGGAGGATCACTTTTCCAGAAATAGAAAAATTAAGGAATATTGAAGAAATCTTAATTTATGTCATTGTACTATGTTTGAATCTTATATTCCACATGCATCACTTAGTATAGCATTACACAAGATATCTAGGATGTGTGAGGCTTATCAGACATTGAGCAAATGAGAAAAGATTTAAAATGTTCTGGACTATCTGACAGGAAGAAATTGATTTTCAGTAATATGTTCTAAAACTTTCTTTTGTTTTAAATGCAAGAAATTTTATTTAACAGTTATCACTAATCCCCCTAGGGTAGCTGGCCCCTACTGGCAGTAATGTACAAAATTAATTACATTGTCAGATTTAGATTTAATGAAAGTAAATCATCAGAAGCTCATAGCTGGGGAAGATAAGGCAAAGAGTGAGAAAGTGCTTTATTGTATCTCTGAGATCTCTACCAGTTCTTAACAGGAAGGATAGTTGGGGTATGAACTCCTTGGAAAGACAGGAACACAATTTAACTTAAGTAATACAATTGTATTCTGAAGGACATTGGGAGAGTATCACAAAGAAGACTTGGTGAGAAGTCGTTCTTTAAAGCATTAGACAACCTTAAAAGTCCATATTAAAACTGTTGCTTGCTAAAGATTGATTATATTGTCAGTTCTTTGAGATTAGAGGGCTATGAATTCTAAATATGGAGTAAACACAGATGCAAGGGGAAAAAACTCATTCTCTGGCTCTGACCTGCCTACTTATACCCTGGTGAGATTGATACTTTTATTTTCATTTTACAAATAAAGAAATTGGGAGTCATAGATGTGCATGCTCTTGTCCACAGTCACACTGTTTGTTGGTGGCAAGCCAGAATTCAGACCTTTGACTGTACGACTTTACCTATGAGAGCTGACCAGGTCTGTCGTGATTCTTGAGACTTTTTTGACTCTCAGGATTTCTCTTTATCAGAATGTCTAGTGATTGTGATCATTTAAACATCCAATTTTCTACAACCCTCAGAGAAGTATCCATCATATAAATAACACATTGTCAACATTAAATACACAGGTAATTGAGGTGCTGCTCTCACAATGGAAATAAAAGAGCAAATTAGGGTAAGGCGATGCTCTGGTGCCCTTCAGGTGAAAGTCATTAAATGGTATTGAGGAGTGTCCTAGTCACCCATCCATGGAAGGTAAATTGTTCCAAGTATATTTAGCCTTAAAAAATGTCTCCTTAGCCCATCTTCTTGGTCAACAACTAAATTGTGTTTTTGCCATTTGACACAAGCCTCCCCGTTTCCTGTTACTTTCTCACCTTAGCTGCAAATTGACTATAGCCTGATTTTTAAATCTTCACTTTATCACTAGTTCAGAAGATTAAAAAGTGAACCTCCAGGCAGCAGTTAATAAGTAATTGTTTATTTAGCCATCATGTCAAGAGCGAAGTTCACAATCAATTCTCCAGAGGTTGACTTTAGAATATACCTAAATACTGCTGTGCCTTCTCCTAGTGAATAACTGCTCAGTTGTTCTCTATGTTTGATTAAGGTTATAGTAATAGTTGTCTGATTCCTTTAATTAAATAGAACCTCTTAAGAACTGGACTTTCTAACAGGTGTTTCTGTCACTTTTTCCTTTTACTAACTAAATAATTATTAATATTTAAATACATACTATATGTTAGACACCATTTAAACATATTTTATATATTATATTGATAATTACTTCCATCATCCCTGTTGTATAAATCCCATTATATACTTTTTACAGATGAGGAAATTAAGGCTTAAAGGGTTTAGAAAAATATTTAGATCTACACAGATAAATAGTAGCAGATAGCACTCAAGACCCAGGTCTTTGCAATTCAAAAGCCCCCATTCTTAATCACTGTATCTGACAGTATTTAGGTAACAACATGCATGTTCCCTGATAAAACTTTTATATTTATGGTTTCTTTAGTACAACCCAATGTTCACTAAACATTTTTGAGGCCTAGATACTGTGATAGACATTGAAGAATAAAGATAGTAAATTATTTCTCCTACCCTTAGGAGAATGGCTTAGTTATATTAATAGGATGGAGGGAGGGATAGATGCATGCAAATTTTAAGGAAAATAGTGTGATAAATGTTACCATACAAATATCAACAAATTGCCTTGGAATATGGGGGTGAAAGAAAAATTCCAATGAGCTGTTAGTTGTATTGCTTTTAGGAGTGTATTAGAGGAGGCAGAATTTGTGTTATTACTGTTTTAATGGGTCAGTTCTACTATACCACTGTGAAGTATGTTGGTCTCATAATTGCTCATCCAGGCAAGCATGGGAATTACTTTGTGATAAACTTTCACCTCTTGATTTCACTAGTGGACCAATTAGTGGTTGTTACTCTAAAGACCCAAATGTAGAATTCATAGAATATTCACAAGGACAGTCAACATGCCAGGTAAAAAAATAGCATACATGGAACAAAACATTGGGCGAAACCTTAGGAATTATCTAGTCCACATAAAATCCCCTATTTATAGGTCTATAGAATTATTCTCACCTTTCCTCATAATCACACATCACACATTCTTCTTTTTCTTTCCTTTGGGCCAAAGCATTTTCATAATTTCAGAGTTGCTGGATCAAAGAAGTTTCTGCATAAGCCATGAGCAATGTTGGGAGCTGTCGCCTCAGATATCCTAGGTCCTGAGGTCGTCTGAACTTGCCCCTTTCTCATAGTAAGTGTCTCCACATTAGCCATTGATATGTCCTTTTGTCTAATAACATAGGCAGCCAATCAAAGACTTTAAGAGTTTAGAGATAGGAAAGACTAATGTGATAATTTACAGGGGAGATTTTGTTGAATTAGGTCTTACAAGATGGAGTGCTAGTTTTCATGTTTTTCCATAAATATGTATTTCAATAATTAAAATCTTAAATGCTTCAGATGGGAGGAAAATCTAGTTCCACCAGGTACAGATTACCCATCACACTTCCGGTGTACTGCCTTACTGCTTCATTCTGCCCCGCAATGGTCAATAAGAAGATTCACCCAGAATTTGCAAGACTTTTTGACATTGTCTCTGGCTCAGCTTTCAGTTATTTTGTACCTTAGTTTCTGTTGTTGTCCCAGATTGTGACCCAGGGTTGCTTTGTACTTCATTCAGTACTCTGGATTCATGGCTAGCCAGATTACAAAAAGAGGTACACCTAGTGGTGGCGCTTGTTATGGCATGAAGAACATAGTACAGTTCCTTTTAAGGATCCTTAATTTCCATCTCCACATGGTCAATTTCCTGTTTCCAGAACTGAACCCAAATGATGGAAAAGGCATTTAGTGAGCACTTTCAATATTTTAAGAGGCATGAAAAACAAATGAGTGACAGAGGTTGTTTTTAACATAAATTATCAAGACAATTGGTTTGCTTGGTGGAAAAAAAATCACACAACAACTAGGTTCCAAACTGTTTAAAGAGATACATGAAATAAATAACCATAAAATGGCATTAAGAAAATAAAAGAATATATTCATCAAACCTCTGGAGAGACAAAGGCTTTCTAATGGTCAAAGCAGCAGAAGACCTCTCAAAGGAAAAAAAAATCAATGCATATGACTAAATAAAAATTAAATTGACTGTATATCAACAATAAAAAAATTCTAGCAAACACATAATCAAAACTAAATTATATTAGTTCGTGCCACCCCAAGGTTATATTAATGGTTTACAGGGTTTAGGGTTGGGAGGAAGGGATGTGTATGCCAAGTGTAATACAAGTGAGATCTTTGTAGTGATGGACTAGTTCAATATCTTGATTGCTGTAGTGGTTATATGAATTGACGTGATAAAATGGCATTGAACTGAACACATACACACATTGTACCAATGTCAGTTTCCTGGTTTTGTTATTATGCTAAACTTACATAACCATCAGGGGAAACTAAGTGAAGAATACATAGCATCTCTCTATACTATTTTTGTCCATTGCCTATGAGTATGTAATTATTTCAAAATTAAAAATAAAATATAACATTGTTAGTGAGGTTGGCATAAAGGATTAAGTTTTGAGTATTGCTGGCAGCAAATATTAATTAGTACAAACTTTAGAAAATAATAGTGGAAATAAAAATAAGCACCAAAAAGAAATGAAACATAAAAAGTAAAAATATGACTCTTTAATCAGATATATTTGTTGTATTTTAGTGGGTTGACTTTATCTAATTTCTGGAAACTGTCACAACCTTAACTTTCTTATTGATAAAATGTTAAATAAAAATTACTACTTATTGAAAATGAGAAAATATATGAGTATCCAGTGGAATTAATATTATGATTATTGTGCAGATAGGTGTCTACTTAAGAAACTTGTAATCTCTATTATATCTATGGGAGAACATATCCAATAATCCTGGATCAAATACTGTTTGTTCTGGAGGGTTTCTTTTCAGTTATGTGGCTATAATTGAACAAAACCTCCACTATTGGAGGAAAAGGACATGCATTTATTTGTTTTTTGTGTAACAGGTTGTGCCCTTTCTCTTATTCCATGGCAAATGGCCCAACAAACCTTTTGGGAAGAGAGTAAACTAGACCTGAGCTCTCCCCTTTGGAAATTTAATATTATTAAGTATCTGTAATAGCCAAGATATTCCTGTCTTACGTCAACAGGCTGAAAGACAAGGGGTACAAATTCATGAAAAGGGACAAAGAGTCAGATATGCTTAAACACATGTCTCAGGGATCTGAGAGGAGCATTATCTCCTGAAACAGCTTGAAGCTTAGGAGATGTCTTCAAACACATCTTCTCTGGCCTATTGGCCATGTTTGTGCGAAGACATTGACGTTAATAAGCACAGTGGGATGCTAGACACACACTGGGAATCACAGCAAATATTGTAATAGCACTGGAGGAAAAAAAATCACATATTTCTCTCCCTTAAAGTAAGAAATAAAAGATTATTGCACTTGCAATGATGGAAATGCTTTAACGGCCACTAAATTGGACAAGAATTACATCAAACAGTTGAGGCCACATATTTTCAGCACTAATAGCAGATACTACATTCCTTTTGGAGTTTAACTGGAATTTCTCAAGTTTCTTTGTAAGGAAAAGAAAAAGCCAAGATTGAACTATTTTGGTGATTGAGTTTCCTCAAATTTTAAAACCTTAATGCAAGAGAAAGGAATCATAGGAAAAATGAAAGATACTCTTTTGAAGACAATATAGGGTACTCCAAGTCATGCTGATTTATGTATTCTTTCCTTCCTTCCTTCTGAAATACAGGAGGGAAAAGTCTTTACATTAAAAAAGATGCTTACCTTTACCATTAATTATAATGGTGAATAATAGGTAATAACTAATGCATGTAATGATTAAGGAGAATATTCTCCATTCCTATCATGTATCCATATCATCTAGAACTGTATCTGTTATATAGAAGGTACACAGGGTATTTAAAATGAATGAATGAATGATTAAATGTTGATATGAATTACCTAGTCCAGAAACTCTTAAAGAGCTATTGAAGCAATTGTGCTAATCATAATAGGGAAAATGTGAATATTTATAATGTTGAGTGCAAAAATCAGAATATAAAATAGTGTCTGTAGAAATAGTTCTTAAATGTCAATGTACATTGTATTACCTAGAGGGCTTGTTGAAACACAGATTGCTAAGTCTCAAACCCAGTCTCTGTTTCAGTAGATCGGGAATGAGACCCAACAATTTGTATTTCTAGCAAGTTCTCACATGATGTCCATGCCACTTATCTTAAAAACCACATTTTGATTTTCTCAGGTCTGTCAAAGATCAGACAGTTGTAGATATGCGGCGTTATTTCTGAGGGCTCTGTTCTGTTCCATGGATCTACCTCTCTGTTTTGGTACCAGTACCATGCTGTTTCGGTTACTGTAGCCTTGTAGTATAATTTGAAGTCAGGTAGCGTGATGCCTCCAACTTTGTTCTTTTGGCTTAGGATTGACTTGGCGATGCGGGCTCTTTTTTGTTGCCATATGAACTTTAAAGTGTTTTTTCCAATTCTGTGAAGAAAGTCATTGGTAGCTTGATGGGGATGGCATTGAATGTATAAATTACTTGGGCAGTATGGCCATTTTCACGATATTCATTCTTCGTACCTATGAGCATGGAATGTTCTTCCATTTGTTTGTATCCTCTTTTATTTCCTTGAGCAGTGGTTTGTATTTCTTCCTGAAGAGGTCCTTCACATCCCTTGTAAGTTGGATTCCTAGGTATTTTATTCTCTTTGAAGCAATTGTGAATGGGAACTCACTCATGATTTGGCTCTCTGTTTGTCTGTTATTGGTGTATAAGAATGCTTGTGATTTTTGTACATTGATTTTGTATCCTGAGACTTTGCTGAAGTTGCTTATCAGCTTAAGGAGATTTTGGGCTGAGACAATGGGGTTTTCTCGATATACAATCATGTCATCTGCAAACAGGGACAATTTGACTTCCTCTTTTCCTAATTGAATACCCTTTATTTCCTTCTCCTGCCTAATTGCCCTGGCAAGAACTTCCAACACTATGTTGAATAGGAGTGGTGAGAGAGGGCATGCCTGTCTTGTGCCAGTTTTCAAAGGGAATGCTTCCAGTTTTTGCCCATTCAGTATGATATTGGCTGTGGGTTTGTCATAGATAGCTCTTATTATTTTGAGATATGTCCAATCAATACCTAATTTATTGAGAGTTTTTAGCATGAAGCATTGTTGAATTTTGTCAAAGGCCTTTTCTGCATCTATTGAGATAATCATGTGGTTTTTGTCTTTGGTTCTGTTTATATGCTGGATTACATTTATTGATTTGCATATATTGAACCAGCCTTGCATCCCAGGGATGAAGCCCACTTGATCATGGTGGATAAGGTTTTTGATGTGCTGCTGGATTCGGTTTGCCAGTATTTTATTGAGGATTTTTGCATCAATGTTCATCAAGGATATTGGTCTAAATTTCTCTCTTTTGGTTGTGTCTCTGTCCGGCTTTGGTATCAAGATGATGCTGGCCTCATAAAATGAGCTAGAAAAACAAGCAATGGGAAAAGGATTCCCTATTTAATAAATGGTGCTGGGAAAACTGGCTAGCCATATGTAGAAAGCTGAAACTGGATCCCTTCCTTACACCTTATACAAAAATTAATTCAAGATGGATTCAAGACTTAAATGTTAGACCTAAAACCATAAAAACCCTAGAAGAAAACGTAGGCATTACCATTCAGGACATCGGCATGGGCAAGGACTTCATGTCTAAAATACCAAAAGCAATGGCAACAAAAGCCCAAATTGACAAATGGGATCTAATTAAAGTAAAGAGCTTCTGCACAGCAAAAGAAACTACCGTCAGAGTGAACAGGCAACCTACAAAATGGGAGAAAATTTTTGCAACCTACTCATCTGAGAAAGGGCTAATATCCAGAATGTACAATGAACTCAAACAAATTTACAAGAAAAAAACAAAAAACCCCATCAAAAAGTGGGCAAAGGACATGAACAGACACTTCTCAAAAGAAGACATTTATGCAGCCAAAAAACACATGAAAAAATGCTCACCATCACTGACCATCAGAGAAATGCAAATCAAAACCACAATGAGATACCATCTCACACCAGTTAGAATGGCAATCATTAAAAAGTCAGGAAACAACAGGTGCTAGAGAGGATGTGGAGAAATAGGAACACTTTTACACTGTTGGGACTGTAAACTAGTTCAACCATTGTGGAAGTCAGTGTGGCGATTCCTCAGGGATCTAGAACTAGAAATACCATTTGACCCAGCCATCCCATTACTGGGTATATACCCAAAGGACTATAAATCATGCTGCTATAAAGACACATGAACACGTATGTTTATTGCGGCACTATTCACAATAGCAAAGACTTGGAACCAACCCAAATGTCCACCAATGATAGACTGGATAAAGAAAATGTGGCACATATACACCATGGAATACTATGCAGCCATAAAAAATGATGAGTTCATGTCCTTTGTAGGGACATGGATGAAATTGGAAATCATCATTCTCAGTAAACTATCTCCAGAACAAAAAACCAAACACCGCATATTCTAACTCATAGGTGGGAATTGAACAATGTGAACACATGGACACAGGAAGGGGAATATCACACTCTGCGGACTGTTGTGGGGTGGGGGGAGGGGGGAGGGATAGCTTTAGGAGATATACCTAATGCTAAATGACGAGTTAATGGGTGCAGCACACCAGCATGGCACATGTATACATATGTAACTAACCTGCACATTGTGCACATGTACCCTAAAACTTAAAGTATAATAATAATAATAAAATAAATAAATAAATAAATAAATACATTAAAAAACACATTTTGAGAAGTATTCATTGAAAGGGTGATTGCTAGTATGTAAAACAGGCAAACACAAATATATCTGAAAAAAGTGTTGAGCAAATAAAATTTATTCTTGGAAAATGTGTTGAGCATACAGTGTGAACAGTGACTGTCTTTGGGGAGATGGGATCATGACTTACATTTTTTTTCTTTCTGCCTTTGTTTATTTTCTTTGTGGTAATCTATTACTTTAAAATGGAAAATAAAAAATGTCCAAGCAATTTAAACTTAAAGACAGTGTGGCGATCTAGATCGTCAAGGATCTAGAACCAGAAATACCATTTGACCCAGTAATCCCATTACTGGGTATATACCCAAAGGATTATAAATTATTCTACTATAAAGACATATGCACATGTATGTTTATTGAAGCACTGTTCACAATAGCAAAGACTTGTAATCAACGCAGATGCCCATCAATTATAGACTGGATATAGAAAATGTGGCACATATACACCATGGAATACTATGCAGCTATAAAAAAGGATAAGTTCATGTCCTTTGCAGGGGCATGGATGAAGCTGGAAGCCATCATTCTCAGCAAACTAACACAGGAACAGAAAACCAGAAACCACACGTTCTCACTCATAAGTGAGAATTGAACAATGAGGACATGGTCACAGGGAGGGGAATATCACACACTGGGGCCTATCAAGATGTGGGGAGCTAGGGGAGGGATAGTATTAGAAGAAATACCTAATGTAGATGACAGGTTGACGGGTGCAGCAAATCACCATGGCAAGTGTATACCTGTGTAACAAACCTGCACGTTCTGCACATGTAACCCAGAACTTATAATAATAATAATAATAATAAAAACACACAAAAAAACAAAGTGCAATAAGTACACGATAAAGGGAGATACTAATTTTCTCTGAGGAGAGGATAATGAAATCTGGCGTGGACTTAAGTGACTAGCAAGTGCTTGCTTTAGTGTTCTTTGCATTGACTCTGTTAGAACTCCCTAATACTAAATTATCCCTTCACCTGACACCAAAAGTCACTGTCTCTCTGAAACTTTTCTTCACTCTTTTAAATCAGACCCACAGATGCTGATGACAACTCAGCCCACACATGGTTTATCTATTCCTGCCAATTAGGATTTTCTTGAGGGCTCAGGCTGCTGCTTGTTTAACATCCCATTGGGCTGGGCATGTAAATGTGCTCAGTTTCCCCTGTCCACCTTGAGTTTAATTCTCACTAATTGTTGGATATTCCCTATTTGCCCATCTGGATCCACTACTATGCATCTCTTTTCTGTTCCTGGAAGTAGAAATTTTGGACTACAACACAGGACTCCCTTGAGTTTTGCTTCCAGGTGATTTGACTAATGGGAAGCACTAGAAGATGGGAGGAAAGTAAGGTTGGTGTATATGATCCGTCTGACTTCTTTCCTCTTAGTCCATGGGTTGACAGTGACTATATTCCTCTACTGAAGGCTTTTGCACCTTTAGGATTCTCTTCGTTTAGCTACATCTCTAGAGATTTTTGTATTTGCTTTCTTTCTCTGCCCTTTCAGACATAGGGATGCTAGCTGCTCCTTTTACTGTGAATTTGATGATGCTTTTGCGTTTCTTGGTTAATCCTGGCCATAACTTTGTACATAATCTTTGTACAGTTTTATAGTTACTGAACTCTCCTAAAACTAACCTATGTGAGTAAGTAATCTGTTTCCTGTTAGGGCCTTTGCTGGTATACCTTCTTTTAATTTTTTTTTAAAGAGTCAGTGTCTCATTATGTCACCCAAGCTGGAGTGCAGTGTTACGATCATAGTTCACTACAGCCTCAAACTGGGCTCAAGTGATCCTCCTACCTCGAGCTCCCACATAGCTGGGACTATAGGTGTGTGACATCATGCCCAGCTAATTTTGTGTGTGTTTGTGTGTGTGTTTTGTAGAGACAGGGTCTTCCTGTGTTGTCCAGGGTAATCTCCAACACCTGGCCTCAATAGATCCTCCCACCTTGGTCTCTCAACACTCTGGGATTACAGGCATAAGCACATCTCTTAACTTCAGTTTTCATGTCTATGCATGCATGCTTTCTTCTCACAGAAAATAAGAGGCAAAATTCCCCCCTGACCTAACATGGAATCTAAAGAACATGAGCTTTAGAACAAACTATATTAGTTCAAATCTGAGTTTAGTAACTTCCTTGCTGTATGCACTGCAAAGTTACTTGAGGCTCATTTTTTACCTGAAAAATGGGGATTATCTTTTCCCACTTCTTGAGTTGTTAAAGGGGTGAAATAAGATAACGTGTCAAATGTCTAAACATGTGCTCCAAAAAGTGTATGTTTCCTTCCCCTCCCTGTGCTGAAACAAGCCACTTCAATACAAGAATACTTTTTTTTTTTTTTTTGGTTTTTCACTGTATATCTGTATCTGTTCCAAGTATCCTCCAATGCAGCTACAGTTCCTCAAAAATTTATAACCAATTTTTGTCTTTATGGATAATACAGTTTTGTTTCCCACATATCCCTGCTGCTTGGGCAGTACTGGGGACTATTTAAGTTCTAGAGACTTAGACCTGCTTTCCACAAAAGGGTCCAGCAAGCAGTTAGGGTTCTGTTGCCAGCTTCTGTCCAATGACATGAAAACATCCCCTATGTGAGGAAGCAACTCATTGCTTGGTTTGTTAAGCAGGGAACATGGACTTCCAGAATAGACCTCATTTTTAAGTTATTTTTCAGTGAGGACACTGCTTCACAATGTTCTGATAAAGAATTTCAATATGGCATGGCAGATCTTAACTTTATGTGAGACATGGGACCTAGTTATTTATATGTGTTTAAGATTTTTCTTAGCCCTTGGAATAAGCCTGATTACTTTTCCTAGTTGATTACATTGAGGCTTAGAGATATTAAGTAAGTTCCCACTACCAGAAGGTGGGGCACCTGAGATAAACAGGTCTGTTTGAAGTCAGTTTATGTTCTTTCTGATACCTCACTCCTCTTTTTGAGGGTTAAGTGATTTACCCAAATGCAGTAAAGCTTCTAGGAATCAGTAGAATGCATGAATATGTTTTTGTTAATATGTTTGGGGTAGGTGAGTTTGGTTTCAGGATTCCTCAGAACTTACAGGTAAAAAGGGCAAGATAAGGAGGCCGAGATCCTACCGCTTAACAAAAGCAAGCTGTGTGACATTGGGGAAAAACACATTTGACTGATCTCTAGTTTTCTCACCTGTAAAATGTGAATCTTCCTGACATAAGTGGCTCATAGTAGCAGCCCCAAATAATTTAAATTTCTTATGTGTGTATATCCTGTCTTTTCCTGAATATGTCACACCTTTTCCATTTTCTCTGTATTGCCTTTATCCAGGTACCCAATCAGTTCCTGCCAATACTAATCTTTCCAGTCCACTAACTATTTTATCCCTAGTTTAACCTTCATATTTGTTGACTGAGTAATCCTGAAACATGGATCTTATCAACCTAAATACCTGATAAAGAATCACTGAATTCAGAGACAAGGCAAACCCAAACAGAAAAGGGAGGTTTTTACTCCTGGAATATCCACATCCACATGGTAGTGATAATGCTTCAAATATTTCTGCATGCACAAACTAACAGTGGTCCAGCTGCCTCTGCAAACCACTGTGCAGTATGTATTCTCCTTAAAGCCTTGACTGGTTAACAATGAATAAATGCGAGTATTGTCTCTACTGTTCAAGCAGGAAACCATTCCAGAAATCAACTAGTGAAAAATGATTAGAGATTATAAAATTGGAACTAAGCTCATTAGTCATCCCCCTCAATTCATTAGGACCTACTATTGGAATTCTACTTTAGTGACTTATTTTCTATGTAAAGGCAATTAGATAATTTACTTTCAACAACAAGTTACAGCTATAATACCAAAATGACAAGTCATAGCTTGGAATACAGCATTTCAGTAGTGTCTTCTCAGAGGAGATGACTATGTGAGAGACTCAAAATTATAAGGAAGGCAATTCCATGTATCTAGAGTGCCACAGTAAAAGATCTCTACCTGTAAATACTCACAAGGTAATATCTAGATGAGGGTAAAATATGTTAGATCTCTTTCCTGGTGAAATGTATTCCTAGTTATTTTATTTTTGTGTGTGGATACTGTAAATGATAGTGAGTTATTGATTTGGTTCTCAGCTTGAATGTTATTGATGTATAGAAATGCTACTGATTTTTGTTGTTGATTTTGTATTCTGAAACTTGACTGAAGTCATTTATGAAGTCTAGGAAGCTTTTAGATAATTCTTTAGGGTTTTTAGCTGTACAATCATTTCATCAGCAAACGGAGATTATTTGATTTCTTCTTTTCCAAATGGTATGCTTTTTATTCTTTCTCTTGCTCAACTGCTCTAAGTAGGACTTCCAGTACTATGTTGATTAGGAGTGGTGAAGGTGGATATCCTTTTCTTGTCTCAGTTCTTTGGGGGAGTATTTTCAACTTTTTCCCATTCAGCGTGATGTTGGTTGTTGGCTTGTCATATATGGCACTTACTATTTTGATGTATGTTTCTTCAGTGCCTAGTTTATTGAGGATTTTTTTCATAAAGTAATGCTGAATTTTATTGAATGCCTTTTCTTCATCTATTGTAAAAATCATATGGCTTTTGTTTTTAATTCTGTTTATATGGTAAATCACATTTTTTGAGTTGTATATGTTGCATCATCCTTGCCTCACTGGAATAAAACCCACTTGAATATAACGTGTTATCTCATGATCTGCTGTTGTATTCAGCTAGTATTCTGTAAAGGATTTTAAAATCTATTTTCATCAGGGATATTGGCCTGTAGTTTTGTTGTTGTGTCCTTGCCTGATTTTTGTATCAAGGTGATACTGGTTTTGTAGAATGAGGTAGAGAAGAATCCCTCCTCCTCAAGTTTATGGAATAGTTTCAGTAAGATAGGTAGCATCTCTTCTTTGTACATCTGGTGAAATTCAGTTGTAAGTCACCTGGTCCTGAATTTTTTTAATTAGAAGTTTCTTTTAATTACTGATTCATTTTTATTACTTGTTATTGGTCTGTTTAGAATTTCTGTTTCTTGCTGGTTCAGTCTTGGGAGGTTGTATGTTTCTAGGAATTTATCCAGTTCATCTGTGTTTTCTAGTTAGTATGGACAGAGGTGCTCATAGTAGTTTCTGATAATCTTTTGTATTTCCATAGTATCAGTTGTAATGTCACCTTTATAATTTCTTACTATACTTATTTGAATCTTTTCTGGGTTACTATAGCTAGCAGTCTGTCAATTTTGTTTATCCTTTCAAAGAAACAACTTTTTGTTTTGTTGATCTTTTGTATCTTTTTTTTTGTCTCAATCTCATTTAGTTCTGCTCTCTACAAGGATGACAGGGATCAACTGATTAAAAGAAATCATAGATGACACAAATGGAAAAACATCCCATGCTCATGGGTTAGAAGAATCGATATTGTAAAAATGACCATACCACCCAAAGCAATCTACAGATTTAACACAATCTCTATCAAATTATCAGCATAATTTTTCACAGCATTAGAAAACAATCCTAAAGCTTTTATGGAACCAAGAAACAGTCCAAGTAGCCAAAAACAGTTCTAAACAAAAAGAACAAATCTGGGAGCAATTACATTGTCTTATTCTAAATTCTACTACAAGGCAATATGTAGTAACTAAAAAAGCATGGTACTGATACAAAAATAGACATACAGATAAATAGAACAGAATAGAGAACCCAGGGATAAAGCTACATACCTACAACCATCTGATCTTCAACAAAGTCAACAAAAATAAACAATGGGGAAAGGACACTCTATTCAATAAATGATGATGGGAAAACTGTCTGGCCATATGCAGAAGAGTCAAACTGGACCCTTATCTCTCACCATATACAAAAATTAACCCAAGATAGATTAGAGACTGAAACATAAGACCTGAAACTATAAAAAATTTAGAAGACAACATAAGAAAAACTCTCTGCACATTGGCCCAGGCAAACAATTTATGATAAAGACCCCAAAAGCAACTGCCATGAAAACAATAGACAGATGATATTTAAAGTGAAAAGCTTCTGCACAGCAAAAGAAATAATCAACAGAGTAAACAGGCAACTTATAGAATGGGAGAAACTATTTGCAATTATGCCTCCAAAATAAAGGACTAATACCTAAAATCTAGAATGAATTCAAACAACTCAACAAGAAAAAAACAGACAATCCTATTAAAAACCGGACAAAGGACATAAACAGACTTGCTCACACATAAGTTTGTAAAGATGGAAGAGGATCCTAGGTCTGCGTCTACAGTTTGTGTTTTGCCCACTCTTCAACATTGCTAATAAAACCTCTAATACTTATGTTAATGAATAAATTTGGGGATCAGACAGAACTCAGCAGTCATATCAAAGCAGTCTCTTTCACCTGGCTACTATCATTTATGTTACTTACTTTCTCCTCAGCCCGCCATGACAATTTCCTAGGTAACCTCTATTGTCAAGTTTCTCCATTTCATCTGCTTTTTTCTAAAATGTAAAATAACATTTTTCTAAAATGTAAAACTTTTCTCCATTTCATCTGCTTTTTTCTAAAATTTTTTATTGATTTTTCATACACACACATTACAATTAACAAATCATAAGTGTAAATCTTGATAATTTTACCCTCATCAGGGTAAGGAGTGTAACCTAAACATCAGAAGAACAAGTGTGCCTTCACCCACAAATATAACCAATATGCTGACTTCTATCGCCTTAGGTTAGTTTTGCTTATATTTGAACTTTATGTAAATTCAGTCACAATATTTAGAGATTTGTGTATTACTTTCTTGCACAGATTTATGGTTGTGAGATTCATCTGTGTCATTGGGTGTATCATAAATGTATTTATGATCACTGATTCAAACATTCTACTCTTTTGGATATTTTAGTTTTTTTTTTCTCTTTTGCTGTTGTAAATAATACTTCTGTGAACATTATAATAATTCATTTGAAATACATAGTATATATATACATACACATTTACAGTTCAAATACATAAATTTATGTATTTAACCTAATATCTTGCTATAGGTTTAAACCTAATATCTTGCTATATGTTTTCCAGTTTTCTAATGAATTTCATCTATTCTTTGTTAGTTTTACCTTTTTCTTGCCTTCTTTTGTATTACTTGAGAATTAAAAAAAATTCCCTGATGTTGCTATTTATATTTTCTTCTTTCAGTTTAGTAATTACCTTATAAATTTATACATTCATAATTGAATTATTCAGACTACTCCAAATTATAATTTGGTACCATTTTTCAGGTAATACAAAGGTCTCGTGGGACTTAATTCACATTTTCCTCAAGCCTGTTGTGCTATTGCCATGTATTTTAACCCTGCAAGACATTAATATTATTGTTTTATATAGTCAGTGTTTATCTGTACCTACATATTTTCCTTTTCTGGCATTTATTCTTTTCTACATTAACAGACTTCTATATGGAATAGCTTTCATTCTCCTGAAAGTTTCCCTTTAGTGTTGTTTTGTTTTGTGTGGATTTACTAACAACAAGTTTATACTATTTAATAAAGAGTATTTTCCTCCAGATATAAAATTCTAGACTGTAAGTTTTTTTCTTTCTTCCAGCATTTGAAGCGTGCCATTCCATTGCCTTCTATTTTTCTTCGTTTTTATTCAAAATGCAGCCTGTCAGTCTTATCTTTGCTCTACATTCCTCTTTTCTGTATTTTTAAACTTCGTTTTCTTTTTTTTTTTTTTTTAGGTGTTTAGGTTTTTATTTTTATTTTATTTTATTTTTTTATTTTTTTTTATTATACTTTAAGTTTTAGGGTACATGTGCACATTGTGCAGGTTAGTTACATATGTATACATGTGCCATGCTGGTGCGCTGCACCCACTAACTTGTCATCTAGCCTTAGGTATATCTTCCAATGCTATCCCTCCCCCCTCCCCCTACCCCACCGCAGTCCCCAGAGTGTGATATTCCCCTTCATGTGTCCATGTGATCTCATTGTTCAATTCCCACCTATGAGTGAGAATATGCGGTGTTTGGTTTTTTGTTCTTGAGATAGTTTACTGAGAATGATGGTTTCCAATTTCATCCATGTCCCTACAAAGGATATGAACTCAACATTTTTTATGGCTGCATAGTATTCCATGGTGTATATGTGCCACATTTTCTTAATCCAGTCTATCATTGTTGGACATTTGGGTTGGTTCCAAGTCTTTGCTATTGTGAATAGTGCCGCAATAAACATACGTGTGCATGTGTCTTTATAGCAGCATGATTTATACTCATTTGGGTATATACCCAGTAATGGGATGGCTGGGTCAAATGGTATTTCTAGTTCTAGATCCCTGAGGAATCGCCACACTGACTTCCAAAATGGTTGAACTAGGTTACAGTCCCACCAACAGTGTAAAAGTGTTCCTATTTCTCCGCATCCTCTCCAGCACCTGTTGTTTCCTGACTTTTTAATGATTGCCATTCTAACTGGTGTGAGATGATATCTCATAGTGGTTTTGATTTGCATTTCTCTGATGGCCAGTGATGATGAGCATTTCTTCATGTGTTTTTTGGCTGCATAAATGTCTTCTTTTGAGAAGTGTCTGTTCATGTCCTTCGCCCACTTTTTGATGGGGTTGTTTGTTTTTTTCTTGTAAATTTGTTTGAGTTCATTGTAGATTCTGGATATTAGCCCTTTGTCAGATGAGTAGGTTGCGAAAATTTTCTCCCATGTTGTAGGTTGCCTGTTCACTCTGATGGTAGTTTCTTTTGCTGTGCAGAAGCTCTTGAGTTTAATTAGATCCCATTTGTCAATTTTGTCTTTTGTTGCCATTGCTTTTGGTGTTTTGGACATGAAGTCCTTGCCCACGCCTATGTCCTGAATGGTAATGACTAGGTTTTCTTCTAGGGTTTTTATGGTTTTAGGTTTAACATTTAAATCTTTAATCCATCTTGAATTGATTTTTGTATAAGGTGTAAGGAAGGGATCCAGTTTCAGCTTTCTACATATGGCTAGCCAGTTTTCCCAGCACCATTTATTAAATAGGGAATCCTTTCCCCATTGCTTGTTTTTCTCAGGTTTGTCAAAGATCAGTTAGTTGTAGATATGCGGCATTATTTCTGAGGGCTCTGTTCTGTTCCATGGATCTATATCTCTGTTTTGGTACCAGTACCATGCTGTTTTGGTTACTGTAGCCTTGTAGTATAGTTTGAAGTCAGGTAGTGTGATGCCTCCAGCTTTGTTCTTTTGGCTTAGGATTGACTTGGCAATGCGGACTCTTTTTTGGTTCCATATGAACTTTAAAGTAGTTTTTTCCAATTCTGTGAAGAAAGTCATTGGTAGCTTGATGGGGATGGCACTGAATCTGTAAATTACCTTGGGCAGTATGGCCATTTTCACGATATTGATTCTTCCTACCCATGAGCATGGAATGTTCTTCCATTTGTTTGTGTCCTCTTTTATTTCCTTGAGCAGTGGTTTGTAGTTCTCCTTGAAGAGGTCCTTCACATCCCTTGTAAGTTGGATTCCTAGGTATTTTATTCTCTTTGAAGCAATTGTGAATGGGAGTTCACCCATGATTTGGCTCTCTGTTTGTCTGTTGTTGGTGTATAAGAATGCTTGTGATTTTTGTACATTGATTTTGTATCCTGAGACTTTGCTGAAGTTGCTTATCAGCTTAAGGAGATTTTGGGCTGAGACGATGGGGTTTTCTAGATAAACAATCATGTCGTCTGCAAACAGGGACAATTTGACTTCCTCTTTTCCTAATTGAATACCCTTTATTTCCTTCTCCTGCCTGATTGCCCTGGCCAGAACTTCCAACACTATGTTGAATAGGAGCGGTGAGAGAGGGCATCCCTGTCTTGTGCCAGTTTTCAAAGGGAATGCTTCCAGTTTTTGCCCATTCAGTATGATATTGGCTGTGGGTTTGTCATAGATAGCTCTTATTATTTTGAAATACGTCCCATCCATACCTAATTTATTGAGAGTTTTTAGCATGAAGGGTTGTTGAATTTTGTCAAAGGCTTTTTCTGCATCTATTGAGATAATCATGTGGTTTTTGTCTTTGGCTCTGTTTATATGCTGGATTACATTTATTGATTTGCGTATATCGAACCAGCCTTGCATCCCAGGGATGAAGCCCACTTGATCATGGTGGATAAGGTTTTTGATGTGCTGCTGGATTCGGTTTGCCAGTATTTTATTGAGGATTTTTGCATCAATGTTCATCAAGGATATTGGTCTAAAATTCTCTTTTTTGGTTGTGTCTCTGCCCGGCTTTGGTATCAGAATGATGCTGGCCTCATAAAATGAGTTAGGGAGGATTCCCTCTTTTTCTATTGATTGGAATAGTTTCAGAAGGAATGGTACCAGCTCCTCCTTGTACCTCTGGTAGAATTCGGCTGTGAATCCATCTGGTCCTGGACTCTTTTTGGTTGGTAAACTATTGATTATTGCCACAATTTCAGAGCCTGTTATTGGTCTATTCAGAGATTCAACTTCTTCCTGGTTTAGTCTTGGGAGAGTGTATGTGTCGAGGAATGTATCCATTTCTTCTAGATTTTCTAGTTTATTTGCGTAGAGGTGTTTGTAGTATTCTCTGATGGTAGTTTGTATTTCTGTGGGATCGGTGGTGATATCCCCTTTATCATTTTTTATTGTGTCTATTAGATTCTTCTCTCTTTTTTTCTTTATTAGTCTTGCTAGCGGTCTATCAATTTTGTTGATCCTTTCAAAAAACCAGCTCCTGGATTCATTGATTTTTTTGAAGGGTTTTTTGTGTCTCTATTTCCTTCAGTTCTGCTCTGATTTTAGTTATTTCTTGCCTTCTGCTAGCTTTTGAATGTGTTTGCTCTTGCTTTTCTAGTTCTTTTAATTGTGATGTTAGGGTGTCAATTTTGGATCTTTCCTGCTTTCTCTTGTAGGCATTTAGTGCTATAAATTTCCCTCTACACACTGCTTTGAATGCGTCCCAGAGATTCTGGTATGTGGTGTCTTTGTTCTCGTTGGTTTCAAAGAACATCTTTATTTCTGCCTTCATTTCGTTATGTACCCAGTAGTCATTCAGGAGCAGGTTGTTCAGTTTCCATGTAGTTGAGCGGCTTTGAGTGAGATTCTTAATCCTGAGTTCTAGTTTGATTGCACTGTGGTCTGAGAGATAGTTTGTTATAATTTCTGTTCTTTTACATTTGCTGAGGAGAGCTTTACTTCCAACTATGTGGTCAATTTTGGAATAGGTGTGGTGTGGTGCTGAAAAAAATGTATATTCTGTTGATTTGGGGTGGAGAGTTCTGTAGATGTCTATTAGGTCTGCTTGGTGCAGAGCTGAGTTCAATTCCTGGGTATCCTTGTTGACTTTCTGTCTCGTTGATCTGTCTAATGTAGACAGTGGGGTGTTAAAGTCTCCCATTATTAATGTGTGGGAGTCTAAGTCTCTTTGTAGGTCACTGAGGACTTGCTTTATGAATCTGGGTGCTCCTGTATTGGGTGCATAAATATTTAGGATAGTTAGCTCCTCTTGTTGAATTGATCCCTTTACCATTATGTAATGGCCTTCTTTCTCTCTTTTGATCTTTGTTGGTTTAAAGTCTGTTTTATCAGAGACTAGGATTGCAACCCCTGCCTTTTTTTGTTTTCCATTGGCTTGGTAGATCTTCCTCCATCCTTTTATTTTGAGCCTATGTGTGTCTCTGCACGTGAGATGGGTTTCCTGAATACAGCACACTGATGGGTCTTGACTCTTTATCCAACTTGCCAGTCTGTGTCTTTTAATTGCAGAATTTAGTCCATTTATATTTAAAGTTAATATTGTTATGTGTGAATTTGATCCTGTCATTATGATGTTAGCTGGTGATTTTGCTCATTAGTTGATGCAGTTTCTTCCTAGTCTCGATGGTCTTTACATTTTGGCATGATTTTGCAGCGGCTGGTACCGGTTGTTCCTTTCCATGTTTAGCGCTTCCTTCAGGAGCTCTTTTAGGGCAGGCCTGGTGGTGACAAAATCTCTCAGCATTTGCTTGTCTATAAAGTATTTTATTTCTCCTTCACTTATGAAGCTTAGTTTGGCTGGATATGAAATTCTGGGTTGAAAATTCTTTTCTTTAAGAATGTTGAATATTGGCCCCCACTCTCTTCTGGCTTGTAGGGTTTCTGCCGAGAGATCCGCTGTTAGTCTGATGGGCTTTCCTTTGAGGGTAACCCGACCTTTCCCTCTGGCTGCCCTTAACATTTTTTCCTTCATTTCAACTTTGGTGAATCTGACAATTATGTGTCTTGGAGTTGCTCTTCTCGAGGAGTATCTTTGTGGCGTTCTCTGTATTTCCTGGATCTGAACGTTGGCCTGCCTTGCTAGATTGGGGAAGTTCTCCTGGATAATATCCTGCAGAGTGTTTTCCAACTTGGTTCCATTCTCCACATCACTTTCAGGTACACCAATCAGACGTAGATTTGGTCTTTTCACATAGTCCCATATTTCTTGGAGGCTTTGCTCATTTCTTTTTATTCTTTTTTCTCTAAACTTCCCTTCTCGCTTCATTTCATTCATTTCATCTTCCATTGCTGATACCCTTTCTTCCAGTTGATCGCATCGGCTCCTGAGGCTTCTGCATTCTTCACGTAGTTCTCGAGCCCTGGTTTTCAGCTCCATCAGCTCCTTTAAGCACTTCTCTGTATTGGTTATTCTAGTTATACATTCTTCTAAATTTTTTTCAAAGTTTTCAACTTCTTTGCCTTTGGTTTGAATGTCCTCCCGTAGCTCAGAGTAATTTGATCGTCTGAAGCCTTCTTCTCTCAGCTCGTCAAAATCATTCTCCATCCAGCTTTGTTCTGTTGCTGGTGAGGAACTGCGTTCCTTTGGAGGAGGAGAGGCGCTCTGCGTTTTAGGGTTTCCAGTTTTTCTGTTCTGTTTTTTCCCCATCTTTGTGGTTTTATCTACTTTTGGTCTTTGATGATGGTGATGTACAGATGGGTTTTCGGTGTAGATGTCCTTTCTGGTTGTTAGTTTTCCTTCTAACAGACAGGACCCTCAGCTGCAGGTCTGTTGGAATACCCTGTCGTGTGAGGTGTCAGTGTGCCCCTGCTGGGGGGTGCCTCCCAGTTAGGCTGCTCGGGGGTCAGGGGTCAGGGACCCACTTGAGGAGGCAGTCTGCCCGTTCTCAGATCTCCAGCTGCATGCTGGGAGAACCACTGCTCTCTTCAAAGCTGTCAGACAGGGACACTTAAGTCTGCAGAGGTTACTGCTGTCTTTTTGTTTGTCTGTGCCCTGCCCCCAGAGGTGGAGCCTACAGAGGCAGGCAGGCCTCCTTGAGCTGTGGTGGGCTCCACCCAGTTCGAGCTTCCCGGCTGCTTTGTTTACCTAAGCAAGCCTGGGCAATGGCGGGCGCCCCTCCCCCAGCCTCGTTGCCGCCTTGCAGTTTGATCTCAGACTGCTGTGCTAGCAATCAGCGAGATTCCGTGGGCGTAGGACCCTCTGAGCCAGGTGTGGGATATAGTCTCGTGGTGCACCGTTTCTTAAGCCGGTCTGAAAAGCGCAATATTCGGATGGGAGTGACCCGATTTTCCAGGTGCGTCCGTCACCCCTTTCTTTGACTCGGAAAGGGAACTCCCTGACCCCTTGCGCTTCCCAGGTGAGGCAATGCCTCGCCCTGCTTCGGCTCGCGCACGGTGCGCACACACACTGGCCTGCGCCCACTGTCTGGCACTCCCTAGTGAGATGAACCCGGTACTTCAGATGGAAATGCAGAAATCACCCGTCTTCTGCGTCGCTCACGCTGGGAGCTGTAGACCGGAGCTGTTCCTATTCGGCCATCTTGGCTCGCCACATTTTCTTAATCCAGTCTATCATTGTTGGACATTTGGGTTGGTTCGAAGTCTTTGCTATTGTGAATAATGCCGCAATAAACATACGTGTGCATGTGTCTTTATAGCAGCATGATTCTACTTTACTTCCTTTACTGCTTATTTTCTGTATTCACTCTGTTATTAAACCCATTTCTTGAGTTTTTAATTTTAGCAAATATATTTTAGTTCCACAATTTTCATTGATTTAAAAAACCATGAATGTCTTCATTTCGCTATGTTTTTTCTTGAATATTTCAAATGTGTCTGTCTTTAAGACCATAGCTATAATTCCAATATATTGATTTACCTATAGGCATGTTATTATTTGTGTTTTTTTAAATTGGTTTTCTTAATTTGGATTTGTCTCTATGCCTTCTGGAAATATTACATAATGCTGAATAATTATACAAAAATTTGTAGAGTTTCTGGATATTACTTTCCTCTTGAGAGGATTTATTTTCTTGTCACTAGCAGTTAGATTAGGGGTGAATTAATTTGTTTCAGTCTGGATTGATATGATTTGATCCTGGGTTTTTGGTGTTGTGAACACTGGTCTCCCTTCTTATGTCTTTATTCCTAGAGTGTAGACTTTCAGAGTTTTCATTTTTAAAAAATGGCAGATTTATATGGGCTTCTTTTCCTTGGCAGCCGTTGAAACTAATCCCCACCTCCAATTCCTCAAGAATGCTGACATTTCTCCTTAATTTCCTATATTCCTAGTTGTTATATACTACTTGATTTCTTCCCTCTCACCTGTGCATCAGTTAAAATTCAGACAATGTTTAAAAGACATTAACAGACAATGTTAAAAGTCTGTGGACGGTCATCTCAATTTTCTCTGGGGTCTTAGATCCTCAGATTCTAGCTTTCCTTGTTACCCTGAACTTCTGTTTTTATCTCCCTTACCTTAGGACATTACTGTCGAAATATCTAGGTTGCTGCTTTGTCTTTATGTTCCACATTGAGAATCTACAAATGCCTTTTGAGAATAAAGGAACAGAGGTGGCTAGCTTAATTGAATGTGTTTCAATTATCTGGGACCTCGGTCTCTCAAGTATTGGCTACCTTAGTTGCTTCCCATTGCGGGTAAACCACTGCCTCCTTATATATGTTATATTGTTTAAAATTTTTTTTTCTCAGTGAGAAGATTGGGCTATAATAGAAGCCAGTATGTCAGCACTGGAAGCTGAAGTCCTCTCCTAGGTTTCTGACATTAAAATCAACAATAGGCCGGGCGCGGTGGCTCATGCCTGTAATCCCAGCACTTTGGGAGGCCAAGACTGGCGGATCACGAGGTCAGGAGATCGAGACCATACTGGCTAACACGGTGAAACCCCCGTCTCTACTAAAAATACAAAAAAAATTAGATGGGCTTAGCGGCGGGCGCCTGTAGTCCCAGCTACTCGGGAGGCTGAGGCAGGAGAATGGCGTGACCCCAGGAGGTGGAGCTTGCAGTGAGCTGAGATCGCGCCACTGCACTCCAGCCTGGGCGACTGAGCGAGACTCCGTCTAAAAAAAAAAGAAAAAAAAAAATCAACAATAAGTGCTGAATATCATTGATTCAAACACATACACTCAGTTTAGTTACTTTAACTGTGTGCCACTGATTCTTAGCCATCCTTCACTATAGATTGCCAGTCCTTTATCCTTTATCAATATGGCATAATTTCCAAACCACTTATATAATGTTTTCATTTATGTTTCTTCCTTTCCTATACCTAGCTCTGTACTGGAGCCCTCACAGTATTTCATCCTCATATATCTTGGTAACTACACTACTTTATTTCTTCATATGTTTTCCATCATTGTCATTCTATCTACATCTTAAGAAAATTTATATTCATCTACTCTAGTAGCAAAACACAACATGTCTTTATTCCATAAACTAATTTTCTATCCGTGCTTTTGATTTCGTTCTTATTTACCTACTCTATTACTTTGTCCATTGCTGTTTCTAATGTTTTCCACTCAATATCCTGAGAGATTTTGTGTATGGTAATATTCAATGAGTTATATTCTATATGTGTCCATTTAAAGAGATTTCGAAATGTTCATTGATATAGAGTGGCTAACAGCAGTACTTTATGTGAATGTTTAAGGACTCACGAATTTATAGAATTTCTCTTGAGTCAAGGAGGGATACGTTCACCTGACAGTGGATCTGGACGTGGAGTTATAGGAAGATAATATGCTTTTTCCTGGACAAAAGACCTGATACAAGAAAAGAAAACCACAGACCAATATTCCCCATTAATATAGACACAAAAATTATTAACCAAACCCTTAGCCAATTAACCCCAACGATATGAAACCTGAATAATATATGGTGATTGGTGGAGATTTATGACAGGAATGCAAAGTTAGTTAAACACTCAGAAAATAATCACATCAACTCACCATATTAACATATTAAAAAAAGAAAAATCCATATGGCCACCTCAAAGGACAAATAATAAGTGTTTGAGACTAGGAATAGAGGGAAACTTTATTTTCCTGATAAGGAAGCAATGTATGGAAAACCTCCAGTGACTGTCATCTAATTGTAAGCAACTGAATGCTTTTATCCATAAGATGAGGAATAAGGCAAGGATGCCCACTCTCACCATTTCTGTTGAACATTCTAGTGGAGGATCTAGCTAGTGGAATAAAGCAAGAGAAACAAATAAAAGACATTAAGATTGGAAATAAATAAATAAATAACATCTTTACAGAAAAGATGATTGCCTATGTAGAAAATCCAGTGGAAAATACAAGATAGTATACAATAATATGGACAAACTATTTCAATGGAACACTTTTCCAAAGAAAATACGTAAATGAGAAATAAGCACATGATAAAATGTTCAACAACATTAATTATTAGGGAAATGCCAATTAACTACAAAAAATACAGCTGTACACATATTAGAAGGTCTAAAATTAAATAAAAATGACTATACAGTGTTAATGAAGGTGTAGAAGAACTGGATGCCATATATGTAATGGTGGAATTTAAAATAATATAACAAACATGGAAAATATTTTGGCAGTTTCTTGAAAAGATAAGGGAATACCTACCATATGACCCACATATTCTTCTAGGTATTGACCTTATCATTATTGACCTGTTAGACTAGCCTTAGGTATTGACCTTACAGAAAAATAAATTAAAGAAATGAAAGCACATGTTCATTCAGTGACTTGTACACAGGTGCTTTCAGCAGTTTTAGATAATATAGAAAAAACTGGAAACAATCCAAATGTCCACTAAGAGGTAAACAAATTCTGGTATATCGATGCCATGTAATACTACTTGGAAGTACAAAGAAATTAACTATTGATATAAATAGTACCATAGATAAATCTCAAAATAATTAGGCTTAGTGGGAAAATAACCCAAAATAATACATAATATATTCTTCCATTTATATAAAATTTTGTAATAAGCAAACCAGTCCATAGTGACACAGAGAAAATTAATGGTTGTCTGAGGATGGTGCGGAAGACTGGAGAAGAGATTACAAAGGGACACAAGGGAACTTTTGGGGAGATAGATGTGTTCGTTATCTTTATTGTGGTGATGATTTGAGAGTGTATACATATTTCAAAACTTATTAGACTGTTGTAATATGTGAAATTTATTTTCAGTCAATTATGTATTTATTAAGTTAACACAAGCAAATAAGATAATTTGGCAATATCTTATGAAATGAAGAACACATACCTATTCTGCAATAATGCCGCTTTTTGTGTATAACTATAGAATGTGTTTTTCAAACATTGAGGGAAATAACAAGAAGACAGATATTTGAGGCAATAGATATGCTAATTACAATGATTTAAATATTCCACAATGTACACATGTATTGAAACATCACATTGTAACCCATAAATATATACAACTGTTATTTTTCTATTAAAAATGAAATAAAACTTAAAAAAGTAGACAAATAATCATTTTTAATGGGTGAAAGATCTGAGAATATACTTTATCAGAGAAGACACGGGAATGACAAATAAGCATATTAAAAGATGTTCAAAATTATTAGTTATCAGGGAAATGAAATGAAAACAGACAATGTGATATTTTAATATCACTACAATAGCTACAACTAAAAAGACTGACTAAACCAAATGTTGGCAAATATACAAAGCATTTGAATCTCATACGTTGCTGGTGAGTATGAAAAAGTGTACAGCCACTTTGGAAAACAGTCTGGCAGTTTCCTATAAAGTTAAACCTGTACCTACATTATATAACCTGCAGTTTCACTCCTAGTTATTTACTGAAGATAAACGAAAACATATGTTAATACAAAGATTTGCATTCAATTGTTAATAACAGCTTCACTCATAATATCCTCAAACTGGTCAGTACAAATATTCATTAAGTGGCAGATGGATAAACAAAGTCTGGGATATCAGAAAATGGATCACTAATTAGCAATATAATGGAATAAATTACTGACATATGCAGCAATGTAAATAAATCTCAAAAGCTTAATGCTGGACATCAAAACTGCATTTATAGGCCAGGCACAGTGGCTCACACCTGTAATTCCAGCGCTTTGGGAGGCTGAGGCAGGTGGATCACCTTGAAGTCAGGAGTTCGAGGCCAGCCTGGCCAACATGGTGAAACCTTGTCTCTACTAAAAATACAAAAAATCAACCAGACGTGGTGGCGTAGGCCTGTAATCCCAGCTACTCAGGAGGCTGAGGCAGGAGAGTCACTTGAACCCAGGAAGCAGAGATTGCAGTGAGCCGAGATAGCACCATTGCACTCCAACCTGGGAAACAAGAGTGAAACTCCGTCTCAAGAACAACACAACAATAACAACAACAACAACAAATCACCTGCATTTATATGCAATTCTGTAAAACTAGAACTACAGAGAAAAGAGGATGATCAGTAATTTCTAGGGTTGATGACAGAGGCAGGGAATTGACTACAAAGTGTCACTAGAAAACTTTTTGTGGTTATGCAAATATTCTGTGTCTTCATTGTTGTGGGAGCTATTGTTTACATTCGTCCAAATTCATCAAATCGCACAGAAGATTGTACCAAGGGGATTTTAATGAGAATTTTGTTGAAAATTTATCTCAGTAAGCTAATTACAAAAGTAGTCTTTTGAGAGTCAAATGGCAAGCTTCTACTTTCTATAATATTTTAGATTAAATTCTGACTTTAAAATATACATTAAATTCCTCAACAATTTGTTGGACATAGACATGAAAAAAAGCTCTATTTTTATCATGTTTATCCATTCAAGTGAGTAGAGCCATAGAGTTCATGAAAGGATTTGTGGGGCACAGGGGTGGCAAGATTTCTAGTGTCATTTATTACCAGAAACTCAATTTTTCACAGGTACCTTTAGGAAGACAGCAGAAAGTGATGATCAATTATTCCTTACCCACCACAATAACCATCTTATTGCTGGAAAAAATAGCAGTGGTTTTATTAATCTTTAGTGATTTGTTAAATTTAGCAAAAAAAGAAATGCATAAAGTGCATTGGCCGTTATTATTTTATGATATACTCGTGGGGTCATAGAACACAGTGGCATAACTCTCATACTCAATTTGAAAAATTGCTGTGAATTTTCCAGGAGAAATATGAGCCAGAGTCATATTTCAGAGCCATTTACATGGCAAATTTCTTTTTTATATTTCTTAACTAAATATAATGGAGATATTTTAAATAATTATAGCTTATTATCTTTGCTTCCATCAGTATGAAATTAGGAGGGACAAAAAAAAAAACAGAATAAGAATTTAGAGTAGTGGGGTCACCTGAATAACCCTCTCATTTTAAACTCTTAGTCCTGGAACACGTATCAGACTCATAGGAAGTCCAGATCTAGGGATTTTTCTTTTTGACTCTTAATACAGCTACCAATGTGATTTTTTCAGATGTTGAGTCTCTGAAAAGGATTTACCCTTGAGGTTACAGAGAAATAATGTGAAAAGGGAACTTTACACATACTGATAAATATATCTAATGATCAGACATGTATGCAAGCAGGCAGGTGCATCTAATCAGGAGGATGGGAAGGAACAGCTGTATGGTGAATAAAGGCTCATTGGCCACCAGAAAGATAGATGGGGAACAGTTGGTTTTCCATGAGGGCCATGTCTCCCATAATGCCCTTGTCCCTGCTTCTCTATGACATGAATATTCTCCCAGGCTAAAGGGGAAGACACATTTATAGATCACTGAGACAGCTGTTGTTGTTCTTAAAGAGGGTAATTTGTCCCAGCTTCAGAAATTGCTCTCATTGGGCACCATGGGAGTGAGCCCAGATGCTTTGTGTTATGAAACTCAATGTCAAACCAATTATGGATGTACTGATTCATCATGATATCTGAGATGAAGAAATTGCAAATTAGACCACTTCCTCTTTGTACATTTAAATTCTGACATTTTATGCTGTCATGATTTATGGTGATTCTCAATTAGTGGAATGTTGTTGATTGACTGTCTAGTCCTTCTAAAGGTTGGGATGATGTCCAAACAGACAGCGAAGTTCATGAAAACAATGTTGATTAAGTTTGTTGGTTTTTTTTTTGGTGGAGTCTCACTCTTGCCCAGGCTGGAGTGCAGTGGTGTGATCTCGGCTCACTGCAAACTCTGTCTCCTGGGTTCAAGTGATTTGCCTGCCTCAGCCCCCTGAGTAGCTGCGATTACAGGCACCTGCCACCATGCCTGGCTAATTTTTGTATTTTTAGTAGAGACGGGGTTTCACCATCTTGGCCAGGCTGATCTTGAACTCCTGACTTCGTGATTTACCCATCTTTGCCTCTCAAAGTGCTGGGATTACAGGCATGAGCCACCGCACCCAGCCTAAGTTTGTCTTTCTATGACCAGTATAGTGTAGTTAAGTTACATCTATATGGATAGATTGAATCCAGCTTTGACACCAAGTAGGTACTTTAAGGATATGCCTGGTTCTACTGGGAAGAACTAAGTTGCTGGGGATGAGCAGTCTTGGGTCTCATCCTGATCATTTCTACCTGGATGATCTTGAAGATATAGCAAGTGGCCTTGGAAAATTATTTGAAGTCCATCTCTACCCTCGGTTTTCTTATATGTAAAATAGGGAAGAAAACACCTAGTTAGGACTGTTTACATTTTACATTGACATTTTTCAGTTGATTTCACTTGAGGTTGCTTTCAAAAGCTTTTTGCTGAGTAATAACAAAGGTGTAAATGTAATCAACTTGATTGGTTCATAGAATTCAGTTTCAAACATATAAAATTGAGATTCACATATTGAAAGTGAAGCTATGTATATATATTTGCACTAATTATAGATATGAATACACTATTATAAATACTATATATGTATTATTACAACATACAGGTATATATATAATATATATACTATATATGTGCACATACTACACATATATTTATATGCTATATGTAAATTTATGTAGATTTTGGTTTAATTTAATTGAAATTGGATTTCTGTCACTTGCAACCAAAGATCCTGACTAATACAGAGACAAAGACTGACAACCAGGACAAAAAAAAGAAACTGAAGAAAACGTTACATGATGGATACTGCCTGAGTAACTGAGCCTATGGATTAAAAGCCAGCTCTACTGATGCCTTACTCATAAATATTCGCTTAAGACCTTCAAGTGTGATGCTTATGTAGGTGGTGGCATATCCTTATTTTAAAGAGAATGCTTCTAATGTTTTTCATAATATTTTGTAGATATCATCAAGTATTTCAAGAAAGTTCTATTTCTAGTTTATTAAAACTGCTTTATAAAATTTATGAATAGTAGGGAATATTATGTTTTCTCTGTATCTCTTGACATATTTTCTTTTAATTTGTAAATATGGTGAATAGTATTGACCCCTGTTTTAAATGGCTTTATTTGTATATAACTTACATACTATAAAATGTAAATTTTACATACTATAAAATGCACCCATTGAAAGTGTAAAATTTGATGAATTTTAGTAAATTTATACATCTTTACAACCATCCCCATAATCCAATTTTTAAATACTTCCAACATGACAAAATTTTCATGTTTTCATTTGTAGAAAATTCTTTTCCCAGCACTTTCTGTTCTACAGTTTTTGCTTTTTTAGAAACTTTATTTGAAAGGATTTATAGAAAATGTGTGTCTGATTTCTTTCACTGGAAAGAATAATGATTTGATATTCATTTACATTTTTGCATGAGTTTGTAATTTGTTTCATTATATCAAGCAGTATTTCATTATATAGATGTATGTCATATTGTTTATAAATTCACTAATTGATTCCATTTGAAGTGTTATGTTTTAGTTGCTATGTGTATTCATGTCTATTATTTCTATTACTTGTGTGAGCATATGTTTTTATTTATATAGAGTAAATATATAGAAATGAAATTGGTAAGTTGCATAGTAAATATATGTTTATTTAAGAAAATGGAACATTGATTCCAAATTAGTTGTCCCATTTAAATTCTCTTCAGCAAAACAAGTAATTTATGAGGGTTCTAATTTTTGCTAACCCTCTCCAATACTTGGCATTGTCATTCTTGTTGATTACACATATTATTTTTAAAATTTAAGTGTGGAAATAGTAGAGAGGGCTGGAAGAAACTGGAATCCTCATAAATTACATATATTACTTAGTGATGGGAATATAAAATGATATGTATTAGCCATGTGGCTTACCAATTTCATTTCTAGATATTCATGTAAGTTAAATGAAAACGTGTTCACACACATATAATTTTTAAAATGTTTTTAAATGGTTGAAGAAATAAAGAGTAATATGCAACAGAGATAGTATTTGGCCCAGAAAACCTAAAATATTTGCTATCTGGCACTTAACAGATAAAGTTAGCCAATCTCTGCTCCAGGGTAAACACTGGAGAAAGATTGGTGGATTACATAGAATTGCACATCTGACTTGATAAGAAACAAGCAAACTTTTCTAGAGTGGCCGTTAAAATTTGCATTTCCATCAGCAGTCTATATAACATGCAGTTGCTTCACATCCTCATCAGTACTTAGTCAGAATTGTTGTTGCAGGAATTCTAATACTAATATAGTGGCATCTCATTGAGATTTTAATTTGAATTTCTCTAGTGCCTAATGATGTTGATTATATTTTTGTGTATAATTTACTATCTATCTGTGCCTTTTGGTGAAATGTCTGTTCAAGTATTTTGCCCACTTTCTAATTAAATTATATATTTTCTTACTATTGAGTTCATAGATTGTAAAATATATTCTTGATATGTATACAGAGTATACTTTTTTAAAGTTTGTTGGGTTTTTTGATTTGCAAATATTTTCTACCAGTTCATCTCTTGTTCTTCCCTTCTCTTAAATTATATTTTGTCCAATAAATATTTCAATTTTAATAAAGTCCAATTTAGCTATGTTTTCTTTAACATAATTTGCTTTTGGTGTTGTGTCTAAAAATTCTTTATCTAACTATAAGCAATGGAGATTTTCTCCTATATTGTGTTCGAAAGGTTAATAGTTTTACATTGTGCATTCAATCTAAGATGCAATGTAAGTTAATTTTTGTATAATGTGTGAAGCTTTAATTGAAGATATTAACTCTTAAAGTAGTATGTTTCCTCTAATTATAGTTGCCGTTTTCAAAATTGTTTTTCCTTTGAGACATAAACTTTAGGAACAGCTTATCACTTTGAACAAAAATGCCACAGGAATTTTGATAGGGATTACACTGAATCTACATATCTATTTGGAGACAAGTGCCATATAAAAATTATGCTGTATGCCTATCTCCATATCTAGTATTTTCCACCACTTTTTAATGTCCCTTTAAATGTCTCTAAGTAATGTTTTGCATTTCTTAACATTTTACTTTAAGTTCTGGGACACATGTGTAGAACATGCGATTTGTTACATAGGTATGCATGTGCCATGGTGGTTTGCTGCAACCGTCAACCCATCATCTAGGTTTTAAGCCTCACATGCATTACTTATTTGTCCTAATGCTCTCCCTCCATTTGCTGCGCACCCCCTGACAGGCCCCAGTGATGTTCCCCTCCCTGTGTCCATGTATTCTCTTTGTTCAACTCCCACTTATGAGTGAGAACATGTGGTGCTTGGTTTTCTGTTCCTGTGTTAGTTTGCTGAGAATGATGGTTTCCATAAAAAGGAATGAGTTCATGTCCTTTGCAGGAATATGGATGAACATGTTTTGTATTTTTTATGTGGAGGTCTTTCACTTCTTTTGTTAAATCTATTCTAAGTATTTTTATTCATTTAATTTTTTGATTTTTAGGTGGTAGCATACTGAAATAAAGCTGTAATTTTAAAAATATTGATCACGTATCTAGCAACCTTGCTGAGCTTACTTATTAGAGTAGGTTTCTAGTAGATTCTTTGGTTTGCATATGAAATTAATTCATCAGTGGATAAAGGTACTTTATTTCCAATCTGAGTGTTGTTGAATGATTGATTGATTGATTTTTACACTGGCTAGAACCTCTAGAAAAATGTTGAATAGAAACGGTGAGAAACAGACATATTTGTAACTGATTTTAGGGAGAAAACGTTCAGCCATTCTCCATTAGTCATTATAGTAGCTGTAAGTTTTTCATAAACACTTTGTATCAGAGATCATTTTTTCCTCACTTTTGTGTTTGTTTTGAGTTTTCAACATAAATGGATGTTGAATTCTGTAAAATACTTTTCCTGATTCTACTGAGATAAACATACAGTTTCTGTCCCTTACTTTATAAATATAATACATAGCAAATGTCTGTCTGTTATTACAATGACCTTGCATTTCTGGGATAAACTCCACTTGGTTAACGTGTAGAATTCTATTTATTTTCTTTTCTTGTGAATCTATGTCTGGCTTTCGTGCCTAAGTAATACAGGACTTTTAAGATAATTGGGATATATTTTTTCTTTCTCAATGCTATGAAATAGTATATGTAGAACTGATATTATTTCTCCTTAAAATGTTGTATAAAATTCATTCTGAAGCCATCTAATCTTGAAGTTTTCTTGCTAGAAAAGTTTTAATTACTCTCTGTATTTGTACTTGATATAGATCTATTTCATCAAATGTATGTTTTTCATTTGGATCAGTTTTCATAATTTTAGTATCTATAGGAATTTGTACATTTCATCTAAATTGTCTAATGTATGATTTTTCTTAATATTCAGTTACAGTTCTCTTTAATGTCTTGAGTCTTTAGTATTGGCCACTTATCCCTTCCTGATTTTGGTAATTTATGTCTTCTTTTTATCTTTATTAGATTACCTAAATCTTATAAACTTTTGGCTTCAGGGATTTTCTCTAATTTTTTTTCTGGTTTATATTTTATTGATTTCCATTTTTATTGCTATTTCTTCTCCTCTCCCTAATTTGAATTTGATTTGCTCTATTTTTCTAGCTTCTTGAAGTCAAAGCTGAGAATATTTGTCTAGATCTGTCTTCCTTTCTAACATGGGTTTAAATTTATAATCCCTTCTAGATACTGCTTAGAGCTTTAGCAGCATGCTACACATTTTGAATGTTGTGCTTTTATTTTCATTTAGTTCAATTTTTTTTAAAAACTTAAGTATAATGTTCCTATTTTACATAATGAATCATTTTCTTTTGCTATTTTCAAGATTTCTCTCTTCTTTGGTTTTCGGCAATTTAACTGTCATTATTTTAATTATAAATCTCCTGTTTATCTTAATTTTGTTGTTTTTTTGAGCTCCTTTAATGTATAGATTAATGTTTTTCATCAAATTTCTCTTCCTCCATTCCTACTGGTACTTTTTTGCATATATTTTTATACTATATATTGTCCCATGAATCCCTGTGGCTATGTTCATTTTTCTGCAATATTTTTTCTTGTTCTTCAGATTGAATGATTTCTATTGGATTACCTTCAAGTTGACTGATTTTTTTCTTCTGCCATTAGAGATCTTCTGTTGAATTCATTCAGAAAGTTTTTCATATTTGTTATTGAATTTTAATGTAAAATTTTCATTATTTTTTATGATATGTTTTTCTTCATTGACATTAATCTCTTCTTGATTTTTTTATGATTTGTTTTTCTTCATTGACATTAATCTCTTCTTGAATCATTGTCATATTTTTCTTTAAATTCTTGGAAAATACTTAAACTAGCTAATTTTAAGTCTTTGCTAAAGCCAACCTCTGGGCTGGCTCACATTTATTACTGACTGCTTTTTTACCCAGAGTATAGGTTGCACTATCCTCCTGATCATTTTTTTAGGTTTTTGTTTTGCTTTTTGCAGGTTTCATAATTTTTGTTGAAAAATGAACAGCAATAAGATGTATTCTTGGAACACTAGATTCTATTTCATTTATATAAATTATTTTTATTTTATATTATTTTTAAAATGTTGTCCAGACATAAACTGCAGAAACTGCTGTGGCTCCTGATGTCTATGCATGGTTATTATTATTATTATTTTTAGCCTGACTTCCTATGGATTAACCCTGTGTCTATGTAACATAACACTAAGACAATGACTTGAGCAGAGGCAGTACATTCAAACACCTCAAGATTTTAAGGCTTCCACCTTATGCCAAAGTTGGAGCCAGTTCTCAGGTATGACTTGGCTTTCACTGCTCAATGGGCTTTTTGGGATGCTCCTACAAAACACATCAGCCAGGCCAGTATTTGTGGAGAGTTTATAGCCTCTCCTCCCCTCCCCCCGGCTTCCTTTCTCTCTCTCTCTCTCTCTCTCTCTCTCTCTCTCTCTCTCTCTCTCTCTCTCTCTCTCTCTCTCTCTCTCTCTCTCTCTCTCTCTCTCTCTCTCTCACTTTCTGGCTGTTCCACTGATTGCCCTTACAAAAACTGAAAGACAAGACTCACAAAGTTTAGGGGCTCTCCATTTGTTTCTGACTGAATTTATTTGTTTTACTTGGAAAACAATGGGCTTTCTTACCCTCTTTCTGTGCAAATCAAGTTTGTGCTCACTAGCAGAAGAAGCTGGTTTTTGTTTCTAAACTCGTGATAAAAATACATGAGTTCAGTGGACGTGGGATGAAGGGTAGGAATATGGAGTAGGGAGAAAGAGTCAGGATAGGAATAGCCCCGGGTGAAAAAGGTCATGGACTCCCACTTACCTGAAGCTCCATAGTTCTTCAAGAATAAATACTTCTCTATTTCTTTCGGCCTTTAAATGATTTCTGGTTCCCTGTTGTATTCTATAACTTGGTAAATGGTATCATTATCAAAATACTCATCCAGGCTCAGAACTTCAGAACTGATTTTGACTTTTTCCTGTATCTCATCTTTTTAAATTTGATTTTTTGGGAAATCTTGTTGATTCCTTGTCATTTATTTCTCTTCTGCTTATAAAGTTATATCCTTTACCTCCTCACTATTGCTACCTGAATTTGGACTTCCATCATCTCTTGTCTAGATTACTGCAATGGTTTTCTTATTGGTCTTCAAACTTCTTTATCTTTATTATTTCTTTTCTTCAAATTTTATTTTAAATTCTGGGGTACATGTGCGGGATGTGAAGGTTTGTTACATAGGTAAATATGTGTCATGGTGGTTTGTTGCACAGATCAGCCCATCACTCACGTATTAAGCCCAGAATCCATTAGCTATTCTTGCTGTTGCTCTCCCAGCATTATTTTTTTAATTGGGAGAGCTGAAGACCAAATCATTCAGCATAAACTTTTAATATTCTCCAATTTGACCACCTCTGAACTTTGTGTTCTTGTCTCACATTTTATGTTATGCCACCATTTTAAACAATCAGACTGAAATATTTACTGCAGATATGTTTCCCTTCCCTTGAAAAGACTCTTCTCTCTTCTATCATTTTAACAAAAATGGCAGTAGAAAAGAATCCCTGAGGGTCCTACAAGATTTATGTCTGCTTCTTTTAAGAAATATATCTGATTTTTGTTTTATTTTTATATTTTGCATGTTTCATATTTTGCAAACTGTCATTCTATATCCCACTTTGTATCACACTTATGGAAGAAAATCTTATTGTAGCCCTCTTTGTACAATGAGTGATGCTTAGGCACTTAAGAGGTATATGTCTTTGTGAGATGAACATAGACAATTTTTAGAGACTGTATTTTAGAAATTTTACTGTCATCAACACTGAATTAAAAATTATGAAAGAGTTATATATTTTTAAAATTACTATGATTATTTGTCAGTTCACAGAGGAACAATTAAATCTATTGTTTATCTTCTTGACTTGGTTAATAATTTATTAAAAAGCAAGTCAATAGTTTTAAATGCAATTTTCAAAAAAATTTTGAAATGTAAAAATTCTAGAGTCGCCCGAAAGATTATCAAGAATAAATTAAGGCATTGCATAACAATGGAGTCAATTTTGTAAGAAGACCTAATAATCCTCAATATGTGCGTAGGCCCAGAACAGACTGTCAAAATACTTAAGGTGAAACAATGATTGAATTGAAAGGAGAAGTAAACGTCATAAAGGGTCATTTTAGTTATCTGTTCCAGATAATGCTCATTTTCAGGACTATAAAAGTATATATGCCTAGAAAAATTCCTATTTTAAATGGAGAAAGTGTTAGTCCTTTTGGAATTGTGCTATGGAACTATTAGGCTGATTAATAAAGGATAGTATTAGGTTTTAAAGGAATACTGGACACAAGAAATACTATTTTGTCTCATTTAAGGAATAATATGGTTTATTTAATTAACACATTAATACCCTGAGAGTCTTTAATTTCACATTGTAATTCAAAGTTTAACAAGATCATACATTCTAGTGTTTCTTATATGGAACTAGCATTTAGAATGCTTTTCAAAATAGGTTTCAGAGGTTGGTCCCAGCTCCATCAAGCATATCATTATTATCACATCTACTTTAGAACTGGCATGGTTTTGAGAGAATATCATTGAGTCAAACTTACTACTTCATTAAAAATTTTGGGTTTTTAAAGATGCCGTGATTGATACATATAAAATGAGATCATCTTCTTAAGTGTCATTCACTAGACATCTCTGAGGAATGTAGAACTTCGTTTCAGTTTGTTTCTTCTTTATCATTAGTTTTCAAGTTTCTTTAGAGCAAAAATATCCCTTTACTGAATTGGAAACAATCACAAACAATGGAAACCTTTTATTTGGAAGGCTTACAAAAACAGACCTACTGTGGTGGAGACTTATGATTTGTTATGCTACTTAAATAACTATACAATTATTATTTATGAGAAAAAACTATAAAATGTGTATAAGGGCCAGCCATTATACATCTCAGGACATGCTGTAGTACTATGAGATTCATTTTGTTGTGGAAGCCAACAGCATAGTCACCTTCCTTATTGAAGCCTTCTATGCATTATTATTCCGAATGGAAGAAAAAGGCGGGATTTTAGCTCATATGAGCTCAAAGTATACATAGAAAGACCAGAGTTACGCATTCTTTAGTGTTCTCCCTTTAAGGTCCTTGGTATAACAGATGACTTACGCTATTCCCAGTACAACAGCACTTAGCGTTTCTCTTTCCAAGGATAATAGCTGTTCACTCAACTCTTGGATGTAACTCATATTTATTCAAATGGGACAATGTGCTGGGGCCATTTACAGTATTTACCAACTAGAAGTACTTATTAAGAATCTACAGTGTATGAACCAGTTGTATAGGCATGAGAATATGGTAGTGAATAAAACAGGAAAAAATTTCTGCCTTTAATGAGTTTATATTTAATGAAACTCATATCCACTTCTCCTTTCAATGCAATCATTTTGTTACCTAAAGTATTTTGGCAGCCTATTGTTAGGGGCCTACACACACATTGAGGATTATTAGGTCTTTTTGCAAACTTGACTCCATTGTTATGCAATGCCTCAATTTATTCTTGATAATATTTTGTTTTTCTCTAGAATTTTTACAGTTTGAGGTCTTATATTTAAGGCTTTAATCCATCTTGAGTTAATTTTTGTATATGGTGAGAGGTGGCGGTCCAGTTTCAATCCTCTGCATATGGTCAGCCAGTTTTCCTAGCACCATTTATTGATAGGGTGTTCTTTTGCCACTGTTTATTTTTGTCAGCTTTGTCAAAGATGAGTTGATTTTAGGTGTGTAGCTTTATTTCACTGGTCTCTACTCTGTTTCATTGGTCAATATATCTATTCCTAGGAATATTCTTCTAGATATTGTTCTGGGCAAATAATTTATGATGAAGACTCCAGAAGCAAATGCAACGAAATAAGAAAAATAGACAAATGGGGCTTAATTTAACTAAAGAGTCTCTGAACAGCAAAAGAAATAATCAACAGAGTAAACAGACAACCTACAGAATGGGAGAAAATATTTGCAAACTGTGTGTCCAACAAAGGACATCCAGAATCTTTAAGGAACATAAATGAATCAACAAGAAAAAAAGTCCCCTTAAAAAGTGGGCAAAGGCATGAACAGATACTTCTCAAAAAAAGACATACAAGTGGCCAACAGACATATAAAAAAACTTCCACATCACTAATCATCAGAGCAATGAAAATCAAAACCGCAATGAGATACCATTTCACACTAGCCAGGATGGTTATTATTAAAAAGAAAAAAAAAGATGTTGGTGACACTTCAGAGAAAAGAGAATGCTTACACGCTGCTAGTTGGAATGAAAATTAGTTCAGCCCCTGTAGAAGGCAGTTTGGGGATTTCTCAAAAAACCCAAAGCAGAACTACCATTGGACCCATACATCTCATTACTGGGTATATATCCAAAGGAAAATAAATTGTTCTACCAAAAAGACACGTGCACCTGTATGTTTATCACAGCGCTATTCTCAATAGCAAAGACATGGAATCAAACCAAGGGAACATCAATGATGGACTGAATTTTTAAAAAAGTGCTACATATACACCATAAAATACTACACAGCGATAAAAATATGTTCTTTGCAGCAGCATGGTTGCAGCTGGGGACCATTATCCTCGGCAAACTAATGCAGAAACAGAAAATCAGATATTACATGTTCTCTTCTAAGGGGGAGCTAAATCTTGGGTTCACATGGACAACAGACACTGAAAACTCAAAAAGAAGAGAGGGAGGGGGGAAAGGGCTGAAAAACTTCCTATTGAGTGCTATGTTCATTATTTGAGTAACAGGATCAATAGATGCTCATAACTCAGCAACATGCCATATATCCTTGCAACAAACCTGCACGTTCACCTCCTGAATCTAAAATGAAAATGGAAATTAAAAAATTCCTTGTTCTAAGTCAAGTTTGTCTAAAATTCGTATAGCTATGTGAGCTTTTTTCTGATTAATATTCTCATGGTATGTCTTTCTTCATATGTACTTTTAACTAATCTGAGTTTTTATGTTAAACTAGATTGTTATAGACAACGTATAATTGGATCTTTTAAAAATATCCTCTCTGACAATTTCTGTTAATTGATGTGTTTATGCCATTTACTTTTAAACTGAGGAACAATATAATTGAATTAATGTATACCATTTTTTAATTGTTTTCTATTCACTGCACCTACTCTTTGAATATTTGTGCTCCCTAAAATTTATACATTGAAACTTAATCCTCAAAATGATATTGTTTGGAGGTGGAGCCTTTGGGAGGTGTTTAGGTCATGAGGGTGGAGCTCTCATAAACGGGATTGGTGCCTTTCAGAAACACATGCCGGAGAGCTCCTCATCCCCTTCCGCCATGGGACGATACCTAGAGAAAAAGGCTGTCTGTAAACCAGGAAGATAAACCTCGCCAGATACTGAATATCCTGGTGCCTTGATCTTCAATTTTCTAGCTTCCAGAACTGTAAGAATTAATATCTGTTGTTTAAACCACTCAATCTATGGTATTCTGTTATGTCATTCCAAATGGACTCAGACAAGAATGCTCTTATTTAGTGATCCTCAGAAACCGTGTGTGTCTTGCAGCTCTTTCCACTTACTGTTACTAGACTTTAGGCTTGTTGGTGTGGTGGTGGGTTATGGGGAGAGGGGAGAATATTTTGTATTTTTTTTAAAATAAGGTCTTGCTCTGTTATCCGGGTTGGAGTGCAGTGGTAAAATCACAGCTCGTTACTGCTGCCTTGCTCTGCTGGGCTCAAGCATTTCTCCATCTTTTGCCTCCCTAGCAGCTACAGGTGTGGGCTATGACACCCAACTATTTTCTTTTTTTTAAAGTACATATGAGGTCACCCTATGTTGCCTAGGCTGGCCTCAAACTCCTAACCTCAAATGATCCTACTGCATTCAGCTTCCCAAAGTGCTGTGATTACAGCCATGAGCCACGAGGCACCATGCCTGGCCTTCTTCTTAACTCTTAGGCTTTTAATGGACCTGTGTCTTGGAGTCTTGGCCTTCACAATTGTTTCTGCCTCTCTGCAATATATAAATTTATCCCTTCCCCAGCCCTTTCTTTGGCTCCAGCATTTTCTATCTACCTCCTTGAAAGCCTGTTCATTGCTGACTATTTTGTTTTTTCTTACATGAAACAAACAGAGTGTAAGGGCTGTAGTGGGGAGGAATTCCATTTCCTTAGATGGAAACTGTTTCTTATTGGTAAAGGAGAAAAAAAAGACACTTTAATAGAGTACTTTCATTTAGAGGTATGCCTTTGTTATACAGGAAGGTCTGGGTGTGCTCATAATGGGGACTTTTCCTGTTTCCTGCACAGTTTATAGCTCTAGCTTCTGCTTCCTCAGGTAAGCAGATCTCAGGTGCCTTATCTTTCCAGGTGCATCTTTCTCTCTGAATTTTGCTACAGTGGTTTGCCATGTGGATTCAGTTCTTGTGATGACTCTTTACAGTTTTTGAGCATTTTTATGACTGTGAGGATAGCATCTATTATTAACAATAACCCAGTGAGATAAGGAGAACATTGATTATTAAGGAGAGGAGCTCAGTACATGCAAATTATTAGTGAGTTTGCTGTCTCACGAAAGCTCAGAAAGGATATGCGACTTGTCAAAGGTCATATATACAATTCTCTTTAGGATTCTAGCTGCCAACTTAGATGATGCTAAATGACCCTGGACGGACTAGATAAGAATTTTTGTCTGCTGAATTTTCTCATGAAAAATCAGTATAGTTAGCATTTACTACCCTCTCTCCATAGACATTCTATTTGACTAATCTCAAGACAGCTGAACCCTTTGATGGAACTCTTTATAAGGAAAAAATGTAACAATACACTAGAAACAAGGAGATGAAAATAATATGTATGATCCTTGGTTTTCAAAGACAAACTTTGACATGACCAAGCTAATTAGGTTCAAATAAATGATCTTATATCTAGCTAGCTGACCATCTCAAATGAAGTGCTCCTTCTATCAATGCCTCTTCTGTTTGGATTAAATTTTTTATATGTAAAGGAAATATCTGGCTTCATTTTGTTTCTCCCTTTATTATCTTTACTTCTCTAACTTGTAAAAACATTTTTCCTGATTTTTGTAGGAGTTAGGTGGCAGTGGAACCTTGACAAGAATGCAGTCTCTACTATAGTAAGACATAATAGAAAGACCTTTCAGTGAATCCTGAAAACAGGACTTGCTGAACTCTGCTAACTGTACTGTAGAAATGTTGTCTTCTCTTCTGAGGTGGATAAAACGGCTACTTCACCTCTGAGATAGAGAATAATGAGATATTTGAACTGGCACCAGTCTCAGAGATTACAGTGTCTAACCCCTTGATTTAACAGATAAGGAAACTGAGGTTTGGAGAGTCTTGGTAACTGGATTAACCAAATAAGTGAGAGCTAGAGCTACAAGTAGATATTCAGAATAAATTACTGAGTGCTTACTATGTGTGAGGCATTATACTAGGCACTAGGCTTAGAGAATTCAGTATGGAACTGATGTCTGTCCCTGGAAGCTCAGGTTCTAGTAGGGAGCTGAAAAAAGTAAATTGCTGTTTACCATGCAATGTCCAGTATGCTGTAAAATTCAGGGAGTCAGAAAGAAATTTGAAATGTGATAATTCAGCTAAGAGTTATTTAAAAACTGTAAAGTTTAGTAAAATTTGAAGGATTATTTTTATTGCCGTACTTATTAATTAACACAAACCCATATATACATACTGTGGATATACACATCCACACACCCACAGTCTCTCACAATAACTGTACCCTATCTAACACAGGAGCAGATAGAGGGAGAAGGTGATTCAATACAATTGCATATTTTTCTTTACTGCTTTTAGATGTCTGTATTAGGTTAATTCTAAAATACACTCACGATTAAAAGGGCTCTTTTGCAAATATTCTTCTCTCCTCTTAAATAAATTAATAGAGAAATAGCTAATTCTCCTTTATTGAAAATCTGCCTTCTATTTACTCAGCTTAATTAAATTTTATCATACTTCTGTGTGCTTTCTAAAGAATGACTATTAGAAATTAGTAATATTTTAGTAATAAAAATTATTCTAGGGATAAGGAATGAATCAAGTTATGTGGCTGGCTAACGAATCTAGATTTAATCTCTTCAGTGTAGGCTTTAGATGTAGCCATGGTGACAAGAAAGTTTCTGCTGAAACAGTGACTTAAGAAAGTGGCAAAATCTTTAGCAAAATAGGAGCCTATCAAAGTATGGAAGGACAAAAAGACTATGAGAGAGGTACAAGGAATGGTTAAAGAAACAAGTTGCTTATTTCAAGGCATGTCATGCTTTATAAAACAGTGGCTTTTATTGTGTGCCTATTAAGCAGCCATATTATACAGTTATAGATTCATTCTTTAATATGTCTTGCAGATATGGTTATAGAGAAAAGAGCAAAAACTTTCATTCAGAAGGGCAAGGGCAAGCGTTTATTTTGTTCTAATGCTTTCCATACACGATCTCACCTGAATTTAGAAGGTAGGCATTATCATCTTCAGTTTACAGATAAGAAAACTAAGCCTTAGAGAAATTAGGTAGCTTGCCCAAGGTCACAAAGATTACGAGTAGCTCTGGAATTCAAATTCAGATTTATTCAAAGCCAAGGTCTTCTGTTGCTCACTCTACTTTTTTTGAGGGTAAACAAAATGATAAATCTCATCATAAGATTAGGTGATTCACTTAATTAATGTTTTAAGTGAACACATCACTTTTTCCACAGATAACTATGTTATTATCAATGAAGAGCTTGGACATTTCATGGCAAATATTAGTATTCATCTAACACAATTGGGAAAACCAATCTTTTTATGAAAAACAGTGTTCTAACTCACATAGATGATTGTTCAGAAATAGATAAGGCATTTTAAGGTTTTGAACATATTATTCTTATTAAAGTAATAAATCTAGTGTCTTTTTTCTTTGACTTCTAGAAAAATTAAGAAAAACTTTGTTTTACTAGCTTTTATTATCTCTCTCTCTTTATGTTGTACTGATGCAACGTGACTTTATGAAGAGACTAAATCATGACAGCAACAGAAATATCCTGACTTTGATTATAGCTTGCTTTTTCAGCCAACCTCAGGATTCTCACTCATTTATAGGAAAGCCTTGGTGTGTCACAAGAAACACATTGAATGTAGAATTGGAAGACCCAAGTCCTAGTCTCAATTATGTCATTTCTAGTCCTATTTCTTGAAAAATTATTTGTTTTTCCTGTTTCTGAAGCTCACTGCCCTCATATAAAAACAGAAAGGACCAAGGTTCCATTATTTCTGAAGTGTGTTTTGATTTGGATATCTTAAGATGAGAAGAAAGCTGAATGAAGGAGATCAATTGGGTACATTTATGGAAACAAACAAACAAAGAAATGCTTTTTCCTATGGTCTGCTTAGGCATATTAAAAAAGAAAAGATACATGATATAAGGCCAAAACAAAACAGACAAAAATAAAAACAAAATTTCCAAACAGATTGGATATAGGGAGTGTAGATTGGGCGATGTTATAATGAAGAATTAGGCCAAAGGTAACAAGTATACAATTGTTGTTATATCTATTTTAACAGCTAATTATACTATGACTTCATAAAAATAAGTTTCCAGATAGACTTGGCAGATGTGTCTGTGAGTGTTTGTGTTTGCATGCCCACATAGATTACTGGCCTCTTTCTTCTGGCCACCTTCTAACTTCAGAGGCACAAAAAATATTGGAAGATTGTATGTACACACACACACACACACACACACACACACACACACACACTTGATCAACTCGTCATCAGTATTTAGATCTATAGTGCCAACTGCTAATGTAGGAATCTCTATCCAAACCTTGGAGCACTCAGTTCTCCTTGTGCACATTTTCACTTCTTCAACACCCAGCAAAAGCCATCCATGAAGTGATATTTCTACTAGTTTTCAGGATAAAAACTTGCCATAGCACAGCGGGCCCTTCAAAGTTGAATGCACTCATTCTCATCTTAGCCTCCTCTTCTCCACTAGGCAGTTTTAAGGTTATGAAATACTTGGCATCAATTTTATTTACCTTTCTAAAGCTTGTGACTGCATTACTAATGATCCTTGTATTAACTATGGTTTGGTCAGGAAGCCATTCTAGTTATTTAGAAGGGAAGGATGCTTAATAAAAGGAAATAGAGCCTTACATAACCGATGTAAGATGGGTAGAGGGCAAAGATCAGACAGGCTATTCTCAGGAAATCTATAATTTCAGGAAACAGAAACTCCCCTTGACTGCAGCACCAAGGGGAGTCTCAATGACAAACCCTGCAGTTCCCATCTATCAATGCCCACATGCCAGTCCATAGCCCTCACAAGAGAATAAAGATTTCTCCTTTCCTTGACCTTCTAGATCTGTCCAAAGCACCTCTCATGGGTGACATAATTGGAATATCAACAAGAGGGTTTGGGAAATGTAGTTTACAGATTGTATGCCTCTGAATACAGAAGAAAGCTTAGAAGTATAGAGATAACACTATAAATCAACATTTTCCAGCATACTCCTGTTATGAGACCCATCTTATCTCACTTTTCTCCTTGAAACTCTTTATTTGTTCCTAAAAAGATAGTAGTGATGAGCATGTATCTTACCATTTCATGAGATTACAAATTCTCACAGGAAAAGGCCAAGTCTACCTCTATTTCCTGTACTGGCATCAGGCCCCTATCCTCACGACATCTCAAATAATTGACCCTAAAATGAAGAGTTTGGCCAGAAGATCTCTTAGGTATTACTTCTCGTAAAAAACATTTTGCAAAACTATGATTTATGATTTTCATTGCATTTTTTTTGGTGCTTGTACCAGAACCTCACATTATAAATGTTGAATAAAGGCATACCTGAATAGCTTAATTTAAAATATTTCATAATATTAGAGTAAACATTAAACATATAAACAATAATGTATGGCCAATAGAGCTCTTCAGCATTTGTATATATTTCATTATTGTAAGATTTTATGTAACAACTGCATTCCTAATTAATTAACTAACAGCGAGAAAAGACTAAGCCAAATTTGAGTATCTTGAATTTAGCACAGCCGTGCTTTGGCTCAATTTAACTGAGTCCTCAGCTTAATCTTGCTTATTTATTTTTACTGCTTTTCAAATATGTTATGTATTTGAGCATTTTCTTTATTGCAAATAATTATAATTAGACGTATCTCTTATATTCTGTTAAAATTTTAAATTAAAAAATTATCCACGACAATTTACTTACAAATTTACGCACATGGCTTTGACACGAAGGGTGGAAGGAATGAGGGGTGGAGTAAGGAAGAAAAATGACAATAATGCAACGACAGAAGAAAGACAATCCAGAAAAAGAGGAAAAAGAAAGGAAGGGAAGGGAAAAGGAGAAGAAGAGAGAAAAGGAGAGGAGAATGGTTAAGGAGAAAGAAGCATTCTTTGGGAGAGAGGTGTAAGTCTAACCTGAAGGCAAAGATGAAAAGATCTACATACTTGCAAGTCTCAATCAGTTTCTGCTGCCACTGCAAGTTCCCCATAAATATGGGCATGAAGCAGGGTGCAGGGTGAACTTCTGGATGGAAGAAATTGAGCACCTACTAAAGGTTTCTGTGCCACTAATATTCCCTTAAATTTGTTCCTTGTCTTGTTAAAACAAATACACTAACAAGAGAAGGAACAAAAGATAAGTGTGCTTTCCACTAAAAAGATAAGTGAAAAATTGGGAACATCTTATCTGTGTCAGAGGCTGTTTCTCTTGTCTGTAACTAGCTACTCTGTATTCATTTGCTACTAATGGACGGGGGCAAGTCAAACCCTGAAGCCATTTTAATATTGCCACCAGATTCGACTGAACTGGAATAAAGAGATGTTTTACACAAGTTTGGCCTTAAATCCTAGTCCAATAAAATATTTTAAAAAATCACTGCTTTTATATTTATTGTCCTCATTTATACCCAGATATGCTATCTGATCAATTTATTATATATGGTTATTCAATGAATATCTGGTAATGCAGTTCAAGTAATAATAACAGAGCAATATAAAATAACATCATATTTCCCCTTCTCTGAAAATTTAATAATAATTTCCCTCTCTTAACCATCAATTTGATACCTACAGATAAAATATTATTTTTACAAAGTGAACTCCTCCTCCCGCCCCATTTTTCAAACAGGGAAAACATTAAGATTTTGTCCTAATTTGAATACCAATCAATTCATACCAATTGTCAAGGCTGGAGCCTACCAGCTGGGAACTTTGACTTTACCCAGAAATTTATCCCATCAGAGAAAGTTGTGACAGGTGCGACTAAATTTCCAATATCTTCGGAAGAAAAACACCTACTCATACTGTCCTGCTTTCTGTCTCCAGAGAGGCATCTGAAATAATTCAGTTTTCTTTCTACCAGAAATATAATAGGCACAGGGAGAAAGACCAATATGTTTAACTGTATCTTAGATGACTTTTATCATTGATATGAAAGTGGTATACGTAAACTTGAAAAAAAAAAAACCTTCTTCCAAAGTACACACAGTAAACTACCCACTGAAATGTAGTACTTTCAACTTCTGATGTTGGACAGTTAAGTAGGTGGGGTAAGCCCATGACAGCCTATCTCTGTAGAAGCCATAAGAGACCCGAAGACTCTGAGAAGTTAACAATAGAATCCAGATTGAGGAAGAAAGCCAAAACTGGAAGAATGACCCATTATGGATGTGAGCTCCCTTATTTTTATAAAACTCTCCTCTCTGGGCTTTGACTGATTGATGGCCCACCTGTGAAAAAACATGACAGCAGGAGGGTCAGTAGATTCTCTCAGAGTATGAACCAACACAAGATCAGGCTCAAACCTAAGCTATTCATGTGCAAAAAAGACCCAAAGAAGCCCAAGAAATCATTGAGAACTGAAATAAGATATAAAAAACTTCTCAATGCCAAGATTAAACCCTGAGAACCTCATGTGTGGCTACAAAGCCACATAGCAAAAGTTTTAAAAACCAAACTGCAATTGGAACCACCACCCACAGAAAATTAGATAGACCTTGTGTTATAAACTTAAGTGGGTTGGTTGTTTGCTACAGCAAAATAATAAACACTTTCCATAGTATATTAATAGGACCCAGTGTCTTACAACATATTATTCAAAAGGTCAGGGTTACCACTTATCATTCTCCACGTAGAAAGAGCAAGGAAGATGGAACCAATCCTCAAGGGAAGAGGTAATTATCCTTGAGATAATACAAGTGAAAGACTTATCAAATACTTGAAAGCAGATATTTTTACCGTGCCTAATGAGATAGAAGAAATGAATATTGAAATGAATACAAACAGAAGCTTTCAACCAAGAAAGAAAAACCACAAAGGTATCAAATAGGAATTTTAGAACTGAAAAGTAAAATACCTGAAGAAAAATAATTTACTTCTTGGGCTTAATAACATAATGGAGATGACAGAGAAAATGAATTAGTTAACGTGGAGATAAGTCAATAAAAGTGATCCAGTTTGAAAAGCAGAGAGCACAAGAATAGAAAAAACAAAAATCCTGAATATGGTTTCCACAGTCTGTGAGATATTGTCAAGCTATCTAAGATTTTTGCTACTAAAATTTTAGCAGAAGAAATGTATAACATAGTGAATAAAAATGTTTGAAGAAATAATGGCTAAACAAGTATCATATTTGTTGAAAGACATGAATTTGCAGATTTACAAAGTTCAACAATAGAAAAACAGGTAAACTCAAGGAAATTCATGCCAATACAAATCATAACCAAACTGCTGAAAATGCAAAAAAAGAAAAAAATGAAAGAAACCAGATGAAATTGATTTATTATTTATAGGAAAACAACTTGGATGAGTATTGCTTTCACATGAGAAACCATGAAGGTGATAAGACCTTGGAACTATATCTTTAAAATACCATAGGAAAGAAAAGTCGACCCACAATTCTATGTGTAGCCAAAATATTCTTCTGGAGTGGTGGAGAAATGAAGATATACTTGGATGAAGAATACAAATATATTTCATCACCAACAGACAAGTGCAAAGAGAAATGTTAAATTATGTTTTTCAGACTGAAAAGAAGTTACATCAGAAACTTGTAATGGCAGGAATAAAAACAATTGTAAATAAGTAAATATAGGACGCAATTTTTCTCCTTTTATGTTTTTAAAAATGTGTGACTTTTTAAAGCAAAAAAAATTATTTTCTGGGACTTTGAATATATGTAGAAGTAATAAATGACAACTAAGGGATAAAGTGGGAAAGAACAAGGTCCTGTACGTTTGTAGGGCTCCTGTTTTACTAAGAGTGATAAAATATTAACTCTAAAAAGACAGTGAATAATTAGCTATGTATATTTTAATCTTTAGAGACCACTACAAATAATACAAAATTATGTAGTCCAAAAATCAACAGATAAATTAAAATGAAATGCTAAAATATATTTAAATAATACAAAACGAGACAGATAAGGGGAATAAGAATAATATGAAACTGATTGGATAAATAGAAAATAAATAATAAAATAGCCAGCCTAAATCTGAGCATATTTATTATTAAATAAAATATAAGTGGTCTAGATTTAAGCACACTTCATGTGTGTGTGTGTGTGTGTGTGTGTAATATATTGACATATATTACATATATACATATATATGTTATTAGGTATCCCCTGGCCATGCATTGGAAACCTGGAAGTAAATGTAAGAGCACGGAGAATATCCCAAGAGACTTACTCTATTATTGGCTCAGTGAGTGAACGAAGGAACACCAAAGCTCAGGCGAGGTTTGGAATATATCCACTTTTTTCTCTTATTTTCTCCATTCTTTCGTGCTGTGTTGGTGATTGCAACTGATGGCAGTGAGAGACTGAAAGAGAAAAAATTTGTGGAAGGAAAACCTTTCCCTGTCAATTTTACAGAAATGTGTTTCCAAGATGGTGAATCCAACCTCTATTCTGTTTTGCTTTAGTTTTTTCTCTCTCTCTTTGTTATTCCACTTGGATGTGGGAGCCATTGTAGAAATACATGGCAGAGTGAGATAAGCAAAACTCAAGCATTCTAGATAAAGAGTAAGAAGAAAACTGCTCAAAAAAGATTGAGGAAAATGCAGCAAGGGAAAAACTCAAGAAAACAACTCCCTTATTTATAAATGCCTTAGTGCTCTAGCTGCATATGTGTGGATCTGATTCTACACAGCATATCAAAGACTTTGAAAACTGAATGAACAGAGTGACCATTACAGGACAGATCTGAGTAGTCTGCAAAAGCTTTTGAAAGTGAACTGCCCACAGGAAGTGAGATTTAACCTCTTGCCTGAATCTAACCAGGTTGATTGTCTGCTAAACAAAAATATAATCCTCCATAGAAATTAAATAAAACCCAGACTTAAAACAAAATAATCCAAATATTTAGGATATAATCCAAAATTATTCAGTATAAAAGACAAAGAAAAATGTCAATTTCATGGGAAAATACAATTAACAGATGCCAAAACAAAGATGTTATTGATGTTGAAAATATCTGATAAAATTTTGGTTACTATACAAATGTTTCACTAAGCAATCATGAACACTGTTGAAACAAGTGGGAATATAATAAGTCTTAACAAAGAAATAAAATATGTAAGAAAGAACCAAATGGAAATTCTAGGAGGAAAAAAAACAGTAAATACATACACACACAAACACACACCTCAGTAGTGGAATGGAGATGGCAGAGAAAGCAGAAAACTGGTGAATTGAACATAGATCAACAAGAATTTTTAAATCTTAAACAGAAAGAAAAAACAATATTTCGGGAATAAATGTTAAACAAAGACATTCACAGAAAACTAAGAGCATTTATTGCCAAGCAGGCCTGTTCTAAAAGAATTGCTAATGGAATTTCTTTAAAAAAGAAGGCAGAAAATACTAAAAAGAAACTTAGAACATCAGGAATGAAGGGAGGGCAACAGAAATGGAAAAAATATGGATAATAGAATAATTCTTTTTCCTTTATGTTTTTTAAAATACATGTTACTGTTAAAAGCAAAAAAGCGTATATGTGTATGTCTGATAAAATTTTCTATGCATATAAATGTAATATGTAAGACAACTACATAGCATAAAGAGGAGTGACCTATACAGTGGTAAGGATTTTATAGTCCACTTAAAATGTTCACAATTGATTCTAAGTAGACAATGAAATGTTAAACATGTATATATCAATGTTGAAGTCAACCACTGAAACAATTTACAACCAGATATAGTAGCAAAAAAATAAAGTAAATTAAAATGGAATACAAAATAGAAGCCTTTAATCACTAAATGTCTTTAAATTCAGCCATTATTTTTCCTGGCTTCTTATCTTTGTCAAGTGGAGAAAACCGTGGAAAGAGTTTCTGAGTAATCTGAGAACTTAGTTCTCAGCATTTAATTTTATACTTGAGGAAACTGACAGAAAGGTCCAACATTTCAAGGTCACATAGTGATTTAGTGTTGAGGTTGGGTCTTCTGATTGGTAACCTGTTCTTTGCTTCTTATCGTTCTGCTTGGAGGATGTTTTATATAACCAGTGGTCCAAAGAGCTTGTTTTTATTTTATTATTTCCTATGTCATACCATTTTATGCTGCTAAAACATAATACCTGGGATTGAGTAATTTATAAAGAACAGAGATTCATTTCTTACAGTTCTGGAGGCTAGGAAATTCAAGGTTGAGGGTCCTACATCTGATCCAGGTCTTCTCATTGCCTCATTCCATGGTGGAAGGTGGAAAGGCAAGAAAGAGAGAGAGCGATTGAGAGAAATACAAATGCACTTTCACAATAGCTGACTAGTATCGCTCCAGTGAATACAGCATTATTCACTGAAGACAGAACTCTCATGATTTAATTATAGGTCTTAAAGGCCCTAGTTCTCAACAGTGTTGCATTGGGGGATTAAGTTTCCAACACATGAGTGTTGGGGGACACATTCAAACCAGAGCATTTCCTGATCCAGCACCCTGAGCATGAGTCTTTATGCCACTTTCTGGATTCCTTGCCCATTCGTGTAGGAGACTGAGGGTGCTTTTAAGTGAGTTTCACCAAACGAGGATTTCCAAAATGTAACGAGGAAAGGGTAATTTCTCGATGGAAGAATGCACACACAATAAAAGCTGGTATCAAATGTGAATTAGGTCTACTCAAACTGGCTGATAAAAACATCAAAGATGAAAGGTAAAAGAGGATAAAAATCTATTCTGATTTCACAAAATGATACAGTTTTTAGAGCTGAAACTGGAGAGACAACATTCTCAATTCCATAGTTAAGAAAATAAAGTCCCAAAGGAAAGTCAATGGCATTGTGTGTTTCTTCAATTCTTATGTAATAGCCGACATTTTATTTTAAGAAATATACAAATGTGTTCTACTTGCCATGGATTAACAAATATTTGCAAATTCAGGGGACTCATCATTTTTTTCTCTTGATTTTATCTAATACTTTATTTTTATTTTTATTTTTGTACTTTAAGTTTTAGAGTACATGTGCACAACGTGCAGGTTAGTTACCTGTGTACACATGTGCCATGCTGGTGTGCTGCACCCAGTAACTCCTCATTTAACATTAGGTATATCTCCTAATGCTATCCCTCCCCGCTCCCCCTACCCCACAACAGGCCTCGGTGTGTGATGTTTCCCTTCCTGTGTCCATGTGTTCTCACTGTTCAATTCCCACCTATGAGTGAGAACATTTGTTTTTTTGTCCTTGTGATAGTTTGCTGAGAATGATGGTTTCCAGCTTCATCCATGTCCCTACAAAGGACATGAACTCACCATTTTTTGTGGCTGCATAGTATTCCATGGTGTATATGTGCCGCATTTTCTTAATCCAGTCTATCATTGTTGGACATTTGGGTTGGTTCCAAGTCTTTGCTATTGTGAATAGTGCCGCAGTAAACATACGTGTGCATGTGTCTTTATAGCAGCATGATTTATAATCCTTTGGGTATATACCCAGTAATGGGATTGCTGGGTCAAATGGTATTTCTAGTTCTAGCTCCCTGAGGAATCGCCACACTGACTTCCACAATGGTTGAACTAGTTTACAGTCTCACCAACAGTGTAAAAGTGTTCCCATTTCCCCACATCCTCTCCAGCACCTGTTGTTTCCTGACTTTTTAATGATCGCCATTCTAACTGGTATGAGATGGTATCTCATTGTGGTTTTGATTTGCATTTCTCTGATGGCCAGCAATGATGAGCATTTTCTCATGTGTCTTTTGGCTGCATAAAATGTCTTCTTTTGAGAAGTATCTGGTCATATCTTTCGCCCACTTTTTGATGGGGTTGTTTGTTTTTTTCTTGTAAATTTGTTTGAGTTCATTGTAGATTCTGTATATTAGCCCTTTGTCAGATGAGTAGATTGCAAAAATTTTCTCCCATTCTGTAGGTTGCCTGTTTACTCCGATGGTAGTTTCTTTTGCTGTGCAGAAGCTCTTGAGTTTAATTAGATCCCATTTGTCAATTTTGGCTTTTGTTGCCATTGCTTTTAGTGTTTTAGACATGAAGTCCTTGCCCATGCCTATGTCCTGAATGGTATTGCCTGGGTTTTCTTCTAGAGTTTTTATGGTTTTAGGTCTAACATTTAAGTTTTGAATCCATCTTGAATTAATTTTTGTATAAGGTGTAAGGAAGGGATCCAGTTTCAGCTTTCTACATATGGCTAGCCAGTTTTCCCAGCACCATTTATTAAATAGGGAATCCTTTCCCCATTGCTTGTTTTTCTCAGGTTTGTGAAAGATCAGATAGTTGTAGATAGGTGGCATTATTTCTGAGGGCTCTGTTTTGTTCCATTGGTCTATATCTCTGTTTTGGTACCAGTACCATGCTGTTTCGGTTACTGTAGCCTTGTAGTACAGTTTGAAGTCAGGTAGCGTGATGCCTCCAGGTTTGTTCTTTTGGCTTAGGATTGACTTGGCAATGCGGGCTCTTTTTTGGTTCCATATGAACTTTAAAGTAGTTTTCTCCAATTCTGTGAAGAAAGTCATTGGTAGCTTGATGGGGATGGCATTGAATGTATAAATTACCTTGGGCAGTATGGCCATTTTCACGACATTGATTCTTCATACCCATGAGCATGGAATGTTCTTCCATTTGTTTGTATCCTCTTTTATTTCCTTGAGCAGTGGTTTGTAGTTCTCCTTGAAGACGTCCTTCACATCCCTTGTAAGTTGGATTCCTAGGTATTTTATTCTCTTTGAAGCAATTGTGAATGGGAACTCACTCATGATTTGGCTCTCTGTTTGTCTGTTAATGGTGTATAAGAATGCTTGTGATTTTTGCACATTGATTTTGTATCCTGAGACTTTGCTGAAGTTGCTTATCAGCTTAAGGAGATTTTGGGCTGAGACAATGGGGTTTTCTAGATATACAAACATGTCATCTGCAAACAGGGACAGTTTGACTTCCTCTTTTCCTTATTGAATACCATTTATTTCCTTCTCCTGCCTGATTGCCCTGGGCCGAACTTCCAACACTATGTTGAATAGGAGTGGTGAGAGAAGGCATCCCTGTCTTGTGCCAATTTTCAAAGGGAATGCTTCCAGTTTTTGCCCATTCAGTATGATATTGGCTGTGGGTTTGTCATAAATAGCTCTTATAATTTTGAGATACGTCCCATCAATACCTAATTTATTGAGAATTTTTAGCATGAAAGGTTGTTGAATTTTGTCAAAGGGCTTTCTTTTCTGCATCTATTGAGATAATCATGTGGTTTTTGTTGTTGGTTCTGTTTATATGCTGGATTATGTTTATTGATTTGCATATGTTGAACCAGCCTTGCATCCCAGGGATGAAGCCCACTTGATCATGGTGGATAAGGTTTTTGATGTGCTGCTGGATTTGGTTTGCCAGTATTTTATTGAGGATTTTTGCATCAATGTTCATCAGGGATATTGGTCTAAAATTCTCTTTTTTGGTTGTGTCTCTGCCAGGCTTTGGTATCAGGATGATGCTGACCTCATAAAATGAGTTAGAGAGGATTCCCTCTTTTTCTGTTAATTGGAATAGTTTCAGAAGGAATGGTACCAGATCCTCCTTGTACCTCTGGTAGAATTCGCCTATGAATACATCTGGTCCTGGACTTTTTTTGGTTGGTAAGCTATTAATTATTGCCTCAATTTCAGAGCCTGTTATTGGTCTATTCAGAGATTCAACTTCTTCCTGGTTTAGTCCTGAGAGGGTGTATGTGTTGAGGGATTTATCCACTTCTTCTAGATTTTCTAGTTTATTTGCATAGAGGTGTTTATAGTATTCTCTGATGGTAGTTTGTATTTCTGTGGGATCGGTCATGATATCCCCTTTATCATTTTTTATTGTGTCTATTTGATTCTTCTCTCTTTTCTTCTTTATTAGTCTTGCTAGCGGTCTATCAATTTTGTTGATCCTTTCAAAAAACCAGCTCCTGGATTCATTGATTTTTTGAAGGGTTTTTTGTGTCTCTCTGTCCTTCAGTTCTGCTCTGATCTTATTTATTTCTTGCCTTCTGCTAGCTTTTGAATGTGTTTGCTCTTGCTTCTCTAGTTCTTTTAATTGTGATGTTAGGGTGTCAATTTTAGATCTTTCCTGCTTTCTCTTGTGGGCATTTAGTCCTATAAATTTCCCTCTACACACTGCTTTGAATGTGTCCCAGAGATTCTGGTATGTTATGTCTTTATTCTTATTGGTTTCAAAGAACATCTTTATTTCTGTCTTCATTTCATTATGTTCCCAGTAGTCATTCAGGAGCAGGTTGTTCAGTTTCCATGTAGTTGAGCAGTTTTGATTGAGTTTCTTAATCCTGAGTTCTAGTTTGATTGCACTGTGGTCTGAGAGACAGTATTTTATAACTTCTGTTCTTTTACATTTGCTGAGGAGTGCTTTACTTTCAACTATGTGGTCAATTTTGGAATAGGTGTGGTGTGGTGCTGAGAAGAATGTATATTCTGTTGACTTGGGGAGGAGAGTTCTGTAGATGTCTATTAGGTCCACTTGGTGCAGAGCTGAGTTCAATTCCTGGATATCCTTGGTAACTTTCTGTCTTGCTGATCTAATGTTGACAGTGGGGTATTAAAGTCTCCCATTATTATTGTGTGGGAGTCTAAGTCTCTTTCTAGGTCTCTAAGGACGTGCTTTATGAATCTGGGTGCTCCTGTATTGGGTGCATATATACTTAGGATATTTAGCTCTTCTTGTTGAATTGATCCCTTTACCATTATGTAATGGTCTTCTTTGTGTCTTTTGATCATTGTTGGTTTAAAGTCTGTTTCATCAGAGACTAGGATTGCAACCCCTGTCATTTTTGTTTTCTATTTGCTTGGTAGATCTTGATCCTCCATGCTTTTATTTTGAGCCTGTGTGTGTCTCTGCATGTGAGATGGGTTTCCTGAATACAGCACAGTGATGGCTCTTGACTCTTTATCCTGTTTGCCAGTCTGTGTCTTTTAATTGGAGCATTTAGCCCATTTACATTTGAGGTTAATATTGTTATGTGTGAATTTGGTCCTGTCATTATGAAGTTAGCTGGTTCTTCTGCTCATTAGTTGTTGCAGTTTCTTCCTAGCCTTGATGGTCTTTACAATTTGGCATGTTTTTGCAGTGGCTGGTACCGGTTGTTCCTTTCCATGTTTAGTGCTTCCTTCAGGAGCTCTTTTAGGGCAGGCCTGGTGGTGACAAAATCTCTCAGCATTTGCTTGTCTGTAAAGGATTTTATTTCTCCTTCATTTATGAAGCTTAGTTTGGCTGGATATGAAATTCTGTGTTGAAAATTCTTTTCTTTAAGAAGTTGAATATTGGCCCCCACTCTCTTCTGGCTTGTAGCGTTTCTGCAGAGAGATCCGCTGTTAGTGTGATGGGCTTCCCTTTGAGGGTAACCCGACATGTCTCTCTGGCTGCCCTTAACATTTTTTCCTTCATTTCAACTTTGGTGAATCTGACAATTATGTGTCTTGGAGTTGCTCTTCTCGAGGAGTATTTTTGTGGCGTCCTCTGTATTTCCTGAATTTGAATGTTGGCCTGCCTTGCTAGATTGGGGAATTTCTCCTGGATAATATCCTGTAGAGTGTTTTCCAACTTGGTTCCATTCTCCCCATCACTTTCAGGTACACCAATCAGACATAGATTTGGTCTTTTCACATAGTCCCATATTTCTTGGAGGCTTTGTTCGTTTCTTTTTATTCTTTTTTCTCTAAACTTCTCTTCACACTTCATTTCATTCATTTGATCTTCCATCACTGATACCCTTTCTTCCAGTTGATTGAATGGGCTACTGAGGCTTGTGCATTCGTCACGTCATTCTCGTGCCATGGTTTTTAGCTCCATCAGGTCCTTTAAGGACTTCTCTGCATTGGTTATTCTAGTTAGCCATTCGTCTAATCTTTTTTCAAGGTTTTTAACTTCTTTGCCATGGGTTCGAACTTCCTCCTTTAGCTCGGTGTAGTTTGATCATCTGAAGCGTTCTTCTCTCAACTCATCAAAGTCATTCTCCGTCCAGCTTTGTTCCGTTGGTGGTGAGGAGCTGCATTCCTTTGAAGGAGGAGAGGCACTCTGATTTTTAGAGTTTCCAGTTTTTCTGCTCTGTTTTTTCCCCGTCTTTGTGGTTTTATCTACCTTTGGTCTTTGATGATGGTGATGTACAGATGAGGTTTTGGTGTGGATGTCCTTTCTGTTTGTTAGTTTTCCTTTTAACAGTCAGGACCCTCAGCTGCAGGTCTGTTGGAGTTTGCTGGAGGTCCACTCCAGACCCTGTTTTGCCTGGGTATCAGCAGCGGAGGCTGCAGAAGAGCGGATATTGGTGAACAGCAAATGTTGCTGCCTGATCATTCATCTGGAAGTTTTGTCTCAGAGGAGTACCCGGCCGTGTGAGGTGTCAGTCTGCCCCTGCTGGGGGGTGCCTCCCAGTTAGGCTACTCAGGGGTCAGAGACCCACTTGAGGAGGCAGTCTGTTAGTTCTCAGATCTCCAGCTGCGTGCTGGGAGAACCACTACTCTCTTCAAAGCTGTCAGATAGGGACATTTAAGTCTGCAGAGGAGTCTGCTGCCTTTTGTTTGGCAATTTCCTGCCCCCAGAGGTGGAGTGTACAGAGGCCGGCAGGCAGGCCTCCTTGAGCTGCCGTGGGCTCCACTCAGTTCGAGCTTCCAGGCCGCTTTGTTTACCTACTCAAGCCTGGGCAATGGCAGGCGCCCCTCCCCCAGCCTCGCTGCCACCTTGCAGTTTGATCTCAGACTGCTGTGCTAGCAATGAGCGAAGCTTCGTGGGCATAGGACCCTCCAAGCCAGGCATGGGATGTAATCTCCTAGTGTGCCATTTGCTAAGACAGTTGGAAAAGCACAGTATTAGGGTGGGAGTGGCGCGATTTTCTAGGTGCTGTCTGTCACCCCTTTCTTTGACTAGGAAAGGGAATTCCCTTACCCCTTGCTCTTCCGGATGAGGCAATGCCTCACCCTGCTTCGGCTCATGCTTGGCGCACTGCACCCACTGTCCTACACCCACTTTCCGACACTCCCCAGTGAGATGAACCCGGTACCTCAGTTGGAAATGCAGAAATCACCCATCTTCTGCGTCGCTCATGCTGGGAGCTGTAGACTGGAGCTGTTCCTATTTGGCCATCTTCGATTTTATCTTATACTTTAAAGTTACATATAATGCTTAGTTTTGTGGTCTGCCTAATATTTTCGGTAAAATGTACAATAGGAATTAATTTTTTTATTTTTCTTCTTTATCACAGCTTTCATTAAAGGCAATGTGTGTGCATACACATACACACACGCACATATATATACACACATATATCTGTTAAAATATCAAGTAACATTAGTATGCAAAAGAACACACAAAACACCTTACATGGAGATATCATTAGCTACTATGATTTTATTTTGATAAATAATGAAACAGGTTTGGAGTACTGACATAACACCCTGGCAACAAAATTTTAATTGCAGTTTTCACTTGAGGTTAAATTTTCAGAGGCACATCATTAATCACATCCAATGGAATTCTTTTCTAGGAGTTAAAAAAGTAAAGTAACCAAATGCAACTTGACTAGATACCAAAAAAATCAATGAATTATAATAGTTTCAGAAATAATTTTGTGAGAGTATTTGACATTGGAGTAAGAAAGCAATGACAAATTTACTGAATTATAAACATACGGGTGAAGTCAACATCAGATATCTATTGTAAACAAGGATGTAAACATAGGATGGTTCTAACTTTAATTCAACTCATTCTTTACTAGGAATATGTGAAATCCTTTGTTAGGGCGGTTAAGGACATTATAAATAAGTATTTTTAAAATACTTTCCTCATCTAGTTTTGGAGCCTTGTGAAGAGGTTGATCAGTTTTCCTTCGTGAGTAGTTGTTTAGGTTCATACTCTAAACACTTCGTGTATCCAGGATCTCACAATGCAAGGTCACTGTGCGCCAGCCAAATCTCCCTGGAGCCAGGCACCAGACAACTAGAAACAGCAGGAGACTGCAAAATTGTTCTAACTATCCAAACTACCGGGAGTCTGTGAAACCTAGCTAAGCCCATTCCAATTGCCATATATAAGGTGTCCTCTATGTCTCTGGGTTGGTAAGACCCTGTCCCCAGGTACAACCTCCTTGTGTAGCACTGCCTGGCAGCCTTCTCTTGTTGGAGCGCTAAGTAAAACAGGGTTCTATCTATTCAAGCACCATTGTTTTGTATCCTACCAGGCAGAGGTGGAACATAAGTCAACTTAGAGTTACCTGCATGGCAATGTTTACATGATGTTTTTTTCTTTAATAGACAAGAACTGTAGCATTTTGTTTCTTGATTCAATTTAAAGTAAGAAGACTTGTAGTTCAAAAAGTTTATGCACTAGACATTCAAGTAACTCTCATAACTGAGTTCTTTGTTCCTAATTGTTCTTAGAGGTATTTGGAGAAAGATCTAATATATTCACAAGTAAGAAAAGTATCTAAAGCTGGTTTTTAAAATGCAAGAGAGAATGATATTGCTATTTGAATGGGACATGGCCATTGGCTGTGGGCTCAGACCTCCAACTGTGTACTTTATTCTAGTACTCAACAGACAGGAATATTTAATTAGGAGATAATCTTGTCAAGGCCTTTTGCTCTTAGTTTCAAATTGATAACTTTGACAGCACTTTTGTCTACTCTGGACAAAAATGTATTGTCTTCTACGTTTTACTGTCAAATATGAACTATAATGGCATCATATTCAATAGTTATAATGAATGTCAAGATTAATTTGAGTTTGGAATGGTAATAATCCATTCTCTCAATATTTTCTTCTCTAGGAAATATAATTGCAGACAAAGGATATATTATCTGTGAAATTGCCTTTGAATTCAGAATAAAATGAGAAACATTCCCAAATTGTTTACCTTTTTAAAAATTCATACTCACTAATGATAAGCAAATGACCAGGCTATAGGATGAATTTCTTTCATTAATTTTGTAGTTATCTTTAATTAAAGAACAAAATTATATTAGTAAATATTTTACAGTATTTTAGAATTAATCTGTTTTTTCACTTTTTAAAACAAATTTTTGTGGGTATAGAGCAGTTGTATATATTTATGGGGTTATGAGACACGTAAGTATTCCATGGCTACTGTCTGGGAATGTATTAACAGGAATAGCTGATATTTATCAAAACCATTTTAAGTCAGATATTGTGTTATATCACTGAATTCTCACAATTACTTTTTAGGTAGATATTCTTATTTAGTCTTTCTTTGTGTATTGAGAAATTGAGGCATGGAAGATTTTGGTAATATAAGATTACAAAGATAAAAAGTATTGTAAGGAAGTTTTGAGTCCATATTATCTGATTTCAGAGTCCATCATTTCATCACTGTAAAAGTATTAGACATTCACAAATAATTAGATATCCTCGTCCAGAGCACAGAATTGCATTTACTTGACCCATTTAAATTAGGCATGCCATGTAACTTGCTTTAGCCGAGGAAATATAAGCAGCTGTAATGTGTCATTTCAGGGTGAAAACGTCAACTGGGTGAGTGCTTTGCGGCATGCCTGTTTCATTTTCATAGTGATCTTGAAAACAGAGCTTAAAATTAAGCTTCTTTCGACTGGAGCATTTCAGTGACTACAGTGGCTCATGATAGATAGGTGGCAGGAGTGAGTGATCAGATTTTGTTGCAGTAAGCCTCTGAAATTATAAAGTTGCTTGTTACCTCTATATAGACTGCTCTATCTTGGCCTACAAAACAGCTCTGCAACATAGTTCTGTTACAATAAGAAAAGCTACTAGGAGAAATACCTAGGAAGTCTGGCCCAAGAAAAAGTTAAAGTGCCTGTTAAAATGGAAAAAAAAAAAGAGGGGGCAAAATATTGAAAAGGTGTGAAAGAGAAATGATAAGGTAATTGCAAATGAAATAAACTGTTAAACTCTAGTGTACATAGTAAAGTTACTGGGAGATGTAATGAAGTCAAGTGACTAGAGCAGGCAGCTGATGAGGATACATTGTCTATAGATTCCTAGAAGGTGATTGAGAGACTATAATTGTATGGGATGAATCTGAAAGAATTTAATAGCCAGCTTTGATACTGGCTGTATGTTAAACATGTAACTTTTTCCTGTGCAGAAAAATAATTAGAATTTAGAGGTGTAGTTCATGGGCTTATGAATAAAGTGTACTTCAAATATTTTAAACTTCTGTATGGCATTTATGACATTAACCAAACTAGTATTTGATGTATGTATTCATATGCATTTATATATTTATCTAAAATTTTGAAATGTAACCATGTAAAAATTGCTTATTGTAAACTTCAGATATTCCCAGAAGTTCTAGTGAAGAAAGATTTGAATATTGTGACCTGATGTTTCATGAAATTTATTACCTGGAGAATTCATATGAGAAATACATTTAAGCGTCACCAAGTTTAACAAGAAAATGTGCCTGAAGAGGGAATATTAACAGATAAATACATTGTATGTTTGGGCATCAGATTGGGTTAATATTGCAAGATGATTATTGAGAAATCATTGGGAACATGTCACAATGAATACACTTTTGTTATTAAGACATCCTTCTTAATGGGTGGCTTAAACAAGACAGCTGATAGATTTGCCCTAGGAAACATTGAGAATTGTGAAGGAATGTAGAACAAAAAGAGAAGAGTAGAACTTAATTTTGGTTCTAACTTGAGCACACCTTAAAAAAACAAAAATATTTTCATAAAACTTCCCAAATTTAGAAAAATAAAAGTGCTCCAGAAACAAATAAGAAATATGACAGAAAGGGCATCAGTGGGTGACCATAATTACTCCTATATGCATAACCGGGAGTATAATCTGTTTAACTGTGAGGATAATTCTGCTAAACTCACCATCATAGGTGAAATGGTTGTGGTTAGGATGTTAGGTCAATGAAACAGGATGGTGTTGAGAAATATATTTGAGGTAAACTCAACATAACATGGTGTTCAATTAGAAGAAATTAATATTCAAGCTTGAGAATTCTATCATTACTTCAAAGTTTGTGACATGGGATATGCTGTGTGGCATTAATTGCAATCAAAAATGTATGATCAGCAGTTGGTTTTAAGGAAGATAATACATTTAGTTTGGGATGTGGTGCTTTTTAGTGCCTGTAACACGTGTTTCATTTGCTTGTTTGTTTTTATTTGTGAGTTGAATAATTGAGTCTGAAACTCAGAATCACTGTGTGGGCTGAGATTTTCCTGCATTAGCATTCAGTATATTGTTAAAGAATGGGGAGGAAGTTGAGGAGAGCATGAAGAATAAGAACAGTGAACCATGGACAGAATTCTGGAAACAGTCAACATTTAAGTGATGGGGGAAAATGAGGAAGGCAACTAACAGGTGGGCCATAAATCTCCAAAGAGTTGAGACTGTGAAGAATAAAATGCTAAACCATACCAATTAGAAGTCCAACAAGATTAGAACTGAATTGTAACCACTAGAGTTGCAATTGTATTACTTATATGCTTGTTCATAACAATTTACTCCAGGATGTAGTCACATAAAACAACGACCATTTATTATCTCACAGTTTCTGTGGATGGATAATCTACGTGTGGCTTAGCCTGATTCTTCTATGTCAAGGTCTTTAGTAAGGTCCATTGAAGTTCTCATTTTGCTAGGATTATGTTCTCTTCCAAAGGTTCAACTGAGAAAGAGGATTCTACTTCCAAGCTCATGCATGTGGTTGTTGGCATTTGTTGTGTTTTTGCCTCATGTGCCTCTTCACAAAGATGCCTTATGACATAGAAAAATGGAAAGATGGAAGCTATATTCCTTTTGTAAGTTGATCTCATAAGTGACATACAATCAACAATCCCACATAAGTCAATAGGTCCACCTCTCTCCCTGTTCCCTTCTTTAGCAGGAGGACATTACATTAAGATATGAATACCAGAATGTCAGGGTCATTGAAGTTCATCTTAAAGACTAGCCCCTGTACTCCATATGATTTGTATCTCTCTCACTTTGAAACAAAAATGTACTCACTCCTTCCTAAGGGCACCATTATAGAAGCAGCTCAAGGTCCAGAATCCCTAAAGGTCCATGTAGGGATAAGGCTCCTCAGATACAGTTCCTTGAGCACAGCTCTTCAAATGCAGTTTATCTCAAACTGTAGATCTGTGAAACTAAAGAGACAAATAATCAGTCCCTCACCCCTGCACATCCCACATGTAATAGTAGAGGAGACACTGAATAATCACTAAAGACATTCCTGCTCAAAAAGAGAAAATTGAAAGGAGTTGCTGGCTCAAAGCAATTTAAATATTCAGCCATGCAAATGTTGGAAGAGCCTTGATTAGGTCACAAGGCCTCAGAATAATTCTCTATGTTTCTTTCCTCTATCTTCTGGGTCCTTTGATTAATATTCTACCTTTGCTTGTGAAATTCTCTCCTGAATGCATCAGTGGTACTCAGCAACAGCTGCCTACTTCCAAAGTCCTTATAAACACTATTTTCCCTCACCTTTAAGTGCAATTTTATGGTTCATAAAGCGTAGCATGTCCTTCACCAGTATTTCATTCCAGTTCACCTGAGATAAAAATCTCAATGTTGGCACATCTAGAACATGTCAGGACTTATCAATACTCTCCTTACCCCCAACGATGGAACCTCATTGCTATCCAGCCAGTGAATAATCTAATTTGATGTTCTCTTCTTCAGAGTCTGCATCCTAATACCAAAGGTTCCTAAACTGGATTACTTACAGGCAGAATCTGAGATGGTTTTCTTGTGCGAGTAATTGATTAAGGGAGTGTTCTCTGTAGAACTCTTAAAGGGAGATGAGGTAGGGGGAAACAAAACAATGTAGTCTAAATTGTGGTGCAATAAGTACACCACAGAATAGTGTGTTTGTTTGTTTTTGTGTTATGTTATACTTAGAGAAAAAGAAGAAAAGAATTTTTTTTCGTATCCATACCTGATCAATCACTGGTTATGGGTTGAGGGTTGTGAGGCATAACTTTCCAGGCACATCAAGCAAGACATTAACTGGATCATGTTTAGTTCAAGGATAGTGCTCTGGAGAACTTGCAGGTGTGAGCTGAAACTTCTTCAGTTGCAGGTGTGTAAATACTGTGGAACACCAACAATAGTTATCTACCACATGACCCAAAACTTCTTAATAATGGAGTTTTAAAATTTTAATAAATTCTTATTTTTTCCCACTGAAACAATTTTCTTTTGAATATAACTGTAATTTTTGTATAGTTATATATTATTTGAAGTAGGTGCAGTACTATATCCTTTATTATTTGTCCTGAGATATATAACTTTTTCTTCTAATATATACAATGGAAATTTATAAGTTACTGTTTTTAAATATAAAACCTCAAAAATCTAAAGCATATATATTTCAGTTTGGAGAAAATATACTTCTCTAATTTTTATATTGATAGTTTTATTTGCTACCATAAATCCAAGTTCAGAAAATTTACTTAACATATATTTTAAATCAGCGGTTTAGGAAGAGAACATCAGAGGGAAATCATTTTGGAGGTATCTGGTCACTCAAAACCATCTTTCCTTGACAAGACCATGAAGGAATCAAGAAAAGACTGGCAGGCTTAAAAAGAATCTGCCTGAGATTAATTCAAATTCTGTCATATAATTTTCAACTTTATTATTGTTAAAGCTGTAATGTTCAGTGTATTGTAATATAGTAGTCCATGTGTAGATATTAAAAGAAGAGGCTTACAAAAATCAGATTGCAGTTTCATGGTCTCTACTAAGCACATTGAGTTGTGGGACAGAGTTTAATTCTAGCAAGAAACTAATGCCCAGCATGCTTGGTGAGGTATGTGAAAGGATGTGTATCACACTCTAACAAAATAATGATGGTTTTAGAAACCTTAACCATATACTAAGAGAGAAAGAATTTCTCCACACTTGTGTCTTTAGTACTCAGAGTGGTACATGGCACACAAAACCTTTACCTTAAGCAAATGAATAGAGAGAACCTGGATCTCCCAAGTTTCATGGGTCACTATGTCTACAGCAGCAGAAGAAATTCCAGACCCTCTTTCAACTTCCCTGTACCTCTTAAATGCCTCATTCTCTGGGCAAGGAAGGAGCAGTAGTAGGAACCAACATTTTTTTCAGTGCAGGGTCTGAGAAAGACATGATGCTCCATTCTTCATATATGCAATTTCATTTAGTTTTAGAACAATCCTGTAAGATAAATGCAGTAGTTTCTATTACAAATGTAAAGAGCTGAATACCAGAAATACAAAGTGGATATAAGAGTAGATCTCCATTACCCTATATATTATCCATATCATATACTGATGCATGATTTTCTTAGGTTATTTTAGGAATCTGTTATGGGAAAGGGGGTGAAACGCAGATGATGTCATTCTCACAATAAGTAAGACTTCTTACATAAGAGTCAAGATAAATACTTATACTAAAAGTCATGCTAAGACAAGTAGGAAAATAAAAGATCTCTATTTACATGAATGTATTCTCTCTCTCTCTCTCTCTCTCTCACACACACACACACACACACACACACACAGTTTCAAACTCAGATTTCCCAGCCAAGGAAATAGGTTCTGGCACATGGCCAGTCCTTAAAAGAATTTATACAGCACAAAAAAAATGTCTTGGGCAATAGGCCAACCTACATTTTAATGCATTCTGATTTCCTCTCTAAAGAATCAGTGTTGGTAGGTGGTGTACTGAAGTATGTGCTCCAAGCATATGCTTGTGTTTCCTACACCCACTGATGCGGGGAGATATAGGGAGAAGAAAAACAAGATGCTTCAGGAAGAGAGTTACATAACATTGGCAAAATGACCTAAGAATTGTGATGAGCATAATTTTTGTAAATGATAAACAACTGTTTGGGAATTGTGAATATGATACCCGTGAGAGTAGTACTAGGTTCAGATGACATAAAATTGCCCAGAAAATTCAGTAAGATCTGGTGTTACATGAAATAATCCTGGCTAAGTTTCTATCTTTCAGAGAGACTGTATAACCAATCTTCTCTCTATTAATATGTATATTAGAATCTTGCCTCTAGTATTCAAGAAGTGCGCTTCAGTGTATAGTGATATGTATTAGCTATATGCTGCATGAATATTATATGTCTGTCTATCTATCTATCTGTCTATCTATCTATCTATTTACCTACCTATCATGGATATACTAATAGTGACTGAATCTTCCCTGGGAATGAAGAAATGATTACAATTTATTCATTTTATGCATTATGCCTGTGTTCATCCAATGAACTACAAGATAGTCAATTCTGGTTTGAATCCCTAGTTTCTCTGTGAAGAGCTAAGAATTCTTAACAAGGGGTGAGTAGGAAGGAAGTCTTTGTGCAGAGTGCATTGTATTGCTTTTTCTGGTCACCTTGTGCCTTCTTGTTCTGTGAAGTGAACGCTGGAATGTCATTTTTTCTTTGTTTGTTTCAAGGTCCTTAGTTCCATCTTCACCTATGTACTTTATCTGTCAGCAGTTGCCACTAAGAAGAAAACAGATCTCATTGGATTTCAAAGATAAACATTTTTTTTCCTCATACATCTCATGGTCAGTTGGAGCAGATCAGTAGACTTATCGTTAGTTTGTTAGGGTTTTTAATGCATAAATATCTCCCCCCAATATGAAATCTCCCTCTTGTTAATAGAAATAGCTGCATGATTTTGTAGCTCTCTGTCTTTTTCTTATCCACATACTTGTGTCTGTATTCTTTCTTTCTCATACTTTTTTTTCATTTTTAAAATGGGTTTTATTGCAATATAATTCACATACCATACAATTCACCCAAAGGGTACAATTCAGTGGTTTTCAGTGTATTCATAGATGTGCAGTTATCACAACAGTCAACTTTAGAACATTTTCATAACACCCAGAGGGAGCCCCGTAATCATACTTCCGCTTTTGCTGCATAATAAGCATGAATAACAATTTAAATAGTATTTTCCCCCTGTTTTCTCTCACACTTTCCTTCCACCAAAACCTGGGTTCAATAAAGGAATTAATATTGATCCTTCACAAATCACACAATAAGATAACTATTGGTTTACTTGCATAGTCTCTCCTTTGAACAATAAACTCCTCTGAAGCAGGTACTACATATTAGGTATCTGGTATTACTTTTTTCAATATTCAGGATAGTGTATCTCAAATTTTTATGTACATAAAACTCCTGAGGATGTTGTTAAAATACATAATCTGATTCAGTAGATCTGGGTTTGAGTCAGAGAGTATGTTTTTACTAATTTACTAATTTACTAATGCTTTTGGTTTGTAGATCACAATTTGAGGCAAAAAGATCAAGCTGCATTTTCTAAATATTACAAAACAATAGGGTACCCTCATTTGTCGTGTCACCACTGATGCTAGTATTATATTTTAAGATATGCTACTTTTTAAGATGTGTTACGTAAATTTAAATACAAATATTGAACCCATGGTAAAGCAATTAAATATTTAATGAGAATGTGGAGAAATGTATTGGTGCGCATGTGAAGGAGGTAAATACAGCTTTGTCTCCCAGTGTCCTCAAGTCACAAAATATAACATTCTCTTAGTCTGTTGTATTTAAAGACATCCTTCTAGATGAAAAAGGAGACTACTTGCCATGGTAATTTTTTTAAGACAGAATCCTGCTCTATTTCTCAGGCTGGAGTGCTGGAGTGCAACTCGAACAGCCTCAATCTCCTGGGCTCAAGCAGTCCTCTCACTTCAGCCTCCAGAATTGCTAGGATTACAGGCATGAGCCACGACACCTGGCCAAGGTAATTTCTTATGAATGACAAAATAAATCAGTTATTTCTACATACTCTCTAACATAAGCCAAGGTCTACTTGACATTATGTACATATAAAAATTGTTCCTCTTAATCAGAGGAAACTGCATATTTTGTATATGATGCATAATTACTTCTCCCTCATAGAAGATTTCTCAGTTCCAGAGTCATTACTTTACCCTGTAATCATGATATCTCAGCTTCTCTTATACATAAGCCCGTGAGAAAAATGGTCATTCTTGCTTCTCTTGTACCTTCTACAGTTTCTTCATCCTTTTGTAGATGACATAATCTCAGGATGAATATCAGATTATGGGTGGCTATAAGACTTTGAGGGCTTTATAATGATAGGAAATTCTTCAGTGAAAGAAAAGATTTCTAAAGATTTCAAGCCTAATCCCCAATAAAAGTATAAGCAAGTCTAAACAAGTGTATCATAAAGTATTTTAGGCTTAGTTTTCATTTAATGGAGTGGAATATAATCTGATAGATAGAAAACCCATGAAGTTTTAAGGGGGTAGTAGTAGTTTAGACTTAAAGGGACTGAGATATCTCAAATTAAAAGAAGGCGTCTGGACTCTTCGTTGCTAATGGAATGACCCAGGCCAAGAAAGCTACTTGGCATCAAGCATGGGGCATTTCTTATGTGAAGGAATACAATGTTAGAAGCTGTAGCTCAAATCCTTGGAGACCAATGGGCTATACTGACACTGCCACAAAGCAGAACTGGGCCCAGCTCAAGTATTATTTTCTGCTCACAGAACAGAGTGATCTTATAATGTGTGCCCAGGTGGATTTCAGAAATTCTATAGACCAGTGATTGATATAGGCGTGTTATGTATTTCTTTTTAAATGACTGTATCTATTGTCAGTTGTCTAGCACCACCTCACCATAGTATGCTCATTCGGTGTGTGTTATAGAACTCATCTTTCATAGTTTAAAGTCTCTGGATGAGAGGAATTATACTCAAAGGGTAGCAAATATGGAGACTTATCCACATTTGGACTTAATTTTGATTAGGCCTTGGATTTCAATCTGATGAAGTAATGAGAAAAGTCTTTTTTAGGTCTTAGAATGGGAAAAAGCACATTTCGCATGTGGGAGGAATGTGAACAAATTCTGGCCAGGTGATGTTTGGAGCTAGGTTTTTTTAATGCCTACATATCTTTTTGGGGAAAAGTGGGCATGGGATATGAATAGATGTTTCTCATAAGAAGACATATAAATAGCTGGCAAGTATATGAAGAAATGTTCAACATCCCTAATAATCAGAGAAATACAAATTAAAACTACAATGCAATGTCATCTTACCCCAGACAGAGTGGCCATTATTAAAAAGTCAAAAAATAACAGATGCTGGCGAGGCTGCAAAGAAAAGGAAATGCTTATGTGTTGGGAATGCAAATTAGTTCAGCCACCATGGAAAGCAGTTTGGAGATTTCTCAAATAACTTAAAACAAAACTACCATTTGACTTAGCAATCCCAGTACTGGGTATATATCCAAAAAAATAAATCATTCTACCAAAAAGACACCTGCACATGTATGTTCATTGCAGCACTGTCCACAATTGCAAAGATATGGATTATCTTTGTGTACATTTATGGACGATTATGTAAAGAAAATGTATTATATATGCAAAATGAAATACCATTCAGTCATAAAATGAATGAAATCATGTCTTTTGCTGCAACATGGGTGGAACAATGACCCTTATCTTAATGTAACATGGGCCATCATCTGCAACATTGACCATTATTTAAACAAGTCAGATGCAAAGATAAATATTGCATGTTCTAACTTAATGTGGGAGCTGAATAATGTGTACATAAAGACACAGAGTATGGAATGATAGGCGATGAAGACTCAGGTGGTTGAGGGGGTAGGAAGGGGATGGGTCATGAGAAATTACTTAATGAGTACAACATACATAATTAGGGTAATGGATACTCTAATAGCCTTGACTTTACCGCTACATAATCTATGCATGTAACAAAATTACCCTGGGTCCCATAAATTTATACACATAAAAAATTAGATCAAATCACTTTCTCCACTCCTTGAATCCGGTCCTGTTCACATGGCCTGATCTGGTGCAATGGATCAGAAGCAAATGTGAAACAACCAGAGGTCTAAGAAGTGTTTTATGCATTAGTCTTATCTTTTTTATAACCATCCCATCTTCATGTAGGGAAACTAGAAGCTAGAGAAGAGGCTGTGTGAGAAAGTAACCTCAGCTATACCAGTCAAACAGACTTTACTGGCTGAGGTCCCAGACTTGGGAATGAAGTTATGCAGGACCAAACAGCACCAAATGAACTAGTCCAGATCAGAATAACCTTTCAGCGAATTCTCAGACTTGTGAAAAATAAGAATTTATTGTTACTTTAGCCACTAAGTTTGGGGGTGACTTTTAAGAAGCAAAAGCTAATGGGCTCTGCCTCGTTACCAAATAACTATTTCAAAACAAGTTCCAAATGGGTTACAAAGACCCTAAAATTCACACATTAATTTCCTAAATTCACAGTTTATCTGTTCTTACCTTCAACATAATTCTGAAAGGCTTGTTTACTTATGGCCGGGGGACCAGATTCTTCTTCCATCCACCCAGTGTTACAATCAGGGAGATGCAGCAAGTACGGTTCCAAAAATATGTCTTTATAATGTGTCTGTGACATTGATGAAAGGTAAACTCATGGTCAGCATTTGCTAATTTTAAATCTTAAGAGGCTCTAAAGAGCATTTTACTCCAATTTCTTTATTTAATTGATGAAAAGATTGATGCTTAGCATGTTTAGGAGATTGGGTATTAATTTGTGGTCATAAGTGTCAATGTGTTTGATTCTTACTGTATCCCACATCCCTGCATAGTAATATCAGGATTTTTGAAATTCATTTCAGAAACATTTTCCACTGAATGTTTAAAACAATGATTTAATGGCACTAAAATCATTAAATTTAAATGAAAGTTTCAGTTATGTGAAAGTGTAGGTGAATAAAGTACTTTTAAATTGTATATGGCCAAAATTAAGACCACTTCCCTTGTAGTTAACACGTAATTTTTAGTGGAACTTGGGCAGAGGAGTCTGCATTTTACAACCTCATAGAAGTCTGATCTTTTCTTAACCTTTCTATAACTGGAAAAATACCATGTATGATAGCGTCCTCCTTTAAAAGATGCAAGGCAGAGGCATTTATAGAAGACCTGAGAAAATAAATATAGTTTGTAAAATAAAATGTAAGTAGAATGGGGGCTGTGTAGAAGGAACTTGAAGAAAGATTCTGAGAAAGAAGAATGGGGAAAAGGGACACCCACATGCAGTGGTGATGAGGGTGAGATATACTTTTTTTGAGCTTACAAGTCAGGTGTTACATAATATTGGGAAGAAATGGGGCAAAGTGATGATTTCTGCAAGTATTTATGTTATATGTTCATTTCCACCTACGGCATTGATGAAGAAATGTCATAAACATCAGTAAGACAATCTCAGTGTCAATTGCAAATTTCAGGATATTCAAGTTGTTGAGATATTGGGAGTTGTTATCTACGTATAACAAAGCATTACACAAGCCAAGCAATACATAGATCCTAGGAACTGGGGTGAATTGTACTCTTGAAAATATTGACTGAACAGCAATAAATTAGCTAATTTCCCCATATAGAAGTCACTAGGAATAAAGTATAAGCAGTTCAAGGCTGAAATAATTAATTTTATCCATTAATTTTTATCCATTAATTAATTTTATCCATTAATTAATAATAATTATATCACAGAATATTAATTTGCTTGACCTAGAACAAACAGTTTAATGCAATTTAATTCCACACATGAATAGCTGGATGCATACTGTGTGATTGTGTTTCAGTTGGGACTCAATGCACCCATTTGTTGTGGAAGGTAAAGGCTACTAATGAAAAACTCAGGGCAGGGCTTAAAACTCACAGGGTATGTATTTTTTTAGAGTCAGGTTTTAAAAGTCTGCAAATTTTCTGCTGCTGAATGTTTATTCAAGGCAAATGAATATTCCACATTTTTATGTTTTTACTTCCATTTCATCCTATTAATGTATTATTTTAATGAGGATGAGATGTTGATTAGATATAATGACTGCTAATGATCACATCTACTAAATTTAGGCAGATGTTAAGGGACTTGTTCTAAAAAATACCTCCTGTAATAAATCTCAGGAGAAGCTAGTGAGAGAAAGAGCCTTCTGCATTTACTATGATAATGAAGTAACCGTGACCCAAAGAGGCAAACTGATGTCTATGGCATATGATTTGGCTCAGACACAAGATGGAAATAATACTTACTTAGAGTGGTTTAAAATTTGAATGCAAAGTATTTTTAGAAGTATTGGCAAACTGAAGGAAATGAAGGTTTTTAGAGCAGAATAAAGGATGCTTGGATTTCCATCATATATTTGTTTTAGAGCTACAAGTCTCATTGCTGCATTAGTACAGTTCCACCCTGTGAAGTTACTAATTCATACAAAGTCAAAGAGGGCAATGTTGAAACTAAATCCTACGTCTGTGCTTTCACTTTCCACATGGCCCTCAAGAGCTCGGGCAAATTTCTCACACATTTAATTCAATGAGTTCTATTTAGTTCAATGTTAAGTTGATATATTTGGATGTCCCTGCTGAAATCTCATGTTGAAATGTAATCCCCAGTGTTGGAGGTGGGGCCAGAAAGGAGGTGTTTTGGTCGTGGGGGCGAATCTCTCATCGCATGGTGCTGTACTTGCAGTAGTGAGTGGGTACTACTAGCAAGATCTGGTTCTTTAAGTGTGTGACACCTCCCCACTCCAATCTTTCTTCCTCCTGCTCCTGCCATGTGAGACACCTGCTCCCTCTTTGCCTTCCACCGTCATTGGAAGCTTTCTGAGGCCTCCCCAGAGCAGATTCTGGTTCTGAGCTTCCTGTACAGGCTGCAGAACTGTGAGTCAATTAAACCTCTTTTTTTTTTTTTTAATAAATTACCCAGTCTCAGGTATTTCTTTATAGCAAAGCAAGGATGGTGAATACATGTCTTGCATATTTATGTGAAAGCTCAGTAGTAAGCACTGAATTATATAATCCATTTAAAGAAATCTATGTGTCACCTTAGCTAGCCTAATAATTCAAATGAAAAATAAATACACGGTGGACCATCCAGCAGAAAACCCAAATCGGCATCTTTTAATTTGCAGTCAGCAAGATATACAGTAAACCAACATCCTTTTGTGATAAGCTAACTGCTCTAATGCTCTAACAAAACCCAAGATCTCCACGGTTTACCTTATTAAGTCTTTTTTTGTTGTTTTTTTTTTAAGATGGAGTCTCACTATGTCACCCAGTCTGGAGTGCAGTGGCCTGATCTCGGCTCACTGCAAGCTCTGCCTCCCGGGTTCTTGCCATTCTCCTGCCTCAGCCTCCCAAGTAGCTGGGACTACAGGTGCCCACCACCACACTCGGCTAATTTTTTGTATTTTTAGTAGAGATGGGGTTTCACCATGTTAGCTAGACTGGTGTCGATCTCCTGACCTCGTGATCCACCCGCCTCTGCCTCCCAAAGTGCTGGGATTACAGGTGTGAGCTACCGCGCCCAGCTGGCCATTAAGTTTTAATATTCATTCATATCATAGTCTGATGAGGGATTTAGTGGGTGGATTTTCTCACTGTGATTTAGAGGTCCAGGTATCTTCCATATAATGGCTTTGCTAATCTACTAGGGCTTCAGAGATTTCTACAGGATTAAATACTGATGATATATAATGACAGCTAGTGATCTTATCTGCAAAATTAAGGCAGATGTTAACTTAGTGTTTAAAATATCTCAGAGATAAATCCATTTTGCAATAGTCAAAAGAAGAGAAAGAGCCTGATATTTTACAAAATAAGTTTTAAGCACCACGATCTGTAAGTAGCATGTCTGACTTCCTTATTTCATGCTGTTAGTCACATGGTCCCACTAAACTACAAAGCAGGATGGGAAATATAGCTCTCCTTTTTTATATGAAAACAAAATGAGATAGGATTTTAAATCTCTGCAATAATCCCATTGTCTTCCCTCTTTTTAAAATTAACTCTGGCTTCCAGATTTTCCATGTTTCTGTGACAACAAGAATGTTAAGTTATTAATCTATTACCGCTCATGACCTCTTGAATAGTTCAGTAGGGAATGAGAATCTTCCTCTAACTAGAAAATACCATTAATTTTCTGGCATAGATTATTTTCTTTTTAGAAACAGAAGTGGTTCAGAAGTCAAAGGCCTTTAGCTCTAATTCCAGCTAAACACTTCCCAACTGTGTGATTTAGGCAGCTCATATCACCCTAGGTGGGGATGACAACATTAGCATTATCAACCGTGTGCTCTTAAATATTTTCCCTTTTAATAGCCTTTATTTTTAGAGCATTTTTAGATTCAAAGGAAAGTTAAGTGAAAAATGCAATTAATTCTTATGTATCTCCTGACACACATGCCCCTCAAACTTCTACCACATAGACACAGTCCTCCTACCACCAACATCCTGCACCAGAGTGGTACATTGGTTACAACTGATGAACCTACATTGACACATCATTACATCCAAGGTCCATAGCTTACATTAAAGTTCAGTCTTGGTGCTGCACATTCTATGGGTTTTAACAAATGTATAAATGACATGTATCTACCACTGTAGTGTCATACAGAATGATTTCATTGCCCTCAAAATCTTCTATGCTCTGCCTATTCATTCCTCCCTCTCCTCCAACCTTTGGCAACAACTCACCTTTCTATTGTCTCCATAGTTTTGCATTTTCTGGGATCTCATATAGTGGGAATTATATGACATGCAGCCTTTTCATATTGGCTTCTTTCACTTAATAATATATGCACTTAAATTTTCTTCATGTCTTGTCATGGCTTGATAGCTTGTTTCTTTTTTAGTGCTGAATAATATTTCACCCACACCAGTTTATTTATCCATTCACCTACTGAAAGGCCTCCTGATGCTTCTGAGTTTGGCAATTATGAATTAAGTTGATATACACATCCATGAGCAAGTTTTTGTGTAGACATACTTTTTATGTCTTTTGGGTAAGCATCAAGCAGTATGATTGATGAATCATGTGGTAAGAGTCTGTTTAGTTTTTGAAGAAAGTGGCAAACTGTGTTCCAAAGTGGCTGCATTATTTTGCATTTCCACCAGCAATGAATGAAGGCTTATATTCTTTTGGAGCAGTGGTATTTTTGTGATCTCTGTTACCCCACTCCCCCTTCACATTAGTCTCCATTCTATTCCTGCCTCAGAACCTTTGCAGTTGAGTTCCCTGCTGCTCGGGATGTTTTTTTCTTTAGATCCTTACATAGCTATTTTTCTTTCCTCAAAATTTGGGTTTCAGCTCAAGCAGAGTTTTTTTCCAGCAAACTTTTCCTGATCAGCCATTCTGAGATATTATCCTACCTGTTCATTTTACTCTCTGTGATGACATCCTATATATTTTCTTCAAAGTAGAGATCAGTGCACAAAAAAGAATTCTCTAGAGTATAAGTTTTACAAGAGGGACTCTGTCTTGCTCAATGTAGACATATGGACACTGAAAAGTATTTGTTAAATCGACACATTAAAGGAATGAAACATATGAGCTGCAAGTCTTTTGAAAAGATTTGTTTGATCTTGGGTAGATTTTGTTCCCTCTCTGAACATTTTCAGTTTCTAGGTGACATTTCAAAGTCCATGTGAACAAAAGGTGGTCCTTCTCTTTGTAGCCTCTTGGGGAATCACCTTGAGGATGTAAAGGCTTTTCTTATATGGTTTGTTTAAAAACAGTGGGTACGGGCTGGGCACGGTGGCTCACGCCTGTAATCCCACCACTTTGGGAGGCCGAGGTGGGCAGATCACGAGGTCAGGAGATTGAGACCATCCTGGGTAACATGGTGAAACCCCATCTCTACTAAAAAATACAAAAAATTAGCCAGGCGTGGTGGTGGGCGCCTGTAGTCCCAGCTACTTAGGAGGCTGAGGCAGGAGAATGGTGTGAACCTGGGAGGTGGAGCTTGCAGTGAGCTGAGATCGCACCACTGCACTCCAGACTGGGCGACAGAGTGAGACTCCTCCTCAAAAATAAAATAAAATAAAATAAAATAAAATAAAATAAAATAAAATAAAATAAAATAAAATAAAATAAAAACAGTGGGAATGAGAAGCAGTCTGCTGAAGAGTTCTGCAATGAATGTCTTATTAACTGTGTGATAGGGTTTTAGTCATGCTCCACTTGAACAGTGGACAAACCAAGAGTTTTTGCATGAAGGAAGGAAAGTATAGATAGGTGATATTATGGCCATACTCTCTGTTGCTTTGCTTTTGATCAGTTAGGATTCACAATTATTATTTGGAAGGCATGCCCACAGGTGCTATGCCCTTGCTGTTTGTCATCTAATTTCAAATTAGAGCACAACTTCCTGCCAGGTAGAGTAGTTAAAATAAATTTAGCTTAAGAATATCCTATGAAAGACATATTTTGTTAATGACATACTTTTTTAAAGAAAGTCATGATGCAGGCTTTTCAAAGGGAAAGTCACTATAGAAAGAATTTGAAAATAAGTGAACATCAAGGGAAAAAATAAAGATCATTTTCTTCTTTTTCTGTTTTCTTTTTGAGACACGGTTTTGTTCTTGTCGCCCAGGCTGGAGTGCAATGGCGCGATCTCAGCTTACTGCAACTCCCGCCTCCCGGGTCCAAACAACGATTCTTCTGCCTCAGCCTCCTGAGTAGCTGGGCTTACAGGCACTTGCCACCACGTCCAACTAATTTTTTGTATTTTTAGTAGAGACGGGGTTTCACCATGTTGGTCAGGCTGGTCTCAAACTCCTGACCTCGTGATCCGCCCGCCTCGGCCTCCCAAAGTGCTGGCATTATAGGCGTGAGCCACTGTGCTGGGCTGATCATTTTCTCCTTTACAGGCTTTAAAATTTGGGAGATAGGTAATCAAAATGAATGTCTAATATTATGTAATTGGGAAACCTAGGATCATTAGTGTAAAATAAATCTGAACCTTTTGTTTTTATGTTTGAATCTAACCTAGGTAGTGGCAAGGCTGAGGATAAAGTTCCTTTTGTTTTCAGAGAGATGATAACTAGCATCCAACAAGTAGCTTTACTCACATTGTCTCATATCATTATTCTATAGGTTTGTAAAGTAGATATTATTGAATCTATCTTATAGATGAATAAACAGAGTGAGAAAATATGTAGTTATTTATGCAAAATCACATAGCTATTAAATGACAGAGCTAGTACCCAAGCACAGGTCTATCTGACCTGAGAGCCTGTGGTTCCTCCGTCCTATCACAACCTATGAATTTCTTATACATCATCTCATGACAGGTGAGGTGAGTTTATTTCCTCTATTTTGCACCTGTGGCTCCTGGGTCTCAGAGATTAAGTAAACACTTTAAATGTAAGTGATTAAGTGTTGAGTAGGACCCATATTTTCTGATTCTCAATTTCAGGATATTTTGGTCTAGGCTTGCTACAGATTAGATTAAAAATATAAAGATTGTTAATTCCATTCATACATTTGTGAAGACTAGAGCCAAAAGTATTTCATTTGATGTGTTTTCTATGGTATTTGTGTTCACATTATTCTAAAATAGTTGTTTTATTTTTTACATAAAATTACATATTAAGGATAATGTGTTACACATTTAGAAAAGCATATTTCTAAATTTCCACCTCTAGAGATTCTGTTTCAATAGTTGTGGATTAGGATCCAAGAATTTGCATATTTAACAAACAGGTACTTCTGAAATAGGAGGTCTGCAGATGACATTCTGTGAGGCATTCTTATTTTAATGCTTATTTTATTACAATTTAACAAAGTGCTTCTGAAATAAGAGGTCTGCAGATGACATTTTGGGAAGCACTCTTACTGCTTACTTTGTTATAATTTATTGATTTAATTTCATAATTTTAATTCACTTGAAGTTCTTGCTAAATCAGTCAATTCATATTAAAAGTCCTGCACAATCATGGTGGAAAATTAAATTGATAAAATATTTCCCTTATACTTATAGCTAATGTTGCAATGAACAGGAAATACTGCTTTATTTTTCACAACTGAATAATTACTTTAGGTTACATCTCAAGGAGAAGGATTGCCAGATCAAAAGTCTTGCAGTTAACCAGGCGTGGTGGCAGATACCTGTAATCCCAGCTATTCGGGAGGCTGAGGCAGGAGAATCGCTTGTACCCGGGAGGCAGAGGTTGCAGTGAGCTGAGACCGCGCCATTGACTCCTGCCTGATGACAAGAGAGAATCTACGTCTCAACAACAACAACACGCTTGGGCACTGTATTAACTCCATAATCGTAAGTCACTTTTTTGAATTTGGTTTCTCAGGTTGCTAATAACAAACTTATTCCAGATGTTTTCCCCTGTTTGCATTGTCTGATCAATGGCATTATTTCCATACAAACAGGCTGCTTATAGGTCTCCAGTTTTATATTCAATTTTTTTGACACAGAGAGTCATAGGGTCAAATAGGGTCACTGGTTGAAGAAATACTTACTCCACAATTAATTCAAAATAAATTTAAAAATACTATGGAACATATGTAAGTGTGTTTTGTTTTTTCTTGACTGAAAATTGAAGCCTTTATGTGGTAGTTTAGCTCAGAAATTGAGCACAATTGAAAGAAATAAGCAAGTTAAAATAGATTTAAATTTGAATATTGCTCGTAACACCTGCAAGGTCATAATTAGGCTATCAGGCATTCCACTACTTGTTCCTTCATGCGTTCATCTAATGGATGTTCATTCAACACTCACGACATTAGGGACTAGACTAAGCAAACAAGACAGAATGGTCCCTTTCTTTATAACATTTACACTCTAATGAAGATTGGCAACAAACAAATAATTATGAAGTGTGAAAAGAATATGTAGCATTACAGAACGACTGGCATGACACACATCCCACTGACCATTCCAGAAGAATTCTCTTCGATGAAGTGATGAGTGAGCTGATGCCTGGAGAACTGGGAAGTAATTATCCAGGCAGAGAATGAGGGTGTGGTTGGCCTAGAGAACAACTTTAACTTTCTCAAGAGAAGAGAGGATATGCTCTTTTGGAAGGAATGAAAGCATGTATATTGGTTTGAATGTACTTGAGGGAATGACAGGAGAGAAGCCAGGGGGAGAATTGTAGACTTGCATCAAGAAAAGGCAATTGGACTTCATCTGAAGGATAAGGGGCAGATGATTTTTAGCAGTGGGGTGAACATGTGCAGTGGAAAAATGGCTTTCATTGTGATATGGAGACAGGATCCCAGAAGAGCAGCAGTGGAGGAGACCATTTGCCAGGCTGTGGAAGTTATTCACCTGAGGGCAGATGACAACCTGGCCTTGGGTGTTGGCAAGGAAGCTGGAAGGAGGTGGGACGAGGTGGAACACACTGAGGGAGTGGATTTTGCAAGAGCTGGTATTTGAATGAATATTAGGGATGAGGCGGCTGGAGATGGCAATTATCTGATAGTTTTCTAGTACTTTAAAAATAGATGTTAACTTGTACTCTTTTAGTTATTTAGAAATGTACAATTAATTTATTATTGATTATAGTTACCCTGTTGTGCTATCAAATACTAGATCTTATTCATTATTTCTGTTTTTTGTACCCATTAGACATTTCCCCCTCCCCCGCAACTCTCCACTCCCCTTCCCAGCCTATGGTAACCATCCTTCTACTCTCTATCTCCATGAGTTCAATTGTTTTTGTTTATAAATCCCATAAATAAGTGAGAGCATGTGATGTTTGTCTTTCTATGCCTGGCCTATTTCACTTAACATAATGATCTCCAATTCTATCCTGTGCTTTGTTTTTCCTGCTTTAGAAACATAAGATGAATTAAGCTACATTTTTTTCTCTGTCCCCTTACTTTCCACCTTTGAGGGCAATTAAAGCGTTGGGTCTTGTGGATTAGATCATAATATCTTCTTTCAAAAAGAGTAGAAGTGTCAGAGAAGGAGCTCTGAGGCTCAGAAATATGAAGGCCTAGGTGGTCTGAGGAGTAAAAAGGCTCCCACTTTAAGGGGGAAGAGGATAGGTGTTAGAAAGATAGCTGCAGTTGTCTATCAGTGCTGTTTTCCCACAGGAATTCAGATGGATGGACTATGGAGAACTTGGGAGTCTCTGAAAGATATCCAAAGATATCTAGGCTCAGTTTGGCTCAGAACAGTAAACAGATACTATTGGAATTAAAGAAAACCTTTTAAATAGTATTTTGATCAATTCTGCACCAGATTTTCAGGCATCAAATAAGCCTCTGGATTTCTCTGGGATTTTAGAATGGGGGAAGAATCCAAAATAATATCTGTGACTAAGTATTTTACCACCTGGGTTTTCTTATGCTCCTATTTTCAGAGCACTTAAGAAGTATGACTTCAAAGATTTTTTAAGTGTCTGGATATAAAAGTCTTCAGTGCCTAATAAGCACTAGCACAAGACTATATGCCACGATTCAGATCTACTAGCGCTGCTACTGTCTGCATTTGGCAGATGAGCCCTAGCTTCTCTCTTGTCATACCCTCAAGTACACTGAAACAAATATACATGCTTTCATTCCTTCCAAAAGAGCATATGCTTTCTTCTCTTGAGAAAGTTAAAGTTTTTCTCTAGGCCAACCACACCCTCATTCTCTGCCTGGATGATTACTCCCCAGTTCTCCAGGCATCAGCTCACTCATCACTTCATTGAAGCTCAAAGGTGATACATAACTTGTGCATAGCCATATAACGATACTGGAAGAATAAATTTAACACCACATCACTAAATAGTGGCTTCTGTAACGCTATTCAGCAGCTAGTGAGACCTAATAATCAAATACCACTTGACCCAGAGAACAAACTTCCAAGCAGAAACTCTGCTTCTTTTAACTTTCTGTGAAGCATTGGTCCAAGCTACCAGGTTAAGGTATAACTCTCTGTTGTAATTATCCACACGGTTGGGTGCATCTATGCAGCCTGCCTCCTATTTTTAAGCCTAAGATTTATCTTCTGTGATATTAAACACAGTTTGCTGGTAAAAGATAATTCAGTTTCCCTCACAAAAAAAGCTTACCTTTATTGGTCAATAAATATTGTGCTTGATTTTCTCCTTTTACACTGAGAACATATGCTTCCCTGGGCATGCAAAAATCAAATGCATTATCTTCTCTTTTGCCGCATTGGTTGCTTTTTCCAATTATTTTGGAGTATAAGTATGGTTGCCTATAGAGAAAAGGTGGATTTAAACCTCCTGAATCATTGTGTGTGTGTGTGTGTGTGTGTGTGTGTGTGTGTGTGTAGCGGGGGACTCTTTCTGTCAATACAAACAATTTGATTTTAAATTATAATACACGATGTATGGGCCCAGTTAAGATACAGTGATTTATCAATGAAGATCAAATCATAAACGTGTAGAGAAAGGGTACTCATATATTGTTTTATTGTCTAATCAATGCACTTGAAGATTACTCATAGTGTCCAGGCACCTTCTTTTCCTCTTCAGGACTAGAAGCCATCTCTCTGTGTATTTTACTGTTAAATGTGCCATCTCTTGCTGATTTTATATTTTCTACCGTGAGGAAAACGTAATGCTATTATTACTCACAATGTCATAGCTCTTCAAAATCTACTTGCCTAAAAAAACATAGAACAACTTGCCTATCTAGTTCCCTAATTCCACTTATTTAATGCAGGGTTTATTCATAATGCTGCATCATCCAACCATCATCCAACCTATTTATCATTCACAATGCCACCTGTGAATACTGGCTTCCATTGACTCTTTCAAGAATTGCTACTGGGCCTCACCAATGTTGACCACAAATGCAAGTCATACTGAGAGTATGTAGTACATGTGAATAATAATTAGTTTTCTTGTCATATTAAACATATCATTCATACTAGTATGAACATAGAGAAATCCTTCGATTGTATCTTTTCGTGAGCTCTTTATTTACTGTTTTCCTATATAGAATGTGGTCTTTTTAAATGTTTGTCTTATCCCTGCCTTTCACAAACTAACACCAGTTGGGAAGATAGGCAAGAGTCCCCTGGAAGAGTAGGAAGAGTTGCCTTATTTGCGCAAGGATTGTCTGATGTGTATTTGACATGACATAAGACTAACCGAGAAGAGCACTCCTGATAGTATTGATTAGAGGCAATAGAGAACACTAATAAAAGAATCAGTTGGCATTGTAGGGAAGGCAAGTGTGGCTATTCCAACAATGCTGACAGATATGTGGCTTGGAGCCTACAGAGTGGGTGAGGTGATCACCTTGAATTCCTGTGGCAGAGGATGAACAGGGTAACGGAATGTTTACCACCATTCCTCTCATCTTTGTCGCTGTAAACCAGAAGAAACACTGTAGTCAAAATGCATACTGGTGAGGAAGAACTGTTTACAACACGGGGAGTCTTAAGCAAATTCAGCGACTAGAGGTTGACAGTTGGGTAGGGACCTGCACATGTAACCAGCAGGTGCTTTTGAAATAAGAAGATTTTAGACTACAATTTGGGAAGTACTGTTCTTTTAGAGCTTAATGTATTATAATTTTCAAAATTTTCTTTCTATAAGTTTTATTCACCTGAATTTCTCACTCGAAGTCAATTTACATTCAATCATAATGGACAATAAAATTGATAAAATGTTTCCCCTTACATTTATAGGTTATGTTACAATGAACAGAACATCTTGCTTTATTTTCCATTCTTGAATCATTTTCTTAGATTATATTCCAAGGGAAATGATTTCTGGATCAAAAGACTTCAGCACTGTGTTGGATCTTGATCACTTTGTCATTTTTAAAATTTTGACTTCTTATAGCTGATTGATCCTGCAGATATAGGTGGACATAGAAGATCAAAGGGAACCTCAAATGGGAGAGACTGGGTCTGGAGGTCCATGTGTGTCCCAGGCTCATGATGTTCTACCTAGATGGCACTGCTGGCCTCAGCCATTCCAAATTACCAAAGCTAGACCTGGAAAATTTCAAGGAAGACACTTCATAATGTGAACTGCCTTTAGGCATAGGTCAGGAAGGTATTGTCCTACGTACAAAAATTCATTCCAGCTCACAAAATAACTCGCTTTAGGAAACTAAGTATATTTTCTTCCGTCTCTGAGCTATAGTTTTCTTAAATATAGGTCACGAAGAATAAAATATGTTTCTCACAATTGTTGGGAAGGTTAAAATGAAATAATGTATTTGAAAGCATCCTGTGTATAGAATATTTTATATATTCAAAATGTTAATTTTCTTTCTTCCTAAAGGGTCAGATTCTTCACTTTTCAAAAGTTTTTTTAAAAAGCTTTTTAATATATGAAAAATACTTTTTGAAGAAATTTTTGAAGGGAAAAATTTCTGCCTCTGACTTTCTCTATTTTATTCTCTTTTCCTATTGTTTCACCGTGCCTTATATTCTTTCTCCATTCTTCTCAAAATGTGTTCCTCAGGAATATGCTGAATTATTCTCATACAAGTATGAATCTATATCACTATAATTCATTTCCTAGTAATTTATTCATTATGGTAAATAAGTATTTATTGAGTACTCCTTTCCCAGATGTTAAGATAGATATTGAGTATCAAATGGTAACAGGGCCAGCTTCATGTGTGTGCATGACCTGGGCAGTCCTGTTCCCAGAAGCCAGCTTTGCTTGGTTCAATACTCTGCCATTCCCATCTTGAAATTCTTACAACTTTGCATAAGGGATTCATACTTTGCTTTCCACTGGACGTCACAGATTATATAGCCTGGCCTGGGTGCTGAATCCATAAGTCACACTTCCTGTCCTCAATAAGTTTATGTGAAACATATGCATTTAAAATAATAAGCCACCAAAAAAATGTATAATGTATAAGGTTCTAAGAAAAAAGAAGTATTATTTGAAATAGAATAAGAGAGATAACTTAATTAAGACCGGAGCAGTTAGGTAAGACTTCTCTGAGGATATGAGCTGATGCTTAAAGAATGAGTAGGAGTCAGCTATGTCAGGAACTAAAAGAAGCAACATTTCAAAAAGCCCCGAGGCAGATAAAAGCTTGGCACAGCTGAGAAACTAAGAAGTGAGTCTGAGGTGAGGTTGGAGTAGGAGGCAGGGACCAGATCATACAGATCTTTGTAGTCTGAAGCACCAATTTCATTTTTATGCCACGTAGGGTAAAAACCTAGGGAAAAGGGGTGTGTGTGTGTGTGTGTGTGTGTGTGTGTGTGTGTGTGTGAAAGAGAGAGAGAGAGAGAGTGTGTGTGTGTGTATATGCACATTCACATGCGTTGATACCAGGGAAGAATGAGTCTTAGTGACCCTCTGAAGTTACACTGGCTATTTTCATGGCCGAATTAGGAAGACCAGAAGGAAGATGTTGATGTTTTCTGGGAAAGATGATTCAGAAAAGGTAGAGTAGGTGTTTGGAAAGACAACATGAGACTTCCGCTTTGAAAGGAAGCACTTTAACCAACATTTTTGGGTATTTACTCCTAAAAACATGTGTGCTTCCAATTATTTTTGGAAATGTTCAATGCAGGTCTTGCTCTTGGCTGTATGTACAGCATCCCCTGGGAACGTGATGTTCCACTCCTTCATTTAGAATTCAAACACTGAGATAATGCACTGCTCCAGTCTTTATTTCTCTTCTCACTGGTCCATAGAAGGCAGAAGGGAACAAGATAGTATAGATGATGAAATGTTATAAGAAGAATGTTGAAAAATATGTCTCTACTCAGAAATTTAGTAGATGTAAAATAAACATACTGAAACAAAAACAGCCAGAATTACTGATTAATGGCAGCAAATTTCATACTTAAGATAGTATATAAATCTGCTAGCCTTTAACACATAGCCACTGTGTAACCTTGGGAAAGTTATTCACTCCCCTGAGCTTCAGCTCACGTAAATGAAAAGTGAGTATAAAAATACCTTTCTGGATTGTTTGACTTTAGTAATGTTACCACTGCCCCTTTCCCAAATATTCCTTTTCTACTGCCTATTCCTTTTCACTCAGCTCAGGAAGCCTTCCCTGGCAACCCCTGATCTTCCTGCATCTTGCTTCAGTGCTATTCTTGCTTGCCCTGGCACAATCCTCAGCTTTCTTCTCCTACAGAGTATTATCTTACTCTTTTGAAATAGCTAGTTTCCTTGTCTGACTCCCTCTCAAGAATACTATTTCCTGAAAGCTAAAATAACTTAATCTCTGTGCCCATAGTACCTTGGACAGTGCCAGGGTAGTTCTTAATCAAGTGTTGATGATTTATTGAATGAATGCATAGAAGTATTATGAAGTTTTTATCAGATAATACATATATAAGTACCCAGGGCAGTGTCTTAGTGGATGGTTCAGTAAATTGAGAGTTGATATGGAATGAAAACTTTTTCTTAAGCTCTTTATTGCTTTAATTCTGTGTGAGGAGAATCATTGTAAATCCAAAACAAAAAAGACATGTACCAATGTATGATGCTGAAGTCTGGCAGGAAAGCTCTATTCTTAGGAAGTAACATGATTTGCAAAAGTTAATCTTTTGTAAATATGTCTTTTGTTAATTTCATCCCTTCTCTGAGACTTCTATAAACACATTCATCAGAAAACATACAGGAATTTCTCAGCCACTCTGAAAATAGATAAGGTTCTTTGTTGTTTTACTAGTTTTTTGTTTGAAGAAAATATTAGGTGACAAAAATACTTCTAATTAAATTCAAAGCTATTATTTCTTGTAATGTTTTAGTATTTGCTTTAGGAATATAGGGTAAGGCAGGATGTTTTAAATTATTTGAATTAAAGTCAGGAGAGTGTTCCTAGTTATGTCAATGATTTGTTCTGTAATAATAAGCGAACTGCTTTACCTCTCTGCTAATGTAAGGTACTTTTATGCATATCAGAAAATTTTGATGTGTTTCTCTCTCTCCCCTCTGCTAATGTAAGGTACTTTTATGCATATCAGGAAATTTTGATGTGTTTCTCTCTCTCCCCACTTTCTCTTTTAATTCTAAAATACTGAAAATTGAAGAAAGATGTAAGTGCTTATTCTAGCACACTTAGGCTTTTGTTTCAGCAATGATAACTATCTCAATTGGAAAAAAGTAATTTTAACTGCTTTCTACAAATTTTTAAGAATTATATACTTATAATAGTAAATAAATTCAAAAATACATTCAATAATAAATACATTTAATAAGTTCCTATACCATAGTTTAACAAATTTTACAATACCTTTGCAGGGCCATTAATAACCTAGTAATAACATTTATTAACTATTTTACTGACAAAAATAATCAATGAATCAATGCTACATCAGAATTGCTAAATGTCAGAAAGTCGCATTACTCTGCAATCTTTTCTTTGGCAAGGTGACCGACCCGTTATTCTGTCCCATTTATTATAAGGCAGTGTAGTGTGTGAAAAAAAAAATCAACTCAACATGGAAAGAAGGATCAAAATTTGATAGAACCCCAAACAGGCTGAAAGCCACGTTAAAAGGTAAGGCCAGAAAATTGTCAAATATTGATAGCACAATTCTATGCCATGTCTCCTTATCTGCCAGTACCTGAGGCCACAAAATTCAGTGAAAGAGCTGCCGCAGGTTTTCAATTCTATATACAATTTATAACAAATGTTTTCTCACAAGGCCAAATCCTAAACAGTCAGTGTATCAGATTTTGCCTTTGCTTGTCTCAGAAAGAAAATAATTTTTCTACTTCCAAGTTATAGAAACTTTGTCTATTTTTCTTGGTTTGATGGCTACAATTGTAATTGTATACCACATACGGAAGCATTGCGCTTATATGTAGATGTTTCATACACTGCTGTGAACCTTCCAATACCACTGCCCTTACTGAGAATGTAGGCTGCTGGAGAACTCCCATGTGGCATCCTTTAAGATGATCAAAGTGGTTAGGGGACTTCCTCAAAATCCAGCTGTCTATTTTCTACCACTTTCCTTTCCACACTTTTGGCTTAAACCAATTCAAGGGAAATTTTTCTTTTTTATCCTGCATCTCTGTGATCTGCCTGGATAATTCTGGATGGCAAAGCAGTGCTGAATATGACATCATTCCTCAGGGAGCTCTAGTATCTGATCCACCAGAAAAAGTAAAAGCTGGAGAAACAGATGTGGAATCATGTGTTCTCAGAACACTCCATAGTGAGATTGGTATCTTTCACAGAGAAAGTTTCTTTTTTTTTTTTTTTTCATTTCAAGGAGAAATACTTTAAATGGCTTATTCTTCCTCAGCCAAACAAATAAATAAAGATTTTTTAAAAAGAGAGAACTCCATAAATACCTGATGCATCCTCTCTCCCCATTCTAAGGAATTGTTTTAGCAGCTGTCTCCCAGACACTGACTTATTTAATATTTGGGTGCATTCTCTAATGGTCTAGTTCCGTTAAATGGAGAATGTATTTGGATGATTGACCTAACTAGTAACTTTGTTGTGTTAATTTTCTCTTTGCGTTTTCTCCTTGGGCTCCATGCACTGCATTACACAAGAGAGTGGTGTCTCAACCTTGTGTTATATCAGGTCTCAGTGCCTCCAGAAGCCTGCTAAACTGCAAGGAGAGATAAATCATTAGTAGATAGTGGAAATCATGAGTAGATAGTGGAAATAACTTCCTTGTAATGTCACCACTGTACCTTTCCCAAATATTCCTTTTGTACTGCCTATTCCTTATCACTCAGCTCAGGAAGCCTTCCCTGGCAATGCCTGATCTTCCTGCATTCAATGCTATTATTATTAGTATTATTAGTGATAAATCATTAGGAGATAGTGGAAATAACTTCCTTGTCTCAGAAGTTGAGTGATGAGTAGCAGGCCCTCAAAAAATAACCTCAGTGCTTGCACATTTGAGTCAATAATTTATGTTTTTAAATTTGTTGCGTTCTGCCCTTTCTTTGTACTAAGGTATAATATACAGGAGAATTATCCTTTTTATAATACAATTATCTGAGTTTTGACAATTGCACACCCACCTCCATGATGAAGATAAAGAACAGCTCCATCCATCAGTCTCCAAAATTATCTGGTGACCCTTTGCAGTCAGCTGTTTTCTCCACCCCAGATTCTGGCAATTACTGATCTATTTTCTGTTCCTACAGTTTTCACTTTGCAAAACTGTAGTAAAAATGTGTACATACAGGATGTAGCTTTTTGGATCTGACTTTTTTTCCTTAGTGTAATTCATTTGAGATTCATCCATGTTTTAGCAAGTATCTATGGTTTTATTGCTGAATAATACTGTACTTTATATTAGTACCATGATGTGTTTATCCAGTCTCTAGTTCAGAGACATTCAAAATGTTTCCAGTTTGGCGGTTAAAAATAAAGTAATTTTGAACATTCACATACATTTTTGTGTGTAGACATGATTTTCATTTCACTACGTAAGAGTGGAATTTCTTGGGTATATGTTTAGTGCATGTGTGTATAAAAAACTGCCAAACTGTCTGCCACAATGGAAGTAACATTGTGCACTCTCACTAGTGAGTTGTTAAAGTTCTAGGTGCTCTGCATAATCACTGTCATTTGGTATTGTCATTTTCTTTTAAAATTTTAGTCATTTGGATATGTGTCTGGCATTATCTGATTGTGATTTAATTTGCACCTTCCATCTATCTACCTTTTTTTTTTTTTTTTTTTTGACAGCGTCTCACTCCATTGCCCAGGCTGGAGTGCAGTGGTGCAATCTCCGGCTCACTGCAACCTCCGTTTCCTGGCTTCAAACGATTATCATGCCTCAGCCTCATGAGAAGCTGGGATTAAATTTGCACTTTTGTAATGACAAATTACATTAAGTATTGTTTCATGATTTCAAATTTTCATTTTGGAATAATGTGAGACTTACGGAAAATTTCTAAAATCTTTTAAAGAATAAAATATACCCTTCACCCAGATTTTCCAATTATTAATAATTCACTACAATTTTTTTTTCATATTCTCTCTTACACATGTTACTTTTCTATACATATATTCATAGATAAGTACACAAATATTGATAATATACATACACCTACTATTTTTTCTCAATGTTTGAGAGTAACTTATATGCATGAAGACCCTTAACCCCTAAAATATTCAAAGTTTGTTTATTAAAAATAAAATAATTGTCTCACATATCCATCATACAAAAACTTAAAATTGATGCCATAGGCCTTATTCAAATTTCAGCAATTATTCCAATAATATTCTGTGTTTATGCATGTATGTCATGTTTATGTGTGTACATTTTTGTCTTTGTTTAGTGTTTAATCTGAGATCACACATAGCAATTAGCTATCACAAATCTTTAATCTCCTTTAATATGAAATAAGTTTTTTTTAATCTTTTATGACTGACATTTTTGAAGAGTACAGGATACTTATTTTGTAGAATGACCCTCAAATTGTGTTTGTCTGATGTTTCCTTATGTTGGCTGTTGATTACACTTTTTTGGCAGGAAAGTCACAGAACTGACTTGTTAGTGCATTATAGTAGCACATCCACTGCTGATTTGTCTCATTTCCTGTAATATTAACTTTGATCATTTATTTAAGGTGGTGTTAGATTTCTCCACTATAATATTCTACTTTTCTGTTTGAAATTAATAGGTACCTTAAAGGGAGATACTTTGAGACTATATAAATATCCTATTACCCCTCAAATTTTAATTTACTAGTTTTAACACCCAATGATGATTTATGGTGAAATCAGTTATTACTATTATGGCTGCTAATTGATCATTTCTAATTCCATCGTTCTTTCCTCAGCAGTTGGCATTCTACTACAAATAAATCCCTTCTTTCTCATTTATCTATTCATTCATTTATATTAGTTTGTGCCATTGCATTTTTATTCTATTCCATTGATTATAAACTGAGATTTTGGATGCTCAAACAGCCCAGATTGGTTCATTGGAGCTCCTTCAATCTAGTATCTGTGTTTTTGGAATATGTCTCAAACATACTTTGAAAACATGTTCTTTTCCTACAATAAAATGAACCAGACTTATCTCATACTTTTTCAATTTCAGCCCTAGAATTAGCTATTTCTTCAGGAGAATTGTTTCTGTCTGCATTTTCTAAATTAATTTATTTAGTGGAAATTTTAAATTAGAAACCACATTTTGGTGTGTGATGGGCCCATTTTTATTATGATGTCCTTGTTCCCAGTTTCTGTCAACAAATAGAGATAGGGCATATGTATATACATACACACATATTTCTAGGAATCTCTCTATGTGTCTTATCTACTTAAAATATTATCTGTATCTGCTTATTTATGCAGCTTCCTTCTAGTCTTTCCCCTTGCATATTGTAGCTCCTTTTTCCAGCAGTGAGAAAGTTTCAACTATACTTACTACAAAATAATTATTTGCTGAATCCTAGAATATACAGAAAGTGGTTTCAGAATTGCTTACATACACATGCCACTGAAATAAATAGCTCTACTAACTAGAATTCATTATCTATTTTATTTATTTATTTACAGCTTTTTGCCTTCAGACTTAGGGTATAATATCAAAATATTTAGGTTCATAAAAGTAATAATTTTTCTTTCTTTTTTCCTTTTTACCTCCTTCAATATGGTTATTATTGATTTCAAATAAATTAGGTTCATTTGTTTATGTTTGCATGCCATTTAAAAATTTCCCTTATCATTGTTGATTCTGTTTATGTATTTGATTGTGTAAAACTTCAGCGTAATTTCAACAGTCAGAGCTGTACAACGAGTTATACTCAGAGAAATCTCGCTCACTCCCCCATACCCCTTGCCCTTCTCGTCCTGTTTCTAACATACTTCCTGTAAGTACCTAATCTCTTTAGTTTCTGGTTCATTCTTCCTATATTTATTTTTGGCATAAATAAGCAGATACATGAAGAAGTCATTTTAATTGCATATTTAATATTATATTTTCATATCTTTCTTCTCCACAGGCTTGTGATTCTATAGAATGAATATGAGATTTTATTCATACATAAATTTCACTGTGACATATATATAACATGCTTGAAATATAAGATTTTATTTAATATAGAATTAATGCATAAAATAAGCACATTTAAAATATGATAACAGCATATATGTATTTACATGCTATAATATATTATTATAGATAATATATATGCTATATATAATATATAATATACCTGTTACATAGATTCACTTAATATGTTTATTTTTTTAAAAGTAAATATACGTGCATCTACACAGAGTTCATAAGTATAAGTACCATTTCTTGTCAGGTAGTGGTGTTGGTGAAGTCATTAACCAGGAATGGCCGAGCTCATGATTACCATAGCTTATTTGTGTCTTTCCTCTCATTTATTTCATTGATTCTGCATGATTTTCTAACCTGCTTTGTTTTACATCTGAAGTGATTGACATTAGAGCTTATGTATATTAATTGTGGAGTGATTCTAGACTTACTGCCATTTTTCAACATCGCTCTAAAGTTGAGAGGACATATATATCAATTAGGTTTGTATTTCTATTGTACTTTTTTTCTGTTCTCATTTGGAATTACACTCATCTGAAAAATGCACAATATTCAGGAGAGGGTAATTTCTGTACATTTCTTCGATGCCTGGCTTTGATTGCCTTCTGCAAAATGCCTACTTTCGGGCAGAGTGGAATGGACAGAGAATGAACTGACAACCAGAGCTTTAGGCTTTTTGATCAGAGTTTATTTCTCAAGAATATTTTAAAGCTTCTGTGGGCCTTTAAAATGATTGAACTGAAGCTTAGACAGGAGGTATATTTCTTGTGTTATGTTTGTCTTTGTTTGCTAATTGCCCTTAACTGTAGACTTAAAAATGGCATGCATTTTGGCATCTAAATAGGAAGCATGAAGAGGACAGAGCAGGAAAAAAAGAGATAGGGTCAAGCTGAGGGTGAGTACTGGGAAAGCATCTGCTATGTCACATTGCACTATGCTGTGTTACACTGTCACCAATTTGTACATACTGCTCCCTTAGCCCAGAATGTTTTCTTCCTGCAGCTGCCTGAGAAACTGTATGTCCCCCAAATTTGCAAAGATATCATCTACCATCTGAAGCTGTCTCAGATTCATTCAAAATAGTAAATAAATAACTCCTTTGATAACCTATCAAATAACAACTATTACTCTCCTCTTTTCTGAGATGTGGACAGTGTTACTCAGAAAAGTTTATGTTAGATTTGTTCAGTCTACAAAACTATATAATGCTTATCTAGGGTAACACTGTCACCATTATAATTTCACATTTCTGACTTCATTGCACCATCTAGGACAATTCTATTACTGCATGAAGCACATTATATTTCAATTGTGTGATTTTTACTTCCAACTCCTGTGCTATTTTGTAGTCTCATAGATAGTCGAAAACTTCAGTGGTCCCCAACCTTTTTGGCACCAGGGATCAGTTTCATGGAAGACAATGTTTCCATAGACGGAAGTGGGGAGATGGTTTGGTGATGAAACTGTTTGACCTCAGATCATCAGGTATTAGTTAGATTCTCATAAGGAGTGTGCAGCCTAGATCCCTTGCATGGACAGTTCACAAAAGGATTCGTGCTCCTATGGGTATCTAAAGCCCTGGCTGATCTGACGGGAGGCAGAGGTCAGGCCATAAGGCTTGCTGGCTACTTACCTCCTGCTGTGCTGGTTCTTAACAGGCCAGGGACCATCAGAGGCCTGGGGGTTGGGGACCCCTGACAACTGTGTTTCATTTGCCTCTGTAGCCAGCTAGCACACTATTTGACACGTAGTTGATTTTAATAACTTTTAAAAATGAACAATGTTTCTGAAACTCCTAGAAATCTGAGGTGTGCCGAAGAAGGGTTTTAGAAACCATTGTTTTCCTGTTTAGTATGTTATTTTTATGTTAGATTTACTTGTTTTTCTTTCATTCATTTCTCCAAGTGCCATGAGAAAACTTACAGAGATATCAGGAACTCTACACAAAGTCCCTACAACTCTTAATTGGCTTCCTGGGTTTGATTACATTGGAGCAACACCTTTATTCTCTCTGCCAACCATATTCATACCACATAATGATCCTAAGTGCTTTATTTTTTAGACTGAAGGACAGCATTTTTTGCTCTCTGAGGTGTATGTGTGCGCGCTTGTGCATGTGCATGTGTGAGAGTGTGTATGTGTGTCAAACTGACTGTGGAGTGCTGATCATCACCCTTTGCATCTGATCTCTTACCTGCTGTGCAAAACATAGGAACAGCTTGATGGATCCAGTCACCAACAACATGCCTTCATTAATTATAGTAATTTTGTAGATTATAAGATGCCCCATGATATCACATAATTTATTATGGGGAAATTCAGTGCACATCTTCTTGGTTAATTTGGACATGAAGAGCCCATAACTCATAGGAACTTTTTCATGAGGAGTGGGACAATGGAAAAGCAGGTAGTAAGAAGTAGGCTGATACAGTGAAAAGAGTACTGGCATGTGAGTGTTTACTTGCTGGGTAATCTTGGCCAAGTGCTTCAACCCATCCTTGTATCAGAATTCTCATTTCTAAAGTTGTTATAATTATATCTACCTTTCCTTCCCCTCAGCGATGATGTAAATTTCAAATAAAGTAATATACAGCAATTTATCTATTCATTCATTCACTATTTCATTCATACGGTACACATGTATTGAACACTTGCTAAGTTCTGAGGTTACTAAAATTCACTTAAAAAGCTCCTCATCACAAAGAGAGGGAGAAAAAAAAATCACAGTAATATAAGAACAGTTTGGGTCATCATCTGTGTAAGAGCACTCTTAATTTAAATGACAAAGAAATATAAATTGCCCCTTCTTTTAGGGAACAAAATGACATCACCATTCGTTCGGTACTATAAGCTGGGAAGTTGAGGGTCATCTGACTCTCCCCTTTTTCTAATCATCCACTTTGTAAAAATAGGGAGTCCTATTGATTCTTCCTCCTTAATATTTTAAAAAATATGTTTATCTTTATCCCCCTTCTACACTACTGCTGATAACTCTCACCTGGATTACTACAAAATTCTCTTCCTTGACTGACCTGCTTTCTGTCTATTCCCACGAATTCATTTTCCTTGTGAAGCCTGGAAGATCTTTCTAGAAACAAATGTGATTTTGTCACTTCCCTTCTAAAATCCTTCAAAAAGCTTTACTTTGGTTTTAGAGTAAAATCTAAGCTTCTTAGCAGGGATTAAAATCCTTTTTATGATCAGTTGTCTCTCTTCTCTCAAAGTACCCAATATTTTTCCATGTATTTTCATGGCTATTTTCTTCAAATAATATGCAAACTTTCTGAAGGATCACGCTTGTATTTTAATTGTTGTATTTCCAGCAGTTAGAATGGCTCTTGTCCTGTGTGGTATTCAATTAATCCTTGTTGCACAAATGGATCTCCCTCTGTTTTTTTTCTTCCAGAAGCATTCGTAAGGTGTGTTGAACTAAAGTGATTTCCTGGGCTACTGCCACCATTTCTATCTCTGCTGATGATTGGAATTCAACCTATAAAAACAATAACGTTATTCAATTATATTTTATTTTTAAATACCTGATACCGTTAGGTAGTTAGTCTACATATTGCTATCATACTAACAGCAAAGCAGACATGATTTATATTTTTATATATCTCACATGATAGTGAGGAGCTTAAGGAATATTAATTTATAAAAATGAATTAAAATTCAAGTGCTCTAAAATGTTAAGGCATTGTTGAATTATTGTTACTGATTTTTACTGCATACTTTTCTCATGACATATGTTAGAAATGTGGCTAAAATGCCTCTTATAAAGTTTGTTCATGAAGTTATCACTTTTGATTTTACACTACTGTTTGTCAATTTTGCCTCTTCATTCTGATTATTGTAAATCCCCTGATCCTCCTTTAAAATATGTAAAAATATGCAATGCTAACCTAAACAAGAACATGATGAGTCAGGACATACAATAGCTCATTGATTATTTTAAGCAGTTGCTGTGTAATATATTTTAAAAATTAATAGTACCTACCACCACATGCTAAGCCAGCTGCCCTACACCAACAAAGATCAAGTTAATACAATTTGGTAAAATGATTAAACTGCTAAAATATACAAGGACAGTATTACTAAACTGTTATTCAGCTGGCATTAAAAGAGCTGCAGCTCTTTTCAATGTTCTGGCATTGAAACTTTCTGGCAGTCAGTGATTGTAAATCATTCCAAGTGCTTAAGCGTTCCTTTCACTAACAGAGGAATACGTATGAGGGGATCTTTTACATTTTCCTTCCCTTTTTCTACTTTTTTAAGGTCAATACCTCTTCTTAGAATCTTTTCATGGTAGCTTTCTTCTTCTTGTAACCTTGCCACCTAAGGCTAGCTTAGAAGCCTTTCTCTGTCCCTTCGTTTACCCTGTGCTTTTAATAATTATAAGACATGCTGTATGTACTGAAATTGTTTAGTTGTCAGTCTTTATCTCTAAAATATGAATTCATTGAGGGTAGCAAATACATATTTTTTCAATTTTGATTATTCATTAATAATAAATTTGAGATGTTGTTCAATAAAAGTCATTGTAAGATTTGGAGAATGGGGATTGAGATAGAAACAGATTATTAGTAAAAGTATACTACAAAAATCAAAACAAAACACATCAAATTTCTACCTCATATCAAAATTATTGGACATGTAAATGATGCATAGCTTTTAAAAGTCAGTCCAATTCAGAGTTAATTATCTTTCTAAATTGACACTAATACTCTCAAGAAGATATTTACATTTTGTGGTATAGTGGTGGTTTTGTCAATAAGATATCAATAGATAAAAACAGACATTTTTAGACTTCATAGTAAACTTCCAGTAACACTATTGATTTGTCTGCAAATTGAATTAAAAGGTATAGCTGAAGTTAGACACCATGTCAACACAACAATTTAATACAAAAAGTAGGGGGATGCTATCATGTATCAGTGAGACCAGAGGCTACAGATTCTCACAGATCTGGATTATAACTTCTAAAATGAGGCATCTGATTTTGAATCCCAATTCTGCCACCTACTCACTGTGCAACCCGGGGGAAATAAATTAATCTTACTGAAGTGATGATAATAATTTTCAGGACAGTTTGCAGATATGAATATTTAACAATAAGAAAACTAATATCTAGCATGTATTATGATCTTATAATTTATCAAAACCTGAGCATAGTGTCTTACATACTTGATTCTTCACAACAGCCCCATGAAATTGATATTAATCAGGTTTTATAGAGTTTAAAAAATAGATATTTGCAATGGTTAACAGACTTAACCGGATATACACAGCAAGTAATCAGTAGAATCAGGTTGGGAGCCTAGGGCCAAGTGACTTCACAACCAATAGCTCTAACCAACATATGATGTGGTTAAACCATATTGTAGACTTTCAATAAATGATGACCAATATAATAAACATACATTTGCAGCTGCTGAGCAAGAAATAGGGACCCTCTGATTTTCTCATTATCCATAACCTACTACTTATGACTTTTGAGTAAAAATCAATATTCCTATTGAAATTGACATCATTAATTGCTTAAACTCATGGTTAAACATTGGCGTTGTTATAAAAAGCATCGGGCTGAAATAAGAGATTATGGGGTTTTAGATTGGTCCTATCAAAAACGCTAAAACTCGTGATGAGAGCATGTACTCAGAACCCAAAAAATCAAAGTAGAAAACACCTTGCATTGAAATGTGTAACTCACCAGTTTGGGAGTATTTATATATGTTTGAATGTTTGGAAGCAGTACCCCATTTGCCCTTTCTTTCAAAAACATTTTACATGCTAAAACATAAGCCATTTTTTGTTTATAGAATTCAGAAATCTGATGGCACCTGCCCAATTACTCAAGGTGAATGGCCTTGAAATTGATCAATGTCCAATGAGTTATTAAAAATTGAGCAATGATTGGTGGAAGCAAGAGAAAATATAATTGATGCTCAAGATGTCTGAATTATAAATGCAATTGTATTCACTCAACACAATTCCCTAAGTCCCTGGGAAGGTTGATAAACGATATAATTTAAGATTATGGTAAGCCTATAAAAACTTGCAAGCCTGTGAGTTTGATGACTCTTAGAGACATTCTGGAGTGGATTCAAGAAGTTTGTATTTTTGTACTTGAGTGATTCAGAAACTCTAAAATCAGTAACAAAATTGAAGAAGAGCAGGGCTTTCAAATAAGCTGCATTATGGCTTGTCATTTTTTACTGATTGAGTTCAGCTCTAGCAGCATGGATAAACACAATGAGCAATAGTCTAAAGAGGAGATATTAGTTGAATTTCATGATCTACCAATAAGTATATGACTTAGGTTAAGTGACTTTACTTTTATTTGTACTATTGTCATTTTTGAAAAATAAAGATATTGTCTGGATCATCTTTAAGATCTTCTTACGGCAGTGAAAACTGAAATTCTCATCAGTCTTGTAGGAATGCTAGAGACAAACTTCCAATTCCTGTTTCCAGAGAAAACACATTTTATGGTGCCCAGTATAGGATTGAGCTCAATGTTAAGTAGATCTTCTTAATAAAGACCACTTTTTAAAACTTAGGAACAATTTACAGATAAATTGTTTAGCTCAACATATTGTACATAAGGGGCATCCTCATGACAGGAAAGGCATAATGAAGCCAAAGGCAAATTGAACCAGGTAAATGAATAGTGAATTAAGTCAGTTAATTATATATGACATTGTGGCTCAGTGTGGATATTCCCCAAACAATCGATTGAAAAAGAGAATTAGATGGCTTTTATAGCTCACTGTTAGTCTCGGTGAAACCAAACATGTGAGCTAGTTATTATTATACCACTTTATAAACGAAGAAACTCAAAGAGCAAAGATGCTCAGCTAAATTTATGCAGCTAGTAAGTCCTGAGACAAAAACTCAGAGTCTTCTGAAACCACCTCCAGCACATTTTTCCAATATACTATGCTGTACCACCATCTACTGTTTCTATTATCGTTTAAATATTTAAGGAGCTTTCTGGCACATACTCACCACATTCAGACTTAATGACTCATTGGGAACCACTCAGTTCACTGAAGTATAAATAAAAACCATTCCTTACAGTTACTTTATAATATAAGGAGAATCTTTAGAATGATATTTCCTACATCTAGTTCTCTGGTTGATATGCAATAAGGAGATAAATAGAATTATAGAAAGTAATTTGAAGTTTGAGGACTAGGGGACAAAATAAGGTACATACACCTATAAATATAAAAAACAAGGAAACATAAAAAGTTAGTCTGCAACTCCATTCTTTGGCATACTGAAAAAATTTACACAGTCCTTTGGGCTGCCCATACTTAATCAAACTTCAAGATATCCTCCTCACTTCCTGAATTGTTAGTTGAATAGGGTAACATTTGTGGAGTCAGATGGACATCAGTTTAAATTCTGATTTTGATATTGTGGATGTAATTAAATGTCAAAAACTCTGAGTACTGGATCCAATATCTGTTGGCTTTATGACGTTGGACATTTCACTTCATCTGTTATTTGCAAAGGGGAAGGGATAATATCTACTTTGAATGGGTATTGAGTGCATTGCACAAGGAAAAGTCTTTGTATATACTATCAGAAATATTTCACCTCACTGAGGGGTGGCTTTTTTATCTGTAAAATAACAGTGATTACTATGTAATGGGCAGTCATAAATTTGATAAAAGATAATCAACATAGAACACCTGACACAGACCTCCAATTAGAACCACTATTAGCATTGTCTTAATTGGTAGTTCCTAACCAAGGGTGTGTATCAAAAACTCAGCTGTATTGATGGACCACCTGCCTGAATGAGAGCCTGATCACAGACTCGGGATCTTTGTGAGAGTGTGTTCAGGGTATACATATATGTTTTTTTTTCAAAGATAAACACATAATTATCACCTAGGTCTGGTTAAAATCAAGTGGTCTAATTTTCTGGATCATGTCATTTTTATCTTCTCCCCCCCTCCATGTTCACTCATTTTAGATTACAGATTATGCCAATATGGTCCTGAAATACTTACACCCCATTGAACTTGAGCAATATAGCTGCCTGTAATGTCTATAATTAATACAAAGAACACTTAGGTTTATTTAAAATTTGGGAAGCCCTTTCATTTTATATCCATGAATCTTTGTTAAGTTCAAGAAAGTATTATTTTATTCTATTTTAAACTATTGTTTCTATTGTAATTAGTCTGGTTTCTACCACAGAATAAGTAATAAATCTTACGTTGGATTTCAATTTTCAGTGTTTCAAATTATTCTCTTATTATTTTTGTATTTTAATATTTAACTCAGAAACTTATTAGATTTGTCCTCTACATTCTGATTCAATTCCCCACCAAGTTTCCTTTGATATTTACTACCTTTAATGCCATTTTTAATTTTGTTATTTGATTTTGACTTTTTAAAACTTTTTCATTCATCTTTTTCATCTCATTCTTCTTTCCTTTCATCTTAAATTGTTGAATTTTCTCCTCAGCCGCTTATTTCATTGTGGATTTGTATGTGTTTCTCTAGTTGTAATCCAGAATTTACAATGGCTTGCTTTCCCTTCCTAACCTGTAAGATAATATTTAATTTTACCTTATTTCTCCATTTTTCCTATTAATCTCATATTGTTCAAGAAAAAACAAGTGCTTACAGTCCCCAGAGAAATCTCTATGGATCTAGGTTTGGTAGAATATAAATTGTGTAGATTGTCCTTACCTTATTTTTGTGCTGATCAAATCTCATTTTCTCAAGTAGACAGATGAATATTAGGCTACTGTTTACTGAAGTTGTATGCATGCTCATATGAGGTGTTTTTCCATTACCAGTCAAGTGTTCCTAGAAGAATTTCATATATTGGTTAAACTCCACCCTTTTGCCTCTCAGTGTGCATGCTGGGGCCCACTTGCCAAACTCCTGAGATCTTACTGGGAAGTTCTGATCACCAACTTCAGGTTTTTTCTATTGAAGACTGCTTTTCCTGGTGCCAGCTGTGACAATTATTATTTTATAGAGACAGTTTAATAATTGCCTGACAATTACCTGATGGTTGCCTGACATTTTTGGGGCAGGGGGCCTCTCCTTCCCTGCTTTCCTTGATTATGTCTGCCTAGCTACCTACTCTAACACAACCTCCAGGAGGTAGACTTTCCCTGCCTTAGTTTACTCTTATATATAATAAGAAAAATAAGTCACTATCTCATAGTGTTGGCAGGATTAAGTGAGTTAATTATGTAAAGCACATAGTAAGTCTCATTTAAATGTTTACTGTTTTCCTTAACAATAAGAATTGCTTTTCTATGCCACGCAGAGGTAAAAAGTGCCAATGAGCTCACTGGTCCTTTCTCTTGTAAAACAAATGTTTTCCACTTCCATAGAATTTTGCAAGTTGCAAAGCACTAGCAGAAAATATTAAAATCATGCACTTTGGTGTGAGTTAGTTTTATAATTTTGTCTAGGCTCTGTCACTTAGAATTGTGTGATACTGAGCAAGTCACTTAGCCCACGACTTAGCCTCCTTATCTCCAAAAATGGTTTTGATAATAATATCTACTCCATAGAACTGCTAGGAAAATTAAAGTTCAATAGAAATTAACTGAGTGTGAACAGTACTGACTCATCAAAATTCATAATAACAACATGAATAATAAAAAAATCCAAGATGAGATTAAATAATTAAAAAATGAGCTACTTAAAAAATGTGATCTAAATAGTATTGCTATTTCAGTTTATTTTTCTAACAGTAAAACTATACATCGTCCCTAATTTTTCCATCATTTTCTAGTTGAAGTCCAATTGAAACAGGGTGGTCACAGGAGAATAAAAAATTCCAGGCAGCAGTTTCACATGACTAGCAAAAAGAAACTTTGAAAAGCTGCAGAAGGTAGGGGCTGAAAAGACCCTCAAAAACGTGGTGTGGACCAAGCTGGTTAAGAACTACTGGACACAACACAGTACTGGATTTGACTTTGTTTTTATCTTGGACCCCTTTATATGGTCATTAGCATATTAATCACACACCTACCGGTACCATGACGGTTCCAAGAACAGCCATATTTGGTGTAAAAATGGGCGGCATCACAGTTCTGAGAAATCTCCACCTTTTCCCAGGAGTCTCCATGAATATTCCACCCCTCAGTTAAAGAAACCCATAAAGGTAGCAGCCCCAAATCCCCTTGCATGTGACTTTATTTTGAGTACACCCACACTCCCCTTTCTTGAGTGAGTACTTTTCACTTTGCAATAAATCTCCTTACTTTCACTATTTTCTGTCTCATTTTTGAACTCCTTCTCGCTACAATGTCAATGTCCTACTGGCATTTGGAGACCTCCCCCAGCCCACCAGTATCAGAGTAAAGTGATTTGCTTAAAATCAGAAATTGTGGATTATAGTAGATACTGAATTCCTCTTTATTGCATATTAAGTAAAACCCTCTCTGCTACCTCTTGGGTTTAATAAAAATAAGTATAATGTGACCTGAGGACCTGAGAAGTAGTTTTGAAGACAAACACATTTTCCAAAGCTGCATAAAATAGCTGGAAAAAGTCAAGCACTATATCTTCTTTAAGGTCATTCTGATGGTACTTTAAAATAAAATTAGCCTTTGGTAGAAACTTTATAAGGCATTACACCTGAAATGTATCCTTTTATTTTCTCAACAATAATGAAAAGTAGGCATGACGTCCTCATTTATGATATTTCTCCATCATGAAGATGAAGAAACTGAGGCTCAGAAAGGCTGAGTAACTTGTCTTTGGTCATACTGTTAACAATCAGGTCAGATCTACCTCACTCCAAATCCCAGACTTTTTCCACCACTTAACACTGATGCAAGATTAAAAATAAATCTAGTTTTTTTCCCTGCTAGGTCTAGCTAAAAAATCACCGAGAAATGGTTTCCAAGTGCTGCTTCTTTTTCTCCCTAAAAAAGGATTCTGAGGGATATAATAGTTTGAAACCCCTTTGTCACTTAACATTTCAAATATACTAACAGATGGCTTCTCCCAGCTCTAGGCAGATGATGGTTCAGAAATAAGTGGTGTTAGGAGATTTCTTAGGAACGCTCAGGGACAGGAAAGACAGCTGTCACAGAATATCTTAATTACAGCATTTACAAAGTTCTAATTAATGTAATGGTACTTTTATGATTATATTAATGTTATGACCATCAGGGCGTTTGTTGCTGAACTCATTTGGCAAGATAACTTGGAAGTCATTGCATATTTTAAGGATAACAACTGTTATATGAGCTTCAGGATCTCTTGCTTTACAGTAGAAATTTTTTTAAAAACCAAAAAGTACTTTATACCTAATAATGAAACAAAATATATTCTTAAAACATGCATTTTGCTGATAAATAAAAATTTAAAATGTTAGAAATTTAGACATTACACAATGAAAAATTATAGAACATATTGGATAAAGTACAGTGCCTTTAGATTCTAGATGTCTGTGTAGGTGTCAGCATATATTAGCTGTGTGATTCTGGACAAGTCATTTCATCATTCCTGGGCTTGATTCTTTTTCAATTAAATGGAAATAATAACAATAATATCTACTTATCTTTGGTTTTACCAGGAAAATTTAGGTTGTACCTAAATAATTTGTAGGTTGTAGTTTTTGTTGTTGTATAAGAAACTGTAAATTCTAATCTATCTGAATCCCTCAGTGGAAGCTAGATAAAACTAAAGTGGAAGTTTGGAATTTCAAATGCCTCATTTATTCACACAAATAAGTAAATTAGGGGTTTTCTTTTTAAATTTGTTATTGTCTTGTTTTTCTGCTATTTGGAGTAGAATGTACTTCAAGTAAGAAGTGAGAAGAGTCTTGGATTAGACAGAATTGAGTTTGAATATTGCCTCTGACACACAGTTATGTGATCCAGGTCATGTTCCTTATCCCTTCTCAGCAGAGTTACTTCAAATAAAAATTGTTTGGATGATACCACCAAATCCACAGTATTATTGTGAAAACAAATGAAATAGCATGTGTTAAAGCATCTGTACACAGTGTATGATACATACCACGTTCCCATCATGTTTTCTTTTTTCTCATTTTAGTAAAGCTGTGATTATTAGCTTTTAAATTGAAGATAGCAGTGTAGGACTCATTAATTTTAAACACTGGGACGTGATAAAGCTTTTAAATTTTTATTTGTAAATAAATTATTATTTGTACAATTATTTGTATCATATCTCTTCTAGTAGATTTTAAGTTTCATGGGAGGAAAACCATAACTTATTTACTCAAATATTCAAAAATGTCTGAATGAATCAAGGAATTCTACTTTGAGTTGTATCTTAAAATGAATTCAACCATTTTAGCACGCTGTACAGGGCAATATACATTCAGCAATAAAACATTTCAACTGAATTCACCATGAATTTCAGGACAATTACTAGGCCTTTTTTATTGCTAGTTAAATACACTAGCCATCTCTTTTGATAAGCCCCACTAACATAGCCTTCCCCTAATATTTTCTATCCTATCACCCTGCTTAGTTTTTCCATAGACAAATTGTAGTCTGAGCTTATCATTTTTGGTTATATTATCTATGCCCTCATCTCTCTCATTAAAGCTGTGAAATTTGTCTGTGTAGTTTAATATTGTATCCTAAATTTTTAACCTGGTGCCCAGCACACAGGAGGCCAAGAAGTGACCCATAAATATCATTTTCATGTCAGTCCCAGACAACTTAGCTGTTCTTTGTTACCATGCCATACTGGTTTCTTGACTATAACATAATTAGATGATTCAGCAAGAGGAAATACCACTCACAAAAGTACAGTTTGGGGTTACATGGATATACTAAAGAACCAGAGTAATGCTTACTAACTTAAATTATTTTAATGCTCATAGATTATGCCATAAAATGAGTTAAGCCAGATTGAAGAAGCTTATATAATCAAACAATATCATTTTAGAGACTCAAAATTCTAAGTGTTAAAGAAAACGGGAACTGGAAAGTAATAACACAAATTTTATTCAAAAACTATTGCAACAGAGGAAAAGAGACCTCCCTATATAAGACTGAAATCAGTTTTAAATATAGCAAGGACAAGTAGGTATTTATAACCAAGGAGTTGATTTGAGAGGTGGAGGAGTTTAGTAGATGGAAAATTACTAACAGGAAACATCAATGATAGGAGGAAGTCTTGATAAACTGACTTCACTCGAGGTTCTTCCTGAAGGCAGGCCTAAAATATCAAGGGTGGAGATTCCCAATAGACTGACTTAACAGGAGTCTTACTAGAACTTGGCTATACGAGCCTGAGAACAAGGCCCAAGGAAGAAGCCTAGTTGAGAAAAGGGCATAGATGGGCCTGACTGAAGTTTGTTCAAAGAGAGGGCCTTTGTTATGCCATACACTTGGCAGAGCAAATAAAATTCAATTATTAGATAGACTGAATCCATGAATTCAATTCTACTTTTGTTCCAGGAGGCATTTACTGAGCATCCACAGATGACAGACAATGTGATGAGTGCTGGAGATAGAAAGGAGAATAGATATAATTTTGACCTTCAAAGATGCTCAATATCTGGCATCTATCTATAATCTGGGACAGAAAATCATATGCTTTTAATGCACAGATTGGGAAAATATGGAGTGAGAAAGGAGCATTCAGGAAGACTCATGAACTGGATAATGCTTGAACTGAGCTAGAAGAATGCAAAGGAAATGGTGAGGATAATGACCTAGGTGTTGGCATGGTTGTGGGTTGAGATTTCCGGGTACAGTTAACACCGTATGCAAAGGCACGGGGCTGTGAAAGAACTGGGCCAATTGAGAAAACTAAATGCTATTGTGGCATTCAAGAGCTTCTGAGAAGTGGCAGGTGAGGCTGGGAAGTTAAGAGATGACTCCTGAGGAGCTCTTGGTCTCATTCTAATGAGATAGGCCTTTATGTCAATAAAAAGTAACTAAAAGATTTTAAGTAGGAAAGTTTTATGACAGGAGTTTATTGTTACTATTGCTGTTTTTAGAAAAGTCACTCTGCTGGGTAGATGTGAATGGGAAACTCAAGATGAGTTAGGAATATACTACAGAGTTCAGAAAAGAGATAGTGTTGACAGAAAGTAAGGCAAAGGTGGAGGGAAGGAAATGAAAGGGTTCATAAAGTAGAGGAGTGTGGTTGACAGGACTCGATTACTGATAGGAAGAAAAATAATGTAAAAGAGGAATAAAATATTAAGCTTACCTATAAGTAACAACTATTTTTTCTAGGTGGGAAATCAGAAAAGTCGACATTGGAGTTTTATTGGAGCCAACCTGAGGAGGATAGATAAGGTGTCAATAATCAGTAATGGTGACAAATAGTCACCTTTAGATAAAAGGGCCTTGCCTGTGCAAAGTCGCCTATTTGACCATGCACACGCAGGAAAGAATAATGTGAAATATCGTTCGTGTAGCTTAGCCAAATGCACCAATCAGTTTACAACATGCACAATGGGTTATTTTATTCATCTGGAATTTTCTGTTAAACCACTTACCTGTATTGACGGGTGGCTATGAAATACTTGCTTTTGTTTAATAATATTTCATAACAAATGAGAAAATTAGGACAGGTCCTGTTACTCCATAGAATTTTAATTACTTCATGTCAAATGTTGAAAAATTAGCATGCGTTCTAAGTGGTAATATACCACTGGTATCATTAAGTAAGCTTGCAACCTCATTTGTCTAACAGACATGGCCAAATTATTGAAGGGTACTGAACTTTGACAGAGCCAGGTGGCTTGAAGACAAATGAAGCTGAGAACATTGGCACCCATAGTATCTCTTTCTTTCTGGAAAGAAAAGAAAGAAATTGTACAGGTTATCTTCTTTTAATGTTCCCTGATTGATTCATCTTCTGTCCTCTCTGTCCTTTTCTTTTCTGCCGTATATTTTGAGGGGTTGACTTATAGAACTGCATCACCCATACCTCCCTGTCTTCTGGCTTCGGATCAGATTCACCCAATAGGACTCTAGCAAATTATCAGAAGACAAGAGGAAACAAATGTCAGAGCCTCCTTGCTTGAATCAGTACCACAGTTCCAGCAGTGCTAAATCACTTCATAACTGTTCCTCTTGTTGGCCATCTCCTCCTGTATGGTAACAGAAGTCACTGAGCTCCAGAAGCACTGTTCCTCCTCTTGCCCCTTCAAAGCCATACCCGTTTTTACCACCAGATTGACCTCTCTAAACCCTGCACTCAACTCTGCAAATTGTTTCTTCACTGATTTTTTTTCCAAATAAATTATTTTAAGTGAAATTCTGTGGCCTGCTGAGACTAAATCTAAAGCAGCAATTTTCATATATTGAATTCCTACTATGTGATATCATACTAGTAACTTTCATGTGCAATATCTCAATCTTCATGTTATCACTGAGAGTGAGAAAAAAATTAACTCCATGTTTTCTGATATAGAAATATAAACTCATATGGAACATATCCAGTGTTTAATAAACAGGAAGTGGGCAAGACACATTATTAGTTAGCATACAAACTTTTATATATCTTGTATATTTTCATATAATTACCCCTACATAATGATTTGATGATATTATAAAGTGTATGGTTTTTAAATTGTAATTTCAGATTTTTATTACTGTATACATAAGTATAATCACTGTATATTGTTCTCATATCTTGCAACTTTGTAAAAGCTTTTCTTTATAAATTTATTATGATTACATAGATGATTTAGTCATCAGGGAATAAAATCAGCTTTATATCTTTCTTTACAATCTGGATACTATTTATTTTTATTTCCTTGAATTTTGGCATTAACTAACCTTCAGTACAAAGTTAGATAGAAGTGGTGAGGGCAGACATCATTGACCTTGATGGAGGAGGGTAATTTGGACTTTCACCATTAGGTAAGTTATCTGTAGATTTTTCACAGATTCCCTTTATGAGGTTGAGGATGTTGAATTCTATTTATAGTTTGTTGAGGCTTCTCAGGAATGAATGATGAATTTTGTGAATACTTTGCATTTATTAAGAAATTATTATCCTGTTTCTTCTTTTAGTTTTATCAGTTTTTGTTTCTTGTATGACTAGTCTGTGTTATTAGATGTGCAATCTATCCCATGAACGTATATGCAAAAAGTCTAAATAAATTAGTAATAGCTAAGTTTGCCCATAGGTAAAAGGAGAATGCCCCAAAATAATGATGAAGTTTGGCCAGGTGCAGTGGCTCATGCCTGTAATCCCAGCACTTTGGAGGGCTGAAGCGGGCAGATCACAAGGTCAGGAGTTTGAGACCAGCCTGACCAACATGGTGAAACTCCGTCTCTACTAAAACTACAAAAATTAGCTGGGCGTGGTGGTGCGTGCCTGTAATCCCAGCTACTCAGGAGGCTGAGGCAGGAGAATCGCTTGAACCCAGGAGGAGGAGGTTGCAGTGAACCAAGATAGCACCACCACACGCCAGCCTAGGCAACAGAGTGAGACTCCATCTCAAAAAAAAAAAAAAAAAAAAAAAGATGAAGTTTATTCCTATTCTAGGAATCTAGATTTGCTTATAACACCTAAAAACTAGATAAAGTACTTCATACTACTATCAGAATAAAGGAGAAAAAGGCTATGATTATCTAAACAGATGCTAAAAAATGAGACTGTTAAAATTTAACTCTCACTTATAATAGAAACTATTGGGAAACTAACAATAGATGGAAACTTTATAATTTTTATTTTGGGTACCAATAAAAACCAGTGTCATTCTTAAAAAAATTCTGAAATGTCCTGCCTTGAGTCAGCAACAAAACATAGAAGCTCACTGTTGTCATTTCTATGTATTATGATACAGCATATTCTAGCCATGACTAAGATTTAAAAAATCAATAGCTAAAAGGCAAAATAATTGTAAAAGGAGAAATAAATGAAAACTTTTTAATATTCAAAAACGCCATTGGTCTGTATATAAAAGAAATATAATTATTAAACAAGTATTAAAATTAAGTGAATTAAAGAGTAATTTACTTACAAGTTTCATATGAAATTTCAATTTCTATATGCAATCAACAATTAGAAATTTAATTGCGAAGACATAATTTTTAGTAAGAGAAAATATTAAATGTATTTCAATGAATCTAACAAATGATGTGTAAGATATTTTCACAAAGAATTACAACACATTGGGAGAAAATAGCAGAAGACCTAAATAAAGAACAGGGAGTTTCATGTGTTTGAACTGACAGATACAATATTGTAAACATGTTAATCCTGAGCAAATTGATTTTTAGATTTGTTGAGATTCTAATTAAAATCCCAGTAGGAGTATGTGTATGGGGTGGGTCATAGAAGTTAATTATAAAATGTATATGGAAAGGAAAAAGACCAAAAACCCATACAGTCTTAAAGAAGTGTAAATTTAGAAGATTTGTGTTATCAATTATCAACACTTAAAAAGGTACAGTTAATTATTGACACAAGAAAAGAAAGACATGGAGAAGAAAAAAGAACAGAAAGACACACATAATCAACTTTTAATATATGACAAAGTTAGAACTGAAAAACATGGGAAAAAGTAGTCTTTTAAATAAGTGTTGAAGTGTCCACTGGATATCCACGTGGAAATAAATGAAACTGGACCCTTGTCATGCGATATACAAGAATATATTCAAGCGGATTATAAACTTAAATGTGAAATATAACTAAGATAGTATCTTGGAGAGATATGGAAGAGCCAAGATGGCAAACTGACACAACCAGAAAGAGGTCCTCCTACTGAGAGAACAGATTGTCAAGAAGACCAGCACACTCCAAACAGATCTTCAGAAAGAAGGCATTGACAGTGGATGGAGGGAGGACTCACACCCAGGCTGAATGGGGAGGAGGCTAGGAACCATTCAATAGTTGCTAAGCACCAGGAATTGTTCCTGGCCCTGAGCAGCTTCTAGGCAAGGGGTAAAAGAGGTGTGGAGTGGCCTACTCTCATCACAGACCTCTGTGATGCCCATGACTCCCATGGACATTTGAGTTGGCAAGGAGATCTGCCAGGAGAGTTGGCAGACACAGAACTCCAGCCTGAAAGAGCCCAGGGGGTTTTGTGTAGGAATAGCTGTAGTGGAGTAGGGCCATGCATACCCATCCCCCAAGGCTCGTCATTACTGTAGATGGCTTCAGCCTTTGTTGGCCAACAGATCTGGACAGAGCAGGGCTATTTTGCTTGTGGTATGGAAATAGTCTGATCTGAGCACCTCCTCACTTACTGGCCTCTCCCAGGATGCCTGCCTGGCAAGACCTTCTTGCAGCAGAGCTGCAGCTGCACAGCAGAGACACCTGCCAGTTGCCACTATCATAGCTTTTTGCCAGCAGACCCCACCTAACAGTTGGAGAGCTGTTGAAAATGGACACCTCCCAGTGCACACCAGCACACAGCCATAGGCCTGGTCCTAGCCTCACAGGGATAGAATATGCAGCCCAGGAGTGCTGACCTGAGCCTTGGCCTCCTGAAATCATCCAAGAAATAAGGTGTATTAACTAAACCAAATTTATACCACAGTCAAACCCTCAAGGGCACCAAAGAATATAAAAGCAAAAAGCCTTATTTAATGAACAGCAGTTTCAAACATTGAAGGAATATCATCCAACACAGACAAGAAAGACCCAGCCAGAGTGTCCTCTTACCTCCAATTGACTGTACTAACTCCCCAGCAACGGTTCTTAAGCAGACTGAAACAGTTGAAATGAAAGAAATAGAATTCAGAATCTGGATGGCAAAGATTCAGGAGAAAGTTAAAACCCAATCCAAGGAATCCAATAAAATTATACAAGAGCTGAGACATGAAATAGCCATTTTAAGAAAGAGCCAAACTGATCTGATAGAACTGAAAAACTATACGAATTTCATAATGTTAAAACAATCCAAAGTATTAACAGTAGAATAGATTAAGCTGCAGAAAGAGTCTCAAAGCTTGAAGGTGGATTCTTTGAATCAATACAACCAGTCAAAAAAATAACAATTTAAAAAATTCAATGAAATCTTCAAGAATCATGGAATTATGTAGAGACCATATGTCTGCAATCCTAGAAAGGGATGGAGAGACAGCAGGCAAATTGGAAAACATATTGGAGAATCATGTCTATGAAAATTTCTCTAACTGTTACAGAGAGGTTGAAATGCAAATTCAGGAAATTCCAAGAACCCTTGCGAGATACTCTACAAGAGGACCATTCCCAAGATGTGTAGTCCTTAGATTCTCCAAGGTAACACACAAGAAAAAAATGTTAAAGACAGCTAGAGAGAAGGGTCAGGTCATGCACAAAGGGAATCACATTAGGCTAACAACAGACCTTTTGGCAAAAACCTTGCAAGCCAGAAGATATTGGGGGCCTATATTCAGCATCCTTAAAAAAAATTCCAACCAAGAACTTCATATCCAGTCATGTTAAGCTACATAAGTGAAGGAGAAATAAAATCCTTTTCAGACAAGCAAAATGCTAAGGGTATTCATTACTACCAGATCTCCCAAACAAAAGGTTCTTAAGACAATGCTAAACCTGAAAATAAAAGACTACTACCTGCCACCATTAAAACACACTTAACAACATATCCCACTGTCACTATAAAGCAATTATACAATCAGGTCTACATACCAATCAGCTAACAACACAATGCCATAATCAAGCATTCACATATCAATATTAACCTTGAATGTAAATGGGATAAATGCCCCCCTTAAAAGGTACAAAGTGACAAGTTGGATAAAGAAGTAAGCTCTAATAGTATGCCATTTTCAAGAGAGTCATCTCAAATGCAATGACACCCACAGGCCCAAAGAAAAGGGATGAGGAAATATCTATCAAGCAAATGGAAAAAAAAAACAAGAGGGTAGAAGTTGGTACTCTGATTTCAGACAAAGCAGACTCTAAACCAAAAACAATCCGAAAGGACAAAGAATGGCATTTCATTATGATAAAGTTTTCAATTCACAAGAAGATTTAATTATCCTAAATATATATTCACCCAACACTGGAGTATAGGATTCATAAAATAAGTTATTAGAGATCTACAAAGAAACTTAGATAACCACGCAATAATTGTGGAGGACTTCAACACCCCACTGACAGTGTTAGACAGATAATTGAGGCAGAATGCTAACAAAGATATTTGAGACTTATACTTGACATTTGACCAAATTAACCTAACAGACATCTATGAACACTCCACCCAACAACAACAGAATATATATTCTTCTCATCTGCACATGGCACATACTCTAAGATCAACCGCATGCTCTGCCATAAAGTCATTCTCAAAAAAATCACAAAAATGGAAGTCATACCAAACACACTCTTAGACCACAGTACAGTAAAAATAGAGATAAGTTCGAAGATCTCTCAAAACCATACAGTTACATGGAAATTATCAACCAGGAAGTCTCCCACAATTATTGTGTCGTTATCTAAGTTTCTTTGTTAGTCTCTAAGAGCTTATTTTATGAATCTGATATCCAGTGTTAGGTGAATATATATTTAGAATAATTACGTCTTCTTGTGAATTGAACACTTTATCATAATGTAATGCCATTCTTTGTCCTTTTGGATTGTTTTTGGTTTAAAATATGTTTTGTCTAAAATAAGAATAGCAACCTCTACCCTCTTCTCTTTTCCATGTACTTGATAGATGTTTCCCCATCCCTTTCCTTTTGACATTTGATTTAAAAATGAAATTAACGTAGAAATCAAGGAATTCTTTGAAACTAATGAAAAATAACAGAGACACAGCTCTGGGACACAGAAGTGGGACACAGCTAAAACAGTGTTAAGAGAAAAGTTCATAGTGCTAAGCACCTACATCAAAAAGTTATAAAAATCTCAAATTAATAACCTAATATCATATGTTCAGAAACTAGTAAAACAAGAAAAAACCAACCCCAAAGGTAGAAAGAAAAGAAATTACCTAAATGAGAGCTGAACTGAATGAGATAGAGAAGCTCACAAACTAGAAAGCCTGGAATAAATGTATAAATTCCTGGAAACATATAACTTCCCAAGACTGCACCAGGAAGAAATTGAAACCTTGAACAGACCAATAACAAGTTTGACAATTGAATCAGTAATAAAAAAGGTACCAACCAGACAAAACCCTGGACCAGATGGATTTGCAGCCAAATTTCACCAGCTGTATAAGGAAGAGTTGGTACCAATTCTACTGAAATTATTCTCAAAAAGTAAAGAAGGAAGGGATCCTCCCTAATTCATTCTGTGAGGTCAGCATCATTGAGATACCAGAACTGGGCAGAGACACAATGAAACAAGAAAACTTCAGGTGAATACCCCTGATAAACATAGTTGCAAAAATGCTAGCAAACTGAATCCAGCATCCCATCAAAAAGCTAATGCACAATGCCCAAGTAGACTCTATTTCTCAGATGCAAGGTTGGTTCAAAACATGCAAATTAGTAAATGTGATTCATCACATAAACAGATCTAGAAATAAAAACCACATGATCATCTCAACAGATGCAGAAAAGGCTTTTGATAAAATTCAGCATCCTTTCATGTTAAAAAAAAAAAAAATCCTCACTAAACTAGGCATCGAAAGAACATACCTAAAAATAATAATAGCCATGTATGACAAGCCCACGGTCAATATCAAACAGAATGAGCAAAAGCTGGAAGCATTCCTCTTGAGAACTGGAACAAGACAAAAATATCCACTCTTACCACTCCTATTCAGATAGTACTGGAAGTCTTAGCCAGTGCAATCAGGCAAGAGAAAAAAAAAAAGAAATGCATCCAAATAGTAAGAGAGAAATTCAAACGGTATCACTTCACAGGTGATAATCCCATCCAAGAAAACCCCATAGTCTTTTCCCAAATTCTCCTAGAACCAATAAACAACCTCAGTAAAGTTTCAGGGTACAAATTCAGTAGCATTTCTATCCATTAATAAGGTTCAGGCTGAGAGCCAAATAAATAATGCAATCCCATTCACAACAGCCACAAAAAGAATAAAATACCTAGGAATACAACTAATTAGGGAGGTGAAAGATTTCTACAAGGAGAACTACAAAACACTGCTGAAAGAAATCAGAAATGACAAAAACAAAGGGAAAAACATTCCATGTTCATGGATAGAAGGAACCAATATTGTTAAAATAGCCATACTGCCCAAAGCAATTTACAGATTTGATGCTATTCCCATCAAAGTACCAATGTTATATTTATAGAATTAGAAAAAAAACTATTATAAATTCATATGGAACAAAAAAAGAGTCTGAATGGTAAAAGCAACCTTAAGCACAAAGAACAAACCTGGAGGCATCACACTACTTGACTTCAAACTATACTATAAGGTTACAGTAACCATAACAGCATGGTACAAAAACAGACACATAGACCAATGGAACAGGTTAGAGAATCCAGGAATAAAGTTGCACATCTACCACCATCTGACCTTCGACAAAGTTAACAATAACCAGCAATGGGAAAGGGACTCACTATAAATGATGCTGGAAAAACTGGCTAGACATATGAAGAAGATTGAAATTGGACCCCTTTCTTTCACTGTATAACAATTAACTCAAGATAGATTAAAGACTTAAATGTAAAACCTAAAACTATAAAAAGAACCTTAGCCAAAAACCTTGGAAATACTGTTCTGGACATAGGCTTTGCCAAAGGTTTCATGATGAAGACTCCAAAAGCAATTGCAACAAAAACAAAAACTGACAAGTGGGACCTAATTAAACTAAAGAGTTTCTGCACAGCAAAAGAAACTTCCAACAGATTAAACAGACAACCCAGAGAGTGGGAGAAAATATTTACAAACTGTGTATCTTACAAAGGTCTAATACCAAGACTCTACAAGGAAGTTAACCAATCAACAAGGAATAAACAAACAATCCCATTAAAAAATTGGGCAAAGGACATGAACAGACACTTCTCAATAGAAGACATACACATGGCTGACAAGCATGTGAAAACATGCTCGGTGTCACTAATTATAAGATAAATTAAAATAAAAACCACAGTCAGACAACATCTTATACCAATCACAATGGCTATTGTTAAAAAGTCAAAGAATAACAGATGCTGGCAAAGTTATGGAGTAAAAGGAATGCTTATACCCTGCTGGTGGGAAGGTAAATTAGTTCAGCCACTGTGGAAAGTATTTGGGAGATTTCTTAAAGAACTTAAAACAGAACTACCTTCAACCCAGCAATCCTATTATTGGGTATATTAGGTAAAGGAATATAAATCATTCTACCATAAAGTCACATGTATGCATATGTTCATTGCAGCCCATTTCATAATAGCAAAGTCATGGAATCCACCTAGATGCCCACGGTGGACTGGATAAAGAAAATGTAGTATATATGCGCCATGAATTACAACACAGCCACACACACACACAAAAATGAAATCATGTCATTTGCAGCAACATGGAGGCAGCTGGAGGGCATTATCCTAAGCAAATTAAAACAGAAACAAAGTGTCAAATATTGCATGTTTTCACTTATAGGTGGGAGTTAAACATCGAGTACACATGGGCATAAAGAGGGGAACAATTGACACCAGGGCCTATTTGATGATGGAGGGTGGGAAGAAGGTGAGGATCAAAACTACCTATTATGTACTATACTCACTACCTGGATGATAAAATCATTTGCACACCAAACCGCTGCAATAGGCAATTTACCCATGTAACAATCATCCACATGTAACCCTGAACATAAATAAAAGTTGGAAGGAAAAAAAGATAGTATCTTAATGAGCTTGGAGTAGCCAAATATATCTTAAACAATCCACATAATTAATTAACTATACAGAAAAGATTAATAAATGGCACTACATTAAAATTAATTGATTCTCCTTCCAAAAGACTTCATTAGGAGAAGAAAATAAAAATCACAGTTAGGACATGGTCATTAGACATGGTCATTACAATATTTAATTCATATTCACTATAACTAAATAACTTGTATAAATCAATAATAAAAAGATAATTGTATGGTGTTTCTTGAACATAACAACTTACCATAATCTTAGTAGCTTAAAACAATGTAAATTTATAATCCTGCAGTTCTTCATGTCAGAAGTGTAGTACAAACCTGACCGTGCTAAAATCAAGGTGTAAGCAGGCCTGCATTTCTTTCTGTAGGTGCCAAGAATGAATATTTCCTTGCTCATTCAGATGTTGGTAGAATTCAGTTCCATGCAGTTGTAGGGCCGAGGTCTCCATTCCATTGGTATCAGCTGGGGACTGCCCTTGCCTCCTAGAGGCGTCTCTCCAGTTCTTTTAGGGGTATATCTCAGAACCAATCATGCAGGGGTATATCTCAGAACCAATCATGCAGGGTCAGATCCCTCTCACAGTGACATTTCTTTGACTAACTTTTCTGCCTTCCAGTTCTACTTTTAATATCTCATGTGATAAATCAAACTCAGTTACTTAGGATAATTTCCCCTTCTCAAGGTTTTTAACTTTAACCATATCTATAAAGCCCCCCTTTTCTATATAAGGTATCATATTCACATACGTACAGGTTCCAAGGATAAGGGTATGGACATTTTGAGGGCACATTGTTCTGCCTATTTACAGCAATCAACCAAATTAGAAAATAAGCAAGTGACATAACAGGGTGATCACAAATTAGGATACCCCACTGGCAAGTTAACATCTGAAAAATGAATTATTTTCATTAGTTAGTTAGAAATGCAAATTAAAACTATAAGTCAGTGCTACTCTATACCCACCAAAATGGCTAATTAGGAAGACTGAAAATACTGAGTGTTGATGAGGATAAGAAAAAACTGAAACTCTCATCCACTCTTAATGGTAATGCCAAACCCTTTTGGAACAACATTTGGCAGTACCTACTAAAGTTGGATATATGTACAGCTGGTCCCTAACTTAATGACTGTTCAACTTATGGTTTTTTGACTTTATGATGGTTTTATTGAGATGTTACCTATCATAAGTCAAGGAAAATCTGGACTGATGATATTTCAACTTGCAACTGTTTGACTTTATGATGGGTTTGTCAGTATATTAAATGCAATTCTGACTTATGACTTTTTCAATTTATGTGGGTTTATTGTATGTAACATCATCATAAATCAAGGAGCATCTGTATAACAAAAAGAGCCCATTCATTCAAATTCTAGGTACATTCCCAATAGTGCATAAATATTCACCAAAACATATGCACAAAATATTCATGATGGCATTATGTGTAATAGACAAAATCTGGAAATAACAAATATCCAGTAACAGTAAAACTACTAAATTATTGATGCATTCTTACAATGGAATGACATGCAGTAATTGGAGAGAAGAAATGATTATACTTCATTAACAAAATGGATAAATCTCATAAACATAATATTGAGTAAAAATACCAAAAACAAAAGAGTATATATACTGCACAATCTCATTCTTTATATATTTAAATACAAGTGCAATTTTCTGTGGTGTTAGACATCCAGGTAGTGATTACTTTTTGGAAAAGGATAAGGCACTTCTAAAGTGCCGTCAGTACTCTATACTTGATCTTTATATGGCTTTGTTCACTTTCTGAAAACTCATCAAGTTTTACATTTATAATTTTTTTGGCTTTTTTTGGTATTAAATTATATTGTTAAAAAGTGGAAGGGCTCTCATTCCTGGGAAATGGATGGGAAGAGAACATTTAAAGTCAGAAGCACAATCTGGAGCTATTTCTTTTTAACTTTAGCAATATTCAGATATCTTTTAAAATAAAAACACTTCTCCTAAATTATTCATGTTCTAGGGAGCTCAGGACAAACAGCTTTATGTGCAACAACACACAAATTTTGCAAAACAATGAGTCTAGGAAAACAAAAGAGCAAAAACCAAAACAACTCCGAACAACTTAGTACATAAGCAAGAGCCTGTGGATTAGGGTGAGAGTGGAGAAATGAGGGCGAATGTAATTGAGCCAAGAGTATATGGCAGGTTCTTATGCCCTTATTTAACTCAGGTACCTTTTTTGTGTATGTGGTAGGTGAAATATAAATAGGTTAATTGTATTTATATATCAGGAATGAAAACCATGTTTTTATTTGAGATGTAGTGCACTGAATGTTCCTCTGCCATTCCTGGGATTTCCAGGCTTTGATCCTCATGGTCTGGTGAGCAGCAATCATGGGCACAAAATCAGAATGACTGATATTAACAAAATGTTTGTTTAAAGATAGCAACAGAATAGGTTTTGAAAAGTAAGAGTTAATTCTTGGTTTTTATACTTGTATGATACTCATATAAAAATAACATAATAATGTAAATCACCAAGATGAGTTATTATGTATGTTGTTGCATTTTTTTCCCAGTAATGGCCCTGCTAAATGTATATAATCATCCTGATTTACTGTAAAGTTGAATTTCTGAAACATTGTGTTTCCTCAGAAGCCTACTCTACTGAAGTGAAGTGATAATTCTCTTTATAATGCTCCACCTTCCCTTGCCTCCACTGTTATCTTAATCCAGTATTGTTCTTTATTTGACTTTTTATATATCCTGTCTGTAGATTGAACTGTTTTAATGAGAGACCGTATTTTTTTAATATCCTGGGGTCTTATTTGAATGACTGGCATACAGGAGACTTTCAATCAATACTTGTTGCAAGAATGAAAACAATATGGACACTGGTAGTAAGAGTGGCCAACTTCCCCCAAAGCAAAAATCAGCTACATGAAATTTGAACTCAACATTTTCGGGTTCTAATTCCAAACTTTTCTTTTAACTCATACTAAATAGACATCAACTTCAATGCATTTTTCAATTTCTGAAATTAAAAATGGAAATAACTTCTGTCCCTAATACTTTCCCCTCATTTTCTCATATCCACTTTTGGATTCGCATTGGGCTTGTCAAGGTTCTTGATGCCCAGGAAATAATGCACATGGGCAAATGCCAGTTTTATATAATTTAGGAGAAAGAACTGCATTTGAGGTAATTTACATAAAAATAAAATTTGTGCCCATCCCTGCAGAATAGGCTGTTGTCATCAGAGCACAAATCAATTTGTTTGATCCTAACTTTAAATTTCTGTAAATCATTACATAGTTCATAATCACATTGATGTAACTGAATTGAATTTGCAGAGATTATTCTGTGTGAGAAGGGACTTTCAGCTACTTAAATTGCTGCCATTAAACAGATAAGGGCTTTCAAGTCTGACCTCTGTTTTACATTAAATTTATGGCCTAATTTTCATTTCTCTCTAGGTTCTAAATTCCTCAAATGAAGAAGCCACAGATCCTTCACACTTCATACTTTCATATTGACAGGTGCAGAGTCAAGGGTAAAGGAAGATGTGCATTCAGATGTGATGGGAGCTGGCATGGTAGCTACTGAGTTAAGCATATAGGCTTTGGGGTCAGTCATCCCTCTTTATGAATATGGGCTCCTTCACATAATAATAGTTTGTCTTTGGACAAGTTGCTGAGTCTCTCTAAGCTTCAATTATTTCATCTGTATTATGTAGAGAGTATGACCTCACATAATTCTTGTAAGATTTAAATGTAAGTACTTAAACCAATGCTTGTTAAATGGTAAGCGCTTTATGTCCTCCAGTATTGTCATTGTTTTGCTATTAGAAATTTGAATTATTAGTTCTAAGTGCCACAAAATCAACAGCTTCAGAGTAGGATAAATTAGGAAAGATCCAGGCAAAAATGCTGAGCATTCAGTTTCAGCGTTCTGTGATACAAAATATTTACGTTTTCCTCACACCTTACAAATTTTATAACATTTTCATTTAACTTATTTTCTTAGGTATCTCACAGCAATTTTGATCAGAAATAGATCATACTATTTTTTTGATTGAACAGATGGGAAAACTAGGGCTCTGAGGTTAAATTATCTAATTTAGGTGGTAACATGAGGCTGGCACTTGAGTGTTTATTCTATTTTAAGTTACCTTACTAAGACTCAGCTTTGCTCTGCTAGCCCTTTGAGTAAGTAAGTGGATCAAAGTGAAAGGATCATATTAGTAGTAAAGTTGTTACTCCAGTGACTGACCAGAAGTGAAACTGGGGATGGATTAATTTAGGGAAGTATTCAAATATGACACAAAAGGTGACAACAGTTGATGTCTTTTTCAGGATCATAAATAATTCTGCTACATAATGTGTAACTCCTTCATTTATTGATTCAGTATCTTAGTGTAAAATTACTGAAGTACTACCAACTGCCATGCACTGCGTTACTATCCTAAGCACTATGAGGAATTATATAATGAACTTAACATACATCTTTATCTTCAGCCAACAACACTTGTGACATTCATTTAGAAGCCTTCTGAAGAGTGATATTCCAAACAAAATGCAGATGAAAAGATGTGAATGCCTTTAGTCTGTTTGATTCTTTATTGGCAGAAAATGTTTCATTTTTTGTGGACTTCCTGAAATACCATCCTAGAACTACAGGAACAAGTTCTTTATACTGGAAAAAGGAAACTAAAGAGAACGTTTCTCTCTTTCCTAATTACAGCATGGTAGAAGCAGTAATAGTTAAATAAAATACTTAATGACAGTTTTTTTTCTCAGTTATCAAGAATGAAGTATATCTCTGATCTATATTGAAATGATATTTTCCATTAGAAACTTTGTGCATCTGACTGGTGGTAGTTATTATTTTCATCAAAATTATTCTTACAATCATTTTCAAATGAGAGATTTACTTTAATAGGATAAAAGCAAAGTCATTTTAGATGGCTTCACCTTGTTATTGCTTTTTATCTTTATATTTACATAGGACTATCAAATATATGTCATACGTACATTAAAATACATTCTGTAACAATATGGGTGATAATATTTTTTAAAAATATTCTTTGTTTGTGAAAACTTAGGAGAAAATACCGAAACAAGCAAAAGGGAAGTTTTGCATAGTCAAGGAAGGTGTGTATGTCACAATCTCAGGAGAGTGAGAGCTCTTCAGTTCATGAATTATAAATCTGTGTGGGCATAAATGTAATATGTATACTTGTATTTTTTATTAATTTATTCCATAAATACGAGTACCTACAGTGTGCCAGATCCTATGCTATATTGGTTAGTTCTTTTAAGACAAAAGTAGCAATAATTATATTGCCAGGAATAAAAAAGCAGTACGTATTTGGTGCTTCATGGAATGCTGAGTCAATTCTAATGTATTAGAATGGAAAGAAAAATAAAATAAAGAAAGGAAAAAAATACATGTATAGGAAAACCTAAATTTGCATGTGTTTACTAGAAAGTAAACCTGATGAAAATAAGACAGAACATTTGAATAGGTCCAAATTAAAATTTCAAAGTGACATCTTCCTACTAGAATGAAATATATCCGGATCCTAATGAAATATTGATTGGTAAAATGGATTTTCTAGGTCTAGAAAATATAATTGTTAGTTAAGTAAGCTTCTAGGATGTTAGATCAAAGAGATACAGAATTGGAACTTTTGAGAGATTATACATTCAAATAATCATGAAATTTCCTGCATTATTGTGAATGTTACTTGGCACTTTGATTGAATCATGACAGTTATGAACAGGAAGGCAGGCATGTATGTGCACATGATTCTGTGTGTGCTTCACAATTAATATGTGCATTACAAATGTTATTTTCTAGTAATTTTTATTTTACCTGAGATGTCTATCCTGAAATTTCATATTTATAGAAATAATTTAGCATTAAATTTGACTATATTAACGTAGAGACTAGGAAGAATCAATGCCTACATGGTCAATAATTTAATGGTAAAATAAATGATTCAGAGTGAAGACTGGATGATCAGAATAAATAAGACAGAAGAAGAAACAGACAAGGGCATGTAAGAGCTATCCTCAGCAATTCTGAGTCTCTTCAATGCTCTGTAAGGCAAGATAAATGGTGAAGTCCAGAATTATATTTATAGGAATCTACGTAATGTTTGAGGTGTATATTTGTATATACAATAGTCCTCCTTTATCAACAGGTTCAATTTCTGTGGTTTCAGTTATTCACAGTCAACTCTGGTCCAAAAATATTAATATATTTTGAGAAAGAGAGAGACCACATTCACATAATCTTTATTACAGTATATTTATTACAGTATAATTGTTCTGTTTTTTATTAGTTATTGTTAATTTCTTACTGTGCCTAATTTATAAATTAATCTTTATTATAGCTATGTATGTATAAGAAAAAACATGGTAATATATAAGGTTCAGTACCATATATACTATGTTTCAGGCATCTCCTGGGTATCTTAGAATGTATTCCCCATGTATAAGAAAGACTACTGTATTTTTCTCTTAATTGCTGAGGAGTAGTGATTAAGACCAGGGACTCTGAAGTTGGACTGTATAGATTTATATATGGACTCTACTCCTGACTTACTGAGTTACTTTGAATAAATTACTTAACATCTCTGTCCCTCAAATCCTAAACTATAAAATGAGGGTAATAATAATAATTATCTCAGAGGTTTGTGAAGATTAAAGAGATAAAAGTAAAACACTTAAAATAATTTCTAGCTCCTGCTCACAACTCGGTGTTACTATATAATAATTAATAATAACAGTATAGTAACACTACTACATTAATCCATTATTATTATTTCACATAAAAAAAGCCATTCTTCAACCATGAAAGTCTTTGCAGCTAAGAATGTTCCAAGTTGATTTCCTTTGCAAGTACTTCCTTCTTCCCACCTTTTTATCCTCAGGTAAAATAATGACATTACGTGTATGAAAAACCAACTTTCAAAACTTCTGACTCAGCAATTTCATTCTTGAAAATGTATCCAAAGTAAATAAGCTGAAATATATTGGAGCTCTTTTCTCAAAGTTGTTAATTACATAATTCAGGTTTATAATCAATCAAATCAAACATCTAAATCCTCCAACATGTTACAATAAGTTTTTAAGGCATGGTAATGAAGTATAAAGATGTATAACAGAAGTGTGTAACAAGTTATATTTAAAAGAGAGTATATGAAGTACTTTTTTCTGAATCAACTGTTAGTCCTTTCAGGCTATTGTAACCAAATACTGCAGACTGGGTGACCTATAAACAATAGACATTTTTTTTTCTCACAGTTCTGGAGGCTGGGAAGCCCCAAATCAAGGTGTCATGAGATTTGATGTGTCGTGAGGTCCCACTTGTTGGTCCATAGATTTTTGTCTTTTTGCTGTGTCTTCGCATGGTGGAAAGGGAGGGAATACCTCTGAGCATTTGTGACTTTGGTTCCAGATCACCTCAAGAAAGTGAATATTGCAGTAAAGTGAGTCACTTAACATTTTTGGTTTCTCAGTGCATATAAATGTTATATTTACATTATACTCTAGTCTATTATGTGTTCAATGGCATGTATAAAAACAATATATATGCCTTAATTAAAATACTTTTTTGCTAAAATATTCTAACAATAGTCTGAGTCTTCAGCGATTTGTAATCATTTTGCTGGTGGAGGATCTTGCCTCTATGTTGATGGCTGCTGATGCATCAGGGTGATAGTTGCTGAAGGCTGGGGTGGCTGTGGCAATTTCTTAAAATAAGACAGCAGTGAAGTTTGCCACATCCATTGACACTTCTCTTGACACAATATGTTTCTATAGCATGTGAGGCTGTTTGATAACATATTTCCCACAGTAGAACTTCTTTCAAAATCAGAGTCAATTATCTGAAACCCTGACACTACTTTAACAACTAAGTTTATGTAATAGTCTAAATTCTTTGCTGTTATTTCAACGATGTTCACAGCCTCTATCAGGAGTAGACTCAGTCTCAAGAAAACACTTCATTTGTCTATCCATAAGAAGCAACTCCTCATCCATTAAAATTTTATCATGAGATGGTAGCAGTTCAGTCACATCTTTAGGTTCAACATTTAATTCTAGTTCTCTTCCTATTTCCACCACAGCAGTGTGACTTCTTCCTTTGAAGCCTGAAACCCCTCAAAATCATGCATGAGATTTGGAATCAACTTCTTCCAAACTTCTACTAGTGTTGATAATTTGACTTCCAAACTTCTACTAGTGTTGATAATTTGACTTCCTCCCATGAATCACAAATGTTATTAATGACATCTAGACTGGTAAATTCTTTCCAGAAGATTTTCAGTTTATTTTGTTTAGGTCCATCAGAGGAATCCCTATCTAAGGCAGTTATAGCCTTACAAAAGTTATTTCTTAAATAATAAAACTTGAAAGTAAAAATTACTTCTTGGTCCATGGGCTGCAGAACAGATCTTGTGTTAGCAGGCATGAAAACAACATTAATAACTTGTACATCTCCACCAGAGCTCTTGAGTGATTCTCAATGGGGTAATATTTTGAAAGGAATCTTTTCTTTTGAGCAGTAGGTCTCAACAGTGGGATTAAAATACTGAGTAAATCATACTGTAAGCAGATGTGCTATCATTCAGACTTTGTTGTTTCATTTGTAGAACACACACAGAGTAAATTTAGCATAATTCTGAAGGGCCCTAGGATTTTCAAATTGGTAGATGAGCATTGGCTTCCACTTAAAGTCACAATCAGCACTAACTGCTACAGGAGAGTCAGCCTGTCTTTTGAAGGTTTAAAGTCAGGCATGAACTTGTCTTCTCTATCTATAAAAGTCCTAGGTGTCATCTTCTTCCAAGAGAAAGCTGTTTCATGTACATTGAAAATCGATTATTTAGTGGAGACACACCCTTATCAGTGATCTTGTTATAGGGCCAACAGGTTTGTATGCCTGCTTTATAGTAACAGATTAATACACTGAGATAACAGGTTTTGCAACAGATGAAGAGTTTAATGACGCATTCACTGAGTGAGGAGGTCCTCAAATCCATCTCCCAGAGGAATTCTGGATGGGAGTTTTTAAAAAGATTGTAGAGAGTGAACAGCTGGAGAATGGGAGTCATTTCTTGGTCCGGGTAAGGGTGATAAAATCATCAGGATGTAGCATTATTTGATGAGTCAAGTCCTTATAGGTTCCTTAAGACCAAATGATGTCAGTGGTTTTATTGGTATACAAGACCTAAAAGAATACTTCAAATGAAAAATTAACATTTCAGATTCTTTTTTGAGATTACAGGCCTACACCTTTCCTTCTTTTTATTTTATTATTATTATTTTAAAATTTTTTGTGGGTACATAGTATGTATATATATTTATAAGATGTTTTGATACAGGCATGCAATGTGAGATAAACACATCATGGAGAATGGAGTTTTCATCTTCTCAAGTATTTATACCTTGAGTAACAAACAATCCAATTACACACTAAGTTATTTTAAAATATGAAATTCAGATATTATTGAGTGTAGTCACCCTATTGTGCTATCAAATAGTAGCTCTCATTCATTCTTTCTAACTATTTTTGTACCAATTAATGATCTTCTCCTCCCCTTCAGTGCCCCACTACCCTTCCCAGCCTCTGGTAATGATCCTTCTAATTTCTATGTCCATAAGTTCAATTGTTTTGATTTTTTAGGTCCCACAGATAAGTGAGAACAGGCAATGTTTGTCTTTCTGTCCCTGGCTTATTTCATTTAGCATAATGATCTCCAATTCCACCCGTGTTGTTGCGAATTAATGGATATCATTCTTTTTCATGGCTCCATTGTGTCTATGTACCACATTTTCTTTATCTATTCATCTGTTCATGGATACTTAGGTTGCTTCCAAATGTTATCAGTTTTAAACAATGCTGCAACAAACAGGAGTGCAGGTATTTCTTTAATATACTGATTTTCTTTCTTTTGGGTATACACCCAGCAGTGAGGTTGCTTGATCATATGAGAGCTTAATTTTTACTTTTTTGCAGAACCTCCAAACAGTTCTCCATAGCAATTGTACTAATTTACATTCCCACCAACAGTGTACAAGGGTTCCCTTTTTTCCACTTGCTCACCAGCATTTGTTATTGCCTGTCTTTTGGATATAAGCCATTTTAACTGGGGTGAGATAATATCTCATTGTAGTTTTATTTGTGTTTCTCTGATGATAAATGATGTTGATTACGTTTTCATATGCCTGTTTTCCATTTGTCTGTTATTTTGATAAATGCCTACTCAAATCATTTGCCCACTTTTTATCAGATTATTAGATTTTTTATAGAGTTGTTGGAGCTCCTTATATATTGTAGTTATTAATGCCTTGTCAGGTGGGTAGTTTGCAAATATATTCTTCCATTCCTTGGGTTGCCTCTGCACTTTGTTGTTTATCCTTTGCTATACAGAAACATTTTAACTTAATATGATCCTGTTTGTCCATGTTTGCTTTGGTTGCCTGTGCTGTGGGGTATTGTTCAAGAAATTTTTTCCCAGACCAATGTCCTGGGGATTTTCACCAATGTTTTCACATAGCAGATTCATGGTTTGAGGTCTTAGCCTTAAGTCTTTAATTCATTTTAATTTGATGTTTGTATACAGCAAGATATAAGGGTCTAGTTTCATTCTTCTGCACGTGGATATTCAGTTTTTCCAGCACCATTTATTGAAGAGACTTTCTTTTCACCAGTGCATGTTCCTCACACCTTTGCTGAAAATGAGTTCATTTTAGATGGATAGATTTGTTTCTGGGGTCTCCATTCTGTTTCACTGGTCCAAATGTCTACATCTGTTTGTATGCCAGTACCATGCTGTTTTGGTTGATAAAGCTCTGTAGTATAATATGAATTCAGGTGATATGATTCCTCTGGTTTTGTTCTTTTTGCTTAGGATAGCTTTGGTTATTCTGGGTCTTTTATGGTTTCATATAAATTGTGGGATTGTTTTTTCTATTTCTGTGGAGAATGTCATGAGTATTTTGACAGGGATTGCATTTAATCTGTAGATTACTTTGTGTAGTATGAAGATTTTAACAATATTGAGTCTTCCAATCCATGAACATGGAATATTTTTCCATTTTTTTGTGTCCTTTTCAATTTATTTCATGACTGTTTTATAGTTTTTATTATAGAGATCTTTCACTTCTTTGGTTAATTTCTAGGTATTTAATTTTCTGTGTGGCTACTATAAATGGAATTACTTTTTTAACTTCTTTTTCACACGGTTCACTGCATAGAAAATTACTACTGATTGTTGTATATTGATTTTGTATCCTTCAACTTTACTCAACTCTTTTTTAAATCAGTTCCAATAGTTTTCTTGTGGAGTCTTTAGGTTTTTCAAAACAAAAGATCATATCATCTGCAAACAAGGAACTTACGACTTTTTCCTTTCTAACATGGATGTTCTTTACAACTTTCTCTTGTCTGACTGCTGTGGATAGGACTTCCAGTACTATGTTGAATAACAGTAGTGATAATGTCTTCCAGATCTTAGAAGAAAGGCTTTCAGTTTTTCCCCATTCAGTATGATATTAGCTGTGTGTCTGTTGTATATAGATTTTATTATGTTATGGTGTATTTCTTCTATCCTCAGTTTTTTTAGGGTTTTTATCATAAAGCAATGTTGAACTTTATCAAATGATTTTTCAGCATCTAGTGAAATTATCATACAGTTTTTATCATTAATTCTGTTGAAACTATGTATCATATTGATTGATTTGCATTATGTTGAACCATCCTTGCATCCCCAGGGATAAATTCCACTTGGTTATGATGAATAATCTTTCTCATATATTGTTGATTTTGGTTTGCTAGTATTTTCTTGAGGATTTTTGCATCAATATTCATCAGAAATAGTGGCCTTTTTTTTTTTAATGTGTTTTTGTCTACTTTTGGTACCATGGTAATACCGGCCTTGTAGAATGAGTTTAGAGTAATTCCCTCCTCCTCTATGTTTTTGGAATAGTTTGGGTAGAATTAGTATTAGTTCCTTTTTAAATGTTTGGTAGAATTCAGCAGTGAAGCCATCAGGTCTTCGTCTTTTTATTTCTGAGAGACTTCTTATTATCACTTCAATTTTGTTACTTGTTATAGGTATATTCAGGTTTGGATTTCTTCCTAGTTCGATCTTGGTAGTTTGTTTGTATTTAGGAATCGGTCAATTTCTTCTAGATTTTCAAATTTATTGGCATATAGTTGTTCATAGTAGCCACTAGTAATCTGAATTTTTTTCATTATCAGTTGTAATGACTCCTTTTACATTTCTTATTTTATTTGGATATTCTATCTTTTTTTTTCTTAGTCTGGCTAAAGGTTTGTCAATTTTGTTTAACTTTCAGAAAACAACTTTTTGTTTCATTGATTTTTGTATTGTTTTAAATACCAATTTCATTTATTTCTACTCTGATCTTTATTATTTCTTTTTTCTACTAATTTAGGGTTTGGTTTGCTCTTGCTTTTCTAGTTCCTTAAGCTGCATCATTATATTGTTTATTTGAAGTTTTTCCCCTTTCTGATGTAGGCATGTACAGCTATAAACTTCCCTCTTAGTACTACTTTTGCTGTATCCCGTATGTCCTGGTATGTTGTGTTTTTATTGCCCATTGTTTCAAGAAATTTTTCAGTTTTCTTCTTAATTTCTTCATTGACCCACTTGTCATTCAGGAGCACATTGTTTAATTTCCATTATCTGTATAGTTTCCAAAATTTCTCGTTATTAATTTCTAGTTTTATTCCATTGTGATCAGATAAGTTGCTTGATATTATTTCTATTTTTTTGAATGTTTTCAGTCTTGTTTTGTGGCCTAGCATATGGTCTATTTTTGAGAATGGTCCATGTGATTATTTACTGCTAATTAATGTCCTTTTCTTCCTTATTCAAGTACTCCCTTTAGTATTTCTTATAGGTCAGGTCTGGCAATGATGTAATTCCTCAGCTTTTATTTGGGAAGGTCATTTTTCCTTCATGTTTGAAGATTATTTTCACTGGATATACTATTCTAGGGTAAAAGTTATTTTCCTTCAGCACTTGAAATATGTTACACCACTAACTTCTGGCCTGTAAGTTTTCCACTGAAATGTCTGCTGCCAGATGTACTGGAGCTCTATTGTATGTTATTTGTTTCTTTCTCTTGCTGCTTCTAGAATCCTTTTTTTATCCTTGACCTTTGAGAGTTTGATCATTAAATGCCTTGAGGTAGTCTTCTTTGGGTCAAATCTGCTTGGTGTTCTATAACCTTCTTGTACTTGTATATTGACATCTTTCTCTAGATTTGGGAGGTTTGCTGTTGTTATCCTTTTGAATAAACTTTCTACCCCATCTCTTTTTCTATCTGCTTTTTAAGGCCAATAACTCTTAGATTTGCCTTTTTGAAGCTCTTTCCTAGATCCTGTAGATGTGCTTTATTGTTTTTTACTATTTTTTCTTTTGTCTCTACTGAGTGTGCATTTTCAAATAATCTTTCTTCATGGTCACTAATTCTTTCCTCTGCTTGATCAATTCTGCTATTAAAGGACGCTGGTGGATTTTTCAGTAAGATAATTGCATTTTTAAATTCCAGTATTTCTACTTGACTCTTTTTAATTATTTCAATGTCTTTGTTACATTTGTCTGATAGAATTCTGAATTCTTTCTCTGTGTTATCTCAAATTTCTTGGAGGTGCCTCAACACAGCTATTTTCGATTCTCTGTCTGAAGATTACATATCTCTGTTTCTCCAAAATTGGCCCCTGGTGCCTTATTTAGTTAATCTGGTGAATTCATGTTTTCCTGGATGGTGTTGCTCTTCAGTATCTGGGAATTGAAGAGCTACGTATTTATTTCAGTCTTCACTGTCTGTGCTTATTTGTAGCCTTCTTTCTTGGGAAGGCATTCCAGATATTTGAAAGGACTTGGGTATTGAGATCTAAACTGTATCTACTTTAGGGGGCATCCCAAGCCCTGTAATGCTGTGGTTCTTGCAGACCCATAGAGTTACTGCCTTGATGGTCTTGGACAAAATCCAGGAGAATTATCTCTATCACCATGTAGAGACTCTTATTCTCTTTTCTTAGTTTCTCCCAAACAAACAGAGTGTCTCTCTCTGTTCTGAGCCATGTAAAACTAATAGTGGAGTAACACAAGTACCCCTGTGGCCTCTACTGCTATGACTGTGTTGGGTCAGACCTGATGCCAGCACAGTGATGGGTCTTGCCCAAGGCCTTCTGTAACCACTCCCTAGTTACTGCTTATGTTCACTTAAAGCCCTGGGGCTCTGCAATCAGTGGGTGGCAAAGCCAGCGAGGCCTGTGTTCTTGCCCTCAGAGCAGCAAGATTGCTCAGGCTCCAGTGGGTCCAGAGGTGCTTTCGAGGAGTCATAAACTAGAGTAAAAAACCTTAGAAGTCTACCCGGTGTTTTCTTGTATTGTAGCTGAGCTGGCACTCAAAGCATAATACATAGTCCTTCCCACTCTTCCTTCCTCTTTCCAAAGGCAGAGGAGCCTCACCCTGGAGCCACTGCCACCCCAGTGCATGAGGAGTACTGTCAGAGTACCAACGAATTTTTCCTTGTGGCCCAAGGGCTTTTATGTCAGCTTGTGGTGAATGCTGCCTGGCCTGGGCCTCAGCCTTCAGGACAGTGGGCTGTCTTCTGGCTAACAGCAGGTCCAGAAATGCTGGACAAGAGTCTAGTCCTGGAATTGGGGACCCCAAGAGCTGACTTGGTGCTCTGCTCTGATGTGGCCCAGATGATATCTGAAGCCAGCACATCTAGAGACTCACCCAAGGCCCTCAGTGTAATACCTGGGCATTACTGCTCATTATTCAGGGCCAAAGGGCTCTTCAGTTAACAGGTGATGAATGCTGTCAGGACTGGGTCCTTTCCTTAAAGGCAGCAGTTTCCCTTCTGGCCCAGGATGTGTCTAGAAATGTCATCTGGGAGTTAGGCCCTGGAACGGGAGCCTCATGCCTCTGCCTCATGCCCTATCCTGCTATGGCTGATCTGATATCCAGGATGCAAGTCAAAGTCCTCCCCACTCTTCCATTCCCTCTCCTTTGTTAGAAGGAAGGGGTCTATTTTGGATCCATAAGCTGTGCAGCCTGGGTTTAAGGAACTGGTGCTGCGAGTACTCCCTTGGTTGTCCCAGCTTATGTCTCAGTATGTCACATGTCCCCCTCATACTCCCTAGTCTACTGTCTTTGGGCCTGGCTCAGCTCTAGGACTGTATTAGTCTGTTCTTACACTGCTAATAAAGACATACCCGAGACTGGGTAATTTATAAAGGAAAGAGGTTTAATTGACCCACAGTTCAGCATGGCTGAGGAGGCCTCAGGAAACATACAATTACGGCAGAAGGGGAAGCAAACATATTCTTTACATGGTGGTATGGAGGAGAAGAATGAGAGAAGTGCAGAGCAAAGGGGAAAAGCCCCTCACAAAACCATGATATCTCATGAGATCTCACTCATTATCATGAGAACAGCATGGAGGAAATAAAACCATGCTTCAATGACCTCCCACAACGTCCCTCCCCCAACAGGTGGGGATTACAGTTCAGATTACAATTCAAGATGAGATTTGGGTGAGGCTGCAAAGTCAGACCATATCATTTCACCCCTGTTGACTCCCAAATCTCATCTCCTCACATTTCAAAACACAGTCATGCCTTCCTAACTGATTCCCAAAGTCTTAACTCATTCCAGCATTAACCCAAAATCCTATTTTGAGTCCCTTCTGCCTATGAGCCTGAAAAATCAAAAGCAAGTTAGTTACTTCCTTGATATAATGGGGGTACAGGAATTTGGTAAATACATTCATTCCAAATGGGATAAACTGGTCAAAACAAAGGGGCTACAGGCCCCATGCAAATCTGAAATCCAATAGGATAGTCATTAAAACTTAAAGTTCCAAAATGATCTCCTTTGACTCCATGTCTTATATCCACGTCACCCTGATGCAAGAGGTGGGCTCTCACAGCATTGGGCAGCCCTGCCCCTGTGGCTTTGCAGGGTATAGGCTCCCTCTTAGCTGCTTTCATGGCTGGCATTGAGTGTCTGTGGGTTTTCCAGGAGTGTGATGAAAGCTGTCAGTGGATCTACCATTCTGGGGCCTGGAGAACAGTGACCCTGCTCTTACAGCTCCCCTGGGCAGTGCCCCAGTGGGGACTCTGTGTGGGGGCTTTGATCCCACATTTCCCTTCTGAACTGCCATAGCAGAGGTTCTCAATGAAGGCTCCCTGCCCCTGCCTGCCCCCCGTACCCCACCACAGCAGACTTGTGCTAGTCATCCAGGCATTTCCATACATCCCCTGAAATCTAGGTGCAGGTTCCCAAACCTAAATTATTGTCTTCTTTGCACCTGTAAGACCAACACCAGGTGGAAGCTGCCAAGGCTGGGGGCTTGTGCCCTGTGAAACAGCATCCTGAGGCCCCTTTTAGCCACAGCTGGAGTGGCTGTGATGTGGAGCTCCAAGTATCTAGGCTGCACACAGCAGGGGGACTCTGGGTCTGGCCTATGAAACCATTTCTTCCTCCTAGGCCTCTGGGACTATGATGAGAGGGGCTACTGCAAAGGTTTCTGACAAGTCCTGGGGACATTTTCTCCATTTCCTTGGTAATTAACATTCAGCTCCTTTTTACTTATGCAAGTTTCTGCAGCAGGCTTGGATTTCTTCCCAGAAAATGAGGTTTTCTTTTCTATTGCATCATCACGCTGCAAATTTTCCAAGCTTTTATGCTCTGCTTTCTCTTGAACACTTTGTCACTTAGAATTTTCTTCCACCAGATACCCCAAATCATTTATCTCAAGTTCAAAGTTCCACAGATCTCTAGGGCAGGGGCAAAAAGCCACTAGTCTCTTTGCTAAAGCACAGCAAGAGTCGCCTTTGCTTCAATTTCCAACAAGTTCCCCATCTCCATTTCAGCCTGAACTTTATTGTACATATCACCATCGGCCTTTATGTCAAAGCCATTCAACATGTCTCTAGGAAGTTCCAAACTTTCCCAAATTTTCCTGTCTTCTGGATCCTCTAAGCTATTCCAACCTCTGCCTGTTACCAAGTTCTAAAGTCACTTCCACATTTTGGGTATCCTTACAGCAGCACCCTACTCTACCAGTACCAATTTACTGTATTAGTCCATTCTCACACTACTAATAAAGACATACCTGAGACTGGGTAATTTATAAAGGAAAGAGGTTTAATTGACTCACAGTTCTGCATGACTGGGGAGGCCTCAGTAAACTTACAGTTATGGTGGAAGATGAAGCAAGCATGTTCTTCTTCACATGGTGGCAGGAAGGAAAAGAATGAGAGAAATGCAGAACAAATGGAGGGGAAAACCCCTCACAAAACCATCATATCTCATGAGAACTCATTCACTATCATGAGAACAGCATGGGGGAACCACCCCCATGATTCATTCACCTCCCATGAAGTTCCTCCACCAACACATGGGGATTACAATTTGGACTATAACTCCAAATGAGATGTGGGTGGGAACACAGAGCCAGACCATATCAAGTAATCTCCTAAGAATTGCAGTCCTTATGGCCTAGACTGCCTTTTGAATTTACCTGGAGGCACAGAGAGCACTGTAGCCTCTGTTGTGAGGTTTGCAGGTACTCAAATTCAGATTGTTGGGCTTGGAAATTCCCCTCTGACTAGGGCTGGTTTAAATGCTTCCTCCATGGGTAGCCATCAGCTGAGTTTGGTTCAATTTTTCTTTATACTCTAAAAGGACAGCACTGAGTTCAGTGGCTCACAATTACTATGTTCTCCCTCCCACGCACTCAGAAAGTTCCTTTCCACCACGCCACCACTGCTAGGGGTTGGGGGACTGTTTTCTCTATCTCTTTTTTTTATATTTTCTGTCCCTCTTTCAGCAATATGGAGTTAAAACCAGGTATTATGAGTGCTCACTTGATTTGGGGGTCTTACAAAAATGTTTTTTCTTTGTAGATAGTTGCTAATCTGGTGTCCTTTGCTGGGAGTTGGGGGATAATGACTCATGGAGCCTTCAATTCTGCCATCTTTTTCCACCCTCAATCTTAGAACATTTAAATTGTTATCTATAGAGCAGTTGAGCAGTGAGAGTCTACGTGATTGTAGGTCCATAGGGTCCAAACAACTAGGAGAAAGCAAGTCAGAGAGCAAGCTGACCTAATAACCTAATTGAATGTGGACAAGCTTGGTTTATTTTCGTTTCTCCCCTCCCTTCATTCTTGATTTATTTTATAAAATTTGTAGGGTCAGTTTCAATCTTAGCTAGATCTTCTGGATAACTTGCTGCAGCATCTACATGAGCACTTATTTCTTCACCTTGCAATTTTATGTTTTGGAGATGGCGTCTTCACTTAAACCCCATGAGCGAACCTCTGATAGTTTCAAACTTTTCTTTTGCAATGTCCTCACCTTTCTCAGCCTTCATAGAATTGAAGAGAGTCAGAATTTTGGTCTCCATTGGCTTTGGCATAAGGAAATGTTGTGGAAGATTTGTTCTTTAATCCAGACCACTAAAACTTTATCCATATCAATAATAAAGCTGTTTTACTTTCTTATCATTTATGTGCTCACTGGAATAGCAATTTTCATTTCCCTCAAGACTTATCCTTCGTTTGCATTCACGGCTTGGCCAACTGATAAAGTCAAAGTGTCTTAACTTTCAGCATATCTCAGCATTCAACATGCTTTACTCACTAAACTTAATCATTTGTAGCTTTTGATCTAAAGTGAAGGACTTTTTCTTTCATTTGAACCCTTAGAGGAGATTGTAGGGTTTTTAATTGGCTTAATTTCAATATTGTTGTGTTTTAGGGACTACGGAGGCTTAAGATGAGGGAATACCTGGCCAGTGGAGCAGTCAGAACACACACATTATTTATAGATTAAATTCTCTATCTTATGTGGGCATGGTTCATAGTGATCCCAAACAATTACAGTAGAAACGTCAAAAATCACTAATCACAGGTCACTGTAAAAGATATAATAATAATAAAGTTTAAAATATAGTGAGAATGATGAAAATGTGACACAGAAGTGTGAAATGAGCACATGCTGTTGGAAGAATGGCACCAATAAACTTACTTGATACAGGGTTGCCAAAAACCTTCAACTAATAAAAATGCAATATTTGCAATGTGCAATAAAGCAAAACAAAATGAGGTATGACTGTATTTGGACATTAGGTTTCAACATATGAATTTGGGCAGGACACAGATTCAGATGGCAATCTATTCTTTCTAAGTTTCCTATAACCATTTATATATGTGAATATATATATATATATATAGTGTATGTATATATACATTTATATACATGTATGTATATTATGTGTGTCTGTGTGAGTATCTGCTTGTATAAAAAGATACTGTATAAGCAACTAAATTTATTCAAAACTATCTAAATCTAGCTTTGGACAATGTGAAGTCCCATGACACTGGAGTAAATTTAACTCCAAATTTTCTTAACATAATTCAATGCAGCCAACACTATGGTTCAGGCCCTGATTTTATCTAGTTATAGCTTAGTTTTTCTCAGACTGAATTTCATATTACACTAGGTCCACAGACATTTCTGTGATCAGATAAGTTTGGCAAATGCTGCAAATCCTGTTTCCTTATTGGAGATTCACTTCACATATTAGCAAAATCAAGGTTTTGCATTTTCTTGCAGTTAAATACATACATGTACATTTAACCTTGCTGAGCCTAGGTTTCCAAAATGTGCTTGACAAAGAAAAATTTAAAAAAAAATTACATATGAATATTCTTTACTCAACCTTCTGAATGTCACCAAAACTAAGAAATTTTATCAGGATCATTATGTGCACACATAACACAAACCTATTTGCATATCTCGGCATAACTTCCCTTAGTCTTTAGAAGCTAGGAAGGAAAAAGGAAATGTATTGCCTGTGATTGTGGAACTGCTGCGTGTGACACTGTCCAAGCAATGCAGAGTCCTCTCAGATCTGAAAGCTCACTTCTTACTGGGCCATAATTTTTAATTCCCTGAATCACTGTTACCATTCTTTAAGAATTTAACCAGTAATTTATAAACTTCAGTTTATGAGAATGTGGACAAACCTCAGGCATTTCTAGTTCTTAAGTAATCGCTGTATCAGCAAGATCATATTCTCCTCCAGGGGAATAAAGCAATGCTAGGAACAAATGTTTTGAACAATATCTCTGTCTTTAGCTTTTCATCATTCCAGAAAGCCCATGGCTTCATTCAGAAGAGTCACAGTTCTGTGAAACACACTTAGGAATACACTGTCCCACTCTATAAAAATAAACTAGAGCAATTTTTTTTCTTCCCTTCTTTCTCTATCCCAAACCATCCCTCACAGAACCAGTGTTTTGAAAGTGAAGAAACTGAGATTCAAAAACAAAACCAAGGCCTGGCTCAGTGGCTCACGCTTGTAATCCCAGCACTTTGGGAGGCCGAGGTGGGTGAATGAGGAGGTCAGGAGATTGAGACCATCCTGGCTAACATGGTGAAACCCCGTCTCTACTAAAAATACAAAAAATTAGCCAGGCATGGTGGCAGGCGCCTGTAGTCCCAGCTCCTTGGGAGGCTGAGGCAGGAGAATGGCCTGAACCCGGGAGGCGGAGCTTGCAGTGAGCTGAGATCGCGCCACCGCACTCCAGCCTGGGCGACAGAGTGAGACTCCGTCTCAAAAAAAAAAAAAAAAAAAAAAAGGCTTTCCAAATAGAACTTAGTTGGAAGTAGGGAAACTAGAACTCAACTTTAACTAAACATTAATTGAGCACCTGGTGTATACATAGCATATGTTATATAAGATAAATTGAACACAAACAGTGCTGTTTAAATACTTAACTATAGCACAATAGTTAAATGCTACAAAATAAGTAGCATGTGCTTATTCATATTTGTTCAAGACATATTTATTAAATGCTCACTGTGCACTTTCCCAAAGCTAGATGCTCTCATTAACAAATGTTAAAAAGATAATGTCTCTGTCCTTGAGGCGATTATGATCTACTGTGAGAGTCTACTATGAATGAATCATCTCAATAGTTTGGTAATAATAATATTAGCCAAATATTTTAGTGCTTATACTTGTTAGGTCCTATTCTAACTTTGCATATAGTATTCAATCCTCAAAACACAACTTTAAGGGGAACTCTATTTTTCTTCATAGTATTCAGACATGGTTAGTGGAGCAGAAAGTGTTTAGAATAGCATGTCCAAGGTTATCCAGCTAGAAAGTGGTAGAGCTGGAATTTAAATTCAAAAGTTCTGACCTGGGAGTCTACAATATTAATTCTGTGCCAAATTGCGTTGAGGACCTCTTGGGAAAAGTTAAGCTCTGATTGATATAGGTCTAACACACATAAAATAACTGGAAAAGACTTAAGACTTGGAATAATATTCTTTAGGTAAAGTCATAAAAGTTTGAGGTGCACAAGACAGATCCAGCTTCTGCCTGTTATCAGATGTCATGTCCGACTTAGTATGTTTCTTAGATTCTTCATTTATTTCACTGAAATATCGTTATTAATGACACATTGAAATAATTAAATGTAGTAGTCTTTACTTGATAGTTCAGAGCTCTGCCACGATCTGGCATATGAGATGCATGGGAAGCATCCACAATTCTCATGCTTTACATAATTAAATTTGAAAGATAGTCCAAACTAACCTGGTTCTCTTTTCCTGATGCTATCTAGACTCAGAGAAGGACGATATGCAGAGCGATGGCTGATAAAAAGGACACACACTAGAAAACCGGCCATCAGACACAACTAATTCCTTTTTTTGGTTCTCAGTTAGTGGTATTTGACAGTGCTGCCTTTGATGGCTACATGGTGGACTGGGTAATGGATTGTGAAAATCACAAGGATGTCAGACTGCCAGTGGTAGCTTCAGTGAGGAATGTGGAGAAATACAAATTAATAGGTGTTAAATATGTGCAGGAAATTGAGACTGAGGCATCCTGCTTTATAGAGAATGGAGATTTGTCTAAATGTTCTTGTTATGATGGTTTTGTTGTTTATTGAATGACATATGCCTATAACTATTTTATTATTTAATAATACTGTGATGTTTTAATGTAGCTCATTTCAGCAGCAATGAGCTCAATAAAAGGAGAAATGAACTTGTGTAAGAATTTGTGAAGCCTTTAATTTCTCCAGAAAGTTGTTAATAAAATGGAACTTGAATAAAATATTTCTGGCCCTGAATATCTAGTGTGGGGGCTGTAGTAGTGTCAACAACTACATGAAAGCCAGAAGACACAAGAAGCATTAACATCTACTTCTGCAGTTTGTTTTTATTTTAGAAGATTAAGCCTAAAGGCATCAATTTAATACAGGCTATATCACAAAGTGATTTACACCTCACTCTGTGAAGCATGGCTTTTGATTACTTCAGATGATTGTTTTTCAAAATTAATTTTGCTCACTTTTGTTTCCAGTATTCTTGTGGGTATATGTAAATTGTGGTAATATCTGGTAATGCATTAGTTCTACTTGCAGAAGAACATATAGTTAAATAATGTCAGTTTTATATCGGTGGCATCTGAGGCTTCAAATAGAAAAACAACTGATTTGTTTCCAATAATGGTTCAAATTTTCATCTAGTTATAGAATAAGATTTTGGAAGTTTATCCTATCCAAAATTAAACATCTGATTATCTTGAGTTATTTCATAAATTTATTTAAAAAGTTAAATAAGAGAATAAATAATTTGTTTTTGCAGTGATATTTCATATAAAATTTATTTGAGCATTAGTAAACTACTATATCGGAAAACCTGGTGAGAAAGTTGATCAAATGAATTGTGTCGCTCTTGTCATATCCTACTAAAACACATTCAAGAGGTCAGGGTTAGAAGTTCTCAAGGCACATAACACTGCTCCAAAAAATGTAGTTTTCAGCAAGTCTGTCTGCTGTACCTACCTAATGTAACCTGAAACCAGTTTTATCTAATGGCTACTGATATGATCTGCTGCAACTCTAACATTGATTTTAGCCAACTATCGCCCACCAATCAAAACTTTCCTGCTCTCTAGAAGCTTAATAGTGCCAATGAACTTTCTCAAAGAGCAATACATAACCTTTCTCTTTTTAATAAAAGCTTTAACCTTTGCTTTTTTCTTTGGATGTATCAAAGACCACCCTGACTTCATGTATGCCCTGAATTACAATTCTTTCTTCTGAAATAAAACATTTTATTTTCAGAGATGTGTCTCAATATTTTATTTGACTTCAACACTGAGGAATTAGATTCCATGGGTAACTAAATTATTAAAATGAGAAATGCAATGAATAGATATGTACTCATAATTGGTGGTGATGCACAAATAATTTATTAATTTACTCAACCAAGCTGCCATATTTGCAACAGTATGAACTTACAGATATTTAAGGGTGCCAAGATATTATTAAAAATATTCTTCAAATAAACAGGGACTTCAAAATTTTAATAACAAAACTGATGTTGACTAGAAAAAAACATACTTCAATGTGGTGGTGTGCATTATATTTCTTTGCTTCACTTTTCAATGTATACAAATATATTCTTTAAAGGATAGGTTGTAATTTTGTTTGTATTTTGAACAAAATCAACTGGAGATTTTTAATCAAAATATTCAATGAATGGAGACCCAAAAGCTCCAGCTTTTCAAGTTTCAGTGAATTGCATTTATTGAAGACAAAGTCTGCAAAGAAAAAAAAAAAGTTAGTCTGTACAAAAGCAAAGGATAAACTGAAAATAAGAATGAGTTATTGAATAATTATAACACACTTATTGTAGTTTTATAATTGAATTTTGAAATATATGAATGAGAGAAAAATTTTTTTAACTGGAGAGCCTATTTTAATTGAATGTTTATATTTGTTACTGAAATAAAGATAAGCATTTCTACAATTTTATAGCATTTAAATTTGGCAGGTCATTAAAAAAATTGCAAACAAAAAACACGTGTGATGGCTTTTTCTTGTAAATATAATAATATGAAAAGTGTTTTAAAATAAAGGCAAAAAGACTATAGTGTGAATATATTTTAGCTGATGTATTAATACATTTCCATTAGAAAAATGTTAGAATATCTATTTAGGAGAATTTGCTTTGCCTTGACTATGTAGATCAGCACCAAATGAAAAAATATTTCTCAATTAAAAATTATATTTATATCACATAAATATAATATTAATATTTAAACATATATCCTAGAACAATAAGTTGAAAGATTATAACTATAAAGCACAATTTTAATAAAGATTGCAAGAAAGTTTATGACAAAATTTTAATTAATAAAACTTTCTTATTAAAAGGCATCTTTTTTACCCCCCCAAAATATATTGCATATTAATACCAGATATAGCCAAGCAATTGAAATATATAAATATACTTTTAAAATAATCTTATTATTAGATAAGCAATATAATGTATTTTAAAATATATATCCTGCTTTAATTTACATGATTTTTAAAGAAAAATTTAATAGTGAAAATAGTTTATAATAAAATACATTTTATCACCCTCTTCAGAAGTATGTTACATGATTATGCTAACTGTTGAAAATAAAAGGTGCTTAGGAATTTAGGCAAAGGAGGATGCAGCACATACTGAGGTGTTTTATAATAGTTTCAAGTATATTTGAGCTGAAAATTTCATACTTCCTAAGAATTTGCTATTTTGGACTGTGGCAAAAATAAGTGTTTAAAAATTTATTCTTTTAGTCTTATTTCGTAAAATTCTTCCTCATTTCTTACTGAACATTAGTTGTTGTACTCACAAATTAGATATTCTGGTCTGTACCCATTTTGCAGTAAACCTACAATTAATATTATTTCATGTGGAATCTGTCCTATAATCTTATGCTTGTTGGTAGAAATGAAAGGAGCAGGAGGAAAAAAACAACATATATCACACAGTAATCTTCCCAGTACTATAGTATTCCCTTGCACAAGATGAAAATTTGGATATATTGTTTTGGAATCTGGCTCCTGACATTTTTTCAAATGTTTGGAGTCATTCCTAACTTGGGGTCAGGGAAAGGGAGGCTACTTTGATACCCAGACAAGGAAAGAGAGATGACTTCTTTCCATTAAGCTAGAAGGCAAAGTGTACGTCCTAAAATTCCTTATACTACCCTGGAATAATCTCCCTGAAATAGGTGAATTAAACACGTACTGAGTCCCTGAAAGATTTGTGGAAAAGTTCCTGGAATTCCTGGCCAGGAAGGTGATGAAACCAAGACTCAGAATGTTGAGTGGAGGTGGCATGACCCAATCTAGAGACTGCCACATGGTGGCAACAAATTATTGCAATAATATACAGTTTAAAGTGCTTTATAATATACAGAGCAGGATCCATGCATAATCCCATAAATTTGAAAAATAAGATTGAGGACATGTCTTTTACTTTAACCCAAGCCCAAGCCTAATGTGTGTTAACTACACCTTTTTAGTACATTTTAAAATATTTGGATTATCAGATAACTATTCATACTTTCAGAAGGAACTAGTGTATTTGTTGTACTTTGTTATCCTTTGAAACTAGATGCCCAGTATAGTCAATGCTCTTTCCATTTACTAAGGTATCCTTAAATATGAAAATAAGAATATTTACATGTTTTCACCAAAACATAGCTATTAGTAGATCTCAAAAATAATTCTGTCAATCAACAGGTTTCCTTTTTGTTTTTCTCCAAGACATCACAGAAGCAGTTTGACTTTTCTTCCCCATTGAATTGAATAAATTGAGTTAGAATAAATCTGTATAAATTTGGGTGGTTTTCAATCACCACCTTATTTTGTCAATAAATAATTTAGTTTTTTTTTTTAAACAAACCAGATCATATTCATTGGGCTCAGATACAAAGGAAACTGCTTTGTGGATAAAATGGAATATCTAATTTAAATGCATTTGTGGATATAATTAAAATATTATACTATGCCTTTACATAGCTGCAGTTTTTGCATCAATATTTTTAACCTGAAGGTTGTAAGTAATTATGTTTAATTGGTTTAGCTTCTATTAAAATAATTAGATTACAGTGATGCAATTTCAAATGTGTCTGTGTATATTGGAATTAATTTTTAGCAATTAGCTTCCTCACAGATTCTATCAGCATTGTAATTTGAATTTTGCTTCCAGAAAGTTACTGATACTACAGGTTTGGGTCTCTTTTGTTTGAATTGTTGAAGAACAAACATTCTGTACTTGGCACACAGCTGAAAAACTCTGACCTGGACTATACTTGAATCTACATTATAAATATCAATATTAAAGTATAATCATCATTCTGTTCTCCAAAGTTGATATAATGATATCATTAATTGTTTGTTTTCATACTGGCAAAAAGTAAAAAATAAATAACTCCTGCTTTTGTGCCATGACTATGTTTGCACAGTCTTTTGTCATGGCACCTGCAACACGTTATTTTTCTTATTATACCCTTCTTGGAGACACGTAATACATGCACAGACAGAGAATCACACGCACACGCACACATGCAACTATACCAGGTTTAATAAAGAAAAAAATACTAGATTGCCTCTGTTTCCATTTTTCAGCAGATCATATTTGCCCTGTAAAATTACATGGTAAAATAAATGCCAAGATTCCCAAGTCAAAAACTCTTAATAGAATGAAATATATCTTTGCATAATACCCTATTTAATTATTTTATCCCTATATTTGTAGTCCCTTTGTTAACTATATCTACTTTACTATTCAACCTTATTTTTCAATACTTTCTAAAATGTACTCTCTACTACAATTTGACTACTCTCATCATTTCCTTTATAACCTCTTTGTTTGTCGTGTATTATTTTTTAGTCCACTTCCTGTGCAACATGTGGGTCAATAATAGAAAAAATAAAATAAAATGGCTCTCATATTACTCAAACTCAAAATAGGAGTTTTAGTTTCATCTCTGATTTTTATGTATTTTGTAAAATTCACTGTGTTCTCTAGTTGTCTGTTTGTCCTCCATAAACTCAGAATGATAACACCATCCACCTCACACTAAAGGAGCAATGGATTCAGAGGTGCTGAGTAAACTATTTGACTTCAAAAATACCCTCTTTCTACTGTGCAATGCTGCCTCATTTATAAGCAATTATACTTTTATATTGGAAGCCTACATTGTTATTGCTGTTGTGGTAAGACTAAATTCAATTCGGCAAATATTTATTGGGGTTCTACTCTTTGCCCGGTAGTATTCAAAGTGTTAGAGATGTAATAGTGAGCAAAAAGAGAAGTACGTATCTCTCAGAGATTATGTATTAGAGGTGGGGAGACAGCATTTAATGTGCAATGAAATCAAGACAAAGATAATTTCATATAGTGATAACTGGTATAGGGTAATGAAATAGGTGATGTGATTGAGAAGATCTGGAAGGAAGCAGGGCTGGGGAAACTGCTTTTATATATTGATGATTGTGTCAGAAAATTGCAATAAATCCATGAATAATTGTTGTTGTTTTTAGAACTAAATTTAAAACTTGTATTTACTCTTATTAAAATCTATTATAGGCAAAGCATAAAATTGTTTTGGCTTATTGAGGCTTATTATATATGGTTAGGAATATGCACTTGAAATAAAAACTTCTATAAAATCAGGTAGATATTGTTTTAATGCCAAATTCTCATCTATTCCTATTCAAACTATCAGGTTTTAAATTTATAAATTGGAGGAAGCACTGAAACAACTGGCAAAACACCTAGCCAAGAACAGATAATCTGACAAAAGTTTGTTTTCTTCTTTTTATGTATTTAATTTTCATGGGTCCCTAAAGTCTTTTTATTCCTTTAGTTTCCATGAATGGCTAATATTCTATCATTTTTAGTATTGTCCCTATCTGATACATAAGTCCATTCCAAAACGTTTAAGTTATTTTGATTCCAAAATCACTCCCACTCATGGACATTTAATTTCTGTTTAAATACATCTACTGATGAGAAGACACATCTCCTATAATTTCTTAGTGGTCCATTGAGTTCTGTTTGATATTCAGATTAGGAGTAAAATGTATGGCAATTATTACTAATTGAAGATAGTTTATTATTATTACCATTATATATTATTTTTGATACGGTAAACCATATCAAAAAGTGTTTTATTCCCTCCAAATCTCATGTTGAAATGTGACCTCCAATCTTGAAAGTGGGCCAAGTGGGAGGTGTTTTGGTCACGGTAGGGGATCCCTCAGGAATGGCCTGGTATCTTCCCTCATGGTAAAGAGTGAGTTCTGGCTCTGTTAGTTCACATGAGATCTGGTTGTTTAAAAAAGTGGCACATCCCCCCGTACTTGCTCTCTCGCCATGTGATACACTGGCTCCCATTTTGCCTTCCACTATGATTGTAAACTTCCTGAAGTCTTTACCAGGAACACATGTGGGTTCCATTCTTGTATAGCTTACAGAACTGAGGGCCAATAAACCTCTTTTCTTTATAAATTACCCAATGTTAGTATTCCTCTATAGCAACAAAACAGACTATTAAAATAGTATCTAATATTATATTGTAAATATCAAACTCTTATCTAGTGTTATTATTAGAATATTAATTGAATGTGGTATTTTATGCTTGTATTCATGTTTACCAATTGATTGTATGACACTTTCTACTATTTAAAGAGACAAGTGTTTCTGATGGGGTTAATGGTAGATGATAAGAGAAAAGCTAAGGAGAAAGAAATTCATTTTTTTGTGAAAATCATCTATTGTTTCAGTAACTGCTGTATTTGAAAACCCTGACAGCCAGTTCCTTCATTCAAGAACATTTATTCCCATATGTTTTGTGGTCCCACATCATAAAAATTACCTATTGGAAGAGTTATTGCTTCAGGCAATAATGAGACCATAAATCTGTTAGCCTCCCTTAACGTCCCTGGAAACACACAAGAGCTGTTGGGGCTATTTCTTCCCTGAAAAGTGTAAAATCATCATTTTTGTTGATATTCATTTAAATCAGACAAGTTTCTCCACTTGGGGCAGAATTTCTTTGATAGAAACTAAATCATGAGGCCTCCAGCCCACAGCACTTGGAGACACTTTGATTGAACAAAGCAATTATGTTCCTGAAAATAAGATTGCTTGACAAAGAACATCCAAAGTGCATATTATATGGAGTTTGCATTTGGAGATCACTTTCACTCTAGGCAAGCAAGAATGCCCTGACAGTTTTCTCTTTAAATTGTAAGCTCTAGCAGAGATGTGGAAGAGATGTAATGGTAGTGTGTGTGTCTTCTTACTGCTTCTCAATTTGTATAATAAAAAACAGATACTTTCATCTTATTAAAATAGGAAAACTCAATAGCGGAATAATAGGGAAAGAAGTTGATTTATAAAGCTGCATCACATTGGAAAGAACATTTGATTTGGAAGCAGAAAAATTGGACCCAAATGAGCGTTCTAACCTTCACTAGCTATGGGAGAAGGCCTGCCTGAGTGTGTTTTCTCATCTACAAAGAAAAAAAAGTAATAGCCAGGTTGTATCCAGTCAAAGGGTTGCCAGGTCATTGTTCATTAATTCTTGTATATTAAGACCCTGAAATCTTTAGGATCAAAGACTAAGAACGCCTTTTCTTTTAGATAGGCCTAGATACTCAGCCAACCTCTATTGCCATTTTGAATCTGCTCTTGATTTTTTTTTTTTTATCATTCTTTACCCAGTGTTTCTTCACCCAGTTCTTCAGGGAATTTTACAAAATATGCTCAAAACCTCTCTCTTTAGTTTTGTTTTAGATAGATTCAAAAGTTCTTTTAATTTTAGATATATTAATTTTCTTATTAGTCACTGCAGGAATAAATATGGAAAATAGAAATATAAAAGAGTTAATAAAGTCAATGAAGTTAACATTTATCGATCATCTATCATATTTATTCCTTAAAAATAAAAAATGTTATGTGGTGTTAGTAAAACAAAGGCTTACAGATATTAGGTGACTTTTCTAAGATAAAAATATTCAGTAGAAGGATGGAATTTGAATTCCAGCTGTTCTAAAGGCAAAGACACTGCTTATTATTATACTATTTTGCCTAATGAGAACAAGAAGTAGGGAAACTTTTGCAATTACAATATTCGCTCTCCATAACTTCTTTTCTTAATCCAAATTACTTTGTGCTCTTTCATTCCTCAGGGCAGAGTTTACCAAACAGCTAGTCTCTTCTCTAGATAGGGATAGACGACCATTCCTCTATGATTCCTACTCCCAAACCTATGGGTTATCAGAACGGTGCAAAGTAAAAAAGTGGGAATAAGACAGACCTGAGTTGAACTTCTGGTTCTGGCACTTCCAAATTGGGGATTTCGGGTCACTTTGCTGAATCAATCAGAAATATGATTTCCTTATCTATCAGATGCATATAATACTTAAGCTTGAAAGAGTTTCACCAATATTAAGTCAGATAATATACATAAATTGCCTGCACACTTACATAAAAATCCATATTAGTTATGGTGGGAACATGCCCAAATGGGAACACGCCCAAATATTATCTTCACATTAATAAAGAAAGGTTCCTGGATTGTGGATTCCTTTCTACCAGAACTGAATCACTTAACCCTGAAAAGTTTTTGGGTGGCTACATGCAGGAATGCTGCTTACCTCATGGCAGATTGAGCAAGCATATATTCAGATCCCTTATCAATGAGTATGTATTTGATATTTTGTATTATTTCAGTCTTGCGCTTAAGTTGTGAGCTCGAATTCCAAAACTTTAAAACTTTCTTTTTTCTTCCTTGAAATGCACATAGATTTTATGTGGCAACAATTCCTGGTAAACTTTCATTTTTCCTCAGGACTTTGCATGATTAAAGTCTCCAGAATGAAGTAAAACTTTGATTCAACAAATCATGAAGCCCCTTGAAGTTGAGAAGACTGGAGCAACACATGTTTTGGTTCCCTACAACATTCCAGACACTGAGTATATCAATTAGGGTACGGGCAGGTTTTAGAAACCACACTAGTTATTTTAAGATATAAAATTTAATGTAGGCAACTGTATAAACAAGTACTGGAAAACTGAAAAGGCAGAAAAGGAATCCTGCCTATGGAAATTAAGGCTCTGCATGCCCCAGTTATCTTTAAAAAGAAAATAGTATTAGCTGTTTTGTGTCCATGGGGGTGATGCCAGGTCATTGCCTATTGGCTCCCTGTTTACTAAGTTTCTGAACCTTGTATTTAGGTTCAGGGGAGACCACACCATGAATAGCCCCCTTTTTTTTGAGCAGGCTGTAAAATCTCAGCCTATATTCATTACTTTTTTGGATCACCTTCCACTTTTTTTTAAATTTTCTTAAGTGTCTTTTTCATAAAGATAACATAGAGAGAACTATTGAAGAAAGCATCTACCAACTCTAAGGGTAGAGACAAAATGGGAAAATGTCAGAGTTACTGGCACCTAACAACCTGTGATACAGATTTCTGAAGAAGGGGTCCTTTCCAGCTGCTAGCCTTTAGGAACTTGAAGAGGGGCCAGCAGAACTCTAAGAACAGACTTTTCCTAGCTGATTCTGATACTTCAAATATTTGAGGTCACTGACAGCTAGAACTTGCATCTCTGAGATAGCGAAATGAAGCTGATCCTTGGAGCATGGGAAGAAAATTGGAAGTGGAATACATTGCTGCAGCCAGGGTGAAGAAATGTTGTTGGTGACACTAACAGAAGCAGCAAACAAAACCAGCCAGTGCAAGTTCCTTCTCCCTTCTCAATACTTAGATTTTTCACCCTATCATCTGTCTCTGCCGAGTGTATCTGCAGGCAAATGGCAGGCCTATCTGCAGAAAAACAGCAGGGAAAGAAGTGTGGTTGGTACCGTTCCTGCTTTTTTATGGTTAGGCAGAATACAGAAGGGTGAGCCTTGAGTGGGGCTTCAGTGGCTTACTAACCAGCACACTATCTTGGGTGAGTGGGGTATAGAATGAACTGGAGAAGCAGGAGATATAGTACTTGCCCTCAAGAGAATGTATTTCTAAAAGCTCCTGTACTACTTTTGAGAGATTAAGTCAAGAGGAAGAGTTGAGTTATGCATGAAAGATTTCATGAAGGATGAACAACTTCAAGTGGCAAAACTTATACGATGAGGACAGAAACAAGAGTGGAGGTGATATGTGTTCCAGATAATATACGTGGTTTATTTTTACTGGATTTACCCAACAAATTTATCTAACAATAACTAACCAATTTTGTTTCCAGTGTACACAGAGTCACAGAAAATTGTCCTAAGGGACCAAAAAAAAAAAAAAAAAAGACTGGATTTACCATTCTCTGGGAGGCACAGGGTGTGTAGCATAAGGAATTTAGGGGGTTTTCATTTCAAATTTTGCTTTGTCTTTCTAGGTCACTGAGTAGCAAAGAATAAAAGCTCATAATTTTCTAGTCTCTCTTTGGTTAGGAAGTAAATGATAATCACATTGAGTTAGATAAAAATACAAATAAAACTTTACTTGAAAGAATGATGTAAGGAAAATCCTTATGTTCAAGAGATAAATTTAATTTATTTAACTATAGTACTAAATTATAATTCCTCATCCCAACTACCTCATGATTTAGACAGTTGAGTGGTCCAAAAGGAGCTTCACGTGGTATGAAGACCACTTAGGCATTGATTTATCAGGGTTAGTTTCATGCGCGTCTGTGTGAAGAGACCACCAAACAGGCTTTGTGTGAGCAACACGGCTGTTTATTTCACCTGGGTGCAGGCGGGCTGAGTCTGAATAGAGAGTCAGCGAAGGGAGATAAAGGTGGGGGATTTGGGTTTTATAGGATTTGGGTAGGTAAAGGAAAATTATAGTCAAAAGGGGTTGTTCTCTGGCGGGCAGGGGTGGGGGTCACAAGGTGCTCAGTGGGGGAGCTTTTTGAGCCAGGATGAGCCAGGAAAAGGAATTTTACAAGGTAATGTCATCAGTTAAGGCAAGGACTGGCCATTTTCACTTCTTTTGTGGTGGAATGTCATCAGTTAAGGCAGGAACAGGCCATTTTCACTTCTTTTGTGATTCTTCAGGTACTTCAGGCCATCTGGGCATATACCTGCAGGTCACAGGCGATGCGATGGTTTAGCTTCGGCTCAGAGGCCTGACATTCCTGCCTTCTTATATTAATAAGAAAAATAACATAAAATAGTATTGAAGTGTTGGGGCAGTGAAAAAAAATTTTTGGGGGGGTGGTATGGAGAGATAATGTGTGATGTTTCTCAGGGTTGCTTCGAGCGGGATTGGGGCGGCATGGGAACGTAGAGTGGGAGAGATTAAGCTGAAGGAAGATTTTGTGGTAAGGGGTGACATTGTGGGGTTGTTAGAAGAAACATTTGTCATGTAGAATTGTTGGTGATGGCCTGGATACGGTTTTGTTCGAGTGTCTGCGAGCAACCTTTCACTGTTATTTTCAGGGCTGGGTATAAGTAAACAAGAAAAGGGCCTGGGAGGAGAGTCTGACGAGTAAGGGGAAGGTAGCCAAGGATGGAGTGAAATACAGGGTAAGTGTCTTCCTAAGCAATAATTACTGCTAATGTTTTTAAGTTTGCCAGTATTGATAGAGGGCTTGTCTGTAATACGGAGCTGGAAGGCTCCAATTGTTTCAGTGATGTGTGTAGGTGGGCTTTGGAGATGAGGAGTAAATGGACATTGAGAAGGTGAAAGGTTACCTAGGGGAATTCCAGTGGGTCTTTGCTGAGAGAAATATAAAGGAGCAGCCACAGGAATAGTAGTTTGTGTTGTGAAAGGTCCAAATATGGGGGGAGTAGAGTTGATATAAGGAGAAAGGTTTTTTAGGTAAGCGCGGAGGAGGGCAGCAGCTTGCTGATGTGAAATGTTTGGAGAGGTCTTCCTGGACCTGTCTAGAAAGTAAATGAGTTCTTCAGGAGGGTAAAGGTGAGGGCTGTTAAAGGAAGTTGGGAGGTGTAGGGAGACAGGAGATGTTGCCTAGTCTGCATGTAAGGCGGGGACAACTGTGTAGGAGCTGGAAGAAAGGGAAATGCAAAGCCAGTGGTTGTTCACTAAGGAAGGATTAGAAGTGGCTAGGAGAGAATGAGTAAGGTTGATAGTGTGGTGGAGATAGCTGGGGAGAGGTAAAGGGTGGCATAAGAATGGGAATGAGAATAAGAGTGAGTATAAAAGTAAAGAAGAGAACTTCATCAGGGTGAAACTATTGAAGGGTCCCCTGCCAGCAAAGATCATCTATCCACTCTAAGAGTGAGTTAAGAGTTGCCAGTCCTGGGCGGGGGCAAATCCCTGAGCTTGATGTGTAGGGAAGGGAGGGGCCTGAATAATCCCTGAGGAGTAGTAGAATAGCAGATGGAACACTGAGAAGTGATTTCCTTGAGGATGGATTTCCACGATGGAAAGGAAATGAGAGGTTCTAAGAGGTGGGCTGGTGGCTTGTACTATAGCATAGCCTGCCTTTGCTGGTGAGTGGCGATTAGGCCTGGTGGAACTGCCATCAGTAAACTAAATGTGATCAAGGTGAGCAACAGGGAAGAAAGAAATGTGGGGAAATGGGGTGAATGTCAGGTGGATCAGAGAGATACACTCATGAGGGTCAGGTGTGGTATCTGGAATAATGTGGGAGGCCAGATTGAAGTCCGGGCCAGGAATAGTAATTGTGGGAGACTCAACAAAGAGTGAGTACACCTGAAAGAGCTGGGGAGCAGAAAGTATATGCGTCAGGTAGGAAGAAAATAGATTTTGGAAATTATGAGAACTGCAGAGAGTGAGTTGAGCATAGTTTGTGATTTTGAGGGCCTCTAAAACTATTAAGGCAGTGGCAGCCGCTGCACGCAGACATGAGGGCTAGGCTAAAACAGTAAGGTCAACTTGTTTGGACAGAAAGGCTACGGGGCGCAGTCCTGGCTCTTGTGTAAGAATTCTGACCACACTAACCATGCCTACGAAGGAAAGGAGTTGTTTTGTAGAAGGGATTGGGGTTTGGGAGATTAGTTGGACATGATCAGCAGGGAGAGCACATGTGTTTTCAAGAGAATTAGGCTGAGATAGGTAACAGATGAGGAAGAAATTTGGGCTTGACTGAAGTAATGGGAGCTGTCTGTGAAGCCTTGCAGCACTACAGCCCAGGTAATTTGCTGAGCCTAATGGGTGTCAGGGTCAGTCTAAGTGAAAGCGAAGAGAGGCTGGGATGAAGGGTGCAAAGGAATAGTAAAGAAAGCATGTTTGAGATCCAGAACAGAATAATGGGTTGTGGAGGGAGGTATTGAAGATAGGAGAGTATATGGGTTTGGCACCACGGGGCAGATAGGCAAAACAATTTGGTTGATAAGGCTCACATCCTGAACTAACCTGTAAGGCTTGTCTGGTTTTAAGACAGGTAAAATGGGGGAATTGTAAGGAGAGTTTATAGGCTTTAAAAGACCATGCTATACCAGGCAAGTGATAATAGGCTTTAATCTTTTTAAAGCGTGCTTCAGGAAGGGATATTGGCGTTGATCAGGGTAAGGGTGATTAGGTTTTAATGAGATGGTAAGGGGTGCATGATTGGTTGCCAAGGAGGGAGTAGAGGTGTCCTACACTTGTGGGCTAAGGTGGGGAGATAGAAGGGGAGGATGTGAAGGAGGCTTTGAACTGGGGTAAAAGGTGGCAATGAGGTGTGGCTGTAGCCCAGGAATAGTCAGGGAAGCAGATAATTTAGTTAAAGTGTCTCAGCCTAATAAGGGAACTGGGCAGATGGGGATAACTAAAAAGGAATGCTTAATAGAGTATTGTCTAAGTTGGCACCAGAATTGGGGAGTTTTAAGGGGTTTAGAAGCCTGGCCGTCAATACCCACAACAGTTATGGAGGCAAGGGAAACAGGCCCTTGAAAAGAAGGTAATGTGGGGTGGCTAGCCTCCGTATTGATTAAGAAGGGTACGGTCTTACCTACCACTGTGAGAGTTACCTGAAGATCAGCATCTGTGGTCGTCTAGGGGGCTTCTGAGGCAATCAGGCAGCGTCAGTCTTCAGCTGCTAAGCCGAGAAGATCTGGGAAGGAGTCAGTCAGAGAGCATTGGGCCAGCGTTCCAGGGGCTCTGGGAGTGGCTGCCAGGTGAGTTGAACAGTCCGATTTTCAGTGTGGTCCCGCACAGATGGGACATGGCTTAGGAGGAATCCCAGGCTGCGGGCATTCCCTGGCCCAGTGGCCAGATTTTTGGCACTTGTAACAAGCTCCTGGGGGAGGTGGGCCTGGAGGAATGCCTGGCAGCTGCGGTTCAGGCGTTTGGAAGTTCTTGTGTGTTGGAGATATGGCTGGGGTTTGTTTCACAGTGGAGGCAAGGAATTGCAACTCAGAAATACATTGCTACTTGGCTGCCTCTACTTTATTATTGTACACCTTGAAGGCAAGGTTAATTGAGTCCTGTTGTGGGGTTTGAAGGCTGGAATTTAATTTTTGGAGTTTTATTTAATGTCGGGAGTGGATTGGGTAATAAAGTGTATATTGAGAATAAGACGACCTTTTGACCTTTTAGGGTCTAGGGCTGTAAAGTGTCTCAGGGTTGCTGCCAAACGAGCCATGAACTGAGCTGGGTTTTTATATTTGATGAAAGAGCCTAAACGTTAACTGATTTGGGAGAGGTCGGATAAAGAAAAAGGAGCATTAGCCTTGACTATGCCTTTAGCTCCAGCCACTTTTTAAGAGGAAATTGCTGGGCAGGTGGGGGAGGGCTAGTCGCAGAACGAAACTGTAAGCTGGAAGGGGTGTGAAGAGGGGAGGTGATAAAAGGATTATAGAGTAGAGGAGCGGAGGCTGAGGAAGAATTGGGACCTAGCTTAGCCTGGCAAGGAGCAGCCTGGGGAGTAGGGGAGAGGTCAGATGGGTCTGTAGAAAAGGTCGGAAAGAGGAAAGACTGAGCGACACTTGGGGTTGGGACTGAGGGGACAGGCGGGAGGGAAAGAAGGAAGATTTGGGACGAGTTGCATTGGAAACAGAGAATAAGGAGGGACTGATGTGTAAAAGAATGCCTGGACATCAAGCACCTCAGACCGTTTGCCTATTTTACAACAAGAATTATTTAGATCTTGTGGGATGCAGAAATTGAAAGTGCCGTTTTCTGGCCATTTAGAGCCATTGTCAAGTTTGTATTGGGGCCAAGCGGTGTTGCAGAAGAAAATAAGATGCTTAGATTTTAGGTTAGGGGAGAGTTGAAGAGGTTTTAAGTTCTTAAGAACACAGGCTAAGGGAGAAGAAGGAGGAATGGAGGGTGGAAGTTTGCCCATATTGAAGGAGGCAAGTTTAAAGAGAAGGGTAGAGACATGGAGAAGGGTGTGGGGAGCAGCCCTGGGCTGCAACGTAGGTGAGCAGCCAAAGCAGGCGTCCCCACAATTGACTTGCCACCAAGGGAATGTGGGTGAATGATCAAGGCAGGCATCCCTGTGGAGATCAGACACCAATGGAACGTGGGTGAATAATCAGAGAGGTGTCCCCGCAATGATTAAACACCAAGGGAAGGCTGCCTTTCTGGGTCCGTGACTGGCGCCAGAGTTTTGGGTCCACGGATAAAATGTGTCTCCTTTGTCTCTACCAGAAAATGAAAGGAATTGAAATTAAGAGAAGGGAGAGATTGAAGTGTGGCACCAAGATTGAAAGGAGAAAGAGGTTTAGGGATAGTGAGGGAAGTTGGAGAAGAGAGAAAAACAGGCCACTTACCAGATTTGAAATTGGTGAGATGTTCCTTGGGCTGGTCAGTCTGAGGACCTGAGGTCGTAGGTGGATCTTTCTCACGGAGCAAAGAGCAGGAGGACAGGGTATTGATTTCCCAAGGGAGGTCCCCCAATCCGAGTCATGGCATCAAATTTTACGTGCGTCTGTGTGAAGAGACCACCAAACAGGCTTTGTGTGAGCAACAAGGCTGTTTATTTCACCTGGGTGCAGGCGGGCTGAGTCTGAAAAGAGAATCAGTGAAGGGAGATGGGGTGGGGTCGTTTTATAAGATTTAGGTAGGTAAAGGAAAATTACAGTCAAAGGGGGGTTGTTCTCTGGTGGGCAGGAGTGGGGGTCACAAGGTGCTCAGTGGGGGAGCTTTTTTAGCCAGGATGAGCCAGGAAAAGGAATTTTACAAGGTAATGTCATCAGTTAAGGCAAGGACTGGCCATTTTCACTTCTTTTGTGGTGGAATGTCATCAGTTAAGGCAGGAACAGGCCATTTTCACTTCTTTTGTGATTCTTCAGTTACTTCAGGCCACCTGGGAGTATACGTGCAGGTCACAGGGGATGCCATGGCTTAGCTTCAGCTCAGAGGCCTGACAGAGCCCTCAGTATAGAGTCTTAGGAGACTAAGAGGAAGAAGAATATTTCCTTCTGTGCATCCTTTGTTTACATCATGAATCTAGTGAGCAGTGTTAACTTTGTTAGTATAATTAATGTACTTAAATATCAATTGTGTGAATTGAGCCCTTAAATATTTAGATATTGAACACAAAATTAGTCAAATCTCAAAGCACTTCAATGAAGTCATAGTCTAATGTATCAAATTATTTTATATACTCCAAATGCCTTAAACCACAAAAAATATAATAGTTAATGCAAAAATTTTTAGAGTGCCTGCTTCAAATTATCAATACTGTGGGTTGTTTGTTTCATTATTTTCTCTATACTAATATGATTTTATATATCCCTGAGGTTACAGTTTTATTCATTTATGTCCACTAATTTTATCAATCCCCAGATCAAACAGAATGTAATCTCAAACTAGCTGATATTGCAGATTCTATTTCATCGACCTATTCATTCTTTGTTGTGTCAAGGGATCTGTTTACATCTTCTAAGTAGACTGAAACCTGAGTCAGTGTTTATTGGTCTTGGATTCTTCTTAAATAAAAGTTTACTTACTAGATAAATGGTACTTTCCAAGTTTATGCCTTGTTTCAGGATCTGGGGCTGACTCATCTTTGCTTCCATATCAATAAAATATTGGCTAGAGAGTGGTCCACCTCAGTTAACAATTTAATTGACTATTATTATTTTATAATTATTAGGGATATTCAGAAGTTTTGTACTTGAGATTAGTGACTGAATTTATGTAGACAGCTTTCTTCTGTGGTTATACAGGTAATCTATAATTTTATTGCATGTTGTTGATGCTATATGACTTACTCACTGTTTCTTGAAATCACCCTTTTTTGCTGAAACAAATAGAAAAATAAGTATATCATAATTTAAGAATATTGTATGTATTTAAGTGATCTAAGTATCCACCTACTTACTAAATTAATTACTTATTATGGTTTAATGTATTTGCTCTGCTTTTGTATTGAATTTTCATATTGTAAAGTTTATTTGAAATTTTTCATTTTTCATATAATCATAAACTCATGTTTTTTATAGGTTCAACTCAATTTTATTAATTATAATTAAAATTCATTTATTGATGCATACTTTATTACAACTTATCTGTTGGGAACCACATTTAACTAAATTCTGTCTTTTAAGATACTGCTCAGGAAAGTATAAAATCATTTTTGATTTCTGGCAACAAGAAGATATTCTGAGTTCATCTTGCCTTTTTTTTTCTATTCCAAAGCATGGGATCATCTCCAAAAAGATTTAATTCCATTGAATGCAAAATAAATTCAAATACTAATTTCAGGATGCTGCAAGCACATACCAGATTGTTCTACATGAAAGCTTTTATGGGTGAAATTTCCACGATGCCAGAAATTAGCAAGACACCTAGGAAGACAGATCATTAAGGTCATGAGTTCATATGAATTTTCCAGTTTAACCACAAGTTAGTATTATTTTAAAAAATATCCTGTTATGAATATACAGCTCCTCATCAATGTGCTTGGTGAAAATCTAACATGTTGTCTCTGTTATCTTCTAGACTCAGAATGCTGCATTTGCCAGCACATTGTGCACAGAGCCATCTCACTGTGAATGATTCCCAGTCACTATGTTCATAATTCTAGTATTAAAATAAAATAGAGAGGTTGCAGGAATGGGAATATTCACATTTACATGATTAGGGCACTTTCCCATGCAGATAGATATAGGATGGAAGCCAAATCCAAACCAGAAGGCAGTTCAGTGAACGTGGAATCAAAATGAGAATAATTAGTTAGATTAGATAAATCTTTCAGGCTGGCATATATTCATAATTATAAACCCACAACAGAATTGGTCTTGCCAGTAGGACTAATATAGATAAGTTAATAGACATAAGACCACAATCTTTTGGACAGCTCTAGAATGGTCACTGTCAAAATTAGCATAGGTATTGAGAGTCAATAACCAAGAAAACCCCATATAAGCTTGAATCAATAATGAGAAATGTGCAACAAGAAGAAAAAAAAGTAAAACAGTACAACTGAAAATAGTAGACAGATAGGAGGGCAAGAAAAGTTGATTCAATATTTCTTCTGCAGTATGGCTCAGATATGAGAAATAATTTTAACTCAGCACTTAAACAAAAATTCTTGAATATGTTACCAGTATCAATTGTAGCATCAAGGGCAAAGTTTCTTGTTCTGGAATACACGTGGCTAAAGTCTTAACGATCTTGTAGCTTATTATGTTTGGCTGAATGTATGTCACAAAACTTTAACCATCCAGTGAGAATGAAAGCAGGCATGTTTGGGCAAGCATCATTTGCAGTGAGGTCCCATTGTTTATCTTGTTTTAAATTCATTTCAGATGCATCTGTTTATTACAACTATAAAATATAGTCATAGGAAATAACTAGGAAGTGTAAATGATTGCTAATCTGTGACCAAGAAAATACATAGGCCTGAGTTTAACATGATTTTTAGCTTGTTTATTCAATAATTAAATAATTATTCATTCATTTTGCATTGACCTACTTGAATAAATAAGGCATGAGGCATTTCTTTAATTAGTTCACAATATAAGAAGAATGGTGTATTCATTAATGAATATTAAATGATGGGTTGGATAATAGAAATATGTATATACCAAGTTGGATAGAGGCACAGAGGAGAAGTAGTTACAATCAGTTAAATGAGTCAGAGAAGATTCAAAGAGAAGTGTATATTTAAATTGTAGCATGTAAGAAAGAAGTTAGCTAGTATGGAAAAAGTAAGGAATTTCAGGGATGGAAACAAAATATGGCATGGTTGAGTATATACAAGTTATGAAATATGTGTGGACAGTTCTGTCTATGTAGGGGATAAGAGAGTTGAAGCTGGAGAAGACAGTAATAAGAGTTTGAAGGCCTAGCAAAGTATACTGATGATCAACAGTTAAAGCAAAAATCACCCAAACTTCAAAACTCTCTAATGATGTAGACTGTAGAGCCAAGACGAGAGTGCTAAATATTTATATAGTGTTAACAGTTGACAAAGCATTTTTTTTTTGAGATGAAATTTTGCCTTTGTTGCCCAGGCTGGAGTGCAGTGGCATGATCTCAGCTCACTGCAAACTCCGTCTCCCAAGTTCAAGTGATTCTCCTGCCTCAGCCTCCCGAGTAGCTGGGATTACAGACATGTGCCACCATGCCTGGCTAATTTTGTATTTTTAGTAGAGATGAGGTTTCACCATGTTGGACAGGCTGGTCTTAAACTCCTGACCTCAGGTGATCCACCTGCCTCCGCCTCCCAAATGCTGGGATTGCAGGCGTGAGTCACCATGCCCAGCCAACAAAGCATTTTAACATAGCTTAAGTTTCTAATCCTTATAAAATGTCCATAAATTAGGAAAAGGTAGACAATTGTTACTTTTTCATATGACAAGGCAACTGTCACTGAGAGATTCCAAGTGAGGTATTCAATTTCATACAGTAATAGGATGACCCATGAAAATTATCCATATTATCTGACATTAGGTCTTAGTATTATCACCACTTTGCTATTAATACACCTGCCACTACCCTCTGTTGGCTTTTGAGGTTTTAGAGACAGTTATTGCAGATCTTAGAGTTTGCTGACTTATAAAGTTTGTTCTTAGTGGTCCCTATTGTCTTTTACTACCATCAATTGTCCAGTTGTACTGTTCTAGGATTATGTCTTCCTCTGTCTTGCACTCCTGCATCTGTAGCATTTATTGTGTATTTTAATCACCTGAAACTCATAAAACAACTAATTGTGTATCACTTAACTTTGTGTATTATATAGCTTTAAAATAGTGCAAGTGTACTGTAGTTTAGAAATGGACCCTAAGTGAGCAACCATTCTCATAGATAACACAAGAATCTACTGAACATTTTTTCCCCCAGTTATTTAAACCTAGTGACTAAGCTGGCATAGCAATCACATCGACTCTCCAAAAACAGCCGAGAACAGCAAGGAAGCTGAGAAAGTGAATATGAGCTTCTCGTACATTGCTGAATCTTTACTCCAGATAGATGGCATCAATGTTACCTGGATGCCCCAACAGGTAGCTTTGGCACATATGGAAAACACAGACCTTCATTCAAGAGCATGTTGCAATGCTTCCCACTTTGTACAGCCCTTTTACAGTTATTTTCTACATCCTTTGCCACAGAGAAACTGTATATCTTTCGGTTATTCTTTCAATTACATCATCATTTTTAATGATGTCTATGTTTTAACATGAAAGCTTCTTGAAAATCATATTGGTAGAATATATCAAGTTGCTATTATATAACAATCTATCCTAAAGAAAAATTCTAAAATGCTAACAAAAAGTCTATATACAAAAATGTTCAGTGAGGTGTTACTTGTGATCATTGAAATTAGAAAAAAAAACAGCTTGATTACATACTCTATGCTTAATCAGTATCTTTTGAATGAGTAAGTTTAATGGCATGAAACATTTCTTCTCCTGGATTGTTTATAGTGTGCACACTATGCCTTCCTAAAAAGCCAGCAACTATTATGCTGTGATATTTTAATCATCCATCAAATGCCACACTCTATATGGGAATGGGTGATACCATACTATATAGGTTAAACAACATCCTTTTTAATGTGTGTCTTCTTAAAAAGACAATGCCTTATCATAGGGATGACAAGTATATGTTAGAGCCTGAACTGAGTTATTTTTCTCACACCCACAGACAATATCACTATAGTCATGTATTGCATAGTAACATTTCAGTTAATGATGAAATGCATATATGACTGTAGCCCCATAAGATAATAATACCATATTTTTACTATACCTTTTCTATGTTTGGATACACAAATTACTTAGCATTGTGTTGTAATCGCCTACAGTATTCAGTACAGTAACATGCTGTACAGATTCGTAGCTTGGAAGCAATAGAGTTTACCGTATAGCCTAGGTGTGTATTAGGCTATACCATCCAGGTTTGCATAAGTGCACTCTATAGTGTTTGCATGATGACAAAGTCGCATAATGAAGATGCATTCCTCAGAAGGTATCCCTATCAGGTGATGCATGACTATAATTCTACTGCTCGTTTCTGCCAAGCCCAGATATAGCCTTTTAATCCATTGCAACAAAGGGCTCAAGGATTGACTGGTCAATAGGTGTTCCATATATGATAAAATGGATTTACTATAAATTAGTGACTGTAAATGATATGAATGGTACATCCCTCTTCAAAACAGTCAGAAGTCAGAATGTGATTCCACAAGTCAATCACATTCAGAATTTCACATCCATGAGACAAAGCTTTGAGCTATGAAGATCTATAATTAAGTTCTGGCTCTACTACTGAATGTTTTCTGTACTTATGTAAGTCATCTAACTCTTTTGGATTTTGCCTTTTTGATAAAATAATTGAAATAAATGGTCATTCTACCAAGTCTTCTACAAAGACTACAAATGTAGTCTACTACCTTCTACAAAGTAATTCTACCTTTATGGGAGTCAAATAAACATGAGCTTTGGAAACTTAAGGCATTGTGCAAATGTGTGATCCCTATTTTTATTAATACCCATTTAGCAATCAATAAATAATATGGGACTTAATAGTGCATTCCCATACTAGGGCAAAATTTTGAAGACACAAAGTATACTAGAATACATACTCTGTCACTGGAGGGATTTATTCCAAGTGTATGTGTGTGTGTGTGTGTGTGTGTGTTTTAATGTTGTTATCATTAATGATGGTCTCTAAACTGCCTAATGGACATAGTAGTAGTTCAAGCAAGTAATGGTCAATTTTAATAAAACAGGCTGTTTTGATTGTTGTTTTGATTTTTAAATAAAATCAATCTAGTCATTTGACATTATATGAAAGCACTATATATAACAACATCATGATATTATGTATATAATTATATATAAACATTAAATATAAAAACAAAAGCAAATACATAAACAATAGTAGTTTTCACTTTATTAATATAATGTAATATTATGGTTATGTTTATCATTTTTAGCTTACCATTGAGAGGTTGTAAGAAGGAGGCATATTAAAATCAAATGTCCTCTTTAACTATCACCATCTTGACCTCCCAATAAGGTACTTTGTCTAAGTGATGCCATATGTCTTTTAGTTAATGCTCTATTCACTCCATTTCCCATAGCAGTGTGCACTGAAGTCTGTCAGTTCCAGCCATGCTTCTTCCACGTACGAGGCAGAGTTTATGTAAAGTACTGGCATTTTTTGACTTTCTGTTGCTGAGGCTGTAACCTAAAGCATAAAAATAAAATTAGAAAAACTAAAAGAAAACATAGGAAAATATCTTTACAATCTTGGGATGGCAAAAGTTGTTGAGAAAGGGAAACAATGACTAATAAAATGATTAGAAATAGGATTTTGGGCTTTGTCAGAAATAAAAAATAATAAAAATAATTATTTAATGATAAACAGTAGATTTAGAAAAATAAGAAGGCTGTGTGTGTGTGTGTGTGTGCGTGTGTGTGTGTGAAGCTTGCTGACTGGGAATATCTATATATGTATACACATTTATATACACAATCATTATATATAATATATATAATTATATTTAGAATATTTAAACAAATCCTACAAGTTAAAAAGACAAAATGAATTCAATGCTTAAATGAGAAAAATTTTGAATATAGAAACTTCGCAAAAGAAGGTATATGAAGGAAGAATAAGCTCATGAAATGATGCTCAACATGATTAATTATCAGGAAAAATGCAAATTAAAACCACAATGAGATTCCATTTCACACTTAGGAAAATAGCTAAAATTAAAAAGACTGTAAACAAAAATTGGCAAGAATAGCTGAAACTCTTGCTACTGCTGGTAGGACTATCAAATAGAGTAGCTACTTTGGAAAACTGGTGGGTTTTTTTTGAAAATTAAAAATAAGCCTACTCCAATCACCCAATTATACTCCTAGTTCTTTACTAAGGAGGAATGAAAATGTATGGCCATAAAACAACTCATACAAAATGTTTATAGCAGCTCTAATTGTATTAGCAAAAACAACACAAAAATATTAGAGCCATCCAACATCCCTCAAATGGATAATAGACATATGTATGATTTATAAAATACTCAAGAAGCAAAAGTAATTTATGGTGATACAAATTAGAAAAATAGTTGCCTGTGGAGAGGGTGAAGATTAGTTGAAAGAGGCATGAAAAAACTTTCTAAGGTAATATAAGTGTTCTATAACGTCTTTAGGTTGTTGGATACACACACATATACTTTTCCAAAACAGTAGCTTTTAAAATTAGGACCTGTGCATTTCACTGTACATAAAGTATACTTTAATTTAAATAATCATATTACCATGTGAGCCATAGAAGCAGTATTGGACCAGAACTCCAAGACATATGTTATTAACTTGACTCTTTCACTTAACTACAATTTTGATCTTAGAAAGTAGTTAATTCCTCTGTATCTCTGTTTCTTCATTTAAGGGTTTTAAATAATCGATTTTTAAGAGCCCTTTATTTGTAGTCTCTGTGAGTACAGGATCAATATTTATCTGTTCATGACCATGTCCTGAATAGCTTATACAATGCTTGGTATATAGTATTTGTGCATTGTTTTCATGAATTGAATTTGATGAAAATGTCATGTCTGTATGATTAGGCTGTTAGCTAACTAGTAATTCAGAACTCTCCTTTACACCTCTTATAGTAACTATTGTAACATTTTCCAAATTAAAAACACTAAATATTTGTTTAATGCTGGTGCTTCTAATTCATAATTTTTCCAGTTCTCATATGTATTTGAAAAATTTGAAGTTATAGTTTCTATCATGTCAGCTGTCATAAGCATCTAAATTTCGCAAATGTATGTATGTGAACGTGTATTTCAGATCTTGAGTCTAACAGCCTTTTTAACCTAATCATTCATACTACTTAAAGCACAATGTTAACATTTCATCTTTCATATGAGGTGATATTAACTGCAGATGAGATGATTATGATTTGGGATGCTTTTGATGTGTTTAGACAATGACAGGTCAATGAATGGTGTGATATTTAGAAACAAATAATTAATGATCACCAATATATCTTGTCACTGAACATACTAATTAGAAAAAGAACCTTAAAACATGGTTAGAGATAGAAGATACCTTAGAGATCACTGGATAGAACTACTCACTCCACAGCTTCAAAGCAAGGTTATGTCATTTCCCCATGATCAGAGAGTGAGCCAGAAATAGAGGCTGTCAAGGGACCCAGAGTGCATTCCTTCCACCAACTTATGCTCCCTTCTTGGTTCCCTTACTTCATGACCCCAGCACATAACCTATTATTTTACTATTTTATTCAGTGACAATAAGTACTTGGCCTTCTTGCTTCCAGTTTGTTTCCCCAGGTCATACTGTCCACGGCAGACATAACTAATAAATGATGGGTTTCCTCTTCATTGAGCCTGGACTTAGCTTCATTAACCCTTTCAGCAAAGCAGGACCACACAAGTTTTGGAGTAAGTTTGCAAAATAAAACCACAGTATATACTTTTGAGAAGTTATTGAAAAAGTACTATTTTCTCTACCAATGCATCTTATGGAGTATCGGGTCTGTAGATAATATTAAAACCAAAATACCTTTTATCTTAAAAATAAGCCTTTATGTATTTTTCTTCATGGAGTATACTTTTCTTGATTATTTATGAGAAACTTTGGTTCTGTAGAAGTAGTAAGTGTAAATAAAATAAATTTCAAAAGAAGAGATAATCAGTTAGATACAGATAAGGAGATGCTTCATGAAAAGAGCTCCTTGAAGAATTAATGAGTAGAATTAGCACTTCTAGAGATCTAGGGAAAATATAAGCAAAGTCACAACAAGAGCAAAGCCTGAGATAAACATGAGGTGGTGGTGAAAATGATCTACTTTGATGATAAAATACTATATATGATACCTGTCTGTGGGAAAACAATAGAAATTAGACTAAAACTGCAGTCATATTGTAGAAGGCAGTGAATACTCGGGAAGATCTGGAGCAGAAAAATGATGACTGGAACTTCCTTAGGAAACTTAATGTAGCAAAACATGTGAGAAACATGAATTGGAGAATAATTAATGAACCATGTGGAATTTACGTATGGCCATTTTTTTTAGGCATGTGAAACAAACAAAAGAAGCCGTGTTTTGGTCAGAGCAGTAACTGTCTTCTCACTGGAAATGGAATATGAGACTGCTTCCTGGCAGTCGGAAATTAGACTGGAGGAGCCAGGCTCTGGGGCTCACAGCTGTAATCTTAGCACTTTAGCAGACCAAAGTGGGAAGATCACTTGAGGCTGGGGGTTTAAGACCAGTGCCTGGGCAATGTAGCGAGACCTTATCTCTATAAAAAATAAATTTAGCCAAGTGTTGTGGCATGCACCTGTAGTCCCAGCTACTCAGGAGGCTGAGGCAGAGAAATCAATCACAGCCGGGAATTTGAGTTTACAGCATGCATTGATCACACCACTGCTCTCCAGCCTGGGTGACAGAGCAAAACCCTATCTCTGAAGAAAAGAAAAAGAAAAGTAAAAACATTAGGCTGGAGGCAGAGGACAATATTTAGGCATGAAATTCCAGCCCTGTTCTGACCAGCCTTCCAACAGTTGATTGCCTGAACACTTAGATACCTAGTCTTTCTCCTCCTCTTCCAGGCCTCTGTGCTCTTTCCCCTGTGGACAATAACTACCATTTCATCCTGGACACCCATTGTTTGCCTGGACCACACCTTGTTATGACCATAACCCTCAGTCAGACTCAACCTTCCTTCAAGATCTGCAGGTCAGTCAGCTCCCCCAGCACCAGTCCTGTTTTCAGTAAGCAAGTCCAAGCCTGAGGCCTTCCTTCCCTTCCCTAAATTGTTGTAAGGAAGCAGTCAGTATCAGACTGACATCTGTGCTACAAAAAAACCTGCTACTACTATGCCAACACACCGGGAGGGTTAGGTCCTCAAAGGGTGATTAGGGGTGGGTATAATAAATAACTAAGTGTATGTTTCTTGCCTTTCACAATGTACTACACAGTTTGATATGAAGCTATATGGGATGTTCACAAATTTTGGTGACCAGTGCAGATTATATTCATGACTAGCATTTCTCATTAGAGAAAAAAAATTAGAGGAAGCAAGAAGGCTTGCCTAACTGAACAGCATCTGTGTTGTATTATTTCCACCAAACTTCCTATTCTGTTCATTTCCGTATTCCTTAAGGACATGTTTTAAGAAATGTAAGAATATGTCTTAATTGGGTGAATTACTGGTTAGCTACAGAAGCTAGACTGAATCACAATGTTACAGTTTAATTACTCCAAAGTAGTAATCCTACTATGTACTTTGGAGGCCTAGATCTTTTAGTGATTCTGAACCACACCCACTCATCTTGTAGGCTTTTTAGGACAGCCTGTGATATGGTCAAGGGCTATCTCTTCAGCCTCACAGCTCAACACCCTTCAAGGGTGGTAATAAATCAACAATACTGAACTCCACGGGGCTCCACAGACCCAGGGGCTTGTCTCCAACCTCTAGAGTTTGTGCATGCTGCTCTCTTCTCCTGAAGTATCATTCCCAACATGTCTAGTGAATAAACACCTGCAGTCTTCAGTACCAAGCCAAAGCATCTCCTCCTGGAAGACTGTCTCAGATACAATATATATAATGGTTGTGGGCTGGAGCTTTGGAAGCAAACAGACGTAGTTCTCATTACTTACTAGCTGTGCAACCATGACTTGTTATCACTGCTCTGCACCTTAGGTTAATCATTTAGAAAATGAGATAAAAATCCCTAATACATACAATATATTTAGGATTACATGAAATAATACCTTTAAAGGACTTAATACCATAGTAACTACCCATTGAATAAAAACTCTAATTTTTGGCTGATAATCTAAGCAAAGTTGATTATTTTTTCATGTATCTCGTCTAATTTCTCAATTATCTACTCTTTTAAATTCATCGTACGTAATTGGAATTACTTCTTTAAAACTCTATCCCCATATTGATCTATGACTTCTTTAAAAATCAGCACTATGCTTCTTGGCTTTTAAATACCAAGCACTCAGCACCTTAGCACACAGTAAGATATCAATAAATATTTCTGCAATAATTAAATAAATAGACAATTAAATGGACAAATAAAAAGAGTACAAATACAGAATTGAATCCTCGCATTGTTACTTGCCAGTTTGGCAATTTGCTTACCCTTTCTAAGTTTCAGTATCCTCACTTGTATGTTAATTATGATGATAATATCTACATAATGTAGCTGTCATATGCTTTCTAGAGGATACTGCATATGTAAAGTGCTTTGTAAATTGTATTGATCTGCACAAGATTAATCAATAGTATTTTTATATTTTAATTGCTGATTTTTTTTATTTTGCATGATTTTCCTAGAGTGCTAGGATATTTGGCTAAATTTTATAACAATCTATTATTAAAGAGTAAGAGAAATGAGAATGTGCAATTAAAAGGAGGAAAAAGACCATCCTTTTTCTTGGCCTGAATAGATTTTGCTTGTCACAGAACCTGTCAGAGGTGGTGGTTGAATTCTGAAATTCACTAAGTTTGCAGGCATTTGCTTCTCACAGGGGATTCTTTAAAACACCTGCCTAAGAAAAGCTTGCTTCACAAGCTCTCTGTCAAATTTACTTCCAATTACCCTGTTTCCTCAAGGCAGTTATTTAAACTTTTGGAACTTGTAAGCCAAACTACTGGTCTTGTCTTGGCCCCGATGTTCTGTGTGTTTGCTGGCCACTATTACCCACGTGTCCTGGACCTTTATACCTTCTGGGTGAGTCAGAATCCGGAAAGGTTCTTTCTAGTACCTAAGATCCATTTTGTGAGTTTCTATCATCTGCCTACTGTGTGGCTATTCAACAGACTTGACCAATTCAAAAGATTTCTACTTAAATTTACCAAAATGATCACAGGGCTAAAAGGTAGGTGGGAATGGGTTCTAGCCCAAGGAAGGGAAAGTAAATAAATATTTATGGAGCATGTATTATGTGCTGCATGCTATCTTATATATTATAACAAAAATAAAATTATAAGGCCCCTCAACCCTCTGAATGGACACCTTCTCTCAACCCAGGGCATTCCAAAGTTAACTTGATAAATTATTTCAGGCTGTGAAGAGAAGGGGGTGTCAGGCGTGCCTCATTATATCCTCCTCCATTTTGGAATTCAGGAAAAGCCAACTAACATTAACATTACCACAGACCTTAAGTCTGATAAGAAATATTTACAATCTATTCTCTCCGAAGCCTGCTACCTGGAGACTTCAACTGCATGATCAAACATTGGTCTCCACAACCCCTTATTGTAACCCAGACATTCTTTTATATTGAAAATAACTCTTTCAACCAATTGCCAATCAGAAAAATTTTAGATCTACCTATGACCTGGAAGCCCCTGCTATGAGTTGTCCCACCCTTTTAGATGGAACCAATATAAGTCTTGCATGTATTGATTGATGTATTATGTCTCTCCAAAATGTATAAAAGCAAGCTTAGGCACATGTCATTATCAGGAACTCCTGAAGGTGTGTCACAGGTGCATCCTTAACCTTGGAAAAATAAACTTTCTAAATTGATTGAGACCTGTCTCAGATACTTTGGGATTAACAGTATTTATGTGTGTCACTTAACCTTTACACCAGCTCCAGGAATAAGCCAAGGATTGTTTAGTTCTTTTGACATGACAACTGAAGAAATTCGGTTTAGAGATTTTAATTAACTGTTCTAAAGTTAATCAGAGGCAAAGCTGGAATTCAGACCCATCTGAATCCAAAGTCTGAACTCTTTCAATGAAGCAGTTTTTCTTAATTCTTATGGGACCTGGTATCTGCTTTGTAACCTTCCCAAGTAATTTTGATGCATACCAACGGTATCCAGAAACCACTGGAGTGTGTCTTGTAGTCTCTCAGCTCAGTTAATAATTTGCTATTTGATTAGAAACAATCGTTTAGTCTTTGTAAGCATTTTTATACTTAGTAAAAAGGTTTTAAAAACTGCCCTAAATTCTTGAAAAGATTGCTCAATTCAATCCAACATACATTCATCAAATTCTATCAGTCAACTCAGCTTGCCCAAAGAGGAGCAACTGATTTCCATAAAGCATGTTTCTTGCTAATGCAGATCTTATTCTTCAGAATATATGACACTTTGGAAGTAAAGTGCCTTGACCTGGGATTAAGAGTAAAATATCTCCTATGGCTCAAGTGCCATAGAAGACAAACTAAAACCTTGTTATGAAAAGACAGTCACTTAGAAAGAAATGTATCAATTTGCGTGAAGAGGTCAAGGTTTTTCAAGAAGTAAAAGACCAGCTATCTACTCCCAGGAAGGTTTCCCCCTTCATCAGTTAGGCAGATTGGGTAGGGGATTGATTGCCTCAATTAAATCAGGAATTGAGCATTTACTGGCTAACTTGATTTTTTTTCCTTTTTTTCTTTTCTTTTCTTTTCTTTTTTCTTTTTTTTTTTTTTTGGAAAACTGGTCAGTATCTACCCTCTCAGCTTACAAAAACTTTAGGTGACGTATCTCTAACCTTGAGAGGTTTCCAAGTCTCCAACTTCATGCTCTAAGAAACTTCATATTCTGATAAATATCATGAGGAAAATATCTGCTATATAATTGAAGTTGATCTCTTCCCATGAAGAATATTGCTTCCTAGGTGTGCGCACACACACACACACACACACACACACACACACACACTCACACACTGTAGAAGATTTCATTTTCCTTTTCCTTTTGAAAGCTCTATAATTCCCCAGCCTCTGGGCAACCCTAGAATTCAGCATTTGTAAACCATCTTTGAGTTTGAGGTTCCCAAGTATTTAATTTGTTTCTCCAGACTTATATGGCCACTGAATGCATTGCTGGTTTCTTTCTTTCTTTCTTTCTTTCTTTTTTTTTTTTTTTTTTTTTTTGAGACGAAGTTTCACTCTTGTTGCCCAGGCTGGAGTGTAATGGCAGATCTTGACTCACTGCATCCTCCACCTCCCAGGGTCAAGTGATTCTCCTGCCTCAGCCTCCTGAGTAGCTAGCATTACAGGCATGCGTCACCATGCCTAGCTAATTTTGTATTTTTAGTAGAGATGGGGGTTTCTCCATGTTGGTCAGGCTTGTCTCGAACTCCCAACTGCAGGTGATCCACCTGCCTCGGCCTCCCAAAGTGCTGGGATTACAGGCATGAGCTACAGCGCCTGGCCTTGCTGATTTCCTTTTCCCTTTTAAAGGCCCTCTGCTTGTGCCAAACTCAATACTTAGAGGCTATGGGAAATTGTTGGGGTGGGGCAGAAGGGAGAAGAGGAAGGCAAGGAAGGGTTCTGCTAGAGATTATCAGTTCACCTAACAAAGGTTCTCTGCTCTGAAATTTTAATTTGTTAATTCTCGACTGTTTGTTAAGATTCTGATGTTTTTAAAACTAAAATACTAAAGTGTTATTTTTCTTGTTGTTAGAGAATGTTTGGCCTGCTATGACATATTATATCCTTCTAAGAGTTGAAATCTTTTATCAAATATTTTTGACATGAAATGCACACACTAAGGTGCACAAATTTTAGGTGACGGATGAATTTCTATAAAGTAGATACACTTCTGTCATCACTACCCTCATGAAAACATAAAATACTGTTAGCGCTCCAGACTTATTTTTTTTTGTGCCCCTTCCCAGTGCCAACTACTATCTTCTAAAGGTAACCATTATTTAATCACCTTTTCTCTGTGTTGAATATTTTAAATCTGGCAGATAAAAACTTGCATAGAGACTAGTTTAACTATTATTAACTACTCCAGTTTGTTATTTTAATGACGGTTTTGTCATATAGACTTCATACTCCAGAAACAGCTTGTCGAAGATGATTTCAACTGAATACATAAATCTAATAAAACCCATCACACTTTCCAAAGAATGAAAACATTTTGCATGTCATTTTTCTTGTGATAATGGTAAACCTCTAAATGATTTCAGGTCTTCATTTGCAGACGGCCGTTTCCTTTCTCAAGATCCTCTATTTTAAGCCCATCCTCCTTGAATTTGAACAGTTATCACAATTGGGGAAATGGTGAAAACATAGGCTGAGGTAATATGCAAAATTTAATATTGAATTTTGATCTTATCACTTTCCACCTACCTATACACTCTTGAGGAATTTGGTTAAATTCTTTGAACCCCATATCCCACAATTATAAAAGAGAATAGTTACATCTATTTTATTTGTTGTCCTGAGTAAATAAGGTAACTCACATAAAAGTCTCTGGCTCATGGTAGTTGACATTTACCCCCATGAAAAACCAGCTCAAGGCTAGAATCTATGAGCTGTTTTTATATAAACCATTGGTTACATTCATTTTAAGGCCATAGTATGCTGCTGCATCCCTGAGTCATTTATATTTGATATTTTATTATGAGGCAGGATATTAATCCAATTAAATTGATTACCATGGTGAAGTAAGAGACAAGGGGAAAAGGGTATTGTCAATTTAAAGGTTTGTGGAGTAGGGTTTTGAATCAGACCACTGCAAAGGTAGCTAGTTACCCAACAAAATGTTGTACATTTTTTCTATAGAGTAACGTTGCTGGGAAGCAGGAATCACATCACACACATGCACAGGTGTGCACGCACACACACACACACACACACACACACACTCCTTTGAATCTCAAAGGCAGAGAATGACAGATATTTTCTGTAAAGGACCAGGTAATAAATGTTTTAGGATTTGAGGACCAAACAGTTACCAGTCTCTGTCAGAACTACTCCACTCTCATTTTAGAATAAAAGCAGCAACCTTAGACAATATGTAAACAAATTAACATTCTAATAAAATGTTATTGATGGACACTAAAATGTACTATTTTTCTCAAAGTATTACTCTTCTTTTGATTTTTTTCAACTATTAAAAAACATAAAATTCATTCCCAGCTCACGAGTTATATAAAAACAGGTTTTGGCCTCTAACCCCTTTTTTAAGCAATGGCAGAGCCACAAAATGTAAGTGGCTTTGTTCCCAATCACCATGAAAAAGGTCACATGAAAAATACCTGTTTGGAATTGCTACATCGGCAAAAAAATAAGCTATGTGCAAAAACAGAAAATTTAATTAATAATAATTACATCTGTTAGTTTTATCTAAAGGGTGTGCTGCTGTAACATTAGGTAAACTACCTGCTACTGGCTTAGTTGATTGACTGAAAAACAGCTAGGAAAATTGTATCAAAAACTAGAAAGTTGAAGACTTGTGCACACAATGGAAAAATATTTAGTAATAATACCTCCTGCATTAACTGGGAAAGTAGATTATATACCTACTGAACCCATATCTCTATGAGAAGAACTTAAAAAGAACTAGAATGCTACAGTTTGTTGATTATTCCGGGCAGTTTATAACAATGAATGAAGAGACAGATGTGAGTTCAGGAAAGACTTTATCAGCTTGCAAGCAGAAATGAAAAAAAAAATAGATAAAATGTGGAATTCTTTTGTCTTTGAAATGTTAGAAAAACTGGAGCTTTTGAAAAGCTTATGAAACAGATTTCCCCATGTGGAAAATATAAAATTAATCCTCTTTACACGGTCAGCGTTCATTGTACCTAATTTTAGTGCTTTGACTCTTAAATATTTTAAGGAATGACATTACATATATTTTTGTATTTCCTTATGAATATTGCTAAGAATAAAGGGAACATTTACTTAATTTTAATTGAATAAAATTTATTGTATATAATTCAATTCAATTACCATATAGATTCATTGGACTATTTTGTAAAACAAGATCCATAATGGGACATTAGTAGCTTTCATCAAACTCTTATAAAGAATTCAGGATTTTTCTTTGTGTGCCCATAATGTCAAGGAAGAGACAACTGACAGAAAAAGAGTTTTTACAATTATTATGTGAATCAAAAATAAATGCAAAGAGGCAGAATGCAAAGAAGTGAAAGAGAAGCCATTATAACTAATGCCATAGAAATAAAATGGATCAGAACAAACTGAACTATTCTATACCAACAAATTGAATAACCTAGGATAATTGAATACATGCCAGAAACATACAATCTATTAAAACTGAATCATGAAGAAGTTGAAAATTTGAGCAGGAAAATAAGTATGTATATTTAATCAGTAATCAAAATCCTCCCAACAATAAAGAGTCCAGGGCCAGAGAGTTTCACTGGTGAATCCTACCGAACATTTAAAGAAGAAGTAACAAGAATCCTTCGCAAATCTTCCAGAAACCTGAGGATGAGGGAGTACTTCCAAACTCATCTTATGAGACCAGTAATACTCTGATACCAAAGCCAGTAAAAGGCAGTAGAAGAAAAAAAAATATATTTCCGAGTGATGTCTCTAAGGAACATAGTTGCAAACATCCTCAACAAAACACTAAAATAAATATTTGGTTATTCTGTGTTAAAAGAGAAAAGGAAGGTGGCATATATAAATAACAACAAAAAAGACATGATACATAACAAAGAAGGAAACAAGTAACTGAACACAGAAAATAATCGTAGTGAATCACCTCCATTAGAACAATTATATAAGGCAAGAAGATACATAAACCCAGTGCCCAATGTGGCCATTCCGGACAGGGTCAGTGTGGTCAAAAGAAAATCAAACTGTGCAACAAGGCTAGTGAACTCTCGGCCCAGTGAGGAGAATGGCCATCACTAACGGGAAAGTCTCCAAGAGAAAACAGGAAATGACAGATTACGTAGTGAGACTGAAGTTGTTGAAAAATTGTTTTGAGGCGATTTTAGAATATACAGGAAGAGTACAAACAAAATAAGCAAATAACAAAAATGACAAGTATTTGTTCAGGAAAAACAAAAAGTAGAAAAGGAAATATAATTAAATATACTTCAATTCTCAGTTTATAAATAATCTTTCATATAATCATTTCATATAATGTAAACACAGTCTATATAATATAAATACGAAATAATGATATTGAGACAATGGGAGAGGGGAGGCAGAAGGGATGGCATTTTTCAATTAGAAAATTCACAGGCACTTTCACAGCAATTCAAAAGATAATTTCTGAATTTTATTAATGAAAATAAAACATACATTATTTTAAAAGACTTGAAAGAGGTCATCTTTGGGAGGGGTAACCAGGAGAGTAGGAAGGTGTGGGGTTGGAATGCAACAGCATTTTTTGTAAATCTTTTGTATACTTTCATTTGATAAAACAAATATTACAATACATAAATATAATTTTATAATAAATAAACCATATTAGTTTGTTAAAGTAATGTTAATTTTAAATAGTTTGACCTGGAATTTATGTCATTTAAAAAATGACTTATAAAAGTGTTATAAAATTTTGTAAATATAAATATTATTTGCCAAAATTATGTTTATAGTAATAAACTCAAATTTCTTATCAAAATGTGAAAAAAAATTAGGGTTAGAATATTTAATATTTTTTATTTTATTTATTTATTTATTTTGGAGACAGGGTCTTGCTCTGTCGCCCAGGCTGGACTGCAATGGCATCATCTCAGCTCACTGCAACCTCCACCTCCTGGGTTCAAGTGATTCTCCTGCCTCAGCCTCCTGAGTAGCTGGGATTACAGGTGTGCACCACCATGCCCAGCTAATTTTTGCATTTTTTAGTAGAGACGTGGTTTCACCATGTTGGCCAAGCTGGTCTTGAACTCCTGCCATCAGTTGATCCGCCCACCTTGGCCTCCAAATAATACTTTTCCATATAAACCTAATATTTAAAAAGCCAAGTTTCATATAGTTGCAAAAATCATCAACAAAACACTGAAATAAATATTTGCTTCATCTGTGTTAACATAAAAAGAGAAGGGATAAAGAAAAAAATAAACAGACATGATACATAGAAAGAAAGAAACTAGTAACTGAACACAGGAAATAATTACAGGGAATCTCCTGCATGATAGTGTTTGTATAAGGCAAAAAGATAAACATACACTCGAACTCCTGGTTTTCTCAAATATACTGTATAAATATAATTTTTTATGTACCACAGTGTGAAAATATTTGGGAAGCACTGACCTAAACTATCCCTCCTTTCAATTCTTATGATCATAAAATAAAATATGAGAGTTAAACTACTTGCCACAGTTAATAAACATTATTTTCGTAGTCATTTCTTTGCTTTTGAAAAGCTGCCTGAGTTTTGAAGGTAATAAAATCCAAGATATTGAGTAGCATTTCCAGGCTAGTCTCCAAAGCCTATTTACTCCATTCTATTGCTGAAAATAATATGATTGATTTAGATTTTAATGACTTAATATTTTTTGAAGTTTACATATCTTTATCGCACCTAGTATACTGTCTGAAACACAGTAGATACTTAATAAATGTTTATCAAAGTAGGAAAGCATTTCAGCCACCGTTTGAGGTACATGAACTTTTTTGAACTGACCAGGAAGTCTAATGATTCCTTCAATTATTGACTTCTCTCTCTATGACTAGGATATATTTTTAAATTTTGCTTCTCAAATAACATCAGAAGAATATTAGATATTTATCTTCAAGGGCTTTTATGTACTGAGTTAACAGTCAAGTTATTTAACGACCATTATACTATGAGCATCATCCAATTTAGATGGCTACCCTATTGATAAAAAGTAATTAAAATACTACAAAGATGAAAATAATACAATTAATACACATAGCACAAGCCAAGGCATATTGTAGACAATCAATTCTAATTTTATTTTTCTTTTTTGGAGAATATTATGTTTCAACCTCTAAACTATTTAACCTAAATAGATTAAGCCTATTTAGAACTCTTACTATTCTTGCATATGATGGTGAATTTCTTATCTATAATCAATGCTTTTAAAGAGGGCTTAGTTTCTCTGAACAAGTTATAGGTAGAGAAGTAGTTTTCTGAGCTACTGAATCAGCAAAAAGAAAGAGGGCACATTCAGTAGCATTAATGCAGTATGTGATATGTCTCATCACTATTGAATGAAGAGGCAGGAAATTACAGACCCATATAAAATGATGGGGTGTTGGGAATTTTATCAAATTTGCTTATTCACTTCAGCAGTATCTTAGTTCAGTGACACTGGGCTCATCGTTGTACTCTCTCAACTGAGTGCTCAATCTGTACTGCTATCATTTTATTAGGTTGGTGCAAAAGTAACTGCAGTTTTTGCCATTGCTTTTAATATGAATAATACTCAATACTTGCTCCTTTCCTCTTTCCAAATTTGATTTTAGTTTCACCACTCCCTACCCTAGTCACAGCCTCTGCTAACTCAGGAGAGTCTTTATCACTGTTGTTGTCATGATCATCTTCATTTGCCATTGCTCTTAATATAACTATAGAGAAACAGAAATGACTCAAGCACTTTCTTTGATTCTATAACCTGGTTCCACCTCACTCATCTTAAGATAGAACGCCAATCTTAAGTCTTCCTCACTAACCTTCCTGTTCCCAACACTAGCACTTTCTTCACCATTACTCTGAATTGTGTCACCACTATCACCCCATCATCTCCCCAGTATCATCTTTATCACATTTAGAGTAATTCAGCTTTCACCACCACCATTACGTGCAATAAATAGGTGCATGACTAATGTGGCAGAAAGCATGATTTATCAGAAAGCCCAGGCACAGACTATATTTATGAAAAACCAGTTTGAAATATTGACTTCCTTCCCAGAAATGTTTCCCTTGTACCACAAACTGACATCCACCCATGGTGCGAGGCCACCTTTCTATACATAGCCTAGTATCTTACCTTTGCCAATGTTGCTGACTCAATACTTGCTCCTTTCCTGGTTCCAAACTTGATTTTAGTTTCTCCACTCCCTGCGCTAGTCAAAGCCTCTGCTAACTCAAGACAGCTTTTATCATTGTTGTTGTCATAATCATATTCATTATCCACTGATTGCATAGAAATCTTAGTTTTCAGTTTGCTTTCACATAAGTCACATTTATTCTGGCCCCCTGATATGCATTCATACATGATCTTTCCTCTTCCTACACCAATTATTAAACCTTGTACTTTCCTCATTTTCTTCATTTTGGATGTCTTTTCCAGGAAACCATCTGTATCAGGAAGGGTTCCAATAGGAAACAGATGGCACACTTGAAATTGGATTATTTGAGGAAAGTTTATTTTAAAGGTGGTCAACTATAGAATTTGAGTGTTGGAGAACTGCAAAGACAAAATAGTAACAAAGGATTACCATCTCTAGGCCTAATGGAATAAGTGGAAGGTATTGGTAACAATATCCAGAAAGGAAATCATGTTCTTAAGTGAATACAGCTGGAAGGCAAAGGACTCCCGTGAGGGGTGGGGCATGGCGGGCTCCAGTAAACAAAGTTTTCTCCTGCTGGCACCAAAGCAGCCTGCTGGTTCCCACACTTGTTTGCTCATGCGCTCCCTCCCATGAAGAGTTGAACACTTCAGGCTGAGTAATCAGGACACCCTGTCGCGAGTCCTGTGAAGGGGTCAAGAAAATATCCTGCATCATTTGGGGGCTCATGTGGGATTCATCAGAAGAGTGAGTAAATGCAGATCTTACTCTGCTTTTTTTTCCCCAAAAGTTCTTGTCCTCAGACTTTCCTCTGAAGGCAAATGACACATCGAAACTCTGAGTCGTCACTTAAGGGTGAATGACACAGCTATGGAGGACAGGATGTGAACCTGCCCCCTCTCTCTTTTGGGTGAAAGGAATGTTGGCTCCATTTTTCTTCACAGAGGTCTAGCTGTCATGTGGGACTGAAATAAAGTCCTGGGGCAATTGAAGGCATCTGGCTGAGCAACACTCCCCAGTGTTGCAGGAAGAACCCTAGACTTGGCTTAATCCCCAACCACCTATTAGGGTGTCAGCTAATACCCCCAGAGTCTTCTATGATATTTTTCCTTTCTTCTTTCACAGTTTGAAATGACTCCTTTCTCTCCTTTTATAATGTTAAGGTTATATTGCTACAACCTGCAGGAATATTACTCGGTAGAATGAGCATTTGGCTAAGCCATCAGATATGCAATTCAGAACAATGCAATTTCCATCTTTTCTTAGAGATGCTACTCCAACATCCACTCCATCAGCTGCAGGCATGCACAGCACATGGCGGCTCTCCTTTGCTCCCTCTCCCAGCTTGGGTGCTTGGGTGTGTACACAGCATGCACATGGCGCAGCTAACGGCCATGAGGGGTGGCAAGGATCCATGGCCACCGCAGGAGCCCCAGACCAGACTCGGGGGCCCCACACGGTTAGTTGACCAGTGTTTCCCACTTGCCAACCCCTCCTGCCACGTGCCCACAGAGTCTTTCCTCCCCTGGCCAAGGGGTCTAGCTCCTTCCAAACCAGAGGAAGGTTACAGTGATTAAAAGAATCCATTTGCGTAGAGCAAGAGGTTCTTCCCCCAGCGTCCCCCACTTGTGCTTAAGCTGTTTTTTCTTTTTCTATTCAAGGGGAAGTTTTTTCCTACCTTTGAACTCTGCTTGTGGTAGGGAAGCAGTGGAGGAGCGACCCTGCTGGCTGATGACTGAAAATGTGGCAAGGCCCCCTGGGACTTAATCTAAACGAATCCATGTATCCCCCAAGACACCTTTTTGTCCTCAACTTGATTCCAAGCTTCAGGTTGAAGCCCTAGAAAGGAAAACTAGATCTAAGGGATCCAAAGGCAGGCAAAAGGCAAAGCATAGATGGGCAGGACTAATTCCTGCCTATTAAGTCCTTGTTTCATGTAAGAAGGCCATGCTCCATGGCATAGATGAGGCCCAGGGAACCCAAAAGTTTCCAGCAGTAGGGGGAATGGAGGCGTAGGTGAGTGCAAATAATTCCTATCCTCTAGCCGCCCCCTTGCCTCATGGATGCATGTTGCACTGGCACCCATGTGCAATTTGGGGTTAAAAAGGGGATAAAAAGATGAAAGACAAAAAGGGGGATACCCTTTTTTCTCTTCTTCACACACTGGGTTTTTGCTGAAAGGCGGAAGGAAATGAGAGATGCCTATTTCTCTTTCTTTCAGAACAAGCAACCAACCATCTTGACCATCCTCAGTTTATACTCCTCTGGAGTGTATCCTGAATCACTGGGACTGTTTGACCCTCAGACTCTGGAGGAAATATACTTCATAGCCTTTTGCACAAATGTTTGGCCAAATTATGATCTGCAGGAAATTATGATCTGCCTCTGGAAGGAGCTATTCATTTTGATACCATCCAGTAGTTGGATCTTTTCTGTAAACATGAGGGCAAATGATCTGAGGCCCCATATGCGCAGGCCTTTCTTACCTTGCCAGGTAATCCAGGCCTTTTCCACCAATGTAGGATTGATCCAACCCTCCTGTTTGCCATCTCAGGAGAGGCTGCAAGGGGAAATCCCAGGGAACTAAAGAAACAAGCCCCAGAGGCACCTCTAACAGGGGAGCCAGCTCCCTCTGGCCCTGCTCCTCTGGGTCCACCATGTCCTCCCTATCCAGTTTCTCTCTCTTGCTTGCCCCCTTCTAGAACTCCTCACCCTAGACAAGCCCCAGCCTCACTCTTGCCCCTCCAACAGATTCCTATTGAATTTGGCCCCGGTAAGGTCCAGATCCCCTTCACTCTACAGGACTTCAGAAAAATTAAGGGGGTCTTGGCAAGTTTTCAGATGATCCTGACAGATATATAGAGGCTTTCTAGAATTTAACTCTAGCATTTGAACTCTCCCTGAAAGATGTTGTTACTTTTGAATCAAACCCTGCTTAAAACTGAGAGGCAGGCTGCTCTGCAAACAGCAGAGAGATTTGAGGATGAGCTTTGTATGTCATATAGTATCAGGGAAAGGGACAAACTTTATTTAACTGGAAGAGAAGTGGTACCATCAGAGGGCTCTAAATAGGCTCCCAGTGATGAGATGGAAGAATAGAAGAGGAAACACTTTCAGTGTGCATAATGGAGGGCTTATGTGGGGCTAGAACTAAGCCTCTCAATTTTACCAAGCTATCTATGATAGACCAGGGATTTGATGAGAACCCCACTGCCTTTCTGGAAAGGCTAAGAGGGACCCTGGTAAAGCACACCTCTGTATCTCCTGATTCAGCAGAGGAACAACTAATCCTAAAGGATAAATTTATTACGCAGACAGCCTCTGATATCAGGAGGAAGCTATAGAAACAGGCCCTGGACCAGATAGTAGTTTAGAGAACCTCCTGAAAGTGGTCACCTTGGTCTTTTACAACAGAGACAGGAGGCCCAGGGGAGAGAAAGGAGACACAGGAAAGTGGCAGAGGCTTTAATGACTACTACAAAGCCCACAAACCCCAGAATCCCTGAAGTGCCCCTGTTAACTGCTACAATATGGCAAGCCAGGGCACTTTAGGAAGGATTTCCCAGGCAGCATGAGGAAGCCACCTCGACCCTGTCTAATCTGCAATGGGAACCACTGGAAGGCAGACTGTTCCAGGGGACCCTGGTCACTGGGTCCAGAGCCAATCTCTCAAATGGTCCAGCAGGACTGATGGGTTCCAGGGCTCCTCCCCACTGGCTCCAGTGGTCCAGACCACCATTACCATACAAGAACCCCAGGTAATTCTGGAAATCAAAATTCTGGAAATTCTGGAGTGGGTCTTTTGGTTCTCCTCACCAATCCAGGCCCCCTTCCTCTCTTAGCACAACAGTGAGGAGTGTCTCAGGAAGGCCTTTAACTTGATGTTTTTCCCAGTCCCTTAGTTGTAGTTGGGGAGACCACTTGTTCACCCATGCCTTTCTAATTTTGCCTGAAAGCCTAACTCCTCTGTTGGGCAGGGATATTCTGGCTCACATGGGGACCACCATCCTGATGGCCCCAGGAAAAACTCTTTGTCTCCCCGTAGTAAAGACCAATATTAACCCAGAAATTTGGGCAATTCGAGGGAAAATTGGCCGAGCCACACACAACTGCCATAGTGGTCTGGATCCATCATAAGGATCCCACCTCCTTTCCTAACCAGAAACAGTATCTCCTGAAACCAGAACTTAGGAAAGGAATGGAAGCCATCATCGATATTTAAGGTTGAAGGGCCTCCTCAAACCCTGCTATAGCCCTTGTAATACCCAGATATTGGGAGTATAAAAGCCCAAGAAGGAATGGAGACTGGTCCAGGACCTCCACTTCATTAATGAGGCTGTGGTTCCAGTTCACCCAGTGGTTCCCACTCCATATGCTCTACTAGCTCAAATACCTGAGGGGACTAAATGGTTCACAGTCCTGGACCTAAAGGATGCCTTCCTTTGCATACCATTATACCTCAACTCCCAGTATTTGTTTTCATTTGAGGATCCCTCCAACCAGACTACCCAGCTAACCTGGACAATGTTATGTCAGGGATTCTGAGACAGCCCCGACTTGTTTGAGCAGGCATTGTCAAAAGGCCTCTCTGAGTTCCTTTCTCTTCAGGTTAAAGTTTTATAATACATAGATGACATTCTCCTCTGTGCCCCAACTGAGGAAAACTCTCAGGAGGACAGTAAGGCTCTTATTAATTTTCTGGGTAACAGAGGAAATAAGGTTTCAAAATCTAAAGCTCGGCTCTGTCAGACTTCAGTGAAGTATCTAGGTCTGGTCTTGTCAGAGGGGACCAGGGCATTAGGTAAATAAAGAATTAAGCCCATCTCCTCCTTTCCCCTCCCCTAAGCCCTCAAGCAACTGAGAGGATTCTTGGGAATTACAGGATTCTGCAGACTATGGATACCTGGGTACAGTGAAATGGCTTGTTTTTTTTTATATCACCTAGTTAACGAGACTGAGGCAGCTAAAACTCACCCTCTAATTTGGAAACCGGAGACTAGACAGGTCTTTGTCCTTGCTTAAGGCACCAGCCCCCTTAATCTTCCCATAGAAAGACTTTTAATCTTTATGTGTCAGAAAGGAAGGAAATGACCCTGGGAGTTCTAACCCAGGCCCAGGGTCCAGCCTAGCAGCCTGTGGGCTACCTAAGTAGAGAGCTTGATTTGGTAGCCAGTCGATGACCAGCCTGCCTCCAGGCAGTCACAGTGATAGCGTTGCTAGTACCAGAATCTACTAAGTTAACCATGAGGAATAGCTTAACTGTTTACACCCCATATAATGTGGCAGGACTACTGTCTTCTAAGGGAGAATCTCTTGTTAGCAGACAACCGCCTCCTCAGATATCAAGCTTTGCTATTAGAGGGATCTGCAGTACCATTAAGAATTCGTCCCTCCCTAAATCCAGCCACCTTCCTCCTCAAGGAAGGTAGGGAACTCAAACATGATTGGAAACAGATAGTAGTAGAAACCTATGTGACCAGAGGGGACCTCACGGAAACCCCTTTAGAGAAGCTAGACTGGATTATCTATGGATGGAAGTTCTTTTGTAGAATAAGGGATCCATAAAGCAGAGTATATGTAATAGTTACCCTAAATGATGTTGTTGAGAATGTGTCCCTCTCCTCAGGCACAAGTGTTCAACTAGCCAAGCTAATTGCCCTCACAAGGGCACTCGAGTTAAGCAAAAGGAAAGCAGTTAACATTTATAAAGATTCTAAGTACATTTTCCTAGTTTTTCATATGCATGTCCCTATCTGGAAAGACAGGAACTCTTCATAGCTAACAGGTCTCCCATTAAATACCATCAAGGAATTAGTAGACTATTATCCTCAGTTTTCCTCCTATGGGAAGTGGCAGTAATACATTGTAAAGGCCACCAAAAAAGGATGGATGAAATAGCTGAGGGAAACAGGTTGGCAGACCAAGCAGCTAAATAAGGAGAAAGAGGGCCCCAGATTTTGGTTCCACTTGAAGACTTTCTGATTTGGGAGGGCTCCATAAGAGAAATAAAACCTCAATATTCTCCTGCGGAAATAGAATGGGCCACCTCTTGGGGGATACATCTCTCAGTCCTCAGCATGGCTACAATTGGAGGATGACAAGCTTCATCTACCAGCTGCCAATCAATGGAAAGCTTTTAAAAAGCCTTCACTAGACCTTCCACCTGGGTAAGGATAAAACCTATCAATTAGCCAGAGGTCATTCTCAGGTAAAAACCTGATACAAATGGTTAAACAGGTCATTAATGCTTGCAAGACTTGTCTTAAAACTAATCCCCTCAATTGATGGCTTCTTTCCCTCAGGACCCAAACAATAGGATGCTACCTGCAGAAAGGCTGGTAAATGGATTTCACCCAGATGCCAAAGGCAAAGGGCATCCTGTACCTCCAAGTATGGATAGATACCTTCACTAACTGGATAGAAGCATTTGCATGTCAGACAGAGAAAGGCTTTGATGTGATAAAAGTACTAATTAATATGATACTTCCTCTCTTTTGACTCCCTAAGTACCTCCAGAGCGATAATGGCCCCTTGTTCAAGGTGGCTGTCACCAAGGGGGTCTCAAGGGCACTATTCATGCAATATCATCTTCATTGTGCTTGGAGATCACAATCCTTGGGAAAAGTAGAAAAGACAAATGATGTCATCAAAAGGCACCTCAGGAAACTGTCTCTGGGGACTCATCTCCCGGACTACCCTTCTTGCCATAGCCCTACTACATGTTAGAAACACCTCTTTAAAGCTGGGTTTGAGTCCCTTTGAAATGATGTATGGACAGCCTTTTTCATCAGCGATTTTTTTGCTAGACCAAGAAACCTCTGATTTGATTAAACATATAACTTCTTTGGTCAATTTCCAACAAGAACTCAAACAACTGTCAGAGGCCCAATCCCCTGAACTAGGGCCACCTCTATTTAACCCAGAGGATCTGGTCCTAGTAAAGGTACTTTGTTCCGTTTCTCCCTATATAAGCCCAGATTGGGAGGAACCTTTACACTGTACTCCTTTCTACTCCTGTGGCAATAAAGGTCATTGTGGTAGATTCTTGATTCATTATACTTGAGTAAAGGCCTGTGACGCTGATGAAGTTACCTCCGTCGACCCAGAAGAGCACCCAAAACAACAATGTGAAGAGATCGAGGACCTCAAGCTAAAAATCACAAAAGATAGTTTCAATAATTAACCTTCCATAGATATTCCCTTTATAGTCTTGCCTATGCTTGCTACTCTTATCTTCATTCTTTTCTATACCATAAGGCACCTTTATAATCATGAATGCCCACGGAAATATGTACTCCCCTAAGCAGTTATCTCTCTTTCTAAAGTTTAACTGCTCTCATACAAGGTTTAATTTCTCCTACTAGGGCAAAACAGCTCAGAGTACAATGTTGTTTTCAGAAAGATTAGTATATTTAACTTATTTCTATAATCTTTGGCACTAGATTATTTCCTTTTAACTCCTCTTTGTATAATACACATATTTGATCCATGTATACTTAACAACATTTTTTTATGCCTAGAGGTCATCAAACTCCAAACGGTCATGCAACCAGAGCCTCAAGTGGTGGCTCTCTTTTGCAGGGGACCCTTAGGTAGCCCTCTGAGGAAAATCTGACTGCCCTTTTCCCCTAAACAATCCCCATTGTCAGCAGAAAGCAGCTAAGATCTGTCATCATCCATATTCTAATGGCAATTAGATGTGCCTCTTCAGTGGGGGAAATGATAGAGGCAGGAGGCAGAGAATCTCTAAGCAGACAGGAACAGGTCCTTGTTGAATCCCCACCCTCAAACTGAAAAGCCCCAAACCCACAGCCCAAAGTGAGAACTTCTATTGCTGTTTGCCCACTTTCTCCCAATTGGTACTTTCTGAATAATGTATTTTTACTAATCAAATGTTGCATTTTCTAAAACTGTCTACAACTCACCCTGTCCCCAGTCCTGTGCTTATAAAGACCCCAGACTCTGCTGGTAGAAAGATAAGTGGCTGGTAGAAAGAAAAGATAACAGGGAGATGCAACTTGACTTCAAAGAAGTGCCTGGACGTTGGGCAGAGGCGACTTGACTTCAGAGGCAATGGCTGGACATCAGTGAGAGGTTACTTGACTTTGCAGGAAAGAGGCAGAGAGACGCCAGGGGAGAGTAACCAGCCCTTCCTGTCTCCTTTCCAGCTCCCTTCTCCACTGAGAGCCACTTTCATCACTCAATAAAATTCCTTGCATTCACCATCCTTCAATTCATCTGCACAACCTCATTCTTATTGGGCAGGGACAAGAACTCAGGACCCACCAAGTGTGGGTACCAAAAAAGGCTGTCACACTGACCCTTTGCCCCCCACTGGTGGAGGTCAGCAGCCCCACATGACCAGGCAAAGGGCCCACTGAGCTGATAACACATTGCTGTCTGTGGATGGCAGAGCTGAGAGAGCATTGTTACACACCCTCTGGGGCCTTGGGGTGGCAGGTACCACCACCTGGACGCTGCTGCAGGGCCGGCATGGAGTTTGCTCCTGCCAATGCAAAAGTGGCCAGCTGGTTCCCGAGCTTGCTTGCCTATGCACTCCCTCCCACGAGGGGTGGGGTGCAGCATGACCAAGTAAACAGAGTTTGCTCATGCAGGCGCCAAAGCAGCCAGCTGGTTCCCGTACTCCTTCGCTTGTGTGCTCCCTCCTGCAAGGGGATGAACACGGTGGACTTGAGTAAGTGGGGTACCACTGATGGTAGTCCTGTGAAGGGATCAAGAAAACATCCTGCATCAAGGGAAACACAGAAAATTAGAATGGATTAAAATAGAATTTTTGTTTTATTTGCTAATACTATTCATCATTATTCAATCATTGAAATATAAGCAATCTCAAATTGTCTGATTTAATTCATTTTGTGTCTAAGTTATTTCTTTATGCTATAAAATAAATGCTTTGCTAGTTTTTTCTAGTGAGCCCCACAGTCCTGAAACTAAACACTTCTAAAGTAAAAATGGGGATAACATTTTAAAATGCCAACAACATTTATGTGTCACTTTGAAATGCTGAAATAGAAATAACTCTTCTTAACAGGAAAAAAAGCAACTCTGATACTGTGTAGAGTTCTGTATAATTTGCAGCTCATTTCTGGGTCCATACATCATTTGAATGTTCTCAACAGCAAAGATACGTTGTTGGTATTATCCCTATTTTTCAGAAAATAAACTAAGGTTGGGTGAATGATGTGCCAAATTAGTAAATGAGAGACAGAATTGAAAACCTAAAAAAAATAAAAAAGAAAGAGGAAAACATAGTCTTTGACAAGTGTATATGTCCATTGCAACTTGCCTCCTAATACATGTTCAGAGGTATTTATAAAAATTAAATCTTATTTTTCTTTTCTTGTTTTATATTCTTAAAGTGCTTTTCATCGAAGTATAGAAGCAAATAAGTGTTGCTATTTTGTATTCAAAGTATTAGAGACTTTGAAGAATAAAAAACCTGTGCACAAGCTTAAGTAGCTCTATAAATTTAAATATTTAATGAGGAAAATAGTATAATATTAAAAAGCAATGCCTTTGAAAACATTAAAAACTGTGTTCAAATGCTGGTTCTGCCATTTATTTGCTTTGTGAACTGGCAGAGTTAATAACTTCTCTGAGTACTAATTTATTCAATAATGAAATGTGGATGATAATTATCTAAAGGCATTTGGAAATGTTGGCAAAATTTTATACGTAAATTATGTATTTTAGTACTTGCCTTATAAGTGCTCAGTAAACTGTAACTGTAATGATTATGCACATTATTATTCTAAACTTCAGAAAAATGTGTATACTTTTATGTATATCCATATTTTTGAATGGCGTGGTGCTCTGAGATACAGTGACTACATAGACACACAGTAGTTATAAAAATATTGATAGCAATTTACATTTTAATTTATATTTAGATTAGATTTCTTCTAAGTATTTATTGTGAAATAATGTATAGACTTATGGAAAATGTACAAGCATAGTACAAGGAATCCCTCTTTACTCTTTACTAGATTTTAAATAGATAGATAAACATATAGACACATATGTGCATACATACATCTAGTTATTTTCTGAACCATTTGAGTTGCAGATAGTTTGCTTCTTTACCCCTAAATACTTTTTACTTTCTAAGCAAAAGAAAAACAAAAAACAAAAAAAGGAAAAATAATTTTTCTCATATAAACACAGTAAAATGATCATAATTGAGAAATTAGCATTGATAAAAATATTATTTAAGCTACATACCTAATTGTGAACTCACCATTTTTCTCAAAATAATGTATTGCTTTCAGTTGTTATCCTTCTTTATCTTCTTTAATTTGAGAAAGTTCCTCACAGTTTATTTTATCTGACATTGACATTTTGAAGAGTAGAAACCAGTTGTATTGCTTCCCTCAATCTGGGTTTACCTCATGTTTCCTTATTAATATATTCAAGTAATGTATTTTTGGTAGTGATACTATAAAATGAATACTCTATTTATTCCTAGTGCATCATAGCAGGAAGTAAATGATCTCATGTTAATTTGTTCCATAACTGCAGATTTAACATTGGTCACTTTAGTTAAAGAGATGAATGTCAGGTTACTATTTTTTGCTTTGTAATAAACAGTTACCTTGTGGGAGCTTAGTTAAAGATTATGTAAATATCCTATTATTCCTCAGACCTTTATCCAGTAGAGTTAACATGCAATGATGATTTTTCCCTGAGTTAATTATTACTCTTTGATGATTGCCAAATAGTGAGTTCTAATTTCATCATTCTTTCAGCTTACATAATGAAAATCTTTCTTTTACTATTTATCTGTACAGTCTCATGAAATTTTACTTCATTCTGTGGGTGAGAGTTCAATACCATCATTACTTATTGTGATGCTCAAATGCGCCATATTTGGCCAGTGAGAGCCCTTTCAAACTGGCTACTGTGTCCTCTTGATACATTTACATCATGGTTTCAATGCTTTTTTGACTTCTGGCGTAGGAACATATTATAAGATCAACCTGAATTTTTCCTGATTCAGACCCAAAAGCAGCTCTTTACTCAAAGAGCCTTGGTTTCTATACATAGAAAAAAAATATTTAGACTAAAAATATATGGGCACTATGTTTGCTCAGTGCTATTTACTGGCATTGCTTTAAGCCTTCTCACTATGAAAGAAGAAAAGTTCCCTTGTCCCTCTCACACGGCATGCAACATGGGGAGTGGCTCACTTCTTCAGTGCCCTGCTGCTCAAACGTCTAGGGGAGCATAAAGATGGGCAGGCTGTGAGGCTCCGACCCCATGGCAGTGTCTAGGGGTGGATGTTTACAGCTCATGAAGCCGCAGTGGGTGTGTGCTATGGTGTGCTCTTTTAGTTTTGCCGTCTATAGGTGGCTTGTGTTAACCAGCTCAATTACACCCCCAAGTACTAGCAAGGACAGAGGGCTTTCTGTATCCTGGGTTCTTGCCTTGGTGTATTGGAAGAGTCAGATCACACGTGGGCTGGAGAATGAGTACAAGGCTTTATTGAGTGGAAGTAGCTCTCAGTAGATAGGGGAGCCGGAAGGGAGATGGTTTTCCCCTGGAGTTGGGGTGCTTAGTGGTCTGGGCTTTCCTCTGATTGCCCCAGCGAACCTCCGCATCGTTCTGCTAGTCTATGGCCTGCTGGCCTGATGGCACCTGTCAGCATGCTCTTCCGCAGGTGTGCTCCCCTCGATGTCTTCTCGACATCCAGCTGCTTGTGTCTTCTTTTGCTGATTCACTCCTGTCGACGTCCAGCTGATTGTGTGGCTGCCTGCTAGAGTCTCAGGGCTTTTTTGTTTGTTTGTTTGTTTGAGACAGAGTCTCGCTCTGTCATCTAGGCTGGAATGCAGTGGCACAATCTTGGCTCACTGCAAACTGCACCTCCTGGGTTCAAGCGATTCTCGTGCCTCAGCCTCCTAAGTAGCTGGGATTACAGATGTGCACCACCACGCCCAACTAATTTTTGTATTTTTAGTAGAGATGGGGTTTCACCATGTTGGTCAGGCTGGTCTCGAACTCCTGACCTTGTGATCTGCCCACCTTGGCATCCAAAGTGCTGGGATTACACACGTGAGCCACCACGCCCAGCCCTCTCAGGGTATTTTATAGGCACCAGATGGGGCTGTGGCAGGCCAGGTTGGTCTTAGGAAATGCAACATTTGGGCACAAAGGCAGGGCTGCCTGTCCTGACTTAGGTCTAGGTCTGTGGGCACAGGTCCGGGGGTGGAGCCCTTGCCAGGGACCCGCCCTTCCATTCCCAGCACTTCCCTGTCCCCCTTCCATATCAACTAGACAACATTAGGATATAGATATGGTACATGGGCATGTCTATATACCATCTGTTTATTTAATTGTCTATGTATGTATATATGTATGTATCTATCTATCTTTCTATCTATCACCAAGCATTTACTCAGATACTTTATATTACAATACACCCAGACAATGTTGATTCAATGTTTTCCCTTTTTCATTTTTGTAATTCTCTTCCCCAAGTTTGAAATAACTAACTCCTCATATCCACAAAATATTTACTTAATTTATTTAATTACAGAATAAGAGAAAGTAGTTTCAGAAGTGCCATCCTATACCTCTATGAAAAATAAACTTACTAAGTAGGGATCATTACTGCTTATAGAACTTTTGTCTTTACTTGAAGGTCAATATTTCTAATATTGTATACTGTGTCCAACGTTACTAGGATTAGATATCCTCCCATGCTTCACTGTGTTTATATTTGTCATTTGCAGTAAGTACAGTTTATTTCTTCTTCTATGGTATGTACAATCAATTTTTAAATTTCATGAATATGTGAAATATTAACAATGTCTCAAAAGTCAGAACTGTATAATAAGCATGCATTCAGAGAAGTATTACCTCCTCCCCAATTTCTCACCTTATTTTTATCTTTTATCTTTTCTAACATGTTCTTACTAATCTACTGCAAGTCAAAATTATGTTACTTTCTTGTTGCACAAGGAGTATAGTGTCCCTCTTTTCTTACAAAAAAAGTAGCATACAATATTTTCTCTTTTATAATTTGTTATTTTTGTTTCACAATATATTTCTAAAATAACCCTCTAAAAGTGCATGGATAACATCCTTAATGTATTTTACAAGGTCCCCATTGTATTGTGCATTATATCTTTTTTTTTTCAAATAATCTACGTATAGCCATGCAGATTGTTTCCTGTATTTTTGAGAGGTGACAACATGCTAGCAGCCCTCACTGACTCTCGGCGCCTCCTCAGCCTGGGCGTCTACTCTGGCCACGCTTGAGGAGCTCTTCAGCCTGCCGCTGCACTGTGGGAGCCCCTCTCTGGGCTGGCTGGGGCTGGAGCCAGCTCCCTCTGCATGCAGGGAGGTGTGGAGGGAGAGGCACGGGCGGGAACTGGGGCTGCACACAGCGCTCGTGTGCCAGCGTGAGTTCCAGGTGGGCACGGGCTCGGCGGGCCCGCACTTGGAGCAGCCGGCCGGTGCCGCTGGCCCGGGGTAGTGAGGGGCTTAGCACCTGGGCTAGCAGCTGCGGAGCATGGGCCAGGTTCCTCAGCACTGCCAGCCCACCCATGCTGCGCTCGAATTCTCGCTGGGCTTCAGCTGCCTCCCCACAGGGCAGGGCTAAGGACCTGCAGCCTACCATGCCAGAGCCAAACCTCCCCATCCCCTCACCCTCCCACCTCCCCTACCTCACCTCTACCTCCCCCTGCCCCTTCCCCCCAGCCGTGGGCTCCCTCTCAGCCCGAGCCTCCCTGACAGGCACTGCCCCCTGCTCCACTGCACCGGGTCCCTTCGACTGCCCAAGGGCTGAGGAGTGCCACCCGCAGCCCTGGCCCAGGATCCACTAGGCTAAGCCAGCTGGGCTCCTGAGTCAGGTGGGGACCTGGAGTACTTTTATGTCTAGCTGGAGGATTGTATATGCACCAATCAGCACTCTGTGTCTAGCTTGGGGCTTGTGGATGCACCAATCAGCTCTCTGTATCTAGCTAATCTGGTGGGGACTTGGAGAACTTTTCATCTAGCTAAAGGATTGTAAATACACAAGTCAGCACTCTGTGTCTAGCTAAAGGTTTGTAAACGCACCAATCAGCACCCTGTCAAAATGGACCAATCAGCTCTCTGTAAAATGGACCAATCAGCAGGATGTGGGTGGGGTCAGATAAGGGAATAAAAGCAGGCTGCCAGAGCCAGCAGTGGCAACCTGCTCAGGTCCCCTTTCACGCTGTGGAAGCTTTGTTCTTTCATTCTTTGCAATAAATCTTGATGCTGCTTACTCTTTGGGTCTGCGCTGCCTTTATGAGCTGTAATACTCACCGTGAAGGTCTCTAGTTTCACTCCTGAAGCCAGCAAGACTACGAACCCACCAGCAGGAATGAACAACTCCTGACGGGAGGAACGAGCAACTCCGGAAGTGCCACCTTTATGAACTGTAACACTCACTGCGAAGGTCTGCAGCTTCATTCCTGAGGCCAGCGAGACCACAAACCCACCAGAACGAACAAACAACTCCAGACATGCCGCTTTTAAGAGCTGTAACACTCACCGCGAAGGTCTGCAGCTTCACCTCTGAAGTCAGTGAGGCCATGAACCCACCAGAAGGAAGAAACTCCGGACACACCATCTTTAAGAACTGTAACACTCACCGCGAGGGTCCACGGCTTCATTCTTGAAGTCAGCGAGACCAAGAACCCACCAATTCTGGACACATTTTGAATTCACAAACAATGCTACAATAAATAACACTGTACATGAGGACTTTTGTTTTGTTTTTCCTGTATCTTCTGGGTAAATTGCAGAAGTGAGATTGCTGGCTTAAAATATAAATACATAAAGGATTTCAGTTTTGACATATAAAAAGACTAAAAGTTGTCACAACCATTCTTAGAAGAAATAGCTGGAAAACTGAAAACAGTGATTTTTCTTGGACCCATAGAAAATATGTCAAATGGCTAAATGCAACCCTGAATCTGGAGGGACAGGAACATCCATAATAACGAGATCTGCTTACCCAGATCAGAAGCTATTGAAGCCGTAAGTAATATGATAAGTAATATTAAGTAAGTAATATGTTAAGTAATATTAAAGGATGTAAACTAAAAATAAAATCCGAAGGCCGAAATCAACTGAAAGGACCTCCTTTTGGCAAAGGCGACCCCAGGGCAACTTTAAAAATTGTGTTCCTGGACATGATGGGACCAGAGGTCAGGCAAACCTCATTATACCACATACCTTTTGTGGTTTAAACACAACAACTAACTAGCAGTAATGTTAAAATAGAGATCATAAGGCTGAAAGAGTGGACTTCTTGTGTCAATACCAAACTATAAACAAGACCTAAGGCCATGCCAGGCACGGGTTGAGTCATGCACCACAACACTTAAGAATAAACTATGTTCTAACTGCCACAAGGTTTTTTCTTTTTCTCTAGCAGCTAAATAAGCACCAGCCTTGTCATAGGCAACATTAAAACAATTTGCAGCTCCACTAGATGCTCACTAACTGAGCCTCCTGTTCCACAAGCCGTAAGTACAGCATTGTCAAAAGAGGTTGATTTCTGTAACTTTTTTTTCTGATAAGAGACTACATACCATGCACTAGTTCTGGCTGGTTTTACAGAGGTTGATCATTTCAGTGTCTTTGTGTACCTTCTTTACTTTTTGACATATGGGGTGTAATTGTAATACATTTAAATGTTAATTTAGGTCTCTACCCCAAGGTGAACACAGGTCATAGGTAACATGCATGTTTGTTCAACATGCACATGTCAGAACCCACTTTATGAATAATCATAGCTCCTCCTATAACCTGTTGAATATGTATGTTTGGCCAGCCCCTTCAGTTTAAATTACTGTCTTGTCCTTTCCTCCCTTGAAGTGCCTGCCTTTCAGGATTTTGCAAGAGGGATGCTTTGTAGCCTAGCAGAATGGCCACCTTGCAGTCTGTAACTCTTTACAAGAAATACAGTCTCCTATCAAAAGTTATAGCTCTCATGATTTTTAAGCTAACAAGGGAAATGTTGACAAATTGTTGGAAATTGAAAGTGTACTGGGAGGAGACATTTAAAGGCCTGGGTTGCAGTCTCAGGGAGAAGGGTTATGTATTTTTCTGGTCCTTACCTCAAAGACCCCACTCACGTGATTCTCACTGTGATTATCTGAGAAAGATCCCCTCATATCTCTGGAAAGGGGAAGGAAAGATTAATTATTGTTTAAGCACAGAAACTTCTCCATAACAATGGCCTACTTAGCCAAGGAAAAGGAATATTCCAGACCCTTATTCCAGCTTGTGAAAAGGAATTTCTCCCATTGTTGCGGAAATCAGGAGATTGAAGAGACCAATAGGTGGAACAGGAGGTGTGCTGGCTCAGCATATTTATAACTGAAAGCATGAGCCCCGAACAAATACAGTTTTTGGCTTTTATACACACTTCTGAAAAGGGGTTGGCTAGTTTGAAACAAGCTCACAATGGCAAGAAGCATAGTGGCATGAAAGTGAGTGTACAGAAGCAGAACAAAAGCAGTTAATCAATCTGGGACAGGTTCATAACTCAGGCTTACATGTGATTCTCTTGCTGTGTGGCCTACATGGCCGTCATCTAGGCTTGCTCAAGAACCTTGCACAGACTTATCTCATAACTTTCACTATGATGCCTAAATGGCTGCAGTCCAGGCCTGCTCAGGCATGCCTCATGACCTTCACTGTGCTGCTCAGATAAAAGAATACTTGAAGTTACTAGTTACAGAAAACAGGAATCTATAAACTCATAAGTTGGCTCTTATCAAAGGAAAAAGGAAAATAAGAAAAAAATTCTTTTTTCTAAACTTGTTTTTCCCTTTTTAATTTTATTTTTATTTCTTCTTTAATTTTCATCTGTCTGTTTCAATGCTCTCCAGCCATCAGTTCTTTTACCTAAGGGGTAAAAAAAAACCATAATCAACAGGGGTAGCACTTCAAGGAGACGGTTGGGAGCATTGGATTACTGAACCAAACTGGGTCTCTTTGTCCATGCACAAAAGAAAGCCAAACTCTGAAGCACTGAGTTTTTATAGAGAGAAAGGTTTATTGCAAATAGACTGCTAGGGACACAGGAGGCAATACTTGGATTCATCTCCCTGAACAAGGAGCAGGGGCAGTTTTTATAGGTAGAGGATAATGAGTTGTAATCTGATTGGATCTGGCAGTGAGGCGATGCCAGGGCTCTATGTGATTGAATCGTGGATTATGCCATGAGGTGTTCGCTTCGTAATTCTTTCTTTATTCCTTGTACCAAGAACTTAGGTTATAGTCATACTTGCATGATTGCTTCACCTGTGTATGCCCAGGTTACCTAAACTGCAAACTTGAGCATTAGACTGGTTGTGTGGTTACAATTGCAAACAGAAAAGGAAGTTAAGAAGAGGCAGGAAGGTGAGAGGTGACAACGTGCTGGCAGCCCTTGCTCTCAGTGCCTCCTCAGCCTTGGTGTCCACTCTGGCCGCACTTGAGGAGCCCTTCAGCCCACCACTGCACTGTGGGAGCCCCCCTCTGGGCTGGCTAAGGTCAGAGCCGGCTCCCTCTGCTTGTGGGGAGGTGTGGAGGGAGAGGCGCGGGCAGGAACTGGGGCTGCACATGGTGCTCATGGGCCAGCGCGAGTTCCAGGTGGGTGCGGGCTCAACGGGCCCTGCACTTGGAGCAGCTGGCCGGCGCCACTGGCCCCGGGCAGTGAGGGGCTTAGCACCCAGGCCAGCAGCTGTGGAGGGTGCGTCGGGTCCCCCAGCACTGCTGGCCCACCCACGCCATGCTTGAATTCTCGCCGGGCCTCAGCTGCCTCACGGGGCAGGGCTTGGGACCTGCAGCCTGAGCCCTCCCCACCCCCCAACCCCCAGTGGGCTCCCACGCAGCCCGAGCCTCCCTGACACGTGCCGCCCCCTGCTTCACGGCGCCTGGTCCCATCGACCACCAAAGGGCTGAGGAGTGCGGGTGCACCGTGTGGGACTGGCAGGCAGCTGCGCCCGTGGCCCCGGCACCGGATCCACTAGGTGAAGCCAGCTGGGGTCCTGAGTCGGGTGGGGACTTGGAGAAATTTTATGTCTAGCTGAAGGATTGTATATGTACCAATCAGCACTCTGTGTCTAGCTCAAGCTTTGTAAATACACCAGTCAGCACTCTGTGTCTAGCTCAAGGTTTGTAAATGCACCAATCAGCACCCTGTGTCTAGCTTAAGGTTTGTAAATGCACCAGTCAGTGCTCTGTGTCTAGCTAATCTAGTGGGGACTTGGAGAACTTTTCTGTCTAGCTCAAGGTTTGTAAATGCACCAATCAGCACCCTGTGTCTAGCTTAAGGTTTGTAAATGCACCAGTCAGTGCTCTGTGTCTAGCTAATCTAGTGGGGACTTGGAGAACTTTTCTGTCTAGCTAAAGGTTTGTAAATGCACCAATCAGTGCTCTGTGTCTAGCTAATCTAGTGGAGACTTGGAGAACTTTTCTGTCTGGCACTGTGTCTAGCTAGAGGATTGTAAACGCACCAATCAGCACTCTGTGTCTAGCTAAAGGTTTGTAAACGCACCAGTCAGTACCCTGTCAAAACGGACTAATCAGCTCTCTGTAAAGTGGACCAATCAGTTCTCTGTAAAACAGACCAGTCAGCTCTCTGTAAAATGGACCAATCAGCAGGATGTGGGTGGGGTCAGATAAAGGAATAAAAGCAGGCTGCCTGAGCCAGCAGTGGCAACCTGCTGGGGTCCCCTTCCACACTGTGGAAGCTTTGTTCTTTCACTGTTCGCAATAAATCTTGCTGCTGCTGACTCTTTGGGTCCATACGAGCTGTAACACTCACTGCGAAGGTCTGCAGCTTCACTCCTGAAGCCAGCGAGACTACAAACCCACCAGCAGGAATGAACAACTCTGAACGGGAGGAACGAACGACTCCAGATGTGCTGCCTTAAGCGCTGTAACACTCACCCTGAAGGTCTGCAGCTTCACTCCTGAAGTCAGCGATACCACGAACCCACCAGAAGGAAGAAACTCCAGACACATCTGAGCATCTGAAGGAACAAACTCCAGACACACCATCTTTAAGAACTGTAACACTCACCGTGAGGGTCCAGGGCTTCATTCTTGAAGTTGGCAAGACCAAGAACCCACCAATTCCGGACACAAAGAGAAAATGTTATACCACTAGAGAAACACTTGTGAAAGTTGGGGTCCCAAGACAAAGATCTACTAAGACAAATTGAATCAAAACACTGTAGAATGCTTCCCTCACCCCTGACATACCTTACTGTCATAGTAATAGGGCTCCCATACAATAACAGTGGATTACAGCTGAAAGAGTTGCAACATATGGGATATCTTTGACAGATATTTAAGAAAATCCAAAGTCAAGGAAAGGGGCAAAAAAAAAAAAAAAAAAAAGAAACTAGAGGAATTGGAAGCCTTTAGCATTCATAAAAACAGCAAACATTTTAAGAAGTCCCATTCATAGCCAGTTTAGTCAGTTTTCACACTAGAGGCCTATCTATCTCAGATCATGTTACTTGATACATTGTTTGTTTCTTTTAACTAAAGTTTACAAGGCAAGCCAAATGCAAGAGGAAAAAATAAATAGTCTTAAGAGACAAAACATATCAGAACCAGGTTATGATATGACACAGATGATAGAGTTATCGGACAGGAAATTTAAAATTATTATGATTAAGAAGTTCAGAACTTTAATGGAAAAAGTAGACAGCATGCAAGAAGGGAAGGGTAATTCAAGCAGAGAGATGGAAACCCTAAGAAAGAATTAGAAGGAAATGCTAGAAATCAAAAGCACTGTAAGAGAAATAAAAAATGCTTTTGATGGGTTAATCAGTAGATTGGACATAGCAAAAGAAATATTCCATGATCTTAAAGATAGGTCAATAAGCTTTAACATAGGTCAATGGAAAGGCAAAGCAAAAAAAGAAATGACAAAAACAGCATCAAAATTGTGACAAAATATAAAAACATGTCACCTATATCTAGTGGGAATACCAAGAGAAGAAAAAGAACAAAAAAACAAACATTTGAAGTAATAATAAAATAATGGCTAAGAATGTTTCTAAATCAGTGATAAAAATTAAATCACACATCCAAGACAGTTAGAAAACACCATTCAGGAAAAATACCAAGTGCACACACACACACACCCCAAGCATATTATTTCAAACTACAGAAAATCAAACAGCAAAAATTTGAAAGAATCTTGAAAAAATACACCTTAGCTGCAAATAGATAAGAATAATAATTAAATTGGATATTTCATTAGAAACCATGCAAATAAGATGTGTAAAATGTTAAATGTGTTGAAATGAAATAAACAAAAACCAACCTATAATGGTACATTCAACAAAATTCTTCTTCAAAAATGAAAGAGAAATAAAAACTCCTTGGGAAAGCTAAAGTTGAAAGAATTCATTTCCAGAAGACTAATGCTGCAAAAACAGTGTTAAAAGAAGTGCTTCAGGAACAAGAAAAATAATATAGGTCAAAAAAATCGGATCTTCATAAAAAAAGGAGTAGCTGAAGGTAAAATAAATGTGCTTACTTTTCTTCTCAGTTGATCTAAGAAAATAGGTGTTTAACAATAACAGTAAAAAGATACTGGCTGATGATATAACGTAGATAAGTGAAATGAATGGTAAAATGTTACAAGGGATTGGAGGAAGGAATTAGCAATACTCTATTCCAAGGAAACTTCACTATTTGTAATTTACACAGGAGTATTAGAGGATCAATTCTATAAACTGCAAGTTTTGGTTCCCCCAAAATTTGTATGTTGAAGCCATAACCCCAATGATATAGTTTAGGAATTGAGACCATTGGAAGCTAATCAGGTCATGAGATTGGGTCCTTCACGATGAGATTAGTGACCTTATAAGGAGAGACACAAGACAGCTTATTTCCTTTGTCTCTGTTGTTTGCCATGTAAGCACAAAAGAAAAAGACATCCATCTGCAAACTAGAAGCAGTGCCCTCACCGGACACCAGATTTGCTGCGCTTTCATCTTGGACTTCCCAGCTTCCAGAACTGTGAGAAATAAATTTCTATTGCTTAAGTCACACAGTTTGTGTAATTTGTTATAGCAACCTGAACTAACTAAATCAGTAGACTTAGATTCATTAAAATATAAACTGTAGGGCAAGTACTAACACAAAAATCTGAAAAGCAGTATAATTAAAATGCTGAGAAAGGAGACAAAATGGAATCATGAGAAAAGCTCAATAACACCAGAGAAGACAGAAAAAAGGAGGCTAAAGGAGTGAAAAAATTTTATGAATAGAAAAAAAATTGTGTACATGGTAGATATTAATCACACTATATCAATATTAATTAAATATAAATTGTCTACTCATGTCATTACAAGACAGATATTGTCAGAATGGGGTGGGGAGCAAGGAATAATACTACTATACATTGTCTATATATAAGAAATCCAACTTATATGTAAAGTATCAGATAAGTAAAAAGTAAAGGAGTAGAGATACACTATGCTAACAAATATCAAAAGAAAGCTGGAGTAGCTGTATGAATTTCAGACAAAGCAGAATTTGAAACAAGAAAAATCAGGGATAAAAGACAGCACATAATAACAATGTAGTCTATTCTTCAAGAAGACATAATAGTCCTACATGATTATGGAACTAACAGAATGTCAACATACATTAAGCAAAAATTGATAGAGCTTAAAGGAAAGTAGACTATTTCACTATTACAGTCAGATAATTCAAGACATCTTTTAGTTATTAATAGATGAAGTAGGCAAAAAACCACTAAGGACACAGTTTGTCTGAACATTACTTATCCATTTGATTTAATTGATATGTACAGAATAGTTCATTCAATAAAAGCAGAATACACAGTTTTCTCTAGCTTGCCAGGAACTTTCACCTAGATAAAACACATTCTGCATCAAGAAACACACCTTAAGACACTTTAAAAAATAAAAGTGATACAAATATGTTCTCAGAGAAAAAGTGGAATTAAAGTAAAATCGGTAATATAAACATAGTATAAAAATCTTCAATTAGTTTGAAATTAAACAACACACTTGTAACTAACAATTAAAATACAACTCATCATAATGTAAAAATGTAGTAAAAGTAGTAATTAGAAGGAAATATGTAGAATTAAATGCATAAATTGGGAAAAAAATTCTAAAATCAATAGCCTTATTTTATACCTTAGGAAACTAGAAAAAGAAAATGTATATAAGCCTAAAGCAAACAAAAGAAAAATAATACAATTTATGGCAGAAATTAATGAAGTTGAAAATAGGAAATAATGGACAAAACCATCAAAAGCAAAAGTGGTTCTTGAACAAATTAATAAAATTAATAATACTCTAGTTAGATTAATTAAGAAATAAAGAGAGAAGACTCAAAATATCAATAACACAAATGAAGGAGAAGGCATTTATATGATTTCATGAACAGTAACAGAAAAATAAATAATATTAACAACTTTAAAGCAACAAGTTTTGTAACTTAGAATAAAAAATACCAAATTCTTTAAAGACATAAAGCACTGGAATTTACACAGAGAAATATAGATAACCTGAATAGTCCTATATCTATTTTTAAAATTGAAAGAAAAACTAATCATCTGGCAAAAAAAAAAAAAAACTACAGTCACAGATAGCTTCACCATCACAATCTCTTCAAGAAAATAAAAGGTGAGTGGTTAATCCCTAACTCATTCATTACCCTAATACCAAAACCAGATAAAGACATTATAAGATACAGACCAATATTCCTTGTGAAAAGAGAGAAAATACTCCTTACAAAATACTAGAAAATAAAATAATGTGTAAGAAGGATAATGTGTAATGATGAAATGCTGTTGATTTTAGGAATGAAAGACTAGTTCAATATTCTTAAGTCAATCAGTGTAATACATCCTATTAAGAGATCGAATGTGAAAAACCACATATCAACAGATGTAGAAGTAGCATTTTAAAAACTGAAAGACCGACTTATGAAAAAGAAAAAAAAACTCTCAAAAAACTAGGTCTAGGAGGGAACCAAATAAAGGGTAAATAGTGTATTAAAAATGTATGTCTACCATCATACTTAGTATTGAGAGATGAGGAACTTTCCCACTATAATTGATGAAAAGACAATCATGTTTTCTTTAACTATTTCAACACAATAATGTGTTCAAACTCCTAGGTAGTAGAAACACACACAGACAAAGAAAGAAAGGTCACAATATTGGGAAGGAGGAACTTTAAGTGTTTTTATGTCCAAATGACATATTGGTTATATATAAAATACCAAGGAGTTAAGAACTTAAAGTGTTTTTATGTCCAAATGACATATTGGTTATGTGTAAAATACCAGAGTTGACAAGAAATGTCTTCTGGGACTAATAAACAACTACATACAGCAAAGTCAAATGATACATGGTCAATATGCAAAAGTTGATTGCTTTCCCATATGCCAGAAATTTACAGTTGGGCTTTACAAAATACCATTTACTCTAGGATCAAAAATGGAATTAAATATTGATATATAAATCAAACAAATAAGTACAGGATCTTTATGTGAGAGAAACCCAAAACACTGATGAAAAATCCAAAGGTCTACATAACTAAGACATGTTACACGTTCATGGATTCTAAGAATCAATGTATTTAAGATGTTAATTCTTCCAAAGTTGATCTATAGATTCAACACAATTACAGTAAAAATTCAGCTACATTATAGATATTAACAAATTGATTTTAAAATTTATGTGGAAAACAAAAGACCTAGAATAGAAAATACAATACTGAAGAATAAAAACAAAGCTGGAGAGCTCATACTATCCAATATCTAGACTTACTAAAAGGCTATAGAAATCAAGACTACAGAGTATTGGTGAAAGAATAAATGCATAGGCCAATGAAACAGAATAGAGAGCTCAGACATAGAACCACAGAAATATAGTCAACTGATCTATGAAAAAGAATAAAGATAGTGTAATGGGAAAAATGATTTTTTAACAAAGGATTCTGGAACAATTAATGTTCCATAAAGAAAAAAATGAACCAAACTACAGAACTTATGCTTTTAATAAAACTAACCGAAAGTGGAACATACACCTAAATGTAAAATGTCAAACTATAAAATGCCTTAAATAAAACATGAGAACAATCATATGATATTGTGTTAGTGACACAATTTCAATAGCACTATTCATGAAATAAATAATTAACAAAGGATTTATTATGATTAAAAACTTCTACCACGTAAAAAACACTATTAAGAGAAGGAAAAAACAAGGTTCAAAAGGGAGAAAATGTTTATAAAACACATATCTGATAAAGTATTTGCAACCAAAATACAAAAGGTACACAACATTAAACTAAGAAAATAATCTAATTTAAAAAATTAGCAGAAGATTTGAATAGGCACCTAACCAAAAAAGATAAACAAATGTTAAATAAGCATTTGAAAATATGAAAAACTGGAATTTGCCAATATGGAAATGAAAATTAAAACAATAATGAGATGCCATCATACACTTATTAGAGTGGTTAAAATTTTTTAAAAATCTGAGTATGCCAACTGCTAGCAAGAATGTGAGATAGGAAGATCTCTCATTGATTGCTGGTGAGAACTCCCACTTTGAGAAATGGTTTGTTAGCTTCCTGCAAAGCTAGACAGTCTTACCAAATGATTCAGCAATCACCCTCCTGAGTATTTGCCCAAGTGTGAAAACATGTTTGCACAAAAATGTGCAATCCAAAGTGTACACCATCTTTATCCATAATTGAATGAATAAACAATATCTGGTAGGTCTATTCAATATCATGATCTTCAGTGAATAAAGAAATGAGCTATCAAGACACACTTAAATAGACGAACTGTAAATTCAGGTAGCTAAGTTGGAAAAAGCATGTCTGAAAGGGCTACATACTGTATTGTTCCATTTACATGACATTCTGCAACAGGCAAAAACACAGAGGCAGTAAACATATCAGTTGTTGCTATGACATTGTGAGGAGGAAGTGCTGAATAGGGGAAGCACAGTGGATTTTTTTTTTTTTTTTTAGGGTGGTGAATGTTGATACTGTAATGGTGGATACAAAACATTGCACATTTAAAAAACTCATAGAACTTTCCTAAACAAAGTGTGGAGTGAAATGAATGCCAATTTTTAAAAAGTAGGCTATTAAAGAATCACATGATGGGATATAAAATGAGACAAAAAAAATTAAATGAATAACAAATCCATAAAAAAACTTAACTGAACTGGATGGAGGTGGGGAAAGATGCTGAGAAGTAATTTTGGAAGTTAGTGGTGTCTGTAAAACTAAAGACAAAGGAAACTACATATCAGTACTGTAGTCTAGTTGATAAGATTGTTCCTCATTGGGGTCTATGTTAACAATCTGTAACCACTATACATGTATACAGAAACTCAACAGTTAAATAAGATAACTGTGGATATTAAGAGCCAGATTTTGCATTTTTGGAGTGAGAGTATTACAACTAAGCATGGGAGGAGGCTAGAATAAGCCATGTAATAATGAATTAGAATTGGAGGCATCAGTATGAACTTATGTTTAAGTCAGCACCAATACAGATAATTACATAAAATATAGATATGTGAATATAAGTGGATTGAGTATACACACATACATTGCCTTGTTCTGTCAGCTGAGGACACCTAGAAACAATGACACCCTAGAATGAATGAGCACACACAGTGCCCAGATCTTGGTTTCTTTTTTTCTTTTCTTTTTCTTTTTCTTTTCTTTTCTTTCCTTTCCTTTTCTTTTCTTTTCCTTTTCTTTTTTTTCTTTCCTTGCTCTGTCATCTAGGCTGGAGTGCAGTGATGTGATCTCAGCTCACTCCAACCTCCACCTCCTGGGCCCAAGCGATTCTCCTGCCTCAGCCTCCTGAGTAGTTGAGACTACAGGCGCACGCCAGCATGCCCGGCTAATTTTTGTATTTTTAGTAGAGGCAGGATTTCACCATCTTAGCCAGGATGGTCTCGAACCCCTGACCTCAGGCAATCCGTCCTCCTCAGCCTCCCAAAGAGCTGGGATTACAGGCGTGAGCCACCAGACCTGACCCAGATCTTCGTTTTCTAATACTATTCTCCAATAAAAGGAACCAGTGCCCGTTGGAGGAATGGCTAATTCTAGGACTGAGATAGGGAATATACAAAATAATTATGGAACATATTGTGATGCCAACATAAAGAAGTACTAAGAAGAAAACAGAAACAATGGTGGGGTATTCAAAGGAAAGCAGAAGCCAACTGAGAGAGTTCCCAAAGGCCATAGGTGGAAATTCTTAAGCAAAGAAAGAAAGTAGCGTTGGATTATTACCCCCCCAAAAAAATAGATTTGCATTAAGTCTATGCTGACATAAATAAATGACTGAAAAATATTCTAATAGTTTAGAAAGATACTCTGCTCTTCTGGAGTTGGAGCATTAACTCACTACTCAATATGTGTGTGTTGCACATAGTGGTTCCTTCCAAAGTGTGCACTAAGGAGAGGAGAAAAGAGTAACTTCACAGCAGGGAAATCTGAATAATACTACTTCAGGCAGGTGATCCAGATTAATATCAAATATCATAAATCATTTTGTTAGTATATATCCTTGACGTTATGTGATAAGAATGACACTTTGTCCCTGTGATCTCAAAACGCATAACATCATTCTAATAATGAGACATACAGCAGAAAAATCTCAACTGAGGGACATTCTGCAAATTACTTAATATCCTAAACATTTCCAAGATCATCAAAAACAAGGAAAGTATGTGAAATTGTCAGAGCCAAGCACATCCTAAAAAGACATGCTAACTAAATGTAATGTGATATCCTAAATGGAATCTTGGAACAGGAAAAAAAAATCAGTTTAAAATTATGGAAATTTTAGTGAAGCCTTGACTTTACTTCACGATATATCAACATTGGTTCATTATTTGTGACAAATGTACCATATTAATGTGAGATGTTAAAAATTTGAAAACTGCATTTGAGTATATGAAGACAGTACTATCCTCACAATTTTTCCATCATTCTAAAACTATTGTAAAATAAAAAATATTCTTTTACAAAGTAGACACATTATGTAAGATTATCAATGTTCCTATATAACCATGGTGGAATTTGCATTTTTATTAGCAATGTGTGAGGATGTTCCTTTCACCACAGCATCAAAAACAGATATTAGTGTAATACTTTAAAGTTTTGTCAGTCTAATAATTGAGAAATGGTAGTTTAGTGTAATTTTATTTACATTTGAACAATGACCAAGAAGATTGAACTGTGAAGTATTAAAATCCATATTATACCTCTGTCCTGATGTCTGTTCATGTAAGTTTGCCCATTTTTCTTTTATTTCTATCATTTCCCTCAATTTATGTGTTATTAAATATATGTAATATATGTTAGAATATTTTCTCCCTGTCAATTATCTTATGTTTTACAACCTTGTTTTTCCAGCAAAAGTTTTATTTTTTAAGTTGCTATTATGTCAAATGTATCAATATATTATTTTAGTGAATCTAAATTTTGAATCTTAGAAAGCCTTTACTTGCGCCCAGATAAAAGGTAATTTTTTTTTCCTTAATTTCCACTTCTAACTATTGAATATTAGTATAAAGGAACAAAATGGTATTCCACATCCTTGGTAAAAGTGCCCATTTGTTCTACTACATCTTTGAAAATGTTTTGTGGGTTTTGTGTAGATGGTTGTACCATCTGCAAATGAAGACAGTTTTACTCCTTTCTTTTCAATCTGCGTGTATTGTATTTCTTTTCATTTCTGGGGCTCAGTTTGGTGTTGAACAGAAAGCTTGAGTTGGATATCCTTGCCTCATCTCTAATCATGGAAGGAGCATTCAGTCTTTCTTCATTCAGTATGATAGAAGATATAGGATTTTTCGAAATGTTCTTTATCAGGTTGAGGAAACTTCTGCCGTATGAGAGAAGGACCACATAAATTGTCAGTGTTTGTACCTGTGCACCCTGAAAGGAGATTTCTGAGGTCCCTGGCTCCACCACCAATCTTTCTAGTGAGAATTTTATTGAAATCCAGGAAAAAGAGATGTGTCTCAGGCTCTAGGAATTCTAAATTAGCAAACAATTGCTAGAATTTGTGAAAATTCCAGTTTTCTTTTCTTTTTGATCCTTTTATAGCCATCACATTCTTTTCTCATGTTCCACAAAAGGCAAAATCAATTTGCCTTTCTGGTTTCTTCAAAAAAGCTTGTCACATTTTGGAATTCAATTCACCTGGCTGTCTTGGCACCTCTGGTGATCTAAATAAAACGCAATGATTCTGTCAATTATCTGTTTTGTGTGTGTGTGTGTGTGTGTGTGTGTGTGTGTGTGTGTGTGTGTGAAAGGAGAACTGAAATCAAGTATGTATGCTACAAATGTACAAATGAAGCATATTTATTATTCAACCATGTGCTAGGTGCTGTGCTTAGTGGGATTTTGTGGTCCAATTAGAATGAACTCTCTGCTTTGTGTAAGAAGCCTGAGGCCTGATTTCAACTCTACATCTTACTTGCTGTGTGTTGAGTCTTAGCAGGTTATAAAACCACTCTGTTCTTTCATTTCCTTCTTTATAAAACAATGCTTACTTTGTTGTAAACATAAAAATGGGACATGCGTATATAAACTTGTATGTTAAACGTCACTTAATTTGGAAATATAATAAAACTATATTTGTATTGCTGCTTTTCAATCTAATTTAAGGCTCCACGAACTGACAAGGTGTCTCATCACTGCAACCCTAGAATAACACCAACAAAAAAGGTATTAACAGTAGTAAAGAAATATAAATTATTTTGAAATATCTCCAGTTGGTAACAAGCTTTATATTTTAGATTCCTATAAATACCTTCAGAAACAGTGAAATTGGGGTGAAATTGCCCTGTCATTGTGTATTATTCATACATTGGGCACAGAAGGAAGAATGACTCCATTTATGAAACAAAGGTAATGGAATTTTCCTTCTGGCACAAATCCTCTTGAAAATATCAAAGCAAGTTGAATAAGGATTTATTGAACTGAATTGTTAGATTAGAAACAAATTCCAAAAAAGAAAAGGCTTTTTACTACAAAACTTGTATTTTTACATGTAAAAAATGAAAAGCCCGGAGAAGATAAGTGATATATTCAAGGTTTCACAGAGAAATTGCTGCATCATAGAGATGATTCCACAAGTCTCCTGACTTCTCCTCCTGTGAACTTGCCACTACATGACATTATTGTCTTTCTACGCTAATACATGTTTCACAACCTATATTTAATTGAACTTTTATTTCTGGAAGTGTTTTAGTTTTATAGAAAAATTTCAAAGATAGTAGAGGGAATAAATGCCATACCTAGTTTCACAAATTATTAACATCTTACCCTAGTCCTTTTTCTGTGTTAGGATCCCATTCAGGACACCATATTTTACTTAGTTGTCATGTCTTCTTAGGGCTCCTTTGGCTGTTGACAATTTCATAGACTTTCCTTTTTTGAAGACTGTCATAATTTTGAGGAGGAATTCTCAGAAATTTGGCAGAATGTGAGATTCTGCCAAATATTGAGATTTTTCTTTTTAAATACAGCATGCAAATTTATTTAATATGTTTTATATGACAACATATTTTTATGCTTAGGTTTTAAGGAGAGTGGAGACTTATGCAGAAGTATGATTGGACAAAGGGGATATGATCTGATGGAGAAAAACTGGGGTGGGGGAACTTAGCGTGGCCTATTTGTTCAGATTTTTCTCTGTTTCCTGTGTTTTCAGAGTTAAGGACATTCCTTTCTTCCAGGTATAGAATGAGGGTCTTATGATCTACTTTAAGGGAAGGTCAGCTTAGTTCCATGGCCTGTTTCAAGAGAAAAGAGCAAGAGGGAGGTGAGACTGACCTTCCTGCTTCTGCTATTGTCTCAAATGCTAAGGAACCATATTTTGGGGATGTCCTGAACCCCATCAATGGCCATTGTCCTATATTAGGAGCTGATGAGAGACTTCTCTCCCTGAATCTGCTAGAGTATTCCAAAAGGTTTGCAGTTTTCTAAGGCAATTTTTCAGGCTCTGGACATCTACAGGATAATTTAAAAGTATTGCATGCAGCCGGGCACGGTGGCTCATGCCTGTAATCCCAGCACTTTGGGAGGCCGAGGCAGGCGGATCACGAGGTCAGGAAATGGAGACTAGCCTGGCTAACACGGTTAACCCCGTCTCAACTGAAAATACAAAAAATTAGCTGGGCGTGGTGGTGGGTGCCTGCAGTCCCAGCTGCTCGGGAGGCTGAGGCAGGAGAATGGCGTGAACCTGGGAGGTGGAGCTTGCAGTGAGCCGAGATGGCGCCAGACTCCATCTCAAAAAAAAAAAAAGTATTGCATGGCTTCTAATCATTCAGAGAAGGTCATTTTGAAGAGGTTAAATATAATCACTGGTTGAGCATCTCTGCTACTGTTATGTAAGAAAAAACTATTGGAGAAAAAAGTACTTGATAGATAAAAATGAAATGTGACTTGATGAACCAGAAGTTCATCATCATTTGAATCTTCAGTTGAGATTTTTCTGCTGTATGTCTCATGATTGGAGTGGAGTTTTGGGTTTTAGGAAAAAGATCACAGAGGTATAGTTCCATTTTCATCATGTCATATCGATGGTACATACTATCAACATGTGTTATTACTGTTGATGTTGACCTTAATACCTGGTAGAGGTGGTGTTTGTCAATTTTTTTCACTCTAAAGTTAATTTTTTTCCTAGTTTTCCTACTTTAAAAGAAAGTCACTATATGTAGTCCACACTCAAAGAGTTGGGAGTGATGCTTCACCTCCTGGAAGATAGAATGTCTTCCTAAGTTATTTGGAATTCTTCATAGAAGACTGGACTCCTCCATTTATTTACTTAATCATTTATTTCTGTGAATATGAATACATTAATACTTATTCTATACTTTAGGTTTATTTGACTTCTCCGTTATTGTGTGTGTGTTTATGTGTGTTTGAACTTTCAAACTTTTTGCCAAAAAAAAAAAAAATGCTCCATGTCCGTCTTGCATATTTACTGCTATAGTCCTAGAATCAGTATTCCTCTAAGGATCCCCATAATGCAGATTTATAGTAGAAACCAAAACCTGAACACTCCATGTGCTCATTGCTACTGGGTGTCATTGTTTCTAGTCCCTCTTAGCTGACAGACCAAGAGCAGACAGTGAATATATGTGCATATGTTAACCCATGTATCTTCATTTATCTGTAAATATTTCTGTATGTAACTATTTGCATCAATATTGAGCTAAGTGCTCATACTGAAATATCCAGTTCTACTCTGTAACCACATGGTTTGTTCTGACCTCCTCTCCTTGTTTACTATAATCTTCAATTTCAACAGTGAAAAACAAGGCTCACACATTTTGTGTGTGTGTGTGTGTGGTGGGTGGGGGATGGAGTCTCACACTGTCACCCAGGCTGCAGTGCAATGGTGGGATCTCAGCTTACTGCAACCTCTGCCTCCCAGGTTCAATCGATTTTCCTGCCTCAGGCTCCCAAGTAGCTGGGATTACAGGCACCTGCCACCATGCCCGGCTAATTTTTTGTATTTTTATTACAGATGGAATTTCACTTTGTTTTCCAGGCTGGTCTCGAACTCCTGACCTCGTGATCTGCCCACCTCACCCTCCCAAAGTGCTGGTATTACAGGTGTGAGCCACTGTGCCCAGCTGCTACTTTCTGTCAATTTAATTGTTTACACATGTCTAGTGATATCAGAGCTGTTAATACATATGTGTATGGAAAATAACTTTTTCAACTAGAGTATATTGATTATTGATAATACTTTTTGCCTTTACTCTTATAGTGTCTACTCATTTCTAAAGGTACTTAGTATAATTGATATATTAAGAGATCATATAAAGTGGAATGAATATAACTCAATTGAAACCAGTGAAAGTGTAAAAGAAAAAAAAGGTAGATATTTATCCAATTGCATTAATAATTACTTTAAAGGTGCTTGGTATACAAACAACGAAAAGACAGAGATATTCAATTCAAATATGAAAGAGCAAGACCTAAGTATACATTCACTACAAAAGACAGTTTAAATATAAAAATTCATAGGTTATAGTAAACTGATAAAGAAAGATAAACCATGTCAATAATAATCAAAAGAAAGCTACAGTAGTTATATTACATTTAGACAAGCCAGACTTTAGAACAAGGAAAATTGTAAGGGATACAATTTTGTATGATTTAATGATAAAGGGGTCAATTTTTTATGAAAGCCTAACAATCCTAAATGTAATTTTTTATGAAAGCATAACAATTCTAAATGCAATAACCAAGAGGACTGAAAGGAGAAATAGACAAATCCACTGTCATAGTCAGAAACCTCAACATTTCTTTGTCATTGATTGATAGATCATGTAGTTCATAGTAGACCTGAACAGTCTTATAAATCAACTTGACTAATCAACATTTATAGAATAATCTACCTAAAAAAGGAAGAATATATATTCTTCTTACTCTCCAATGAAACATTCACTAAAAGAGATCATATGCAGGGCTTTAAAACACTTCTTGGCCAGGCACGGTGGCTCTCGCCTGTAATCCCAGCACTTTGGGAGGCCAAGGCGGGCAGATCACAAGGTCAGGAGATCGAGACCATCCTGGCTAACACGGTGAAACCCCATCTCTACTAAAAATACAAAAAATTAGCCGGGCGTGGTGGCGGGCGCCTGTAGTCCCAGCTACTGGGGAGGCTGAGGCAGGAGAATGGCGTGAACCTGGGAGGCGGAGCTTGCAGTGAGTCGAGATCGCGCCACTGCACTGCAGCCTGGGTGACAGAGCGAGACTCTGTCTTAAAAAAAAGAAAAAAAGAAAAAAAAACACTTCTTAACATATTTATAAGAACAGAAAACTTACAAATTGTGTTCTTGGAACACAATGAAATTTAACTAGAAATCAATAAAGAGATTTGGAAATATCCAAATATTTGGAGATTAAAAAACATACTTTAAGCAACATATGATTAAAAAAAGAAGCTTCAAAATAACTTGAAAATAATTTAAAATATAATACAACTTATCAAAAGCTGAGCAATGCAAATATAGTAGAGCTTGGAAGGAAATCTATAACTTTAGATGCATATCTTAGAGAAGAAGAAAGATTCTAAAATCATTAATATAATGTTCCACCATAATAAACTACAGGAAAAAGAGAACAATTTAAGCTTAAAGGAAGCAGATGAAAAAAACGGTAAAAATAGAAGTAGGTATCAATAAATTTGAAAATAAAAAATAATACAGAAGATTAACAAACCAAAAGCCACATCTTTGAAAAATTTAAGAAATTTTATAAACATCTAACCAGGCTAACCAAGAATAAAAGAGAAATGAAATAAGGGTCATCATTCATCACCTCATGGACATTAGAAGACGCTGTTAGTGTCTTTTCTCCTGGAAAAATAAACCTGTTTTACAGAGCATACTCTGGAGGTAATTCACAAGGATTGCTCTTCCTCCGCCCCAGCCAGAGCTACAAGGGCATCTTCACTGTGAGTATCTGGTGAGATAACTGTAGATAAAGGCCGTGAATGTGGCAGGCCCCTCTAATACTGAAGCTCTTAAGGGATTATCACTCTCAAGATAGTCCATACTCAGATTACAGCAATTTGTTAACATTGCCATGTAAGTGTTCTAAGTGTTCTTATGAGTTTATATGTCTCCAGTGTCTTCTACTTCTGATAAGCAGAACTTGGTTTTGTCTCTCTGAAGTCTTCTATTTCTTCATATTTGGGTGTGACAGCTCTTCCTGCAATCTTAGTTTTCTGATAGGCCCGCAAAACTTACTGATTTTCAGTTTGTTTTATTTTTACTGTTGTGAAGACAGAAGTGTCTGTTTCCTAGCTATTTGTCTGGTGGTGTCAGAACTAAAACTTTCGTTGCTTTTTCACATTTAAAAAAGCATTTTAGAAATGCTTTACATTAATAATAACATTTGTGTTGTTTAAACATGTTTGTTCTGATGGTTTCAGTTTAAAGGATGTTCTTGATTTTCGGCATCAGTGTTTAAAGGCAGGATCTTGTGTTGATTCTGAGTCACATAGGGATATCTGCAATGTTTGTGAGGCTCAGCCAATGTCTTCCCCTCTGTTGTGCGTATCTTCTTCTTTCCTCAGTTTTATTTTCTACCGGGTCAATCTTTGTCCTGAAGGTGAATCTAGGAATTCCTTTTTCCCCAGGGTCACAGGAACACAGCAATTCTCCCTCTTCTATACTGAAGCTAACTTAAAGAAGAGAAAAAAAGGATAAGGAAAATCTGAAAGACGTATAATTTAATTTAAAAACTGAGTCATATAAAAGAGTTAAGCCAAAACTAATAGGCAGATGAAATTTGAAGTGACAAAATATTAAACTAATGGGGAGAGTGATTACATTGGAACCAAATATTTTAATTTGGCAAGTCTAAGTTGTCTCTGCTATCCAGTGGGTGGCAAGCCCATGAGGAAGATTAGAGAAGATTTAGAGAATTAAAGCAAAAATTAAAGCTATTTAAATGTATAGTAAATACACATGTTATTCTATCTTACACACAAAATATTACCTATGTATATAGATCTTTGTTTCAAATGAAATTTAAGTCTTTTTTGGACACTAATAATTTATTTACATATTATACATTCTATTTTCACATTCTAAGGCAGTATTTGTTAAAAGGCAAACTGAAATAACCTTTTCTACAGTATTTAAGTAGCACTATCAGCTTTTGGACTGGCTTAATTATATTTAGCACAAAAAAGATCCACAGTATCACTTGAGAAAACATGATTGTATAAGCAATTTATTACCAGATGTTTTGGATTTAAAGCAACCTTCTTTGAAGAATGCAAATACTTTGTAGATTTATGAGGAAAACATGACTTTAAAGAACAACTTCTTGGTTACTTGTTAGTTCAAACTTTTTCCCATAAGGACACAAGGTGGCATGGTCGAAGTGAAAAGTTAAAACCTAGGTTTTTGTACTGTAATTTCTGTGTAGCTATGAATGTCCAGGAAGTAAAATGGGTTTTTCAAATTAAGGCAAATATGTTGTGGAAAAGAACAGAATAAACCACCTCATTATGTGAATCCTAGTTAAGAATAAGAACCCTCAGTTGAAATTTGGAGACCTGGGTTGTGAAGCATGCTGTTACAGAACATGCTATTCCACCAGAAACAGGTCATATACTCTATTGGCTTCATGTTGTCCACTATAAAATAGATTTGAACTATATAAAATGTTATGATCCTCAAGAGGTTTTAGGTTAGAATATTAAGTGTCCCAGAAAAACATTGCTCCCATTCTAACAAGAAACAGCAGCCCAAATGGCATACAAAATCATATTTTTTAGAGTCCATCAGAGACCTTAGATGGCAAGGTAATCTAATTATATACATCCAAAGGGTTTTAACCTCTTCCAGTAGAGTAGTAGACATGAACTATTTCCTCTTTGAAAGAACAGTAGGAGCATATGGTAGCCATGGAAGTGAATTTTAAAAATAAATAAAATTTTAAGAAATTAACTTAAAGTCCAAGTATAGCTGGTGTGATAACTTAGAATTCCTTGGAGGCCCAAACACCATAGAAATCTGCACCTACCTACTATGAGAAACATTAGGCCAGGTCATTGGACATGAGAAACCTCTTCTGTTGCTAATGACTGGCAATTCCGAAGTTTGAGAGAGAGCAGGGAAAATCAATAGAAACCTGCCTATAGTCAGAACACTGAATTTATACAATACATTGACCATGAGCAGTGAGAGAAGCAGCAGAATATCTATTTGTATTATACTTGTATTCTATATCTGGCATTCATTTACATACACACACAAACACACACACACATAACTGTGTGTGTATATATGTGTGTGTATATATGTATACATAATACATACAATAAAGTGAGAAAATGTGATCTACCATCAAAAGATATTCAGTAGAAATAGAGACATTAGAGAAAATGAAGTTTTAGTTTAACAAGTTCTCACAAAGGTAACTCCAGGCACAGATGGTAAAAAATGGTTAATTCCATCAGACATGTAATGGGAACATAATACAAATTGAGAGGGAGAACAAATCCCAACTTGTTTTATTGGGTCACTTATCTTGGTGCAAAAATAAACAAAGATTTTGCAATTAAAAAATTTACAAGCAAATATCTCTCATGAACATAGAATATCAGCAAATTAAATCTAGCAATATTTAAAAAAGAATAATACATTGTAATCAAATAAGTTTTACTGCAGGATCAAGGTTGGTTTATATATGAAAGGAAATCCATTTTATAAACCACATTTAAGAGATAAAGGAAGAAAACACATATAATCTTAATTTTTCAGGCAAAGTTTCTGGCAAAATGCAACAGACATTTGTAATATAAAATGTTCAGTAAACCTGAATGAAAATAAACTTCCCTAATCTGACAAATTGTACTTATGAAAAACCTAAAGTTGATATCATAGACTATCATGAAATATTGAATGTTTGTTTCTCAACACTATGAATAAGATCAAAACAAGATTTAAATAAATTGTGAAATGTGCAATAGACCATTGACTGGAATATTTAGTATAGTTAAAACGTCAATTTTCCTCAAGTTTATCTATAGATTCAGTGCAATCTCAATTCAAGTAGCAGGTATTTTGTAGAAACTTAGAAGTTTCTTAGAAAATTTATTTGGAGAAGCAAATAACCTATATTAGCTAAAATAATCTTACAAATAAAAAAATGTTTGCAGTACTTACAGTAATTGAGGTCAAGACCTATTTTAGAGCTGTAATAATCAAGATATTGTGTTACAGAAGAAACAGAGGAGTCCAGAATTAATCCACACAAGTATGGATCAGTCCATTTTGACAATGTTCCCCCAGAAAAAAAAAAAACTTGATCCCTAACAATCATGTCATCAATATAATATGGATCATAGAGCTAAATATTAAACATGAATAAGACAATAGTTACTAGAAGAAAATTTATGAGAAAATCCTATTAAATTGGAGTAAAGTTTTGTGAGAGAGGACAAAATATACACTATAGACAAAAGAAAAATGAATAAATTGGAGTTCATCATATTAAAAAATCTTCTTCTGGTCAAGCACTCACAACTGCCCACTTCTTACCCTCTGTTTTGTCATGACTCAAATTCAGTCAGGCTTTCTCCTCCCTATGGGCCTCTGAACACTGCTTGCCTCCAGCCTAAGAAAACACTAAGGGAAACATGGCCCCTTATTAACTTATCTCAAGAATTTGCTAAACACGAACAACACATTTTTTTTCATACATGGCTGGCCATTTTTTCTAATTTGCCTAACTTCTCCTTTCTTACTTCTTATTCCTCCCTAAAAAAAAAAAAAAAAAAAAAAAAAAGCTATTTTCTGTCAGACTTTGAGATCCTTGCAGATTTCTGAGATCAGAGTATTCTCCCTATTACAAGTCTTTTTTGTGAATAGTTTATCCTTATCTAAATCTGGATGTACTTTTATTTGACACAACTCCCCTAAAAGTTCTGTTAAGAAAAATGAAAGAAAATCCACAGCCTGGGGAAAATATTTTCAAAACACATACTTAATAAATAACTTGAATTCACAAAATTTACAGAATTAATGTAAAGCAATAAAACAAATACTAACCATCTAATAAAAATATTAAAAGTTTGAATAGACACCTCCCAAAAGGACAAATGGCAAATAACATCAACATCATTATACGTGAGGAAAATGCAAATATAAGTTAAAATGAGATACTACTATACATCTACTTGAACAACTACAATTACACAGAAGGACACCATCAAATGTTGGAGAGACTGTAGCAACTGGATCTCTTATACAACATTGGTGGGGTGGTAAAATTAATTATTATTTTCTATTGCTGCTATAATAAATTAGTACTTTGGTGATTTAAAATAACACGGATTAATCTCATAGTTTTATAGGTCAGAGGCCTGACATGGGTCTCACTGAACTAAAATAAATGTTTTGTCAGGGCCGTGTTACTTTCTGGAGGACTTAGGGGAAAATCTATTTCATTTTTTATTCACATTGTTGGCAGAATTCAATTCTATGTGGCTTAAGACTGAGGTCACCATTTTTTGTTGTTGTTGGGTATGGGCTAAGGGCTTTTCTTAGCTTCTGGAAGCCATCCACATTCCTTGCCTGTGGCTCCCTTCTTCCATCTTCAAGTTCAGCAACAATGATAAAAGTTCCTCTCATGTTTCTAACCTGTCCTACCTCTCCTTACATGGTTATATTTCTTACGCACTCTCTGCCTTTCTCTTCCACTCTTAAGGACTCTTATAAATAGACTGTGTCCACTTAAATAATGCTAAATAATATATCTCAAGATATAAAACGTTACTAATACTTGTAATGTCCTATTTTCCATATCAAGTGCTTATTCACAGGTTCCAGGGACGAGGCTCTGGACGTTGTTGAGAAGGCTTTATTGTGACCACAAAATGAACAATCATCTTGGAAAGCTCACTGTCACTATCTTAATAAGTTAAAACCAATCCAGAAATTCTGCTGTTAAGTATATAACCAAGTAAAGAAAGACACATGTCCACTAGAAACCTTATACAAAAATGTTCAAAAAGACTTTGTTTATACTGGTCCAAAACTTGAAAGATCCCAAATGTCCATCAACATGAGAATGGAGAAAACATGTGTAGTATTTAATATATGCCTCAATAAAAAGAAACAGACATCTGATAAATGAAAAAACATGCATGATGTATGTTGAGTGAAAGAAATAGAACACCGAAATATACAGGCTCTCTTATCCTATTAATATGAAATTGAAGAATAGGCAAAATCAGACTATGGTGAAATTATCTAGGAGGAGAATTGTATAGGAAGAGGCATGAGAAATGTTACGTTTCTTCCTATTATTCATCAAAATGAGTTGAATGTACCTTCAACATATGATTCATCAAAACTGATTAAATGGTACACTTAAGATGTTAGTATTTCATTCTGTATACATTATAACTTAAAATCTTTCAAATTTAAGATATTATGACCCTACAGAGGATAACCTATTCTTCCACTTGTCCTTTTTAAACATGAAATAGAGATTTTAAAAATAAAATATATTTAGTTTCTCAGTTTTATGACATGTTTAGAAAGTATTATATTTTTCAAGCAAGAAGACCTGCAAATTTTTAATTCCATATCCAAACAGTATAAACAATAATTTCTAGGCTTTTCTTCTTTAGTTGTGTCATTTTAATAGCCAAAATGATAATTAGTGGATGTTTTTGAGCACAAAAATACTCGTTTTAATATGAGAAATTTAATATCAAAACAGTTCAGATCAAGAAATTACATTTCATCCCACAGATGACAATTCACCAACAGCTTTCAATATTGCTAGCCCATCTCAACAGTGATATGATTTAGGTTTTTTTTTAAATTTTAATGTTATTTCATATATTCCTGTTCCAAAGCTGTTGAAAACAACACAGCAGAATGCTGTGATGATTTAGGGGAGGGAAGAAAGTTAGGAATAGGGATGTAGCTTTTTTGTTGCAAACATTTACCACAGTGCAATATGACTTAGAGAAAGAGAATTTACAGGTTAGAAACCTTCTCCACATGAAAAACACATTGGAGCTAGCAGGATAAGACTGAGTATTCTCTGAGACATAATGAGTCTGGACAGCAATTTTTTCAAAGAAAACTAATCAATTATATTAGAATACCTCTTATTCAGTTCAATCAAGGACAGTACTAGGTCCATTAATTGAAAAGACTGGATAACTGAGGAATCATATAGTATTATATGCAACACAACATTTTAATTTAAAATATATAAATACACACTTATTTACCCATTTTTTCTATTAGAACAAGGACTTTTCATTGAACATGGGTCATAAAATTAGAGTTTGGTCTGTTTTTCTTCTGTAAATCTTAACTAAAATTTTATTTTGTTCTTTAAAGTTATACTAGAATATAAATAAATCTACATGCATCATCTTTGTAGATTTTTAAAATAAATATTCCCACAACTATTCTCCAGTATTATTATTTCATTTTATTTCATTTCTCCAAATCATTCATTTGCATCAAAACAATATTTCCATTTCTGCTCCCATATTTTAATGTACTGCTCATTAATAGTGAGTACAAGTGGCAGAATGGTTGGGGGAACAAATACAGCTCTCACCTGAAAATACTTGTTCAGCTTACCTGGTGGGAAAAGTATAGGGTTGTCCAGGAAAGTAACCTATTACTCACACACATTCAGTGGAATGTAGACATCTGCTAATATGCTTTATGGGGAGAATGGTAACTCTGATGTTTTGTTAAGGAGAGGTTGATTAAGAAAATTTGCACAGAAGTAACAATCAACATAATTACACATGATGACTAGTAATGCCACAAGCTAGGCTCTTTCATTTTCCCTAAATCTGACTTCTTTCATTCATCAACATAAGAGTTATTATATTATATTTAATAGTGCCCCCTCCAATCCTTTGAGGAACGCAAATCAGAAATATAAGAACTACCTGTGACTTTTATATTTTCTCATTTCTGATAATCAGTCATGATGCTCTGTCAATCATAATTGATAGTCTCTCCATTTCTATCTCAGTTCCCGACCATTATTCTTCCTGAAAAATCACATGTACACAAACATACACACAATGCATAGTTCGTAGATCCTTGATATTAATTATTATTGTTAAACGACACAAAACTCACAAATGAGAACCACACTAGGAGGTAAGCTAAATTGTTCCCCATATTCAAGATCCTAGAATTCAAGATCAATTCAAGACTTTTAAGAAAATGTACACACACACACACACACACTCGCACGCACATGCTTAATACCTCTTGTAAGGTATACTTAGCTTTTCTTTATGGTACATGGAATCAACTGTTACGCTGCAGATTGTGTCTCCGTTATCATTTGTGCTGCCAATGCTAAGAAACAAATAGTCACACGAAAGGATCGCAGACATTCAAACAACAAAACGGCATTCTTCAAGTCCTCAGTTGGACACCCCAACACCACAACTATGCCTCTAGCGCTGCATCCTCACATTTATTCATCCAAATAAAAATTGGCCTCTGCTATCCATACTCATTTACCCTTTGGAAAATGATCCAGTCTGTGATGCCTTACAGAGCTCACCTGAAATAAGGCAGTGTCTCAATAGGTGGGACGCTCTGTACATTTGTTCTTGATAGAGCTGAACAGATATTACAGCCTTCCCCACACAAAATAGAAAAGTAATACTCTTAGTGCACAATGTGACAAAAGGACATTATATTTCATAAAACATCATATTTGAATGGAGATTAAATTTGGAAATAAATTAACAGGAAAGGGATAGGTAGAGAAAAGTTATCATAATGGCAAATGTTTAGAGCAAAACAGAGACCAGGAATTACCAGTAGGTGGCAATAAAAGGAAATAATGACGTCATAAAGCATTTCCAGGAATTAAAGGTCAAGATAACATTTAACATTGCGTGTTTCTCTCATCCACTAAAATATTCGTGAATATCTCCAGTGATGAGGGGGAGGAAAGGACATTTTTTTTAACAACACTGAAAACTAAAGTATGATTTTCTATGTAACTAAATCAAAGTCTGTAACAGTAGCAATGAGTTAACAAATATCACATCCCTGCCAAATATACTTGAGTGGGAAGGTAAACACCCCAGTTTGTAAAGAAACCTACAGTAATAAGAAATTAAATAGTCATTTCCTTTCCTCACTTCTGTACCATTATTTTATTTTTGTTTCTTGGTTATTAGAATCTATTTTAAGGCATATATTTGGAAATTTCTACTCTTCATTTAGATAGGAATTCATAGTCAAGAATTTGGGGAATTTTCTATGTAATTTCTCACTGCAGAGAATTAGGCATAGGGTAGTCGCATTTCACTCTTCTGGCAACAGAATTGTATAAGTGGGGTGCCCAAAAAGTTTCCAACTCTTTAACTGAAACAAGGCTAAGGAGGAGACACAAAAAGCATCCTCTTCATTGGCAGACATTATGTCCAGATACATCTACTGTTATTCAATGACTAAAAAAAGACAATCAATTGATAAGGGAAAGGAAGGTTTACAAATTTTGTAGCCCAAGAAAAAGGATCCATATAATTTGAGAAGAAATAAAAGCTATCTCTGAAAAACATTTAAAATGCAGAGCAAAAATAATTTTAGGAAATACCTGCTTCTGCTACTCAGAGACATAAATAAAGACAGATCTCTAAACAATGACAGATTTATAGTAAGCAGAGGTTAGCCTGCAAGAAAAGAAATAGTCCCTAGTTGAACAGGGAAAGACAGAAGACTATCAGAAATCACAAAAGTCTGTAAGTAAAAGTTGCAAGGAAATTAAATCTATAGCAGAGATTTACCATTAATATTGGGGGAGATGGAAAGTAAAAAATATACTATAAAAAACTTCATGCCCCAAAAAAATATGTGAAATTATGCCATAATGAAAATAAAAGTTTAAAGCCATTAACTACGACAGATAAACAGCTGATATGAATACAGTAAGTTAGAGGTTCAGCAGCAAATATACTGTACACTCTTGTTATATGTTATGATTGTAGTTGGACTCCAAAACCGGATACAGTTGTCAAAACATATCAAATAATATAATTATAATTGATAATTTTATTGTATGTTCATTATTGGTCAAAATTGCTGATTAAAAAGTACACTGAAAGAAAATCAAAGTAGATCAAATAGATCAGGAATAAATATAGGTACATTAACAAATAAAAATGTAAACCAAAACAATGGGAGATAAAGAAAAAAATTATCTAAATGTAAAAGAACTGATCATATTTTAAGTAAATGACATAAAGGAAAAAACCACCACATATGCCTTGACAAATTTTTAAAAATAAAGAATAATACAAAGATACATATATATGAATATATACAACAGAAGGTATTATATATATGAATATATTGAATAGAATTTGTTTGTATTAAAATAATACAAATATATATTTATATATAGTATATATACATATATACATAAAACATATAGTTGTGTATATATACACACATATATATATTTAAAAATAAAACTGCAACTTCTCTGCAGTGTTAGGCATCAGAAAAACCGTAGAGTAATTTCTAGTAAATTCTGAAATGAAAATATTATTTCTCAAAAATTCTACATATAACTAAATTTTCTTTAGCTCTATAGCTTTTTCTATAGTTCTAAACTTTCTGAAAAGTTTTAGAAAATGTATTACTAATATACACTTTTGAGGAAAAACACAATGAATACATACTTAAGCCTTAGAAGATATTAATCAAAATAAATTAAAAACAATGAAGATATCTCTGTATGAAAGAATATCAGACAACAAACAAAACTTTAAGTGAAATCAATATTGTGAATGCCATAAAATTTAACATAAATGCTAACAAATAGCACAAATACCATACTGATTCTAACAAGAAACAGATGTCCTTAAAGATGGTTAATTTTGCAAAGACAACATAGGTTGGACTTGAAGAAGAAAACAAAAAGTTATCGGTTTTGATTTTTATTTCAAAAAATAATAATGAAATATTATTGTGAAAATCATAGAAACCCACTGGTAGAATTAGAAAGAATGATGACTTTTTACATTACAGTAGAAGACTAAAAACAAACATATATATCTTACATTGCAAATGACAGGAAACAAAGGCAACCAAAAAGAAATAGAAAAAACAAAACTGAGAACATAAAACAAAGTGACAGAATTAAAGCTACACATAACAGTGATAACAGTGAAGGAAATTGCTTTAAACTATTCTGTTTATTCAGAAGCAAATATTGTCAGGAAGAATTACAAAACTACATCAAATTTTAAAACACCTACAAAAATGACATAGAAACATTTCAAATCAGAGAATGGGTAAAAGTTTATTGTGTATGAAAAAACAGAAAGCAATTGACCATGGAGACGCTATTAGCAAACAAGGAAAAATTTAAAGCAAGAAGCATTAGCCAAAATGAATTGGATCATATTACAGTTGTAAAATTGTCACTCAGTGTTGCAAGCCAAATAGTTTTAAATTCTTATGCACTGCTTAATGTAGCATCAAAGTGTACCAAATAAAAGCCAAGAAGTAGAAAAATAAATTAATGAAAAATTACACCCATAAAATATGTGAAAAAAGATGTATCGTATTGTAAATACGTTAATATTTGTATTAATATGCATTAAAGCTTTTAGAGGGGTTATTACTTTATTATAGATATCCATGTTATCTGCGGGGAAAAAGTTACCCTTACTTGGCTGAAAAGACTCACTAATTCTAAAATGTGAAAATTGTGTTGGCCATATTTTTGATAATAAAAAACTAGGAATCATTTATGATGTTTATACTGAAATATCTCCACAGTAAAATTTTTAAATGAAATTTTGAATAACAATAAAAAGTTAAAGATGAGCAAAATATTATGACAGATTATGCCAATAGTTTAATAAGTAAAAGGTTTGATTTTTGATGAGAAATAGTGTAAAGAAATGAACTAAGCATAATGCTCAAAAAGATTGCCTTTAAAAAAGAAGCACTAGGGAAATTATGAATAATTAAATAATTCAGATAAAGGTAAAACAAAGCAAAAAGTTTGTAAAAAGGAAAATAGTGAGGTTGTCTTAAAAATCCAAAAATTTATTCTAAAGACATTAATAACCAAAACCAAAACAAAAAAAAAAATTCAGTCTTCCCTTCCACTCCAACTTCAAGTCATTTGTCTCTGCATTTGCAAAGAGGCCACTGGCAACCATAGACAAATAATATAGCTTATGTGCAGTTTATATGAGGCTTTGCTGTGCTTTTTGTAAAAATAGGTGGTCCAAGGTTTCTATTCCTTACAACAAGGCAAATGATAGAAAATTAGCATCAGGCAGCAAATCATGAAATGAAATTGTACTTCAAAAACCTGTGAACTCCCAAAGGATGAAAATTCATCATCAGACTTGCACGACTTTGCCAGGTCATTCTGAAACCCAAAAGAAAAGAAAGAGCTGAAGGAGCACTTTGAGTCTCACTGCCCTTCAGGGAAAGAGAATGCAGAGCCTGGACAGCAGAAATCAGAGGATCTGCAGCAGGGGCCTGGAGACTTTGCTGCTCCGGCACCACAAATGCATGGCATTCCACTGCACCAGCTGCTATTTCCTGAGATATCCTAGTCCTTAAAGGCACTCCTATCACTTGACCCCACCAGCAGTGAACCAGAAGAGAAAAAACACAGCCATTGAAAGGTGTCCAGAGTACAGAGGGAGGAAAACAGCAGATATCAGTCAGAATATATGCCCAAATAATAGAAATACTCTGGGTACACATGTAAAACTTAAAAAGATAAAAGTGATTAATAAAATAAATTGGGACACCGTTTGCACACACATACACACTTTTCTGATACAGAAAACAAAACCAAAACAATGTTTATAATTGTATAAGTTAGAAATGTAATCAGCTGAAATTAATAGAATATTTGGTTTTCAGTGGTTTAACAAAAAAGGATTTTTTTTTTTACACGATGAAAAGTCGTGAATTAGATAAACAAAGAATGGTGCAGTGATTATGGAATATCATAAATGTCACCAGCTTATCCTTTTTGTCTGACCCATACTCTTTAATTTATAACTTTTGTCTTTACTGTCCTGACATAATTCCTGCACTAATAAGCAAGCATCCCATCCATTGTCAGCTGGGTACAAGACAGGAAGGGCAAAGAATAAAAGGAGCATGGCAGATAAGTTTGACCCTCTTTTAAAAAGTTCCTGGACACCTCCCAAATCCAGCAATCTCTACCTCAAGTTTATTGGCTAGAGCTGAGCTCTTTGACCACCACCAAATGCAAGAGTATCTATGAAGGTGAACATTTTAGTTGGCTATATTACCAAATTATATAAGATATTTATTCTGTAAGAAAGGAGAAAATATACTTTGAATGAGCCCTTAGAATTTTCTGTCACATTAATTACTAAATTCAGAAGATGAATTGAAGAACAGAATGATCACTGTTAAAAGCCAAGTGAGTGGCCAGAAAATCAGATAAAAGGCATATTTGAATACACAGAACAAATATGCAGAGAAATAAAAATTGAAGTCATGAGGCCAAACATGAGATTCTGAGGCTGTATTGTGAATCATAGCAATACATAAAAGAAAGGCAATAAAAAACTTATGAGGGAGGAATATTTTCATGAGCTGAAGAAATAAAATTTTGCATACTGATACCATTCACCTATTTCTAGGCAGAACAAAGGGATAAAGATATAAATCTAGCATATCTAGGGAATATTTTTGAGCTCAGGCAAAGGGGACAAGAAATCTACAATGGTAAAAACACATTAGTATTATTCAATAAAATGAGAAACTGCTTTTATAAAAAGAGAACAAAATAAGATAACTTCTTAAAATTATATAAGTAAATCTTGATAATGCCTGATTCAAAGAGAATATCATATATTAGTGATAACAAAAATTGGAGTGTTGATTGAAAAAAAATCAGGATGGAGAAAAAAAAAACCTGTTCTTGGAAGAAAATGCTTAACACCAGATGCCTTCATTGTAAAAATAAAATACCTAAGTAGGCATCTTAAGAAATTAGAAAATGAACTGTAGAAATAAAGTTTAAAAAGTAGAGAGAGTGACTAGAAATAAAAGTTGAGCTTATTAATACAGAATTCATTATATATACAGATAAATAGCTTTTCCTACTTCAAAAGTAACCACCTAGAAGAAAAGATAAATAAAACGTGTAAAATGGTGCTGATTTCATGTTGCCTTATCAATAGGGTGATAATGAAATTATGGTACATAATAAATATTATTTAGCCAATAAAGTAATTAATTTGAGCTACATGATATATAACTCTGTACATGTGTATATGTATTTCTCACACACACATAATATTCTGATAATTTTAAAAAGTAGATGAATTGTTTTCATTTTCTTTGTGAGACATTGGTCAAAGTAGGTAACAGAATAGGAGAAAGAAACACACAAGTACAAAAAGGGAATGGAAAATTTTATGTATAGGATCACATTTTGCATTTGTGTCAAATTGTGTGTATTTGTAAGTAAATGTTTAAATGCATTAAATTATTTATTTTTAAAAATATAACAACATTTTTAAAGGAGATATGTAAATTAAATATGAAAAGCTTAATAATATGTAAGAAGAAATTTTTTTTAGAAAATACACTATATAATTTCATGTAAATAACTTATTAAATCTAGGTGAAATGAGTCATTTCCTGAGGAAAATCTATTTTGTCTGGGAAGGAACAGTAAACCTAAATATAGAGAAACAAAATTTGATATTGAAATTATATTTATATAGTAATATAGTTACATGATGTTTATCTTAGATATGTATAAAACAGTCACTCTATCTTCCAGCAGTAACATTAGGATACTTTAACCTCTTGAGGAGAAGATACTATATAAACTCTTGCACAACATGGAGAACTGAAGATAGCTATCCAATTTATTTTATGAAATTGACATCAAAACCCAAGAAAAATAACACAAAAAATCTTCAAGTAAACAACAGTTTATATAGTTCTGCTCTATGTTGAAAGATTAGTAGGAAAAAAGAACTTTTCCCAGCAAATAATAAACGGTAAATAGGAGGCTGTCTATTAACATAATGGCAATGGTTTGTATTAATACATTTTAAAAAGAGTTATGGGATGCCAATGCCATTATTTCATTAACTCCTAGCAGCAGAAATCCTTTTAGGGGCAAAGCTGCTTTTACTAAATGGTATTTTTGCTGGAAAGTGACTCTTCCAGTGTAGCAGAACGAGCCACAAACAAAACTCCTCAGACACCAAGTTAAAGAAGGAAGGGGTTTATTCGGCTGGGGGCATCGGCAAGACTCCTGTCTCAAGAGCCGAACTCCCCGAGTGAGCAATTCCTGTCCCTTTTAAGGGCTCACAACTCTAAGGGGGTGTGCGTGAGAGGGTCATGATTGATTGAGCAAGCAGGCGGTACATGACTGGGGGCTGCATGCACCGGTAATTACATCGAAACAAAACAGGATAGGGATTTTCACAGTGCTTTTCTATACAATGTCTGTAATCTATAGATAACATAACCGATTAGGTCAGGGGTCGATCTTTAACTACCAGGCTTAGGTCAGGCAGGCCCAGGCCTGGTTTGGGTCTGGTTCCTTGGTTTCAGGTCTGGTTTCTAGGCGCCAGGCTACCTGCCTTTTGTTTTGCTTTTCTTTTCTTTTCTGAGTATAAAACAATATAAAACAATATGAGAGGGTCTGTCTTTCTTCTCTCGTTTCCCCCCTTTGAGACTCTCACTTTTTATTAGTGGGAGTTCTCACTCTTATTTTTGCTCCTTATGTCTTTCTGTGCAATAGATTGATAATGATTCATATAGTACAGTTGTGCTGATACATAACATAAAGTGACATTGAGAGACTGGGGTATATGCTCGGCTAATTGCAAAAACGAATTTCTTGTTTTTCCTGGAATTTCTGGTACTGGCACATTCAGTTCCTCATAGAAGGTTTGAAATACTGGCTCAGGAGAGCGTTTATAAACTTTTTCTCAAACCACAATATTTACTTGAAGATCCAGTCCAGCTCCATCAATTTTTAGGGTTATACATTCTCTTTTTTCTAGCGAGGATTAAGGGGGTTGGTTATTACTAGTTCTAAGGGGTTACACTCACCACTGGTATAGGAAGGGCTACTTTTCCCTTGCTGAAGGTGGAAAGGATTTTTTCATTTTTTCTTTTTCAATTTAAAGAACCACATCTTATTCTATGCTGATTGCTATTGATACTGGCACAAGCATTAAATTTTAGGGTTATATGCTTGGGGACCCTTTTTTCTTCTGTTCTGGCTATTATTTTACTTGTGTCACCTAGAAAAGGACCCGTCCTTAATTTTATTTTTAAAAAACTGTGATCATGGGAGCCTTAAAATGGGTCATAACACGCATCAGGTTGGTTATTTGCTGGGCTACATACCTTGGATAGAATAACATTATACAAACAAGCTTTTTTTAGAGTTCTAGTATCCTTATAATAACTGTAAAATAATAGGACCGTAGCAACGTTTTGTCCTACCTCAGTGACTTGATGTATACACTGGGAACAGCCCTCAGTCTGAGGAAGGTCAGTTGAAGTTCTTACTGTACAAGCCCAAATTTTAAGGAAAATGAGTCCCGCGATGAGTTTTCTCATGCTTTGGCCATGTATGGACCAGTCAGCTTCCGGGTGTGACTGGAGCAAGGCTTGTCTTTTTCAGAGTCACTTTGCAGGGGTTGGCGAAGCTGCTTCCTTCCATGTACAGCTCCCAGTCTACTGATGTTTAAGGATGGTCTCGGAGGTTGGGCCTACTAGAATAAACTGAGTCTAATACTTCTACACAGTTATGTTTAACTGGGCTCTCTGATACCAGGAGCAAGGTGGCGGGGTTTAGGGTGTTGCAAACTTCAATGGTTATGTGGGGATTTTCACAGAGCAAGCTTTCGTATCCAGTTAGTCTAGCATTCATTAGCTAATGATGTCCTTTGGTATTTATTAAAGTCACCACAGCATGGGGGGAATTTAGGTTTTGCCTAAGAATTAGCTTATCTGCTTCTTGTGCTAACAGGGCCGTTGCTGCCAGGGCCCTTAAACATGGGGGCCAGCCTTTGGAAACCCGGTTTAGTTGTTTTGAGAGATAGGCCACTGGCTTTGACCAGGGCCCTACAGTCTGGGTTAAAACTCCAACTGCCTTTTTTTTTTTTTTTTTTTTTGACACATAGAGTGTAAAAAGTTTTGTCAGGTCAGGTAGCCCCAGGGCTGGGGCTGACCTGAGTTTTTCTTTTAACTCATGAAAAGCTTGTTGCTGTTGGTTGTAATAGATGTAGTTTATTTAATTTACATTTTTATTAACTGTTACCTACTAAAATATTGACTTAAATTCTGTAGCTATTTGATTTCAAGCTTTAAATTGATCTGGTATTCCTCGTGGGACTCCAATTGCGTCTAAATGGACGTGACAGTCGAAAGACCTATAAGGGGGCTTCTCTGGCTTTATGATGTCTTATTTTTCCTCCTTCTGGTTGATGAAATGCCAGGGTGAATGGGATAGCCAATTGGACTAAAGTATAAGTGCCACTCCAGTTATTTGGCAGAGTGCCCAGTAAAGGTCTGCCACAATACCACCACATATCCGCTTGGGGATGAACAAGGGCTGACTGATTGATAAGCTCTTGAAAATTCTTAAGCTCATCGCATCCCTTCAGGTCTCCAAGGAATGCTAAGTTTCCTCCTTGTCATGAGAGACATGAAGTGAACTTAGTGTTGGGAGACAGAGGCTGGATGGCCCTCGGGGACTGACCCGCAGGGACTTCGGGATATAGCAGAGAGAGGTTGGCATGACTTATTACTCCAGGCTATAGAATCCCGGAAAAGAGCTATCATGCAGCCTACGCGTGGTCAACTGGAGGACCACCTTAGTGGAAAGGGGACAATCTGGGCCTCTGGCCTGCCATGTGCACAAGCATAATAATTGCTTTTTATTAGCGTGCAGATGGAATATTTGATCCATTTCAACCAGGCATTTGCATCTTGGTATGCTGCCTTAATTGCCAAAGTTTGTTTTAAGTCTTTAACTTCTATGATCCTCTAGTAGAATGAATGTTTCTTTTAGGACCTATTTTTATTAGTTTTTAGACCAAAGAAAGCTAAACACCATCTTATATTTAATAATACTTCTTGTATGATTTTTATACCAGATAAGCTAAATTTTACCTTTATATTAGTGTGTTATTAATGTTAAAATTAATTTTAATAAAACCTTGTAGACATATTTATCCAATTTTTCATGTTTGACCATAAGGTAAGTTTTTATAGACTCTTTTTAACCTTTTATAATTTTTATTAAAGAGCAGATTGGTGCTTTAAGAAAAACCTGTTGTGTTTTTACTTTAATGTCCAGTTCACAGAAAAACTGGATGATACCTTTTTAACTTTAGCTAATATGTTTACACACAGAATTTTCTTTACAATTAACATTTTAAAACTTGCTTAAACCTTCAAAACAATAATTTTTTTAACTTTTTAATGTAGGTAACAATGTATATTCTTATGCCTCCTTATAATCCTTTTACCAAAGGTATATTTTACTTTTCTTATACACCTTGCACATAAACTGTTTTTTTTTTCAATAGCTTTACATTCAGGAGGCCTAGTTACTTTTAAATTATACAACGTTTTTTGCATAAATTATTTTTTATAACATTTTTCTCTTTTATGACTTTCACAGACAATTCTTCGACATGCCTCAACTTTCTGACTTATTACAAGTATTTCTTTCTTTAAACAACCAGTTAATTTATTTCAGGACAAGAATTTACCATATAATATTCTTTTTATATAAATTCCGCCCCCCCCCTTTTTTTTTTACCTTTTTTTTTCCTTAGGATACTTCTGAACTGGTGAGGTGTGCTCACAATGAAGTTTCCTCTAAAAGTTATTTTTTTAACCTTTTTTGTTTGTTTGTTAGCAAAGCAGTTGCTGCTACAGATTGAATGCATTTGGGCCATCCGCAGGTTACTGGATTAAGGATTTTTCATAGGAAGGCCTCAGTGCTTTCAGGATATGCCCTTGTTTACACTGACAACAAAGTGGTATTGGAGTGTTATAGGGTTATGGAGAATACCTTCAATTATCAATTATAGGTTTTAAATTTACCTTGGCTTTTAAAGGAATAGGGTACACTTTTTTTTTAACTACTTGTATCTCTCTCTCTTTCTCTCTCTTTTTCTCTTTCTTTTTCTCTTTGACTTTGTCTGTCTTTGACTTTCCTTTTGCCTCTGTCTCTTTTCTCTCTCTGCCTCTCTCTTTCTCTCTCTCTCTCTCCTTGACTCCCTCTTTGTCTGTCTCTTCCTCTCTCTTTTCTTCTCTGTCTCTTTCCTTTCTCTCTCTCTGCTGGTCTTTCCTTGCCTCTGCCAGCCGCTTATGCTGCTGTTCTCTCAACCATTGTGTGTTAGGGGCGGGGGGTCTAAAACCAGCTGTAACCAAGTGTCAGACCAGGGAACTGGTCTGGGTTCCCTGGCTTACAGGTTACCTTGTGTCCTCTTTGAAACAAGGGACCTGTCCAGGCTTCCTTCTAATGGCCAACCTACCTCTAATGCTGGCCAGTCTACCTTACACAAAGTTTTAAGTTTTCCTAGTGTCATAGTACTCCATAGTCTCCTTTAAATTCTTTTTTGAAATTTCTCAACATAGTTCCTAGTAGGGTGGGCTTATTTGTGCCTGACCTATGCTTCTTCGAGACAAAACACCACGTTCATACCACATGCACACCACAAAACAAAGAATGGGTAAAAAGGGCACACACACTTTTGCAGTTTGCACCAAACTAAAATCAAAACCAAAATCAGAGTATCCAGAAATCCAAGCCAGGTCAAAACCAAAACCAAAGTATCCAGCAATCCAAGTCAAGTCAAAAACAAAAACCAAAGTGCCAGTACAAGCACATCGTGGGTGATCAGGCCACGCTTCCACTCAAACGGAGTGGGCAAGTTCCTAAGACCAATCCTGTTAAGCAATTCAAACCAAGTCAAAACCAAAACCAAAGTGCCGATAAAGGCACGCCATGGGTGATCAGGCCACGCTTCCACTCAAGCGGAGTGGGCAAGTTTCAAAGACTAGTCTTACCAAGTTTTAGATGTCCAGACTCCAAGCACCCATTCCTTCCCGGTGTCCAGCCACTGCATTGATCCTCCATGGGGGCCTGCCACACACTGCTCTGGCAAGGTGTCCCACCGGAGCAAAAGCCTACCCAGGAGTGCTCTCAGGATCCGCGTCGCTCAGGCTGGTTGGAGTCCCCCGCAGGGATGTTCCACAGGGCAGGCTAAAGCCGCCTAAGGAGCTGCCTCTTCTGTCCGATAATCACCTCACTTCCCGGTCAGGGAACCAAGAAACGTAGCAGGATGAGCGGCAGACAAAACTCCTCAGACACTGAGTTAAAGAAGGAAGGGGTTTATTTGGCCGGGGGCATTGGCAAGACTCCTATCTCAAGAGCCAAGCTCCCTGAATGAGCAATTCCTGTCCCTTTTAAGGGCTCACAACTCTAAGGGGGTGCAGCTGAGAGGGTCATGATTGATTGAGCAAGCAGGGGATACGTGACTGGGGGCTGCATGCACCAGTAATTACATCGAAACAAAACAGGATAGGGATTTTTACAGTGCTTTTCTATACAATGTCTGTAATCTATAGATAACATAACCGATTAGGTCAGGGGTTGATCTTTAACTACCAGGCTTAGGTCAGGCAGGCCCAGGCCTGATTTCGGGTCTGGTTCCTTGGTTTCCGGTCTGGTTCCTAGGCACCGGGCTACCTGCCTTTTGTTTCACTTTTCTTTTCTTCTATGAGTATAAAACAATATAAAACAATATAAGAGGGTCTGTCTCTCTTCTCTCACCAGTTCCTGGGAGTACATTGATGCCAAAGATTTTAGGGAAAGGAGAATCCATCTTCCATTATAGATATTTTATTTCTGTAGTTCCTAAGATCAAGTGGAGAGGAAGAGAATAAGAAACAAATGTAAAGAAATTTGAGGAAAGAAAAAAGAAAAAGGAAAAGTTGTAGACAGGCTGTTTTCTCTCTCTGTGGCCTTGCCAAGTCCTCTTTAATTACTAAGTAAAACTTTTCTTGGAAATAAGCAAAATTGCCAGAATTTGCATCTAGTTTATTATAGACCTGAATCAAGATATTGTGGCAAAATGTGAAGCTAGTGGGAAGTGTGCTGCAGTGACTAGCACAGGACTTGGGTGCCTCAGCTTTGCTGGTAGATTGGGAGGGTTGTGGCCTGAAAGCCACATCTTATATTAAAATCAACTCAAGATGGATCAAAGAGTTAAATCTAAGACCTGAAGCCATAAAAATTCTAAAAGATAACCTAGGATAAACTCTTCTGGACATTGACCTAGGCAAAGAATTCATTACTAAGACCTTTTCCAAAAGCAGATGCAAATAAAACAAAATTAAATAAATGGGACCTAATTGAACTAAAAAGTTTCACTAACAAAAGAAACAATCATCAGAGTAAACCAATAACCCACAGAATGGGAGAAAATATTTGCAAAATATACATCTAACAAAGGACTAATATCCTCAGAATCTATAAGGATCACAAACAAATCAGCAAGAAAAAAACAAGAATCCCAACCAAAAGAGGGCAAATGACATGAATATAATTTCTCAAAAGAAAATATAAAAATGGCCAAAAAATATGAAAAAAAATGCTCAACATCACTAATCATCAGGGAAATGCAAATTATAACCACATTGAGATAACACTTATTCCTGAAAGAATGTCCGTTATTAAAAAGTAAAAAAACAATAGATGCTGGCATGGATGTGGTGAAAAGGCAGTGTTTATATCCTGATGGTGGGAATGTACATTAATACAGCCTTCATGAAAAATAGTATGGAGATTTCTTAAAGAACTAAAAGTTTGATCTATCATTCAATACAGCAATCCCACTGCTAGGTACCTACCCATAGAAAAATAAGAGATTATATAAAAAGACACCTGCATGCATATATTTACTGTGGCACACTTTACAGTTGCAAATATATGGAACTCATCTACGTGCTCATGAATCAATGAGTGAATAAAGAAAATGTGGTATATATACACCATGGAATACTATTCAGCCATAAAAAAGAACAAAATAATGTATTTTGCAGCAACTGGAATGGAGTTGGAGGCCATTATTCTAGGTAAGGTACCTCAGGAAGGGAAAACAGAATACCATATGTTCCTGTTTATAAGTGAGAACTAAGCTACGAAAATACAAAGCATGTAGAGTGATATAATGGACTTTGGGGACTCGGAAGGGGAAGGGTGGGAGGGTGATTAGGGATAAAAATCTACCTATCAGGTACAATGTATACTACTCAGGTGATGGGTGCACTAAAACCTCAGACTCCTACCACTTTGCAATTCATTTATGTAACTAAAAACCATTTGTACCCCAATAGCTATTGAAATAAAACAAATATTTAAAAAATAGAAATGTACACTTAAGCTTTGTGATTCAATAATTTATCTCTTTGGTGTACATGAGCCCAGGAGTGGACATGAATAAGGCTATGTTTGAAGTACAGTATTTGATTGAGAGTAGCTGGTGTCAAGCCCATAACTTGGCAAACGTGACATATAAATATGGAAAATACAATATGCTAGAGACACACAGTGAGATACTATTGTAGTAGTTTGAGGAGTACTGTGACGCTTTTAATATGTTAAGGTTACGACAAACAAGGAAAGGCTGAGAAATGGTCACAGATTGGAGGAAACTAAAAAGACATGACAACTGAATGATATATGATATTCTGGATTAAATCCTAGAATAGGAGAACATTGGTGAAAAATATGGTGAAACTCACATAAAAGCTATGATTTAGTAAAGTATTATACCAATTTTTAATTTCTTAGCTTTGACAAATACCCAATGATTATGTAAGATGTTAACATTCAAGGAAGCTGGGAGAGGACTGCAATAAGAACATGGAGAATCTTAGGAAGAAAAGTTCAATGAACATCACTATATTGTTGCTCTTTACCTAGATTTACCAAGTAATATAATTCCACATTTGCCACATTTGTTCTCTCTCTCTCCCTCTCTGAATTTCCTTCTCTCTCTCCCTCTCTTCCTTCCCCTTTCTCTCTCTCTCTCTTTCATTATTTTCTCTAATTCTTTTATTTTATTTTTTTATTATACTTTAAGTTCTAGGGTACATGTGCACAATGTGCAGGTTAGTTACATATGTATACATGTGCCATGTTGGTGTGCTGCACCCATTAACTCGTCATTTACATTAGGTATATCTCCTAATGCTATCCCTCCCCCGTTCCCCAACCCCATGACAGGCCCCAGTGTGTGATGTTCCCCTTCCTGTGTCCAAGTGTTCTCATTGTTCAATTCCCACCTATGAGTGAGAACATGCTGTGTTTGGTTTTTAGTCCTTGCGATAGTTTGCTGAGAATGATGGTTTCCAGCTTCATCCATGTCTCTAATTCTTTTAAAGCTTCAGGCTTCATTACACATTATCATTAAATACTTCATCATGTATCTTCTAACAATAAAGACGTTCTCCAATATAGCCACAATACCATCATTAAATCTTAGAAAATCAATACTAATTTTATAAAATTACCTAAATATTCAATCCATTTTCAAAACCTTCACATTTTGTCAATTTTCCCAATAATGTCTTCTATAGCCCTCTTTTTCCAAACCAGAATCTAGTCTATGTTTGCATATTGCGTTGGGCTATATTAAGTCTCTAAATTCTAATGACCTTATTATATTTAAGAAGTCAGATCAGTTATCTTGGCATATGTCTCATATTTTGGATTTGTCTGATACTTACCTATGAAGAGATCCACATAAATATTTTGGCAAGAATGCTATGTAGGTGATTGTTTTTATTTCTTATTACACTATATAAGGAAACACTATTGCTGATAAGAATTATGATAATGTAGTTAAATCTTTAACCACTATATCTTTTCATTTTAAAGAGAAAGCAGTAGTGTGAAAATTCAGTCTAGTTTATTTTAAAAAGGCAGTACAACTTCAGTTCTCTATCTCTCTCTCTCTCACCCCACCCCCCGCTTCCCTCCCTCCCTCTCAGATTATTCATTCTGAGGGAATACAAACATCCTATCATGAGGAGCCATTCGAAGGAACTGAAGCTTCTTGCTAATAGCTACAGGAGTGAGTTTGAAAGCAGACCCTCCTGCCTAGTCAAACTTTCAAATTCCTGCAGACCTGGTCTGTATCTTGCCACAACCTCACAGGTAACATTAGCCAGAACCACCAAATAGGTTGCTTCTGGGTTTCTGAAGCTCAGAACCTGTGTGAAATAGTGTTTGTTATTTTAAGCCACAAGGTTTTATGGTAATTTGCTATGCAGTAATAGATAAACAATACAAGAAGTCATCTTATTGGTCAGTTTCTGAGCTCGTTTATCAGGGGGAGTGTTGTTATTACACAATCAAGGCAGTGTATGAGGGTTCTGCAGAGGGACAGAACTAATGGGAGATATATATATATATATATATGAAGGGGAGTTTATTAAGGAATATTGATTCACCAGATCGATCACAAGGTGAAGTTCCACAATAGGCCGTCTGCAAGCTGAAGAGCAAGGAAGCCAGTCCCAGTCCCAAAACCTCAAAAGTAGGGAAGCTGACAGTGCAGCCTTCAGTCTGTGGCCAAAGGCCTGAGAGCCCCTGGCAAATCACTGGTGTAAATCCAAGAGTCCAAAAGCTGAAAAACTTGGAGTCTGATGATCTGACATCCGAGGGCAGGAAGCATCCAGCACGCGAGAAAGATGAAGGCCGGAAGGCTCAGCAAGTCTACTCTTTCCACTTTCTTCTGCCTGCTTTATTCTAGCCATACTGGCAGCTGATTAGATGGTGAAAATCCAGATTGAGGATGGGTCTGCCTCTCTCAGTCAAGTGACTCAAATGTTAATCTCCTTTGGCAACACTCTCACAGGCACACCCAGGAACAATGCTTTGCATATTTCAATCCAATCAAGTTGACACTCCGTATGAGCCATCACAGGCAGGGATATGCATATGGGATCTGGTCACTCATGTGTGTGTCTCTTGTTACTCCTTGCTCCATCGTGACTGTAAACTGGAACAGACAGCAACTCCAGCTTGAGATGGGCATAGTCACCAAAGGGTAAGCCTTAAACGGCTTTCATTCTTCTCACAATTAGTCTATACATGTTAATTTTACTTATCATCACTGCATCTTCTAGATCCTGGCCACTTCTCAATCTCTTTTAAGTGTTGGTACATACAGCTGACAACTTCCAATATGAGGATTTAGGAATGAGTGATAATTGAACAATGTTGTGGCTATGACATGAGAGAAACTCTGTAATATGGATTAACACTTTTCTAAAGTTCACATTTTACAGTATCACATTTTAGATCGTATAATACCCAGAGTCTCCTATGAAGGTTTATCTTATACTTTATATCTTAGAAAGCATGTCATTAAGAGTTGGAATCTGTGGGATTCTCTTACTCTGGCCTGGGAAGAAACTTTACTTTCCTAATCATGTTTTCACTAAAATCTACCTGCCTTCAAATGTCACTTTCAACAACAACAACAACAACAAAACAATGTTGTGCTCCTACATTTACAATAAGTAGTCTTATCTTGCCACATTTTTAAAAATCAGGATGACCAGGTGTCATAATTTTTATTTAAGAAATTCAATCACATCTATAATATTCCATGAGTGGAAACTATTATGAGTCATTTGATAGATCTTGCTTCTTATTTTGTTGTAATGTATGGTGTGGAAAATTTATCTTAATATCTATGACCTGACATCATAAGGCTGTATAAAGAGATGATTTGACTGTTACTCTACAGCTGAAATATTATCTTTCTCATATTGGCATCATATATAAATTTACGTTCTTTCAATTTCAATTATTCCATGATGGCTAAATTTATAAAACCACAAAAATAAAAATATTGACAAATTATTATGTACTTAGTTTATCTACAGATATGATAGATACTACCTGAATTAATCCTACTCCTAACCACTTCCCCCGAAGTAGATACCATTATCTCTATTTTCAGAGAATTAAACTGAGTTTCAGAGATGTAGGCTTTTCACATATTATAAAACAACAAAGAAAAAGTAGAACCAGATTGGAGACCTAGGACTCCTTACTCTGCTTTCTGCTCTAGGCTACTTCTTATAATCAGTGATGAGTCAATTATATTACTAGGGTTGATGAAACTTTCAATAAAAATATCACAATAAAGACAAGATGCCAAACTAATTGTTGAAATTTTAAAATAAGTTATTTTTACTGAACCTAAATAATGGTTAATTACACCCTGTTTTTAAGAGAGTAAAATGATACTTGATTGTGTGTTCCATCTCTGATCGCCTATCTCTAACAAGAGACAGATTCCCGACTTTATATTAAGCAATAGATGTTTTCCTGTATGTGTGGTCCTTAAGCCCTATAGAACTATATATATAAATATATATATAGAGAGATATATATATGTAGACATTATATATAGACATATATATAGACATATATATAGACATATATATATATATATATGGTTGCTAGAGAAACCTCAGAAGTATCAAACTGTCAGAGAGAAAACTGCCTTAATAAATGGGAAATTTCAGAACAAATGATATGGACCTTAGAATAACTTTGTTTATTCAAATACTTTATTTTCTAAGTTATTAACAATGCTGAAACAATCCAGAATATTTGCAACCTAACACAATAGATAAATAATATGGTTTATCAGGCTGAAGCAAAATGACCAAATTATAATAAATGTACTCTATAATCACTAACAGGTCTTATATTTTCTTTTCCTGACATCTGTGTAAAGTCATAATAACTCTCCATTTGTCAAGTTGTAATAAAACTGAACGTCTATTTTTAACTTTGAAATGAAAAGCTATATGTTAGTACAAGCATCTAGGTTTGAAAAGTATGTTATAGACAATTGTGTAGTGCAATAAACATTTTAAAATGTTGTAAGTGGTAATAGTTCATAATTTATGCCTATTTTGTGACTTCATATCTAACTGAATTTAAATCAAATTAATTTTCTTTTTTCTCGCCTTGAACTAAATTCTGTTTGACATAAACTAAAGAAGCTATCATCAACTTACAGTGGAGACTGTTGCAATCTCTCTTTGCTTACAACATACTTGAATATAAATTGTGGCTATTGAGTGATTTATTTATTTACTTACTTATCAGAGACAGGGTCTGGCTCTGTTGCCCAGGCTGGCGTGCAGTGATGCAGTTGTGGGTCTCTATAACCTTAAACTCCTGAGCTCGGATGATCCTTCCCCTCAGCCTCTCTAGTAGGACTACAGGCACGTACCATGTACTACAGGCACGTGCCACTGTGCCTGGCTAATTTTCTTATTTTTTATGGAAACTGTCCCTTGCTATGTTACCCTGGCTGGTCTTGAACTCCTGAACACAGGCCATCCCCCTACCTTGGCCTCCCTAAGTGCTAGGATTACAGTCATGAGCCACCATACTCAGCTCAGTATTGAATGTTTTGAAACCTAAAGTTAATTTGTCTTAATATCATTTTATCTGCTTTATATAATGCCTGTTTTCTAAGGCTTCTTTGGTAATCAAACAAACAAAAAATCCTACTTAGGGCAAATTTTATAAACCACTATTGCAATGGAGAAGTGTTGAATGAATGGTTTTTAACTAGGGAAACATAGTTGAACTTACATTATAAAAATGTAATTTTAGCTGTTGGGTGTTTATTTTCTGATGCATCATATCATTTTTAGAAGTTATAGCAATAATCAAGGAAGATATACTAAGTTGCACAATTAGGGCAAAAGTTAAAATAGAGGTTAAGGAGGTATAAACTTTACTTTTTTGGTCAATAACTAGATAAGTGAGGAGTAAGACATAGAAAGAAATCACAAATCTGTCTTGAAAAATGTATATAATTATTTTATATAATATTGATAATTTAAAAAAAAAACACGTTTTCAGGAAAGAACAATGAGTTTCATTTTGAGAATTGTTAAGTGTGTTGAGATAAGGTGACATCTAATTAGACATTCCAGGTATGCAATTTAAGGTGCAAGTTTGAATCTAAGGAGAGATGTGGTTGAAAGACACAAATCTCAAAGCCATATAAGCAGATTATATTGTTCAAGAAGAATATATATGTATACCAAAAACTGACAAAGACATGCCGGGAAATTACAAGTATTTATAGGGATTTTAAGAGGACATGGTTGTCATCAAAATGTTCTCTTTCTTGTCTTTGTGTTCATGTAGTACAGTTTACTATGACTTATGTGCTTAGTTGCACCAAAGTTTGTAGCACCCCTCTTGACCAGTCTTTTTTGGTCAAATTCTCTTACATTCTTATAAAAGAACTTAATCTTTTAGTTTTCCAGTGTTGGGGCTCAGAAACTAATAACCCCCAACCAATGACACCTTAAGATGCTGAACTGAAGGAAAAGCCTCAAATTCCCTCTGACCTTCATTCTGGACCACCTTTGCCTCTCAATTCTCTCTCTCCCAAAGCACAAGATGAAGCTTTTCTCTGCAGTTCTTTTATCTGCCTAATGTCTGGACCCAACCAAAAAGAAAACAATTACCTCCATTCCCTTCCCTGAGTTTTCGTTAACTACACTCATATCCCTGTGAAAAGCCTGAAGTCTGTAAACACACCTGGATATATTTTGTCACAAACTATTGTCTGCTCTACATGCCCAACAGATTTCGTCCCAGGCCACTGAATGTTATTCAAGCCCATTGAACCCCCTAAACATTATTACTACCCTGCTAAAATCATCCACACTTCCTCATCTCCCTTCCCTCTAAGAACAATGGTATATAAGCATCTGTACCACACTGGGCATTGGGGTGATTCACCCCCCAAGCACATTGATACATGTGTATGTCCATCAATCTGCCTTTTGCCAGTTGATTTTCAGTAAACCTTCAAAGTGCAAAAGGGAAATTTCTCCTTTGTGTCTACACCAATGACATATGTTCCTAATTAGATACCAGTATATAAAGAAATTTTTAAAATTCATAGTGCCTGAGGCAGATAATGCTAAGATAGAGAAAGGGACAGAGGAAGAAAAAGATAGAGAGACAGAGAAAATTATCAAAGACAAAATGTATTTAAGTCCTAGGAATGAGGAAATATGAGAAAATAACTATGTAGTGTTGCTTAAAGATAGTGTACTGCAGTGAAACCTCTATGCTGAATCACTTCCTTCTCTATTCCATTGGCAGAGGGTAACCATAAGCCCACACCTACCTGCAAGAAAAGTGTAGTCTAATATTGAACTCGGGGAATAAAGGGTTACATTAGCAGTACCTAATCTCAGCGAGAAACAACAAAACTAGCAAACAGAAAAAATAAGTTGTGTGTTGTACTAATAAGGTAAATATCACGATTATTTCAAAATAGCTTTAAAATTATATTTACAGAATTAAATAAGACATAACATGTCTGCAAAAAGAGTTATATGTAGTTGAATATGGTATAAGAATAATATGTACTAGAGATTAGAACAGTAGAAAATTAATATGAATAATTATTGGTTGGACGGAGTGTCAGAAAAGCAGGCATCTTCAGTTAGACCTCATGCAAAGGTGAGATCTCAACATTTAGAAGATACAAGAGTTGGTACATTCCTACCTCTTCTCATGCACTCTTCTTCCAGTCCCAGAGGTTTTATCCTCCAGGTAGCTGATCCCATCTGTTTATATAAGTATTGTCTGTGGACACTGAGTTAATTGGATATCTTCCCCTTCCCTTTATCTTCTTGAAGTTGGGTAAGAGGAACTGTCTGAGCATCATAAATCTCCATCATTTCTTACGCTGTGCTGGATGTTCAGCTTCAAGTAGGCAGCGTATGGGTTGCAATGATTTATAGTTTTAATCTTTTCTATAAATGAGTATAGAGACTATGCAATATGCCCTATTCACAAAGAAAACAACAGAAAATAGGAACATATATATATTTATATATAAAAATATATATATTACATACATAATAGCCTTAATAGTTATGAAACCAAAATGTAATTTTATAACACAACTAACATTAAAAATGTCTTTTTAATCCCTTCTTCTAGGTGGTTAGTAAATTGTTATATTAGAATTCATAAATTTTTATAGATGTGATCATTGGGGGGACATAAAAATTCACAGTTCCAATGAATTAGAATATAAACATTATCTTGCTGTCTATGACATTAATCCCTAACTTATCTGACAAGCTTTTAATAAAGACCTCTATCTCAGCACATTTTCAAAAATGTTTAACTGAATTATAGAATGGTAGAGGTGAAAGGGACTTTGAAGCTAGTCTGATATGCACCTAAAATGATGGAAATAAAACCCAAGACTCAATTTTTCATTATTTCTATGACTGCCTGTGGCAACACATATTGTGTTAAGATTCAATGTTAAAATAATTTCTGATTGTTTTACATGAATTCTTGGTTTAAAAATAAAGTGTTCAAAATAGATTTTTCACTATTTTTCAAACTCAGCATGAACAGCATGCATGTTCATTAGTTTATTGTGATGACTGCATTCATGATTGAATTAAATGGAGATACTTGCTCTACACATTGTAGTGATTTTCAAATTTTTGCAACTATATATTTTTTCTTCCGGAAACACTGTCATCTTTTATTTTCTGTTGTTATTAGAATAATTATTTCAATCCAAAGCATTTACATCAAAGCACTACTTCAATCCACTATGCATTGGAAAACATTACAATTAATCGAGAAAAAAGTTTAAAAAGCTATAGCATGGACTCTTTGATACAATTTTTAAGTTTAATATCTCAGTTGCTGATTCTTTCCTGGATGGGTGAGAATGTTACATTAGTAAGGTAAGTAGTGATTGTTGTAGGAAAAAGTTATCAGTAAAGATCTGCCATAATCTCCATCATCATTATTATCCTCATTGTCATTATTATCATGGTTTTTCTTCATTAATAAGTTGCTAGATTGATTTTATATCTAGATTTTAGATCTGACTTTATCTCTTTTTAACTGTATAACCTGATGAGTTACAATATGAGGTCCTCAATTATAAAATGAGAACAACAATAGTACTTATATCATGGAGTTTTTATATGGATTACATTATTGAAATTATTATAATTGTTATAAAAGTGTGTATCAACATGCCTGGCACATAGTGATTTTATAATTGTCACAGTGGTAGTGATAATTAGCAGAGGAGGTAGACAGGATGGTGGTAATAATACTGGTGTGTTAGTAGTAATACCTCATGTTTCCCTAATAATAACCCTGTTGTAGAAATGATGGAAAAAGGCCCAAATTTATCAGAACTGATTTTAAATTGTCTCTGTTTTTCAACTTCAAAATAAGAGTGACAGGAATAATGAGAACAAAATAAAATCTTATCAAGTTTTTATGAAAACAAAATATACTAATATACCTAAACTCTTAGAACAGTGTCTGACTCAGTAATTATTCAGTACATAATTTGCTATAATTTTCTATAATATGGTGTCTTTTTGTATTAAGTCACTGGACTGGAAAATGATATTGCAGAGGTTTAAATCTATGTCTGTCACCAAAAGTTATACTTTAATCCAACACTATACATCTTTGAAAGTCAGCATGCTCTTGTAGGTATCAATTAAAATAGTGATTAATGAAGCTGAATTTATTTCTCCATCACAGAAGCGAGAATGTCAAATAAGCTGTTCTAAAAGTGAAATAGCCTTCTAAGATGGGAAAGAGCTGAATATTCTGAGCTAGACACGTGTAATGTTTCACCTAGGCTTCTCTTTAGAGCTGACCTCAGGAGAAAACTGTTTCTACTATTTGTTGTCTCTTTCTGCTCCTTTAGTCCTTTGTAAGTCTTTTTAAGGGGCTAATTCCCAGGTTACATTCTTTCCTCCTTAAAATAGAGGTTTCTGATATATCACCCCACTCTTCTATCTCTTTAATATACCTATTTCCAAGGTCTACCCCTGAGCTTATATCAGCATTAAGTGTAGCTGATAAGAGATGTGGAAGCATAATTTTATTGTCTTGAAGTTCTTTAATGACCTGACCCAGATATCAGATTAAGTACTCCATCCAGACCTCTATTTGAGTATGATGTGCCTGAGTGTGTGTTTTATTCTCTGTTTCTCTGCTTCTCCTGCTTGGGTTTCATTGAGTTTCTTAGATCTAGAATTTTATGTCCTTCTCTAAAATTCAGGAGATTTGGGGATTTTATTATTTTTCTATTTTTTTCCTGTTCTATTATTTTTCTCCTCTCTTTCTGAGAATCTAATTACATGTATTTAACCTACTCGAGATTATTCCACAGATGATAAGAGCCTCTGAGATTGTATTGTTTTCTTAGTCTTTCTTCCCTTTGCACTCTTCAGGTTTATTAATTTCCATGGGTCTCTCTCTAAGTATACTGACTCTTTTTTATCTTACTATGTTTTCTGTTAATCCCAATTCAGTGATTTATTTTTCAGTTGTTGTTCCTTTCAGTTCTAGATTTTCCATTTGGTTCTTTTTGTACTTTCAATTTCTATGTTGTAATTCCATACCAGTTCACTCATTATGTTTATATTTTCCTTAAGTTCATAAGCATATTTATTATATCTGCTTTAATATTGTAATGTTAGCTATTTGTTTTCTTAAGTATACATCACATTTTTCTGTTTTTCACATGTCTAATAATCTTGATGAGATAATGGTATCTGTGAATGGTATTTTGCAGAGGATCTGGATTTTCTATTTTCTCATTATTTCAAAAAAGTGTTTTCTGTTTTAATGAGGAGTTAACTTCATTGTCAAACTTGGAACTCATTCTCCTTTGTAGAAGGCAGCACCTGAGATATGTTTCTCTCCACTTTCTGTTGGTACATTCTTGCTGTAACCTCTGAGATCTGGTTTGAATATATGTAATATAATCAGCCAACTATTTGGATAAATTTTAATACACATATTAAAGCGTATAACTTTCCAAGAACATTCTTCTCCCCACTTCATTAAGCATATTGCTATTTTAACATCCCTGAAGTCTTTTATCTGACATCTCAAGCCAGAAAAGCTGGATTTTTGCCACCCAAATTTTGAGGACTGTAAAGTACCCTGGGACAATAGACTGAAAAAATCACAAATCACACATGCTGCAGTGTGTCTTTCAAAACAGGATCTCTTAAAATTTCTGCCTGATTTTGGTCACATTCGAGTGTCTACATACATACTTTTAATAATTCTTTGAATTTTATAATTGTTATATGCAGGAAGATTAGCCTATCCAAGCTATTCCAGAATTACTGGAATGACAAAAACAGATTCTAAATCTTTTGAAATTGAGAATAATTATAATAATTATCATATGAAATTTTATGAGAAATAAAGTGAGATTATTAATATGCTTTTTCTGTACATTTGACACATAGTTAATGTTCAAAAAATATGCTTATTATATTACTAATTTTTCCTGACGGGTGTCATCAAATATTTTTAGTCATTTATCATGATTGAGAGAGGCTTTGTGCCAAGGGAAAAAATCTTTCCTTCCTTCCTCCCTCCCGCCCTCTCTCTTTCTTTCTTTTCTTTCTGCCTGTCTCACTCTGTCACCAGGCTGGAGGGCAGTGGCACAATCTCGGCTCACCACAACCTCCGCCTCCTGAGCTCAACCGTGTCTCCTGTGTCTCCTGCCTGAGCCTACCAAGTAGCTGGGACTACAGGCGCGTGCCACCACGCCCAGCTATTTTTTTATATTTTTAGTAGAGACGGGGTTTCACCATGTTGTCCAGGATAGTCTCGATCTCCTGACTTCGTGATCCATCCCCGTCAGCCTCCCACAGTGCTGAGATTACAGGAGTGCACTACCGCGCCCGACCTCCCGGTTTCTTATATGTCACTTTTTAGGGAGAAAGATATTATCTTGGTCCACTTGGACTACTGTAACAAAATACCTTAGACTGGATGGCTTCTAAACAACGGATACTTATTTCTCACAATTTGAAGGCTGAGAAGTCCAAGATCAAGACCCGAGCAGATTCTATGTGGTGGGGGCTCACTCACTGTTTTATAGATGGCAGAAGGGCCAAACAAGCTCCCTTAGGCCTGTTTTATAAGGGCAGTAATCTCGTTCATGAGGGATATCCCCGATGGCCTAATCACCTCCCAAGAACATCACCTTCTAATAGTATTGCATTGGGGATTAGGTATCAGCATTTGAATTAGCGGAGGGGAGGAGGGACACAAACATTCACACCACAGCAGATAATTTGTAAACAACTAATTGTAACCCAGTTTGATACTGTCACCAGAGTAATGCATAGATTTTTTGTGGGAAACAATGGATAAAATACCCAAGTATTTAACTTTCTTTTTTAAAAGGAGAATCTTCAGGAATAATAAAAAGTTTGTATATCTTTAGTAGAAATACTATCTGGATAAAACTTAAAAATATCAAGAGCTATATGGCATAGCAGAATGATAGCATACAGTGGAAAAGATGCTGATCAGAGTTGTAGAACTTGTTAGCATCTATAATTTGTCATCTAACCAACATGAGCTGTTTTCTAACCTGAGAAATATGAATTCCTACAGAATTGAAGAATGTTTGTAAAGAACTAACATTCTTGAATCCTTTGAAAAACTTTCTTCACTCTTTTAAAATGTGGTGTGATGATCATTTATTTAAAATTATTTTAATATATGCATGTGTTAAAATAAGTTTATCTTGAGAAATAAATGTTCACGTAAAAAAGTTTTCTGATTTTTTAAATACATTTTAGAGATTTTTTAAAATCCAAGATGATTTGGACATTGGGATTTTTGACACAGCCCTTTTTCAATCTTTTCTGTTTGGGTAAAAACATAAGGGTAAAAAGTTGCCATCAATTTAAATAAACTAATGTGCTTTGAAGTCAATATTTAGTAAAGAACGTAAGTTAGTAATACATGGATTAAGATATGCGGATACATTCATTCATTCATTTTCTAAGTTTAAACTAAAACAAATACTTTTAGTAACATATAATTAATATGCTTGGAAATTACAACATTGTTTATTTAACTTTTTATTGGAAATACATAGAGTCATATAATATCTGGAGGCTCCAAAGTAAGTCTTCTCTCATAAAATGTTGTCTTCTTAAAGTAAGTCTACATTTTGTATTACCTTTAATTATAAATGTGATATTAACCACTGATTTGATTAATTATACCTACATACAATAATATGTACCAGTTTGGTAAAATAACTTTTTCACATTTTAGATTACAATCAGCATTTGGAAAATTACTGTTGTATCTTCCATTTACTATCCTGTTGAGAAGGAAGTCAGTTGTTTTTCAATGATGGCCTTCAGAAGCCTTCACCATCTTCTTTCTTTGCTTTAGAATGTTTTGCTTTTGACCATCACATCTATGGAAATTTTGCCTCTGACTATGTGAAACCTATGAATCAAATGAACATTGGCTGAAAGCATCCATTCTGGCCAGGAAATTATAGAGAATGTCTAAGTCATGTTTTTCAACCCATTTCATTTAAATTGCAGTTCTTAGAATTATATAGATAAGGTATTTAATATATTGAGGTTTTTTTGGAATCAACCCGATGTTATAATAGTGCGAACAATTTGCAAATGCAGATCCACATTGCCAACTGCCTGCTAGAAATGGACATCTAGACATTAACCTGTTTCTTAGAATTACATATACCCACAGCTTACCCTTCATCCTCATTCAACCCATGCAGGTATATTCATAATTGGTCTTTGGTCCCAGAAGTCAGACTCATCAGCTTTCTCAGAATAACTCTTTACTCTGAAACTCCAGTTTTGTAAAAATTTGCAAAATTGAAGCATCACTATAAATTTCTTAAGTATGTTTTAATCTATGGGTCTCATCACATACTTCTCTTCATTTTATATGGGCCAATTGGAGACACTACTGATGAGACATGGACAGATCAATGATCTATAGTTTTGAATAATAATATTACTTTATATATAATGAAGAATCCATCCATTTATTTTCTGGTTAGTATTACTCCTTCATTCTTTACTTATTCCTTTATGTATGAGTAATTATTTGGCTCTGATTCCCCTTCTTCCTATCATCCTTTATTGTTTAGGTTATTTTGATGTGAGCCTTACTTCAAATTTCAAACTATGCGTCTCATTCTTCACATGAACTAGTATGTGCTGGTCTCCAGAAACTTCAGGCTGACTGATACATGGAGTGTGTAGTAGTGCAGGAAAATATTGCTATGATAATTTTTTCTTGTATATTGAGGGCCAAGAGACTTGTCTTCAATGAGAAGTTATATAGAATTTGGTTGGCAGGCCAATACATTATTAGGAGGACTTACTCATAGGTCAAGTCATTAGTTTTCTCACATATTTTTAGTACACACAATATCTGTAAGAAAAATAGACACCTTATCCACACTAGACAGGAAGAGACAGTTGATATGTCCTCCAGTCCAGCAATGCCCTTCCTGGAAATCCCTTCTGCACGGAGAAGAAGTCATTATTAAAGAGGTCAGTGATGGAGCCAGAAATTCTACTGTGTTTGAACAGATTGGTTAAATGATACCTTGAAGAAGACACTATTGCAAAACAAAAAGTTATGTAGAAATAACATTCTCAGCAAAGTGTGAAACAGACAGTGAATTTATAACCTTAGTTTAGAGCTTGATTTTTTTTTCAAAAAAAAAAAAAAGTTGGGATGAAAGAAACAGCAAAAGATACCTGTCAAAATGATGAATTGAGGGTCTTGAAAATGAGAGTAGAAGAAAAGAAACTTGACAAATGTCAAGAAAAATTTAACACTTCATACACTTCTTTAGAGTATCCTCACAAAGAATATGTCTACTGTTCCTGGCTTCATGTGATGTGAAAACAATGGAAATTTCTTGCTAGCAGACTGCAGAAGAAATCTACATATGGCTTTCCATTTGGAGAAAGGATATTTGATGATATACTTTGAACATAGGAATTTATAAGACCAACGCACTGATTGCTAAAAAGTACCATGTACAGACTCCTAATTATTTCTCAATTGCTTCCATTCATGCTGTCTTATATAATCCTTCTAACACCCAACTGGGAAATTCACCTGGTAGATGCAAAGTTCAGTCAGGTCATTCACTACACAGAAATCACCAAGGATCTTATTAGTGCATTCACGGTACTGTACCTTAAGCCAATTTCTTTTCTGTACACAAGTCCAGAATTTATTTCTACTTGATTCAACTTATCACTGGGCAACTGTACTCAAATAAGTCACTGGCAACTTTGGTCTCAGTATTTCCCAATCAGAACTCATGATTTGTATTCTACAATTCTTGAAGTTGACATTCTTTGTTTTTGTCTGCTCAACACCCACAGTGTACCCTGCATCCTCATTCAACCCAGGCAGGCCTATTCATTACTGGTCTTTGGTCCCAGAAATGTGTTCATGGGGTATGCATATGACTGAGGCTGGTTCACTCAGAAGCTAAGAGAGGCAAATTTCTTGATTCCTGAATTATTGAAGTAGATACATTTAAACTGGAGGTGCTGGGAGCCATATTTCTAAGCATAATTTAAAAAACATACACAGTAGGAGAGATAAAGTGAAAAACAGAAGTCAGTATCAGATGACAATATCTTTCATTCTGATCTCCAAAGTATCCCAAGCTGTCATGCTTCCTTTAGCTATTTCTTTGATGTTGTGAACAACTGCTGTACATTTCCAATAGATTATTTTGTTTATTTGTGTAAGCTAATTCGAAGAAGTAATTTTTGTCACTTGCAACTTTATATTTTGACTAATAGGTTCTTCCTCTCTTATACTGTGTCCTTCTATGGTATCATCCTCTGCTCAGCCTTCTAAAGTAGCAATTTGGAGGTAGTCATCAGGGTCTCTCTGTTTCACCTTTGTTAACAGATAGTGACTGTCAACTACTCTTCTGACATCTTAATAACTCACAATTCTTTCAATTTTATCCATCTTCTCTGTCATGATCACAATAAAGCCACTTCTAGCAGTCATCTGGATGACTCTAACCATCTTCTTTCCAGAATTCTGCTACCAGTTAATTTGCTTCCATGAATACAGGAATTAAAATGCAAATCTCATCATGGATTCCCTGTGTTCAGTGACTTTTAGTGGTCACAAATGTCTGCTAAACCCATATTTTTAAGTCAATCATTTTATAAGTCACTCTGGGTGTCGCATAGCTTCCTCAAGTTAAGAATATTTCCAAATTAATTCAGTTTTCCCATTTTTGCTTTACTTTTCAGTTTCTGACTTTGGTTAAAAGCAACTCTAACCACTTAGTTTCCCAATCTAGGAAGTTCTTCTATCATTAAACTCTTCATTTTCTTTCACTTTTCCCCAAAATTACTAAATCTAGGCAATACTTGTTAAATCACCATCTACCATTGCAACTTCTATCCAAGCCTATATTAGCTTTGCCTGGACAGTTGCAGAGGCCTCTTCACTGGTCACTCTCTCACGAGTGACCAGTTCAATTCTAGTTCTCCTTATACAAGGCTTGATAGGTGACTTATATAATATGATGATATGATTCTGTGATTCCCCTACTCAGTAGCCTTCAATGGCTTTTCTCTGCCCACAAACTAAAATCCAGCACCTTTAGCATAAACCTGGATAATCTGATGTTAGATGCCATTCTGACCTAAACCTCTGACATTTTCCCTTTAATATTTTATAATCCAAGGATACCTATTTATTGTATTTTCCTGTGTATTACATAATATCACAGCTACATAGCTTTGTTCATCTTTATCTAGAACATGCTCCCTTTTTTGTCTCTAAACTCTGATACAACCTTCAGTTTCACCTTTTTTGTAAACACTTCATGATGTCCCTGATATATTTGAGGCTCCCTCATTTAAGTTCTTACTGACTTTGTCCTTACAATCAGTATAAATACTACCTACTAAATCTCACAGGAACAATAAGATCTCTAAGAGAAGAATCTGTCTTTTATCAATGCACACCCAGTTTTCAACAAATGTTCAGCGCAAACTCAATCTTTAGTATTTATGTAATACATTAAGACCCCCAACCTCTCAGTTTTACAGAATAAAGAAAAGAATATTTACTTCTTTACCAATAGGTTGATGCTGTTCAATAAGCAGGAACGAAATGAAAGACTGGACCAAAGTTCTGCTCCAATCTCAGCTATAAGTACTACATTTGATTAAAGTGTGTCCTCTGTTTTATTGCTCTTGGAAACACCAGCACAAGGTAGAAGGCTGTACAAGGCAGAACAACTTAGGAAGAGGAGGTTTAGCCTCATAATGGCTGTTCAGATTCATAGACAATAATAATACTTGCAGCTACAATTCCTGTCATCTTACATATCAATTACATATCAAGAATTACACTGAGGTATTGTATATATGTTTTCACTCACTCTTGCAGTAAGCAAGATTTTATTATTTGACCAGATTTTATTATTTTTATTATTCGACAGATTTTATTTCATTTCTATTTATCATAATTATTAATTATAAATATAATTATGATAAAATAATTTATCATAATTATTTATTATTTATTGTTTTCAGCTTTTATCAATAGAATAAGTGAGCCTCATGGCACTCGAGTAACCTACTCATAGTTGTATAATAAATGATGGTACTGGGACATAGTCTCAGCTTATCTCAATTTAAAATCCATGACTATTTTTTTCTATTTATTATATACAAGACTCTAGCCATTGATCTATGTTGTATTTGGTAAGACATGCAGGAAAAAATAGATATTACAGACTTGATGGTGGGGATTGGTGAGAGAGATGAGAGTAAAAATATTAGCGAGGTACCCATATGAGTTGTTAATGTAGAACACTAAAATGACATATATTTGAGTAATTTTCATATTAAAACTCTCAACAAAACAGTGATTATTTTAAACAAGATTATTTTTTCAAGAATCTCAGGTATATTTTTCTTACTTGATTTTTCTTTATCCTACATGTAATATGTTCACTGCTTCTCTTTTCATTCTATATCACTGAGCCCTTATTGAAAATACTTTGGATTCAAAATACTCCTTTTAAATTGATTGTTATGAAACAATTTAAAATCATTTCTTGTCAGCCAAATGGACAATACAATCTCCCTATCTTTGAGAAAATGGCTTTATGTATCCAAAATAATCTCCAAGAACATAATCAAGGAAAAAAATCACATTGAAAATGTTGCAGGCTGTATTCATCAAAGCATAGCCAGAGATATTTTCAGTTGATTTTGGAACTACTTAATTAATGACTGTTATATTAGGTGAGGATATTTGAAAGCTGCAAGATGTTACCAACTTTGCAGGCCTAGGGAGCAGCTGTAAAGTGCATTAGGCTTATTTAGAAGAAAAATCTAACTAGCTGTGGAACATGAGGAAATTATTCAGCATCTTTGAGCCTCAATTTCTTCTAGGGTGATATGAAGGGATAATACTTGATTATCCATCCCCTAGTTTCCTTCTATCTATGTTTCTGTTACCCATGGGAGAATTAGGGAAGAGTAGGCAGCTACTGTCAGATCTATATACATTACAGAATGAGAAATGGGATATTAAAGATGGAAAATCATACCTTGGTATAACTCCTTTCTTTCTATTTACAAATATATATATTAAATTTTAAAATAATTTTTGAAACTGCTGAACTGAGATATGCTCACCTTTCTAACTACTGTCAAAAATGCCATTTTTGTAGCATTATGATACGTAAGATAATATTAACACTAACAACTATAATTTCTTAAGCAATTGTACTATTTGCTTTACACAGAGTTTCACTGAGCATTTATGAAATTATCCATTAAAACTTATCATGAATCTATTATGTGCTAGACACTGTATTTCCCATAATCCCTATTAGACAGATGACAGAATGGGAAGTTAAGAACTTGCCAAAACTTCAGTTATGTGGTATGGATGAGTTACAAAGATTTCCTATATAGCATAGTTCTGATGGTTAATAATATTATATTGTTCACTGGAAAATTTCTTAAGATCTTATGTTAAGTGTTCTTATAGTACATACACACACACACACACACACACACACACACACAAATACACACAAAGGGACACAAGAAAACTTTTGGAGGTGATGGTTATGACGATGCTTCATGGATGTATTCATATGTCCAAACTCATCAAATTGCATACATTAAATACATGTAGTGTTTTATATACCAATTATACCTCAGAAAAACTGTTCATAAAACAAGTCACTAAGAAAAAGACTCAGGCTTAATTGTAGGGTTATAGAAAGCTTCCTTTCTCCTCATACCCAACTACCACATCAGTGTAAGAGTGGATTACAGCTGAAAGAACTGCAAGATGCACTTTCCACTTGTGAAGGATTTATTTTTCAGAGAAATGCAAAAACAGTTGAATCTAATGGATATTTATAGAACACTTCATCCCAAAACAGCAAAATATACATTCTATCTTCTTCTAAAAGATGGTTTGACAGTTTATTAATAACATAATGTACTCTTATCATACAATTCAGCAAGGACATACCTTGGTATCTACCCAAAGGGGTTGAGAATTTATGTTCACACCAAAATCTGTAAGCAGAATATCTATAGCAGCTTTATTCACAATTGCCCAAACTTAGAAGTAATCAAGATTTCCTTCAGTAAGTGAATGAATAAACTGTGAGACATCCAGACAATGGACATCTATAAGACTAAAGGCAAAAGGCAAAATTTTGTTTGCCACGGGAGTACAAGCTATCAATTCTGATCCTACTGTACATATATACTAGATTAGAACTATTGAGTAAATGTATGGCACATAGTAGGATCTACACTTCTCATTGTTGGAGTGAGAGTTTTGAGTATGTGACAAGGAGGAAACTATATGGGTTGATATGATTATGGATTAAACATCAGTATGAGCTCATGCTTAGCTAAATGTAGATTCATACAGTTGTATATAGAAATAGTTTTATATATAGTTATACATAACTATATATTATATATAACTTTCTATATGTAACTGACATATATATTATTGGTTATATATAATATAATATATATATATATAGTTGGTTAAATACATGACACAGGTTAGTATGAATGCATATATTTTTTACCCTGTCAGCTAGGAGGGTCCAAAAGAAACAACACCTAGCAGCAATGAGCATGCTTAGCACCCAGATATTGGTTTCTTATCCTATTATCCAATAAAGGAACCAAGCTTCTTGGAATAAAAGAAGAAAGAAAGGGAGGAAAGAAAGGAGGGGAGGAGAAAGGGAAAAAAGAAAGGAGAGAGAGAGAGAAAGAAGGGGAGGCAGAAGGAAAGAGAGACAGAGGGAAGGAAGGAAGCAAGAAAGGAATGAAGGAATGAACCAACAAATTGACATGCCAAGTGTCACAAAGCTTGAAGGACCTAACAATAGCCTTTTCAGGTTCCACTCATCCTGGTCAGCAATGGCAGAAATAAGACTCATAAGAGATGTTGAAAAGCCAGTTTACAGGTAGATCCAAGTATTTTAATTCTGCATGATGTCTAAGGAGGAGTAAGGGTGACCTGGCAGGCTAGAGTGCTCTGGCTTAGCAGGTGAAAGCAAGCCGAGCTCAGACTTCTAAGGATGAATAAAAGCATCAGATCTCTGCTTTCCACTTGTCACACTTCATCGAGATGACTCTTCAGGGGTGATGGCTGAATCCTTTCCCATGTGTTCTCTAGGACTGCCAACTTTAATGCACTGGCCTGTGACTATTTTTCTAATTTGCTGACTTGCTCCTTCTGTAGACAATCTTCCTTGACGCCTTTGTTCATTTTTGGTTTTGCGAGCCTTTCTAGATCTATGTTGTCCTCATAACACACACAATCTTTCTTACCACTCATCAGACTCATTTGTTTTGTGTTTAATGCTTTCAGAGTTCAAATCTTAGACTTAAGGCCATAGCCAAATTTAGGAACCAGGAGTCCTCTACTGGACATTTTTCACATCTCTATGTTTCTACTGGATGTTTCAATATGTAAAAAAGACACTTAGTTTTGGGGTCATGCTTCAGTGGTTTAAAAAATAACAATTTTTTTTTAAAAAGGAAAAGAGTTCAAATACTGGGGAACTAATTCATTGGTCTTATATATTTGGGACCAAGAACAATTTTTTTTCTGTAAAAGAGTCTACAATATTTTGAAATATGTTTTACTAATCTTTCTTCTCTATTGTAATTAGGCTCTCTAAGGTGACTAGAGGATTTCTGATCACTGAATTTATTGATTTTTTTTAGTTATCATCTTTTTTTTTCCTCTCCACAGCAACTGGCTTTGACAGCATCTTTAGGAATTATGGGCTTTGGAAAAAATAACTAGAATAGATGCTTATTTAAGTTACTTGAAAGCTGTGTATCCTTAGACATATTACCTAAACTCTCTGAGACTTATTTTCTAACCAAAAGAAGGGGGTAATTATAGCAATCTCGTAATTGTATGTTGAGAATTACGTATATTTTAGATTTGTTTCCCAGGATGAGATTTTTCAGGACAACAACATAATATTGTTAATCAATTTCAATCTGTTAGTAAAGAAAACACTATTGTTCACTTTTTTTTAGGTTTACAGACTAGAAAATAGACAAACAGAATAGAAGTAGAATATATTCAAAGTAACTATAGCAGAAGTAAGCAAAGAAAATGTGGCTTCTCACTACCTGAGAGGATTTTGAAAGATTTATTTCTGGAAAATGAGTTTGAATATCCAGATAAATATTCTGATGAGTTCATGAAACATTCTGGTGAAAGAAAAGCTTGTAAGAAATAATGATGGAACCATAATAAAGGACCAAATCACAAAGGTCTTGGCGTGGGAGAAGATGTGGATCCTTTTCAGCTTAATATTAATATTTACTAAGAAGTAAGCTTAGAAGTTGTACAAAATAATATAGATGCATGTAGCTTTATCACAATTTAAGAACTACTATCAGCCTATTCTTTTGAAAATGTGCATTGCTAATTGACATATACATTGACTGATGATAACTTTGCTGTCATCTACAAAAAACTTTGCCTGTCGAAAATGATCACATGAACCTTCTTTATCTCCCATCTAACCTAGTGCATATGTTTATCTTGGTATGTGTGTCACTAAATTGTAATAGACTCTGCCTAATTCTATGAGCCCCTCTGAGAGGATATTCAATACATGTATGTGTTATCGATATCCCTTGAATCATCATTTTTTTATATTTGCAATTCTCATTTTTGTGCGGATGACTCCCAAAACTAAAGCTTGCAGCTGATTCCTATTTCTAGGTGCCTGCTTCATATGACTACTTAGATGTTCCATGGAGTTCTCACAGTCCACATGATTAAAACAGAACTAATGGGATTTCATCTGAAAGTATGGCATTCTAGATATTCTAAAGATCCCTCCTAATTTAGTATAATTAGATCCTATGTAAATGAAAAAAAAAAGCATACCCCTAAAAGCGTTTCTCTGTGATTATAAAAGTAAGGAAAACTCTAAGGGATCCCTCCAAAAATACTTAATGAAATGAGACCAATGGGTAGTACATGACACAATAATAATTGCCTTCTCTTGCTAATTGCAATCATTGGCCTGATCTAAGCAGTCAGGGAAATCTCCAACAAATACATTAAATTAAAATGATCCCAATTATATGGCATCTGTTGGCAACCAGCGCGAACAAGGCAGATTTTCTTATAAGGTAAGAACCTGCAACTCAGGTTTTCCAGAATTTGACAGATTAACTTCAGTGAAATATGAACTAACAATACAAAACAATATTACTTACTATATTCAAGAGGAAATAAACTGCTATGAGTAGAAGTAAGTAGAAATAACAAAAATTTTGGATCACCAAAGATTTCAGATATTGAAATTATCAGACATAGAATATAAAATAACTACATCTAAAATGTTTAAAATTAAATAAATAACATTAAAAATATAAGTGAGAAACTAGATGGGTTCAGATTCCATTTATAGTCATTTTAGTCACTCACTTGCACACATCTTAAGCTTTCTTATTCTCCTGTCTTTGGAGGAAAAGTTGAATAGATGATTCATAGGTATTTTTTTTAGGGCAGTGAAACTATTATATATGATATTCTAATGGCAGATATACGACACTATATATTTACCACAATCCATAGAACTCTGAAGTAAAATGTTTAAACCTTAGATATGCAATTTTATAAATATTTGGGAGGTTAGGGATTACTGGCATGGAATGCAGACTGTGACAAAAGAATCTGCCTGTATTACAAACATATTTAGCATTTTACAGAAGGATTTGGGGAAAAGATGCTGAACTAAATAACTTAGGCTAACTAACTGAATAACTAATGAGTGAGTGTGTAAAACTAAAGGCCAAAATAACTGTGTACATAGCATTGTAGTTTATAAAGTTATTTACTGTGGCATTATGAATTAACGATTTTAATATCATTAACCATATATTCTGAAATTGAACAATCATGTAAACAGATAACCAATGGTGTCACCCAGGATTTTCACTGTTGGAGTGGGAGGATTCAAATTAACAAGGGGAAGAAGTGACTATGGTCCATATAGTGAATTAGAGTTAAAAAGTACTAATGATTTGCTGCACCTATCAACCCATCATCTAGGTTTTAAACCCTGAATGCATTAGGTATTTGTCCTAATCCTCTCCCTCCCCTTGTCCCCGACTCGCAGACAGGCCCCAGTGTGTGATGTTCCCCTCCCTGTGTCCAGCATGGCACATGTATACCTATGTAACAAACCTGCACGTTCTACACATGTATCCCAGAACTTAAAAAAAGAAGAAGAAAAAGGAAAAAAAAAGTACTAGTGAATAAAACATACTAATGCTTTAGAGTTAAAGACATCAGTATAAACGTATGTTTGGCTTCATGCAGATAGAGATGGTTATATATATATAAAAATTTATAGATATATGCATATTCATTGGTTAATGCGCGCGCGCGCGCGCACACACACACACACACACACACACACACACACACACACACACACACACATTTCTTTGCTCTGGCAGTCCAGAAAGCCAAGAAGCAATGAGGACAACTACAACATAGTTTCTAATATAATTGTTCAATAGAAGGAGTTATGGCTGCTTATAGAAATGGCTGCTTCTAGGACTGGGGCAGGAGATACAGAAGATAGTACTGAGGCATCTTGTAATGCAATAAAATTTGATAAATGTTGAAAATAAAATCAATTCAACAAAAGTAAGCACAAAAATGGAGGTATAAAAAAAGACACAGGAGTCAACTAAAAGAATTTCCAAAGGCCAAAGCTGGAAAACTTTCTGAAAAATTAAAGCACTATTGGATTATAACTCAATGTAGAAATAAATGTGTAAAATAACTATTGAGACTACATAGAAATATAAGCAAATATTTGAGTATATATAAGCAAATAATTGAATAAATCAATGGGAAAGTGAAGACAAATCTCTTGTAAATATTCCAAATAATTTATGAAATATTCCAAATAATTTATGTAGATATTCCACTTTCAGAAAGCAGAACATAACTCCTCACTTCTTTAACATGGTCTACACATAGTAACTTACTTTCAAAGAGTACAGCATGGAAAGGGGAAGGGAAGTAACATTATTTTAAAAAATTTTATTTTTTGTATTGATATATAATATTTGTACCTATTTATGGGGTACATATAATATTTTCTTCCATGAATAGAATGTGTAATGATCAAGTCAAGGTATTTAGGATATTGATAACCTCATGTATTTACTGACAAATACTGTCTGAGGTAGGTGATCAAGGTCAATATCAACACTGACATGTAATTTTGATAGAATGTACCCATTATATAATCTGATGAGAATGTCAGTTTACCTCTGTGGTCTTCCTCCCAAACACCTCTACCCCAGTCTAATTATCAGGAAAACATCGAACTTATCCCAATAGAAAGACAAAAACAACGGACCAGTACTCCTCAAAACTGTCAAGGTCATCCTAAACAAGGAAAAGCTGAGAAATTACCAAAGCCGAGAGCAGCCTAAGGAGACATGCTATCACAACGTAATCAGTATATCGGTTGGGATCCTGGAAAAGAAGAAAAAAAAAGACGTTAGGCAAATACTAAGGACATCTCAATAAAGTATGGACTTCAGGTACTAATAATATAGTAATACTGGTTCACTAATTGTTAAAAATTCATCATACTAATATAAGATATTAGTAATAGGGAAAACTGGGTATAGGAGCTCTTATAGTATCTTTACAATTTTTCAGTACATTTTACATTGTTCTAAAATAAAGTTTATTTGAAAAAATAATTAGAAACTAAGAAATTTAACATGAAATAATAGTACATTCAATTGCAATAAAGAATGAACAAATACACATTTTGCAAACCTGACAAAGTAATCTTAAATATATACATACATGTTTATAACTACAGATACATGTATATTATATATAAATTATTATTACATAGGTACTAAATATAACACTACATATAATGCATATATGATATCTATCATATGTGTGGGTGTGTGTGTGTGTGTATATATATATATATATATATATATCAGAGGGAAAATTATATAAAACATGAAAAACATAATTTGCTTAATCACTTATACAGAAAGGAGACAAAATCCTAGTAAAGATATAGAAAATTTAACACAAAGTGCCTGATTTAATGGAAATATACAGAATGCTGTATATCAAAATTAGGGAAAATTCATTTTAATTAAACACACATAACACATTTACAAAATACTTTGTGTTCCTGACCATAAAGCAATATCTCAAAATGATGCAACATTTTTATCGTATGTTCCACTTTTTTAAAAAAAATGCAGTTAAATCAGAAATTAGCAAATATGAGATATCCTTGCCCCTAATGAATCTGAAAATTACCAAAACTGTTTCTAACTAAGCTATGGATTATAAGATAAATAACAGTTTTTCTAATGCTTAGTATTGAGTTGACTAATAAACTTATTTGTTTGTTTCATTTTTTCTATTAAGAATATGAGGCTGGAAATTTAAGGGAAATGTAGAGCTTTAATTGGTTATATTAGGACAGAAATAAAATACTGAAAATTAATGAGCCAAGAATACAATTTAAGAATAAATAAAACATGAAACAATACACATTAGAGTGGAAATCAAAACAAACAAAAGAATGGAAGTTTTTCTTTAAAAAAGAGTGAAATAAACAATATTTAGCAAAATAAAATGAGTAAAATGTAGAGACACAAAACCACAATAGGAATGAAAATGGTAATGGCATTACCATACCTACAACAGAAATTTTAAAAGCATAATAACAGCATAACTTTAATAAACATACGTGTGTGTGTGTGTGTATGTGTGTGTGTAAATTATTAACTGATACTGGTTAAAGCAGGGTAAGGCAGACTTTATTCCGACCATCACTATAAGTATAGGTACCGCTACACTTGGGTGGTCTTGCAGTGGGTGTCAGTGGAGGGAAAATTGCTAACATGAAAGATCAGATGAAAAAAAAAAAAAGATCAGATGTAAGGAGGATTCTGGCTAAACCAACCTAATAAAATTCTTGCTAATAAGACAGGGTGATCAGACCAGGATGATCAGCCGTCACCTAAGGCATCATGGAGGATAAGGAACAATATCGGATCTCAAGGGCGATTAGATATGGAAGGTGGGCAGTTCTTGCTAAATTGACTTTAGCAGAGTTCTTTGCTGAACTGGATTTTACAAGTGGTTACACAGATGGGGTTAGGAGAAGGTTCAAATGCCTGACTAAAATTTGGCTAAGCAAAAAATCTTTGTGAATATATGTATTTTGTGAATACATATATTCACAAAGAAGGGCTCTTTTCAGTTAAGTCTGTGAATCTAATATAATCTTGATAACCAAACCTTGCCAGGGCTTGATTAAGAGGAAAGTTACAGGTAAATTTCTCTCACGAATGAATTTAAAAAGCCCTCAACAAAATCTTATCTGATGAAATCCAGCAATGCATAAAAGAGATTATAATTCATGAGCAAACTGAGATTACTGTGCAAGTAAGGTGGGTTTAACATTAGGAAATCTAATGATGAAATCCATCATATTACCTGATTAAAAGAGAAAACTAAAAATGTGATTATCTACATAAATGTAGAGAAAAGCATTTGATAATAGAAAATATCCATTAAGATATCTTAACTAGTAGCAAATAGAAAGGAGTTCCTTAATCTTATGGAGATTATGTACCAAAAACCTACGGCAAAGCAGTTCGTAAGGTAAGGGAGAAGATTGAAATGCTCATGAACTCTGTTTCTGATTCAATATATCAGAAATTCTTGCCATTGTGTTGAACCAAGGGAAAAAATGCAACATAATTAAAATTTAAAGATTATAAAACAAGAAACAAAACCACCAATATTTGCAGAAAAAATTATCTAGAATAAGAAAAACTCCAAAGAACCTGCTAATTGTTACAATTAATAGAAATATTTTCCAAGATGACCAGATATAAAACAGATATATAAAATCCATGGCAATTTTGTACAGTAGTTACAGAATGCAAAATGTAATTTGTAAAATGTTACAATTTACATAATAACAAAATGTTGAATTTGTAGAAATATAATTAATCAAAGAAGTGTAAGATCTCACTGTAAAGTTGAGAAATAAATATTGAAGGATATGAAGATTAAATTAGGGGAAAAATATAATTTGGACTTCAATAAAAACCTCTCAATATTATAGACTTTTTTCTGTAAATTTAAGATTTTTAGTGTTAATAAAATCCCATTAATAACCCAATAGTTTCTTTGTTTAAATGAACTTGATGCTTTAAAATTTTATGATAGCAATAAGCCACAAAGGGCCAAACCACTTCTGAAGGAAATGAAGAACAGAGTGGAAGTATATATTCTGTTTGGTATCAATAATTTTCTAAATTTATAGTAACTAGAACATTTACTCATAATGTGGAAATAATTGGATTGAAAATAGAAAATAGACAAATAAAATAGTAAAGAACACAGGAATATTTTCATTGTCATATGCAAAGTTGATATATAAAAAGCCTGTTTTGCCACTCACTGGGGAAAGATAGGCTTATGAATTAATAATGCTCAGACACTTGAAAAACTTTGCAAATGGATCCTTACCTCACGTCATATGCAATATTAAAATCTAGCTGGATTAGAAAAGTAAACTTACCTATGCATAGGAAAACAAAATATTTTAGAAGAGAATATAGAAAATTATCTTTATGACTTTGCGCAATGAAGAACTTCTCATTAAAATATTTCAAATGTGCAATCCATAAAGGAATGCATTAAATATAAAAATTTAGTTTATTAACTCAACAAATTTTCCTAAAGCATGCTATGTGGCAGACATTGTTCTACAGGGATACATCAGTGAAGAAAACAAAAATCTTGCCTCTATGGAGTTTACTTTCTCATTAGATATCTGCAATAAACATAACTATCAGAGGATTACTATCTAGATATATAACTATCTTCTAAATGTCAATGTAAAAACAAGCAAACCATGTCACAGAGAGAATGACCAAAGGGCATACACCATTTTTTTCCAAAGAAGAAGTCATAATACCCAGTAAATACATGAATGCGTTTCTGACTTAATTGTAATCAAGAAAATAAAAATAAAAACTAAATATGATCATATTTTATACTAACAAAATTGGCCAAAGTTATTCATCCAGTGGCCACAAATAGATGAATGGATAAAGAAAATGTTACATATATGTATACATGTATATAAAACATGTTTATGACATATGTATGTGTATGTATGACATAGATATCTGTACATATATACACATATATGTATATACATATATAACATATGTTTATATATAACATATTTATGCATATATATGCACATATATGTATGCATATGTGTGTATGTATATTTAAAAATGGAACATTATTCAGACTTTAAGAAGTAGGAAATTCTGCCATATGCAAGAACGTGGATGGACCCTGAGGATTTAGGCTAAGTGAAAGAAGCTAGTTGCAGAAGGACAAATACTGCATGACTCTACATATAGAATGTATCTGAAATAGTCAAAGTCAGAGAAATGGAGGGTAAAATGGTGGTTCCCTGGGGTTCAAGGGCTGAGAAACAGCCAGTTATATTTGAAGGGGTATACATTTTTAGTTATATAATATGCCTAAATTCTTGATATCTGCCGTACAACATTGTGCTTATAGATTACAATATTATATTGTACACTTAAAAATGTGTTAAGAGGATAGGTCTCATGCTAAGTGAGAAACTAAGGGTAGGCCTCATGCTAAGTGAAAACAAGGCATTCAAATACAATACATAATAAGACTGTTATTTAAGAAATACTTTGAATGAATTTTTGTGTGTACTAGATTATTTTGAGCCACATGCCAGCACAAACAGAATGATTAATAATACCCGGTAAGCTGGGAGACTCAAGTGACAGCTAACATTTAGCTATATATCAGTTTTCTATCACAGAGAACTAAATAATTTCACTATATCATACAAATTGTAAAATTATGGCTACCTAGCACACTCTGATAATTTATTAGAAATCAGAGTACAACATGACAAACATCTCCAACTGTGTATCTTTCTAATACTGATCTTGAAAAGATTCAGGCATCTGTGGGAAGATGTGAATTTACTGTTGTCATAAAGAACCATTTATAATGCACATTTTGATGTCATGAGACTAATAAAACTGTGTCTGATGGGCAATGATTTGTCCCAGGATTGGCTCATCCTCTAAAGGACTGCATATATTACATGAATAGTGCAAATTCTCAGCACTTCAGTTTGAAATGAGGACAATTAGTGTTTTAATCATAACCAATATGTTATGGCACGTAGAGTTGGGACACTTATGTTAAGGGTTCTATTAGAGATTACTATTACTTAGAATAGCTTCTATTATTTCCACTGGACAGTTAAGTAAAATGAAGTCAAAGTGAAACAAAACAAAAACAAAATCTTTGGGGATTTACAAAGGCATAGCAGAAGTCTCTGTCTCACTGCTTCCCTTCACAGGCATAATTTCCGCCCCCCACTCTAAATGATATTGGACTTTTCTATTTCAAACGGTTTTAGCTGGGTGACCTATTATCTCAGTACATTTCACAGTCTGTGAATCTCAGGGTCTTCAATTCTGTATTCATTCTGCCCATTAGGTGAAATACACATGTTATTTAGTTTTTGTTCAACATGTATTTATTGAATACTAACTATATGAGAATTTTTTTCCCTCAACATTGAATATAAAATGATGGAGAAGACAGGCCAGGTTTGAGACCTCATTGAGCTTATATTCCACAAAGACAGAGCCAGTGAACCTGTTTTGGGGTTGGTAATCACTGTGATGGTGTAGGAAATGTGTTTAATAATCATTTTTTATGGAAGCATCTGTTCTTCCTAACAGATTTTCCTGGAGTGTCCATTGGAAAAGCTCTTTCGTTTCAAGCAACAGAATGACAAAATGATGAGTCTTAAGTAGTAACTTACTTGTCATATAACAAATGTCAGGAGGTAGCTAACTGTTGGCAATGGTTTAGGGTTTGCATCCCTGTGATACTTTTATATTTCCTTATGAATAAAAGATGGTGGCTCCAGCTTCAGCCATGACTTACTGTCAAAGCAGGAAGCAAAAGGGAACCGGGCAAGCAGATTTGCACTAAAACCATGACCAAATGACTCTCCTATCTCTATCCACATGAGATCTTGGAAGTGAGTATTTACTTTTACAGCCTCTAAAGTAGAGGCAGACAAGAAAGAAAGGAAATGAGATTTGGAGTTGAGTGAGCTTACCTATGGTGTCTACTATAGATAGAGAAATTGATTCAGGAGTCTTCAGCATATGTTATTTAAAATTATGGCAATGCAATCCATTAATCTAGATCAGTGCTGTCGAATATAACTTATGATTAAACTGTTCTATGTCTGTGCTGTTTAATATGGTAGCCATTGGCTACATGTGACTATTGAGCACCTGAAATAAACCTCATGTGACTAAGGAACTGAAATTTTAATTTTTAAAATTTTTAATTTGAACAGCCACATGCAGCAGCAAATGGCTATAATATTGAAGAGAGAAGATCTAGATTGTGCAGGAAAGAAAAGATGGAAAAGAATTAGCTTTTAGAAATTAGGTATTTAAAGGGTCTGTAATTGAGGAAGGGATAGAAAAAAATTAAAGAAAAACATATATACATACACACATGAAAATGGACACATGCATGTAAACACACATACATATATTTATGTTTTATGTACATTGTAACAAATAATAAGATGAGATTTTATCTGAAAATGAGAAAATTATAAAGATAATTTAATGAGAACTCATAAAATATTTTCTTAGAAAGATAAGACAGCAATATAGAAATATGTTAGAATTTCCAGGAAATCCTGAAGGACCTTTTGATATCTGATCAGGATTTTAAAGTAAGATCTACCTTCCTTAATGGTAGATTTTCTCCAAACTACAGTCTGCTTGGTGCAAAGCCATAAATTTTTTTTTGTCTAGGTTCAAAAATAAGATTTTTCATCCAGATAGATGAGATTAGAGATGGAGTCAAGGAAGTGTTGATTATTATTTAAATAAAATGAAGACAAGAGGTTACTAATGGAAAATGAAAAAGGAAATTGATTGACAGTCTTGGTGAGATTAGGTTTCACGGGTCACAAGTTATGAGTTCCCATCCTTCTCCATCTATTGAATCACTCCAAATGTTCAAGGGTAGGTTGCTACACTGAAACTTTCTCCTTACACCAAAATATTTACTCTCCCATTTTTGAATTTCCCTGATACTTGTTTATTACCCGTGGATTAACACATCATCAAACATTTCTACCTCACTTATTTAGAAATATATAATTGTCATTCATTCAGATCCTTAAGCCACAAACCTGAGTACCATTATAGACTTTTTCTTTTCCTTCACCCTTTCCAAAATGTCTTGTCTTTTTCTCAGATTCTTGAAATAACTATAGCTTCTCTTCTTTCTTCAGCATTACACTGTCTCTATCCATCCTCCACGTTTTTCGCAGAGTAATCGAGAACTGCCTATAATTAACTATACATTTACTACAGGCCAGACACTGCGCTAAAAAATGCTTTATAAGTGTTACTTTATCTGTTCCTCAGGACAAATATTTAATTTTTATATTCTAATCCTCCCTTTATAGATGAAGAAACAGATCCAGGGATATTAGCCAATTTACCTTAAGATGGCCCTGTAGGAAGGTTTATATTCTCACCTGTATGGTTACAAAGCTTTAACTTTTGGTCAGTACACTACTCTGCCTAATTAAGTCTTTACTCCTTCAAGTGCATTGAATTACTCTTCTGGTTGCCTATAGGCTGACAGTCAAATGTCTTATGAGAAAAAAGGCCCTTCAACATCTAGCTCGATTTTTCATGTCTACCCAGATTTACAACCCTTCCTCCCCACAAACTTCTATCTTGCACTTAGGTATATTCTATTCTTTTTTTTCTATTTCTATATATATATATATAAAAATATATATTATATATATATTTATATATAAATATATTATATATAAATATATATAAATTTATAAATCTATTATATATAAATATATATAATATATATTTATAAATCTATTATATATAAATATATATTATATATAAATATATATTTATAAATATATTATATATAAATATATATAATATATATTTATAAATATATATTAATAAATATATATATTTATTTTATATATAAATATATATATAAATGTACTTTAAGCTCTAGGGTATATAGGGTATATAATGTGCAGATTTGTTACATATGTATACATGTGCTATGTTGTCATGCTGCACCCACTAACTCATCATTTACATTAGGTAGGTCTCCTAATGCTATCCCTCCCCACTCCTCCCACCCCACGACAGGCCCCAGTGTGTGATGTTCCCCACCCTGTGTCCAAGTGTTCTCAGTGTTCAGTTCCCACCTGTGAGTGAGAACATGTGGTGTTTGGTTTTCTGTCCTTGCAATAGTTTGCTAAAAATGATGGTTTCCAGCTTCATCCATGTCCCTACAAAGGACATGAACTAATCCTTTTTCATGGCTGAATAGTATTCCGTGGTGTATATGTGCCACATTTTCTTAATCCAGTCTATCATTGATGGACATTTGGGTTGGTTCCAAATCTTTGCTATTGTGAATAGTGCTGCAATAAACATACGTGTGCATGTGTCTTTATAGCAGCATGATTTATAATCTTTTGGTTATATACCCAGTAATGGGATGGCTGGGTATTCTGTTCTAACTACATTTAATTACTTGTGTATTTTCAACTAAACTGTCTACTCTGGTTTATCCCTTTAACAATATGGAATGCCATTCCCATTACTTTCTCATTCTTACCTACTTAGTGGGATCTTACTCATCTTTTAAAATTTATATAGGCACTCCCAATAATATGGCAGATTTTTCACATGCATTTATCTGAGCTCATTCTCAAGACTACACATAAAATAACAGCAAAATAGAGAAAAGTTAGATTCTCACAGAACAAAGAGTGGCTGCAGAGAAAACAGTGGAGTTAAATACATTTTTGAAGGTGAGATGTTTATGACATAGTAATACCTACAGAAGCAACCCAAGGGCCTGCAGAGACAGAAGTAATGGACTTACACGCAGAACCCCTAAGAGGATTGGAACTCTGAGGCACTGAGTAGTTTTAAAAGCTGGAAGATAAGAATAGAAGATAGTTTATCAGCCTTCTTAAAAAGTGATTTGAGAGCCCCCATGTCCTCTCCCTGAACTGACATCATCAGGTGCAAGGTTAATTACCTAGCATATTAAATTATGTAATCACCCAACTTGGAGCAAATGGCATAGGAGAGGTCAGTGAGAGTCATAAGGACAAAAACTGAGAGTAGGGCCAGATAGTGAAAGGCAGGGTGTGCAGCTCTCTCTTCTGGACCTAAAACATCAGTAGTCAGGAATGCTTTTCCTGGTAGAATATTAGATTGTTTTTGGAGCAACTGAACCAAAAAAAATCTCCAGATCCAATATTTCGGGATAGACTAGTAGAAAAATACAGATCTTTACCTTATCACCGTATAGACAAGGATAGCAGTCAATAGCTCTGTCTACATATGTTGACTCTAAATCAGCTTTTCAGCACTTTACTCTTAACTATGAAGAGAAATACAAAAATAAGCCTATATATGAATAAAGCCTCCACAAGAAAGGAGGAAGAAAACACAGAAGATAAGTACTCATACAAAGCAAAGAAAATATATGGGGGCCAGAAAAAAATGTAAATAAATAAAATCTATAAATACTATGCATAAAGAGTTAAAAATATGTCATATTCATAAACCAATACAACATTACAAACACCAAAATAATGATGGAACAATGGAAAATCAAGAAAGCATTGTTTAAAATTAAAAATATAAATGGTAAATTTAGAGAAGAAATCATAGAGGAGGTGGAAGACGAAGTGGAGAGATTCTCTCTGGAAGTAAGCTCCCCCACCCCACCCCACACACATTTCATTAAAAAAGAAAATGAAAAAGTGGAAGACGAAGAATATGAAAATGATCCATCATTCAACTAATAGAAGTTTCAGAAAGATAAACAGAAGCCAAAACTAAAACATATCAGTAATTTTCCAAGCTGATCTGTGAAAACACAGGCACTGCTGTTGTTGGCATAGACACCACATAGCCTATTGCCAAAACCTCCAGCAGCAGATATGGTTTGTTAAAATTGCAACTCCTCCCACTGCTGCTGCAACTGCCACAACAGGATTGAGCTGCATGGTTCCTGTTTAATTGTGTCAACAGCTCCTAATTCAAAGTCCAAAGTTGATGGATCTTATTTATGGAAACCAGGTCATGTGCATGCCATTGTTGTAAGGGAGGCCAGGAAATTCTTTATTTGGCCATTTTGGCTTCTATTTTGTGAGTCTGTTTTACAAAGTATGGTATTTCACTTGCATATAAAGGCCTCATATGTCTTCATATACCAGATAGAATCACAAATGTCAGCTACACAGGGGAACTAATATCAGAAAACAGAGAAGAAAACCCTAGGGTGAAGTCAAAGAAAAAAACCAGAAGACTGATTGTGTAGAAGGGATACGGAGCCAAAAGTCCATGTTGGGGTAGGAGGATGGAGAATTCTGGGACATGCAGTGGTAGGCGACAAAGGAAAAAACACAACCTAACAAAAACAACAACCAGAAAATTAACTGATAGTATATTTGAGGAATTCAAGCATTCAGAAGATAATATTAGTATATATTTTATAGTTCTTAGGGGCATTTCAAATAATTTAACAATAAGTTCATAAATACAAACTAAAAAATAATTAGAATCCAGAATTTTTTTTGTCGAAGGAAAACAAAAAAAGGAAAAAAATAAACATAATTACAGTTTTCAACTTGATTCATCAGTATTTTCAGAGTCATAAAAAGTGGTAACTATATACTGAAAAAAAACAAAATGGTGGAAAATGTGTTAGCAAGAAGCTTTCAATAGATAATGTCAAAAATCAAAAGCAGATGAAAACGGTATTAACAGAATTTAGAACAATGAAGCCAGAAACAGAGGAAACAATTGAAAGATTTGAAGTCCTTGGGCCGGGCGTGGTGGCTCATGCCTGTAATCCCAGCACTTTGGGAGGCTGAGGTGGGTGGATCACGAGGTCAAGAGATCAAGACCATCCTGACCAACATGGTGAAACCCCATCTCTACTAAAAATACAAAAATTACCTGGGCATAGTGGCACGGTCTGTAGTCCTAGCTACTCGGGAGGCTGAGGCAGGAGAATCGCTTGAACCTGGGAGGTGGAGATTGCAGTGAGCCGAGATCCTGCCACTGCACTCTGGCCTGGCGACAGAGCCAGACTCCATCTAAAAAAAAAGAAAAAAAAAAGATTTGAAGTCCTCTAGGAAATAAAACCTCAAACTAGAGATGACAACTGAGGAACTGAGGGACTTTGCTAAGAATGAAAATAGAATTTTAAAAAGAAACTATTACCTCTTCTCATGGGCCCTACCATTGCAAGTTTCATTTTTAGTATCTCCCCTCAACACTGTATATACATCTTTTTATGGTAGTACTTATTGCATTGAACTTTAATTGATTATTCATGTGTCTGCTGCCCTTACTACCTGTACAGTCTGTATGCCTAGCACAGAATATGGTGCCTGATGCAGAATAATGGCAGGTAAACTTTTTTTGAAGTGATCTATGCTCAACCTTCTCTATTCTATCCTCTATTTTATTTTGTTTTTAATTTTTTTCATCTTTTGCATGCTTTATTTTAATTTTGCTTATATTAAAAAAAATCCTTTGTGGTCTTGTGGAAGGATGGTCACAAACGCTAAGAGCTAATTTGAAATCTTTCTTTCCCCTGGGACTACAAATTTTCTCTTGGATCCATCTTCACATTTTAGTCTGTAATATCCTCTGAGCATTTACTACATACCCTCATTTGGATGCAATATTGATAACTTTTCTGCCAGTGTATATGAAAATATTCCATACACTAAAACCTAGACAGGGAAGGTTTAATTCAAGCATTGATTAGCTTTACCCCTCATGGGGAAACCATAAATAATCCCTGAACACTCTGAGCCACCCAGAGAACAATAGATTATTGACAGTTCTGTAGGAGGACTCTGATTACAATCACAGGACAGCAGAATTCCAACTCCATGTCACAATTTCTTTCCAGATTTGTAATTTGAAAATCACTCTTGATCCAGAAAACACAGAATTCTCATGTGGTCCAATAAGTTACAGAATGAATCTATTAAGTTAGATTTCTTGTTCTGTGTTAAAACATGCACATCTGTTAAATGCTACACGAAGAAAGTTAGCCAGTGAGTTTTAATTAATTTGGTCTTAACCAAACTAATTATCTATTATTTTAGCTTTAGGCTGTTTTGTGAAAAAAGTCAAATACTTATGTGGAAGAAATACTGCAAGTCATTTTCTCTGAGAACATGGGGTTTGGCTTGACAAGGGCTATTAAAAAGATTTAATGGAATCACCAAAACTTATTTGAAGCTTGCCTAGGAACGTTTTTGTACTCAATCTGCACAGCAATATTAATTTTTTAACACAGATGGAGATTTTATTGGTATTCTACAAAGGAGGGGGGAAAAAACGACAGGACTTTCCACTTTTCAGCTTGGTGCACAGAAGGTGAAGATTTTACAAAGGCAGAATAAGAGAAGAAATAAAGCACCCAGTCAAATAAAAATGAAAACAAAAACAAAACGAAAAACAGTTGTGTAATAAAAAAACACAGAATGTCACTTATGATGAATTTGCTTCCCACTGATGAAGAAGTTAAATTCAGGGTGTGCTCAGAAGGCGTCATGGTAGGATACTTAATGGCTAGTAAAGGATGCAGTGGTCATTCTCTTTCATATGATTTATTTTCTTGGATTGAAAATATTACCCTTGAAATCTGATTTAGATTGAAATTGTCAGCCCTCAAAACCAATTTACTTTGCAATCAAGATTATTTGATGCAGTTGTAAAAATAAACATATGCTAAAAATAAGAACTCTGATATTCTATCCCAACTTCTGTGCTCATTTTTGCTGATATTTATATAACAAATTAATGTGTGTAATTGACAGTAGCAGTAGAGTACCATAAAATTTCAGTATAGCTCAAGAGGTCTGAAGATCAGAGTTTGGGTTACAGCTCTGCCATGTTGTAACTTTGAGCAAATCTTATATATTGGTGACTCAGATGTTTCAACTGTATAATAATAAGAAGGTAGGGCCAGGAGTTCTCTGGGCTTTTGTTCAGCTTGAAAACCAAGTGCATCATTAGGCACTGAACCGGTGTTCATTGAATATCTCCAAATTCAAGGTCCTATATTATGTATTTCATTAACTATCAAGCAATATGTGAGCATGTGGTCAGACTGTCAGGGTTCCCTATCAATTTTTCACTACTTTATGAGATATATGACTCTAGGCAAGTTACCTAATTCATTTGTCATTTGGTTTTCTCACCTATAAATGGAGATAGTTATAATATCTAATTATTCTATAAAGTGGGGATAATTAGTACCCATCTCATAATGTCATTAGAAAGATTAAACGTCCTAATAAATGTGAGGAGCTTAAAAGCATGCTTTTTGTATGAGGCACATTCAATAAATATTAGCAATTACAAACACACACACACACACACACACACACACACACACACACTTGTTTGTGTATGTCTTTGAATCTCCAGAGTGATAAAAATCATTTTTATAGTTGAAAAATAATAGTTTTCTGCAGGTACTTGCATATTTGCTTTTTAAAGGAATGATAGAATTAAAATTTGAATATTTTTGTCAATTATTGCTTAACAAAAACCCAGCAAAATGCCTTAAATACAGTAGATTCTGAGTAGAATGAAGAAATGAATATTTCACATCAAAGACTTTGTATAATATTGGAGCCCATTTAACCAAGGGTGACGAAGGTAAAAATGGATACATTCCAAAGCAGGAAAAGTGTGTCTTTTATGTCTCTTTATAATCTTTAGATAGTAATCTGTTCTTTTTTCTTCTCTTGCAAATCAAATGACTTCATAGAATTTTCAGTTACTTTTGGCCCTCACTGCCCTGATATTTACATTTACAGAAATTCCTACTTGTTTTTTGAGGTCTGCACTTTTATGTAATATAGAATATTCGGTTGTTGCTGGAAAGGGGCTGCTATGCACTATTACTAGAAAAGTACTGTAGTGCAGCTATTACTCCAATAAAATTAGGGCAATCTGGGTGTTATAATAAATAGAACAATTCAATATAACTGATAGGCAGTATTGTCTTAATTCCAATCATCACTTTGATCTATCAATAATAGAATTCTTGAAATATTATTGAATGAAAATGTGAGCAGAGCAGCATCACATTGGTACAACAGGTATTCTCCTCTCTTTTTCTTGTTGCTAAGTTATGCTTACTATGGCAATAGGAACTAATACTACCAATTTGATTTCCACTAATAGGAAGCCATATTCCACTTAGTTGTGAAATCTCATCATTAAAATAAAGCTTTACCAATTTTCTACCACTTTCTAAAAATATACTTAATTGTTGAGTGTCAAAAAAAGACATAACTAAAAATTTAATGTTTATCTCATATATATATATATATATATATATATTTTTTTTTTTTGAGACAAGGTTTCACTCTGTCACCCAAGCTAAAGTGCAGTGGAGCAATCATGGCTCACTGCAGCCTCTACCTCCTGGGCTCAAGTGATCCTCCCACCTCAGCTGCCAGAGTAGTTGAGACCACAGGCATATTCCATCATGCCTGGCTAATTTAAAATTTTTTTAATATATGGAGATGGGGTCTTGCTATGTTGCTCAAGCTGTGCTCCAGCAATACTCCCACCTCAGCCACTCAATGTGCTGAAATAATAGGTGTAAGCCACTGCACTCGCCCTTATAAATGTTGAGAGTATCTGTGTCAGACGTTTTACATATGATTTTTCATTTACTCTTTAATTGTAGGAGTTATATCTTGTTACTCATCTTTATAGATTAATAAACTAAGATGCAAAGGAGTTACATTGTTCAAGTTTATTCATTCAGCAAAAAATAGAGCTTAGATATGAATCTATATATTTTTCATTAAATCCATGCCTTTTTAAAATACAATGCTATTTGAATTAACCTTTGAAAAAACAAAGAGTTAAGTAAAATGAAAATAATCATACAATCCAGGTGAATTGGGAAGGCATGGCCTTGTGGTAGCTCCAGTATATGCAGACATGTGTCACTTAACACAGGGATATGTTCTGAGAAATGCATTATTAAGTGATTTTCTACCTATGTGAACATCATACAGTGTACCTACATCATACAGTGTACCTACATCATACAGTGTACCTACATCATACAGTGTACCTACATCATACAGTGTACCTACACAAACCTTGACAGTGTAGCCTGCTACACACCTAGGCTACATGTTATAGCCTATTGCTTCTAGGCTCCAAACTTATAGAGCATGTACAAGTTTGTACACTATAGCATGTACTGTAGGCAACTATAACACAATTGTAAGTATTGTGCATCTAAATATATTTAAACATAGAAAAGATGCATAAAAAACAGTATTATTATGGTACCACGGTCCTATATTTGGTCTGTTTTTGAACATAACATTGTTGTGTGGTACATGGCTATATTTTAGTTGACTTTATTAGCAACACTTAGCAATCTGGGTATAATCATATTCACAGTAAATTACCAGTGCTTAGTATATTGCAAACACTGATTTTAGCAGTTAGCATTTATATTTGTATTTACCTTTTAAAACAACAACATGAAAAACATGTGATTATTTCCCCCATATTATGGATGAAGATACTATGCCTCAGTTATTTAAGTTTCCTAGAGTTTTGTAACAAAACAGTGCTGCCATGAATATTTAATGAATATTTAAATCCAAGTATCTGACTTCAGAGCCCATGGTCTTAGTCTCTACATGACACTCAGTCCACGTCAAGAGCAAGGTATTGGGCTGGAATTACAGACTATAAAAATGAGTCAAAATTGGAGTTTTGTCTGATGGGGGGTATAAAAGAGAATTGAGATTACTGCTGATAGAGTGCTTCAGATAATCATACCCACTGATTTACGTTCCCCAAACATCTTTCACTGAAATAAATAAATTAATGTAACTAATGCATTACTGAGAATTCATACTAGATGCATACCAAGTACCGTTACAAATATTAACTAAATATCCAGGGAGGTAGTGGTAGTACCTTGGCCCCAGGCCGTTGCATGTTCTTAACCACAGTGCTAGGCTACCAATGATGTGTTTTATCCTGAACTCTGAGAGAGAAAATTTTAGTCTGGAGTTGGGTGTAAATGCAAAGCATCTTAGCTAGTATCCTCTATGTGGCTGAGTAAAACATAGGTAACTGGTTAAACTTATCCCAAGGAAAGCTACGTAGTGTTGTCCAAGTAAGAAGCAGCTCAACAGCAACTTTTCTAAGTCATGACATTTTGTTTTTTTAAGTTACCTCTCACTACCTGTATTAGTCTGTTCTCACGCTACTAATAAAGACATGCCCCAAACTGGGTAATTTATAAAGGAAAGAGGTTTGACTCACAGATCCACATGGCTGGGGTGGCCTCACAATCATGGCGGAAGAGCAAGGGACGTCTTACATGGCGGCCGGCAAGAGAGAGCTTGTGCAGAAGAACTCTCTTTTATAACACCATCAAATCTCATGAGACTTACTCACTATCAAAAGAACAGCACAGGAAAAACCTGCCCCCAAGATTCAATTACCTCCCACTGAGTCCCTTCCACAACACGTGGGAGTTGTGGGAGCTACATTTCAAGATGAGATTTGGGTGGGGACACAGCCAAACCATATCACTACTCATGAAAATAAACAGACCAAAAAAAATTTTTTTGAGACATCATCTCAAACAAACTCATACATAATCAAAACATGTTCATAAATTTCTACATTAAAACGTAAGTAGACAAAAGCAATTTGTTTATGGAGCCGTGTGAATATATACTATTTATGCTCTACTCTGAAGTCACAGGCTTTAAGGAAACATAAAAAGAAACACATTGCACAACTGTAAAATAAACAACTAAGGGTGCTGTACCAAGGTTTGATGAAACGTAGAATATTCTAGGTTGCAGAAAATCGAAAATAGACAAGGACTAGAATTAAAAAATTATGTTATGTTTGAGGAATTCTAAGAATCTTAGAGAGAGGAGACCAGCAGGCCCATTTAGCCTGTGCATCAAGCTTAAGAAATCTTGAAAGTACAGCTACTCTTTAACAGCAAATGCCTGCTGGGGGGAAAATATAGACCTTTGGCATTAGATAACTTTTTATGTGTCACAAACACACTGCAATTTTGTGGCTTAAAGCAACTCCCACTTAAAGCAGCTCATGATTCTGTGGGACATCTGGGAACTTTTTCTGGTCTGGCTTGGCTTCACAGATCTCTTCTAGGCTTTCTCATCTATTTCAAGTTAACTGACAGTCAGGTGGTGGCTAAACTATCTGGAATGACCTCCCCCCAATCTGGCAGTGACATACTCAGCCAGGATGAAAGGCTCCAGGAACATATTGTGCTTCATTTTTAACCAGGCTAGCCAGTCTTCTTCACATTGTGGCAGTGATAGGGGTCCCATGAGTAGCACATCCTCAGGAATAAGCACTTTTCAAGACTTTCTCTCCTCTAACCATTTACTAATGTCTCACTAGTCAAGGAAGTAACAAGGTCATTCTCAGTGTCAGTATGGGAGCACATTTACAAAGGCTATAGATGGGGAGGAACAATTTGTGGTCATTTTTGCAGTCTTATCATACCCTTATCACAAATGTTGATCCTAATTGAAATGCATCAGCCACCAATATTAGCTAAATTTTAGAGGAAAGAATAATTCCAAGGATGAAGGGATTCCACACTGAATGTAGCCATGTTTTGTGATGAGAGAGTAATAGTGGGGATAAGTCATTGATTACTTTGAGGGAGGCAAAATGCTTTAGCAGAAGGGACATGAATCAGAGTAAGACTAAACCAAGTAGGTATCTCAACCCCAACACTATTGTCTGAGTATCCAAGATTGCTTAACTTCTCTAAGCCTCCATTCCCAATTTTAAAGGTGAGAGTTGGCATCTATGGCAATGCACATTTCTTATTTTCATGCTTCAGTGTTAGCTATTTTTTTAAAAAAGGACTAAATATGTTCTGATAGCATTTTTTGTCAGGATAAGTGAAGTTATCTAGAAAAATAGGCTTGATAACCTATAAAGCATTATATAAATAGTGGTTACCTCAATTACTAGGAATTTTCATTTCGAATCATGTATTATAGTCCTCCCTGCTAGTGTCTGTATTGAGCTTTATTTGATATCATTTTGAATGTTTTAAGCAATCAGAAATCTAAAATTGGGGAAAATGAAGGGAGATGAGAAAACTTAAACAAGTTTGTAGACTATTAAGTTGGTAAAAGTTAGTAAGTCACGTTGTTAATATGATAAATATATTAGAGTGATCATATTTATAAAGACATAATTTAAATACAAAAGTAGCTTTATGCTAATATTTGTCCTTCACAGTATTTAATTTTTTTTCTAATATACATATTAATGAATATATATTTGGCAATAAATACAGATTTATATGATCATTCATGAGCTGTAAAGTCAATTAATTCCATTCTTAGCAGACCTGTGCCTTTCAGCAAGTTATCACAATTCTCTATGCCTCAGTTTTCTCATCTGTGAAATAGGAATGATATCTCAAAGGTCTGTTTGATTGTTAAAAGAGATCAACTCTTAGATCAGTGTTAGTTCACAGAACACACTTTACTTTAGCTTTCCCTTGCAAAGTTTCTTCCCTCACATTTGCCTATCAGACTTTGACACTTCTTTCCGTGTTCATAGGATGGTAAGATGGTGGTACTGAGACATCCAGGAAGAATACATTTGAAGGAGAAGATGATTTGCTTCCTTTGGGTTGTGCACAGTTGAAGATGGCTGTACAACTCTAAATAGTGAAGGGCCCTTATGGGCCGTGCAAATCCCACCTCAAGGAGAAATAAGGCCAATGCCTGCCCTTTACAGACCCAGCCTAGATATTTGTAGAAAGGCAACTCATTGTTCTCCTCCTGTGAGAGCTCCAGCTGATTATTATCAAATTGTGACATATTTGAACTCTATTCTGACAATTTATTCAGCCCAAGCAGAGATCCGTTCAAGGTCTGGTGAAATGATGTTAAAAATGCAGAGCTTGGCTGGGCTGCTTGGAAAGGACGGCTCTCAACCTGATTTCTATTGACAGAAGGCAGTTCAGGCAAAGGAAGCATAAAAAGTTACAATGACTGAGGAAAAACTTGGAGCTTCCAGTTAGACCTCATTACTCTGAACAGTTAGGCTGCAAGAGAGCAGCAGGGAAGACAGTACTAGCTTCTCATAGCAAGCAGCAGTAATGAAGTGAGCCTAGAATTAGTGATCGCCATCTTTCCTGAAGAGTCAGATAGAGCAGTTGCACTGTTAGAGGCCTAAGGAGATTTCTACTCAATCTTATACAGTTCGTGGCAGAAAAATACAGTGGTTTGAGAGGCACACAAACTTCCAGGCAGTCTTGAATCATACAACTTACATTTTGGGTTTTTGCACCTCAGCGTTCTATCTTCATGGAAATAAGGGCTTTGAAATTGTATTATCTCTAAGATTATTTTCAATTCTAACATTGTTAGAAGTAAACTTCTACCTCCTGTACAAAGAAGAAACAGAAATACCCTTTCTAAAAAAGGGGAAGAAAATTTATCATGTTTAGTATTGAGGACGAGAAATGTTAGCATGCATTATCTAAATTTAATGCTTATATTATCTTAAGACGTTATCTACAATTCTCCCTATATTTTTTAAATTAGGGAATTGAAGCTCAAGCAGATAAAGAATCTTACTTCAAATTGTGTACTATTTAACTACACTTCATATGTTACATTGACTGAAAAGCTATAATTGCCATGGTTTTGCAGATGAGAAAATTGAGGTTAAGAGAGAGTAAGTGACTTGCTCCAAGTCACACACGTGCAAAGAGAGAATGCAGGGACTTGAACCTATTGACATCTAACTTCGAAGACTTATATTATCCTCACTGCATTTAGCCACACTAGTTCTGAGTATGACTACCTGAAGTAACAATAGAGAGAAAATGAAATAAAAATTTGGCTTTCCTCCAACTTTTCAGAAGCTATTCTTTGGAATTAAAAAGAGAAACTTCAGGAAGGAAGGAAGAAATATGTGGAGGGTGAAAGACTGAAGGTGGATGATATATTTTTAAGAGCTTTACTGAGTTAGGATTGACATAAAATAAGCTGTGAATAACTAACATGTACCATTTGATAAATTTTACACCAAAGAACATCATCACAATCAATGTAATGAACATATTATCATCCCCAGAAACTTCCTTGAAAAAAAGTTATCCATATAGGTAAGGGTCTATTATTGGAATCTCTGTTTTGTTATTTGAGACTGTCTTTGCACCAGTATCATGCTGTCTTGACTAATGTAGTTTTTAGATTAGTATTGAAATTAAGTAATTTTATTTCTTTTGTTTAGGCTAGTCTAGATCTTCTGTATCTCCATACGACATGAATTTTGGAATAAGTTTATACATTGCTAAAACAAAAACAAAACTAACAGAATTTTGATTGAGATTACATAGAAACTTTTAGATCAATTTGAGTAGCATTGCCATCTCAAAATATTGAGTGTTAATATTGTGAATTAAATTATTTTATTTTCAAATGTTAAAACAACTTTGAATTTGTGAGACAAACCTACTTTGTCATAACGTAACTTTTTTTTATGTTGTTGGAATCAATTTTCTGAAATTTTGTACAGAATCTATAGTTTTACGTGACAGCTCTGGTTTGGGTAATGGATTAATAAAAGTGTCAGGGAACGTTTTGGAAAAATTCTGCTCCTCTCAAATTTTCTGTAGGAAATCATGTACACTTGGTATAAATGTCTTTCTGAAAGCTTTATTAGAATTCACCAGTGAAGATATCCTGGCCTGGAGTTCCCTTTTATTCTCTTTGAAGCAATTGTGAATGGGAGTTCACTCATGATGTGACTCTCTGTTTGCCTGTTATTGGTGTATAAGAATGCTTGTGATTTTTGCACACTGATTTTGTATCCTGAGACTTTGCTGAATTTGCTTATCAGCTTAAGGAGATTTTGGGCTGAGACGATGGGGTTTTCTAGATATACGATCATGTCATCTGCAAACAGGGACAATTTGACTTCCTCTTTTCTAATTGAATACCCTTTATTTATTTCTCCTGCTTGATTGCCCTGGCCAGAACTTTCAACACTATGTTGAATAGGAGTGGTGAGAGAGGGCATCCCTGTCTTGTGCCAATGTTCAAAGGGAATGCTTCCAGTTTTTGCACATTCAGTATGATATTGGCTGTGGGTTTGTCATAAATAGCTCTTATTATTTTGAGATACATCCCATCAATACCTAATTTATTGAGAGTTTTTAGCATGAAGGGCTGTTGAATTTTGTCAAAGGCCTTTTCTGCATCTATTGAGATAATCATGTGGTTTTTGTAGTTCGTTCTGTTTATATGCTGGATTACATTTATGGATTTGCGTATGTTGAACCAGCTTTGCATCCCAGGGATGAAGCCCACTTGATCATGGTGGATAAACTTTTTGATGTGCTGCTGGATTGGGTTTGCCAGTATTTTATTGAGGATTTTTTATCGATGTTCATCAAGGATATTGGTCTAAAATTCTCTTTTTTTGTTTTGTGTCTGCCAGGCTTTACTATCAGGATGATGCTGGCCTCGTAAAATGAGTTAGGGAGGATTCCCTCTTTCTCTATTGATTGGAATAGTTTCAGAAGGAATGGTACCAGCTCCTCCTTGTACCTCTGGTAGAATTTGGCTGTGAATCCCTCTGGTCCTGGACTTTTTTTGGTTGGTAAGCTATTAATTATTGCCTCAATTTCAGAGCCTGTTATTGGTCTATTCAGAGATTAAACTTCTTCGTGGTTTAGTCTTGGGAGAGTGTATGTGTCAAGGAATTTATCCATTTCTTCCAGATTTTCTAGTTTATTTGAGTTAGAGGTGTTTATAGTATTCTCTGATGGTAGTTTGTATTTCTGTGGGATTGGTGGTGATATGCTCCTTATCATTTTTTATTGCATCTATTTGATTCTTCTCTCTTTTCTTTTTTATTAGTCTTGCTAGCGGTCTATCAATTTTGTTGATCTTTTCAAAAAACCAGCTCCTGGATTCATTAATTTTTTGAAGGGTTTTTTGTGTCTCTATTTCCTTCAGTTCTGCTCTGATCTTATTTATTTCTTGCCTTCTGCTAGCTTTTGAATGTGTTTGCTCTTGCTTCTCTAGTTCTTTTAATTGTGATGTTAGGGTGTCAAATTTAGATTTTTCCTGCTTTCTCTTGTGGGCATTTAGTGCTATAAATTTCCCTCTACACACTGCTTTGAATGTGTCCCAAAGATTCTGGTATGTTGTGTTTTTGTTCTCGTTGGTTTCAAAGAACATCTTTATTTCTGCCTTCATTTCGTTATGTAGCCAGTAGTCATTCAGGAGCAGGTTGTTCAGTTTCCATGTAGTTGAGCGGTTGTGAGTTTCTTAATCCTGAGTTCTAGTTTGATTGCACTGTGGTCTGAGAGACAGTTTGTTATAATTTCTGTTCTTTTACATTTGCTGAGGAGTGCTTTACTTCCAAGTATGTGGTCAATCTTGGAATAGGTGTGGTGTGGTGCTGAAAAGAATGTATATTCTGTTGATCTGGGGTGGAGAGTTCTGTAGATGTCTATTAGGTCCACTTGGTGCAGAGCTGAGTTCAATTCCTGGATATCCTTGTTAACTTTCTGTCTCGTTGATCTGTCTAATGTTGACAGTGGGGTGTTAAAGTCTCCCATTATTATTGTGTGGGAGTCTAAGTCTCTTTGTAGGTCTCTAAGGACTTTCTTTATGAATCTGGGTGCTCCTGTATTGGGTGCATATATATTTAGGATCGTTAGCTCTTCTTGTTGAATTGATCCCTTTACCATTATGTAATGGCCTTGTCTCTTTTGATCTTTGTTGGTTTAAAGTCTGTTTTATCAGAGACTAGGATTGCAACCCCTGCCTTTTTTTGTTTTCCATTTGCTTGGTAGATCTTCCTCCATCCCTTTATTTTGATCCTGTCATTATGATGTTAGCTGGTTGTTTTGCTTGTTAGTTGATGCAGTTTCTTCCTAGCCTCGATGGTCTTTACAATTTGGCATGTTTTTGCAGTGGCTGGTACTGGTTATTCCTTTCCATGTTTAGTGCTTCCTTCAGGGGCTCTTTTCGGGCAGGCCTGGTTGTGACAAAATCTCTCAGCATTTGCTTGTCTGTAAAGTATTTTATTTCTCCTTCACTTATGAAGCTTAGTTTGGCTGGATACGAAATTCTGTGTTGAAAATTCTTTTCTTTAAGAATGTTGAATATTGGCCCCCACTCTCTTCTGGCTTGTAGAGTTTCTGCCGAGAGATCCGCTATTAGTCTGATGGGCTTCCCTTTGTGGGTAACCCGACCTTTCTCTCTGGCTGCCCTTAACATTTTTTCCTTCATTTCAACTTTGGTGAATCCGACAATTATGTGTCTTGGAGTTGCTCTTCTCAAGGAGTATCTTTGTGGCATTCTCTGTATTTCCTGAATCTGAATGTTGGCCTGCCTTGCTAGATTGGGGAAGTTCTCCTGGATAATAACCTGCAGAGTGTTTTGTAACTTTGTTCCATTCTCCCCGTCACTTTAAGGTACACAAATCAGATGTAGATTTGGTCTTTTCACATAGTCCCATATTTCTTGGAGGCTTTGTTCGTTTCTTTTTATTGTTTTTTTCTCTAAACTTCTCTTCTCGCTTCATTTCGTTCATTTGATCTTCCATCACTGATACCCTTTCTTCCAGTTGATCGAATCGGCTATTGAGGCTTGTGCATTCATCACGTAGTTCTCGTGCCGTGGTTTTCAGCTCTGTCAGGTCCTTTAAGGAGTTCTCTGCATTGGTTATTCTAGTTAGCCATTCATCTAATCTTTTTTCAAGGTTTTTTACTTCTTTGCAATGGGTTCGAACTTCCTCCTTTAGCTCGAAATAGTTAGGTTGTCTGAAGCCTTCTTCTCTCAACTTGTCAAAGTCATTCTCTGTCCAGCTTTGTTCCATTGCTGGTGAGGAGCTGTGTTCCTTTGGAGGAGGAGAAGTGCTGTGATTTTTAGAATTTTCAGTTTTTCTGCTCTGTTTTTTCCTCATCTTTGTGGTTTTATCTACCTTTGGTGTTTGACGATGGTGACGTACATATGGGGTTTTGTTGTGGATGTCCTTTCTGTTTGTTAATTTTCCTCTAACAGTCGGGACCCTCAGCTGCAGGTCTGTTGGAGTTTTCTGGAAGTCCACTCCAGACGCTGTTTGCCTGGATATCAGCAGCGGAGGCTGCAGAACAGCAAGCAGATATTGGTGAACAGCAAATGTTGCTGCCTGATCGTTCCTCTGGAAGTTTTGTCTCAGAGGAGTACCCGGCCGTGTGAGGTGTCAGTCTGCCTCTACTGGGGGGTGCTATTATTGAGTTTTAATTTAATTCTACGGTGATCAGGTAACATACTTTTTATTACATGAATCATTTTAAATGTATTTAGTCTTGTTTTATGGCCTGGAATATGATATATCTTGGGAAATATTCTACATGCCCATGTGAACATACAAACAATGTATATTCTGTTGCTTTTGAGTGTTATGTTCTATTAATGTCAATTAGGCCAAGTTGGTTGATAATGTTATAATCTTTAATATCCTAACTGATAATTGTCTCTATTTGTACATGGATAATTATCTCTATTTGTACACCAAATATTGAAAAGTATAGAACTGCAAAGTAATTCAGAAATATCCACAATCATAGACAGAGACTTATACACCTGTCTATAATTGTAGATATTTCTGAATTACTTTGCAATTCTATTCATTTTCGCTTCATGGACTTTGAAGCTCTGTTATTACATGTATTAATGTTTAAGATATTGGTATATTAGCTATACTTATTTATTATTTTATTGGCTATTTTAGGATTTATAGTACGCATCTTTAACTTACCAAAGACTATTTTCAAGTAAAATTATACCACTTCACGTGCAGCATAAAAGCTTTACAATCGCATTATTCAACTACTTACCTCCTGACCTTTGTTTTAGTATTGTCATATATTTCATTTCCATATGTGTAACAAATTCAACATTGCCTTGTTATTTCATTAAAATAAAGATATATCCTTTAAAAAGTTTAAGTAAGAAATAAGTCTTATCAATTTACCCATGTAGTTACCTTAATCAGTGTACGTTTTCATTTTCACAGCTTTATATTTTCATGTGGCATCATTTTTATTTTCTGCCTAAATATGTAGGGTTCATTTAGTTTTTGCACTTATGTGTTTATAATTTGGGGCCATTTTGTCTTCCAGTATTTATCCTCTTCAGCCTCCCCACTCTAGCCTCTAATTATATATATTAGGCTACTTGATTTGTCCCACAGCTAACTAATACTCTGCTGATATGCTTGAATTATTCCTTTTTCTTTCAGTTTTATTTTGAATAGTTTTATTGCTGCATCTTCAAGTTTACAAATCTTTTCTTCTGCAATGTATAATTTGCCATTAGTCTTATCTATACAACATTCCATCTTAGACACTGTAGTTATCATCACTAGAAGTTTAATTTTGCTTACTTTAATCATTCATATCTCTTAACTTTTTGAACATATGGAATATAATTATAAAAGCTCTTTGACTGCCCTTGTCTCTTAATTCTAATATCTGTGTCAGTTCTGATTGATTTAGTTACTCGTGAAGGGTTTTATTTTCCTGCTTCTTTTCGTGACCGGTAATTTTTAATTGGATGCCAGACATTTTACCTTTTTGGTGCTTGATACTTTTCATATTCACATAAATACTCTTGAGCTTTGTTCTAGAACAAAGTTGATTAATTTGTAAATAGTTCTATCCTTTTACATCTTGCAGTTATTATTTTTAGATGGGACTGGAATAGTAATAATTATACGGCTAATTACTCCCTACTACTGAGCCAAGTCTCTTTTATGTACTCTGCTCAATGCCCATAAATCTTGAGGTTTTTCCATTCTGACTTGTGGGAGCTGGCACTATTCCTGGCCCTCTGTCAGTGTCAGATACTGCTTCTGTTAAGCTTTTGGGTAATTTTTGTCCAGATATGTGTATTTTTTTCATACTTATGCACTAATCAGTACTCAACTGAATTCTAGAGGGTTCTTAGAGGCTTACTTTCTAAGACATTTGGGTTTCTCTTTCTGTTCATCTTTCTCCTCTTCCATAGTCTATCCTATAAACATATATTTTTTATTTCCATCTCCTCAACTCAGGGAGTATTCCAGGCTATGTTTGAGTTTCCTCTTTCTACCCTGCAGCCTGACAACTCTCTTAAGGCATAAAGCTGGGACAGTAATAAGCCTCATCTCATTTCTTTTCTGCTTACCAGATATTATTATCCTTCTTTTCGAATGCCCAATGTTTTGAAAATATTGTGATTGTTGATTGAGAAGTGGAAATTTCCCCAAGGTAGGTACAGTATTTATATAAGGAAAATGAACAATGGTACCAAGAATGTTTTGTATAGGAGTCTGACTAATGTAACATAAAAAGAAAAAAAGTCTTAAAGCGTGCTTCCATCTTATGCCTCCTGCTAAAATGCTATTTACAAACATATCTGTTATTTCTGGCATTAGTTTAATTTTTTTAGCCATTTTTTATGGCAGAGTAAGTTACACTCTTTTATTTACAACTATTTGAAATACATGACACAACACTGTTGTGGTTTGGATACTGGCGTGTGAGTCCAGTATTACCACTTTCTGAATGCATGACCTTGGATATCATTTGTCATCTGTCTACAAACCCAATTGTCATCACCTATAAAATGTTGATAATAGCACCTGCCTTGTTGACTTTACATGACTAGTATAAGAATGCATTGAGCTTATAAATAATATTTTTAATTGTAAAGTTGTATATCAATATAGAAGTTATTATTAAAATTATGCCAATTATGTTTTTCGGGAACTTAAACTGGAAAGGTCATTTTAAGTTTCAGCTCATTTTAAAATTTTTTTGTCCTCAGGATTACTTCCTGGACTTTCACTGAAACATGTAGGGAGTCACCTCTAAAATACCACACTTCTTTGAGATTCACAGTGGAGAAACTGAAAGAGTATTAGGTGCTAAAGTCAAGTAATTCTAGACTATACCCAGGCCTTGCTATTGTGTGTTCTTCAGGAAATTACTGTACCATAGGGTTTTCTCCTTTCTAAAATTAGAAGATATCACTTTTTATGATTTTGGAGGAAGAAAATAGGATAACATGTCTGAAGAACTAGTACCTTGTAAGTATTCAGTGAACGTTATTCTAAATGTTATCACTGCTCCATTAAAAAGGCTAAGTGAACACGGTTTTGGTGTAAAGGATTGTGTTCTTCTCTAGGCAAAGTCAGCACTCATATATTAAACCTCAGTCATCTTTGACTCCTTTCTGTCTCCATTGCTTCACATCCAATCAGTTTACCAAATATTTCAACACCTCTTCCAGGCTTTCTGCTCCTCCCAACACTGCCTTCATTTCAATCTCACTGATGACTCAGATTCTTCTCTCCTAGGAATTACTGGAGCAGTGTCCTAATTAATTTCTCTCCGTAAGATTTTTCTGCACCAATCTATGCATTACATTTGGTCCTACATTCTGATAGTATAGCAGTGTTCATGACACATTAACCCTAGGGAATCTTAAGTTGTTCACTTCCAAATATTAAATATAATTGAGGTTGCCTCGCCTAACACACAGATTCCATCCAAGATAGTCACTATTTTTCTTCCTACTTACGTCTTTCTACATATCCTAATGCACTCTAGAATCAATTCACTCTTGGACATCCTCCTCAAACATGCGTAATAGACTACACTTTGACCAAGTTACTCACACTGTACCCTCCTGGAATTTTCTTACTTTCATATTGGTCAATTTTTTTCATCATTGTTAGGCTGCACAAATAAGAACTACCATGTGTACAACACCCATTACATAGCAGCCGTTGTTCTAAGAATGTTATTTTATCTGATCTTATCCTCACTATGAGGTACATATACATAATATTATCCATGCATATTTTAAGCAATGAAATCAAGGCACATTTCAATACCATTTCTAAGGTAATTAGCAAATGAGGACTAAACTGAGTTATGGCTTCAGCTTTGAATCCAAAACACATGGAATGCCTAAATCTCACTCAAATCCCAGATATTCCCATATTCTTTATTGGTTCCTTAGTTTTTTGAATATGATTTTGCAATTGGTCTTCCAGTTTATCTACATGTCTACCACCTCCTTTATTAAGTTTCTAGATTTTTCAGTGGCAAGGTCCATGTCTTATCTGTGGTTAATTCAGATTTTGTTATCAAGCTGACATGGATTCAAGTCACAGTATTTTTATTTGCAAGCTAATAATAATATTAATAATAATAATAATAAGGCTCAGTTTCCTCATCTGTAAAATGGAATCAATACAACATCCACTCCATTAAAATACGGTAAAGATTAAAAGTGATTGTGCGTGTAAAGCACTAATTATATTGTCAGGCACATAACAAGAGACAATGCCTATTAGCAATTAGTACTACTATTTTTATTGATAGCATCAATATCTGTTTATGTATTCAGTAGTGGGATACTTTATTCCTTCTTCTAAAACTCTCATTTTTGTAGTGGTGCTGCATGGGAACTGAGTGATTGATCTAAATATTAAGGGGCTGAAATTGGCCCTGACATATTTGACCTTACCAATGTTCCACCAGATGTTAGATTTCATTTCTGTAAGTGGTGATTGACAATAAATGACACATTTATGAATAGCCCTCAAGAAAGAAATTTCTTCTGATGGGAGGCAAGTGATGCTCCCACTGAAATACAAAATGACTCTGCTAAGATTAATGTGCTTCCCAGAAATGTCAAGGTAATTAATAACAATTAGCAATTTAATATAAAATGATGCCAACTCCTTGGAAACAATAGATAAATGGGCATAGGTGTGTGGCTTGCTGTCCTTTAGAAAGGTAATTCCATTAGTCACTAAGTCTACTTATAAAAATATCTGTATTATAAGAAAAACAAATATGACAAACGAGGGCCAGAGAATATAAAATAATTAACAAGAATGCTAGGAGCCAACCTTTTATGGCTCAGAAGCTCATGTAACCAACCCACCTCCCAATTTTGTTCTTATTGGTCTCTGTGTGCAGTAAGCACTAATAAATGACTAGAGAAGTTGTATACTGAGCCCTAGCAGAGGTCAAATACTTTGATGCTGAATTATCACAGCTAGTACTGGTAGTAGGAGGAAAGCCAAACATGATTATAGGTATTTTACCTGTATGAAGCCTGTAGAATGGTGAATGGCACATAGTAGGCATAAAGATAATCATCTTCTGTAATATTTTCAATTTTTATCAATAGTTTTCAAAATGTGGTCTCTAGAGCAGGAGCATCAGCATAATCTAGCAGATTGCTATCAATACAAATTACTGGGATCTACTATTAATGCTGGGAAATGGGCCAAGCAATCTGTATTTTTACTAGAACTTCAGATGATTTTGAAACTTTAAAAGTGGATATCATAACCATTATTATCAGCTGTAGAAAGTCAAGGCCCTGACAGCTTTAGTCATTGCCTGAAACCACACACAGTCAATGACGACAAGAGGATTCAGCCTCAGGTCTGTCTGACTCCACAATTCACAATATTTCTACTCTTGAGTCTGCCTTCACAGGCAAAAAGAGGCAAAGTCTAGAAATAGGCCAACCAGATCGAGCCATGTCCAGACCAAGAATTGAAGAACAGACTAGAATTTGAGGTGCTGTTTCCCACAAATGGCTCTCTGACTCTCATGTGCCCTGGGCCTTGCCCTGCATGTAGTTTCAGAGATGACACTTATGACTGAGTGCTAGGAAATTGGTACATGCAGCTCAGAACCAAAAGTAGGTAACTAAGACCATGAATGAACTGAGAGTTGAAGCCCATTACTGACAGAGGGCGTATCAGAGATCTAAGTCTTAATGAAGTAAGCAAAAATAACTTTTTACTGCTAGAAACCTTTTTGAGGTTATGAGATTCTTATTCTTAAAACGACAGGAGACTTTTCAAGTACACCAGGTGCAAAGATCTTTGTTCTGGAATGTGGACCTGATATGTCTGTGACAGCTCTTTCACTCCCTTAGGCTTCTATTCAAATGTGAATGTATCAGTATGGCCTTCTCTGATAAACCTAATAACAGTAAATCAAATAAAAAATCTAATAAACCTAAATAAACATGAGACCTTCCACCTCTCATACTTGCTATCCACCTTTCCTGCTTTAGTTTTCTCTCAGACTATATTCCTATTTAAAATAGTATAGGGGTGTGTGTGTGTGTGTGTGTGTGTGTGTGTGTATGTGTAGGTGGAGAGATAGATAGATATTTGTTAAGTGGCAATCACTTTCATAGCATAGTGCTCTCATCACCCAGGCTTCCCAATCCGCTTATACACACAGTTATGAGTTCTCTCTGTGCACAATGCTCTTGGTTAAACTACACTGTAATTGACAATATATTAGTCATAATCCATAAATTTGAAATAAAGTCTTTGAACTTTAAACTTAATTCAACAATATAGGTTTAGACAAATACACTGTTCTCTGAGGAGACAGTTTGACTGAATATTTACTTAAATATACATTATTCACTTTTGAAGCAGCCCTGGTTTCTAGGCAAAAACTTTTTGAAATTTCTTTGATGTTGTAGATTGATTCTACATAAGAAACAGTAATTCAGCAACAACAGACTTGATTGTATTATATATATTATGGATATAAAGATACATAAGAAAATAAAATATAACTTTACACTCAAAGTGATAGCCATTTTGTAGGCAAAAAAAGAAATACTTACCAAGGCTAACAAAATCCCCTCTCTGTGGCTCCTGATTCCCTTCTCATTGCTCAGCACACTTTTCCCTCTTAAATTTCTTCTTTAATCCAATCACCAGTCTTGATTACCTTTCACCAGCTTTCAGTGTACAGATCATTCTTAGAACAGTGGCTCTCAAACTTTGGATCTCAGAACAAGTTTATGCTTTTAACATTTTTGAGGGGAGAGGCTTCAAGATGGCTGACTAGAGGCATCCAGTCGTCACCATGAAAAGGACCAAAAGAGCAAGTAGATAATCACACAGCAAATAGAGCATTTAACAAAGAACACTGGAATTTAGCAAGGAAGTGATAATGAACTTGTAAGGCATGAAAGGAGGGAGAAGTGAGGCAGCCAACTGGCCAAGATTTACTGGGAGCTCAGAGAGGCTTCACAATGTGGGGAAAGGGTAAGTGAGAGATACCCAGTGGTCTACAGTTCCATTACAGACTCCTGTAATCCTAGCCACAGGAGAGCTCCTTGGTCCTCTAGTGCCCTTAGACTTGTATAGAGAGCTGCCTAGATCTGTGTAACAGCATTTTTCCAAAGAGGGAGTTCATGCTGGATCCTACACACTACCTGGACCTAAAGAGCTGCAGCATGGCACCATTTGGAGAGGACAGCCCTCACTATACTACATTTTACCCTGGGTACCCTGGGGCCCAATATACCCTATTTTACCCATTCTGGACCCCCACTGATATACACCCATATCAACCCAGAGGGCTGCAGCAGTGCAATGCTGGCTGTACCCAGCAGTGTGTCCAGGTCCTCAGCACTCTGGACCATAGTGTCGTACACCTCAGGGAATATGTGGTAAAGTGCACTGAGGAGGATGCCCTCAAAACAAAGAGAGCTAAAATGTGCTCTCCCCAAAGCCTGAGAGCTGCCAGCAGGGGTTCCTACCACTGAGAGCAATGCTGCCTCCCAGCAGCAGGGATGCCAGACACCAGCATGCGCCATCAGTAGGCCTGGAGACCAACCCCATCAGGAGACTTGACGGAAGACCCAGCCTGCCTACCACTGGCACCTGGATACACCAGGCCCTGGAGATCACCCTGCCCTGCCAACCACAGTCCAACACTGTGGGTCTGAGGACAGGCCTGCACTGCCTGCCACACCACCCCTGCAATACCTGAGTGTACCATCCATGGGCCTGGGAATCCATCTGCCCCATCTGTTGCCATGGGCATGCAGATTCACGATCGGTAGGCCTGACAATAAGTCAAGCCCATTCATCGTCAGTGCCAGAGCACACTGAGTGGGGGCCTGGTAATTGCCTTGCCCCACCTACCACTGCTAGTGTCCACATACATACTCCTCCTGGGGGCCTGAGGATAGACTCACACATCCTGATACTACCACCACTGTGGGTATTCACTTACACAGACCACTTGGGGGTCTGGTGACTGGCCTATCCAGGCTGTCACTATTATTGCAAGCACTAGTGCATGCCACCTGGGAGCCCAAGTGTTGGCCTGCCACTGCCACTGTATTTGCTAATACCTCACATGCTTCCCAGTGGCTCAGTTACCCGGCTACCTGCCTGGCTTAATACTGCTACTACCAGCACCCAAGGAAGCCACCTGAAAACCCAAGAATTGGCCTGTCTGGACCCACTATCACTGGTACTCATGTATGCCACCTGTGGACCCAAGGACAGGCATGTTTGGCCCGCCACCATCACCACTGGGTTTTACCCATCCCCAGCAAAGCCTCACCACATACTCCATTAACAACTACAGCCTAAGCCACTGAGGAACTCACAGACACCACTGATGCTGATTACAGCCAAAGAACTCATACAAAGACACTACACTGCTGTACTCACCCAAAATCAAAGCTAAAATACCTTAATCAAGCAATACTATAGATATATCTTCAGGAAAAAGGCTTTTCCTACAAAAGCTCATACAAAATAATTGGAAAGAAGCAACAGTTATGCCAAATATGCACATATAAACTGAGGGCATGAAAAACATAAAAAAGGAAGAAAATGTGAGGCCTCCAAATGACCACAATAGTTCTTCAGCAACAGATTCCAACAAAGGTTTATGAAATACCTGAAAAAATCAGCCTCTATGAGATGGCTGAAAAAGAATTCAAATAATGATATTAAAGAAGCTTAGTGAGATACAAGAGAATACAGATAAACAACAAAAGAAAATTTAAAAACAATTTAGGATCTGAAATATAAATTCAACAAGTTACATAACATAAAAAAGAACCAAACAGAAATGCTTGAACTAATTCATAAATGAAATAAAAAATGCAATCCAGAGCTTCAACAATAGATCAAATCAAGCAGGGAAAAAAATTTCTGAACTTAAACAAAAAGAAAAAAAAGAATAAAAAATAATGAAGAAAGCCTAAGTGACAAAGGAACACGGTCAAGTAACGCAATATTTTATTTTTGGGATTGTGCTAAAAGGATTACAGATGGGAGATGTCATAGAAAGCCTATTTAATAATAATAATAATAATAATAATAATAATAATAATAAAGCCCTGAAAACTTTGCAACCCTTACAAGAGAGTTAGATATCCAAATGCAAAGAGCTTAAGGATCCCCAAGTAAATACAACCAAAAAAGGTATTCTCCCAGGCACATTATCATCAAACTTTCAAAAGTCAGAGACAAAGAGAGAAATCTAAAGACAGAAAATGAAAGGCATGAAGTCACATATAAAGGAATCCCCATCAAACCAATGGCAGATTTCTCAGCAGAAACCTCACAGCGGAGGTGAGAATGGGATAATATATTCAAAATGCTGAAAGGGAAATGTCAAGCAAGAATACCATACCCAGAAAAACTACCTTTCAAAAATCATGAAGAAATGGAATCTTTTCAAGACTAGGAAAAATTGAAAGAATTTATCACCTCTAGACTGGCCCCACAAAACAATGCTCAAGAGAGTCATACATCTGAAAATAAAAGGGTGACTCCTACCATCATGAAAACACATTAAAGTGTGGTACTTTAAAACTTAGTGGTAAAGCACACACACAAATGAGAAAGAATAGAACGATACTTATCAAAGAACGGAAAGAATGTAGAAAGTGAAGTATGCAGAGAGGTTGGTTAATGGTTATTTATGTAGAGTTAGATAGAAGAAGCAGTTCTAGTGTTTGATAGAACAATAGAATGACTACAGTTAACAGCAATATATATTCTGTTTTAAAGTAGAAGAGAAGATTTGAAATGTTTTGAATGTAAAGAAATAATAAATGTTTGAGATTATGGATATCCTGAATACCTGACTTGATCATTACACATTCCATGCATGTATCAGAATATCACATGTACTCCATAAATGTGTACAAATACTATATATCGCTTTCAAAAATGTAACTAAAAATAATAATTGAGGGAACCCTAAAGAGCTTTTGGTTATATGAGTTACAAAGTTTTGTGATAGAGCTGATTTTGTACTAACTCATCAGAGCTGCTTTTTAAAATTTCAGGAAATTTTGTTAGAAGTTTGTTCAACAACCAGGTCACAAATTACATTCTATACAATTACAATTAAGTAAATTTTATTAATACAAAAACCCCACAAAATATTCCAAAAATAGTAAGATGATGTCATATATGCTGGGGTACAAAAAAAAAACCCCAGTGTTTTCTATGAGTTTAGAAGAGGGCCAGCTAAATCAGCAGAGACATGAGGTGATCAAAAACCTTTTTTCAAAGCAGTGGGAGCTGGACTACTTCTGAACCAATATGGCCTATGCTAATGTAACTTAAAGATAACCACCTGGCTCAAACATAAATACTAGACGTAAATTCACCCAGAGGGGCTCAGGACTAGTAAGTAAGCTGTTGGAAGCCAAATAAAAGCATTTTCTAGCTAGAGGTAGTGCCAAAGACTTAGTCTACTCATTTCCCTTGGGTTTCTGTAAGTGAAGTACATTTCATTTCTAGTTATCTTCTATATGGTGCTGTCAATAACACCTTCCTAGCAGAGCTGTTGATTTATTAAATGAGATAATATATTAAAATTGTGATGATACATAAAATACCTCAATATTCTGTGACAGAAAACATCAGCTCTGTGTACAGGTAGACTAAGGCTTTTCTTACCTCAGGGCCCTACACAGAGCATGTGCTAATTAGTGGCTTATCAAATTATCAATTTGATATGGATCTGAGTTTTAGTGACTGTCAAGATCACCAAAAATCATGCAGTTTGTCTTGTGAAAACAGATTATGACCTGTATGAAAACTTGTATTATAACATATGCTTTATTATTAAAATACCTTTTAATTTAAAAATGCAAAACTGTGTTAAAATTTTAAATGACCATTATTATTATTACTTTGAGATCATAATCTTAACATTTTAAAAATATAATAACACAGAGTAGTTTCACTTTTATGCTGCGTTTATTCCACTTAATGTCATGTTAATATGTTAAATAAAAATATTTTCAGTGCTGCTTTAAATTGCCCTCGTTTAGTAGCAATAGATTTGGGCATCTTAATGTACTTATTGACGGTTTGTATTTTTTTTATCTTTGCTCAACTTTTCTTGCTGTCTTATATGCTTTTATTGGGGACATATTTTTGTTTATGTTAGCAGATATTCAGTTTTGTCATATATTAGGAAACATTTCTCTCTCTCGCTCTCTCTCTCAGTGTGTGTGTGTGTGTGTGTGTGTGTGTGTGTGTGTGTATGTGTTATTGTTATAGGTTGGTTATTAGGTTGGTTTAAGCTAGTATTTGGCTTAAAATTTACTTATGTTATTTTTGGCTCACCCTTATATTCTTTTCATAATTTACTTTTCAATTTTTATTTATAATTTTTTCTTTTCCTTAAAAGCCTAGAAAAGCTTTCATTTAGGCTACATTAATACATATTAACTTTTCTTTAAACTTCTATTAAATGATCTTATTTTAAGTTTATTTGGAATTTGTTGTTTTATGGTATGAGGTAGGGATTAAATGCTTTTTATTTGAATACTGGTTAACCAACTGTCATAGCACCATTTATTGAATAAACTATCATTTCTCAAGTAAATTCAAATTGTCCTTGGTACTTATAATTCTTTGGCTATTTCCATAGAAATAAGTTGAGAGATGGATTAGGTGGGTGAATAGGCCCATGTGTTATATTTGAAAGGTTAAATTGGGTCTTTGATATCCAAGTTGAGCTAGATCTTTGATTTATATATCAAATAGGAAAGCTGAAAGTATATCACCTGTGCTAGCAGATAATTGTAAAATCTATGGCAATTTCACTGGAAGTGTACCCTGATGTATTACCATATCCAAAGTTTGGAGATGAGATGCTTAGCTCTTTTAACTAGGAAACAAAGGGTGTCAACAGCTAGTTTTTTACAGTTCGCTGTACGTCCTGAAGCCTGAGAAGACTTTGTGTCACCTGTGAGTCCTAAGAATGAGTAAATCTACAAGATGCCCCTTCTTGTATTTTAGTGCCAGCTGTTTGCAGAACATTTGTGCAACCTCCAGTCTTTATCATCCTTTTAGATCACCTGAAAATAAGGGCATTTTAGGTATTTTAGAGGTGGTGGTCAAATCATTACCATGACTGTGTTGAACACTTAAGCCTGGATATGGATAAGAAAGAGGACGGACGTTGTAAGTGTTACCAAAACACCAGGAGTTTGATCTAAGTTCTGCTACTTGCCAAACAGAAAGCCAATCACTGTGACAATGAGTATTGGAAGGAAGAAGGCTTTAATTGGGTGCTGCAAGAAAGGAGATGGGAGATCAGTCTCAAATCCATCTCCCTGACCAACTAAAGTTAGGGATTTGTATAGCAAGGAAAAAATGTAACCATGAGTCGGAAAACAGGAATTAGAAAAGGGTAAGGAAGAGGAGTTGGTCAACAGGAAGCAGATGGTTGGTTATGCAATCATGACAGTTGAGGAGTTTCATGTCTCACTGTCCAACAGCAGTGACCTGCTGTGTTTCTGCTCTGTGATATTATCTGAGAGACCTGATGGTTGGTTCCCTGAGAAAGGAACTCAGGTAAGACAAAGGAAACTTTCTCAAGTTTTAAGACTGAGAGGATCAATTTCTATGCTTATTCAAAGAAACAACATCAGCTTTACGGGACAATTGGGCCGGTTTCACAAGTCCAGAATGGGGTTGTTTGCTTGCAAATTTCACTCCAATCTTGCTTGAGGCTAAGCCCTGAGTACAGCATAACCTACTCCCATCAATACTTACTCCACTGTAGATATTGTCTAAGATGAAAAGAAAGACCAGCTGTAAGGAATACAGTTTTCAGGTTAGGTTAGACTTCAGGAGAAACCCTAAACCCAGCATTTACTAGATGTATAAACTCAGGCAAGTTATTTTTCTTCTATAAGTCTCTTTGCAAGTAAAATGGAGCTCGTGATCAATATTCCATAGAATTTCTATATATGATAATAAATACACTATAGCGGAAGTCCCTAGCATGTTAAGTGTTTTATAATAGGTAGCTTAGAAAACAGTAGCCCATGTAAGTTTTTTTTAAAAAGCCAAACTCATTTCTTATTTCATTCTTTCATAATGTGGCTGAATAGTATATTATTTATAAACATTTTAGATATCTTAATGGAGACAGAAACTGCTGAGCCATCAATCATTCTGACCCTCTGGCTTACAGCAGGCAATTTATTTTAGTTCTCAAACATTCTGTGTTTAATTACTAGATTAAATTGCCTGAATTTAAATTATTAATCTGGGTTACTGAAGTAAAGTCTGAAAAAAGCAGTACTTTTGCAGACAGGTTGTTTGAGGATTAAATGAAATAACACATGCAAAGGATTTAGCATTGTATTGTGCACAAAATAAATGCTCTACAAATATTAGCTGATATCATTACTATTTTTGCTATTCTATGCTTCTGCATCTTTCCCCTGAAAGTCATAAAATATCTAGATGTCTTTGGTTGCAATTAATTGGTATTATAATCATATAATGAAAGAATATTAGTGATGGAAGAGATCTTCAAATTTATATTCTAGTTTATAGATGAAAAAGTGAGTTCCAGACAATGTCATTATATTTCAACAATATCACTCAGCCAGTCACGGTCCACACGGCGATGCTATCCAGAACTGCTGAGATTCAGAGGCCATTCAAGAATGCATTCAACTGTGATATCTAAACACACATTTAAAGATATTTTGCTTTTCATTCCTACATTCTTACAATCTTAGATTTAGATTTAGGTATTAGATCTCAAGGGAAGAATACAAGTTGATGGCAGTTCCACAAAGAAGGAATGAGAATCATGCTTGGAGTCCATTAGATCATTGATACATATCTCAGTACTTCCATATCCACAAATAGTGGCACATGAAAAAGTGCAGTCCTATGAAGAATGCCACAAGGAACTGTAAGCTTGAGACAATTAAGGTTATCCCACCAGATTAAATAGCTCTAGCAGCTAAGTTCTGACAGAAGGCCAAAGGAATGGAAAAAAGTAAGTGGAATGATGATCCATGATTATCAGCCTAATTTTTGTGACCAGCTACAGAGGCAGGGACAATCACAGTGGGTTATTGGCTTAAACCATTTTCTCTACTCTAACCGTATCCTCACACACAACTTTCTCTCTGACTCCTTTCTCTCTTTCTCTCTGTCTCTCTTTTACTCTTCCTTTCCTTTCCTTTTTTCTTCTTTCTTTCTTTCTCTCTTTCTTTCTTCTCACTCTTTCACCCAGACTTGAGTGCAGTGATTCAATCATAACTCACTGCAGCCTGAATTTCCTGGCTTAAAGGAATCCTCCTGCCTTGGCCTCTCAAGGTGCTGGGATTACAGGTGTCAGCCACCATTCTTGGCTCAGCTTTCTTATATGTAGAGCACAGACGGTGGCTAGTTTCATAATGAGATTTCAATGATATCACTGAATATCACTGAAGTGAACACCCTGCAGTGACACAGTGACTAACATGACTGTTTTCTCTTTGTGGTAACATAGATTGTATGTATGTTTCTCACTTAAAGAAAGACACTGGTAGTGGTGGGTGGCAAAATTGATACCAGATCTATTCTTTGCTATTCAAAAGACTGCTTTTACTTTTGTAGGCTCAGGAGAGGCAAGAACAGAGATTTTAGGCTATTGATTTCCCTCACCTTCTCCCTGACAGATCATGGGACAGTAGTGCCTTGATAGGGACAGTGGCTGTGTTGCTCTACCAATGACCACGGTTTCCCTCAGATGATTAAACTCTCCTGGCCACAACTTCCAGAAAGTCTTCTCCCTTCCACTGTCCTTTTGGTCATCCAGTTGAGTGACAAAGACTCCCTAAAATAGTTCATGCATGAGTGCTTAGCTGTCTCTTGTTGATTTCTTTATCTCTCTGCACAAATCTGTAAAGAGTTCTCTCTCTCTCTCTCTCTCTCTCTCTCTCTCTGTCTTTCTTTCTTTTTGGGTGTACCATCTGTTTCCATCCAGAATCCTATTAAACAGGAGTTGATTTCTAGAGAAGTGCTTGGAAATGCCATCAGAACTGGCAGTAGAGGAGGCAAGCATAGTGTAGTAGAAGAAAAGGCCTGGGATGGGATTTGGGTTCCCAGTATGTATCCCTTCTTAACCATTAATACCGCATTTCAAGTGAAAAGAGTTCTACACATATACCTATCCTCTGGCCTGACTGACATAAATTAGCCAGTTCGCTTTACTTGCTGAAATCTAATATATGCCAACATTTCAATTTCTTCCAGCATTTTTATAAACTGTAAATTTGTGTGGGAGTCTTCCAGTAATTCAGTGAAGATTCTGAGAATAGTTGCACAAAATTTTAAATTCTTCACAGTGGAAAGATACAAAGGGAAGTGATGTTTCAGGAAGATTCAGAAACCTCTTACCTAACATATTTTTTTCCCAGCGTACTCAGCAATAAACCTATTTATGATAAAATAACTAAATAACCAATTTTTGAATGTTTAAAGGTGACATTTAGAAGCATTTAACTTACCAACTAAGAGCATCTACACTTCAATTTTCATAGAAATGTCATTTCATATGAGAAATAAAAAACTTTTAAAATAAATGTTCTTTCCTGATCAGGTTGCTTTCTCTCCCAATTTCTCTTGAAAAATATGCTTTTTTTCAGAGAGATCTTTAGTGAATATCATTAAATAGGAATGAAACTAATACTTCATAATTTTGAATTATTTTTTGAAAGGGCATTTTTATTATTCTTTATGCCAAAGACAACTAATAAAAATTGTATTTTTTCTCCATGATAAAATAGAGTGATATTGTAGGCAAATATAACAGCAATAAGATGAATCTACTGTTGTGTCTTTAAGATGAAAATAAAAAGTCTATGTGGATATGTATTTATATAATCCATTTGAGCCTGAAATGAACTTTAAGAGCTCTGTCCTTGCACCCTATAAAAAAGACAAGAGGGTAGAAAGACACACAAGGACTTATTCTTAAAACGTGAGACCTGCAGGACTATCTTGTTTATTTAATATAATAAGCATCATTTATTACAGAATAAAGAATAGCATGGCTCTAAGAGATGGCCCTTCATTTATACCATAGCAGTCATTAGTATATCTTAACTTTACATGTGTTCAGGATATTCATGATCCTTTTTGTCCCCTTTCAAGATGCTGGGCCTTTAAATTACTGCTTAAGAGCTAGGAAGCAAGATGGGGCTATTAGATTTAGCATCATATATTTTTCCAAGCAGTATACACAGCACTTTTTAAATATGTATGCAGCCCGTTTTAGACTGTAATTTCTTTTCAGTTATTTATACCACTGACGGGCTTTAGATCCTTATTTCTGACTCTATAATTTAATGCCATGACACAAGCCCCAGATTTACAGTTTCCACTGCTGGCCTGAGAGTTTCATTCCACTTCCCTCTGATACGGTGAATTCAGTGGATTTGTGGAAGGGAATTTCATTAGTAGGTTTTTTTTTTCTTTGTTTCTTTACAATACATTTTTGCAGACTCAATATTAACTTATTTGTCTCCCAAGAGGTGCTCTGGCACTAGGTTTTGAAGCATATTTTGTAGTTCCTGATTTTCTACAATTGACATTCCATTGTATTTATCTACCAAAATTCACATTTCATTGAAAGCTTAATGTGAATATGTACACATCATTTAACCCTGTAAGCATTACATATCTCATCTGTAAAATGGGCATAAAATATCCATTTCATGATGTTGTTTAAAAAAATGAGTTTTTGCATGTGAAACACTGAGAACAATGTATAGCACATACCAAGAAGCAATATAACATAATGTTTAAGAGTGTTAAAGTTGGAGGCTATGCGCTGTATAATTTTAGAGATACTATTCCCTTAGATTACAACAAGAATGATGTCTTCTGGAATAATTCAATGTGGTAGCCCTGTCTTTGACCCACAGACTCTTAGAATTTATTTCAAAGAAAAAGGAGCAAACAGAGCAGATATATATAGAAAATTGTGTGCCACAGTACCATTTGAATAAATAAGCAGGAATAATTTAAATGTTCACCAAGAGATCTGTGTAAGTGAATTATGTTGCATATAAATAATGAAATACATGCTCTGCAGCTGTTACAAAAGAATGCAAAATGCAAAATGGTCTGTATTGACATTCTATATATTCTATAATTTATTGACAAAAACAAATTCCAGAAGTGTATATGTACCAAGATTCAATGTTTTCAATAATATTAAGTACATAGGGAAATGTTGAATATTGATACTAAACTATTAACAGTGATTATATCTACAGAGTGGGATTGGAGTAAATTTTCATTTGCCAAGTATCAGATTTTTGTAATTTTGTAAACAAAGAAGTTATGTATCAAAATTATTAATAAATACCTATGTAATAATATAATATTTCTAGTTAACATCCTTTAATTAATACCCACTGCCTATAGGATAAAGCTCAGAGCCTTCATAAACTGTAACCCTGCCTGACTGCCCAGTATCTTCTCCTATTATCCACCTTGCCACATATTCCCAAGTTATAGAGGATAATCATAGTTCCTATTAATATATTTTCAGATAACTTGAGGATTATGCTCATTCTTGTTTTCCCTACTTATCATGCATATCTCTGTGAGCAACTCTATTGCAATTGCCTTTTCCTATATCCATCTCTCATTATGTATTTTGATCCACTTGATAAAAGAGAACTAACAGAGTGACTAACAAATGATAGCTCCTCAGTAAATGCTTATAAAACTAAAATGAACTATACTAATATTTTGGGAGTTTTGCAGGCCAGTGTGAGCTCACACACACAAAAATATTCTAAGCAACATTATAATATAAGCTGAATCTTGACCAGCAGCAAATTTAGAGAATTAGTTGCAGCTGGGCATGGTGCCTCACGCCTGTAATCCCAGCAGTTTGGGAGGCTGAGGCAGGCAGATCATGAGCTCAGGAGTTCGAGACCCTCTTGGCCAACATGATGAAACCCCATCTGTACTAAAAGTACAAAAATTAGCTGGGCATGGTGGTGTGTGCCTGTAGTCCCAGCTACTCGGGAGGCTGAGGGAGGAGAATCACTTGAACCCAGGAGGCGGAGGTTGCAGTGAGCTGAGATCATGCCACTGCACTCCTGTCTGGCGAAAGAGCGAGACTCCGTTAAAAAAAAAAAAAAAATTAGTTGCAAGCCACGTTCCAACAGGCAACGTATGATGATTGTTAAATATATGACATTATAGTAGTTCATTGCTTTTGTGTAATTAAAATTCCAACAGCACGTTAAATGTATACAGAGATTTAAAGAAAGAGCATGACTTGTTGCATTAAAACAGCAGTGAGTAGATAAAGTTCTTGAATAGAGTTATAGGCTTCCTATAGAAACACCTGGGAGTAAAGAAAGCACCAAGAAATATAAGATTGGACAAAAATAAATAGAGAAATAACTACACAGAAATAATGCAGCATTAAAAGAAGAAAATGTAAGATAAGAGATTGAGTCTGAGATTGGTGAAGTGAGACAATGCAGCAGATGTCTAAAAGGCTCTTCTTAAGAATCTTTTAATTAAAGTACTAGCAGAAGCTTTTTATGATACTGCTTCATTTCTTTAAATGAATCTATTTAAATGGATGCTATATTATTTGGGGCTGTTTTAATTACTTATAAAGGAAATCAATTCTTGCTTCATTTGGTAATGTATCTACCTTCATTTTTCAAAAGGAGCGAAACCAAAGGTGAGATTTTCTAATTTCAGATCTAAATTTTATTGGGAACAGCTAGTTTGACAAGCATAGACCAGATGTCCAGTTGTCATTCATTCAGCAGGAGCAGCAAGATTCAATCATGTTTTTATTATATTATTTCCTGAAACTTGTGGCTGTAACAATGAAGTTTGAGGTAGGTACTGTTCACCAAAACATAGAAGAGATTCCAATTGATGCTCACTACTAATTAGTGTTCATTAAAGCATAACATACCCTAGATTGTTTCTCTTGGATTACTTATCTGTACTTGTGTATTCATTCATTTGTTCATTCATTCACTCATCCATCCAACTATCTATCTGTCCATCCATTTATTCATTTTCAAACTAAGTTTTAGGGCTGGCACTGTGATAAATGCTATTCACAGTCATTAATCAATAGTTATAGTTATTATTTAAAAGTGTATAGAATAGCAGAAGGTGGAGACATTTTCATATAAGTTAGAAAGTGCTATAATTATCTCTTGGTTTATGTGTTATAACTGAGACAGCACAAAGAACAGCTTATTAACTTTGTCTAATAAAGTGTAGGTAGTAGTAAAATTTAAGCTGAGTCTTAGAGAATATATATGGATTTTTTAAAGGAAGAAAAACAATAGCATATGCAAAACCTTAAAAGGAAGGAAGGGCTTTATGAGTTTTGGAAATAAGGAAAAGAAAAGGATGATGAGTTTGGAAGAATGGTGGGAAACAGGCATAGAGAGGTGGATTGATTTCTGGTTATGCAGACCTTACTGTAGCATGTTAAGGAGTTATATTTTATCAATGATTCAATACCTTATTAAGAGGAAGGATTTGATTAGATTAGTGTTTTAGAAAAATTAATTTGCTAGTCATGAGGGTGAACTACAGTGGGGTAAGATGAAAGCAGGACAACCAAATAGGTGGCTTTTATAAAAGCTTAGGAAACAGATAGAAAAGCCCAGACTAAGGAAAATGTAGTATTGCACTTAATTTCTCTTAGTCATTAGGTTTTTCAACATAAACCAAACCAAAACAAAATCATTGCAAAGAATAGAGCTCTGTTCTTATAAAGTGTTTCCCTTCAGTTGTGGTCTAATTAATTAATTGTTCCTGAAGTTTAATTAAATAGTCATGGATATTTTTATAAAGGATGTGGAACAACCAATTAAAATATTCATCTTGGCCTTTCAAAATTAATTATCCCTTAAATGCCACAGTCTAACCTATATCACAGATATTTAAGCATAAGGGGAAAAATGTTTGGATTTGAGTGAATCATAGTATTTAGTCTATCATATTCTCATAGGGAAAATGAAAGGTAATTTGAGATATACTACAGATCAGTGCTATTCAATAAAACTATTGGTGACGATGGAGGTGTTCTCTGTCGTTACTGTCCAACATGGCAGTTCTAGCCATATGTGGCTATTGAGCACTTAAAATGTGCCTAGTACAATGGGGGACATGAATTCTTGATGTTTTTAAAATTGTATTTAATACATACAAACTTAAACTGAAATTTAAATAATCACATGTACCCTAGTGGCTACCTTGTTGAACAGCACAACTCTATAGACAGTGAAAAATATGCAGACTCAGTTGGACAATCCTGCAATGTGTGGCTATAAAGAAGGCAGTGCAGGGCAGAAGATATAAAGTAGGGCAGGGGCTCAGGATGGAATTTTATTTCAGCGCAGATAATTAATGAGCTGCAGATATGAATTTGCACATAAACGTAAGTTCTCTCACTTGTACTATGAAGTGATTGGCTGAATAATCATGACTATCCATTTAAGCTTCATGTTTCTATAGAAGTAAGTGATTGTCACAGTTCAGCTGAATAAGATCTTGTTGGAGAAAATGGCTTATTTTCCACACTTTTCTTCATTTTTATAAAACTGGTCTAGGTGTAAATTTGAGATGCAAAAGTCAAGGATATATATTTTGAGTAAGTTGAAAATGCAAAAGCAAATATGTACATTTGCTGAAAGCTATTTGTTTTCAATCTAGTAATTTATATACGCCTTACTTTGTAATTTTCACTTAGTGTCTTTCTTTTACTACATGTTACCTTCTATGATAGGCAGCCTCAATATGACTTTCAATTATCATCACTTCCTGAAATTCATACCCTTGTTTTGTCTTCTTCCACACAGGATTGGTCTGTGTAAGTATGGCAGAAGTGATGTTAAGTCGCTTATGAGATTAGGGTATAAAAGACTAAGGCTTCCATGCTTCCATCTTGGTCTCTGTCTCTCAGAGAACAGTCATGTGAATGATTCTTCTTGAAAGTAAATCTTCCAGCCCCAGTCCAGTATTCAAATGATCCAGCAACATTGCAACTTATGAGAGACCTTGAGCCATCCAGGTAACATGCTTCCAAATCCTGACCCTTAAAACCTGTAAAATAATAAATGTGGTTTTAAACTCTTAAGTAATTTGTTACATAGTAATAAATAGCTAATACACCGTCCTGACTATTGTCATTCTTTACAATATTTCATAAGCACTAGTCATTAAACTATCTGTAGTCCCTAAAATATTTATCAATCCTTTAAGCCTCTATAAGTTCACAGATTTTTATGTGTAGATATTTATTCCTCTGTCAAATATCTAATGCAATATTTTCTCTTTCAAATTTGGCTAGTGTCCTTTCTAGAGAATTTTATGACCTCACCAATCTGAATTAAGCACCATCGCCATTCCTGGTTTCATAGAAGCAGATGCCCATGTCTAACTTAGCACTAGTCACACTGTTATGTTCACAAGATTGTAAGCTACTAAGATTGGGACCTTAGTTTTATTAAGTTTACATAATGTCAGATACATTGCCTAGCAAAAAAGAACTTGCTTAATTATTGTTTTTTAAAATTAAATACTAACAGAATGAATGGTTAAACACCATTAAATAAATATGTTAGTTCAGATTATATATTGATGTATGGTCATTAGTTTCCTACAAAAGAGAAATTTCATGTTTTTCTATCTAAATGTATAATGCTCCCTCCAGCCCTACAGACATACTATTTTTTTCAAAAGAATAAAGAGACATGAACAATATAAATTCAAACTGCAAGACGGTTGTGTCACATTTCCTGGACTATGTTGTAGCCTCCGTTTTGTAGCTGCACCTCCAGGATAACTTGTGAATCCTTAGGGTCATGGAAAGAAGCCCAGTAAGTGGATTTCTTTCTGAACAGGGCTGTCTTTGTTTCATCATGGAGCACCTTGTCCTCTTCATCCAGCATTATGATTTGCTCTTGGCCTTTCTCTGGGACACAATATGTGGCTCATAGTTCTGAATTAGAGGAGAAAGATGGTTTTAGCATTATAGTTGCAAATATAAAGCATTTCTCTGGATTTAGCCTGTTCTTTACCAGGGAGCTTGAAGTACCTAAGGAGGAAGTCATTACATATTAAACTCAGAATAAAACACCTAAATTCCAGGACATGACTAAAGTGTGTTGGTGACAAAAACTTCTGGAAAACTAACTCTGCCAATTCAGAAAATGTTACTGGCCTCATAAAGTAATGGTACAGATCTATAGACAATTTAAATTGCCAAGGTGAGCAAAGATTACATTTGAGAGTTTGGGGATGACTGGGCATGGTGGCTCACGCCTGTAATACCAGCACTTTGGGAAGGCAAGGTGGGCAAATCACCTGAAGTCAGGAGTTGAAGACCAGCCTGGCCAACATGATGAAACCCTGTCTCTACTAAAAATACAAAAATTAACTGGGCATGGTGGCGGGCACCTGTAATCCCAGCAAGAGTGAAACTCCATCTCAAAAAACCAAAAAAAAAAAAAAAGAGAGAGAGAGAGTTTGGAGAGTTTGGGGAGATTATGTAATGATTGTTACCCCAGTGATGTAAAAGTTTCATTTTATTAAAGTATTAATTACTTATATGGCTTTATATCATAGGCAACAAAGGGTTAGATCACTTATTTGGGTGGGCATATTACACATTAGATGCAGTAAGTGGAGCGTTGCATTACAGTGGAGCTGTTGCAATCTTTTGGATATTTTCTTGAATTGTTTTAGCTTCTAAATTATAAATACAAAGTATTAGGAAACTGTCAGCAGAGATTAACTCCTTTTCCCTCACCAGGTTAATTTGAAACCTACCTGCTCTGCAATGTCTTCAACAGACAGTGTCTTTTATTGAAATATACTCAAATTACAAAATGCATACTCATAAAATACTGAGTGAAGTGAAAAAATTTACTTTAATATTTTAATAAAATTTTTGATATATATAAAAAAGAAAACCTTAAAAAGCAGTTTTGCTATGACTTTATCCTCAACTACAGAGTTGGAGAAGCTCAAGATATCTCCATAATCAGCTCAGAAAATCATTATGGGGTATCTTATTCACTGTGATAAAAAATGTACCTAGCTATTATTGATATCTGTTATTATTTTAGCAAGCATTGGGAAACTTCCCCTTTCATTTCTAATGTCTGTGGTAGTGTTTTTTTGAGTGTTCGGCACCAGAGGTTTTCAAACCCATATGCACTATAACAAAATATAATTTTCTTGTTTCCCTGACTCTTACAGACTTCATAAATACAGATATTTCTACTTAAAATTCAAGTTCGTGAAGAATATAGGCTGAAGGGAAAAAAAAGATAAACATCAACTCTACTGCAATGCTTCTCAAAGTGCTCTAGTCCAGAAACACAGCAGAGAAGTGTAAAGACATGTCTTGAAGCAAACATTTATAAGATATTGTCTGTTCTTTATTTATTTTGTTTTAATATAAATAATAATTTCCTTAGATTACCTATCATTGGATAAAATCGAGCCTTCAAGACCAGAAACCATGTTTATCATATAATTTTGACATTTCTGCACACTTACCAATAAAGCTCATTTGAAAAAATCTCTTTCCCTTTGAATAGCAAAAAGTGCTTTTATTCTATCTTTTTGATTCTCTATTCCACAAGGATCAGTTCCTTTTGGTAAAACAACTTGTGCCTTTTTGCGAGTTTATGTATTATGTACTTCGACTTGAGCCTTAATATATGAAAACCTACATGTGTACAGGCTTAAGCTTCCATCTTGAAACCAGAAATACTCAGAAAAAGTGTTTTTGGTAAATTCTAGATGAAGCATTTAATCACAGCCATTCCTAATAAGTGAAATAAAATTGTACCACATAAATTAGTAAAAAAAGGAAAACAAAGTTCTACATAATAAAAATAAGCCCACACTTGACACAACCTTTACTTATTTATCAGCATTGGCCATAATAGATGGGGATGCTCAGTGAATGTTCAAATAACACACAATGGGACTACATATTTGGGATTCAAATTTTCCCCACCAATAAGGAAAATAATAAAAGTGAAAATATCTATAGAGCGTCCTCTAAATAATGTCACAAGGCCATCAGCTTTCAGTGAAAGTTGTTATACTGCCAGTTATTTGAAAAGTCTCTGCTTGACTGACTTCCTTCACAGAATATAAGTATATATTTCTTGTTTGTAGAAGCTGGTTGGCATTCCATCATTCCCTGGCATATCTCATTGTCGCTATAATAATGTAATAATTTAACAGCACAATATATTAGAGAGATACAGTGGCTACTCACTGCTTAAAGTTTTACAAAGGGTACTTTTCTTCTGCTTTGAAGAAGGTTTGTAACAGTATTAAGAAAAATTATCCAAGGTTCGGTAGAAAAATGAGAATGCATTTTAAAACAAGATTTCAGAGGCTCTTGTCATTTTCTTCTTAACGTTACTTGTAAGAGGCACATGGCATATAGTGGAAGAAGCATTGGTTTTAGTGTAAGAAGATATGGAATTGAAATAAATCTGCGTGATCTGGGGCATAACTGTTGGCTAATTGCAGCCTTTTTCTAACCCACATTTCCTACAGATAAGAATAAATATACATTGGTAAACAAGAAAGATATGGCTTCTCTCATAAGGGAGATTATATTCCTAGCAGGCAAGAGAGAAAGAGAAACAGTGGTTTACAATATTATATTCCTTAGGAACAGGAGGAAAGAATGAAATAGGGACATTTAGCAGGGTGACATAATCAGTCAGTGAGGACAGCCATTCCTGAAGAAGTAACGCATAAGCTGAATCTTAAAACACAAACAGATGCTAAGCAAATAAGGACAAGAATAGGGAAAATCAGAATAAAATAAATCCCTGCACCCTTTAAAAAAACCACCTATTTATCTATAGCCATGGTATCAAGTAGGCATCAGAAATATGATGTAAACTCTTTAAATCAATCATTGAGGACAACTCAGTTCAGTGAGTACATTCTCACAAGCTAACAAATCAATGTCAGTTCCTCACAATTAAAAGTCAGATATCAGTCATAAACGCATTTCAATTAAAACTCTTTTGGCTGCCAACTAATCAAAACTAGCTCCACCCAACTATTAAATATTTAAAGATAATATCAACCAATGTTGGCCCCTGAAAATCCACAAATCCCTGAATTTTACATATTCCTACAACCCTACATAACATCAGCACTCTGCTCTCCTCAGAAATTCTGTGCCTAAGCAGCATATCAATCCCTTACTAGAAGAAGCAAACATTCAGGTTTTTAATTTCCTCAGATGCTGAATATTAGCCTCATGATCCTTTGTCAGGGGTAAATGTAGTATACTTGAGGAATTGAATAAAAGTCTAGCTAAGTTAGATGGAGGTAAATGTAGGGAAAATTGGCTGAAAGGTCAGAAAGCAACAAGATTGTGGAAGATTTCAGAAGCCACTCAAAAGGTTTTGGACTTCATCTTAGAGCAATGGGAAGTCACTGAAAAATTTCAAACTGTGAATGGCATGATCATGGTTCCTTCTTATAATAACTCTGGTTGTATTGTGGAAAATGGTATAAAGAGAGTAAATGTAGAAAGACCAAATAAGAGGATGTGGTAGTAGTTGGGATGAGAGCCAATTATAGCTTGTACTGGTATCTAGAAAAGGAATGGAAAGAAGAGGAGGAATTAAAGAAGCACGTAGAAGAATAGAGTAACTTAATACTTACTGGATGTTTTAGAGTGATGACAAAAATAGCAGGTCAGCCTGCTGGCCTGTGCACCTGGGTGATTGATGTCACCATTCTCTGAGGTTGGAAATACTTGCAGAAAGAGTACTTTTGTGAGAAAAATGATAATATAAGTTTGGTACAAATCAAGTTTAAAAAATATGAGGAAAAACTAAGTGGAGCCATTTGGTAAGAAGTTGGAGCTTAAAAGAGAAGGCTGGATTGGAGATGAAAATTTATGTATAATTGAAATTTTTAAATGTTCTCATTTTCAGCTCCAAAATTCTGTAATAGTTTATTTTCTTCTGGATAAATGGTATCTGGTGATATGCCTTAATAATTCCTAACATGTTCTTCCATCAAGTATGTAGCCATTCTCTTTCTCTTTCTCTTTTGTCTTTTTAAATTACATCAGTTTCCTGTGGAGGCTGTAGCCGAAATCCGAGTAGACACTATATCTGATTGAGCCTGTGGCTGAGCCTCAAAAGACTGACAGATGTGATGGAGTGCTGGTTCTCTCAGTGCTCTGGTGGTTGGAGGTTTCAAGTCATTCAAATTAGGTTCCCAGAGTCTTGTTGATTGATCACATAGTAGTGAACATATGTAGTTTTCTACATGCTCCAATATGGTCAGACATTTGGGAAGGACTGCAAAGGCTATTTAATTGAAAGTTCTTCATTCTTTAATATGCTTTCCTTGTCTGGGTCCTAAATTGGAAAGGGCCCGAATTCCTGGATTAAGTAGAAAAGGAAAACACTTTGTTTAGTGGAGACAAACCAGAGAAAGAGAAAGGAATTCTGATAAGAGAGCGAAAGACAGAAAGGTCACAGAAACTGTATAATCTTGATTTGGTGCTTCTCTATGAACCTGTTAAACTTGCATAAGATGTAAGAAAGCATATGCTGCATGGTGTGAAAGCATTATGTTAACATTGGACAATAGGCTTAATTTTGAGCAGGCCTATTGCTAAGGAACATGATTAACACTTGGCAAAGAGAGTTCTGAAGAAGAGCTATGAGGAATTTAAATATGAGAGATTTGAAGAAATCACAGAGCTTTAGACTTTCGCAGATTATGGAATCAGAAATTCAATATTAGTTGACGTAGACCTAAGTTGTGCTTCTCTTCCTGTCTTGTTTTCTTTTGTTTGTTTGCTTGTTTAACTTGGCGTTTAGAGCTGAGCCCAAGGAAAAAGGCTTAACTTTATTATAGCAGTTAATCTATTCCCCAAATGATTTAGTCTTTTTTTTGTGCAATAACAGGATATTGATACCAATATTGTTTCCAGTCACAAGGAGCTCTCTAAGTGTAAAAGGCTTGTCTTTTTAAATTGCAAGATGTTCTTATGAAAGCAAAACCTTTGGGAGGGATTTAGAAGTCTCCCTGTCCAGCTCATCTCATGCTCATTTGGTATAATAGCTCAAAATTCTCATCAGAGCTCTTTTCTAGGATATCTTATCTCTTGGGTGTATCGCCTAAGGGTGTGAAAAGCCTGAAGTCTTATTATCTTAGAAAAACCCCCAAATAGAGCCCTCAAAAAACTTTCCCAGTAGAGTAAAAGTCTTTCCTCTGAACTGTAAATAATAAGGAAACAGGTAAACCTACTTTTCTTTGAAAACTACAAAATAAGTAAAAGAGGTTTACCTTACTGAAACATGGAGAATTCTGAATTCCAAAAGGAGAATTATAGATCACAAAATGTATTAAATAAGAACTTTTTAAAATTAACAATTTATATTTAATGTTAAATACTATTTTAATAAGATATTATCCTATGACCATTTTGAGGATTTTAGTGACAGATTAAGGTTTTAAAACAAAATCAATGTGTTGACATGTATAAATACTTCTTTTTAAATATGCACTTCTAAGTGAGACTTCTGCTTTCTATAAGGGAATACAAATAATATAAACTGTCTCATTTATATGACCTAAGAAAATGTTTCTTCTCTCTTTTCTTTTTTTCTGTAAGTTATTACCTATTTCAAAATTATGTCAGTCTAAGACCTTGAAGAAACCATCCACACCTCTATTGAAACTTTGTACTATGAAATCCTTTCTGAAGTACTCCCTCTTCTTCCTTTATTGACTTTTTTCACCTTTAATTTAATACTATCCCCAGTTACCTACCATTTGATCAACAGTATCTTGTGGCAACTAAGTCACTGTGCTGTTTTTTCTCAACTCAGACTGTCTGGAGCCTTGTTCCATCAAGCAGTAACTGTGCACTTAACACGTTAATAGTCTTAACACAAAAAGATAGAGAGAAATAGAGGTCTTTTGAGGTGGGAATCATTAAAGATAGACACACAAATGCATTCGGTGCCAGATTTGATTACCTCAAACAAGTGAAATTAAAGTAAACATTTTATCATCTCCAGTTACAGTTTCTCTCCTGGGGATAATTAAGACAAATGAGTAGAAGGCACTAATGGCAATCTTTACTTAGTTCTAGAGACAAATGAACAATGTACAACCAAAATAACTTTAGACCAGATGTAGTTACCATTCAGTTATTATATCTAATTATTATATAAACTGGAATCATCCTTTTATTCTCTCTGCTATCCCTTGCAAAATTGCAGACATCACTTAAGTCCCACTTTGTACATGAAGTCCTCTTTGAGTATAATGCAGTTTATCGGGGGGACACCCTGGGTTAGAAAGAAACAATCAGCTTTGAGATTCAGATAACCTGAAGTCTGCAACTTGCTAACTAGGTGCTGTTGAAACACCCAGTTAACTTCTCTGAGCTTAAATATCTTTGTCTAAACTATAGAAAATATGATAAACATTAACACCACAGATGTTTGTGAATAGCAAATGTAATAATGTAAGGGACAGAACTCAGTGAACGGTAAAGCAGTATATAAAATTTAATCATCAGTTACTGACTTCCCACTTGTCTAATCTCCAGTGTTTTATTATAGAAGAAACATAGAAGAATGTAGAATTATTATTGTAATGATTATCATTGTAAATTCATAATTCAACTGAAAAACATTTACTTAGAAACTTTTATATGAACCATATAGTCAAAATCATTTGAGTGCTCACTAGGTGCTTTTCACTGTTCTGGGGTCATTTACTTGGGTTGTATGTACATTATTTACATTTCTGTTCCAAATGTTGATTACAGCATGTGTTATTTATTCAGATGCTCAATTATTTGTTAGAAAATAGAAATATTAAAGAATAATAAAAATGTGTTTTGTTCATTGATTCCAGCAATAATAATAGGCAAGTAAAATGTATTTTAAGTTACTAAGAGGAAAACAAAAATTCTGAGAGGTATAACAATGTGCTCAAGATTACAGAGATAGTTCTCAGTGAGAAAGTATTTATTATATCAAATTAATTGAGTAAATTGTTTGCCAAGATATTAAGTTGTTTTGATATGGTATACTTTTCTACTTATAGTAATATTTTTCTAATCAATGCATAATTCAATTGTGTATAAAATTTATGGAAATATGCTAGTCCTCAGTTTTGCATCCAAAATTAATACCTTGAGTTTACATGAGATACTACACATGATCTATAATACCTATGGATAGCTTTGGCTTTGGACCGGAGCATTTTCACATTAAAGAAAATCCATGAAATTTCTCCATCTTTGGCAGAGTTTCTCATGCATGTGTTTAATATATGAACACCTCATGACCTTTTCAATAGAGAGCTTTATAGCACGTAAATGAAGGCATTGCTTTTCTGCCTCTACATTGACATGCTGAGTTCTAAATACAAACATGGCATGGTCAGAATGAGTGGTAAAGTTTAGCTAATTTTTTAAAATGCTAGTTGTAAAACATGGTATCCCTTTGATCATCCTTTTCTTCTTTTTAAAAATTAATTCTTATGTACCAAGTGCCTTCCCACTAAACCAGAACCTTCTGTCTCTCCATAACTCCTTACTGTGACATCCACATACCAGGTCTTTCTACATCAAATATTCCTAGCCTTGAACCTTTTCTTATTCTCTTAAAATACTGACTGACTTATGCCCCTATATCCAAGATTTTGTTGTGATAGTGCTAACAGAGTAGAGTTGGTCATGGGCATATCTTTTAGCTTATTTACCTTGCTTCTTCAAGTGTATAATAAAAGATGGAGTTGAACTTGGTGATTTCTAAGCTTTCTTTTATTTAAATGTCACTGTGCATGTATAATTCCACTTTTGAGCTTGTCTTAATGTTTCTCACATGGACCTTTTTTTTTCATTGATGAGCAGTATAATAGAATTTGAAAGGAGTCTAGGCTATTTGCATCATTGACTCACCAGTCATCATGTCTCCACTTGAAAATTTTCAGCAACAGGAAGTCTTATTCCTTTATGAGAAAGAGGTTTCTATTTGTTGGTAGTTATGAATATTAGAAAGTATTTTATTATAGGAAACCTAGGACCAATGGTTGGTCTTACACCAACTGCACCTTCAGGAAGTCCGTTCAAAGGCCAGGAGAACATCTAAGTGAGTGCTTCGGGGTTTTCTTATCCTGGGTAACCTCTTTCCATTTGGAATACTATAACTCAGCACACAATAGTTATTGGAAGCAGTGTGGTATAATGACATAGCACTGTTAAAGTCTGTGTTTGAAATGCTACTTCAGTTGATAGCTGTTTTACCAGGAGCTTGCTATTTAGCATATGTAAATTGTCTACTTTAATGTCTAGAACATCGTCACTATAATGTTTCTTTTTGTCTCAAAACACAACTAAAATGTTAAAATTAAACTTCTTTTACCAAGTTCTCATGGTTTTTTGCTCATAAATCTATTAGAGGGACTATATTGCAATTGTTATTTTCTTTTACATGGATCTTCACTCTTTATCCTTTACCAGAGAGTTTTGGGTACAAGAGCTCTCCATTTTCATCCCTGTATCCACAGTGGTTGGACCACTGAATGTTCTTAATACAGAGAGAGTAAAAGAATGTGCTTAAAGTTGTTGTTAGTGGGCTGGTTCAGTTTCTTGACTTTGCTGCACCAACGAATTTGAGAGAGAGTCTAAAGTAAAGGTAGGCGAGGAAACTTTATTGCAAAGTGAAACTACACTCTGCTAGGTCACAGTAGGCTGCTCCACAATGAGACAACACCAACTAACACTGGAGAAACTCCTTCTACAGGAGTCTTACATGATTAGTTGTGAAGGGGTGGAAATGTGCATTGTTGTTAAGCGTATTGTGGGTGGTCTCCTTAATGCCCATGTGCTATTGTTGTACATGCTAGTATATACCTCATATGTCTTATTAGCATTTTAATTCTCCACCCACTGATGTGGTTTTCATTATTATAATGAGCATAGGTCAGCCCAAGTATACTAATCATAGGTTTCTGCATTTGCATGAATTTGGGGATTTTCCCTTCTGTTCTTTTACCTCCTTGCTGCAGGATGCTCTAACCACAAGCCCAGGATGTGGTTTGGCCACTATTGAGTGGTTTGTTCTCTCCATCTATTTGGTAAGTTTGTTCCTCTTTAAGAGAGCATATAACCACACTATCTAATCTACCTTAATGTCACATCTGTACTAGATGCCATACAAGCACCACAGAGCAGCATGAGAAGATATTTTCTATTCCTCTGGATTTTATATCCCTCTTCACACAACATGGAACTCCTTTTCATATCAAATCACCAAAGCTGTTTCACATGAACTGCTCTGTGGGTTAAGGGGAAAAATAAGAGCCATTGTTTCACAGTGTCTTGCCATTTGGGGTGTAATATTTAGTGATATGCAGCATATGTCTCCTGCTGAAGCAACAGGGGAATCACAGGCTGGTTTCTCAGCAGCCTCACAGATTAACTGCAAAGATGAAGTGTGGCATAAACCTTCATTTGCTCAGACTGGCATATGCCCCTCGCCCATTCTGCTGAGTCCCTTCACACCTATCTCTTTCTCTCTCTCTCTCTCCCCCCACACACATATTTCCTAGCTCTGCTCACTGAAGCAATAACATGCTGATATTCTAACAACAAGCAAACTCAGTGCCCAGACATTTGATTCTAATATTAATTGCTAAAAAAAAAAAGGAACTGAGGCAACTTGGTAAAATATCAAATTTCTGGTGTGGAGAATGTAATAGACAAGATAATACTAGAGTATCTTAGAGTATCTTATAGCTCCAGAAAGTAAGAAATGATTTTAAAAATCCCATAATGATGGGTGTATCAAAAAGGGACATAAGTGTTCTCAATGGCCAAAGCTGGAGCAATTTGTGCAACAGACTAAGTAAAACTTTAGTGTTATAACACAAAGTATAAAATAAATATAAATTAGTCCAGTTATATTTAACTGTTTATTAAACAGTTCATTTATATTAAATAGATTTGATTAAAGTATACTGAATTTAATTACATTTGATTTAAATTTATATTAAATAAATAGGAGCAAACAGACAAACATCCAATGCAAAAGAATTCCAAATAAATTTGATACTCCACTCTCAAGAAATGGAGCATGACTCTCCACTCCTTTAGTGTGGGTTGTGCATGGTGACTTTTCTCCCAAGAGGACAGGATAGAAAGGGAAAAAGCGTAACTTTACAGTGGAGAAACGTGACAACCCTCAGGTTGGTGATCAAGATTGATATTGTTGGGGGTCAGTTATGTTGATATTATGTATAATTGACAGGATGTGTGGAGAACGGCACTCTGTATCTGTGGTCTTTCTTCCCAAAACACATAGCCTTAGTTTTATTTTGGGAAAAACATTAGGGAGACTAAATTGAGGGCTTCTGAAAATAGGATCATTCCATAAAATATCTGATCTTCAAAACTGTTAAAGTAATCAAGAACAAAGAAAGTTTAGGAAACCAGTACAAACCAGCGGACCCTAAGGAAAAATAACAGTTAAATGCAGTATCCTGGATGGAACCCTGAAACAGAGGAAGGAGAAAAAAACTAATAAATTTCAAATACATTATAGAGTTTGGTTAATAACAATTTATCAATATTAGATCATTATTTATGACAAGTGCACCATAGTAATATAAGATAATAATAGGAGAAACCGGAGGTGAGGAATACACAGACTCTACTATCTTCATGATTTTTCTATAAATCTAATACTATTCTAAAATTTATACATGTATCTGTAGGTATATTATAGATATTTACATAAAATACTACACAGCTAAAAATGGGGATTTTGATAGGTGGTTTCTAGAGAATGAATGAGTGAACAATAGCGATATGGTTTGGCTCCATGTCCCCACTCAAATCTCATGTTGAATTGTAATCCCTAATGTTGGGGGAGGGACCTAGTGGGAGGTGCTTGTATCACGGGGGTAGATTTCCCCCTTCCTGTTCTCGTGATAGTGAGTTCTCTGAAGATCTGGTTGTTTGAAAGTGTGTAGCACTTCCCCATTTGCTCTCTCTCTCTCCTTCCTCCATGTGGAGACGTGCTTGCTTCCCCTTCACCCTTCTGCCATGATTGTAAGTTTTCTGAGGCCTGCCCCGCCATGCCACCTGTACAGCCTGCAGAACTGTGAGTCAATTAAACCTCTTCCTTCATAAATTACCCAGTCTCAGGTAGTTCTTTATAGGAGTGTGAGAACTGGCTAATACAAATAGCAAGTACTGGATAAAGACTCTACTCAGGATCAGATTGGTCAGCAATCTGACTATTCTTCAATGCTGTACAGCCCTACTTTGCTTATACCTGGACTTACCTTCAGAAAATAATAACATTCCATTAGGTTAGTGCAAAAGTAATTGCAGTTTTTGCCATTAAAAGTAATGGCAAATATTTTAGTTAAAGACCTTTAAGTATTCATATGCAACCAAACTTAAATTATGAACAATATAGTGTCAAAAATTATCTTTTTTCTTACATATAGTTAAATATAAATGCTCTTGGATCCAGCACAAAATTCTTCTTTCTTTACTTATATGTTCAGGAGCATTAGGTGCATTAAAAAACTGACTTACCTCCCATCGTCCTAACCCAACTCGAAATGAATGATAGACTAAGGGTATATAAGATATAGAAATTTAATTATATTAAACACGCACACACACAAAAAGAGAGAGAGACAAAGAGAGGGAGAGAGAGAGAGAGGGAGAGAAAGAGAGAGAGAGAGAACTAGAACTGGGAGCTTTGAGGGAAAAACAACAGCCACAGAAGATTTAAGTCTCAATAAACAGTTTTATATGCAATTTCCGCAAACATATTTTCATTTGCTATAAAACAGCAAACAGCTTGGGAGGAGAAGCCAGAAATATGCACAGAGAAAGCAAAATAGTGTTAAATAAATACTGGCTTGCAAAAAAGAAATTGCAGGCTATATTGAAATATGCTTATCTTACGGTACTTCAAAATGTAATAAATTTCTCTGACAAACAATAATTTAGTTTGAATTTAAAACAAATTCCCCTTTTGTCCTAAGAAAATACAATGTTAGACTTTGAAAGATGAATGGTTGTTTTTGCTCAGATATTGGTTATTAGCCACATAACTATGCCCTGGTTAGGCTACTTAGATTTTATAGTTGTACTGAGAGAAATTTAGTTAAAGCAATTGTTTGAAAGTTAAGCAAAGATGTCTGAAAAAAGAGAGATGTTAAAACTTATAAGTGAAAGTTAATGCAATTTTCAGTATAAGAAAAAAAAGATTTCAAGGGAAAAACTTGTTTTTTTTTTTTTTGGACAGGGGCTAAAGTGAAACATAGCATGTGTATAATATTTGAATAATTACTTTTATTAGTGTTTGACTTAATACTCATAAAGCTCAAAGCATTTAAGGTTATGAATCAAAAATCAATGAAATCCAAAGAAAGAGTAAATAATCTTGTGCCTGTTCCTTGTTCTATACCAGAATAGAGTAAGATTATATATATATACACACACACACACATACATATGTATAATTTTTTACACATATATATACACATATATGTACATTACACAAAAATATTCACACACGCACCTATGTTCCTAGGGCAGAGAGCGCCAGTGGCTGTTTATTTTGCTTATAGAAATTAGAAAGAATGTGGCTGCTTATTCTTTAAACATCCACTAAATACCTTTATAAAGAAGACATTATTCTTTAAGAATACAGAAATGAAGATTTCTCATAACCTCTTTCTTCATGAGCTTATGGCCCAACAAAGAATATAGAAGAAAATAAAAAATTATAATAGTCTTTCTAGAAAGACTATTGTACCAAATATTTTATTTATGTTTCCCACTGTTCCAGAAAGAATATAAGAAAATTAATAATAATAATAATAATATGACCTGAAAATGGAACAACATGCAATTATGTTCACTGTAACAATTCAGTAACTTAAAAATATTAACAACTTAAATTCCCAGCAAAGGGAATCATTTGAATTAATAATAAAAAATACAGCTAGATATTAAAATATTCTTCACTGCCTTGGAAGTATTTTCATGGAATTATTTTCATAATATAATTAAGAGAAAAACAATACCTAATATAAATATTTTTCAGGAAAAATAATATGCATATAATTATTTAGATTATATATGTATATGTATAATCTCTCTCCACATATACACATATAAACATGCATTATATGTATGCACATAAACACACAAAAAAGAAATAACAGCTGTTTTTGTGATAATGTTTATGACTCAGGGAGAAACAACTGATATAATTAGTTATCATATGTAAATATTTTTTATTTTTGTGTATCCAATTATTTCTACATGTAAATATAAACAAATATAAATCTATATTCTTCTTTTCAGAGAGGGTCAATTTATAGGTTTCTATTTTTATAAGTATGCATTACTTTAAATGATTTTTAGGTGATTTCTATTTCTGACAGTCTGGTGGATTAGATGCTGATGGAAAAGAAGTGAAAGTACATAAAATCTAAAGCATACATTTTTCAATTATTTAAATTTCTTACATATTTACAGGTTAAAAAATATAAATTTTACTCAAAATGTGAACTGTGGAAACTCTTAATTCCACCTTTGACCACATTAAATAACTTTCACTCCCCACATACACAGCTTTTGGATTTTTTTTGTGTGCATCTGCATCCTTCTTGTCATTTATTTATACAAATACAAAAAAAAATCTACCTTTTAATTTTCCTCCTTATTTAGACAAAATATATCATCCTATATATACTGTTATAAACTTCATTTTCTTCCCTAATAAATTCTGGGGGCTTTCCATATTGCTACATAAAATCCTTCTCCATTCTTTTCATGCATGGTTTTTCATCATGTGTATGGAATCCCATGATTTAACAATCCTCCAATATTTGACTATTTTATTACATTTTTGCAAAGAATAACATTGTTCATTTGCCATTTTGTATGTGTTAAGGTATATCTACTTTATAAATTCTATAAATTAGAAATGCGGGATCAAAGAATTGTTTTGTATATATTGCTACCTGGCTAGTAATGTTCTATCTCCAATATAACAACTGAAAATTGCGTTTCAGTTTACTGTTATTTTGCTTTCATTTGAAAGATAATTTTTTGAAGTGTGTATTTTTTTAATTTTTAATTTTAACTTTAATTTTTACTTTTACACATCCTGTACGTGTGCAGGATGTGCAGGTTTGCTACACAGGTAAAAGTGTGCCATGGTGGTTTACTGCACCTATCAACCCATCATCTAGGTATTAAGCCCAGCATGCATTAGCTGTTTTTCCTAACACTCTCCCACCCCCAACCCCACCCCTCCGACAGGTCCCAATGTGTGATGTTCCTCTCCCTGTGCCCATGTGATCTCATTGTTCAGCTCCCACTTACATGTGAGAAGATGTGGTGTTTGGTTTTCTGTTCCTGTGTTAGTTTGCTGAGGATAATGGCTCCCAGCTTCATCCACATCCCTGCAAAGGGCATGATCTCATTTATTTTTATGGCTGCATAGTATTCCATGTCAAGGAACAACAGACGCTGGTGAGGTTGTGGAGAAATAGGAATGCTTTTACACTGTTGGTGGGAATGTAAATTAGTTCAACCATTGTGGAAGATGGTGTGACGATTCCTCAAGGATCTAGAACCACAAACACCATATGACCCAGCAATTCCATTACTGGATATATACCCCTAAGAAATATAAATCATTCTATTACAAAGATGTATGCATATGTATGTTCATTGCAGCACTATTCACAATAGCAAAGACAAGGAATCAACCTAAATGCCTATCAATAATAGACTGGATAAAGAAAATGTGGTATATATATACCATGAAAGATAATTTTTATAGCTGAACTGCCTACCCAAGATTGACTGTCTTATAAAAAGACCTTTGTAAAGTTGGAACCCATCATTATGGGATCCTACCATCAGAATAATGCCAAACAGAAATCCCATCACACAAAATAAATCAAGAAAAGTTGTATGTATTATTTTGGGCACTGGACAAAAGCTAAACAAAATCTCTCCAGAGACCTTACAATAGCCAGCCAGCTTTCACAAAGCTTTGCAAATACATTTAAGATCATCCTGTATAGTATAAAATAAACCCTCAGTAAAGATTCAATTTAAGGAGGCCTTAGGTTGCTAATATTCCAAACATATTGCAAAATTAAACACATTCTCTCTAGAGAAAGCACTTTCAACCCAGACCTTAAAAAGTAGACACAGGTAAGGTTCCAAGCAATCTAAAAATCACAAAACACCTAAGAAGAAAAGGACTTCTGAATAAGAGCCGGATGAAGAGTATGGGGAAAACAAAACAGGTACCAAATTCCAAATTTGCAAGACTTCAAACATTACAAAATATGAAATAACTATTTTTAATATATTTATATTAATGAAAGAGAGGCTTGGAAATAATAGCAAGAAAGTAGCAGATTAATAAAAACAAAATTATTTTGAAAAAGATGTGTATTATATATATAGATACACAAACACATAAAATTCATGCATTTTTTAACAACTGGGTTTCTTTCCCTTCCTTCCTTCCTTCCTTCCTTCCTTCCTTCCTTCCTTCCTTCCTTCCTTCCTTCCTTCCTTCCCTTCTTCCCTTCTTCTCCTCTTTCTCTCTTTCTCTCCTTTTCTTTCTTTCTTTCGACAGAGTCTTGCTCTGTCACCCAGGCTGGAGTGCAGTGGCATGATCTCAGCTCACTGCAACCTCCACCTGCTGGGTTCAAGAGATTCTCCTGCCTCAGCCTCCCGGGTAGCTGGGACTACAGGCGTGCCCCACCACACCTGGATAATTTTTGTATTTTTTGTTAGAGATGGCATTTCGCCATGGTAGCAGGTCTGTTCTCGAACTCCTGACCTCAAGTGTTCCACCTGCCTCAGCCTTCCAAATTGCTGGGATTACAGGCGTGAGCCACCATGCCAAGACAACTGGGATACATTCAAAGAAATGTGATGTTAGGTAATTTCACCTTTTATGACCATCGTAAAGTGTACTTTCACAAACCTAGATCATATACCCTACTACAACATATCTAGGCTATGTGGTACAGCCTATTGCTCCTAAGCTGTGAACCTGGCAGGGTGTCCACTCTTTTGGCTTCCCTGGGCTACACCGAAAGAAGTATTGTCTTAGCACTACATAAAATACACTAAAACTAACGATAGCTGAAGAGCAAAAAAAATAATTGCCTAAAATTTTCAAAATGTTTTGCAAAGTTTACGAATTTGTGTTTGGTCATGTTCAAAGGCATCTTGGGCTTCATGTGACCCGTGGTCCCTGGGTTGGAAAAGCTTGCTGTACAGCGTGTTACTATACTGAATGTTGTACTATACTGAATACAAGTGACACAGTGGCAAGTATTTGTGCATCTAAAAATATCTACACATGGAAAAGCTCCAGGAAAATGTAGCATAGAATATTTTAAAAAATACACCTGTAGAGTGCATTTATCACAAATGGAGCTTGCAGGTTTGGAAGGTGCTCCAGGTAAGTCAATGAGTAAATGGTGAGTCAATGAGAAAGCATAGAACATTATTGTACAGTACTGTAGACTTTATAAATACAGTACACTTAGGGTACACTAAATTTATTTTAATAATTATTTCTTTAATAATAAATTAACCTCAGTTTACTGTAACTTTTTTCATTATAAACTCAAATTGTTTTTAAATGTTTGACTCCTATAGTAACACTTAGCATGAAACACAAACACATTTTATAGCTGTACAAGAATATTTTCTTTCTTTATGTACTTATTCTATAAGCTTTTTTCTATTGTTACATTTTACTATTTTTTTTTACTTTTTCAACTTTTTGTTAAAAACAAAGACAAAGACATACACATCACCATGGGCCTACATAAACATCAGGATCATCGGTATCACTGTCTTACACCTCCACATTTTGTTCCACTTCAGGAACAAAACAACATGGAGTTGTCATCTCCTATGATAACAGTGCCAATAATAACAATGAAAATCTCATCATCCCCTCTCCTCTGCCCCCCTCAGCCTCTAGTAACCATTATTCTACTCTACTTCTCCAAGATCAGCTTTTTTTAGATTTTACTAATGATTGAGACCATGTAGTATTTTTCTTTCTGTATCTGGCTTATTTCACTTAACTTACTATTCATGGTTCGATCATTAATATTATTCATGAATATTATTAAAAACCTGAATATTTCAGGTTCATTCATGTTACCATAAATAACAAGACTTCATTCTTTTTCTTATTACTGAATAGTACTTTATTGTGTATATATACCACATTTTCTTTGTTCATCTGTTGATAGACACTTAGGTTGATTCCATACCTTGTCGATTGTGAATAGTGCTACAATAAAGATGGGGGTGCAGATATCTCTTAAACATATTGATTTCATTTCCTTTAGATAAATACCCAGAAGTAGGACTGCAGGTTCACATAGTGTATGTATTTTAAAATTTTTCGAGGAAACTCTCGAGTGTTTCCACTGGCTATGCAGTTTACATTCTCACCAACAGTGTACAAGAGTTTTCCTTTTTTCCACCTCAATACTCGCATTTGTTATTTTTTGTGTTTTGGAAAATAGCCATTCTAATTAGGGTGAGTTATATCTCATTGTGGCTTTGATTTGCATTTTTCTGATGATTACTGATGTTGAGTAATGTTGATGTACATTTTTCTATATACTTTTGGCAATTTGTATGTCTTGTTTTGAGAAATGTCTATTCAAGTCCTTTGCCCATTTTAAATTCAGATTATTTGTTTTTAGCTCTTCACTTGTTCAAGTTCTTTATATACTTTTATAGTAACCTCTTGTCAGATGCACAGCTTACAAATATTTCTCCCATTGACTAGGGTGTTCTTTCACTCTGTTGATTATTTCCTTTGTCGTGAAGAAGTATTTTACTTTGATGTAATCTTATTTGTGTTATTTTTGCTTTTGCTTCCTAAGTTTTTGAGGTGTTATCCAAAATATCTATGCTCGGAACAGTGATATAAAGTGCTCCCCTATGTTTTTTCCCGATAGTTTTATATCTTATATTTGTCTTTAATCCATTATGATTTGGTATTTGGCTATGGTGAGAGATAGTGCTCTAGCTTCATTTCTCTGCATATAGATATCAAGTTTCCCCAGAACCATTTATTGAAGAGACGTTTCCTTTCCCAAGCTAATCCTGTGCATTCTAACTAAAGAGGGAGAAAGAGATATAGGGAAGATTCAAATAAATACAATCAGAGATGAAAAAGGGCGCATTACAACTGATACCAAAGAAATATAAAGGATCATAAGAGAATATCATGAAGAAGTATATGCCAACAAACTGGAAAACCTAGCAGAAATGGACAAATTTCTGGACACATATGACTTACTAAAATTAAATCATGAATAAAAACTAGAAAATCTGAACAGACCAATATCAAGTAATGAGATTGTATCAGAAATAAGAAGTCTTCCAAAAAAAAAAAAAAAAAAAAAGCCAGGACCTGATGGCTTTACTGCTTAATTCTACAAAACATTTAAGGAAGAACTAATACCAATTCTACTCAAACTATTTTTTTAAAAAAAATTGAAGAGGAGATAATTTTTTCAAATTCATCCTACCAGGCCTGCATCACTTTAATACCAAAACCAGAGGACACAACAAAAAAAGAAAACTACAAGCCAATGCTCCTAAGGGACATAAATGCACAGATTCTCAACAAAACAATAGCAAACTAAATTCAACAGCACACTAAAAAGGTCATTCGCCATGACCGAGTTGGATTCCTCCCAGGGACACAAATAAGGCTCAATGTAAGCCAAATCAATAAACATGACACATCACATTAATAGAATTTTTAAAAGGTGGTTATTTCAATAGACACAGTAAAAGTATTTGGTTAAATTCAATATCTCTTTATGACTAAAAGCTCTTAAATTATGTATAGAAGAAATGTACCTGATATAATAAAGGCCATATATGATAAACCCATAGTTAATATCATATTAAATGGGAAAAAATGGAAAGCTTTTCTTCTAAGATCTGAAATAAGAAAAGAATGCCCACTTTCACCACTTTTATTCAGCATAGTAATGGAAATCCTAGCCAGAGCAATCAGGCAAGAGAAAAAAATAAAGGGCATCCAAATTGGAAAGGAAGAGGTCAAATTGTCCATGTTTGCAGAAGACATCATTGTATGTACAGGAAATTCTAAATATTTGACAAAAAATTATTAGAACTAATAAACAAATTCAGTAAAGTTGTAGGATACAAAAATCAACATACAAAAATGCAGCGTTTATGCATGTCAATGGTGAACTGTCTGAAAAAGAAATAAAAATGCAATCCTATTTACAATAGCTACACAAAATACAAAATTTTGGAATAAATTTTACAAAGAAGGTGAAAGACTTCTACAATAAAGACTATAAAGCATTGAAAGAAATTGAAAAAATCACACAAACAAATGGAAACATATTCCATGTTCATTTATTGAAATAATTAATATTGGTAATATGTTTATACTACTGCAAGCAAGCTACAGATTTAATGCAATTCCTAAGAAAATACCAATGACATTGTTCAAATAAAGAGAAAAAAATTATAAAATTTATGTGGAATTACAAACAACCCTAAATAACCAAAGCAATCTTGAGCAAAAATAACAAAGCTGGAGGTATCACACTATGTGACTTTTAAATATACTAAAAAGCTATAGTAACAAAAATAGCACGGCATTGGCATAAAAGTAGACACATAATGCATGTGGGGCATAAAACCTAGATGATGGGTTGATAGGTGCAGCAAACCACCATGGCACATGTATGCCTATGTAACAAACCTGCACGTTCTGCACGTGTATCCTAGAACTTAAAGTAAAATTTAAAAAATAGAAAAAAAATAGACACATAGCCCAATGGAACACTATAGAGAGTCTAGATATCAATCCATGCACTTACAAACAACAAATAACTTTTCAAGATCAACAATGGAAAAGCCTCATGAGGGAGATACTATTTAATAATGGGAGGAAAAAACACTAAAGGTTCAGAGAGTCAGTATGAGGACTGTAAAGATATGTCACTGATAACAAACTTAAGGATAAAATTATACTAAGTGAAATAAGCATAGCTAAGGAAATACTAGAAATCTAGTTTTCTCACTATAGAATCAATGAATGCATTTTCTACTATGACGTGCTACTTTCAAAAAAATCCCTCAATTTTTGTTAATTTCCCTGTGGTAGTTACCTGATTGGGGAACTTTATTTGGAAAATGTAAAAATTTATTATTCATATGTAACCCATATTGCTTAATTTGTTCTTCTCATTTTGGGTACAGGCGTTACCTTGGATTGACCACTCAATAAAATCATATTCAATCAATGTTTAACATCATTTGATTTCTCATTATATATGAGGAAAAAAGTTTGAAAGTATAAATACAAAAATATATAATGCATAACTATATGCCTTTATGGATTATGACAGTGAGGTAAGGGAGGAAGAAAACATTGAGAAAAATAGTGATAAAGTAATAATTCTACTAGAAAAATTGGGATTAGTGCTTGGGGAGGAGACTCAGGATAAAATAGCCACAATGACAGTACCTATCAGGAGAGTGCTTTACAGGAAAATAAGTGTTCTTATATATATTACCTTATAATTTTATTTTAAAATTGAAAACAAAAGTTATATAGATATTCAGTGGCTAAAATAATCTCATCCAACTGTGTCTCTATACATGGATAACATTTTGAAAGCTAAAAAAGTGGGCATGTAGGGTAGCTCCCACAGAATGTCTTTGATTGGATAATTTCATTAGGCTGTCCCTCAGGTTAAGGGACAAAACCCATAGACATTAATGAAGGTGTGGTCCCACAAAGTTTCCCTCTCTCTCACAACCTGCTGGTTGTGCAGCCTGCTGTCTCCAGATTTCCCATAGGCCTTTGTAGGCACCTTTCTTCTCTCATGGATCTTTGAATAATAAATTGCTTCTGTTATTTCATGTGTTTTGTTATGCTGCTTCCTCAGTGTCTCACTCTCCTCTCAGTCAGGGCTCTCCTAGAGGTTGACTATATTGGTAGGAGTAAACTGGATACAGATCACACAAGAACCACCAGAGTGTCTGCCAGTATAAAGACATTTCCTGTGAGAAGGACACTGGTCACGGGTTGGACCCTTAGGCTTCAGGCTGTTTGCAAGGGCAAAGTAGTATCCCATGTAAGGTACATTGTAAACATCCACAACCATTTTCCTTGGAGCCCCACGAGTGCAGAGCTGTAACTTACAGCCACTCTCCAGAGAGAAACCTTCAGACTAAATTAGAGAGAGAAAGTCACAACAAAGTTGTTTGCCAGAATCTGTTCCTTGGAAACAGAACTGAGAACCCTGTCTTCTTGCTGGCTGTCAGCTGGGAATGCGTCTTTGCTCCTAGAGTTGTCCTAAATTCCTTCTCATACTCTCCATATGGCCCTTCTCCAATAATAGCATTTCTAGCCCCTCACACATTTCTAATGTCTCAGAATTCTACTATCACATCTCGCTGACTCCAACCAGTGACAGTTCCCCGTTTTAAAGAGATCATGTGTGATTAGTTTGAACTCACCTTCATAATCCAAGGTAATCTCCCTATGAAAAGTTCTTTCCTTTTAATTACAGTTGAGTTTTTAACAACACAGGCATTAGGAGCATCAACCTCCCCCACACAGTCAATAATCCGTATTTAACTTCTGATTCCCCCAAAACCTAGCTACTAGTAGCCTACTGTTAACCAGGAGCTTTATCAATAACAAGCAGCTGACTTATACATATTTTATGTGTTACATGTATTATGTATTATATTCTTACAATAAAGAAGACTAGAGAAAAGAAAATATTATTAAGAAAATCATAAGAAAGAGAGTACTGTTCTGTACTTATCAATACCCAAAATTTATGTCATCTCTTTAGAAGATGAATCGTCTGTCTAAAATGGCAGGCAACAGCAGCTACAGACCTTAATCTACAGTACATATCAAGCAACTCAGCTTTCTCTTGTATGTCATGACTTTTATCTGATTCTTAGGGGCACTTTCAGCACCACTATTGGCACATTGTGTGGCTCCCATGGTGTTATTCAAGGTTTGCAATATTGCACTAAACACAATGAAAAATACGTGAGAACCGAGAGGGATCACCTTTTACTGCGTTACACAATTTACTGGACAGATGAACGGCTCACACAGAGATGATTACTCTCACATGGGGTTTTAAGCAGATATTTGCCACCCTTGAGCTCACCACAATAACAACAGAAGGTGACAACAAAATTATTACAGTAGTACAGTATGCACTACAGTTAATTTTATGCAGTTATGATTTAACACCGTACCACATATATTTACAGTTCTCTCGACTGGGAGAGGTAGCATGTAGAGTCTGTGTTTGTGTGTATAAATTCTGTTAAATTTTAACTTTTTATAATAGATTCGTGTATATTTATGGCAGCAAATGATTAAACAAGACTATAACTGCATATATTTTATGCATTCATGACATACTTACATTTTTCCTAATTTTTCAATATTTCTAGGCTATACAGTTGATCTGAAAGTTTTCTCAAATTATTATAAATCTCCCCCAATTTTTCAATCTATTTTTTAAAAAACATGCATAAGTGGACCTACACAGTTTATACTCGTGTTGTTCAAGAATCAACTGTACATCTGCAAAGTTTCTTCTTGCCATTTAACATAAGATACTTAAATATTCCAGAGATTAAAGCATGAAAGTCTGTGTGTGGGAATGGGAACAGGGGGTACATTTTGTTTATCTCAGTCAATATTATAAAAGATGAAGAAAGATTGTGTAAATATTCCAGATTTATGGAGTCTGAAGATACATTTTGATTAAATTCAGTAACTCACCCTATACTATAGCCTGTACTAGAAGGGGGTAATATCATAAAGAAGATTATTGCGTCAATTAACAAAATTAGAATGCAAATGGTACTTTACATAAAGGTATTTAATCAAAGTTAGATTCACTACAATTGACAACTGTCCTGTGGTTATATAAAACAATATTTATTTATTTATAGTTGATTAAAAATGATAGATGACTGATAGATAAACAGACAGATAGTAAATGACATGGCAAATGGGGTAAAATGTTAAAAAGGGAGAGTATGTGCAAAGGGTATACATATTATTTTGTACAATTTTTATTTTTTTAATTATTTGTAAACACTTTAAGTTTGAAATTATTCCAATTTGTTTTATAATTAAAGTGAAACAAAGGCATTAGCAGATTTTTTTTAAGTTGAGATAATTTATTTCCAGGAAAAATAAATTCTAAGTCCTCATAGAAGTTTTATAGGCAAAAAGAAATGATGCCAGTTTGAATCTCAGATGTGCAAAGGGGAAGATATCTATAAATGGTAATTATATGGGTAAATGTAAGAGACCTCTTATTTAAATTTCATATCTATCTTTAGTTTGTGTCATTATCTTATAAGATTTGACTGTAAAAATATTGGACTGCTTATGCAAATTAATAACACTGTATTTTGGAGATAACCTTTGTAGAAAAATCCTATAAGGCAGAAAGAACATAAAGTATGGGGATTGGTTGATAAGTGGAATTGTATTGTTTTAAAATTGTTCTGTTCTTTGTTAAATAGCGTATAACTTGAAAGTAGGCAGTGATAATGAAGATTCACATTGTATTCTAAAAAGCAACACACAAGCAAATATATGCACATACAGGCATACACAAGTACACATACACAACAGTAGAGTTAGAATACGGAAGATACAATAGAAAAGTAAAAACTATGAGATTTACCTAGTAGAAAAGAGCAAAGGAGAAAAAGAAAAAAATATGATCCCATAGGATGAATAGAAAACAATCCCCAATATGAGAGACTTAACCATGTCAATAATTACACTAATTATAAATCAACTGAACTTCTAACAAATGCAAAAATCATCAGACTGAGTCAAAATGCAAGATCTTCATTCTTTCCTGTTTTTGTGATCTAAAACTCTTGAAGAATATTGGTCAATTATTTTGTTAAATGTTCCTCAATCTTTCGTATTCTCATGATTCGACTGAGTTTATACATTTTTGGCAATAATAACAAAAATTATGCCATGCCCTTTTGAGTTAGTCTTATGAAAGTGTAGGGAAAAACTCTTATGGATTCACCTAAGTGGTTAACTTTTTTTGGTGCTCTTCATTTATTTGGGTACATTCACAATTCTTGTATCATTTTCCTTTTCACTGATGAAGTTTATTTAATATTTCTTGTTGTGAGAAACCGTTGGTGATAAATGTCTTCAGGATTTGTATGTCCAAAAAAGTCATTATGTCACCTTTGTTTTTATTTTTGTGAATATAGAATTCAAATTTGACATTTTATCTTTTTAATATATAAAATATATGTTTTCTGTATTGTCTCTTGCATTGTTTCTGACAAGAATGTGCTATTTATTTCTTTGTTCCTCTGTATGTAATGAATCTTTCTTTTATTTCTACTTTTAACGTTTTATCTTTACCTTCTATTTGGAACAAATTTTATTTGGTTATAATATGCCTTGGTGTAATTTTCTTCATTTTTTTTCTGTGTGAATTTATATAAACTCTTCTGATCTGTAATTTATAGTTTTTATTATATTTGAAAACCTGAGGGGACAGGCCACTATTTTTTCAAATAATTTTCCTTCCCTGTCCTCTGTTAATGACATCAATTACATATATCTTAGGCAACTTCTCACTGATTTTTTTTTTCAGTTTTTAAAAAACCTACCTGTTTCAGTTTGGATAATTTCTACTATTATGTCCTCAAATTTGATAATGTTTTATTCTGCAGTGTTTAATCTGCCCCACTAATCCAAACCAGGATATTTTTCTGCCTAGGCATTATACTTTTCATTCCCAGGTTTTATATATTTTATGCTCTAAATGTTTAATATTTTTCTAACATTTTAAACATATTAAGTGCAATTATAAATTACTGCTTTAATAATCTTATCTAAAACATCAAACATCTGTATTAGTTATTGGTAGATTTAGATTGATTGATATTTCTCTTAATTTTGGATCATATTCCTTCGTGTTTTTGCATGCCTGATGAGCTATTTTATTGGATGCCAAATATTGTGGAATTTACATTATTAACTACTTGATATTTTTCTGTTGCTATAAATATATAGATATCTTTTATTTTTTTCTAGGATGCCATTAAGTTACTTGGAAATAATTTAATCTTGTCAGGTATTGCTTTTAAAACATGTTATATGGGACAAAGGCAATCATTAATCTAGGGATAATTATCCTCTACTAGTGAGGCAAACATTTTTGAATACTCTATCCAATGCCCTATAAACTATGTGATTTTCTACTCTGGCTAATGCCTGATACTACGTTTGGTTCTGTGAGAGTGCTGGGTACTCTTTCTTATAATTTATTCATAGTGATTGCTTACTTTCTGTTGCACATTTTTCTCTTACACAAATCCTCTGATTACTACTCTGCTGAATGCTTAGAGGAGGCCTGTGTAGATCTGAATCCTGTCTCTGAGCGGCTCTTTTCTTTCTGGTGCTTTGCTGTGCAAACTCTAGCCAATTTGTTCTCTCTGGACTCATGACTTTATCCTTTATTCATTGAATCTTTCTAGCTCTGCCAGAATTCTCAAAATCTATGCTGCTACCTGAAAATAAGCTGGGGCAATCATAAGATTCACCTTGTTTGTTTTCTCTTTATCAGATGTCATAAATTTGTTTAATATAATTGCTGCCTAGGCAGCTGTTTCTAGGCATAATACATGAAACCCACCATCTTTGGCTTAGTTAAAACCCCCCTCCCTAATATGGCTGTTTGCCATATAGCCTGCTTGTTCTTCATCTCACTGAACCAAAACCCAACGTATTGCACAGCTGCCAACTGTAATAAAGCCTAATGTTAAACATCATAGTCATGCAAACAAATTCCCAGCTTCATGTGCATTTTCTTTAAAATAGGCAATTCACAACCCCTAAGGAAAAGCCTAAAGGAAAATACCATAAACCTTAATAAAGACATAATCCCAAAGGTTTCCTTTCTCTATCACTCCCTACCTGCTGGTTGAGTTCCCTTACTCCTCCAAACTTCTCCTTGGCCTCCTATTGGCACCCCTAACTTCTCTGGACCTGTAAGTAACACATTTCTTCTATGTTATACGTTTTGCTTTCACTCCCTAATACGTCTACCTGAACCTAATTTTCCCACCGATCGGGGCTCTCCTAGAGAGTGGGTGTCTGGTTTATTGACATTTTCAAGAGAGAGACATCAAGACCAAATTACAATAGAAATCTCAACACGAGGGTCACTGATCTTCGTTGTCTGATGTCCAATGACATACAACTGTTTTTAAATATATTTCATCTAATGTTTTTAGTTGTTTTAAATAGGAGGGTAGGTCCAATCACAGTTAATTCATCTTGCTAGAAGCAGAAGTCTGAATGATTCTATTTGCTTGCAGATGAAAAAACTAATCTATCTGATATAAATTGAACAAGTCTGCCTGTGGGAGAGAATTGACTGAAAGAGAACAAGCAATTATTTTGTGGTGATGTAAATGTTCTATATCTTCTGTGGGTGATTGTTATAGAGGCATATTACAATTGCCAAAACTCATGGAAATTCCCACCTAAGATGTGTGCTTTTTATTTTCCATCATGTATGCCACAAAAAATAATTAAAATCTCTATATTTGATCTTGCTCATCCATCTCTGACCTTCAAAGAAAGAAATCAATCTGACATTCTAGCCCAGGTACTCTTTCCTCCTTCCCCTGCCACCCTCGCCAATAAATCAACCCACAGACACAGAGAAATGAAGACACAGGTGTTGGGCTCCTTTCCATCGTAAAAGAAATTCTACCTCTTTGATTTCTAGCAGACATGTAAGTTCTTCAGATATACCCTAACACAGTGTTATGATATATGAAATGCACACTATTCATTAATGGTGTTTGATAAAGTCTAACTCAGTTTGTCTATTCTCCTAAGTGTAGCAGAGAAACGTGTTACTTTTCCTCCCAGTGTTTATTTTAAATATCATTAACAGACACTTTCACAAAGTTGGCCTGTTGGAATACAGTGTTACCAACTTCCTGGGTTTTAAGGGACAGATGTATTATCACATCAGTTTTAATGGTTTCTAAGAGTTGTTGTGATTTTCTTTGTTCCAGGGCTACCTGCCCCTCAGTTAGGTTTCATAGCTTGGCAGTTACGGCTTCTTAATTTATTATCATGAAAGTTATGGTTTGCAGACTTGTTTTCAATCCATTATTACCTCCCTTAAAATATCTTACAACCTGTCATTATGATAAACAGGGCTGAGCAGTGAAGATAGCCTCAGTTTTTGAGAAGATTCTTTGCTTGCTTATATGCATTTTAAAAGGTAATATAAAGCCAATTATACACATTGGCTGTGGATTTCATTTCTATGGTGTTGGGCAGCTGATAATACGAAAAATGTTTGTATTTGGGAACCACTGGGGAGAAAATTATTTTTTCTCATATGATAGAATAATACTAATATTATGACCAAAATTTAGAGGGCTAAAGCCAGTGTCTCTAGGGAGGTAGAAAGGCACAGAACCAGGAGGCAAGGCACCTGGGTTCCGGTTCCCTTGCTTCTCTTTGTTAATCTTCAAATCACATATAATTATCACAATATAGTGATAATTACAGTGATAATATAATGATAATGAGCATCAAAGACAAAGATAGTATTCTAAAAGCTTTCAGAAAAGAAGAAAAAATTACTAAAAAAATTTTATTGAGTTTGATATGGACATTAGCCTCTCTATTGCCAGGCACAGTGGCTCATGCCTATAATCCCAGCACTTTGGGAGGAAAAGGCAGGAGGATCACTTGAGGCCAGAAGTTGGAGACATTAGCTCTTCAAAAGCAATGTTAGATATAAAAAGACAGGAAGATAATATATATTTCGTAGTTATTGAATGAAAATGATACGTGTTGTGTAATTTGTGTAAAATCTGATTTCCAATCAAATTTTAAGACATAATAAAGTTATTCTCTTAAGAAGAAGTCATAAGAAGTATTTACCACTCAATTGCCCACACTGAAAACAATGTTTGAAGAAATGCTGCGATAATGTCAGAAACAAATCCAGGAGACATTGCAAGAGATAGACACAGCAGAGATAATAAAATTTCATATTAAAGTTTGTTGTCAAGGCAAACACACTCACATAGACACAGTCACATAGTCACATGCACGTGAAAATAGTAAGAGAAAGACTGTCTCTAATAATTCAGGATTATAGTAATATACAATATCAACATAAGGCTTTCTTTTCCTGAGATTTTAAAAAATGTGTTTATTGATTTGTCCTATTGGACCTCTTACCAAGTTTTTACATTTCCCTTATAATTATTTAAGACTTTAAGTTTCTCTTGATTTTTGAGATAGCCCATAATTACAGTCAGGCACTATATAACCATATTTCAGTTGATGATGGATTGCATATATGACAGTGGTCACAAAAGCTTATAATGGAGCACAAAAATTCCTATGGCCTAGTAATGTTGTAGCTACTGTAACATCACAGCGCAACACATCACTCATGTTTTGGAGTGATGCTGGTGTACATAAACCTACCACACTGCTAGTCATATACAAGTATAGCACATACAATTATTTATGAGGACTATAAGGCATATTAAAGTATTGAGATATTATTTGATACATTTACATAAAAACTACTAATATCTCACATAACACAGAGTAAACTTTGGTAAACCTTGTCCTCAGAGAAGTCATACAGTGTCTTCCATTTGCTCTTCTGAATATAGAATCCATGCTGCAGGCATCAATATTCTATTAATTTATAGTGGCACTAGAAGTAATTGTAAAATAAGTGCTATAGGTCATTCTGGTAATATATTTCTGTTCAAAGTCAAGAACACTGACTAATGATGAAATGCCTAAAGCAAACATATATTGTTAAAAATCATTTAAGTTTTAGAAAATGACACGTTTCTCAAATTTCAAACAAGGTATTGCTGAAAGATAAAAAGTCAAGTTTTATTAACATTTATTTTTCCACTGGAAAATTAACTGATGCTGACAGCACCGGAGCCACTTGATAGGGTTATACAATTTTGTTTAGTTTCAGATTCAAAGACTGAACCACTAAACTTTCTTTCCAGTATCATTGTTACTAGGAAGGTCAGATAAAGTTTCCTGAATACAAACTGGATCATGCTTCTCACTTAAGAACATTCAATAGGTTTTTCAGTTTAGAATAAAAATCACATTCTACACTGTAATTTGTCCCTCCCTCCTCTCCAGCCACAAGTCCAATTTGACCCTCTATTTCAGTCACTATGAACAATTAATATTTGCCTGGGCCGGTATATCTGTCCATATCATAACTGCGTATATTTTTATAGAATTTTTTTTCTTGTGCTTGCAATGCCCCTTTCCTCCTTTATTGCCCAGATATATTATTTCGCTTCAAGTTTTAGAACCATTAAACACTCTACGACTGCTGAAAGCCTCTAGCATAATGCTTGACATATAAAAGGAAAGCATAGTAGAATTCCAAAACACAAGCTTTTATATATATAGTATATATATAAATATATATATGAATATACATATATATGAGACACTGGGATTTGAATTGCAGCTCTTGCTCCTTTTACCAGTGTGACATGGAAAAACGGCTTAATCTCTTTGAGCCTTGTTTTCCTATTCCTTAAAATGAGATATGAGAATAATGCGTACCTCAAAGAACTGCTGTCATGGCTGAATGAAACCAGTAAATGTCACAGGTGCTCAATTACTCTTTGATAACACATCTTTGGTAACACACGTTACATCTATTCATATTTTGCCTCCATGATTTCATTTAATGCCTGGAATACTTCAGTTATTTAAAAATGTTACTTTAAAATAAAATAATAGAGATAATGATAATAGTAGTAGTGGCAGTTTATATGAAGACAAGGATGGAAGCTTTTTGAAAGATGCCAAGAGGAATCTCTAAGTAGAAAAGATATTTATGAAGATGACCTTTTAAGAAGTACTTCCCTAAAGTGTTGATAGGCAGAGTGAAAAGCTGTGAGCAACAATGTTCAATAACTCTGCAAACAAAATATTCCATATGATTTGGTGGAGGAACACAGGCAACACTGCTGTTTTATGAATGTTTTGTGTGTACTTGAAAAGATATGTATGTTCCTCAGTTGTTGAGCATAGCTCTCTATATAATTCTAGTATGTCAAGTTTGTTAATTATATATTTTAAAACAAATACATTTCTTTTTTTAAAAAAAAAGATTCATTTTTTGAGATTTATTATTCAAGGATTGATTTTTGAAATATGCTTTATTGTCCCATTATGATAATAGAGTTACTCTTTTAACCTGGTTTTTTGGTCAGTTTCATCTATATGTTTTAATTATATGATTAGTTCACTTGAGTTTACCTTTGTCAGGTAAATTAAAACTCTCATAAATATATACCTCTTATTTTTTTCTGTATCAAAGTCCATTTTATTTGATAATAATACAGGTTCACCAGGTTTATTTTGATTATATTTTTCCTGTCTTTTTCTTTCAAACTTTTGTGACCTAATGTTTTTAGGTATCTCTTTTAAATACCAGAATTGCATTTAAGAAAAACAAATACAAATTTGCAACACACACACATACACAGACACAAATAGTATATTTACCTCTTCACTGAAGAGTTTGCTAGAATAATTTTATATTTTGACTCATTTTGAACATTCTATTTGATGTTATTTTTTATTCTCCCTTTTTCATTTACTACTCAAGCTCCAGCCTCCACCTACCCAACTCCCATTATTTTGTTTTGTTTTAGTTAAATTTCGTGGGGCTTTTTTGCTTGTTTGTGTTTTTTAATTGCATGTTTCTCTTCTACCAATCTATAAATTACGTAACCTAGTCAAATAATTACAGGTACTTTAATATTTTAACATGCATATTTAATTTATTGAAGCCTAAACTTACTCAATACTTCTAGTCTTTTCATCACAATTTGTCACTTCTGCTAACCTACATGACCTGTATTTTAGTTCTAATATGATTTTTCTTTTACTGAACAACTAAGACATTACTTTTATTCTTAAACTCTCAATAGTATTTAGCTTTTTATTTACATGTTGATCATGTTCTTCTCAATGTTTACTTTTCTTCTTGTTCGACATTCCTCTGAAGATGTATTTCTTGCTACCAGGAAATATGTCTCAGAAGTACCTTTAGTGAAAAGTAAAAAGAGCAAAAATCTGTTAATAGTAATTTTTTATTATATTTAATTTTTGCTAGCAAGTCTTTAATTTGGTAGTATTACTGAATATAGATTTCTAAGTTGAGAATTTATTTTATTTTGGTATAACGAAGATTTTCTTCCATGATCTTCTAGGTTGCAGTGGTCTAGTCATCGGGAAATCTGACATTTTTATCTGTCAAACTATTTTTATTTGCTTTGTAAGTGATTGGACACTCTGGCTGTTTTACATCTTTTTTATTTTGCCTATGGTGCTGTGAAGTCATTTCTATAATGTGCTTAGACATTGATATATTATAATTTATTCTTCTTAGAATTCCTTGTCTTACTGGATTCAATAATTATGATCTCATATAATATAAAATATTTTCAATGAATAACTTTCTAGATATTTTTGGGCCACAATATCAATCACTACTTAGTCTTTCTAAAATTTCAGTATGTTATACACTAAATGTTCTTATGTTATTCTCTATGTCTCTTAAGTCCTATTAAACTTTTTAGTATACTTTTTCATTTTTGAAAATATCTTATTACTTTTACTATCTTTTATTTCTTTAAATCTTTAATACATTTATTTCAAATCCTACATGCACTAATTATTGGCAGCAACAATAGCTTGTTTTTTCCACTCATGCTATTTATGGCTATTTTGCTTTGTGGTTTTAATTTAAACTAATATGATAGGAATTTGTGTTTCAGAAAATTTGAGTCCCAAGTTTAATGTATATTGCTCCACGGAAGATTTGTATTTGCCCTCCCTAGATACATGAGACATTACCATGCTGGTATGTCTTTAAACTGAACTGTTTATTTATATTCTTCTAGGTTTAACAGGAATTATACATTTCAAAAACGTTTGGAGGTGAGTTAATTTTTAAAGATTCTTGGGAGGATTTTTCAATCTTCTCTACCCTAGTCAAGTTCTTAACAGGCATGTTTCTTTATATCTCCTTCCGTAAGGGGAAAGCTTCCCTACTTCACCTATTGCAGTTACCACCCTCGATGAAATCATATTTATATTAGAAGAGGTCTTAAATTTAATCACCCATCCCATTCAGTCTTTGTGACTTATTTCAACCAGAAGAATTTCATCTTTTTAGTTCTTTTTTTATTTTTAAATTTGTAATTTATGATGGATTCTTAATAATGTAGATAATTATGGGGTACATGTGATTTTTTTTACAGACATACAATGTGTAATGATCAAATCAGGAAAATTGTGGTACCCATCATCTCAAACTTATCATTTTTGTGTGTTTTGAACATTCTAATTCTGTCCTTTTATAATAGTTATTTTTTAATATACATTATTGTTAACCATAGTCATCCTATTATGCTATTGAATAATAGATTTTATTCATTCTATCTAGCTGTATTTTTGTATCTGTTAACCGTCAGCTCTTTATTCCCACAACTCCCCACTACCCTTCACAGCCTCTGGTAGCCATCATTATATCCTCTATATCCATGAGTTCATTTTTTTTTTAAGCTCACACATATGAATGAGAATATGTGATATTTATCTTTTTGTGCCAGGCTTATTTCACGTAACACAATGAACTTGACGTAACATATTTCACTTAACATAATGTCCTGCAGTTCCATCCATGTTGTTGCAAATAACAAGATTTCACCCATTTTACAGCTGAATAATATTTTATGTGTATATGTACCACATTTTCTTTATTCATTCATCCATTAACTGGACAACTAAGTTGATTCCATGTCTTGGCTCTTGTGAATAATGCTGCAATAAATAAGATTATTATTTTATAATATATTTACATTTACAAGCATTCTTAAATGTAGATGAAAGTGGAGAATAAATGCATGGACAAAAATTATCAGTCGTTGGTGTGTATGTACATACTTCAGTCTTATTGATTTGACTAATAATGTTTGGTCCCTTAACATATTCAAATCAGCTAAGTGTAGAGTCCCAGCTACAGATATAGATTGAATATGTATTCAATTAAAAATCCCAGTAATATTCAATGGCATCTCATTTTTTTCAGTTAGTACTGATGGCAGATAGACAAAAAGTTTATTGCAAGTTTAATGTACATGAAAAAGCGGTTTGAATTACAGTGGCTTACTGTCAAAGTGTGTCATTAGCCAATGTAAAACCATATCTAGCATAGGTAGATCAAAAATATATGAACCTGGCCGGGCGCGGTGGCTCACGCCTGTAATCCCAGCACTTTGGGAGGCCGAGGCGGGCGGATCACGAGGTCAGGAGATCGAGACCATCCCAGCTAAAACGGTGAAACCCCGTCTCTACTAAAAATACAAAAAATTAGCCGGGCATAGTGGCGGGCGCCTGTAGTCCCAGCTACTTGGGAGGCTGAGGCAGGAGAATGGCGTGAACCCGGGAGGCGGAGCTTGCAGTGAGCCGAGATCCCGCCACTGCACTCCAGCCTGGGCGACAGAGCGAGACTCCGTCTCAAAAAAAAAAAAAAAAAAAAAAAAAAAAAAAAAAAAATATATATATATATATATATATATATATATATATATATATATATGAACCTAAATGTAGTAAACATGACATTTCCATAATCATCATTGGCATAGTAGCCAATTAAGCTAATTTTCTTTGCATCTAATCTAACCAGTATGCCGTAAATGTTTTACAGAGAAGGAAATGTTTTAAATTTCCCATTCTCTGAATCTATTTCTGTGAATTAGCAAGAATCCCTCACTTCTATAGGTAATACCAAGCTAGAGGCACACAAATTATTTTTAGCATCTTGGCCCCATGCACTATTCATCTCCAAATAGTTTAATAGCTTTTATAAGTTTGTCATATCATTTACTACCAAGGGTGAAGCAGAATACATCCTTAAAACAGAACTGTTTCCATAAAACTCTGTATACCAGCATTTCAGAAAAACTCTGGGCCACAACTCTTTTTCAAGTTCCTAAGCCTATTTTGCTGTGTATTACAGTCCCTTTTTGTTGTTGTTGTTGTTAATCACTCAATTATTATTTACTTCTCTATAAAGATTAGGTTCAACTTTTAGTTTCCATATTTTCTCTAATTCTCAAGATGGCTTTTGTTCGTGGGTGCAGTCTTTGTTGCTTCTTTTGCTATAGAACCATTATTTGAGTAATATCTCTAGAGACCTTACAAGCCTGGCTTCAAAGAGCTGTCCCCACCCTTGCTTGTTCAAGAGAAGAATTAGAAAATGTGCTAACAAATAACCAAGGGAAGGTGTATTAGTGAAAGTTTGTCCAACAACCATACCAGCCTTCCACCAATCAAATTAATCTAAGCCCTGTTTTGGTTTAAATAAAGCCACAGCAATTATATCCACTACACAACATTTATTTGTATAAAATACACCTAGTATTTTACACCAGTAAAGTTTTTAGTCCCTCACCTTAAGAAATCAGTCTCCCTTCTTATGTCTATAAGTAAATGTCATGTGACTGCTTTAGTTTCCCTTTTGTGATGAGCTCAGAGCCCTTTTTTCACTTTAATGTTTTAAATCAATTTGATATATAATATTTGTACATATTTAAGGGGTACATGTGATATTTTAATAGAAGCTTACAATACATAATGATCAAATCTTGGTAAATAGGATATCTATCATTTCACACATTTATCATTTCTCTGTGTTGGGAATATTCCAAATCTATTTTGAAATATACATTAAATTATTTTTTATTATACTCACCCTATTGTATTACCAAACAGTTGATCTTTATTCCTTCTCTCTGACTGTATTTTTTTATCAACTAACCACAGCCATCTATTCCCCTTCCACACTACTCTTCCAAGCCTCTAGTAACCACCATTCTATTCAATACCTCCATGAGATCAAGTGTTTTCGCTATCACATACGAGTCAGAATATGTGACATTTGTCTTTTGGTGCCTGGCTTACTTAACATAATGGGCCATAATGGGCTCCGGTTCCATCCATATTGTCACAAATGACAGGATTTCATTATTTTTATAGTGGAGTAAAAGTCTATTGAGTATATATGCTACCTTTTCTTTAATCATTTATCCACTGATGGACAACTGGGTTGATTCCATATCTTGGTTATTGTGAACAGTGCTGTGATATGTATGGGAATTCAGATATTTGTTTGATATATTTATTCCTTTCTTTTGAATACATACCCAGTAGTGGAATTGCTGGATCACAAGGTAATTCTATTTGTAGTTTTTTGACCAATCTCCACATTGGAGAAAGGAAAGTCTCTTCAACAAGTGGTGCTCTGAAAACAATATTCATGTGTACAAGAATTAAACTAGACCCCTTTCTCTCAAGATTTATATAAATTAAATAAAAATGAATTAAAAACTCAAATGCAAGAACTGAAACTTTAGAAATACTAGAAGAAAACATTGAGGAAATGATGCAGGACATCGGTCTCGGCAAATATTTCTTGAGTAAGACCTCAAAATAAAAGGGAATCAAAGCAATATTGGACAAATGGGATCACTTCAAGCTAAAAAGCTTCTGCAGTGCAAGGGAAACAATAAAAAAAGTGAAGAGACAACGTACAGAATGGGAGAAAATATGTGCAAAACTATTCATCTGACAGTTAGTAACCTTAACATATAAGGAGCTCAAAAAAGTGGATAGCAAATAGTAATAATAATAACCCAATAGAAAATTAGGCAAATGCTCTGAACTGACATTTTTTTTACAAGAAGACATATACATAGCCAAGAGGTGTATGAGAAAATGTTCAACATCAGTAATCATCAGGGAAATGCAAATCAAAATAAAAATGAAAAATCATCTCACCCCAGTTAAAATGTTTTTTATCCAAAAGACAGAAAATAACAAATGCTGATGAAGATGCAGAAAAAGGGGAATGCTCATACACTGTTGGTGGGGATGTAAAATTAGTGCAACCACTATGGAAAAACTTTGCTTTTTCTAATCAGTTCACATTGATATATTCGTTACTGGAATCTAGAGTTGGTATGTTTTCTTTATTTCTTTAACTTTGGTCTTGAACTTTTCTTTGTGTGCTTGCATCCAATTGTGATAAGCCTATGTATCTCTAGTTGGTAGAGGTCCTTTATGTTTAACACTAAACTGACCTAATTAAGATTGATGACAAGAAACTAGGGGACTGGGCAGGGCTCTGTAAAACCAAAGGATAAAATCCTATAAAGTGATTGAGTGCAGTTTTGTAGTATTTAAGGACTGTGGTAATCTGAGGATATGGATTTCATTAAAGAGTACTTCAAATGCAAGATGTGAATAAATAAAATTCAGTGTCATAAAAAAATTTTTGAGATGTAAGTGATTAAAGGAAATGCATCACCAGGCAGACAATTCATACATTTTCCCCAAGTAAAAATTGCCTGGGATTTTACTATCTAGAAGATAAGATTTATATTTTATTTACATTCCATGAGTTTCCACAATGAATTTACTTAAAAAATATGTTTCTACTGAGAGCAAAAGTGACTTAACAAAGCAGAAAGAAACAGAATCACAAAAGAGAAGCTATCAGGAACACACCCAGTGTCAAAATCTTGCTAGCCTTACTGAAAGTTAAGGAGATTGCCTTCTTAATAAAGACAGCTCCATGTTCACAGATACAGCATGAACATCACTGTGACTATCTTGTATAAATTTGGCATAAACCCTGCATATAATATGGTAGCTATAGTGATCATAATATTCAGCTAAAAGTGGCATATAATTTGATTTTTTTTTTTAAGTTGAAAGAGACAATCTGTCAAACATAGTTTGGATGACAAAATAAAGGGGTTTTTTGGACACATTTGAGGTTCTTATGCTTTCTTCTCATGATAAGCCCTTTTTCTCTTTACAAAAATTAACCACAAATTCATCAAAAATAAGACAATTGAGAATATAGTGAGTTTCTTGTCACTACTATTGTAAAACCAGAGACTTGACCATTGTTAAAATTGTTTTGTGGGGATTCAGACCCTGGGAGATTGAGTGAGGTGAAAGATTCCTATAATGTGTTATGCATAAATTAGAACCTGGAGGTCATTTTAAAAACACAGAGTGCATGGCTACATTCATGAACTATTGTATCAGACTATTTTAAGAAAGGAAATTAGAGAGCTGGATATCATTTATTTCTGATTTTTTAAAGTAAACTCTTTACATAATTTTGTAGCAACTATCCTTTAGATTATAGCCATAAATAAATAAGTCTAAAAACACTTTCACTTTAATGGATCTATTTTTCTGTGGCTTTGGATTTGATCATGTGTCAAGATTTTGGACTCCTTTCTGCTCCATTAAATCTTAGCATTCCCATGTGCCATTTCCATAATACCTTGTTAACATAACCTTCATGACAATGAGTGATTTTGATTCTCCCAGCTAATTCAAGCCATACTAAAGGATCAGTCTTAGTGTAGATTTTGTTTGTTTGTTTTGATTTCAAGGAGTAAAGACACAGGATGACTAAAGAAAATATTTTTGTATTGCTAAGGATATATCGGGAAATTTACTTTTAAAAAGTTGTGATGTTACTATTATTTTATATTTGAAGGTATTTGAAGTACTTTTTTGTAGATTTCCTGTGGATGCAACCTAAAAATAGGGGCTTCATTTTGTGAACTTTTATAAAAATCATCTAGAATCGGAAAGAGAAAAATAAAACTCAGTCCTGAAAACCTTAATTGTTTTCCCTTGAAAAAATAAAATCACTTCATTCTATAATTAGGAAAAAATATATTTTCTCTCTTCAAATGAAATAAGACATATGTAGTAAAAGGTAAGTTATTAATAAGAGTAAAATAATTTATTAAATAAATACAAATATACTTAAAACTTACATTAGACATTGAAAGTTGTATATTCCAAAAAGGGCCACAATAATTTGTTGCTTTTCCTGTGTTGAAGATATCTGGATTCTGGACTGGTTTTGTGTGTGTGTGTGTGTGTGTGTGTGTGTATGTGTGTGTATGCACTTTGTGTGACTTATTTTGACCAGAAAAATCCAGTGAAAGTAAATTCCTCAGTCTAGGCCTCAAGAGACTTTTTTGATTCTATTTTTGCGGCTCTTGGAAATTTGCCATTGTGGAAACAGCTCGACTTCTGTGTTAGATGACGAGATACATTTGGTCCAGTCACAGATAATGCTCCAATAGATAGCCAGCCAACTGCCATACACGTGAGTGAGGACATCCGTGAGCAGCTAGTCCCCTGCCAATTTACACACTTATGAACAAGCCCAGCTAAGATCAGCCAACAATGACCCAGGCCAGAAAAATGGCCAAGCAAAGTTGTTAAGTTAAATATATGGTTGTTGCATTAGACAAAATTTTAAGGTAATTTGTTTCATAGCAATAGAATAATTAATATTGCAAACATTGTATCTTTCCAATCACTGCTTGATATAATTATTCTAATATAATGTTCTTCTGGATTCTGCAAAAAACATTCTCTATTCATACTTTTTTCACTCAGACTGCTTGTAGAGTTTTTGTCTTGATGATATGGTTTGGCTGTGTCCCCACTCAGATCCCAGCTTGAATTGTATCTCCCAGAATTCCCATGTGTTATGGGAGGAATCCAGGGGGAGGTAATTGAATCATGGGACTGGTATTTCCCATGCTTTTCTCGTGATAGTGAATAAGTCTCACAAGATTTGATGGGTTTATCAGGGATTTCCACTTTTGCTTCATCCTCTTTTTCTCTTGCCACTGCCATGTAAGAAGTACCTTTCACCTCCTGCGATGATTCTGAGGCCTCCACAGCCATGTGGAACTGTAAGTCCAATTAAACTTCTTTTTCTTCCCAGTCTTGGATGTCTTTATCAGCAGCATGAAAACGGACTAATACTCTGATATATTTCAACCTCTGTTCTCTAAGATCTTATAGTAACAACTCTTTCAAGAGAAATTTAACTATATAAAAATGTATACATTTTAGAACTAAAATAAATAGACCAAATTGGTTATAGAAAAGTGGTGGAATTACAGTGACTATTAGCTGTGAATGTCACCAACCACTACCTCATTCAAATAGTCCGTTCTCACATGAAAACAATTTTAGTAACACTGTGCAGATGAAGACCCATCCTAATCCATGCCTCTGTATCTCGGCACATAGAATACTCTCTGCCTCAAATACCATACTTTTACTTCTTGAGTTCATTTAGTGTCCAATCCTCTTTCAAACCTCAGATAAAATATTATCTTCCTTGGAGGAACTTTCCTAACTATTCTGCTTGCAATGTTTCCTGATACTACCTGCCCAAGTGAAGTTGATTTGTGCAGGCTCTATGGCACTTTTTATTCAATTGTGGTATTTCATGTGTTTCATTATTTTGTGCCCGTCTCAAATCCTATCAGATATCATGCCTAATAAGAACTACTGCAAGCGCCTGTTAATCTGCCCCCAGATATTCTCTTTGCTTTCAGAAAAGTTAAGAACTGTCAGCACAGACCTCAACAGTAGCCACCTAGAGGCTTGTACTGCACCATTCACCAGGAGACAACAATCAATTTGTGCCCCAATTGCCTAAAGTGGTAACCTGCTCACTGACACACACCCCTGCATTTGTTTTCTTTCATTTTCTCATTTCTCTCACTCCCTTACCTGGGCTCACAACCTAAAGGAACCTCTTGAATTAAATTTTTGTCCTGGGTCAGGTTTGGGGGAACGCAACCTAAGACTGTGGGCATTCATGTGTTGAATATTTATATCTTGTACTAGATTCTGACCTGCAAGGTCTTTTTTTTTTTTTTTTTTTTTTTTTTTTTTTTTTTTTTTTAAGAAGTCTCTCTCTGTTGCCCAAGGTGGAGTACAGTGGTGTGATCTCGGTTCACTGCAACCTCCACCTCCCGGGTTCAAGCGATTCTCCTGACTCTGCCTCTTGAGAAGCTGGGACTACATGTATGCATCACCATGCACAGCTAACTTTTTTATTTTTTGTAGAGACGGGGTTTCACTATGTTGGCCAGGCTGGTCTTGAACTTCTGACCTCGTGATCCACCCACCTCGGCCTCCCACAGTGCTGAGATTACAGGCGTAAGCCACTGCACCTGACCCCCATATCTTATTATCTCTACATTAATCATGCTACCTGGAACATTCGTGTTCAATAAATTTTGGTTGAATACTGTTGGTATGTTTTTCATGGAACTTTTAGTTCTATAATTTCTTTTAAAGAAGTTTTGGAAATCGTGTATTATTTGTATAATTCTTTTCCCACCCCACATCCCCAAAGCTAATATTATATAACTGGGCATGGAACTAATGAGTTAAAAATATATGTTACTAAAATGTCAAAAGGTCCCAATAAGAAAAATTATCTGCTTCCCTGTACGCAGGCAAATCTTTTATACTTTTATAATTGCAAATGTCAAATTTTTCAGCCTAATATATGTCCGTTTTCCCCAGAGCAGAGGCTGTCTTTCATTTTTTTAAAACAAATTAGGCAACGTTATAGTCATAGTAAAAATAGACCTACATTAAAGTGATTAAGAATTTAATAAACTTAAAGGATTTAATAAAAATACGGAGTTCACTTCTTTGCTATTTGATAAGTATATTATTATCCGGGTTAAAGCCTTTTAACTTAAGTCTTCTCACTTATAAAATGCAAAAGAAAGTAATACTTAACTCTTCGTGTCATTGCAAGAATTAAATGAGGTGATATAAGCAAAGCATTTAGTACAAGACCTGCAACACTGTAGGTAATCATTAAATGGTAACAGTAGTTTGGGGAAACACAAAGATAAATAAGAAATCAATTCAGCTCTCAATAATATTATGCCTAACAAGCAAGAATAATCATGAACACTACTTATTAATGCAAATTAGAAAATGAGGGTGTAAGAAAGTAAAAGAAAAAATGCTGTAATAGTTCATTTATATCCATTTGATAGAATTTAGGAAACTTTCTGGAGGAAGTGACACCTATGCTAAGGCTTGATGGATACATATAATTTGGACAAGAAAAGAAGTATGCAAAATCTGTGTCTCAATGAGCAAACATCTCAGATATCCTTATATAGTATTTATCAAATAACTGTAAAAACCGAGTTAGATATGATAGAAATCACATTACCTGACTTTAAATTATACTATACAGCTATAGAACCAAAACAGCATGGTAATGGCAGAAAAACAGACACAGAGACAAATGAAACAAAATAGAGACCCAAAAATAAATTTATACATCTACAGTGAACTCATTTTCGACAAAGTTGCCAAGCACATACATTGGGGAAAGTACAGTCTCTTTACTAAATGGTGCCAGGAAAACTGTATATCCACATGCAGAAGAATGAAACTAGACTACTATCTCTTACCATTTATAAAAATTAAAACAGGTTAAAGACTTAAATCTGATACCTCAAACTATGAAACTAGTACAAGAAAACATTGGGGAAACTCTTGGGATCATTGGTCTGGGCAAAGATTTCTTGAGGAATACCCAAAAGACATAGGTAACCAAAGCAAAAATAAACAAATAGGATCACATTAAGTTAAAACGTTTCTGCACAGCAAAGGAAACAATGAACTAGGTGAAGAGACACACCTGCAGAATGGGAGGAAATGTTTGCAAACTATGTATCTGACAAGAGATTAATAACCAGAGTATATAAAAAGCTCAGACAATTCAACAAGAAAAGAAACCTGATAATATGATTTTGAAATAGGCAAAGACCTGAATAGACGTTTCTCAAAAGAAGACATGCAAATGGTAAACAGGTATATGAAAAGCAGCTCAATATCATTGATCATTGAAGAAATGCAAATAAAAACTACAATGAGATATCATTTCACCCCAGTTAAAATGGCTCTTATTCAATGACAGGCAAGAACAAATACTGCCAAGGATGTGGAGAAATGGGAACCTGAATTCATACAATGTTGGTGGTAATGTGTAATAGTACAGCTACTATAGAGAACACTATGCAGTTTTCTCCAACTAAAAATAGAACCACCATATAACCTAGTAATTCTGCTGCAAGATATATACCCCTGCTAGAAAAGAAATCAGTACACTGAAGTGATATCTACACTGTCATGTTTATTGCATTACTATTCACAATGGCAAAGATTTGGAATCAACCTATATGTCCAACAGAAGAATGGACAAACAAAAGGTGGCACATATACACAATGAAGTACTATTCCGATGTATGAAAGAATGAGATTCTGTCATTTGCAACAACATGGATGGAACTGGAGGTCATTATGTTAAGTGAAATAAAACAGGCACAGAAAGGCAAACTTTGCATGTTCTTACTCAATTGTGGGAGCTAACAAAATAAGTGTACTCATGGAGATAGAGAGTAGAATGATGGTTACCAGAGGTGGGAAGGTTAGTGGTGCAGGGACAGTGAGATGGTAGGTACAAATATATACTGAGATAGAATGAATAAGATCTGGTATTTGATAGCACAACAGAGTAATTAGTCAATGATAATTTATTGTACATTTGAAAATAAAGAGTATAATTGGAATGTTTACCACAAAGAAATGATAAGTATGTGAGGTGATATATACCCCATTTACCCTGATGCAATTATTATACATCATATCCCCATATCAAAATATCTCACATACACCATAAATGAGTACCTGTTGTGTACTCATAAAAAATTTTAAAAATTAAAAACTGAATTAGAGAGTAATATTAAATTTTTTACAAAATAAATGCAAACGCCCATTTTAAAATGATTTTCTGATATGTATTTTCTGTACTTCTGTGTGTTTTTTTATTTCAGTAAAACATTAAAATATTATAACTTATTATACCACGCATAAATATGACAAAATACGAAACAAGGTGTAGAGAAAACAAAATTTCTTTCATTCACAAAAGGCCATTGCTGATAATTTCAGATTCAGCCTCTTTCAACTCCAAGGTGTCTAGCATGGATTACTAACAGACACAGAAAGCAATCATAATTTCTTCAATTACTCTAGCTACCCACTGCTTGATATTATACATAACTGACAAATATTCAGGGATTGATTTTTTGGGATCTCATTTTTAAAGGAGTTTTTAGAAGAAAATCATATCAACTAATCAGCCATCTATTCATCATTTAACATGACAGAACTGAGGAAAAATCCTTTAGGAGAATAAAAAAATTACAAAATCCCGACGGACTCTAAGTCTAGTTACTCCTTTTCATATGTTTTAAATGCTTGTCACTGGAAATTTATCTGATGGTCCAGACTTTTAGCACAGAAACTCTGGGATAGTTTACAAAGAAAACCTGGAAAAAAAAACAAGAATTAACCCATAGAGTAGAGTGTTCACATAGTTAGAATAATGATATTAGATAATATTTGAATATTGTTTTACCTATTAAGCCATCATAAAACATACAAGTCTTTAATTTTAATAACCATAAAGTAAATTGTTTAAAGAAAATGTTAAGATGTTCAATTTTAACATGAGGAAATTGAAGCTTAGCAAAACAAATAAGAAGGCTTAGTCTAGATACAATGGCAGGCTTCTTTATCAGTAAAGTCACAGGTTAGAAATCCCAGATTTTGGATTCTTTATAGAGACCTGAGTTTGAATCACAAGTCTGCTATTTACTAATTGTGTAACTTTAATCAGTTTGCTTAATTTCTCCATTTTAAAAAAAATTTTTATTGATACATTATGTTTAACACATTTATGAGGGTACATGTGATAGTTACACACATGGAATATGTAATGGTTAAGTCAAGGTATTTGAGATATTCATCTGTATTAGTCCATTCTCATGCTACTATAAGGACATATCAGAGACTGGGTAGTTTATAAAGGAAAGAGGTTTAATTGACCCACTGTTCCACAGGGCTGTGGAAACCTCAGGAAACTTAACAATCATGGTGGTAGGAGAAGAAAACATGTCCTTCTTCATATGGTGGCAGGAAGGAGAAATGCTAACCAAAGCAGGGAAAAGCCCCTTATAAAATCATCAGCTCTCATGAGAATTCCCTCCCAATCACGAGAACAGCATGGGGGCGTAACCACCCCCATGATTCAATTGCCTCGCACCAGGTCCCTCCCAGGACACATGGGGATTAAGAGAACTAAAATTCAAGATGAGATTTTGGTAGGGACACAGCCAAATCCTATCACTATCACTTTCAGTGTTTATCATTTCTATGTGTTGAGAATAAATCAACTCCTCTCCTCTAGCTACTTTCATATATACAATATATTGTTGTTAACTACTTGCAGTCATTCTACTCTGCTGTTTAACAATAAAACTTACACCTTTTATATAACTTATGTTTTTACCCATAAAGCTACCTCTCTTCATTCACCCTTGCCACTGACATATACTTTCCATCCTCTAGTGTGTATCATTCTGCTTTCCACCTTTATGAGATCAACTATTTTACCTCCTACATATGAGTGAGGACATGAGATATTTGTCTTTTTGTGTTGGTTTTATTTCACTGAACGTAATGACCTCCAGTTCTAAACATGTTGCTGCAAGTGACATGACTTTATTCTTTTTTATGGCCAAATAGTATTCCACTGTGTATATATACCACATTTTCTTTGTTCATTCATTCACTAATGGATGCTTAGGTTGACTTCATGTATTTGCTCTTTTGAACAGTGCTGCAATAAATATGTGAGTGCAGGTATCTCTTTAATATACTGATTTATTTTCCTTTGGATAAATATCCAGTAGTGGGAATACTGGATCATATTGTAGTTCTAATTTAAGTTTTTTGAGAAATCTCCTTACTGTTTTCCATAGTGACTACATTAATTTAAATTTCCACCAGCAGTGTATGGGTTCTTTTTTCTCTGCATCCTTGCCAGCATCTGTTATTTTTCATCTTTTTAGTAATAGCCAAGCCATTCTAACTGGGGTAAAATGATACCTTGTTGTGGTTTTAATTTGTGTTTCCTGATGGTTATGATGTTAAGCATTTTTCATATATCTGTTGGCCTTTTGTATGTCTTTTTTGAGAAATGTGTGTTTATTTCCTTTGCCCACTTTTTAATGGAATTATTTGTGTTTTTTAATTGTTGAGCTAGTTTTATTAGTTCTTTGTATATTCTGGTTATTAGTCCCTTTTTGGATGGCTAGATTGTAAATATTATCTCCCGTTCAGCAGGTTGTATTTTTACTCTGGTGATTGTTTCCTTTGCTGTGCAGAAGGTTTTTAGTTTAAAACAGTACTATTTGTCTATTTATGTTTTTGTTGTCTGTGTTTTAGAAGTCTTAGCCATAAATTATTTGCATACACCAATGTCCTGAAGAGTTTCCCTATAATTTCTTCCAGTAGCTTTACAACTTTTGGTATTATGTTTAAGTCTTTAATCTATCTTGAGTTGAGTGTTGCATATAGTGAGAGATAAAAATCCAGTTTCATTCTTCTGCAAGTTGATATCTAATTTTACAGCACTAGCTATTGAAGATGATGTCCTTTTTTCATTGTATGTTCTTGATGCCTTTCTCAAAAAAATCAGTTGTCTGTAAGTATGTGGATGTTTTGGGGGGTTCTATAGTCCATGCTATTAGTCTGTGTTTCTGTTTTTATGCCAATATTATGCTGTTTTGGTTACTACAGCCTTGTAGTATAATTTGAAGCAGGTAATGTGATGCCTCTGGCTTTGTTCCTTTTACTCACGATTACTTTGTCTATTTGGGCTCATTTTTATTTCATATAAAATTTATGATTTTTTTTCTATTTCTATAAAAAAGTGGTATTTTTATAGGAATTGCATTGAATCTGTATATTGCTTTGGGCAGTATGATTATTTTAACAATATTAATTCTTTCTTTTCCTAAGCAAAGGATTAATTCTTTCCACTCATTTGTATCCTCTTCAATTCCTTTCATTAGTGTTTTGTATATTTCCTTGTAGAGGCCTTTCACCTCCTTGCTTAAAATTCCTGGGTATTTTTTGTAGCTATTGTGAATGGGACTGCCTTCTTAATTTCTTTCTCAGTTGTTTTACTGATGAATAGAAATGCTACAGATTTTTGTATATTTATTTTGTATCTTGCCACTTTACTGAATTTATTTACCAGGACTAAGAGTTTTTTTTTGCTGGAGTCTTTCAGTTTTTTCTGGATATGAGCATATCATCAGCAAAAAGGGACAACTCAACTTCTTCTTTGCCAGTTTGATGCCTTTTATGTCTTTCACTTTTCTGATTGCTCTGAATAGAACTTCTGGTACTATGTTGAATAGGAATGCTGAAAGTAGATATCATTGTCTTGCTTCAGTTCTTACAGGAAAAACTTTCAACTTTTCTTCATTCAGTATGATGTTCTTTGTGTATTTGTTGTATATGGTCTTTATTATCTTGGGGTATGTTCTTGCTACGTATAGTTTGTTGAGAGTTTTTCTCATAAAGGAATGTTGTGTTTTATCAAATGCTTTGTCTGCATCCATTGAGATAATCATATGGTTATTGTCTTTTATTCTGTTGATGTGATATATTGCATTCATTAATTTGCATATGTTGAACCATCCTTGAATTCCTGGGATAAATCCTGCTTGCTCTTGACGTATTATCTTTTTGAGGTGGTGCTGGATTCAGTTTACTAATATTTTGTTAAGGATTTTTACTTCTATATTCCTCAGGGATTTGGTCCTGTTGTTTCTTTTTATTGTTATGTTTTTGTCTGGTTTTGGTTATCAGGGTAATGGGGCTTCACAGAATGATTTAAGGATAATTCTCTATTCTTCATTTTTTGGAATAGTTTGAAGATAATTAGTATTAGCTCTTCAAAGGTTTGGTAGAATCTGGAAGTGAAGCTATGCAGCTTGAACTTTTCTTCGTTTAAAAACTTTTTATTGCAGTGATAATCTCATCACTCACAATTGATACTTTCAAGTTTTCTGTTTCTCCCTCATTCCATCTCAGTAGGTTGTATGTGTCTAGAAATTTGCCTGTATTCTTTATTTCTTTTAGTTTGTTATTGTATAGTGGCTCATCATCGTCTCTGATGATCTTTTTAAAATTCTTGTTGTATCAGTTGTCATGTCTCCTTTTTTGTTTCTGATTTTGTTTCTTTGAATATTCTCTCTTTTTCTCTTGGTTAGTATAGGAAGCAGTTTATTTTTTTTTTCTACTTTATTCAATAAATTATTTAGTTTCAGTGTTTATTTTTTATAATATCTATTTTGTGAATTTCTTATTCATATCCTGAATTATTTTTCTGATTTGTGTTATTTTTTAGTATTATCTTGTATCTCATTGAATTCTTAAGCACTTTTTGAATTATTTTTCTGAAATTTTATAAATTTCCTTTGATTGGAACTGTTGCTTGAGATTTACTGTGATTTTTTTTTTTTTGGTGGGAGGGTTCTTTTTTTTTTTTTTTTTTTGCTTTTTTATGTTTCTGGTGACCTTACATTAATATTTGCATATCTGGTATAACAGTTACTCCTTTCAATTTTTGTATTAACTTTTGTACAGGAAGGTTTTTCCTGAGGATGTGTCTATGGAGATAGGTGGCAAGGGTACTTTAGTTTGGATTCTGGATGAATCCAGCAATGTCATCATATGATTTCTTTGTCTGTTAACAGCATCAGTGGTATCTGTAATTTCCTCAGTGGCTTGAATTATTTTACTATTGGAAGCTGCAGAGAGGTTTTTCTGAGTATGGGGATGCAAGGTGGGCCAGTTTACAGCCCCCTGTGATGGCAATGGCAGGCTGAGCATGGCTAACTTTGGGTCACTGGGTGACATATGTAAGCACCAGTGTTAGCAGGTCCAAGTAGGCCAATTATTGGGCCTCCAGGCAGGTTGGCTGAGTACTAGCAGTGGCAGTGGTGAACCAGACAGTTGGGCAGGTCCTCAGACCCCTTCACAGTGTGTTTGGCATAGGTGATAGTAGTAGTGGTGGCAGGATAATTCTCAGGCTCCCATTTGGTACTTGTTAATGTCAGTGGTATCTTCAGTGGGCTGGGCAGACCAGTTCTCATGTTTCTAGGTGGTGTGTTTGGGTGGGGATGTTGGTGGTGCTTACCTTCCCCATATTTAGTTACCATACATATTAAGTGGGAAATATAAAATTTAGTTTGTAGTTTTCTGTCAAGCTTCACTATTGTTTGGTTGTTGCTAAGTAGACTTTTACTAACAGTAGAGAAATGTATTCTCTGTATATGTGTTTAATAGAAAAATAAATACAGAAAACTATTATTGAGGCTGAAAGAAATAAATATTCCAGCTAGAATAAGAAGGACCCATTAGTGTCAATGCTAATAGATAAACATAGGAAGTAACAAGAAGAGTTGGACTGAGGTGTGAGGAAGAGCTCACAGTAAATTAGATGTTCTGTTTTCTGAAATGTATAACTTCTGGATGGCCTTCCTAATTAGAACAGGGTAGTTATAATGTATAATGAATAAAGCAGTAAGCCAAGGCTGAACAATCTGTGACTCAGATTTGAGAAAGGTGGAAACAGCCAGCTCTAATTCAGGAAAAAAAAAAAAGAAGGGAAAGTGGTTGAGTGAAGGAAGAGAGAATCTTCTTTTTGTATAAGCCAGAATGTTCTCTCAGTCATCAAATATTTCCCAGGCTTAAGCTAGTTACAGGGTCCCTTCATAGGAAAGGAATGTAAGAAGAATGATTGAAAAAAATTGTCATTGGGGAAGATTTCATATGAAAAATGACATGCCAGAAGAATCTTTTTGAAATAGTTTGACTTGATATGAATGGCTTAATTCCATGGATTGGTGACATTTTTGACTCAAGATTAGCTGCCATAATTTGAGGTTGAGATACTTAACATAGTGTGGAAATAAGATAATGTATGTTAAGTACCTGACACTTGGTAAAAACTCCCTAAATAATATTTCTTTAATTATATTTTTTTCTAAATGTATGCTTCTTCTAACACATTATGCTCCCTGTTTACATAAACCCTATACCTACTGTCAACTTTGCATAACTGTTCACAAATCTCTGTACCACAGTATATAGATCCACAGATGTCCCAATAATGTTTCATTTGAGATGTAGTGCTGGAGGGAAAAATATAATTAGGTTAGGCTCTAAATTGTCCTCTTTGCCATGTTACAGAGTACATATTTTAACAACAACAACAAAAAAAAAGCAATAAAGATTGTTGCTGGGTTGCTGTCAAGAATGTCTCGTACGTCCTTTTCTGAACCCAAAAGAGGTCTCAACAGCTCTCGTGGCAATTTAGGCAAGCTACTTCGGATGTTATCAGCCCAAGAATGCCTTGCGAACCAATGCAAAAGGTCACAAGCCCTTCTTTTGTGCCCTGAAAAAAAAAATACTGACACAAAAACCAGCTGAAGCAGATATATGAATGTCTTCTACGAACACTCCCACTCCCATTTTTTTTTTTTAAGTAGAAGTATAGTCACTGTTACTAGAATTGGAGGACTTGAATTTAAGAGTGAGTCACTTAAATGCCACTGGATTCCATTTTCTCATTCTGAAAGGATAAGAAATAACATTTTAAAATTTTTCTATTAGAATCGAATTGAGCATTTAGAAAAATCCTTAGCACATTATCGATGCTCGTAATTGTTTGCTGATTTTGAAGATGAATCCCAGCAACTTTATAAAAACAATCAATTCAAGTGCCATCTTAAAAGAAATAATATTTAAGAAACTGTTGTAAATTAAATGAACCAAGTAGAAATAAATAAATGTCCTCGCTCATATTTGTATGCTTTTTCCTTAGAAAAAGACTAACTGGAATGAAACTCTTGGTGACATAGGTGTGACTTCTATGAGTATATCTTTGGATCTTTAGAGAGAGTTTATTAAGTACTTATTATTTGTTAATTATATGGATTGTTCAGTCTAAAAATAGTGTTTAAATGTCTATTGTAGGCCAGAAACTCTGCTAGGCACTTTTTTCTTTGTTTTTTTTCTGGAGTCTTGCTCTGTGGCCCAGGCTGGAGTGCAGTGGTGCCATCTCGGCTCACTGCAACCTATGCTTCCCGGGTTCAAGCAATTCTCCTGCCTCAGCCTCCCGAGTAGCTGGGATTACAGGCACCCACCACCGCGCCCAGCTAATTTCTGTATTTTTAGCAGAGATGGGGTTTCACCATGTTGGCCAGGCTGGTCTGGAACTCCTAACCTTGTGATCCACCCACCTCGGCCTCCCAAAGTGCTGGGATTACAGGAGGGAGCCACCACGCCCGGCGGGCAACTTTTTATCTGAAAACATTTTAACTTCACCTTCTTTTATAAAATCTTGTCAAAGTTAAACATATAAACTGAAAATGTACAAATTAAGAATGTATAGCTCAATGAATTTTCATAAAGGAAACATACCCATATACCAAGCCCACAGATAAAGAAGTAGAAAATTACCAGCAACCCAAAATGATTGCTTCTTTCAGTCTTTCACCCCTACCCTTTTGGGTGGTGATATGGTTTGGCTCTGTGTGCCACCAAATCTCATCTTAAATTGTAATCCCCAAGTGTTGAGGGAGGAACCTGGTGGCAGGTGATTGGATTATGGGGGCGATTTTCCCTATGCTGTTCTTTGCCCTTTAGTAGCTTGGGGTCCATTGCGGGTGGGAAATATCAAAAGAGATTATGCTTCTAATGCAGAGTGGAATGAACTCTAGTAGAGTCTAAACAGATGTAAAGAGGAAGGATGGCTTAGGCAGTATCAATTGAGGAAAGGGATATAAAAGGGCAGCTATTGTAAGTGACAAGGAACATTTAGTTTAAAAGTGAAGCTCGCCGGGCGTGGTGGCTCATGCCTGTAATCCCAGAACTTTGGGAGGGAGAGGCGGGTGGATCACCTGGGGTCAGGAGTTCAAGACCAGCCTGTCCTACATGGTGAAACCCCGTCTCCACTAAAAATACAGAGAAATTAGCCAGGCATGGCGCCCGTAATCCCAGCTACTCAGGAGGCTGAGGCAGGAGAACCACTTGAATCTGGGAGGCGGAGGTTGCAGTGAGCTGAGATCGCGCAACTGCGCTCCAGCATGGGCAACAAGAGTGAGGGATAGCATTAGGATAAATACCTAATGTAGACGACGGGTTGATGGGTGCAGGAAACCGCCATGGCACATGTATACCTATGTAATAAACCTGCACGATCTGCACATGTGCCCCAGAACTTAAAGTATAATAATAATAATAATAAAAATGAAGCTCAAGGACTTAGGTCTTGCACAGCCATCTCAATATAGACATCACATAACAGAGGTACTGTTAAGAGAATGTGGCTTTACACATGGCTGAGTAGAGTCCTAATGCAATATAAATACAGACAATTGTTCTGATGATGTCCAATCTTTTTAGTTCCCGTTTTCAAAATTGGAGTATGTTGGATTAGAATTCCACAGCCAGTTGGGTAGAGGTGTTATAACTGTCTTTACTAAAACCATAGGACACTGATACATGGCTATAATTTTCTTTTGCCAGGCTCATGCTACATCTGGAATTGTGTACTCTTAAAGTGGGAGTATATTCTGGAGGCTTCTTAGCAAACACTGCCTTGGGCTTCCCCTATGTGGTGAATCGGAGCTCACTTCAGCTTTATGCAGGTTCCCTCAGGAAAACGCTAGGGGCAGGGTGGAGGATGAGTATATTTGGGAAAGCGTCCCATCCCCTTTCTTCCATCCTGATGATACCTAAGCTGATGGACTGACACTGTGAATCTTCCGGAATCGAGAGATCGAACTCCCTTGATTAAAGCAATTCAGTGGTTTTCCCATTGCTCTTGGGATAAAAACAAAATGGCTTACCTTGAATTACAAATTTCTTTATAATCTGGTCCCTGCTTATCTCTTCAGCCTCACTTAAAACCAATTTCCTCCTTATCTATATGCTCTAATCACTGTAAACTATTTTTAATTTCCCATAGTGAGCCATGCCCTTCTGAGTGCAAGCCTTGTGTTTGCTGTTTCCTCTTTTCCACCCCCACCTCTACCTCTTCGTCTTGCTCATACCTTCTGCTGTGTTCAAGCCTCAGCTTAAACATCACCTTTTTTGAAAAAATATATATATTATATATATATAAAATCTTGAGAAGAGTTGAGGTGTCTCTCCTATGGGTCCCCAGAACCACATCATCAGTTATTTTATTGCATTAGTTATTTATGGAGAATTGAGATTCCTTATTACTTGGCATTTCTCCAGTTGACCTCCTGAAAACCAGAAGTCTGAACTTTTAATTAATGGATTTCCAAATCCAAGACAGGACCTAGGTTAGAATGGATGTTCAATAAAAGCTGAAATATTTGGAGAGATGAGTGAATGTATTAAAGATTAAAACCCAGAAGAGAAGAAGTGCTATTTCAAGTAACTGACTTTCCCTAGTTAGTGTAATTACTTCATCCGGTCCCTATCCAGGGGTTACCCTCCTTCAAATGAATAGTTAATTCTCAGAGGAAGGCATTGCTTATTTTATAGACAGAATGTGTTCCTGATAAGGTGTATTTTAATATTTTTGTAACTTGAATTCTAGTTTACCCTAGATATATGATGTAACTACCTTTATTTCATATTGTTAAAAATCACTAATTTTTTTTTGTATTTTGGTTCAAATGTTGCTGTTGCTCTCACACATCTTTTATGTTCCTATAAACTTTGTAGTCAATAAGTGAATCCAATATACATTAGAAAAACACACTTCTTTTATAGAAGAGTTTACAATGAGCAAGTGAATAATAACTGCAAATTCCAAATAATTTATAATTATATTTAGTAATTTATTAATTTACTATTTAACATATTTGATTTTATTAATGGGAAACTTAACTAAATGATTTATGAGTATTCTCGCCACTTTGTAACTTTAATCCTGAAACTCAGCTCTATTAAATTAGAAAGAGAAACTTGAAAAGTAAAACTGTATGAGTGGTGGAAAACATAATGATTATTTACTCTTCTCTATTTTCCATCTTTTCGCAGTTTTCTTTTTTTACATTTTTTAATGATGTGTAAATAATTTTCTTCCCAAATAAATAAAAACAATGAAATTCTTTAGATTTCGTTAAAGATAACTCAAACTTCCATGGGTCTGTGTATTTGAGCTTCTCTTTCCTCTGGAGATTGCTCTTTAGCATTGATGACTAAGAAATCAATTGAATGGGGACTGTGACATTCACACTGTCTGTCTCCTCCTTCCTGCTCTTGGAATTTAAAAGAAAGTCATTTATTCTCTTGTGACTCTTCTGCCAGAACATGATGAAGGCTTTGCAAAGCATCATTTAAGTGGTACATCCATCACTTGCAATCCTGCTCCCTTGCTTGCCAAAGACTCCACACTCCAGTACCTAGGATGTAAACAAAGATAATGCATTTGATTTTCATATTGATCTTGTCCATCTTAAAACCTGGCTTTGCCTGAGGGGACTACTTCCAGACTAAATGGCCTCTCACTGACCTCACCTGCCACAGCCCATGATCTCTGCCTCCCAGCCTCGCCTCCATGGAAGCAGGCATCCTCATCACACTCATGCCTTCCTCCCTCCTTCCCCCTCACCTTATTTCAGATACAACCAGTGCAGCTACTGATTATGATTTTTAATTTACACAACATATTTATTAAAATAATGTAGTCTTTATAATTAATTTACTGCTAATAAACACATTTATTTGGAAAATATAGTAGTATTGTACTCGGATTTTGAAACCAAATGTCTTAAGGATGTAACACTTGTTTAAATATCTACTTGTTTTATTTCTGGGGAAGGTTATTTGAATTTCTATTTTCTTACTTGTAAAGGATAACAGTATTTAGTTCATAGTCTTGATGTGAACATTTATTTGTTTGTTGGTTTTGCTTATTTATTTATTTACCAAGTATTTATTCTGTAACAGGTCCTTTTCCAGGCAGGAAATATAACACTGACCAGAGAACCAAGTTCCTCTCTTGTGTAAGTTTCAGTCAAGTTAAGAAATTATTTAATAGGTACAATGTATGTTTCGGGTGATGGATACCCTGAAATCCCTGATTTCACCACTACACAATCTATGCATGTAACAAAATTCACTTTTACCCCATAACTATATACAAATAAAAAAATCGAGTCCAACAAAATAATTAAGAATATTTTACAATATTAGGTAAATTGCATCATACATGTCAAGTAACTGCCACATAGCAGGTCTCAATAAGTAGTCTTTTTTTTTTTTTTACTTCTATCACTGTTACAGGTAATAATATTTAATAATTATTTTTCCTTTTCTGTTTATAAAAGCAACTGTGAAGGCTTTGTAATGTGTCAACTAGGCTGGTCTGAGTTACAGTCCCCAAGTTCCTTTTCTAGCATGTTTCTAGTTAGGGTTAGCTACAAGGATATTTTCTCAAGAAATTTGGAGGGTGGAAGGCAGGCAGCAGGCATTTGCAGCCAACACACACCTTCTCTAGGTATTCAGTCAAACATTGTTAGGTATGGCTGTGAAGGGATTTTGCAGATATAATTAAAACCCATAATTGATGTACCTCAAGTTAATCAAAATGAAGACTATCTTGAGTGGGCCTGATTCAATCAGTTGGCAGCCCTTTTGAAGAGCATTTCAGCCTTCCCTCAGCTGAGAAGCTCCAAACAGCAGATGGATCTGCAATTGCTCTTCCTTCCTTATGAATCCTCTTCCTGACTGCCTTTTGTGGACAACAAGCTTCAACCCATGCCATAGGGATTATAACCTGTTCATAATCTTCTCTTTACTCTTCCTTTTATGTGAACTTCAGGCTTGCTTAGCTAGCTAGTAAAATTACATAAACTGATGGATCATATCAAACATACTTAATAAAAAGAATTGGTTTATGCCATGCACACTCACACATACACACATACTACTGGTGTTACTTCTGTAGTTGAACCCTGATACAGTAATATATTTTTATTTTTAAAAATTCAAAATAGGAGAGATAAGTTATTATTGTAAATATTTAAATTAATCTGTTTTCACTAAAATATATGCATTTCCTATAACATAAACTCACTGGAAATGAATTTTATTTACTACGTGATAGTAACTGTGAATGCATTTACGATGATTATTCTATTTCATTGCTATAAATAACCTTATAGAAAACATATTTGTGCACAGAGCTCATTTTGTATTTTGTACTATTATGTAAGGATAGAACCCCAGGGGTAGAATTATTAGGTGAAATGGTACATGCATTTTGTGTCTTTCACTAAATAATAGTTTTGAAAGGATTGTAATCTTTTTATTCCCACCAACAATGCATGAGAGAAGATTGAGATCTTGCCTAAAATAATTACATGTCCACTCAAGGTAGCTAGTTCTCCTTAAGAGCTGACAGCATTTGCAAACAGCATAGAGTTCTGTTACAAATTTCATTCTGTCTTTACTATTAAATTGGCAGATGTCTTATCAAAGTTCTGTAAAAATATTTTCCTTGAATTGATGCTCTCTGGTGTACTTTATTTGCCATTACCTTTCCTTTGTATATATGTCACACAGTTCTTCATTCAATTTTTCTTTCTCTCTAGTAAGATAATATGATGCTGGTTGTCTTTGCTCTGATTTCCCAAAGTTCCTATTGCAAGTCTAAGGTCTTTCTCAGCAGGTCTTCGAAAAAAGGAGTAGGATGTAACTACCTAACTGAGACTGTTCTTCATGTCTCTTCCTCCTAACTGCATGCAACAAATATTTCTTGAGCACCTAAGGAAAGAAACGTGTTCTCTGTTATCAAGGTGATTAAAATGTAGCTAGGAGGCAGAGAATATGCAAGTAAACAAACAAATGTAGTTAAAGCTTGAAAGTACCAAGATAGAAAGTATCATATTGCAAGCATAATGAATGATGAGTAAATATGTGTTTACCAGGGCAGATACCACTTTAGTGTGTGGCCAGCAAAGGCCCTTTGTGGAGGTAACATTCAATAAAAGACCTGAGAACTAGGAGAAGTTATCTATATGTAGACTTTACTGGAGAATGTCCCTATCAGATAAAAATTACAAGGTTCTGAAATATGCTGTTAGAGGGTCTGAAAGTAAGTCAGTGTGACACACGGTAGTCTAGGAGAACGTAAGGATAGAGAGATTACAGGAGAGGTGGCCTATGAGGAGGCCAGAGCACCCAGTGTGAGTTTAGATTTCCTTTTGACCAAAACAGGAATCCAGAAGAGAGATTTTAGCAAGTGAATTGTGGAATCAGTCTCATTAAAAATAACAATAACAAAAAATATGATATTTATTGAAATGTCAATTTTTTAAATCACTTTACATGTAGTATTTCCTTTAATCCTCAAAGCCACCACAAAAGAGATATTATCAATCTAATTTTGCGCATGCATGAGTAATCAGAAGTTGAGGTAGCTTAATTTAAGGTCACATGGTTACTAAGGGACAGAGCCATGATTTAAGCCACTGCCTTTGCTACTACCCCAACTTGTCTGTCCAGTTTTTAGGAACCAATTACAGTGTCTGGCAATGGCATTACATTTACTTTATCTATCTGTTTCTAGCTACTCTGTCTCTCTCCATTTTTTCTTTCCTTCCCCTCACTCAAGTTTTTAATCTGCTTTCGAGGCTGAGAATCCTTTCTTAAGACTCAGCTGCATGAAAAGAGCAGAGTTTGTTTATTACCCTTCATGAGTCCTCCCATCAGAATGAAGACATTTGCCCTTAGTTCAGTTGACAGCACTGAAAGTACAAAAGTATTTTCCTATGACTGAATCTTATTCTAATCTGTCTTGACTCCACATAACAATTACTTCTATCTCTGTGATTGGGCACATGCAAGCATTTCTATTTAGTTATCAGAAGGTTGTAATACAAACAACTGAACAAATACATGCTCATATGTGCATTTAGTTTTTACAGTAAGGTTTTATAAGATTTATGCCAAGATATCTTAAGTTGGATGTTCTCTGCTTAATATCTGAAATAAAGCTACCTAGCATGAATGTATTATATTTTAAAATGTGAAATTCCACACTACAACACTGTATTTCCATATCTGCAAATATTTTAAAATATTGAATGTATCTGCTTTATAGTTGGTCATAAAGAAGCATTCCATTCTTTCTTTTACATACAGATGGATTGTTTCTGTTAATTATCACTCAAATCTGAACGGTGTGGTAGGACGGAGGGATACCTTGAAATCTAAGAAAAGGGGAAAAAAGTGCAATCGCTACAGTGATACTTTAGCAGAAGTTTCTATTGCTAAGTATTGTGGAGCTCAGAGGAAGAAGTAAAGGCTTCAAGACGTTGAACTTTAAGCTGAGTCTTGAAGGCGGAGTCTTCAAGTTAAAGAAGAGGGGTTAAGGAAAGTCCAGGGAGAAGGAACTGCATGAGCTGTGAAGAACCATGATGCATTCTTGGAATTGGTAGCATTCCCTTTGAAATATGGATTGAAACCCAGGAAGCATGAAAGAAACAAGAATTCAAAACTTTAAATTAAGACAAGACTATGGTAAAGAGTTTGGCATTGAACATTCAGGAAATGTAACAACTAGAACGAGTATAAAGGGAATAAAATGCAATTTGTGTTTTTATATTATTGAGTTGAAGTTGTCTAATACATTTTATTCACTGTATCTTACCCAATGCATAGTACTTCCTGGTAAAAATGTACTCCGAGCTCACTCATTCAGAATCTAATTTACACATTGATTTGTACACTTTACAATCAGTTAAGTATAGTAGTGCAACAGAAGAATTATTCAAATTTCACTATGAATATCTTTATCTCTGGGTTTCCTGGAAAAACAGAAGCCAGTACATGGGGCTTTCTCACTTAATCTAGGTGGGGTGTAACCTTGAACTCAGCTTCCCACAGAGTCAGCTTCCAGATAATTGGCAGCTGGCATTCCCAGAATACTTCTGTAAAAACTGGCATCTAATCCAGAAATGGGGACAAAGGGTTAGGAGAGCAGTCCGAAAAGTTTCTTGGGGAAGGCCTTGCAAGCATGAGTAGAAAAAAGAATGGGGTCAGTCATTTTAGACAGAGAGGGTAATATGGTTTGGATGTGTGTCCTCTCCAAATCTCTTGTCCAAATGTGTTTCTCAATGTTAGAAGGGAGGCTGTTGGGAGGCGATTGGATCGTCAAGGCGCATCTCTCATGAATGGTTTAGCACCGTCCCTTTGGTGATAAGTGAGTTCTCTCTCGATTCATGCAAGATATGATTATTTAAAAGTGTGTGGCACCTCTCCCTTTTCTCTCTTGCTCCTTCTTTTACCATGTGATACAACAGCTTCCCCCTTTGCCTTCTGCCATGATTGTAAGCTTCTTGAAGCCCTTACCGGTAGCAGATGCTGGAGCCATGCTTGCAGAGCCTGCAGAACCATGAGCCAATTAAACCTCTTTTCTTTATAAATTATCTTGCCTCAGATATTTATTTATAGCAATATAAAAGTGGCATAACACAGATGGCGTTTTCAAAAAATCATGGAGAAAATACTGATTGATAGTGACAATTTGATATGATTTGACAGCAGTTTATGGATGGGAACTATCAAGGAGTTGAAATTAAACTCATGCATATTAATATTTATTTAATATAATTATTTGAAATATGTTCCTCTAGAGGTAATTCCTCCTAGTAGCTTTAGACATATTGGATATCCAAACAACATAGATAAATGTTGAATATTCACATAAATGATTTATTTTAGTTCTTCAGGTGTTTTCACATTTTTATTCAAGTATTTGCTGAATGCATATTATGTTGTATAGTCCATGGAAATTAAAAATAGACGTTGTACTTTCAAGGAGCTTAACATTTATTTGAATAAAACAGAGCTTTTATAAATAAATATTATATGTTATTATAATAATTAAAAAAGAGAAGGTATGGAAAAGTATATCAAATGCTCAAATCATTATGGAAAACAAAAGGGAAAAATAATGATCAAATCTATGTGGAAGGCTGACAGAGAGGACTTCATAGAGGAGGTGACCACTTAGCCAAGTCCAGAAAAATAAGTAGGGATATCAAAGATAGATTATTGAAAGGGAGATTATTTTAGATACAGAGAATAACCTTAAATATGTTTGGAAGATGTTATTTTTTAATTATTGCAGCTTAATAGGTTTGATGTATTATCTCACCTTTCCCTTATCTTTTTACTGTAGTTTGATGTTAAGTGTATAGAAAATGCTGAGGTCAGACATTTTTAAAGTATGCTATGAGAAATGTAGGTCTATCATTTGAACCCTAGTCTCACTGTTTATGATTGTGTCCTACATCTAAAGCTTAATTTCCTTATGAAAAATGAAGAGTAACGTCACCCATTTTTTTGTTGTGAAGTTTAAGAGAGACAATAAAAGGCCTGGTGCGGTGGCTCACTCCTGTAATCCCAGCACTTTGGGAGGCCGAGGCGGGTGGATCACGAAGTCAGGAGATCGAGACCATCCTGGCTAACATGGTGAAACCCCGTCTCTACTAAAAATACAAAAAAAAATTAGCCGGGCATGGTGGCGAGCACCTGTAGTCCCAGCTACTCTGGAGACTGAGGCAGGAGAATGGTGTGAACCAAGAGGTGGAGCTTTCAGTGAGCTGAGATCATGCCACAGCACTCCAGCCTAGGCAACAGAGCGAGACACTGTCTCAAAGAAAAAAAAAAGAGAGAGAGAGAGACAATAAAAAGCCTGAAGCACAGTGCAAAATATCTGTTAGCTCTTTTTTGTATACCTAGACTATGCATTCTTAGTTTGTCCCAGCTTCAAAGCCACTGCCAATTTGGTATGTTTTTCTTTGTTATCATTACTAAGCCACAGGTGTAACTTTAAAATTGGAGTACAGGGGTCCATAGACAAAGTTTTGGTTAAATCCCTAGAAAGCTCATTCTAGCTAATAAAACCTTATTTTGATTATCCAATTAGTTTCTAATTAGATTTAACATTTCTAGCTTCTGTTTATGTGTTTATCTCTTCTACAGAGTGGTCAAAAGAGGCTACTTCAATGATCTTGCTGATGTACAGTTACCCAATGCCTCTAAGTTCCTCTGTTTTATTAGTTGTAAAGAAAGAATATGTTAGCTCTTGGGAATAAACTTCTCCCATCTTTGTAAGTCATGATATACAGCCATTCAGAAATACATCATTTTAAAAATGTTTTGTTCTATATTCTTCCCTGTATTCTAGTATTCTTCTAGTATTCCCAAAATGTTTATGTCTACAAATCAAATTTCTTTCAAAGTTTGCAGAAACACCAGAATATTGGGACTCATTTGAAGAGAAAAAAATAACATTTTTATTATCTTTTAAAATTTATTAAACCAAGCCACATTATATTATTATGCTATGTCTTCTAACTCAAACTATTTTATTTCATGATATAAAATTTTGATTGTGGGATTTTGAAAAGATACTCTATTTTTCTATAATATGACAGTCATCATTTTTTTACATTTATGGCCCATAACATAACATAAATACCAAACATCTCACAGAACTTTAATAGGTGGTACTTAATCAGCAAAAATGTTTTATTCCAACCAATTTATTTTTTCTTCTCCACATAAAATTCAATTAAGGCTATATATATATATATATATATATATAAAATATAGATGTGTAGATGTGTGTGTGTACACATACATATATATGTGATATGTGTGTAGGTGTGTGTGTATATATATATTTACTTTGTTCTCCCATTTTTCTTGCACAAAAATCATCAAGATTACATTAGCATTTCATACAATAGGATTTGGCACTTGAGACTCACAGAAAGAGGTGTAGATGAATTATTCGCATCTGAAAAGAAAGTCAATTGGGGAAATAAACATTAAAATGATTTGCAATCTGCAGTTATTCAAGAGAAGCAGAATCATCACGTGTAAGAGAAAGCTGAGAACACCAGGAAATAAATGGCTCAATTGATTTAAGGAATGTTTTCACAGCACCCAAATTTTGAGAAAAGGCCCAGATCAATAAAAAAGTCCCATTAATGTCTTTCAAATCTAAGATGCTGAAATTACATATTTTATTACCATTTCAATTGTTATTATTGAATCATATTTTCTCAGGGGCTAAAATCATTCTCTGTTTAAAACTCAGAAAAATTTTTAAAGTTAAATTAACTTTGGAGCAACAAAGATGCAGCTTAATAAATTATCTTATGGTATTCTAAATGTTGAAGAATTCAATGTCACAAGAGTCAAAACTCTGTCCCACATTGTCCAATTAATTGCCTGTGAATATTAAGAACATAAGCTTAAATATACTTCCTTCTCAGAAGGAAGTTAAGTAATTAAGTACAGCAGAAAGCACGTTGGCCTTGAAAACCAACAGTCTTGCTTTTACCTCAGACTGTGCCCTTGACCCAGGGACAAATTCCTAAACCTTACTAACCCTGACTCAATAACCTAATTGAAAAAATGAACTTTTTGATATTGATCTGCATATGAAGTACCTAGAACTTTTTCTGGACCAAATCAGAAGCACAATCTTAGTTTCCTTTTTTTTTTTTTTTCTGTTTCTCACTAAGCTCTATTGTAGCTCAATATCATAAAATATTACATTTCCTCTTTGTATTTTCAGTCCACAGAAATAAAAACATATAAATGCATCATAATATGAGATGAAAGATGTCTGTCTATATTTTCAAATTGGCGAAGTCAGAATAAAATAAGCTGACACAAGAAAGCATGTTTAACTTATAAAATGGTGCATACATGACAATTACTGTTTCACAGTGATGGTGATGACAAAGTGACAATTTCATAGTTTGAGTGATTGTTAAACTTGTTAAGGCTATTTATATTCAGAGTATTATATGGAAAGTTATGTATATAAGACAAAAAGGGGAAAATAAGGAAGAAAAGAGGGAAAGTAGAAAGGAAAGAAGAAAGGGGGAGAGAGCGAGATTGAGGAAGAAGGGGAGGAAGGAGGGAAGAACTCCAGGGAGGAGAACGTTCACCGATTCACTGAAAGAAAAGTAAGGCAAATCCTTTTAGGTCCCATTAAATTAAAAAGCTTCTTCACAGCAAAAGAAGCTATCAACAGAATAAACAGACCACTTACAGAATGAGAGAACATGTTTGCAAACTATGCATCCAACTAAGATCTAATATCCAGCATCTATAAGAAACTCAAACAAATTAATAAGCAAAAAACAACCCCATTAAAACATGGGCAAAGGACATGAACAGACACTTCAAAAGAAGGCATACACATGCCAGCAAGCATATGAAAACATGTTCAACATCATTAATCATTAGAGAAATGCAAATCAAAACCACAGTGAACTACCATCTCACACCAGTCAGAATGGCTATTACTACAAAGTCAAAAAATACCTGATGCCAGCAAGGTTGTGGAGAAAAGGGAATGCTTATGTACTGTTGGTTGGAATGTAAATTAGTTCAGCCATTGTAGAAAGGAGTTTGGGGATTTCTGAAAGACCCCAAAACAGATTTACCATTTGACCAAGCAATCCCATTATTGGGAATATACCCAAAAGAATACAAATTATTTTACCATAAGGACACATGCATGCGTATGTTCATCATTGCACTATTCACAACAGCAAAGTCATTCAATCAACCTAAATGCCCATCAATGGTAGATTGAATAAAGAAAATGTGGTATGTATACACCATGGAATACTACACAGCCATAGAAATGCAGGAGATCATGTCCTTTGCAGCAACATAGATGCAGCTGGAGGCCATAATCCATCCTATGCACACTACACAGGAACAGGAAACCAAATACCAAATGGTCTCACTTATAAGTGGTAGCTAAACAATGAGTACACATGGACACAAAGAAGGGACCAACAGACACTGAGGCCTACTTGACAGTGAAAGGTGGAAGGAGGGAGAGGATCAAAAAACTGCCTATTGGGTATCGTGCTTATTTGCTTATTACCTATGTGATAAAATAATCTGTACATCAAACCCCTGTGTCGTGCAAGTTACCTATATAAGAAACTTGCACATTTACCACTGAACCTAAAATAATAGTTTTAAAAAGTCCTAATAAGAATATTATAAAAAGACTTTAGAAGCAATTAAGGTCATATATTTTAGAATGCAACAATAACTATTGTTCTCATATAAGGAAACAGGTTTCTGGGAAGTTAAATAACATGCTCAGATTGACACATCTAGTGAAGTATTGACTCTAACTTTGAATTCAGATATAGTTGCCACCAAACACCTTCCTCTTTCCAAAAAAGTATTTAATTCTTTATTTCTAATATCTGAAATGCTCCATTTTACTAAAGATGAGAAGTAGCAAAAAAAAAAATAATAGTAATAAAAGAGAGAAGTCTGGGGGAATTGATGAGAACACAAAAAGGGCAATATTGCACCCAGTTACAATACTCAGTTAATTCTTTCCCAAATTACCTTCTTGCAATAGACAATAACATGTACAAATACATACACACCCAGAGTTGATCATTTTGATCGACTTCAGTAGAAATTAAAATAGACCATGTGTAACCTCCCTTTCCTGGACACTAATCTTGTAATTAATTACCCCAGTTTTTTTCTTACTAGAACTAATTAACTTTTGTTAATTAGAAACTGAAGCCAAAAGTGATAACTTGAGAGTAGTATGCTCTGCTGTGGTAGAACTTATAACATCAGATCAGTTGTTATATTCTGCATAAACTAAGAAGCTGTGGATATTTTCTCCAGGTACAAGTTTTCAATATAATATCAATGTCTCTTCACAGTTTAGGAGAAGAACAAGCCTTCTTTTATATCATTTGTGTCTAAGAAAATGTTCTCTTCTAGATTGCATAAACTTTCTTCCTGTTCAATTTGTGAACTTGGTGCCATGGACAGCAATGTGGAGGTTGAATCTCAAGGCTGAGTTTGTGTATAGTCTCCATGACTTACTAACTATACAAACTTCAGAAAAGCACTTACCATTCTAATTCCCAAATATTTTTTCCTCAAAAAAAAAAAAAAGTAAGATGAGGATAGTCTGTCTGTACAATTTTTACATTTATTGGAATATCTAAATGTAAAAATATGTTTGAGGGTTCTCCTCTGCAAACTATAATAGACAAAATAAAAAGACTCTAATATTCAGCAGGTGCAAGTATGTGTATGTGTATACCAAACTTTGTTATCTTTACTGCATGTCTTTATGAACTGCTCTTTTCTCTAATGTCTTCCTTTCCCCAAAAGATACTTTTTAACTTTTATTTTAGGGTCAAGGGTACATGTGCAGGTTTGTTATAAAGGCAAATTGCATGATTTGATGTTTGATGTACAGATTATTTTGTCACACAGGTAATAAGCATAGTACCCATTAGGCACTTTTTTTTTTTTTTTAATTCTCTCGCTGCTTCCACTTTCCGCTGTCAACTAGGCCCCAGTGTCTGTTGGTCCCTTCTTTGTGTGCACATGTACTCAATGTTTAGCTACCACATATAAGTGATAATATGTGGTACCTGATTGTCTGTTCCTGTTTCAGTGTGCTTAGGATTATGTCCTCTAGCTCCATCTATATTGCTGCAAAAGACATGATCTCATGTTTTCTATGGCTACATAGTATTCCACGGTGTATATGTACCATGTTTGGTAAATGTGTGCCATGACGGTTTGCTGCACCCATCAACCCATCACCTAAGTATTAAGCCCAGCATGCATTAGCTATTTTTCCTAATGCTCTCCCTCCCTTCAGCTCACCCCCTGACAGGCCCCGATATGTGTTGTTCCCCTCATCCATGTCCCATCAAAGGACATCATCTCATTCCTTTTTATGGCTGCATAGAATTCCATGGTGTATATGCACCACATTTTCTTTATCCAGTCTATCATTGATGGGCATTTGGATTGATTCCATGTCTTTGCTATTGTAAAATGTGCTGCATGAACATACGTGTGCATGTATCTTTGTAATAGAGTGATTTATATTATCAAAAAAGGAATTTTGTGGAAAATTAAAATTAATGAATTCAGAAATATAACTCTATATTTAACAATATTATCAGTTCAGTTTGGCCAAATGCAGACAAAAATGTTTTTAAAAAATAGATAAAAGTTGGCTGGGCCTGGTGGCTCATGCCTGTAAACCCAACACCTTGGGAGGCCGAGGTGGGTGGATCACGAGGTCAGGAGATGGAGACCATGCTGGCTAACATAGTGAAACCTGTCTCTACTAAAAAATACAAAAAATTAGCTAGGTGTGGTGGTACGTGCCTGTAGTCCCAGCTACTTGGGAGGCTGAAGCAGGAAAAATTATTGAACGTGGGAGGCAGAGGTTGCAGTGAGCCGAGATCATGCCACTGCACTCCAGCCTGGGTGACAGAGTGAGACTCCATCTCAAAAAAAAAAAGATAAAAGATAAAATTATGTTAGGCCAAACTTCAGGGAAACCACATTTGATGAGTCAGTATAATTGCAAGAAGTTAGCAAGAAAAAGGAGACATGTTGTAGATATGCTCCTTTTTCCTATCCAACATCTTTTTCTTTTACTGTGGCAAAACAGCCTTTGTTTCCATATGGCTTGGATGGAGCTGAACCATGCCATTGCTTGTCACAAGGGTAGTACTGTCAATTAAAAGACTCAAACTCTGCAAAACATTTGAAGAGATTTATTTTGAGCCAAATATGAGTAACCATGGCCTGTGACACAGCTGTCAGGAGGTCCTGAGAACATGTGCCCAAGGTGGTTGGGGTCCAGCTTGGTTTTATACATTTTAGGGAGACATGAGACATCAATCAAATACATTTAAGAAATACATTGGCTTGGTCCAGAATGGAGGGACAACTCCAAGAAAGGGTGGGATTGGGAGGGCGGGGATAGCTTCCAGGCTATAGGTAAATCTAAACATTTTGTGGTTGACAATTGGTTGAGTTTGTTTAAAGGCCTGGGATCACAGGGAAAGTACAAGTCTGGTTGAAGGGATAATCAGTTGTAGAGACCACAGTTTTATCATGCAGATTAAGCTTTTAGCTACCAGGCTTCAGAAAGAATAGGTTGTAAAATGTTTTTTATCAGACTTAAAGTGTATGTTCATGTTAATAGTGGAGAGGTATAATGAGTTCAACCCTCACTTCCCTTCAAGGTCTGAAACAGTCTCTCAGATTAAATTTTAAAAGAGCCCTGGCTCAGGAGAAAGTCCATTCAGATAGTTGAGGGGCCTTAGATTTATTTTTGGTTTACAGTAGTATGTTTCATGCATGTCTGTGTGAAGAGACCACCAAAAAGGCTTTGGGTGAGCAACAAGGCTGTTTATTTCACCTGGGTGTAGGCGGGCTGAGTCTGAAAAGAGAGTCAGCAAAGGGAGATAGGGGTGGGGCAATTTTATAGGATTTGGGTAGGCAAAAGAAAATTACCATCAAAGGGGGTTGTTCTCTGGCTGGCAGGAGTGGGGGTCACAAGGTGTTCAGTAGGGGAGCTTTTGAGCCAGGATGAGCCAGGAGAAGGAATTTCACAAGATAATGTCATCAGTTAAGGCAGGAACAGGCCATTTTCATTTCTTTTGTGGTGGTATGTCATCAGTTAAGGCAGGAACCTGCCATCTGGATGTGTACATGCAGGTCACAGGGGATATAATGGCTTAGCTTGGGCTCAGAGGCCTGAAATTCCTGTCTTCTTATATTAATAAGAAAAATAAAATGAAATAGTGGTAAAGTGTTGGGACGGTGAAAATTTTTGGGGGTGGTATGGAGACATAATGGGCGATGTTTCTCAGGGCTGCTTCGAGCGGGATTAGGGGTGGCGTGGGAATCTAGAGTGGGAGAGATTAAGCTGAAGGAAGGTTTTGTGGTAAGGGGTGATATTGTGGGACTGTTAGAAGAAACATTTGTCATTTAGAATTATTGGTGATGGCCTGGATACGGTTTTGTATGAATTGAAAAACTAAATGGAATAGGAGAAGGAGAAAAACAGGTATTAAAGGTCTAAGAATTGGGAGGACCCAGGACATCTAATTAGAGAGTGCCTAAGGAGATTCAGCATAGTCCTGCCAGCAAAGATTATTTATTTACTTCAAGAGTTAAGAGTGGCAGTTTGGGGATAGCATCAGGAGATATCAGCTGCGATGGCTTGGAGAAACAGTGTAAACCAGCAGTGTAAACAAGAGCAGGGCATGTATGAGTAGTTGAGAATGGTGAATGGGAGTATGACTAGACAGAAGATAGTAGAGATGACAAGTTTTTTGGGGCACAGCCCAAGTTGGTCTGGTGTCTGGAATGAGACTGGGGCTTAATAAAAAGGAGCGTCTATACAGGAGCTTAAATGGGCTGTACCCTGTAGCATTCTAAGGATAGGCCTGAATTCTGAGAAGGGAAACTGGTAAAAGTATTGTCCAGGCCTTTTTAAGTTGGTGGCTGAGCTTGGTGATGTGTGTTTTTAAAAGACTATTAGTCCGTTCTACCTTTCCTGAAGACTGAGGACCATAAGGGATATAAAGGTTTCACTGAATACCAAGAGCCTGAAAAAATGCTTGGCTGATTTGACTAATAAAGGCCGGTCTGCTATCGGACTGTATAGAGGTGGAAAAGCCAAACCGAGGAATTGTCTGACAGAAGGGAAGAAATGACTGCGGTGGGCTTCTTAGACCCTGTAGGAAAGGCCTCTACTTATCCAATGAAAGTGTCTACTTAGACTAAGAGGTATTTTAGTTTTCTGACTCGGGGCATGCGAGTAAAGTCAATTCGCCAGTCCTGGGCAGGGGCAAATCCTCGAGCTTGATGTGTAGGAAAGGGAGGAGGCCTGAACAATCCCTAAGGGGTAGTAGAATAGCAAATGGAACGCTGAGAAGTGATTTCCTTGAGGACAGATTTCCAGGATGGAAAGGAAATGAGAAGTACTAAGAGATGGGCTAGTGGCTCCTAACCTACATGGAAGAGGTTATGAAATGACGACAGAATAGAATGGGCCTGTGAGGCTGGAAGGAGGTATTTTCCTTGGTCTAAGAACTATTTGCCTTGTGTGGGAAGAGATTGATAGGTGGAAGTTTCAGCGGGGGAGTAGGTGGGAGTGACTGATGTGAAGGAGAAAAACTGGCCGTGAGGGACAGAAGTTGGAAGGCTAGCTGCTTGTCTAGCCACCTTATCAGCATAAGCATTGCCTAGAGCAATGGGATCTGATGCCTTTTGATGGCCTTTGCAGTGAATGACTCCAGCTTCCTTTGGAAGTAAAGCGGCCTTGAGCAGGGTTTTTATTAAAGAGGCATTAATGATGGAGGACCCTTGTATAGTGAGGAAACTTCTTTCAGCCTATATAACGGCATGGTTGTGCAGAATATGAAAGGCATATTTAGAGTCAGTATAAATATTGACACGTAATCTTTTTGCAAGAGTGAGGGCTTCAGTTAGGGCAACTAATTCAGCTTGCTGAGAGATAGTGGAGGGGGGCAGAGTGGTAGCCTCAATGATAGATGTGGAAGATACTATAGCATAGCCTGCCTTTGCTGGTGAGTGGCGATTAGGCCTGGTGAAACTGCCATCAATAAACTAAATGTGATCAAGGTGAGGAACAGAAAAGAAGGAAATATGTGGAAATGGGGTGAATGTCAGGTGGATCAGAGAGATACAGTCGTGAGGGTCAGGTGTGGTATCCAGAATAATGTGGGAGGCCGGACTGAAGTCTGTGCCAGGAACAATGGTAATTGTGGGAGACTTAACAAAGAGTGAATACAGCTGAAGGAGCCAGGTTGCAGAAAGTATATGTGTCAGGTGTGAGGAAGAAAACAGATTTTGGAAGTTATGAGAACTGTAGAGAGTGAGTTGAGCATAGCTTGTGATTTTAAGAGCCTCTAAAGTATTAGGGCGGCAGCAGCCACTGCACGGAGACATGATGGCCAGCCTAAAACAGTAAGGTAAAGTTGTTTGGACAAAAAGGCTACAGGACGTGATCCTGGTCCTTGTGTAAGAATTCTGACTGCACAGCCCTGCACTTCGGCTGTGGGTAATGAAAAGGGTTGGGATGAGTCAGGGAGAGGAAGGGTGGGGGCAGTCTTTAAAGCTGTCTTTAAGGAACGGAAAGAGGAGTGGGGAAAGGATTTAGGATCTATGGGGTCAGCTAGGTTTCTTTTTCTGAGTTTATATAATGGTTTTGTTAGGATGGCAAAACCAGGTATCTAAAGTCGAAAGTATCTAACCATGCCTAGGAAGGAAAGAAGTTGTTGTTTTGTAGAAGGTGTTGGGGGTTTGAGAGATCAGCTGGACATGATCAAGGGAGAGCATGTGTGTTTTTATGAGAATTACGCTGAGATAGGTAACAGATGAGGAAGAAATTTGGGCTTGACTGAAGTAATGGGGGCTGTCTGTGAAGCTTTGTGGCAGTAAAGCCTAGGTAATTTGCTGAGCCTGATGGGTGTCAGGGTCAGTGCAAGTGAAAGCGAAGAGAGGCTGGGATGAAGGGTGCAAAGGAATAGTAAAGAAAGCATGTTTGAGATCTAGAACAGAATAATGGGTTGTGGAGGGAGGTATTGAGGATAGGAGAGTATTTTGGCACCACGGGGTGGATAGGCAAAACAATTTGGTGGATAAGGCTCAGATCCTGAACTAACCTGTAACGCTTGTCTGGTTCTAGGACAGGTAAAATGGGGGAATTGTAAGGAGAGTTTATAGGCTTTAAAAGGCCATGCTGTAGCAGGCAAGTGATAATAGGCTTTAATCCTTTTAAAGTGTGCTGTGGGATGGGATATTGGCATTGAGCGGGGTAAGAGTGATTAGGTTTCAAAGGGATGGTAAGGGGTGCATGATCAGTCACTAAGGAGGGAGTAGAGGTGTCTTATACTTGTGGGTTAAGGTGGAGAGACAAAGGGGAGGATGTGAAGGAGGCTTTGAACTGGGGGAAAAGGCAGCAATGAGGTGTGGCTGTGGCCCAGGAATAGTCACGGAAGCAGATAATTTAGTTACTGTGTCTCGGCCTAATAAGGGAACTGGGCAGGTGGGGATAACTAAAAAGGAGTGCTTAATAGAGTATTGTCTAAGTTGGCACCAGAGTTGGGGAGTTTTAAGAGGTTTAGAAGCCTGGCCGTCAATACCCACAACAGTTATGGAGGCAAGGGAAACAGGTCCTTGAAAAGAAGGTAATGTGGAGTGGGTAGCCTCCGATTAAGAAGGGGATGGACTTACCTTCCACTGTGAGAGTTACTTGAAGCTCAGCGTCCGTGATGGTCTAGGGGCTTCTGAGGCAATTCGGCAGCATCAGTCTTCAGCCGTTAAGCTGAGAAGATCTGGGAAGGAGTCAGTCAAAGAGCCTTGCACCAGCGTTCCACGGGCTCTGGGAGTGGCTGCCAGGTGAGTTGAACAGTCCGATTTTCAGTGGGGTCCCACACAGATGGGAAATGGCTTAGGAGGAATCCCAGGCTGCGGGCATTCCTTGGCCTGGTGGCCAGATTTTTGGCACTTGTAGCAAGCTCCTGGGGGAGGAGGTTCTGGAGGAATGCCTGGCTGCTGTGGTTCAGGCGTTTGGAAGTTCTTGTGTACTGGAGATGTGGCTGGGGTTTGTCTGACAGTGGAGGCAAAGAATTGCAACTCAGAAATACGTTGCAATTGGCTGCCTTCACTGTATTATTGTACACCTTGAAGGTGAGGTTAATTAAGTCCTGTTTTGGGGTTTGAGGGCTGGAATTTAATTTTTGGAGTTTTATTTAATGTTGGGAGCAAATTGGGTAATAAAGTGTATATTGAGAATAAGACGGCCTTTTGACCTTTTAGGGTCTAGGGCTGTAAAGCGTCTCAGGGTTGCTGCCAAATGAGCCATGAACTGGGCTGGGTTTTTATATTTGATGAAAAAGAACCTAAATGCTCTCTGATGTGGGATAAAGAAAAAGAAGCATTAATCTTGACTATGCCTTTATCTCTAGCCACTTTTTTAGGAGGAAATTGCTGGGCTGGTGGGGGATGGCTAGTCATGGAATGAAACTGTAAGCTGGACTGGGTGTGAGGAGGGGAGGTGATAAAAGGATTATAGGGTGGAGGATTGGAGGCTGAGGAAGAATTGGGACCTAGTTTGGCCTGGCGATGGAGGGAGAGGTCAGATGCGTCTGTAGAAAAGGAAGATTAGAAAGACTCAGCAACACTTGAGGTTGGGACTGAGGGGACAGGCGGGAGGGAAAGAAGGAAGATTTGGGACGAGTTGTATTGGGAACAGAGACTATGGAGGGACTGATGTGTAAAAGAATGCCTGGACGTCAGGCACCTCAGACTATTTGCGTATTTTACGACAAGAATTATTTAGATCTTGTAGGATGGAAAAAATGAAAGTGCTGTTTTCTGGCTATTTGGAACCACTGTCGAGTTTGTATTTGGGTCCAGTGGCATTGTAGAAGAAAATAAGGCATTTAGGTTTTAGGTCAGGTGTGAGTTGAAGAGGTTGTAGGTTTTTAAGAACACAGGCTAAGGGAGAAGAAGGGGGAATGGAGGGTGAGGGGTTGCCTATAGTGAAGAAGGCAAGCCCAGAGAAAAGAGAGAGTAGAGACATGGAGGGAAGGGGTTCGGGGGTTCTTACCTTCCAGAAAAGCGGGAAAGGGGTTGGAGCATGGAAATAAGGGGTTGGGGCAGAGATAAGAGGTCAGGGCACGGAAATAAGGGGTTAGGGCACAGAGATATGAGGTCGGGACACGGAAATAAGGGATGGGGCACAGAGATAAGAGGTCGGGGCATGGAAATAAGGGATCGGGGCACAGAGATAAGAGGTCGGGACATGGAAATTAGGGATCGGGGGGTTCTTGCCCCCTAGAAAAGCAGTACTTGCTGCTAAGGGTGAAGGAGAAGGGGTTGGGGGGTTCTTGCCTCCCAGAAAGGCGGAGAAGGGGTAGAGACATGGAGAGAAGGAGTTGGGGGGTTCTTGCTCTCCAGAAAAGCAGGACTTGCCGCTAAGGGTGAAGGACCAAGGCAGGTGTCCCCACGTGGTCAGACACCTCTGAAACATGGGTGAATAATCAGAGAGGTGTCCCTGCAGTGATTAAACACCAAGGGAAGGCTGGCTTCCTGAGTCCGTGACCGGCGCCGGAGTTTTGGGTCCACAGATAAAACGTGTCTCCTTTGTCTCTACCAGAAAATGAAAGGAATTGAAATTAAGAGAGGGGAGATATTGAAAGGTGGTGCCAAGATTGAAAGGAGAAAATGGTTGAGGGATAGTGAGAGAGGTTGGAGAAGAGAGTAAGAAGAGGCTGCTTACCTGATTTAAAATTGGTGAGATGTTCCTTGGGCTGGTCGGTCTGAGGACCCAAGGTCGTAGGTGGATCTTTTTCACAGATCAAAGAGCAGGAGGACAGGGGATTGATCTCCCAAGGGAGGTCCCCTGATCCGAGTCACGGCACCAAATTTCATTGGTGTCTGTGTGAAGAGACCACCAAACAGGCTTTGTGTGAGCAACAAGGCTGTTTATTTCACCTGGGTGCAGGTGGGTTGAGTCTGAAAAGAGTCAGCAAAGGGAGATAGGGGTGGGGCCATTTTATAGGATTTGGGTAGGTAAAGGAAAATTACAGTCAAAGCGGGGGTTCTCTGGCTGGCAGGAGTGGGGGTCACAAGGTGCCCAGTAGGGGAGCTTATGAGCCAGGAGAAGGAATTTCACAAGATAATGTCATCAGTTAAGGCAGGAATCGGCCATCTAGATGTGTAAGTGCAGGTCACAGGGGATATGATGGCTTAGCTTAGGCTCAGAGGCCTGCCAATATGACCTTTGGCAATACAGGGATAGCATTTCCTGAGGCATTTCCCTTAGATTGTTTCTGGAAGAGCATGCATTCTCATACAGAGCTACTCAGGTCTTTTAACACACTGGATAATAGGAGAGAAAGAGAAGATTTGGGATCCCTAGCTATGAGGAAGATGTAACACCATGGTCGTTCTTGCATACCTTTGCCTGAGCCTCCTGGAGGGTGAAACCACACCAGAGCAAAAACAGCCTAGAGAAAAAGTTCAAGAGTCCAGGTGACATCATTTGAATCCTAACCCAGTTGTGTCTTTTATGCGATCTGATGAGTTCCCATTTATTATTAATTTGAGTTTATAACTCACTGTAAGGTGATGCTTGTATATCCTATGGAATATTTTACTAATTGATGTTACATGAATTCACGGCACATTGGGAAACCTAAAAAAGGGTGATGTGCATATAGGTAGAAAACGCTGGTACACAATAAGGCAGGAGCTAGGCAGATACACATGTTAAAAATGCCCTAGGGTTCTTAACCCTAGGGCAATGAAGAGCCACAGGGTTTTATGGAGAAACACAACATGGTCAGATTAAATGTCTTTTTTAATACATTAAGGGTCAAAATAGATGTTTCTACTACTAAAAACCTTATAGAAAACAGGAATGATTTGGATAATTTTATACCATCAATCCTATATTCATGTTTTAATGCATTCAATCCCCAATAGAAGACTAATATTCCCTACATTATAACTACCAGTTTGATTGTGATTAATGGAAAAATAGCAATGATTACAAAATACAGGTTCCTTTTGTTTGTAAAGTTTATGACACTTAATTGTGTAAAGAGAGCTATATAAATGGCAACCAGGTGTTGAATGGAGGAAGTTCCTGTCAGTTCCTACAGGAAGTTCAGGGCCCTTGTCATGTTCAAAAAGACATAATTAATGCAGGATTTTTGCTTCTTAGTTCAGCTAAATCTGGGTTCTTGTCTCATGACCAGGAAAATTAGGCATGGAGACACATTGAAAAGTGAGGATGGCAGAATTTATTAAGTGAAAGGAAAGCTCTCAGCAAAGAGAGGAGTTCTCCAAGCAGGTTTCCCCCTCACAATTGAATACCAGGGCTACCACCCATGAGCTGAAGAGGCCAGGCTCCTCCCCTGCATGAGGTACGAATTCCTGTCACTTCTCCCCATTCCCACAGAGCACAGGCAGGCATGCCCAGGCAAAGAATTTTCTTCTGAAAATTCTATGAATTATTTTTTTATCCAGCTCATGTCTGGCCATAAGTAGTATTGGAAAAGGCAATATTAGTTTGGTTAAAAGACATTATACAGAAAGAATCAGTTGGGAAAAGACTAGCAAACAGAGTCAGAAGCTTTCGCCCTGGGTCACAGGCCCCATCTGGTACCAGCAGTCCAGTCCCTCAGCCCCCAGGCTACTCGAGGCCAAAAAGTGAGGCTTCACCAGGGACACCACCCTACCTACTCAGGTATCTGTCTGTCTCCTGTTTCCATCACAATCATTATGTCCATGAAATCTCCTGCTGGTCTGTCATAGCTAGATGCAAGCTATAAACGAGAGGTATTAAAGTACCAAACTATCATAGCCTGGAAATGTACACATCTAACATTTATTAAGCACTTATTATGTGCCGCATATTTTTGAAGTTATTTATATGTATATCTTGTTGAATCTTTACAAAAACCTGCAAAATAAGGAGACATTGTTTTTCCTATTTCAATATATAGTAAATGTCTTGCCCAGCATCACATAGATTGAACTCAGGAAGTTTGGCTCTAAAGCCTGAGCTCCTAATCACTAGGTTTTCTGTCTCTGTCATTCTCATCAGCTGGAGAGATAGATAATGTGAGCCATTCCCTTTACATTTCTGAGAAACTAATACATAAGACCAGTATATGACTATCTCAGGAAGAACTGAACTTCATGCTTGCCTAGAGTCCTCTAACCATGGACTATAAAATAACAACTTAAAATGAGAAGCACTCTATGCAACATTACTTGAATTAATTCCTTATGATATAAGCATGTATTTCATTTAATTCTCCCTCCAAAATAAACCAGCTGATGTTATCTCTACACCACTTTATAGATGAAGACCTTTAAATCTTCTGAAACTTCTTTGAATTATTTTTTTATCCAGCTCATGTCTGGCCTGAATAGGTTTATTATTTTGTATAACAGGCATTAATTTGCATATCTTTTCTCTTATTAGTAAAAATAAGAACAGTAGAAAATGCATTATGTTTGAGCAAGAAGACAGAAAATGAGATTGATTGGGTCATTTGAAATGTATAGGGCCTGGCAGCTCTCTTTATGTCGATTTTATATCCAATATTGAAAGAACAGGGAAAATGCCTTGGTAAATAAGACTTCTTACAATTTTCATCTGTAGTTATGCAATCGCTTCTCCCAAAGGAATATAGATTGTTCCTGGTCTTATGTGTGCTTAATTCCTTTCGCTTTCTAGTAATTTCCATGTCAGATTGCTTTACATCATTTTAAACGTGTTAGTTGAGAGCCAAAAGCAGTTGAATGAAAACAGTAAGAAATTTAGGAAAGAAAATCTGAAATCAAAGACTGGCTTAGGGAAAACATATTATAATCTTTTGTAACTACTTTCTTGAAATTGCAAGTTCTAGTTGTGTTTTAATTTTTTGTTTTCATACTTATAAATTACATTTTAGGAGCTGCTCTTTTAAAAAAGGAAAATACTTTAAGAGCGAGCATTAATTTAATACTTTATAGGAACAGCCTCACAATATATTTTTCCTGCATTTCTACAGTAATCTCAGACATAAGATATTAAGGTTTCCATTTCACATAAAGATATGAGATTTGAAAAAGTTTTAATCATTTATAAAGTCAGAGTCATTAAATGATACAATCTGAATTCCTTCAGCTATCTAAAGCAAACCTGTAAGACAGCTGATATCATTATGACCTCATTACAGATGCACTACAAAGTTAAATTTTTCTAGGATCAATTATGTAGAGTATATTATTGTGTTAGTGGACATGGTAAATATGTGTCTTATTTTTCTGTCCATAAATTAATTGAAATTCATTATTTGTGCAGATTGATTCCTTGATTTTAGTTGCATTTCAGAGATGCTTTTCTTGTACTTATGAAACAATCAGTACTCTGACTATAAAATATATTGACTTCATGACATTCTAGTGTCTCTGGTAGTTTATTTTTAAAATCAGATATAGAGTGTTAATTAAATTTTTATTAATACTGTTCTCTGCCCTAGCGAATAGAGAGTGTGAAAGGAAAATATCTTGGGCCTCTTCAGGCTGGGAAGTGCTCAGGGCAAATATGCCTCAAATTCTATTCAAAGTCATCCCTCTGCTCACAGAAATAGATCCATATTCTGATTGCCTCCTTTGGGAAGGCTTATCAGAAACTCAAAAGAATGCAACCATTTGTCTCTCACGTACTGTGACCTGGAAGCCCCTCATTGTGGGGAAGGAGGTTGGTGGCGGATGCTTTGAGATGTCTCTGTCTTTCTGGATGAAACTAATGTACTTCTTACATATATTGGTTGAAGCCTCATGACTCCTTTCACTCATGTCCCTATGAAGAGACCACCAAACAGGCTTTGTGTGAGCAACAAGGCTGTTTATTTCACCTGGGTGCAGGCGGGCTGAGTCCAAAAAGAGATACAGTGAAGGGAGATAGGGTTAGGGCCGTTTTATAAGATTTGGGTAGGTAAAGCAAAATTACAGTCAAAGGGGGATTGTTCTCTGGTGGGCAGGAGTGGGGGTCACAAGGTGCTCAGTAGGGGAGCTTTTGAGTCAGGATGAGCCAGGAGAAGGAATTTCACAAGATAATCTTATCAGTTAAGGCAGGAACAGGCCATTTTCATTTCTTTTGTGGTGGAATGTCATCAGTTAAGGCAGGAACCGGCCATCTGGATGTGTACATGCAGGTCACAGGGGATATGATGGCTTAGCTTGGGCTCAGCAGCCTGACAACTCCCAAAAATGTGTATGACCAAGCTGTGTCCCAACCACCTTGGGCATGTTTCATGAGGACTTCCTGAGGCTGCGTCACAGGCACATTCTCAACCTTGGCAAAATAAACTTTCTAAATTAACTGAGACCTGTCTCAGATGTTCTGTGTTCACAAAAGAATAGACAAAAAGGAAACTCAATGGAACAATATGGGGTAATATGTATTAGTTCATTCTGACATTGCAGCAAGGATACTACTGAGACTGGGTAATTTATAAAGGAAAGAGGTTTCATTGACTCATAGTTCAGTATTGCTGGGGAAGCCTCAGATCACTTACAATCATGGCAGAAGTTGAAGGGGAAGCAAGACACCTTCTTCAAAAAGCAGCAGGAAGAAGTGATGAGAAAAGAAGGAAGAGCCCCTAATAAAACCACCAGATCCTGTGAGAGCTCACTCACTATTATGAGAACAGCATAGGGGAAACTGCCCCCATGATCTAATTACTTCCACCTCGTCTCTCCTTTGACTCATGGGTATTATGGGGATTATAGTTCAAGATGAGATTTGGGTGGGGACACAAAGCCTAACAATATAATTCTGCCCCTGTCCCCTCCTAAGCCTCATGTTCCTTTCACATTTTAAAACCAATCATGCCTTCTCAATAGTCCCCTAAAGTCTTAATTCATTCCAGCATTAACCCAAAAGTCCAAGTCCAAAGTCTCATCTGAGACAAGCCAAGTCCCTTCTATTAGTCTGTAAAATCAAAAGCAAGTAAGTTACTTCCCAGATACAATGGAGGTACAGGCATTGGGTAAAGACACCCAGTCCAAATGGGAGAAATTTGCCAAAATGAAGGGGCTACAGGCCCCATGCAATTTCAGAATCCAGTGAGGCAGTCAAATCTTAAAGCTCCAAAATGAACTTCCTTGACTCCATGTTTCACATGCTTATCATGTTGATTCAAGAGGTGGGCTCCCATGGGCTCAGGCAGTTCTGTTTCTGTGGCTTTGCTGGGTACAGCCCTGTTTCTGGCTGCTTTCATGGACTGGCATTGAGTGTCTATGGCATTTTGAAGTGCATGGTGCAAGGTGTCAGTGGGTCTAACATTCTGGGGTCTGGAGGATGATGGCCCTCTTCTCACAGCTCCACTATGCATTGCCCCAGTGGGTACTCTGTATAGCAGTTCCAATGTCACATTTCCCTTCTGTGCTGCCCTAGCAGAGGTTCTCCATGAGGGTTCTGCTCCTGCAGCCAACTTCTGCCTAAACATCCAGGCATTCTCATACATTCTCTGAAATCTAGGCAGAGGTTCCCAAACCTCAATTCTTGACTTCTGTGCCCCTCCAGGTTCAACACCATGTGTAAGCCACCAAGGTTTGAGGCTTTTACCTTCTAAAGCAATTGCCTAGGATGTACGTTGGCCCCTTTTACCAATGACTGGGATGCACGGCACCAAATGCTGAGACTGCACAAAGCAGCAAGGCCCTGGACCCGGCCCACAAAACCACTTTTTTTCTCTTAGGCCTCTTGGCCTGTGATGGGGGAGGCTACCAGAAAGGTCTCTCACATGCCCTGGAGATATTTTTCCCATTGTCTTCATGATTTAACATTTGGCTGCTTGTTACTTATGCATATTTCTGCAGCTGGCTCAAATTTCTCCTCAGGAAATGGGTTTTTCTTTTCTATAACATCCTCAGGCTGCAAATTTTCCAATCTTTTATGCTCTCCTTCCACTTTAAATATTAGTTCCATTTCTAAACCACCTCTTTGTGAATGCATAAAACTGCATGCTTTTAAGAGCACCCAAGTCATCTCTTGAATCCTTTGCTGCTTACAAATTTCTTCTGCCGGATACCCTCAATCATCCCTCTCAAGTTCATAGTTCCACAGATCTCTAGGGCAGGGGCAAAATGCCATAAGTCTCTTTGCTAAAGCATAGCAAGAGTCACCTTTATTTATTCCAGTTACCAACCAGTTCCTCATCTCCATCTGAGACCACGTCAACCTGGACTTCATTGTCCATATCACTATCAGAATTTTGGTCAAAGCAGTTCAACAAGTCTCTGGGAAGTTCCATACTTTCCCATATCTTCCTGTCCTTTTCTGAGCTCTCTAAACTGTCCCAACCTCTGCCTGTTACCCAATTCCAAGTTGCTTCCACATTTTTAGTATCTTATAGCAATGCCTCACTTCTAGTCTGTTCTCTCTTTACTACAAGGAAATACTCAAGACTGGGTAATTTATAAAAAATGAGGTTTCACCATTATTGGGAAGGGCTCAGGAAACTTACAGTCTTGGCAGAAGGTGAAGGGGAAGCAAGGCACCTTCTTCACAAGGCAGAAGGAAAGAGAGGTGCCCAGGGAAGGAGGAAGAGCCCTTTATAAAAACATATCTTGTGAGATCTCTTTCACTATCATAAAAACAGCATGAAGGAAACCACCCCCACAAACCAATTATCTCTACCTGGCCTCTCCCTTGACACATTGGATTATGAGGATTATGGGGATTATAATTCAAGATAAGATCTGGGAACACAAAAAACCTAACCCTATTAGTGGTATCTCACAATTTTTATAGCAAAGCTTTGGTTGCATTCTTGGTTAACCAAAGGGAGAGATTTAATTATTTTACAGTAGGGTCTGAAGATCATTCAATTTCCAAAAAAAGTAATGGAGAGGAGAGAAAACCTGAGAGACTGGTAGAGAGAAGAGCAGAGTGAGAAAGAATGACTGAATAAATACCAGCTCTCTAGATATTGGAGATATTGACCTTAGTTGAAGAAATGGTTTAAAAGTTTCTTATTTTTTATAGTATTATATGTTCATTTGTGTTAAAAACAGAGATATATATATCTAATATTTAAAATTAAATTTCTGTTGTTAAGATGGAGAAGTCTCTACTTCTCCAAATCCAGTTGTATTTGACCATTCTCCTATTGCTATAAATAAATACCTGAGACTGGGTATTTTGTAAAGAAAAAAGGTTTAATTGGGTCAAGGTTCTGTAAGGTGTACAGGAAGGCTGATGCTGGTATCTGCCTGGCTTCTGGACAGGTCTCAGGAAACTTAAAATCATGGCAGGAGGCAAAACAAGAGCAGGCAACTCAGAAAGCAAAAGCATGAGCAAGAGGGAGGCAGGAGGTGCCACACATTTTTACACAATCAGATATCCCAAGAACTTACTCACTATCATGAGGACAGCACCCAGGGGGATGGTGATAAATCACTGATGAGAAGTCCACTCCCATGGTTCAATCACATGGTACAATAACATCCTACCAGGTCCCACCTTCAACAATGGGGATTCCATTTCAAGATGAGATTTGGGTGGGGACACACATCCAAAGTATATCACCAGTTAAATCTATTTCACAATAGGGTACCCGGCAGCTGGATTCTTTGAGGAAATAAAATGGGCTATGTTTGAAATTTAGACTGGTGTAGTAAGGAGTGAAGACAACCTAGATAGAACAGTCATTGCATCCCTACAGTGAGGTGTCTTCATGGGATACAAGTTTAAGCCAGGATTGAGGATGAGAATGGAAGTTTCCAAGTGATTGGGAAGGTTTGGATTTCCTATGCATTGAATTTTCTTAATGTGGGGTCCACCAAAAGGTGTGATAAGTAAAATAAATTAATTAGTAAAATCACTCATTTTCTTTTTTTTTTTTTTGTCCCTGGTCATCTGAATTTTTGCCAGGAGAATCTTCAGCTCACTACTTACCTTGCCCTTCTGTCACATCATCCTGAAAGCACCCAAATATGAAGCAATCCGTGTTCTCTACTCCTTTCTCTTGACATGCAAATTGATGATTTGCGTAGAAAAAGTTATAAAAGAGGACAGGGAAGTGAACATACAAACACAATAGAAATAAGCACAGGGAAATGTCCATGATTCTAAGGATCAAACTCAACTTAGAATTCTATAAGATGTCCAACAGGAGTGAAAAGGAAATGAAGATGTTTTCCTACTTACTAAGAGCAGTGGAATTTAGCACACACAGTTCTTCACTAAAAAGGAGTTACTGAAGAATTCAGATTGACAACAGAAAAAAGAAATCCAGAAATAGGTTTTAGGGGAAAATGGTGAAAACAGATGTTGATAATATGCTAGTAGACAACTGTTGGCTGCATAAAAAGTAATAGTGACTATTTTAAAGGAAAAAAATGAAAAGTGAAACTTTATTTCACAGTAATAATAGTAGAAGAGGATATGTTATTAAATGTGTCATTAAAACGTGAAAACCTCACATATTTGGTAGTGTGGTTAAATACTGACTTTACATTTTTTAGCAAAGATTTTAGATCAGTTTATATCTTCAAATTTAGAGGAAATCACAAGAAAAAGAATTAACATCTATGCCTGCCTACCAGATAAAGAAAAGATAATGCAAATAGAGAGTTTTTTAAAAAGTTAAGGTGTATGAGTTAACAAGATATCATTAAATGAATTTATGAAAAAGAGAATTAGGAGTATATATTTAAAAGCCAGCGTTATTCAGTCTATAATGGACATATTTAAACACAAGCATAAAGAGAGAAAGAAGAAAGAGAGAAAGTTTCAAATTAAAGAAGTATCAAAAGATATATCAAGGTACTACCAGTTAAAATAAAACATATGGTATCTAATTTTGTAATACTAATGTCAAATAAAATAAAAAATTATTAAGATGCAACAAATTATACAAAAGGGATCAACCAAAAATATAAATAAATAAAATAGAGATAACGGACTTATGGTTAATATTTAGCATCAACTTGATTGGATTGAAGTTTGCAAAGTATTGTTCCTGGGTGTGTCTGTGAGGGTGTTGCCAAAGGAGATTAACATTTGAGTCAGCGGACTGAGAAAGGCAGACCCATCTTCAGTCTGGGTGGGCACAACCTAGTCAGCTACCAGCGCAGCCATAATAAAACTGGGCAGAAGAACGTGGAAAGACTAGACTGGCTTAGCCTCCTAGTTTACATCTTTGTCCCATACCGGATGCTCCCTGCCTTCAAACATCAGACTCCAGGTTCTTCAGCTGTGGGACTCAGACTGGCTTCCTTGCTCCTCAGCTTGCAGAGGGCCTATTATGGTACCTCACCTTGTGATCGTTGAGTCAGTACTCCTTAATAAACTGCCCTTTATATATACATCTATCCCATTAGTTCTGTCCCTCTAGAGAACCCTGACTAATACAGGACTTAGGTTTTGATATAGTTTGACAATAAATAGTGGTAAATAATCAAATAAGTAAAGGAAAAATAACAAATTCACAATTATACTGGGAATTTTGATATATCACAATCAAAAAAGATAAATGTATTAGTCAAAAAACTAGAAACAGTAACTATGTAAAGTGATAGATGTATTAACTAAGTTAATTGTAGTAATCATATACAGGTATACATATATATATCTCAAATCATTTCCTTGTATATCTTAAATACATACAATTTTATTTGTCAACTCTACCCCAATAAAGCTGGATAAAATTTTTAAAAATTAGAGTAGTTGTGAAAATGTGAATGGAAAATTAGCTCCTTAGTTGACAGGTAAATATCTAAATCAAAAAATAAATATAAAACATTCTTCAAAGACATCTAGAATATTTTAGCTAATATTCCATGCACTAGGCATGCAAGGCAATTTAGTACACTTCAAAAAATCAATATAATACAGAGTTCTGTGACCCTGTGACAATTAAATTTTAAATTATTAATAAAAATATGTATTAATAAAAAAAGACATCCTTCAGGAAAAAGTCACCTTTATGTAACTCATTTATAACAGAGAAGATACATTTAAATAAATTATTTTAGTATTATAGAAATAATAAAATTATGATATCTTCAAACATTTGAAACAAAACTAAGTTATGATTGGACTGGAAATAAATAAGCATTAGGTTAACAGGTAGGCTAGCCATCAGCCCCGAGATGCCTGTGAGGCTTGAAAAGAAGCAGCAATGGAGTCAATTTGCCCTTATTTCCCCAGGCATTTATGTTTTGGTAAAAGGTATGTTTTGGTAAAAGTAATAGACTGAGCTCTTCTCAAGGGGCTTATCCCCTTAAGAACATATATGGGTGTGTTGTTGTTGCTTTGCTGTCCTTGAAGAAACCTCATTAGACATTGTCTAATCTCATAGGACTGGCTTTAGGGAAGATGGACAATTTAAAGACAGAGAAGGATGAGGATAGGGTGAAAAAGTCAGTTTTCTGGAAGTCCAGCCTGCCTCTGAAAGGAGGAGGCCTGTGTCTGCCATGGAAGGCAGTGGTTTTTGGAAGAAAGAGGCTGGTTGGTGTGGGAGTTGTGGGCTGCAAGGCTGTGCTGGTTTGGTGGAGGGCAGGGAAGGCCCAAGATGCAATGATGGATGAAAGGTGCATTTGCTATGGCAGGGATCCTATGGATTTCCATACAAGGGAGTGGCTAGGTGTCTTTGAACAGAATATTTTAACGGCAGGACCCATTTTTAACAAAAGAAGTCAAAATTATATATATAATATATACATATGAGCTACTTCTTCTATCTCTCCTCTCTTTTTCTCTATTAAATTTGCAAACCCTGCTATGAGTAAATTTTTCAAAAGTAAAAAGGTAGACAGGAGATGTCTCTGGACAAATAAAGTGAAGAAGAGAAAAACAGAGGCATGAGTCTTGATATATTGAATAAATTAATAAAATAGATCAAATACAGAAATACAAAAGAAAATGTAAGCTACAAAATAAAAGTCCATAAAAGGTAATATTAGTAATTTCTAGCAAAAACAAACTAAAAAGAACATAAGAAAAGGCAATAATAATGCCAAACTTTTAAGGAAAAATAATTATATCTAAAAGAGACTTTAAATGATAAAACCACATGTTTTAAAACTTAATTGAGTTTTACAATTTCCATAAAAACATAAAACACTATAGTTATTAATACAATATAATGAATAAAAAACTGGGTCAATGATCCTTTAATGAATTGAATAAGTAATGTGTCTACTACTCTTAAAGTCTTTGTGATTAACAAGAAATTCAGAAAATAGAAACTTCTTCCCTCCTAATTTTAGGAGATTAAGAAAACTCGATAGCTAAATCAGACAAAAGGGACAACAGAAGTAACATTGAAAATTCAATATGATCCTCATATCAAAAAGTGGGCAAAGGATATGAACAGACACTTCTCAAAAGAAGACCTTTATGCAGCCAACAGACACATGAAAAAGTCACCATCACTGGTCATCAGAGAAATGCAAATCAAGACCACAATGGATACCATCTCACACCAGTTAGAATGGTGATCATTAAAAAATCAGGAAACAATAGGTGCTAGAGAGGATGTGGAGAAATAGGAACGCTTTTACACTGTTGGTGGGACTGTAAACTAGTTCAACCATTGTGGAAGATAGTGTGGTGATTCATTAAGAATCTGGAACTAGAAATACCATTTGACCCAGCGATCCCATTACTGGGTATATATCCAAAGGATTATAAATCATGTTACTATAAAGACACATGTACACATATGTTTACTGCAGCACTATTCACAATAGCAAAGACTTGGAACCAACCCAAATGTCCATCAATGATAGACTGGATTAAGAAAATATGGCACATATACACCATGGAATTCTATGTAGCCATAAAAAAGGATGAGTTCATGTCCTTTGTAGGGACATGGATGAAGGTGGAAACCATCATTCTTAGCGAACTATTGCAAGGACAGAGACTGAGGTGGTTGGATCATGAGGTCAGGAAGTTGAGACAATCTTGGCCAACAAGAGGAGACTCCGTCTCAAAAAAAAAGCAGCAAGAGATGTACTAACATAATGTAGTATCAATCTAGAATAATTAAAGGAATGAAGAAGTGGCATAAGGTTTTAAAAGGATAAATGGAATAGAATTGAAGTTTGGTGAAGATTTAAGTAATCAGAAAAATACACTCTGCTTAGGAATATGCAAAGTTTTACAAACACTTTGTGGAGTAAGGGAAGCATCTATATGTATTAGTCTGTTCTTGCATCACTATTAAGAAACATCTGAGGCTGGGTAATTTATGAAGAAGAGAGGCTTAATTGGCTTATGTTTCTGTAGGCTGTAAAAGCATGGCACTAGTATCTGCTTCTGCTGAGGGCACAGGGCCCCAGGAAGCCTGCAATCACAATGGAAGGCAAAGGGAGAGTAGGTGGTATCACACGGTGAAAGCAGGAGCAAGAGGGAGAATGAGGAGGTCTCAGACTTTTTTTTTTAATGGAGTCTCCCTCTGTCACCCAGGCTGGAGTGCAATGGCGTGATCTTGGCTCACTGCAATCTCTGTCTCCTGGATTCAAGCGATTCTCCTGTCTCAGCTTCCCAGGTAGCTGGGATTACAGGTTTTGTGCCACCACGCCCAGGTAATTTTTGTAGTTTTAGTATAGATAGGGTTTCACCATGTTGTCCAGGCTGGTCTTGAACTCCCAAGCTCAGGTGATCCCCCTGTCTCAGCCTCCCAAAATGCTGGGATTACAGGCATCAGCCACCGTGCCTGGCCCCAGACTCTTTTAAACAACCAAATCTTGTGTGAACTTACTGAGTGACAACTCACATATCACCAAGGGGATGCTGTTGTTATGGTTTGATTCTGTGTCCTCACCCAAATCTCACCTCAAATTGTAATCCCCATAATCCCCATGTGTCAAGGCTGGGACCAGGTGGAGGTAATTGTATCATGGTGGTGGGTTTCCCCCATGCTATTCTCATGATATTGAGTGAGTCTCCCCAGATATGATGGTTTTAAAAGTGTCTGGCATTTTCCCTGCTTGAATGCCCTCTGTCCTGCCACTCTCTGAGGAAGGTGACTGCTTCTCCTTTGCCTTCTGTCATGATTGTAAGGTTTCTGCAGCTTCCCCAGCAATGCAGAACTGTGAGTAGACTAAACCTCATTCATTTATAAATTACCCAGTCTGGGGCATTTCTTGATAGTAGTGTGAGAATGGACAAATACAGTAAATTGGTACCAAGGTAGTGGAGCACTGCTATAAAGATACCTGAAAATGTGGAGGCAACTTTGGAACTGAGTAAAGGGCAGAGGTTGGAACAGTTTAGAGGGCTCAGAATAAGACAGAAAGGATGTGGGAAAGTTTGGGACTTCCTAGAGACTTGTTGAATGGCTTTGACCAAAATGCTGATAGTGATATGGATAATAAAGTCCAGGCTGAGGTGGTCTCAGATGGAGATGAAAAACTGGTTGGTAACTGGAATAAATAAAGGTGGCTCTTGGCTATGCTTTAGCAAAGAGACTGATGGCATTATCCCCCGGCCATAGAGATCTGTGGAGCTACCAACATGAGAGAGATGATTGAGGGTATCTGGCAGAAGAAATTTCTAAGCAGCAAAGGGTTCAAGAGATGACTTGGGCGCTCTTAAAAGGATTCAGTTTTATGCATTCACAAAGAGGTGGCTTGGAATTGAAGCTTAAGTTTAAAAAGGGAAGCAGAGCATAAAAATTTAAAAAATTTGCCGTCTGACGATGCAGTAAAAAAGAAAACCTCATTTCTTTAGGAGAAATTCAAGCTGGCTGCAGAAATTTGCACAAGGAACAAGGAGCCAAATGTTAATCACCATGACAATGGGGAAAATATCTCCATGGCATGTCAGAGACTTTTCTGGCAGCTTCTCCTATCACAGGCCTGGAGGCCTAGGAAGGAAAAACTATTTGGTCAGCCGGACCCAGAGCCCCACTTCTACTCTGTTCAGCCTTTGGACTTGGTGCCCTGTATCCCAGCTGTGGTTACAATGGGCTAACATACAGCTTGGGCTGTTGCTTCACAGGGTGCAAGCCCCAAGCCTTGGCAGCTTCCATGTAGTGTTGGTCCTGCGTGTGCACAGAAGACAAGAATTGAGGTTTGAGATTCTCTGCTTAGATTTCAGAGGATTTATGTAAGTGCCTGTATGTCTAGGCAAAAGTTTGCGGCAGAAGTGCAGTCCTCATGGAGAAACTCTGCTAGGGCCATGCAGAAGGAAAATGTAGGGTTGGAGCCCCCACACAGAGTCCCCACTGGGGCACTGCCTAGTCAAACTGTGAGAAGAGGGACACTGTTCTCCAGACCCCAGAATTGTATATCCACCAACAGCTTACACTGTGCACCTGGAAAATCCACAGACACTCAATGCCAGCCTCTGAGAGCAGCTTGGAGGGGGGCTGTACCCTTCAGAGGCTCAGGTGTGGAGCTGCCCAAGGCCATGGGAGCCCACCACTTGAATCAGCATGACCTGTATGAGAGACATGTAGTCAAAGGAGATCATTTTGGAACTTTACAGTTTAACTACTGCTCTATTTAATTTTGGAATTTCATGGGGCCTGTAGCCCCTTCAATTTGTCCAATTTCCCCCATTTTGATTTTACAGGATCATAGGTAGAAGGGATTTGCCTTGTCTTGGATGAGATTTTCAACTATGGACTTTTGAGTTAATGCTGAAATTAGTTAAGACTTTGTGGTACTGTTGGGAAGGGATAACTGGTTTTGAAATGTGAAAGGGACATGATATTTGGAAGGGTCAGAGGCAGAATATAGTTTGACTCTGTGTCTCCACCCAAATCTCACCTTGAATTGTATTCTCATAATCCCCATGTGTCAAGGGTGGGACCAGATGGAAGTAATTGGATTATGGGGGTTGTTCCCCCATGCTGTTCTCTTGATAGTGAGTGAGTCTCACAAGATCTCATGGTTTTATAAGCATCTGACATTTCCCCTGCTGGCACTCATTCTGTCCTGTGAGCCTGTGAAGAAGGTGTCTGCTTCTCCTTTGCCTTCTACCATAATTGTAAGTTTCCTGGGGCCTCCCCAGCAATGTGGAGCTGTGAGTGAATTAAATCTCTTTCATGTATAAATAACCCAGTCTCAGGTGTTTCTTCATAGCAGTGTGAGAATAGACTAATACAAGTACTAAGCCATTAATGAGGAACCTGCCTCCATGATCCAATACCTCCCACTAGGCCACACCTCCTACATTGAGAATCACATTTCAACATGAGATTTATAGGGGACAAGCATCCAAGTAATACCACTATAGAAGCTGAGGGTATGCACAGAAAGACTAATTAGCATTTTAATAATATCGATAAATTATATTCTTTCAAAATATTCATCTGTAGTAAAGTGGATACCTGTATTTTATTCATAAATATTGCATAGCCTTTATATAAAAATAATCTATCTATTTGTCAAAATAAATTTTGGAAGCATGATATAGAGTAAAAGAACCAAGTTGTAAAAACATTATTGGCAGTGTTACCATTTATGGTTAATAAGTGTAAATAACACTATATATCTTTATGGAGCTATATATTCAAAGTTAAAATATAACATGAAAGATAAACACAAATTTTAAGAATATTTTTACTCAAAGGATGGAAAAGGGTAAATAATGAGAGATACTAATGGTGTTCCATCTGTAAAAAATTATTTCTATTTTTAAAAATACCTAAAGGTGATGTGGAAAATATCTTCATTTTTCAGTCTGGGAGGTGGGAATATACTTTTATTCTCCTACTATTTGGAATACTTTATAATAAAAAAGCAAATACATGTTTGCAAATTACTCTTCATTTATTATCCAGGTATCCATTGATTTATTCATTCTACAATCCTACACTTTGTACTAGGCCTAGTGTCAGGCAGAAATAATGAGTAAGGGACAGTACGTTTATCCTAAGGAGTCCCCTCTCTAGGTAAGTCACAGCACAATAATATCCCAAGTTCACACTGTATTCCAAAAGAAACATTTTAAATATGGGACGTACCAGAGATAATTGAGTTAAGACAGTTGATCCTGGTGATGAGTTTTGAAGAATGTTGACAAATGCAGATGAGAAAAGAGCATCTGCAGTCAATGTGCTGGATCTTCAATCATCTAAAAGAAAGGAACATTTAATGAGCAATGTTATTCTAGGACTTTGGTAACACTACACAGATATACTATCTTCTCTATTATGGCATCCTATGTATATGACAGTCTTTGGCTCATGGGAAACATTCAGTAACTATTCAATTAATTGAGTGCAAGCACTTTGGACTCACTCCTGAAATGCTTCAACACGGAGCAGCCACAGTTGGAGTATTTACGGGAGATCCAAGAGGGATTCTATCATTTATTTAATTTTATTTAATTTTGAGAACAGATGAGATTTATTTTTATTTATATTTTTAAAAATTATTTATTTCCATAGGTTTCGGGAGAACAGGTGGTATTTGGTTACATGAGTAAGTTATTTAGTGGTGATCTGTGAGATTTTGGTGCACCCATCACTTGAGCAGTATACACTGAACCCAATCTTTTATCCCTCACCCTCCTCCCACCCTTTCCCCCGAATGCCCAAAGTCCATTGTATCATTCTTATGCCTTTGCATTCTCACAGCTTAGCTCCCCTTATAAGTAAGAACATACAATGTTTGGTTTTCCATTCCTGAGTTACTTCACTTAGAATAATAATCTCCAGTTTCATCCAGGTTGCTGCGAATTCCATTAATTCGGTTTTTTTTTTTTTTTTTGTGACTGAGTAGTATTCCATCATATATATACCACAATTTCTTTATCTACTCATTGATTGATGGGCATTTGTGCTGGTTCTATAATTTTGCAATTGCAAATTGTGCTGCTTTAAACATATGTGTGCATGTATCTTTTGTGTATAATCACTTACTTTCCTCCGGGCAGATACCCACTAGTGGGACTACAGGATCAAATGGTAGTTTTAGTTCTTTAAGGAATCTCTACACTGTTTTCCATAGTAATTGTACTAGTTTACATTCCCACCAACAGTGTAGAAGTGTTCCTTTTTCGCTGAAACCATGCCAACATCTAGTATATTTTAATTTTTTTGTGTGGCCATTCTTGCATTCTTCATTTGAATTTTTCTGATCATCAGTGATGTTCAGCATTTTTTCACGTGTTCATCATTTGTCTACAAGGAACTCAAACAAATTAGCAAGAAAAAATAAAGAATCCCATCAAAAAGTGGGCTAAGGACATGAAGAAAAAATTCTATATATATATATATTATTTTTTAAATTTGCACTTAAAGTCTTACCAAATGTCAGGCCTGTTGTCAATTCCATACCATTTCAAAGAATTATGAATTTCCACTCACTTATGCTATCTTGCAAAAATGTGTGGTGGACAACCTTATTTCTTGTTTTCATTTCAGTCCAGACAATTCAGACCTCTTAAAATATAAAATTCCTAAGCTCTTTCTTTGCTTTCCACCTCCACAGCCCTAAGACCCTAATGTATTTAGAAATCAAGAGTGGATATACCTTGAAACTTACTTTCCTTATGAACTTATAGGTCCATTTGTAAGTTTCTATCAATAATTTCAAAATGTTTTACAAAAACATCAGGTTATGTTCTACAAAATCCCCCACACAAAAAGGCACCTTGTTTACCAAAATACTTTTTATTGAGATGAGACCAAGTCCAGGGACTACATATTTTAGAGAAATACTAGAAACTCAAAAAAAAAAGTATCACCACTCCAATAAGCAGAAAATTATTAACCTCAGTATCATTCCATTTGATATTTAATGAACACTTATTATGTGCGCTCCAGTATGATCAAATTCTGGTATATACAGATAATAAGACAATGATTGGTCCCAGAACGGTCTAGGGTCTAACAAGAAAGTAAAAAATAGACAGCAGGCCGGGCGCGGTGGCCAACGCCTGTATTACCAGCACTTTGGGAGGCTGAGGCAGGCAGATCACGAGATCAGGAGTTTGAGACGAACCTGACCAACATGGCAAAACCCCGTCTCTACTACAAATACAAAAATTAGCTGGGCGTGGTGGCACGTGCCTGTAATCCCAGCTACTCAGGCGGCTGAGGCAGGAGAATCACTTGAACCTGGGAGGGTGAGGTTGCAGTGAGCCAAGATGGCACCACTGCACTCCAGCCTGGGCGACAGAGTGAGACTCTGTCTCAAAAAAAAAAAAAAAAAAAAAATAGACAGCAAAACAGGATGAGGGCCAAGGTGAGAAATACTGATCCTGCCTGGAAAGTAAACTAGAGAAAGAACACTTGACTGTATTTTGAATCCTGGGGCTAGAATATAAAAGGCATCACAAGCTACAGAAAATATTCAAAATTTATCATGAAGACAATTAAAACCACAATACAGACTTCTTAAAAAAATTAAGTCATATAGAGAACAGAGTTTTAACAGCAATTCTTGTCCCAAATTGGTTACATTGTTTGCAGCAAATTCAAGCTTTATTGTCTTAGTTGTTCAGTCATACTCATTTCTAATAAGGCTCTGTATATCTGTATAGAGCATCTGTCATAGCTGCTTTCTAAAACTGACTCATTTTTTTCAAACATACTTTCTTTTTAAAAAGTGTTTTCACCACAAATATTCATTTGAAAACCACTTATAGCATTCCAAAGAAGATTTAAGAATCTCCCAGAAGCTCTGTAATAAGAAAATGCATCCTTTGTTTCCATAGAAATATACTTGTACATGTTGTTCTCCTGGTTTGCTGTATGTGCTGAACAGATTTCAGAATGACATTTGGTGTTCTGTGGTTGAAATACGCACCCACAAAGCAGAACAAATGTAAAATGCTGCCCTCTGTTGAAAAATGCCAAGTACACAAATCAGTTCTTGAAAGGTAGATGAAATATTATATTTACACCAGTATAAGAAGGTTTGAAGAAATAAAACAATTGGTAAGAGTTGTGAAATAATGATAACTTTCTTAGACTTAAATCAAAAAGAACAATATCAAAAAAACTATGGTATGTTTAAATGGTTAAAAAGATCAACTATCTACATTGAAAAAATACTAAGCTAAAATAGAGTAACGACCTATATGGAAAAGTGTTGTTTCCGCATGTGACAGATAGAGGGGTAATTTCTGTAATTTTAAGAAGCTTACACAAAACACCAAATGCCAAAAAATAAATATAAAAATAATATTGAAGACACTTCACACAGGAAGGCATATAAATTATAATACGTATGTGACAAAATGTTAACATTCCATAACAATTATGAGCTAGAAATAAACCTCTAAAAATTTTTAAGCCCAATGCTGGTAAGGTAGTTATGAAATTATTCAATCTTTTAGGGCTGAGCTTTAGAAATTGGTATAAACCTATTATAAATCAATATAGCAATAAACTGTGTGCGTCCATGTATCTAATAATTTAATTCACTGATGTTCAATTAAAAGAAATAATTCAAGAGCTCTAGATAATAATAGATATATCATTTATAATTGCAAAACAAAAATTCAAATATATATAATATATATCCTATCTTCAAAAATATTCTTTAATATTGTGGTATATCAAATTAATAAAGTGATTAAAGATGACACATATTGTGATAGGCTAAATAATGACCTTCCCCCTAAAGATGTCCACATCCTAATCAGCGGAACTTATGAATGTTACCTTACATTGCCAAAGAGATTTTACAAGTGCAAATAAGGTCACAGAACTTAACATAAGGAGATAATCTTGCATTAACTGGATCGAACAATCTAACCACATGAACCTATAAAATCAGAGAACTTTGCCTAGCTAAAATGAGAAAGATAGACCAGCAGAAGGAGTAGAAGACATGAGGCAGAAGATGAATCCAGAAACATATCAAGGGTGAGAAGGATTTGATGTGGCATTGCTAGTACTGAGATACAGGGGGCTTCATGCAAAAACCAGGGAGAAGTCTCTGGAAAATCAGGATGTCCCCACTTCCACTACATTGACAGTCAGCACAGACATGCAGGATTTAATCTTACAACGACAAGGTACTAAATTCAACCAATAATCTGAATGAGTTTGAAAGTGGACTCTTCTGCAGAGCCTCCTGTAAGGAATACAGCCCTGTCGTCACCTCGATTTCAGCTCTGTGAGACTGATCTGAAGAGCCAACCCAACCCAAGACTTCTTACCTAGAGAACTTTGACATGATAAATTTGTGTGTATTATACCCTAAATTTGTGGTAGTTTGTTATGGAAATGATAGAAAACTAACATGTATGAAGATTGTGTATTAAAAGAGTGAAGTATTCATGCCAATATCTTTAGTAAAAAGGCAGAATACAAACACACACACACTCACATCCATGCACACACACAAACAAGGACAGAGCAATACACAAAGCTATATACAGACCATTCTGTGATTAGATAAAATATCAAAAAGCAATGTGTTTGAATTCTAGTACTAGGGATATTTTAAATTATTATTTACAATTATTAATATATTATTATTGCATCATCCCATTATTATAAGTTTATATAGAAGGACACAATACCAGAAAATAAAATAGAAAAATAATGATTTTTTTAAACCAGTACCTTTGATGAGGAAATGTGTTATCTGTCTTTCCAAAACGATATCCTCTCCTGTGGAGGAGCATGAGGCAGCTGCACAGAAAAGTATAGGTAAACTAACTTATTTTTGTCCAGGCTTTTAAATTATACAACTCTCCCCAGCTTTTGCCACAGGATTTCTAACACAAGCTTAGCCCAGTTCCAGCGTTATGACCATTCCTCATTCTGTTTTTGCAGCAGATAATTTGTTACTGATATTGCCTGAAGAATATTTTCTGATCTTCTTCCTCAACTTCAGAGATGACTCGTGATATGCTTCTTGAGAAGTACCCTTCCTGATGGGAGTTCAAAAAATAAGCTGTCTTTTTTTTTTCTTTTTTCTACCAGTGTTTCAATATCTGAATTCCCACTCTCTCCCTGAATAGGGAATAAAGTGGGAAAACAAAAGTGCCCACCAGTCATAGATAAGGGGAGTTTGGTCCAATCCAAGGAACTCTGCCATGGAAGGTATATAAGCTGAGACTCTCCAATGCAAGGAAAGCAGTGATAAGTTAAATTCAGAGTCCTTGAAAGGGACTTGAATTAAAGGACTAACAGGAGTAATATGAAGAGGATAGAGAAATTAAATGCAGAAGCAGATCTGAAGCAAGTTAGGTGGGTACAGGATGACAGAAATAAACACTGGATTTTGGAATCTTGTATTAATGGGCTCATAGGCCCACTGTATGAGGCCAAGCTACATGTTGAGTATTTGTTCCAATAACCTTCCAGACACTCCAGCCCCTCCTGTCCTGTAACCGTGCTTTGTTTTCATCTGCCATTTGAGGTCATGAGGCTCTGTTATCCACTGTAGTCCTGTGGTCAAACATTGGTTCCTGTTGAGATCACCTACTTGTGGCATGGTCCCTTGTGCCCTGGCCAGCTGCAAATGAATCCCAGAAAATTGTGTTTGAATCAAAGCAAAGAAAAGGCATCAGAAATGCCTGAGTAGTCTTCACCACGCTGCCAGCTTCTCCTCTGATCTACGACTGTGTCGTGTATTTTCAACCTCCTTTTTTTTTTTTTTAACCATTGCAACACATGACTCTCATCTATCTTTCTCTTCTAAATCTGTCAGTGTTTAAAAATAAGTGCCTCAGAAATTAGGACAATAAAATATATAAAAAAGCAAAGGAATTTCCTTGGGGGACAGAGAAAGAAACCCATCTTCCCTATATGTGATGGGCTGAAGAGGGTTGTCAGGAGGGAATGGATTGAAGAAAAGCTGCCCAGTGCACCCATGTGTTCCTTCATGCTCAGCGAATGAATTGAAGTTGGCAACAGTTTTTGAAGAAATGATTTCATTAGAGCCAGAAAGTGCCCAACTTCTGTGTACTTAAATATTTTAGAAAAACAAGAATAATACAGAAACTTCTGGGATTATAAAGAATTATAGCCACGGCTATTACCATAGCCCAAAACACTACATTTTTTTTGTCTGAATGATGGAATGTATTTCTAACTGGTTTATCTACTTTTGCTTTTGCCCCAGCCAATTTATTTCTACACAATAGCCAAAGTAATCTATTAAAATGTAAATCAGATGATACCATTTCCCTAAAATACCCCAGTTGCTTTAAGAAAAAAATTTTAAAGCTTTTTACCATGACCTGTAAGATCTTATATGAGGTGGTCCAGGTTAACGCTCAGGCCTCATCTTCTACTGTTCTCTTTAACCACTAAGTTATAGGCAATTGTGTACCCATCATTCCACATCCTCCACCATCTTTAATAATTTTACACTTTAAAAATGTATCTGAATTTATTTATCTTTCTATGTATTGTTTGCTATTACATCTCCCACCTTGTAATTCCCCACTCATCAGTTTCAAGTTAAACTCCCTGAGAGCAAGAAATTCTATCTCAAGCACCTAGCACAATGCTTGTCACACAGATGATGCTCAACACATACTTGTTGATTGAAGGAATAGACTTAGAGAACAAGAAGTCCATAAAAGCTGTAGAGATCATTCAGCTACAGTAAAGAAAGCATAAGTTTTGGCACGCAAAGGTCTGAATCATTACTCTAGCTTCATTTCCGTTATATATCATTTCATGAACTTTCTTTTCCACATTTGGAAAATGAAGACAATATTCTTGTATTCAAAATCAGTAAAGATTAATAATTAATGTGAATTGATGGCAACTATTTTTTTTTTTTTTTTTGGAAATGTGTGGTTCTTGTTTAGATGGGAAATCCAAGGCAGTGCCCTATATTCACAGATGTTTCGACATGATGGCATGTAAACTTATTGTCACAATTTCAATTTTGATGATTCGTGTGGATATATCTATTTTAAAATATCTATCTTGTTATGGTGTGGCCAGTTCAGGACAGGTATACTAAGTAATTGTTTTATAAGTTCTATTTTAAATATAGCATGAGATCTATAGAAGTGTATATATTAATTGAGATGTGGAGCAAATAAAGACTATAAAAATGTGCTTTAGGCTTACAGGAAACATCACAGTCCTCAGAAGGAGGGATCCTATGATGTTGGACAAGTGCCACAGCAGAAACCCTGAGAAGTACTAGCAATTGCTCAGCAGATTCCATGTCAATATCATAAAGCAATAAATGATTTTACTAGTATAGTAACAGCTTGACGAGTACAGTATTCTCTCAATAGTCATCAGGGATGGATTTCAGGAACCCCACGGATACCAAAATCCACAGATGCTTGTGTCTCTGAGATAAAATTTTGTAATACTTGCATATAACCTACACACATCATCCTGTATACTTTAAATCACCTCTAGTTTACTTTTAATACCTAATACAATGTAAATACTATGTAAATAGTTGTAACACTGCATTGCTTTTAAGTTATTTTTTATTGATGTATTGCTATTTTTTATTTTTCACGTATTTTTATTGTGGAATCTGCAAAGAGGAAGCCGAGGATATGGAAAGACAGCTGTAACTATTTTTCCTTAACATAGATACCAATATTTTGGATTCTGCTAAGATCTATTCCAAGCCTATTTGGAAGTGGTTTCCACCCTGGAAAATGGTGCTTCAGAGAACATGTGAACAGAACAAAAGGACTCTTGTTTTGATATCCATTTTGCCTCACATTCTTCATGTATAAAATGAGAATAATGATACCTGTTTTACCCCCTTGTTGTGGAGATAAATTGTGATAATGTATTTGAGAGAGCACTGGAAACTAAAATAGGTTTTGTTTGTCTGCTTTTGTTTTCACCAAGAACTGTGAGAAACTGGGACACCATTATTGCTGATTTGGAAACTCTATCATTGGAAGTAGCACTAATAGGATGGAGTATTCACCCACGTGTTACAAATGCACATTGCACAGTTTTGGAGTCTAAATGGATTTGGTGCTTTAAGTATAAGTTGGGCCTCAAAAAAATGGCACACAGCAGATGCCTAGCAACACAGCAGCAGTACCACCTTCAAGATGAGATTTTTCTCAAGCTCATGTGACAAATCCACTGGGAACTCCCAGAAAAACAATGAAAACTATGAAAAAGCTGAGATTCTACATGGGCAGGTGGGAAAAGAGTCACGAAGATTTTGATTGTTGTTAATTATATTTCCTTTGTATTTTTCATTGTGTTATTTTGTTGTTGTTTTCCCTAGAGTCCCTTCTTCTACAGCTAGAGCTGTTTCACTCAAAAAGCTTTGAAAACTAAGAATGACGTTAGCTCCTTTTTAAATTTTCCTATACTTATTTCTTGTACTTATCTTCAATAATAGAAGAAAGGCCACTTAAAGCTAATACCACATCTTCGTTAATGAAGGAATGTCCATTTGACTCTTGAGAGCACAAATTCCTAGAAATGTATTTGTTTGGAGACTGGACAGTGACTGATTATCTAAGTGCATAATTAGCTGAAATGAGACAAGCCTTAGAAGGAGCTGTACAGAACCATGTGGTCATCCAGTTTGGAGAATTATCAAAAGGAAGTATTCTATAATAAGATGTAATAAACACACTGAAGTGACAATTGTGAAAAATGATTAACATCTTGAAATTCACATTACACATGTATCAGAAGACGAAAGACCCCAAAACAGCATCTGCAAAAGGGGCTCTTTTGGAGGACCATGTCCTAAGAAATTCTACCTAGGTAAAGGCATTTTAATAATTTTCAAAACAAGCTCTATAGTCCCACCAGCTTGGAAAGTCATGTCTCATCAGCAAAGAGAAAACTTTGAGATATTCTGCAGTGAGCTATGTAATAAGACAATCGAGAAGAAATCCAAATCGTATTTCTTTGTTTAACCTATTTAGGTTGTTTGCCTAGCTTATTTAGACAGGTCTTTAAAAAAAAAATCCTATGAATCTAATATTCTGACAAACATACTTTGAAAAACTTTACATCAGTAGTCTAATTTTACATTCAATTATTATCTGCTAACTACCTGTCAATACCTGTCTTCAATGAGTGGTTGGTCGCCTTTCAAAATTGAGAGTCTAGTCTTCTCCATGAAAGCTCTACTGATGCTCTTGAAAAAGCAGGGCATTCCCTACTCTGCAGTCCCATTATATCCAATATAATATATGACTGTATCTCCTATAACAATTGATTACTCTTTTTTATTTACATTTATTAATGTTTATAGCCTTATTTATTATATCTTTGTTTCCCCGTTTCCAAGCATTGGCCTGTCTTAGAATACTAAGATTTTTTTTAACGTATCAGTGAGAAGTATGTATGTGTGTGTGGACGTGTGTGTATGTGGGGTACATGCAATAGGGTGGGTAGATTGAAATTTGAATTCGGCCGGGAGTGGTGGCTCACGTCTCTAATCCCAGCACCTTGGGAGACCAAGGCGGTCAGATTGCCTGAGCTCAGGAGTTTGCGACCAGCCTGGGCAACACGGTGAAACCCCGTCTCTACTAAAATACAAAAAATTAGCCAGGCATGGTGGCAGGCACCTGTAATCCCAGCTACTCGGGAGGCTGAGGCAGGAGAATTGCTTGAACCCAAGTGGCAGAGGTTGCAGTGAGCCGAGATCACACCACTGCACTCCAGCCTGGGTGACAGAGCCAGACTCCGTCTCAAAAAAAAAAAAAAAAAAAAAGAAATTTGATTTCAATATATTTGTTACAGTAAAACAATTAAGAATGCAAACTCTAGGACTATATCATCTGTTTTAAACCCCAACTCTACTTGTGAAAGTTGGCCTGGTAACCTCTCTGTATTTCAGTTTCCATTAAGGATAATAATGACCAAATCCTCTCGGCATTTACTATGTGCTACTCTAAGTATTTACTGCATATTGACTCATTTAATCACCATAACTCAAAAAATAAGGTGTGATTGGCATCTCCTTTTGTATGTTCTTGTTGTGAGAATTATATAAGTTAATAGGTTCAAAAATATAGTTGACACATTCTGACACATTGTAAGCATGCAATAGATGTTAGCTATGTTTATTTCTTGAACTCCATATATGTCAACTATATACTTGGAAATGAAGATGCAAAGAATAACTAATCCCTATATTCAAAGTACTCAAGGTAGAACTACAATCAAAATGAGAAAAAAATGGAATGTTATTGTAGAAAACAAGGTTAAAAAAAAACACAGATATTAATCTGAATATAAGCCAGGCATGAAAATACATGAATTACATTATAACATCCTAAGAACCATGATAGGAGAATAGAATAGATAAGCTGTTGCCAAGAAAGCAAACTCTAAACCCTATACTACAAAATGATTTGAATGAGGATTTCTGTCCATGGTTGCCTTCTTAAACATGCCATATCAACCTTCCCTAAATATGCTTTTCTCGATTTTTTAAAGAGCACACTGCCTAATTGTGTCTAACAAATTCTGAACACTTTATGTTTCACCAGGTGAGAGAGGAAGTATGCAACCAAATTAACCATAGTCTTCGCTCCTGAGTCCCAGTTCTTTGGTGAAACTGACGTGTATATGTGTGACTATAAAACAAAACAAATAGAAAGCAACTCCTCCTGTTATAATGCCTCAGTGGTTGGGATTCCATTAATTAATGGCCTACAGTAAAATATGAGCTGGGCTTTTCTCTACGTGGGAAACAAAGGAATCATAATAATTAAAACCAGACATCCTGTGCTTGATAAACAGTCCACATTATCACATTTTAACAATCAGGCAAGGTTGGTTTTATACCCCAAGTCTATGAGGGAAAGGAATATCAGGAAGCTGAGATTGGAAAGTGAAGTGGCCAAAGTCATAAAATACCAAGCAGGACTGGAATAAAAAAGACTTACCGATTCCAGTATCCGTGCTCATTTCACTACATCATACTGCTTACTTAGGACTTTATTGAATACAAGAGACAAATATTCATGAAAGAATTAGAGAAACATAGGAAATTGTATGGCTCAGGGTCTGTTTCCTTCTTTGTGTGCTTAAGCTGTTTATAAATGTACAATAAATGTTAGTTCCTTTCTCTCTGCTAGAGAGCAGAGATTAAGGCAATTTTGTAAACTGCCCTTGACTTGTCTGTGCAGGCAGAGGCAGAGTGGGGTATCAGCTCTAGAGTCAGTCAAAGCCCACCTCTCCCATGTTTTAGCATATAATTTTGGCTGGCCATTTATTCTTCCTAAGAATAAGTTTCTCATCTGTAAAGTGAAATAACACATAAAGTTGTAAATATTAATCTAAATAACTTAGACATGATACTACCTATTTTTATTATTGTTATTTTTTTGCAGTTAGTATTACAGGGTAATCAGACAGTGATATGCAAAGCCTGTTTTGCCCACATGATTCAAGGAAATCAGGCTGGTTTTCCAAATATCTCCCTAGTCCTAGCATGCATTGATAATACTTTATCCTAATCTTTGGACAGGCTATTTCCCTCTAAAAGAACTATACCCCTCCCATTCATTCGAATTCTACCCATGCCCAAAACTCACATGTGCACACACAAACACACACACATACACAAACACACACACATACACACACACACACACACACACACACCGTTTTTCCAGGAAGCCCACATTCATTTATCCTTCCTCTAAATGTTAGTTACATGGTATTATCCAAGGAGGATATATTTACATTTTTATCATTTCACTTGTCTTTTCCTATTCTGATCTGTAAGTCCAGGTCAAAGCCATTTAAGGATAAGGAACATTTTTCAAGCCTCTATGATACTTCTCACAAGACTTAGCTGGGTACAGAGGGAGCCCTGCACATGTTCTATGCTTTATTGATTTATTTTTATGATATGTAAAATACTGATATAATCTGAATTATTGTCTCAGTTTGAACTCACCAAATGGCTAACACTTCCAGATTCTAGGACACATATAAACTACAAGTATTTCTGTGTGTAACTGTGTATCTGCTTCATCTGATAACCACTTTAGAAAACATTTTGACAGTTTCCCAGTGTGAAGAAAAAGGATTTTTGTTTAATTAATGAGGCATTTCTCAGGTCCAGATTTTAGTCTTTTAATGCACTTTCAGCTGTTAGAAAGATACTATTAAAATGTCTTACTGTTGACTAATGCTTAATTATTCTCTTTCCGGAGTAAATCACATTTTTTATGTAGATCAATCCTTGTCTTTCTTAGCAGGAAGTTCTTTAGATTAGTAATGTATCAATGGTTTGTATTTATTTTTCATTTCTCCCTGTCTTATTTTAAAAGGGAAGTTTGCAAAGGGTTCCACTTACAGAAATACACTAGATAGGTCTGTGCTTGGTGTATTGGGGAGAAGTGAGCTATATGGTTAACTAAACGTAGCCAGATCAACTCCCTTACCCAAGGTTAAAAAGCTAATTTAAATATGTATATGTGTATATATTTATACATGCTATTTATGAATTTTTATATATTTATATGTAGTGCATTTTATTCATTTGATGAACCTTAATATGCTGAGGTTCTCAGTAAAATTAGCTTTTATTCAAATGTATCATGAAACTAATAATCTATTTTATATACCTGAATTTATCAAAAGTACAGCTCTTTCTGTAATAAAATGTTGAAATGGTTTGTGGTAAAATAAACATAGAATAATAACTCAAATATTCTCCAACATAATTTCTCCTCAAATAGTTCATGAGTCACAAATTTTTTGAAAAATACACATTTAGACCATAAAGAGAGGATAACTTTGGATGTAGTTTAGCAGTTTTCTAATAATCTGTGATATAGGTGACAATCATCCTGTTTTCAGGGCTGTGCTAAAGCCGCTTGTGTGCATGTCTTCCCAAATTCATACTCAGTGATATCTAGTTGGTAGCTTGAAATGAGCCATGGTAGGAGCATTTGCACCATATTGAAAATCAGCACCTCATCGCCTACAGAGGTCCAGGTGAAAAAATACAACAGCATACAAGTTGAAATGCCTTTGATTCATAAAGCTTACCTTCTAAGAGAGAAACTAGGCCTTAAATAAGTCCTCCAGATAAAATACATGACTAATTTATAAAAAGATATTTGAAGAAAGAGCATATAATACAATTGAAAATGATTAAAGGGGTAGGTGCGGTGGCTCACTGCCTGTAATCCCAGCACTTTGGGAGGCCGAGGCGGGCAGATCATGAGGTCAGGAGATCGAGATCATCCTGGCTAACATGGTGAAACCCTGTATGTACTAAAATATACAAAAACAAAAATTAGCAGGGTGTGGTGGCGGATGCCTGTAGTCCCAGCTACTGGGGAGGCTGAGGCAGGAGAATGGCGTGAAACCAGGAGGCGGAGCTTGCAGTGAGCAGAGATAGCACCACAGCACTCCAGCCTGGGGACAGAGCTAGACTCCACCTCAAAAAGAAAAAAAAAAACAGAAAATGATTAAAGGATTGATTCTTCTTCTTCTCCTTGTCCTTCTCTTTCTTCTTCTTCATGTTTAGTTTGGGGAGGTAATGTTATGACAGACTACTCTGAGAAAATGGAGTTAACACTAAGACTGACATGATGAACAAGAGCTAGTTTGGGCTAAGTGAGATCCTATGTAAAGATGCTGGGGCAGGAAAGAATATTGAGCCTCTATGGGACTGAAGGAAAACCAGTATAAAAGAAAAAGTGTGATTGTGAGATAATATCAGAAACATAAGGGAAGACCATATCAATTAGGGTAGTTTTGGCCATAATTTTTATTTACATGAATGACATACAATAAAATTATTGAAGAATTTTAAGTGGGGTATAGATAAAATCATATCTGCAGTTTAAAGAGACGTCTCTAGTTGCTGGGGCAAAAGAAGTGGCAAGAAACAAAGTTCAGAAGCTGTCATAGTTATGCCAATGACTCAGGATGGAGATGATAGTGTAAAGTTCGTGGTGATGCTAGGGAATGGTGAATGTTTGCACTCAAGACATGTATTAGGGGTTAAATTAACAAAAAGCTGTGCTTAATTAGATCACAGAGATGTAAAGGAACAAAAATGACCCTTAGGTTTCTGACTTGAGAACATGGCTAAATAACATAGGTACTATTTACTGAGCTAGGGAAGCAGAAGAGTAACAGACTTAGAAGAATGCTTAAAAATGGCTTTATTGTTAATAAGATCATGTTGAATATGGCATACCTGGGGGAAATGTTTAAGTAGGCAGGTTGGCAAATGGGCATACCAATTTGAGTTCAAGAGATAGTGATTTCTTTCTTTAAAAGATACACATTTGAGATTCACTGGTATAGATACGGCATTTGCAGCTGTGCACAAATGCATATAATTACCCAGGGAAGGTGTTTAGCAATCAAAGAGAAGAACTTCTAAGACCACACGCTCAGAAAATTTAGCACACAGGACACAAAATACAAAGAAAATATGTTTTGAGACCATGCTCAATGGTCAAGTGCTGCTGAGAAGTTAAATAAGATGAGCTCTAAGTGATCTGCTAAAAACTAAAAAGTTAAAGGATAGAATAAATATCTGTGCTCAATATCTTCTAGGATTTTCCTAGTAGCAAGGAGCATAGGAATGAACTTCAGTTATATTTACTTTATTCTACTGAATAGATTAATAAAACATAAATCATACATTCAACAGGGACAAAAATGCAAAAGAAGACTATTACAAGCAAATGCAGTCAGTTCTAGCAACATCAATAGTGTTAACACATATTGAACCTTATTATATGACATGCACATTGTATAAATAATCAAAGTCAAATTTCACAATATCATTGCCATTGTAGGGATTTATTACTCTCTTATTACAGTCGATGAGAATGACATTCAGGTAACTGAGTCACATAATTGGCTAGGAGTCACATAATTAATAGGTTACCTAGTCAATTTGTTTCTACTACTTGCCCCATTTCTTGAAAAAGAAAGGAGAACTCAAGAAGAATAAAGTTAAAAAGAGAAGAAGAAACAATATGCACAAATTAATAAAGATATGAAAGTAATTGGTATAATCTGGGAAAATTGAGTACTTCTATGTGACTGGGGAGTGGTGGTGAAAAGTAATGTGAAAAAGAAAAGACCTACAAAGATAGAAACATTGAAAAACGATTACTTAAACACAAATTCTGACATATGAAAAAAAGATATTCTGAAGGCTCCTTGAGTTGTGACTCTACCTGATTAAATATAATCCACTAATTATTTTCTATATTACTATACTTGATGCATTATATTTTTTGGTAGGCCTGTATTATTTCTATGAAGTTACAAAGTTCACAGAGTAATAAATTAGAATTTGCTCAAATAAGCATTTTTCTGTCACATATTAGACTCAAAAAATTTTTGCTGAATTAACTAGTGAAAAAAGTGTAAATGGCCATAATTTATACTGCAGGAAAAGAAGTCACAGACTCTTTTCCACTACTGGCAGTATGGGTAATTTAAATAAACTGTTTCTCATTGAGAACAACTAGAAGTTATATATGGTATCGTTATTTATACTTAATCCTGCTGTCTTACTGCCTCATAGACTTTGTTATGCTTTACTGTATACTAGAAATTACTGGAAATGTGTTTCTAGAAATAATCTGAAGCCTAGCATTTTCTTACTTTTTTCCAAAAAATGATGTTTAAAAAAATTTGGTATATCATGTACCTGATAGAACTAGTATGGCTGTTACTCTGTGTGTGTGTGTGTGTGTGTGTGTGTGTGTGTGTGTGTGTGTGTACACAAATTATGGAGTAATATTATAACAGGTCTGAAACAAAAGACTTTCTATCCAAAATTCAATTCAGCAGATTCTATACCCTTCAGAAATGAAGTCTAATGAAATTTTTTTTGTAAGAAAAAATTGAGAGAATTTGGCATCAGCAGATTCATATGAAAGGAAATACCAGAATTTTGGGGGCTAGAAAAAGAAAGTGATAACCAAATGCAGAGTTTCAAATGCAGAAAGAAATATAAAGAAAATAGTAACTCTACTGTAAATCTAATGGATATTAACCTTATAGAACAAGAATAAATACTTAAATTTAAAATGCATCTATAATTAAAACAGATGACAATGCATCATCATATATATCAAGAAGGGGCTAAGTGATATTAAAGGATTTTTAAATTATTTGATATTGGCTAGGTAGAAGGTAAAAATAAGTATCTTGTATGAAGAAAAAAAGTTTGCTGAAGTTTTCAGGTTAACCACTAAAGGATTAGTAAATGGGCCTTTACCTTTTTTTTTTTTTGAAATGGAGTCTGGCCCTGCTGCCTGGACTGGAGTGTAGTGGCGCAATCTCAGCTCACTGCAACCTCTGCCTCCCAGGTTCAAGCGATTCTCCTGCCTCAGCCTCCTGAGTATTTGGGATTACAGGTGCCTGCCACCATGCTCGGCTAATTTTTTGTATTTTTAGTAGAGATGGGGTTTCACTATTTTGGCCAGGCTGGTCTTGAACTCCTGACCTCGTGATCCACCTGCCTTGGTTTTCCAAAGTGCTGGGCGTACAGGCCTGAGTCACCGCACCTGGTCAGGCCTTTATCTTTTAAACAAAGAGAGAAAAAGTGGAATAGTAACTTTAAAATATCAATTACCATATTAAATATAAGCACCTACATGTCCACTCCAATGTAGTGATTAAAGATGACAAATCGACTGTTTTTTTTTAGTTTAAAAATAATTTATTGCTAAAAATGCTAATAATCATCAGAGTCTTCAGCAAATAGTAATCTTTTTGCTAGTAATCTTTTCTGCCTTAATATTGATAGCTGCTGACCAGGGTGGTGACTGCTGAAGTTTGTGGCAGTTTCTTAAAATAAGACAACAATGAAGTTTGCCACATCGATGGACTCATCTTTTCATGAAAGATTTGTCTGTAGCATGTGACAGTGTTTTACAGCATTTTACTTAAAAAGACACATAGAAAAGTATATATAAGGGTTAAAAGTAAAATAATGGAGAAAGATATGCCAAGATATACAAATAAAAGAAGTGTAGTGTAGCCCTATCAAAATGGTTAAAGCAGATTTTATAAGAAAACGCACAAGAGATAAATAAGATCATTGAATAAGTGTCATCATGGAATGTTTTAAATGAACCTAAGAAATTCCAATTATGACAGTAAATTGTTAATTATAAAAATCCATTTAAAAATGTGAATATGTTCTTTACTTCTTTTTCTCCTTGAAATTGTTATTCTACTTCTCCCACAGAATTTTATCACACTGTAATATATTTTTATACTTGAATGTCATTGTTACAATCATGCTATCATATTTCTACAACAGAAGTGTATAAATAGATTTTTTTATTTTCTGCAAAATTTTATAACTTAAAAAAATATTTTAGACTGCATTATAGTTACAATTAGCAGTGCACAGTTGAGACAAATAACATAAATTTTGGCAATTATTAACAAAAAATTTTAAATGTTTGAACATGTATCTTATATTGATATGGTGGGTGAATTATAGAGCTTTGATTATACTAGACTTCTCTGACACCAATATTTTAACATTTTTTACTTTCTGTGTATTTGGCATCCTAGAGCTTTTTTTTTTAATCGGTTTTTGTCATTTCAGGTCAATGCATTATGATAAGCTCTAGATGTTTTAGTGTTATATACTTTTCTGTGTAGTGTGAAAGCGAAAGACGGCAATATTGGGTAAAAAGGAAGACAGGAAAGGAGAACCATGGGTAGAGTTTCCAGGTAGATCAACTGAGGATGTGGAAATCAGGTTCCTTGGAACACCTCAGTGAACCATCAGCATGAATGTGTCCAGTGTGAGGCAACCAATCTAGACGGATGCATCTGATACTCAAATCTCCTCTCCCACATCCTTGCAGTTAAGTCAGTGATTACATTTATGCACAGGATCCTTCCCACTGGACTGTTAAAGTTTTCATGAGAACTGGAATCTTATCTTATTCACAGCCTCAAGCACAGGAATAATATTAAATTGATATAATGAATACACTCAATCAACATTGGTAGAATTGAATTAGGATTATAGGGGATTTGCCACAAACCCCGGTGGGAAAATATATATTTCATTAAAAAGAGGTTGGATAATAAAATGCTGAAGCCAATACCTTTTGTGGAAACTTATTATTATTTTTTAAATTTAAAACAATACGTGGTGCTGACTAGAAATGAGTCAGTCTCTGTAGCACCAGGAAAGAGCCAAAAAAAAGTGGGGGAGGGGATAGGGAGGAAACAAAACAAATAGCAGATGGGAATTGAGCCCAGCCACCCACTCTCCCTGCAGGCCCTTTTGAAATCAACAGATCCAGTTTAGATTCCACGTTCTGGGAGTGATTCTGCTGCTTTAGGGACATATCCCTGGCTCAGTGAGCCCTTTCAAAAGCCTAATTCGAGAAAAAGAACAGAGAGAGACAGGGTGAGTTAGGGAAACTACTTCTTGAAATATTATTTAGGCATACTTCCATCTTGCCTTTCATTTTCTGTATATCAGCTTTGTCTATTTTTTATCTGGTTTCCAAACTGTTATGTCACTCTATTTGGTAAATCCTACATCTCTTTAGGTGATTTACTATTCTGTTTAATGTCTATATGTTTTCTCCTGTTTTAGAGAAGTTCACTTCCCATTTTCATAGACATGACAATTCTTCTGGGATCCTTCTGTCTGAATAGGGTTGCTTTGTGTGTCACAAACCCACCCTTCATTGAATTCATCCCAGAAAACTAAATTAAATAACCCAGAAAATGGGGCCATTCCAGGAAAGGTAATTTTTTTTTTTCTGGTGCATTGTATCATCAAGTGATACAAAAGTGACCTTTTCTTTTTTTTTCTTTTTTTTTTGCCTATGGATATTAGTTTCACATAACTGCTTTTTACTATAGAAGAGTAAGATGAGAATGAAATTCATTGCAGTGGTGTCATTATATAAAGACTGCTGAATTTTTATGAAGGGCTAATCACTAAATCACCCTTATTCTTTTCTAAGATAAATTGATTCTTTCACAAACACCTATATGTCTCCCTGTGTTCATATTTTCATTTTCACTGGTTTCAAAGTAAACAGTTCCATTGTCACAAAATTAATGAGTTCTGATTGGACTCAAGTTTAGATGTTTTCTTCCTTTCATCTTGTATACTCAAGCAACCAAGATGAAATTCTGCTTCTTCATCAACTGGCAAATGTATTTCCTTTGGTCAGTTCAAGACTCTCCTGATGTGAGTGATAAATATTACATTTACTGTTTCTTTCCCTTGTGTCTTTACAGCATGAGATTTCATATAAGAGACGTGATGTTGAGCCCAATGAATACATTTGGTTTGATTGTAACTCAAAAATGAGTCATTAAATAATAGCTAGACTTTGGTGCCCAAGATCCTTCTTTGTGCCAAGAGCTTCATATGCTATAAGCTACATACTACTTTTTCCTATTTTACAGGTATTGCAACTGAGGCTTAGAAAAGTTAAATGTTTTTGCCAAAGAGGTCCAACTGCTGGTAAGTGACAGACCTCGAGTTTTGGATTTTGTGTTTGTCTGTGTTCACAGAAAGGACCCAATCCTCTCCTACTCAAGTACAGTCGTCCCTCAGTGTCCATGGGAAGTTGGTTCCACCACCCCACGGACACCAAAATCCATACATGCTCAAATCACTTATGTAATATAGTGTAGTATTTGCATATAATCAATGCATATTCTCCTATATATTTTAAATTATCTCCAAATTACTTATAATACCTGCTGAAGTCAAATAATATATAGAGATGACTCTATAAAATTTAAAATGTTTTATTTGGGAAGCAAAAATTGCAATTTAAGGAATGCACATATAGGTGGTCTTTGGCATGTTCAAAGAACAAAGAGAATGTTGGGAGTTATATTAGGAAAATGTCACATATGGTTTTGAAAAAAAAAAAGAGCTCATTTTGAGAGGGGAAAAACTGATCGGTGAGTGATGGTGGTATGTAAAACTAGCCTTAGAGCCATGACAGGTCCTTTCAGTGGCTGCTAGTTAAAACTAGTCTTAGGGTTACTGAAGGCTGTTTCAGCAGCTCGGCTTGTACAAAGTTTAATTCTTGGAGTAGGTAAATGTGCCCTGAGTGTTTTTCCCCACTGGTCCCTTGAATCTGATTTAGTTGGATATGTCAAGAATGACACAATCTGTATAACCAACTTTCACATACCTAAAACAATCTGAATGCTACTTACATTGTTTCACTCACGTCCGTGTGAAGAGACCACCAAACAGGCTTTGGGTGAGCAATAAATCTTTTTAATCACCTGGGTGCAGGCAGGCTGAGTCCACAAAGAGAGTCAGCTAAGGGAGATAGGGGTCTATGAAGGGGTGGGGTCGTTTTATAAGATTTAGGTAGGTAAAGGAAAATTACAGTCAAAGGGGGGTTGTTCTTTGGTGGGCAGGAGTGGGGGTCACAAGGTGCTCAGTGGGGGAGATTTTTTGAGCCAAGATAAGCCAGGAAAAGGAATTTCACAAGTTAATGTCATCAGTTAAGGCAAGGACTGGCCATTTTCGCTTCTTTTGTGGTGGAACGTCATCAGTTAAGGCAGGAACGGGCCATTTTCACTTCTTTTGTGATTCTTCAGTTACTTCAGGCCATCTGGGCGTATAGGTGCAGGTCACAGGGATGCAATGGCTTAGCTTGGGCTCAGAGGCCTGACATATAGTTGTTACCCTGTATTTTTATTACTTTTTATTGTTGTTATTATTTTAAAAAATATTTTTGACCCAGAGTTGGTTGAATACCCAGACTTGGAGCCTGCACATATGGAGGACTGACTGTATAAAAATCATATGTTTGTGCTCCACCCAAAACTTGTATTAATTTGTATGTTTATTCCATACATATTTATTGAATTCCTTCTCCATATTGTATTCCAAATACAATAACTAAAATATTGAGTGAGGAATAAAATCATAAAAGTGTATGTGTGTGTGTGTGTATATATATGTATATATCTGCCCTTATCTATCTTTTCAATGTTACTCTGGTCATCATGATAAGAAACCCACCATAGGGTTCTATTTAGGTGCATGTCTGCAACATTAGGATCAGTACTTAGAATAATTCATTATACGTAGTAGTAGCTTAAAAAAATAGGTTATAAATGAATAAATCTTGTTGGTGGTCTCCACAGGAGGCTAATGAATTGTACCTCTCTTTGCCAGGATTTCTGAACAATTTGAATGATAACATTTAAAAAATGAAAGATGAAACTGTAACATTGTCTTTATTACTGGAAAAACAAACAAAAACAAAAAAGCAAGTTAGAAGACCTGGCCTTAGGCCATGGCTCTGTATCATGAAGTATCTCCACATTGAGGAAGAGGACCTGGAGATTCCACAAAACCTCTTTCCTAGGGGCAGCTCACAAACAAAAAAGGGAGAGTAAGAGGGTTAAGCCTCTTCAATGGGTGTGTGATTAAGGTAAAATCTCCCTTAAAAAATGGGATTATCCCAGCAACTGATGAAGCTGAGCATGGAAAAGCAAGATTGCAGCTTGGAAGTCTGTAACTAGAAGGGACAGAATTCTTTATCTGCATATGTCACACATCAGAAGGTCTGTTCACTACTTAACAATGCAGAGTGAATGTGGAATATGGGTCAGTGTTACTTCTGCAATTTCCTTTTAAAAAATGTGACTTTTTGACATAAGATAACTTTCTCTAACTCAGGCAGTTCTGCTTCCGTACTCACAATGTCAGAGACCCTGCCTCTCTCATTCCCACACCATCATTAGCAATCCCTTCAACAAAAACATCACATCTTTCAGTGTTAAGAAGTATTTCTTCTGCACTAGACAAAAGACAAAGATGGCACTGCAGAACTTAAACCTTTCTGAATTGGAGAGGGAGAGCAGAATAATAAGAATAAACAGAGAAAGACATTTCGTTCAGTTATTCTTCCTTATTTTTAGACAGCAAAAAAGACAGACACACACCAAACCTTCATTTAGTTAGCTGTCCTGCCATATATGAAAAAAGGCTGCTGGGTGTGGTGGCTCACATTTGTAATTCCAGCACTTTGGGAGGCTGAGATGGGAAGATCACCTGAGCCCAGGAGTTGAAGACCAGCCTGGGCAACATGGTGATACACCATCTCTACAAAAATTTTTTTAAAAATTAGCTGGGCATGGTGGCATGTGCCTGTGGTCCCAGGTACTTGGGAGGCTGAAGTGGGAGGATTGCTTGATTCTGGGAGGTCGAGGCTCCCGTGAGCCATATTTGTGCCATTGCACTAGAGCCTGGGTGACAGAGGGAGACAGCGGGAGACCCTGTCTCAAAAACAAAACAAAAAAACAAAAACAGCCTGACACGCAGAAGATACTCAAAACGGTTCATATCACTTCACTATGATTATATGCATGACTCAGGACAGAATGATGTCTTGTTAATCTTAAGTTCTTGATTTCTGGAGGGAAGTCCTAAAGTATAGGGCTTCAAGTTGAACTTTTGTTGTCACCTAGCAGGAAGTACTGTGAGTGATGCAAGTACTACATCTGGGCCTTCATTTACATTTCTGAAATAGTTTCAGTGTCTACAGTTTTACCTTTTCCTGGGAAGACAAAAGAGTTCTCTGAATTAGGGAAGAGATGAGGGTATAGGCATATCTTGAACCAAAAAACTGATTTTGCAGAATCCATAAAAGTCTAAAATTTAGTATTTAGTATTTATGGTTTCCATTAATACCTCAAAAAAGTTCTCCTCATTTATGCTGAAATAGTCACATAGTACTATGCATTTGCCAAGAAAAAAAGAAAGACAAATTTCTAGGGACAGTAAAATAGTTTAAAAAGAAGATGGTAGGAATTTATGTATGTATTTATTATTTTGGAAAAGTATTTTAATTTATATATTTATGCCTTCATTTAAAAATAACTTATTTATGCTTAAATATATCTGCAGTGAAATGTGAACCTTCACTTAAGTAATTTGCAGTGAAGATGGCTTCAAAAACAGAATCCCAACATAGTAAAAAGATACTTGAATTGAAAACTTGAATCTTAGTCTTGACTTGAACATTTAAGAGGTTTTTGTTTTGGAAACACCCTTTAACATCTCTGAGACTCAGTTTATTTTAAAAACTGGGATTAAAAATTTTATTTATATCAAAAATTACAGTAAGTATTAAGCACAGTCATGCCATAAATACAAAGCATTTCCATGAAATGTAGCAAATATTGATTTACTTGCAATTTGTTTTAAATTATACAATTAAAAGGCTCACCTCTGTTCCTTGACCTGGAACAAGAGTACAAATGAAAATTCACATGCTTAAATATTGAGGCATACAACAAAGCCATCAAATGTTACATAAAACGTGTATTTTTTGACAAATCTAACTTCAAAATAATAAAATCAAATGTTTGTGCAATGTTGCAGTTCTTTTATGATCCAAACTGACTCAATATCAGGGACAACTGAAGTTAATTATTGCATATGCCCAGACAAGTCTTTGGGGGCTAGTGATATTTGCATTTGTTTCTTATAATACAAAATTTCCTGTAAATTGTGTGATATTGAGAGTTATATCATAAATAATTTTAAAATAATATGTAAATTATGGAAGACTTCTAGCACCATCTCAAAAGAACTGAGGATTCAACCTCAAAAGGCTGCCACTGGCCAAATATGGAAAATTATGAGCATCACTAAGAATAATAACTTCAATAGATGAAAATATATTAAATATTAATAAATGCATAAGTTAAAATGATTCTTACAATCATGATTTTGAAAGGTGCTAAGGATCTATATTATTATTTTAAAATTAGTAAATAAAGGGAAAGAATTACCATCTGTCTTGCCATGAATACTGCCTTACCTATATATAAAATATATCAGAGGCTAACCAGGCCTGGCGCAGGTGGCTCACGCCTGTAATCCCAACACTTTGGGAGGCGGAGGCAGGCGGATCACGAGGTCAGGAGATAGAGATCACCCGGGCTAACACGGTGAAACCCCGTCTCTACTAAAAGTACAAAAAAATTAGCCGGGCATGGTGGTGGGCGCCTGTAGTCCCAGCTACTCGGGAGGTTGAGGCAGGAGAATGGCGTGAACCCGGGAGGCGGAGCTTGCAGTGAGCCAAGATTGCGCCATTGCACTCCAGCCTGGACGACAGAGCGAGACTCCATCTCCAAAAAAAAAAAAAAAAGTATCAGAGGCTAACCAAATAGTGGGTGAAATTTTCTCCAAGATATATTAAATGAAAGAAGAATAACAGAATTAGAATATTAGCATTGTGCAACCTCTAATGAACTAGGACCACTAGATATGAACATCCAGTGCAGCTAATCCCATAAATAGAATGGTTCCCAGGGTTTATGTGCCTCTTGAAGAAAGAAGATAAAATCACCTATGTAGGATTCTTTCAAACAAACAAATAACCAGTTGGATATGATCAAACCTGTAGTTTATATTCAACCACAGATTTACGGGAAATAAAAAGAACAGAAAGATATGTTAAACTACACCATAAAGATGTAATTAATAAAATCTACCACCATGTTTTCAAAAGTAGTAGTTAGTAGTAGCTACTTGCCACATGCAACTATTTAAATGTAAATTTAACATTAAAAAAGCCCTTACTTTAGTTCCTTGGAAACACTGTCCACATTTCTTTCAAGCACTCAATAGCCATATGTGGCTGGTGGTGATCATATTCAACAGCCCAGAACATTTATATAATTGCAGAAAGTTCTGTTGGACAGTCCTAATCTAAATTGTACAAAACACTACAAGACAATCGGTTTCTAAAACAATGAGATAGTGAAGAAAGAGAGAAAGAGAGAGAACAGCAACAAAAGCAAATGAGATAAACAAATTTGTAAATACTCATAAGATACATCAATTGTGATCTGTGCAACATTGGGATCCCAATTTCAAAGAACTGTAAAACAAACAAATTGAAGTTATAACTTTTATTAAACCATTGGAATTTCTAAACTGACTGGATATTTCCTGATATTAGATAACTATTATTAATCTATTTTATACATAATGTTAAACATAATTCTGATATTTTAATGTTATAAAAGATTAAGAGATGAAAAGATATAGTTTGAATTAGTGTCTAAGTAATATAAGGGAGTGGATGATGGTGCTTATAGGGAAGGATTCTTAAGGCCAGTTGATGAGTACATGGGACTCATAATACTTTAATTTCTCCATCGTATACTGAAAAAGAATAAAATATAATGCAATTGATTCAACATATAAAAATTTAGATGGATAATCATAAATGGTTGCAATGAACTAATGTTTATGATTTCCCTAAAATTCATCTGTTGAAACTTTAATCCCAACATAATGCTATTTGGAGATAGGGCCTTTGAGGGTAATTAGTTCATGAGAGTGAAACCCTCATGAATGGGATTAATGCCCTTGTAAGAAGAAGCCAAAGAGCTGGGTGTGGTGGAATTCCAGCACTTTGGGAGGCTAAGGCAGGTGGATCACTTGAAGTCAGGAGTTCGAGACCAGCCTGCCAAACATGGTGAAACCCCGTCTCTACTAAAAATACAAAAATTAGCTGGGTGTGGCAGCAGGCGCCTGTAATCCCAGCTACTCGGGAGGCTGAGGCAGGAGAATCGATTGAACCCGGGAGGCGGAGGTTGCAGTGAGCCGAGATCACGCCACTGCACTCTAGCCTGGGTAACATGAGCGAAACTCTGTCTCAAAAATAAAATTAAAAAATAAATAGAAGAAGCCAAAGAACTACATAACTCACTTTCTGCCATGTGGGGATACAAGGAGAGGTCAGCAGTCCAGTCAGGGAGAATAAATAATATTCATGTTATTTGAGGAGGATGTATACCTTTAATCAATTTACCTTTTTTCTTACTTAAACGTCTGCCTCCTCCCACCACACAATTCTATCCTGTACCTTAGAGTATGGCCATTCCTTATATAGGCAGTGGCATATTTCATAAACAGTTATGGCGTTTAGATTCAGTCACCTTTTTTTTTTTCACATTAGGCAAGAATATGGATATGGAGAGAGATTTCTCTCTAGCAGGCATTGTTTCATATATACTTTGCCAGAATTAAGTCACATGTGCATACCTAAGCCTATCACTTGTTAAGATGTTTAGAAACAGCTTGATTAACTTAAAGAAGGATTCAGCGTATTATGTACCTGAAGATTTACAATGCCCATTCTTGAACAAGAGCAGTATTCTCATAGTAAGAAGGAAAGGAAAAGTGGGAGTGTAGAATGCTAGCTAGGTAAGCAACAATATTTTCCAGACTCACCCAACTTCTATTACATAGCATCTGAACACATTAGAAATGACTATAAATGATGAAAGGTTGCAGAAAAACACAAAATTACATTTTGTTTATAGTAATGAAATGAATGGGAATCACTGTACAATCGATTGAATGTGTCATTTGTTAAAATGGTCCATGCAAGAAATAGTCTAACCCTAGATATAGTAAAAAAAATTAATATGATTATAATCATGATGCTCTTCCAGCTCACCATTATCACTGTCATCATCATCACAATCATTATCTCAATGTTTTAAGAAAAATTTAACACTTTCATAATCTCTTCAAAGCAGAGGTCAATAAACGTTTCCTGTAAAAGGCTAGACACTTAGGATTTGCACACCATATGGTCTCTATTGCAATTATTCAACTCTGTAGTTGGAGCATGAATGCACTCATAGACAATTCATGCCAAATGAACCTAGCTGTGAATTAATAAACTTTATGTATGGATACTTCAATTTGACTTTCATATAATTTATATGTGTCAAGACATATTCTGTTATCCCACTGGAGTGCAAGCTCTTGAAAGCTAATTCATTTTTATGTCCCACAAAGTGACATAAAACAGACAAAAAAACCCATTTTTTTCAGAATGCAGAATAATATAGTAAGTGTAGATATAGTTCTCTAAGATTATATGGTCAAAATCTGGAGACAGGGCCCTTTAGTCACCCCCTACCCTCTAAGTGTCAATTGCATTTCTATGCAAAGTAAGTCAGTCAGTAAGTCCTGTGTCTTCCCTCCTACCAAGGCACTTAGGCCCTTTCCATAAATATTTAATTATCTGTTAATTACCTCTTTTAAAGCCATTGTGTGTCAGTTTATGCCACTAGCAGCAGACTCTTGGGGATAGGCTTAGGATTTTAAAACTGTCTTTGGATTGATTGCTTGCATGTCTAATGGAAGACAATTGGCACCACTAGCTGCAATGTCTTTGACCTGTACAACTGCAGAAAAAAAATATATACTTCTTCAAGAAACAAAACTCTTTTGTACAATGAAAGAGTATTCTGTTGGTCATACTTTTTGCACAGTATAGGTGATTGATAGCAAGGATACCAGGGAGAGAAGAATCATGGTAAATGAAGTGACTAAGAAAAGTAAGAAAACATGGACAATCATTGTGTATTACCATAATATTAGAAGCAGTAAGTAAAGTAGTGCAAAATGAGCGGATTCTTTTTTTCTCAGTATTGGCACTCAGTTGGAAAGCTGTAAGCAAAAATACATAGAATTCTTGTCACTATATGCTAAGTGATCACTCTGGACTTAAATGTTCATAAGGATTGGGCATGTATATGTCTCATAATTGTACATTTAACTCCTAACAAATTCTTTACGTAAAGTCCACATGAGACATAAAATTGAATGAATAGCATGCACCATATGTGGTTAACATATGCTGTGTTTTTGCAGATTTCATAATATCCCTGAAAAAAATTATTATCTCCATTTTATAGATGAAACAACTAATGTTCAGTTTTTTGCCAATGGCTACACAAACCATAGTGATAAATCTAATATTCAAGAATAAATCTATTTTTCTAGGGCTCCTTTGAATAAACCTACATAATTGTCAAAAATGGCTGTTCAAAGAAGAATGTTGGCTTTAAGGTAAATTGAAAGCTAAGAGGCACACTGATGAAATAATGAAAAGTTTTTCATAGAGTAGGGAAATATGTTGTCTTAGAAGGGGTGGTGATTCCCATCATGGATAATGAAAAAATGAAGCTATGGGACCACTTACTAACAAAATAATTGTAACAAAGTAAAAATAACAAGATAATAAAAAAAGCAAAAGGCATAAAAATAGTTCAAATAATTTATGTTAAATAAGTACTTTTCTCATTTAATAATTATACCAACACTCTGAGGTTATACTAATTGGAACTCCTACCTCAGAAAACTTTGAACACTGAGAAACCCCAACTGTAGTGATAATGACTAACCTGTATGAGTTATAAATATGACATAGTTCATAGGTAGGGAGGCAGTTATTGCCAAGTAGCAAACCTGGGTTTATTTTGGATTTGGGGACTCAGATTTAAATTCATGTTCACATAATTTTAACACTGGATGTCCCAAGAAAAACCGTTTTTACGCAGAGTGTTCAATTGAGTCATCGGAATTACAAGAGAGGCTTCTAAAATTTTCTCTATGGGGTGTGTGTGTGTGTGTGTGTGTGTGTGTGTGTGATTCTAAAGTTTGGCAGTTGCTTTTAATGTATGTTAAAGCAGTGGATCTCAATCATTTTGGTCTCAGTACACATTTACGCTCCTAAAAATTATTGAAAACTACAAAGTACTTTGTATAGATGGAAAATCTACTAAAGTATGTGTGTGTGTATATATATACACACACACATATATAATCAAAATTAACTGTGAACAAATTTTAAAATATTATTCTGTTTGAAATAACAAAAATAAATCTACTACCCATTAATTCACTATTAATAAAATTAATTGTATTTTCCAAAACAAAAATATATAGTAGAAATAATTGCATTGTTTTACATTTTTATAAATTGTACTAATTTGGGACTTAATAGAAGACAGTTCAATTGCTATAGTTGTTCTGCATTCAAATTCTAGCCTAGGTCGCTTTAGTGGAGAAGAGCATTTGACCTCGCACAGATACGTAGTTGGAAAGGGAAGAATAAATTTAATAGCCTTCTAAGATAGTTGTAGCTATTCTTAAATACTGTAACAAAACTCAACAACTATGAATTTCTTAACGGTTAGTTACAATGTGGAATCTGATTCCATATCATAAAGTTTTTGTTCTCTTTTATATTAAAATTCATTAAAATATCTTGCATTTTGAATGGATCTTTTACCCATGTTTTATTTTATAACACAAACATTTGTCATTTGGAAAACAGTGGTTCATTGAGTAATGCTTATCTTCCAAATGTTGACACATTTCGTTATAATACATCAAAAAAATTCCATTCACCAGTTTCACCACCAATCTCATCAGACGTTTTGAGTATTGAGAAGCTGTCAGGTTCATGGTGGAACACATACATTTTCCAAATTCTTAAGTTTTCTTGAAGGCTAAAATTTTGTTGTTGGCATCAAATAATGCTAATTGTCTTAATAGAAATGATAAACTTACATCATGCTTTTTTTTAGAAAGTTTCTGCCAATTACCCAAAGGTAAATAACTGTAGTTTGTCAGTTGTTCTTTCAAGCAAAGAAGATTTCTGTAAACCAAAGCAGCTGTTTTGGCTCAGGACTCAAACAATTGCCCAGTAATTTTCAAGCTGTCTGCCATATTTCTGAAGGTAACAGACATATTTTATGCATGCTTTTTATTTCATCTCACACACTATTAAAGATATGAACTTAAAGGTTGGCCTTTTAAAAAAATTAATGTTTTACTGCTTCATCCAGGACACTGTTAAGTGAAACTTTTACTGCATATTAGTGGCATTGAAGAATGCAAAGCTGGATAAAACAGTTAAGTGCCACTACCTTGATCTGTGTTAGAGCACCCACAGTTTTACCCATTGCTACTGTCATACTGTCACTACAAATATTTACACAGCAAAAAGCAAATATTATTAAGAAAATAGTTTGGCCTTATTGATCTCTTAAAGGAAGCTGGGAATTCCCAAATTTTAGTGGAACACGTATTGGTAACTTTTTTCTTAGAGGCTTTAGCCTTTCTAAATTGTGACATCCTATAATTTTGCTAAAATTTAATTTGATGCTTCTTTTGCTTTGGGTAAATCTAGTAAGATCTGTTGTACCTTTCCAGTGACATGATAAATTCAGTCATACGAGCATACAAAAGGTAATCGTAAGCATTTCTTCTTAATTTTGAATTCAGTTCAGTGATTTAATATTGGTAGCTTAAATTTAGCCATTGTGAGAGTATTTATACCACAAAATTGAGAAATGCTACATAGAGATGAGAGCATTTTGCTTCTGGGAAGCTGGTTTTTAAACATTTATCTATACACCTTGGATGCATCATTAATATCGCTTGCATCATCACTATTAACAGCATATTAGTGTCATCTCAGAAGACTCTTTACCTAGATTTAGACACATATAAGCAGTTCAGGGATGCATCTGTTATAGGAGAGTTGTGATGATTATGACTTAGGAAAATCCATATTCTTCATTTGCATTTACCTTTTCATGCCTGTGGTATTTAACCAGGATATATAGTGCAAATGGACACTCTTTTAAACAATTCATACCTTCTCATTCCACAGGTTAATTATTTATTTGCTTAATTATAAGACAATTAGAACATTTACAGATATTTTGCCTCAGCCAAATGTGAGGAGCAGTGGTTTAGGATTAAAAATAAAAATAATCCTCAAATATGAAATTATAAATCCAATCCGCTATTTGATAAAGAGAACTCACAAACCAATAATCTCAATAGATTGTAATTATTAATAATACTTAACTATTATTAAATAGTGAGATATTTCCCCATATTTGCATGTGAAAAACACAGAAGGTGCTTTCAGTGGAATAATTCTTGCCTGTTGTAGGTTTATTCACAGAGTGACCCTATTTAAACTACTTAACTTTTTCGATATTTTGCATTCTTATTTACAAAATGGCAGGGAATAATATAAACTTGGAAAGATAATCCTGAATATAATACTTATCTTCTTTTTAACCTAGTGAATGCCTACTCATTATATAAAACCTTCCTCATAGGTTACCTCCCGGGAGAAACAGTCTCTGATTCCTCTCTGATTAACAAGCACACACCTTTCCACTCTATATCCTGCCTATTTAGTGCATTGTCTGTATTTACTTTACTGTGAGCTTCTTGAAGACAGAGACTGTGCTTCTTATCTCCGAATTTTTATTGTCTAACAGAGTGTTTGACACATAGTAGGTGTTCAATAAATATGTGATGAATATATAAGTGAATGTTGATTTTGATGAAAAAAAATCATCACAATAATGAAAACAAAGGCTCAAGTTGTTTGCTTACTTCCTTGTAATTGCAAGACTATAGATGAGTAGGCAAATGATCCTTGCTTATCCTATTACCAAATCAGTCATATTTCCCCATTTTAAAAGAATATTGTCTTTCTTTTACAGATATCTATAGGATAGATATGGATGGCTCTGAGTAACTAATGCATTTAAAACAGAGGCATGACACACACCATGAACAGACCCTGCCTGAACATTTTCAAATGCCTTTTAGAAGCCCTTTACTATGAGAATTTCTTTTAGTGCATTTAAAATTAATGGTTGCTTTCCTGTATTCATGTTCTGTTTGTGGAAACAGATGGAATTTTAAGCATTAAAGCTATAATAAAATTTGTTACTTGCTATGACAAAGTATTCATTATACACTGTCAGAATAATACAGATCTGAAAAGTTGACTTTTAAGTAGTTTTCAGGCATAAATACTTGATTTACTTATTGAGGTAAAAAGGAATGCTGTGAGCTATTGAAACTGTAAACTACATTTCTATTTGCGCGATAATCCCTTTTATTAGCCATAGAACTGTAGATGTGGGGGAAGAACATTGTTTCAGCCATAGGAGGGATTTTTCTTCATTAAATGCATGTTTTCAAAAAGAAGATATTATTTTTCACTAGAAACAACTACAGTGTCCACTCAAAAGCAAATTTTCTTCTCAGAGAGAAGATATTAAATTGATATTAATAGGCATTCTATTCTTGAACAACTGATTCTGTTGGTTCACTTATTGCTCCACCTTTGGGAAATTGCAGAATCAATGACCTAAAATGTTTCTTAGTCTCCAATATTTATGGTTTGGGTTTTTAGTGGATTAAAAAAAAAGTGTAATGGTTTCCCCTTAGAACCTTTACTGTGCCTTTGTTCCACAGCTTGGAAAAAGCTCTGAATTGATTTATAAGAAAAGCAAAGAGAAAATGGCAGGTTTAGGTGATAAAGTGTATCATAAGATTCAAGCAGCCCAGAGATACCACATTTTAGAGAAGATATATACTAATGTTTTGAAATATTTTGTTAAAGAAAGCCACTGTTATGTGATTTACCAACAAGTTTTCATCTTCTTTATCTAAAAATTCCAAGTGATGAAGTCAAATGAAATATACCAGGATCTCTAACTGGAGGTAATACACATAGCAGTACTTTGTGAGCTATCAAGCTCTACAAAAAGAGGACAAGCTAATTATATCTTTTCCTGTGTTTAATTACTAAATGCTCTTAAAGCCATAGGGTTGGAGGAGGCACCCCAAATTCTAAATTTAGAGAATAGTATCTAGGAAGGAAGAGAGAGAAGAGAGCGAGAGAAAGAATATTTCGAAGAAATGACTCAGAAAACATTATTCAACATTATCCAGTTAAATAACATTTTATTACTATATATAATATTAAATATAACTGCTTAAGTGGGAGGCTGTTCCCCAACAGTGGAAGAAAAGTTCTCCAGTGTTGTATCTCAGTATTTATGCTACAGATTACATCCTCAAATTCTGTGAGGTTCTTCATGGAATTTATCATTGCTCTTCAGCTTCAACTGTCTTTTGGTAACTTAGAGTCTCTTAAGTTCTCAAGGTTTATAAATTCTCCAATTTAAAAATTATCTAAAGAATATTCAATCTGTAGTTTGTAGGCACAGCTTTTCCTTCACTAGCTGTGTGTTGGTGGATATGAAACTTAAGAACCATTAATTCTACACTTGTTTATCATCTGTAAAATAACATTACCCAAGTCATAGGTTAGTTACAAAGTTTCTGTGAGATGTTTATAACACATATAATATTGATGGTACACAGCAGTTGTTCAATAAGTACTAAATTTCTTAAGACCTCTGACTGTTTAATTCAAACTTCCAGCCACATTATATACTTCCAGCATGGCTTTTTGTGTTTTTCTTCCCTTATTTCTTTTCTTCCTTCTTTTCTCCCTCCCTGCCTCCCTCCCTGCCTTTGTCTCTCCTTCCCACTGCTTCATTCCTTCCTCCCTCTCTCCCTCCCTTCCTCCTTCTCTCTCTCTCCTTCCTTCCTCCCTCCCTCCCTTCTTTTCTTTTCTTTCTTTGTTTTTCCTTCTTTCCTTTCTTTCTCTTTCTTTTTCTTTCTTTCCTTTCTTTCTTCTTCCTTCCTTTGTTTCTTCTTCCTTTTTTCTTTCTTTCTTCTCTTTCTTTTATCTCTCTTTCTTTTCTTTTTTCTCCTTCCTTCCCTCTTTCTTTTTTATCTTTTCTTTTTCTTTCTTTTTCTTTTACTTTCTTTTTCTTTCTTCTTCCTTCCTTTTCTTTTTCTTTCTTCTTCCTTCCTTTTCTTTTTCTTTTTCTTTCTTTCTCTCTCTTTCTTTCTTCCTCCTTCCTTCTCTTTCTTCTTTCTTCCTTTTCTTTTTCTTTTTCTTTCTTTCTTCTTCCTTATCTTTCTCTCACTCTTTCTCTTTCTTCTTTCTTTCTTTCTCTTCCTCTTTCCTCAGGGCGACCACTTCCCACAGATCATCTGCAAGTAAATAAACATGTACATCCATTATCACAAAGATTTAATTTCATTAATAGCTAAATTAGGAAACTGGAAATTAGAGGAGTTGGTCTTCAGCTCAATTTAATAGATTTTTATAATAAAATACTGCATATAAAGCACTGAGTACCATGTCTAGTACATCATCATGTTTTATAAATGGCATTTCCTTTCTTTTCCACCCAGTACTTCTAGAGGGTAAAGTGATATCTTACTCACCTTGTCTTCTCCCGTGTCTCATATAAATAGTATCTCAAAAGGTGTGGAAGAAATTCAGTTTCTAGAGAGAAGAAGCAAAGCAATCTGGCATGTGAGGAAGGACAGCTTTGTGTTAGTGCTTATGAAAATGGAAAAGGTTCACAGAAGCTGAGGCTCTGGGGATGGTAAATAGAAACAACCAGAGGAAATAAACAGTATCAGGGAGTAGCACCAAGGGTCTGGATATGACTGGCCAACATGACTCTATGCTGAAGTCAAGCAGCTATATAATATGGTTTGTGCCATCACCAAGGAGACGATGAGAACTGAGGAGAGACTCAGACCTAACCACAGAATTGTCCCTGACATAATACCCATAGAGATGGCTTTGTGTATTGATAAAATCATCTTTGATATAAAGTCATATTATGCATAGCCATATAGTTTCAACATTTAGGCTAATCTTGCTTAGTTTCAATGGTTTTGTTGGACATAGTAGAATCCTGACAGAAAAGTAGAAACGTTTAACTTTTACTTAAACTCAGAATGGCTTTTCTAAAATTATTAAATCCTCAAAGCATGACAAAGCTAAATGCTAAATTTCCACAATGAATGAACATCCCATTGTAGCTAGAAACAAACTTGGTTTCAATATTTAATGATGGATTTGTATTTTGTTAGTAACAAAATGGTCTTCTTCTCAAAAACAAAGCAAAAAAAAACCAAAACCAAAAAACAAAACATGTTATGCATTCTACAGTTGGAATTACCCTAGGGAAGAAGTGTAGTAAAAAATACTTAGAGACAAATTATATTATTTTATTTTACTTTAGAATTGAAGTACTTTTATGTGGTCATAAGCATAACTTTCATTCAGTTTTGCAAATTAGAACACCATTGAATCTTGGCATGCAATGGCACAGTATTCAGCTTTTTCTAAAGGCATGTGGAAAAGCTACAGTTCTGGACAAGAAAATATACCATGAGCTTCTAGGCCAGGTTGCAAGAGGAATTCAGCTAGAAAAAGAAACCTACCAACAGCCAAGTATTATGTCTTGGGAGTGTCATTGTTCTCATTTTATATTAAATCAATACTTCTCACGACAGATCTGTTTTAGCACCATTTATGAAAAAACAAAACAAGAAAGGTATATGCTAAAGAGTTTCCAAGAAATATTTGCTGAATAAATACATAAATAAATGGATAAATAATATAGAGCACACAGAGTCTCTGGAGCAAAGAAAGGCATGAGAAAGCTCTTGTACTTTCTCTGTCTTTTTAACACCACTTCCAACCAGTGCTATTATTTTTCATTTTACTAAGTGAGGACTTTGAGGTGAGTCCATAAATGAAAAGGTCAGTCCAAAGTATGCGCTTGAACTCTAAGAAATATCAAGAAAAAAACTTTTCAAAATGTAAAATTCTTAGCAACATAAGTACAGAAAATGAAAATATAAATAATATCAAATAATTTCTCCTTTAATATGGTTTTTATTTTAATTATTTTTTATAATGAGGAGAATAAAATAACTAATATTACCCAATGGCACATTCCACCATACTGTGTTGGCTTCCATACTTCTAAATTTTAACAATGACCTTTTATTAAATCTTTCTTATATGTTTTTAAAGAAGGCAGAAAATTAGGATAAATTTAGCTTCACTACATTACTCAAAGACACTATGAAATGATCCATATTAACTCTTAAGAAACTCTTTTAAGTAACATATATGATAGCATATTTTTTTGCTACATATTTTTGCTATTTTTCATATATATTATTTTTATATATATAAAGCATATGAAAAATCTAAACAATTTAAAAAGCCAAACATACTAAGAAACAAGTTTCCAAAATACTTATACAGGTATATCATTTAAGAAAAAATAGAAGGTCAATAAACTGGACAAGTATTTAATAACCAAATTCAAATTAGATGCCAAGATGCATTTTTATTACAAAAAAAAGGTAATTTGGGGTATTAGAGACATTATTTTTAAAAAAGAATTGCTAATGGAGGGCTTTGGGAAGTGTGTATGAGAAGCATAGAATTCTTCACAATTTTTAAATTGATTCTCATAATAACAATACTAATAATTATAAACAATTTAAAACTGTAGTTCCAAGGATATTTATCACAGTCCTCTTATAATAATAATACACTTGCAGAAATGTGAGTGCACAACAATAGAGAAATGATTAGTTCATATCCATTCAATGAAATGTACTGACTAAAATTATTATAAAATAGAAGTTTTGGGGGTGAGAGGGTTGGGAGGTGGGTATAATGGATAATAAAATCTTCTGGGGAAATTTTTCAAAATACACTTGCCAGCCAGAGTTATTCACCAATTACACTACTTGTGCTCAGAAATATGGCTACAGGTTATTCTAGCAGATGCTCTTCATTTCTTGCCCTTAAAGAACCACTGTTCTCGGGTAGTGTACTAATGATATAGAAAAACATATTTAATATACTGTTAAGATAAAAAAGTAGTTTATAAAACTGTTAGCAATGACATTTCATTTAAAAATATGTAAGCCAAAATATCTTGCTATTTGTTATAAAAGGTGTATGTGTATATATACAAGGTATATGTATATATATATAATATATATATAAAAAATGTATTACCATATATATGTACCTTTTATATATATGTGTATATAAACCCATATGTGGTTATTATATGCCAGCCACTGTCCCAAGTGATATATTATGTATATTATCAATTATATAATTTTATATGGTAAATGTAATATACCATATAATATATAGTTAGTATATATTTTATATATACTATATATACTATAGTATAGTACTAATACTAAATAATAAACTAATACTATAGTATAGTTTATATATACTATGTAAGCTATAGTATTATATATATATTTTATATATAATACTGATATTTTATATATAATATATACTATTTTGTCTAGTATATATAAAATATATACGAACCATATATTATATAGTATATTACATACTATATAAAATTATATAATTGTTAGTCTATATAATATAATAATATATATTTTATACATATAATACATCACTTGGAACAATGGCTGGCATATAATAACCACCACATATGGGTTAGCTATTATGTCATTCATTGTTATGATATCATTATGCTGTTTATCATTATTGATTTATTATTATTACCTAATCTTGATTTGGATCATGGTAAAAAAAGGGCATCTGCCATGGTAATAATGAAGAGAAGAGGTTATGTCTTTGTCCCTAATCTATCAGAAAGGCAGGCACATAATTTGTAACACTGCATAATGTGGCACATAATAGTCACATATCATTGCTTCTCATTATAGGTGTCAGAAAAAGGGCTTTAGTTGTAGGCTGAAAGTGGTGGTCACACCCCATTACTCCATTTGCCAGATATGTTAAATCACCCATATAATAGACTAACAGCTGAAAATTGGGATGACCTTCAGAAAAATTCCAAGTAGTTTCCATAATGCTGGAATTGGAAATTTCCAGGCTCTTTGATTTAATTAATGATTTCCAGAACCCGTAGTTTAAATCTGTCTGGGCACATGGAAGTTGAAAATACAGGCTCAGAGGTTCAGATGTTGTTGAGGTTGCCTTTTGATATGGCAAAGGAAACATCTCAGTGAGCATTACTGCCCGTCTATCTTCGTGTAACCCTGATCCTGCTCTTGTGACTTTAGTCTCTGACTTGATGTAGGATGAGTCTTCTTGAAGGACTAGGAAGGCACTAGGGGGACACTCCCAATTTACTGACTGACATCCCTTTTGTCCTAATTAGTTACATTGTAACATTTACATCAGCTTAGTAAGCATTCATTTACCACAGTTACTGCAAGTCCCTATTTTTCATTTCTGCCAAACCTCCCTTACAGCAAGCTTTCCTTCTTCCTGTTTCAGTGTAGCATCTTATGATCTAGACTCTGCATTCTGTGTCAAAGACTTTATATTCAATACAAAAGAAATAAGCATGTGCATTTAAATTTTTGAACAATGAATATATTGTCACAAATAAAAATATATCAGAGGTACACATAATTTCTGAAAAATTGTTTGCACCTTCATTCTAATTTTCTGAATTGATCTAATGAGACAGAGAAGAGTTAATGAAAGGTCATGGAAAGTCTTGGATTCAAATACTGTATTTACATTCACTGGAATTTATTTTATCTTGCTACAAATCAGGCATAAGAGAAAAAGGTGATCTTTATTTTACAGGGATAAAAATGTTAGACCCAAGAGAAATAAACGTGTGAAAACAATTTTAAAACTATAATGTTTTATATAAATACGTGGAGGTGTTATTGTCATTCTACTCTAATTGAACTATTATAATGTCAAAAACAGCAATTACTTTTGCGCCAACCTAATAATTAAAAAATACAGTAAAACACGTTGATAGTTACCATATATTGTTTTATAAAGGGCCCTCAAATATACATATGTACAAAGCAGAAGCGCCCAAATATATCATTGTGTTGTTACATGTATAGATGCTTTTTGTATTTTTTTAAACAAATTATATTTGTCATTCACATTAGTCTCAATGTTTCCTATTTCTGAGCTCTGGGATTGTGACTTAATTTTAATTGAAAGCATAAGGTAACACATAAATTAGACATCTGAAATATTTTCTAGTACAAAGTGGGACATAGATAGACAGATAGATAGATAGATACTTAAATGCATAAATAAACCATGGTATCAGCTTTAGGAAGTGGTCAGTGACCATTGATGACTAGATTTTAGAATAACACATTTGTTGTGCAGACAGAGAGATCAAAGAAAATGAATGATCTTTGCAACATCATCAAATGAATGGCAAGGTAAGGTCAGGATACTATATCCTGACAGGTGCAATGGTGATGTGCTTTATGAATTTGTCAAAGACACCAAACATCTGTCTTAATTTTTCCAAATCTAAAAGATAATAATATCTACTTGACAGGGGCACCGTAGGGGGTCAGTATAGGTTTGTGCTTTGAATATGAGAGGTTCTCCATAAACAGACACATTTTTATACTTTGTTCTTTTATCCAGTATTTCTTCAATATAATACTCAAAATGTAAAAACAGGAACATAATGATAGCATGACACTTTCCTAGCAAATTTATTCAACCAAGTTCATTACAATCATTCCTTCTAATAAATCATGAAACATGTATGGATAGAAGTGCACATATCATGAAATTTTAATGTGTACATGCATATCAGGGTTGAAAATAACCTTAAAGGATACTAATTAATAGTATTGAAGATATTCAATATTTGAGTTTAAAACTCATTGCCATACAACTTTCAATAAACTTTCTTGAGTGTTAGGTTTGGCATTGATTTAATACTTACCTTTTTGGAAGCTTGGCATGAAAACAATGAGGTGGTACATATATGCTGAAGACAATGATGAAAACAGAACTTATCTTTACATTCATTTTTATATGTTTTCCTTCCATTTTTATTCTAATTATTTTTGCTGTCTTACTAGTCTCTTATAAATTTACTTCCAAGCAATCCCCCATGCTTAACCCAAATATATGTTCCTAATGAATATTTGTTGAATGAAGGAATGTCCCAAAGTGCCACTCGATCTATCCATATTACTTCAAAATTCATCTGAAATGTATTTCCATCATGAAGTGTTCAAAAACAATTGTTCTTTTCTCCTGCCTGAGCTCTAAAGATAGCTGCTTTCCTATTCCTTACATGTCATTCCAGTCATTTATTTTCTGAATTATTATTTCAGACTTTAAGTTGTAACCTTAGGCTTACAGCCTAATGGAAGAGAAAAGCATGCAAATCAGTAATTGTAATGCAGTTTAGTAAATTCTAGGATAGGTATGTCCAAAGTACTGTGCAAAAGGAGATGACAATGAGAAAAGTAATTTACTGATATATTAATGAAAGCTCCATAGAGTACAGGCCATGTGAGCTGAACCTGTTGAAAAAGAAGAATTTGAAAAAATGAAAACTGGTGGGAAATTCATTCCATTCAGAGAACCATATCAAAATGTCATTAAAGGAAGGCAGCCTGGGGGTATCATGAATCTTTGGAATTTTCTGCAAATTATATAATTTCCTTACATAAAATGTGGTGACACGGTATTCTTTATACCCATCCCTTTCACTTTCTTATTTCTCTGTCTCTCCTTCCACCTTTTTCCTTCTTTAATTTTATTCTTCCTTTTTAACTTCTTAAAATAATTTTGCAACAATATATTAAGCTGTTTTCTAAAGACAACTCTATTTCTGCTGTGAAATAATAAATTTGGGGAAGTTGTTTGTTGTTTGTAATTCAGTAGTATATGCTTTGATCTCTCTTCTGTTCACAACCATATGCCAGATTCTGAAAAGCAAAATAGAAACCATATCACAATTTTAATTTTATATTATATTGCTAAGTTTTTCCTCCTCTTTTAGATTTTGATCCTGACAGGAAGTACTTACAGCATCTCTTTGCTTTGTACTTTTCCTGATCAAAGCAGGTATTCAGTATTTGCTGACTGAAGGATATGCTTTTGTTCTCACATTACCCTAGCAAATTAGCAGCACTTTTGTGATTGATTGAAATTTATTTTAAAGGATAAGAGAGGAGATGCAAAAATCATACTAATAGTATCAATAAACATTGAGATTAAATTAAAAAGCTCATTACATAACCATTTTAAAAAGTTTTTGATCAACAACAAAAAAACTATTTATCTCTGTATTAGTTGGCTAGGCTGATAGCAAACTGCCATAGCCTGGTGGTTTAGACAACAAAAATTATTTTATTTCAATTCTGATGGCTAGATGTTTGAGATCAAAATGTCCATGTCTGAGGGGTTAGTTCCTCCTGAGAGCATCTTTCCTTGACTTGCAGATGGTCTTCTCCTTGTGTCTTCACATTGTCCTTCCTCTGTATGTGGCTGTCCTAAACATGCTCTTCTTACAAGATCACCAATCAAATGGGATTAGTTTTCACTCCAGTGACTTCATTTAACTTTACCTCTTTAAAGACTCTATCTCCAACTATAGTCACATTCGCAGAAACTGGTGGTTAGGATTCCAACCTATGAATTTTAAATGGTCTCAGTTCAGCTCCTAACACTCCCATTCAGAAGGAAGATAACTTTTGGGTCTGTCTGAGAGCACCTTGGAAACAGAATAAAGGTGACTGATCTTTTTGAAAGTTTCTGAGAAAAGGGGCAGTGACTCTAGAACTGTGTGAGAAAAAGGTCACATGATAGAATGAGATCAACTGGAAAATGTTACTGGACAGTAAATGACATGGTTGTATGGTAGTTACTTTAGGAGTATTAAAGGAGGAAGTGAAGGCCAGAATGCATGATTTTACTTATTTGGTAGCAACATGATCTCTGCTGCTTTTCTCTGTTAATACTTCAATCTTTTTGCTAGCTGCCCGTTTATCTCCTCCTCCCCACTTTACCTTTAATTATATTCTTGTTGCTTTGTAAGTTGTTTTTAAAGTGATTTTAATAGAAATTTTATTTCATTTGATGCAGCTTGTTTGAATGATAGTTAATGCCTAGTAATCATTGACTGAGAACTGGATGATGTTGTCTCTGGGGCAATGATAGGATGAGAGCTAGTCCATTTTTCACCAGGGTCAAAGGGAGATAGAAGACAGCAATTTTACAGGCACGGTGGATCACACCTGTAATTCCAGCACTTTGGGAGGCTGAGGCAGGAGAATCAATTGAGCCCTGGAGTTTGAGACCAGCCTGGGCAACACAGAGAGACCCTGTCTCTATCCAAAATGAAGAAGGAGAAGGAGAAGGGAAGGGGGAGGGGGAAGGGGAGAGGGAGAGGGAGAGGGAGAGGGGAAGAGGAAAGAGGAGGTGGAGGAGGAGAAGGAGGAGGAGAAGGAGAAGACAGAGATTATAAAAGGCAATAACTGAGAATGTGAGAGAAGTATGTTTACCCATCTGAACAAAGAAAGAGTGTTAGAAATTGTGGACAGTTGGTCATCTATGCTATCAACCAGATTTGGGAAAAGAAATGCACTTTATAGGCTATATAGCCTTAATAATATGCATTTTACTCTGTGTTGGCTTACCATGTCTTATTATTATCTTATATACTAGCTTAAAATATTCAGTACTGTGGTAATACAGACAGTAGAAGTGATATTTACAAATTTATTAGAAAATAACTTGGACCTGTAGAGGATTGAAAATTAGAACATACAATAACTACAAAATATCCAAGGTTGCCAACTAACATTTTTTCATGCATTGTTCAGCTTCAGTTTCAGTATAATAAAGGGCCTACAAAATCTGTTTTATGCCTCATTCTCACTGAGAATATGGAAAGAAAGTGTAAGCTTTTTTAAAAATGAAATTTTATGGGTAAGCATGCAGCAATAGAAACTACTACAAGATAAGTATTATTGCAAAGGAAATGAGAGAGACTGACTTTTTTAAAGCATTTATTTTTGGTGACCATGTTGGTTTATCTTAAACTTTCAAAAAGTTGTTAATTCAATAAATGTAACCTATTTATATGTTCAAATCTCAGGGAAACACAAAGACAAACCAAAGAGTTCAAAATTTAAGGAAAGAAAACACTTTAAAGTTCCATGGAAAAGCAATGGAGGGTGATACGAATTTTACTTTTGAGAAGAGAGATAGGGTAGTTTTCACAGAAGCATGACATATACTATGCCATAAAGTGTGAATGGTTCACAGAAACATAAGTTAAAGGTACAAGTCCTAGTAAAGGTAACCAGGGTAGCAAAAGCTGAGAGGTTTGATAAATGTTTGTGTGTGTGTGTCATGCTTAGGGGATTGGATTTTGCCTGTAGGCAGTGGGGAGACAATGATGGTTTTTACATAAGAGCATGGTATGGTACAGTCTCATGGAGTTAACCTGAAAAAACTGGAGACGGCAACTGAAGAACTGTTGTCATTGTCCAAGAAGAAGATGATTAGTCATGAGAGAAAATGATAGTGAGAAAAAGAAAGAAGAAATGAATTCATGTCAACAGATTCAGATTCATGCAAGAGCTCTGGTAATCAATAGCATCAGAGATTTCTAATGCTAAAATGGGTCAATTCTGTAAAAACAAACCAACAAAAAAAACTTAAAAGAGATCTCTTGCAATTATTTTGAGTAGGGAGTGAGATTTTCCAGTTTCATGGAGAATATTGCCTGTATAATTACAATCCTGGGAGAGCAATAGAATGAGTCCAGGAGTTCAGCTTGTTGCAACCATATTTTATGGGCTTGTTCTAGGAGCTGGGTAATGGAGACATATGAGGACAGTGATTCCTGACTATAACAATTTGCAATATGGAGGAACTAACTAGTTTTCTTCTAGGGCTTTGAATTTCTACGCCATTTTTTAAAAATCTCCTATCTCCAAACACCAGAAAGATATTTGTTAAAACAATGTTTGACTTTAATCCAGATCTAAGGGCAAGAAAAGTTTGATATATTATAATCAGATGACTTCTGAGGTCCCTTGCAGCTTAAAAATTAACAATACCTAATGCATGCAGGGCTTAAAACCTCAATGACGGGTTGATAGGTGCAGCAAATGACAATGGCACATGTATACCTCTGTAACAAACCTGCACTGGGCAACACAGAGAGACCCAGAACTTAAAGTAAAATTAAAGTTAAAGAACTGAAAGCACATGTATCCCAGAACTTAAAGTAAAATTAAGAAAAGAAAGAGTCCTCTATTCTAATTCTGCTCTAAACTATTCCCTGTTATAGGGTAACAATTGATATCTCCCATGATAATTCACTCAATGTGGGAAAATTCATTTAAAATCAGAATCAAATTAAGAATATATATTGCCTTTCTCCATTATTCTTACTTTTCCTACCTTCCCTGGGATCTTTAAAAAAAACTAATGTTTTCATGAAACACAAGATATTTCTCTCTTCAGTGTAAAGGAACTCTGAGATGCCAAATGTTCCTCAGAAGGCATGGTGGAAAGGCCCCTCATTTTCTCTGGCTACTCACTTCTAGACTGCCTGCATTGCATTTTCCTACATAGTACTTCATTTTGAAAGTGCGATTCTTAAGATGAACTCAATGTCTAGGCATTTCATCCAGGTGAGGCAAAGTTGGACTGTCACGTCTATCATAGATAATGTCAAAGGTGCAGCAAAGTTGGACTGTCATGTCTATCATAGATAATGTCATAGGTGCAGCTTCATTCTTCTTATAGCTACTGCAACTCGTGGTCTTCTTTGGCAATATAAGTAATGTTTATGATGTAGATTCTTCTCACTAAGATATTTGTTGCTTAGGTATAAACACTAACCTTTTAAATTCACTGTTACCAAGTCCTATACTTTTTGAAAAAATACAAATACATTGACAATATGAGAGACAATTCTAGGATGTGCTCTAGAACTTTAAGAACAATACAAACCATACAAACTAATTACATTTACTTAAGGCTTCTATTTTTGGAAAACAAAAATCAACAATTCCGTGAACATAGCAAAGACTAATTTGTCTAATTCATCAAATTTACTACCTTGAACATAGCAAGGACTCAATAAATTTTTATTAATATTTCTAATTTTAGCAATAACATATCACTTTATATATTGATGTTCAAATAACTGAAGAGATGTAACTTCGGGGGGAGGCTTTCCTTCTTTCATCCCTTCTTACATTGTCTTTCTCTCCTCTTCTGATTTTCCTACACTTCTTTCTCCCTTAATTTTTTTTTTTTTTTTGGCAAGAGATGTGTCTGTGTATATTTACCTATGTTAATCCTGAATAATTTCAGGATTATTTACAACAATATCTCAGAGATATCATTGTTTATAACTATTAGACTCTAAACATATTTTTGTTAGCATCACCTCTTAGCCTGTGAAAGGGCCAAAAAGTACTCAGGCAATGATTAGCAGTGTATTATACATTTGTTTACTGTTGTTATTAAGTTGTTACAAACAGGTAGCTGTGGTAAGCAAATGGACTTAAGAATGAGTTAAATAATTTTGGTAAAAAGACTCCATATTGCCTCACCTAGAAAATTTTTATTATCTTTTTCCAAGATGCAGTGCAACACTAGATTATGCTATGGCTTTATGAACAAAATTAAAAACTCATCTAATCAATAACTTTAGATTTAATGCTTATCAGTGCTAAGACCTGTACCAACACAGCTGACTGGGGATACAGAAATGAATAAACAAAGATTTTTCCTTAAAGAGATAAAATGTTACCAAAGAATGCAAGTATGGAAATATATATGTGTGCATACACACATGCACATATACACACGCGTGTGTATATAACGTATATACACACGTATGTGTATATACATATATACACACATATAAATATACATATATATGCAAATAAAATAATATAAATGCATTAAAATGTATTGGGATATTAGGAGAGATTACGCCTAACAGAAGAGTGTGAAAGTTACAAAAAATACCAGTAAAAAATGAATTAGTAGAAAGGATTAATTAAAGATGTCTTGAGAATTTCCCAGCTATTAAAGCTTGAGCAAAAGCTGGGTGAACATTTCAAGCAAGACAAAGTTAAAGACACCTTAAAACTTACTGTAGAACTACTGAGTGTAAAGCACTGATATTGAGAGGTGACAGCATGCTGGCAGCCCTCACTCACTCTCAGTGCCTCCTCGGCCTCAGCGCCCACTCTGGCTGCGCTTGAAGAGCCCTTTAGCCCACAGCTGCACTGTGGGAGCCCCTCTCTGGGAAGGCCAAGGCCGGAGCTGGCTCCCTCTGCTTGCCAGGAGGTGTGGAAGGAGAGCCGTGGACGGGAACTGGGGCGGCGCTGGGCGCTCCTGGGCCACCGCGAGTTCTGGGTGGGCGCACGCTCAGAAGGCCCCCCACTCAGAGCACCCGGTCGGTGCCACTGGCCCTGGGCACTGAGGAGCTTAGCACCCGGGCCAGCAGCTGTGGACAGAGTGCCAGGTCTGCCAGCACTGCCGGCCTGCCTGCACGGCGCTTGAAATCTCACTGGGCTTCAGCCGTCTCCCCGCCGGGCAGGGCTCGGGGGACCTGCAGCCAGCCATGCCCCAGTGCACCCGCACCCACGCCCGCCCTCCCCCGTGGGCTCCTGCGCAGCCCGAGACCCCCCCCCCCACGGGTGCCACCCCCTGCTGCACTGTGCCCGGTCCCAAGACTGAGGACTGCAGGTTCGCTCCTTGTGGGACTGGTGGGCAGCTTCACCTGCGGCCCTGGTGGGGGATCCACTAGGCTGGGGATCACTGGGCTCCTGAGTGGGGTGGGGTCTTAGACAACTTTTATGTCTAGCTCGAGGATTGTATATGCACCAATCAGCACTCTGGGTCTAGCTCGGGTTTTGTGGATGCACCAATCAGCACTCTGTATCTAGCTAATCTGGTGGGGACTTGGAGAACTTTTATGTCTAGCTAGAGGATTGTAAACACACCAATCAGCACCCTGTCAAAACGGACCAATCAGCTCTCTGTAAAATGGACCACTCAGCTCTCTTTAAAATGGATCAATCAGCAGGATGTGGGTGGGGCCAGATAAGGGAATAAAAGGAGGCTGGGGAGCCAGCTGTGGCAACGTGGGTCCCCTTCTATGCTGTGGAAGTTTTGTTCTTTTGCTGTTTGCTTTAAATCTTGTTGCTGCTTATTCTTTGGGTTGCAATGCCTTTATGAGCTGTAACACTCACCGGAACAGGGAGACCACGATCCCTCCAGGAGGGACGAACAACTCCAGACTTGCTGCCTTTAAGAGCTGTAACACTTGCTGCGAAGGTCTGCAGCTTCACTCCTGAAATCAGCCAGACCATAAACCCACCAGAAGGAAGAAACTCAGGACACGTCTGAACATCAGAAGGAACAAACTCCGGACACACCATCTTTAAGAACTGTAGCACTCATTGCGAGGGTCGGCGGCTTCATTCTTGAAGTTAGTGAGACCAAGAACCCACCAGCTCCGGATACAGTATCACTGGGGGGTGGACACATTTTGAAGGGATAGGATGCAAATACAAACAAAATAGTTTCTGCATTAGGTAAAACTACAGTAAAGTTTCCTGTAGACAAGAGGGTTCTTCAGCATTTGCTGATAGCTGGATCTTGAAGAAAAGAGTGGATTTAATAAATACAGAGGGGATATGGTATATGTTGGAAAGTATAACAGAGTAAAACAATGTTTGATAGACAAGTTTCCAGTTGATTTGAGGTGCTAAAGCTGGCCTTTATGGAATGGAGAATTTGGAGATTATGAAAAATAAGGCTGTATGTGTTTATAACAGATGTCTGCTTCCTTACTTCCTCTTACTCATGAGATTTTGGGTGTTGAGAACAATGGATTTCAGAGGCAGAGAGAATAAGAAATCCAATCTTCTCATTTTTAAAAAGGAGATTACATTGTTTAAAGGAACAGATGCTGAAATGAATGGCACACGTGTAAAAGACAGCTAACAGTTTAGCTGAAATGCGTAAAAAGATGTACCAAGTATCAGCAGGTAGGCGAGGGCTTACTCGTGAGCGGACTTGAACGCTTTGTTACCTAGTTTGGTTTTCATCCTGGAAGGAATAAAGACCCCTTGAACCAGGATGATGCACATGCCTGCTGTGTAAAAGGAGTGGCACAGAGTGACACATGGTATTAGGCAAAGTTCATAGAAATACAAGTTGGTATCATTTCCCAATCTGTTAAAACCTAATGGTTCTTAACTGATTATCTTGACCTAGTTGCGTAAGCTGCTCACACTGTCTAGTCTAAGATATGAGGCAGAACTTGGAGTACTACAATACATACCCCATCTTCCAATATAGTTGATCATCAACTTTATCTGTTGAAATTGGACTTTTCTTCTCTTTTATTAAAAAAAATACAGTGTTAGGTAACTGAAGCTGTTCTGACTGGCCCCTGACCCCTGGCCCACATTATCCTTTCAAGGCTGGTTTCGGAGACCAAGGCCCATAATGTTAATCAAAGGTCAAAGCAAGACCCCATGAACTGAAGCTTGACAAATGAAACATATGTTTGCACAAATGCTGCTGATTTTCTAAGATGTGCAGCTGAAGGCAGGAAGAACTTGGAAGGTGTCAAATTGCCTTCTTAATGCATTCATTGTTTCAGCTTTGAATTTAGATGTTAATATGCCAACATTGAAGTGATCAAAATAATTGCTGCAGTTTCTGAGTACACAGCATATTGTGAAAGATAACATCTTGTATTTTAGGCTGAAAAGTAATCAGAGAAGGAAGTTTAGACTTAAATACAGGTAGCTTTAAAAAATCCTGAAAAATCTTTTGTGCAGTTATTCACTGATATCTTGAAATCTAAATTGAACATGTCTGGGTGTTTGTAAAGTGCTGCTTTTGTGTGACTAGGTTTTACCATGAATAAAACTTAGCTCATCTGCAGAAAAGTCCACAGAAATGAAGTGAATGCAGTTTAATAATTAAAGTTGTTCATGAGAACTGAGAAGATGTATTCATGTAACGCTCTCCAATGTAGAAGCCAGGCTGTGGAGCTTTTTACTTAGAAGATAGCAGTGCATTCTGGAAGTTAGTATTCTTCTCCAAAAGTGTTCTAACTAAGGCCACTTTTCACATAACCTTGAAGTAAAAAAATAAATAAAATAAAATAAATCTGAGTAGTGACGAAAGAATGGCAGATCATTCATTCATTCATTTCCCTACTTGGTTCCTAGCAGTAAAGCCATAATGAGTTACTACTTTGCTAAGAAAGCCCATGTTGAAGAGATTAGTTTTGTTCAATTTAGACATATTCTCAGTTGTTACTCTCCTTTCTACTTCCCTTTTTCTTTCCTTTCTTCCTTTTATCCTTCTTTCAGTAAGCATGTACTGAAAACCAGCTAATCCTAGGCAAGGTGTGGGCACACATGAGTAAAAAAAAAAGTCAAGTTCCCTGCGCTACAGATGAATAAAACAGGGGTTAATAATCTTTTCCATAAAGGACCAAGAAATAAGAGTAAATATTTTAGATTTTGCAGGCCATAAGGTCTCTGTCACAATTACTCGATTCTTCTGTAGTGAAAAAGCAACCATAGCCAATAAGCAAATTGATATGCCTGTGTCCAAGTGAAACTGTATTCACAGAAGCAAATAGCAGGCTGGCAAACATACCTGATATTCCAGTGCACACAAAATAATGGGGGAGATGACGAGGTGTGCAAAAGGCTCTGGGACTCTATTCCCAGCTCCGTGCCTTTTTAGTTGTTTTGCTGCTGATACAATTACGTCATTTATAAATATTGTTATTGCTTTTTGTTTGCCGGATTTGACTTGTTGTGAGGATCACACTACAAAACTGAATGCGTTTAAATTTAAAATGATTTATTTTTAGTTTATCAGAATCATATTATGCAGTATCACATCAAATCTTTTGGGGTGAGTTTTATTCCTTGTGTACAGTTCTAGAAAGCTGTAGGAAGAGCAATCAAAAGACAGAGATCACCTTTCTATATGTTATGTCTCTCAATGTGCACTATTTTGTAAAGCCATATACATTAGTACTTAATTCAATTTATTTTCCCATTTTCAAAACAGAAAATGACACACAGGGTCTCTAAAATGACTGGTTCAACACTAGGGATTTATAGTGATGTAATCAAAGTAAGAATATGTGTTTTCTTTTTACCTAAGCCATTATTATAACATAATTTCTTTTAAAATTAAAAATAAGTAAAGTGCAGTCCCCTAAAATTTTAATATGCACACAGAAAATATCTGTTATGTGAAGTGAGCATAATTTTACAGTAGCTAGAACTTTCTCCAATTTGTCAAGTGAATAATTTTAATGACTGAGAAAGATTTTTAAGATTGTTAATAAGATAATAAAATATAAGACAGATATCCTTTCCGTAAAGAGTTTGCTCCTTCACAATTAACTCCAAACAACAAAATACGAGGAGATTTTAGCTAAAATTGTACCCCATACCCTTTTATCTAAATATCCTATAATTTTTTAAGATATGACATTACAGCTCATCATTGTTATTATTGTTATTTTAATGGAAATTGTAGTGTGAGCTAATAGTCTCTTGGCGTGTAAGCTGCTTTTGAAAGCACATTAATCTTGAGGCCATTGTACATTCATCTTGTCTCCTCTGACATAGCTTCTGGGCTACAATTTAACCTTCTTTCTGTATAACTGATGCTTAAAGAAGCTTTCAAATAGTCATACTTTATTACTTGAAGATTTTAGCAAGAGAGAGTTATCAAATGTACACTCTTGTGAAAGGTACTTGTTCATATCCTGCTTATTGATGTTTATTCAGAAAATGTCTTTTGGCATTGCCTCCCAACCCTATCTTGCTGTGGACCATGTGCAGACTCTGAACACAGAGAGTGTGATGACGAAGGAGAGATTAGGAACAGGAGCTCTGTGTCCTCAAGAAGAAACACACAAATTTTAAATTTCAGTATTAAAAACTTCTAAACCTGGCATTTATGTCCCTCTACAGTAATACCCCAAATGACATTATCCAGCCTTGTCTTCCTCTAATTCTCTTGTGAAGAATATTTATTCCAGCAAAACTGGAGAGCAGTTCCCATGAAGTACAGCACTTCTTAATGTCTTTTTGTTTTAATGCAGTGCTTTTAAAAAGTAAACTTTGACTTCAGATAGAAAAGTTTGGGGTGACCATGGCCTAATGCCCCAGAGACATCTGTGTGTATGTACATCCAAGAGCCTGAAACTGTAAAAGGTTCTGATTCAGGAAGACTTATGAATAAGAGATACTCTTCCTAATATAAGGTCATGAATAAGCTACTTCATATAAAGTAAATATCCTGAGCTGAGGCATTATGAATAGGGCTGGGTTGAGCTTTTCTGTGCTCTCTCTATGAATCAGTAATTAGATGATATGGAATCATGACATGGGCTAGACATCTAAGATTGAGCTAATTTCATCCAACTGTCTCCTGTCGGGAAGAATTGAAAAGAGCTTTGAAATATCAGGTAGAATCTGATTATTTAAGTTTGGCCTGCTAGAGCAATCTGCAGTGATGTTCTAAGTCTCATTTGCCATCCATGAAGAGTGGAGAAGATGATGAAATAAGACAGATACTACAAATAACATTTATCTTTGAAAGGCATAATAAATAGTTTAAAACTCTGGTCCTATATAAGCAGATCATGCATCGCCTGAGAAACTAAGGGACATCCCCTCATATGGTTTGACTGTGTCCCCACCCAAAATCTCATCTTGAATTATAGCTCCCACAATTCCCACATGACATGGAAGGGATCCAGTGGGAAGTAACTTAATTGTGAGACAGGTCTGTTCTATCCTGTTCTGGTGATAGTGAATACAGCTCATGAGATCTGATTGTTTTATAAGGAAGAGTTGCCTTGCACAAGCTCTCTCTTCCCTGCTGCCATGTAAGATGTGACTTGCTCCTCCTTGCCTTCTGCCATGATTGTGAGGCCTCTCCAGCCATGTGGAACTGTGAGTCAATTAAACCTCTTTTCTTTATAAAGCACTCAGTCTTGGGTATGTCTTTATCAGCAGTGTGAAACAAACTAATCCAACCCCTTTGCCTCATAACTTTGAGTCATTTAAGAAAAAAAAAGCATATGGGTTATCTTAGTTGACTAAATTTTATTGCAAGAATATACTGGGACATGGGTTGGCATGAGAGCTATTCTCATCAACCCTGGACATTTTAGAGTTTTTTAGAGTTTAGTTCTCTCAAACTTATATGATTGTAAAAAATCATAAGGATACTATAGATCGTTCAGTTCAATAACCTGAGTTCATGCATCCTATTTTTTATTTATTCAAATATTTAAACTTCCATAACAAGATTATTTCTTTGGGTCAGTTTAACCAATATATGGTGACCCTAACAAGCAGAATTTGCCAAAAGCTATTTCAGGGGAGATTAGACTTCTTCAAGATAAGATCCTATATTTGATTCTCATAGATAATTAAGGAAATTGGTAATAGTCAGATTTGACATATCTAGTTCAAGTCTTACATATACAGACAGGCAATCAAGTGTGGAAACATAAACAAATGAATAATGAATAGCATATTGGTTTATATTACATTACAATAGCTGGTAACATAATACTATGTATGTTTCAAAACTTTATGATCTCTCTGTACATATTATGTAGAAACTCTCGTCTACTTTTCACTAAAAGTGGCAAATGTTATTGGAAGACATTTTAAAATTTTATAGTCCAGTAGATTCTAATGTGCATTTCCTTATGTCACATAATATCTGACACAGAAAAGATGTGTCATGTATCTCTGACCTTTTGCCCTACTGAAAGTACTCCTCTTGCCTACCAGGCTATTCCCTTACATCTTTCTGTTAAATGCATATTTCTGGCTAAAGAACGTTTAGTTTGGGTATCAGAGCCCAAAACCCTGAACTAAGGAAAAGACTATGAAGACAACCAGTTTATTACCATTTAGGGGTTTGGTCTGTCACCCTCATGTAGACTTTTTTGTCTAGGGGCTAAAAATCTTTGAGTGGTTAAGTGCCTCCTACAATATCCTAAAGAGACTTAAGTGGTCATGCATAATTATGGCTCTATCTTTCTGAACACTGTTTTGATCCTTAACTACTTGGTCACCTACTGGGCTTTTGAAGATAGGGGAAGGCTGTCTCTCATAGGAGGCCCTGGGCATTCTACCTAATTGGGTCATTTGAGAACCCATCCAAATGAATGCCAATATATAAATATATATTATGGCCAGGGATTTAAAACAAAGAGCTCTTTCGAGGTCTTCACTCTTCACCCTCAAAGTAGTATCTATTCCTGGCTGCTGCAGTTGCCATGGCCTGGCTAGAGAGGGAAAGGGGAGACTGTTCATCTTTGTGTGCACCAGTGGTGGGTTCTGCTTTTGCAGGAGGCCATGGGCCCAACAGCTGTCAGCTTCCTCTGCTTCCATTGAGGGGTGTTACCTTCCCTGGCCAGAGACCCATAGAATAGCCACCCTGCCCCACCTTAACATTTTGATTGTAGCCCAGCCCACTGAAGCCTGTGTTCTACCCTGAGGCTTCCACTTTCGTCACTACACCTCCTCCACACTGCCAACCACACCATAGGGTCAGGGAGGGAGCAGGAAGAGCAGGTACCTTCATATGGCCCAGTGAAGGATACCACCACTGCTCCTATTGTAGCGAGGTGCAAGCAGGCAACATATTTTTCAACTGCCTGCCTCCACTGCTGCTGATGGGGGCCTGTCTTCGCCAGTGACAAACCTGCAGCACAGCCACCCCATCCCATCTGATTGTTTCAGTTGTGGCCCTGAGCCCTCCTGAAAGCTCAGCCCAGAGAGGCCTTGGATCTGCCCTGTGGCTGCTGCTACCTGAGCATTCTGTAACCGCCTAAGTATTCTGCTTGTCCTCACCTGAGTGACCTGAGGATCAGCCTGCCCCACCCTATTACCATCCCTGAGGACCTGTGGACAAGTACCCTGGGAAGTTCCCAGTCCAGTCTCTCTATGATTCACGGACTACCGTAGAATAAAATTAGAAGTCAACACCATGAGACTATGAGATCACGCCACTGCACTCCAGCCTGGGAGACAATAATGAGACTCTGTCTCAAAAAATAAATAAATAAATAAATAAATAAATGAAAAAGAAAATATGTAACGTGCAATGGAATAAGAGAACTACTTATTTTCTATGAGTTCAGGGTTTTTTTTTCTTAGAGATTTTATCAAACTTGTATACACATTCCTGGCAAGGCAATAGGTCCTAGGCTATGCCTTGTGAGATTTGTACAAGGTAGACTAAAGATAGAATTGGCTTAGGAGAGCTGGCTTTTGCAGATGGGAAAATCTCAGAAGATTATATTTATTCTCAGAGAAGCATTTATAATCAATCTCTAATTGAAAATCTAGCAAAATTGGTCAGTCTTGAATCATAATTTCATCATTTGTAAATTCTACATTTCCTTACACCCTGATCGGAGCATAGTCTGAAATAAACCTTTTAAACTAATTAACTGTGATAAATTATATTAAATGGCATATTGTGGAATGGTGTACCTGGCCCTGAACAGTTCCTTGGATATATGCTGGATAGCGGATGCTAAGATATAACTCAATCTCCTCTTGGAATTCCTTTGGCATATTATGCTAGTATCTGAAACCTCCATAATATCATATAATTTCTTTCTTGTTTTGTCTATTATGTTTTCTAGACTCAGAACCACTCCCTTCCTGTTTTCCTTCAAGATCTTCTTACACTGGTACTATAGGTGTTGCTATGTCATTAATGTCTTCCTTTAGATTTGGTCATGGAACATCGTTTCAAGTTTTGTTTGTTTGTTTGTTTTGTCATTGCTTTGCTTACTTCCCCAAAAAGCCCCCTCAAGCCACAGTCTTTCAACCCAGTGTCCACTATGTAGGACACAGCAAATCCTACATAGTAGACACTAGGAATTGAGGGAGGTTCAAGAAACTTAGGTTAATTCCCCAACTCTCTGACTGATGACACAGTTCTATTCTTTGAAGTATCTTGGGCTGCTCCACTTAGACCCCTTGCAGAGCAATATCCTCCAAGATTGCCAAAAGGAAGGTGGATCAAGAGATCTCTGAGTTCCACTTCCAGCATGATAGCATGAGGAGCTCTACTGATGAACTTCACTGTGGAACTATTATTAAAGCAACAAAATTATTAAATTATTGAAAACAATAAGAACAAAAACCACAAAGTTAAAAACCAAGCATTTAAAATTCCAGGAAATGTCCCTAAGGTTATATTAAAAATAAATATTTATCTAAGAAAATATAGTAAAACTGTGAGAAATATGAAGTTTTTGGTAGTTGAAATAAAACACTTATTTTTCCGTCTTCTGCATTTCAGTAAGAAAGAAACACCATCCTAGAGTGGTACAGGCATGAACACAGGGCTCCCTCTCCACCAGCTGGCACTCAAAATGCCATTTTCCTTGGAGAGGCAGGATTAGCTCTGTGTCCAGCTATTAGTTACTGAGCCAAACTTCTGGGCAAGTTCAGCCAAGAAGTGGGGATTCTCTTCATTTGGCTAATTCCCAATTATGAGATTAATATTCTGTTTTGAGCAGAGCATGACTGAGAATATCAGGGCTCTCATTACCCTTAGCCAGGCCCATGGGGGTAGCCCAGAGAGGCTACCAGAAGAGAGGTCTATCAGATGTGTACCACATGCCAAGGGCTATCAGATATGTGCCAGATACCAATCTCTCAGCTCCTAAATTGGGGGTGTCACTCAGAAGAGTGCATCATCAGCCTAGTGGCCTTGCCATGAGCACCAGGGCTGGGAAGAGAAACAGGACATAAAATAGAGTTCCCAATACCTCCACAAATGACCTAACTTCATTTACAACAAAATGTGAAAAAGTTCAAGTTGTTGTAAAAGGCATTTGATAGGTGTGATGGTTAATATAAAGGTGCTGAATCAGGTGACTGATTCAGAATTGGACTGAAGGATGCAAAGTTTTGTTTCTGAGTGTGTCTGTGAGGATGTTACTAGAGGAGATTAACATTTGAGTCAGTGGACTGGTAAAGGAAGACCCACCCTCAATGTGTGTGAGCACCATCCAGTTGGCTGCTGGCATGGTTAGAAAAAGCAGGCAGGAGAAGGTGGACTATGCTGGGTTGCTGAATCTTCTGGTTTTCATCTTTCTCCCATGTTGAATGCTTTCTGTCCTTGAACATCAGACTTTAGGTTCTTCCTCCTTTGGACTTGGACTTACACCAGTGGTTTTCCAGGGGATCTCAGGGCTTCAACCATAGCCTGAAGGCTATGCTTTTGGCTTCCCTACTTTTTTGGCTTTGGGACTTGGACTGAGCCACTACTGGCTTCCTTGCTCTTCAGATTAGAGACAGCCTGTTGTGGGACTTCACCTCACATGGGACTTCACCTTGTTATCACGTTAATCAATTCTCCTTAATATAAACTCCTTTTCTTATACACATATGTCCTATTATTTCTATCCCTCCAGAGAACCCTGACTAAAACAGTAGGAGATTGATAGATTCATTGGGCGTACAGGCTAAAATGTAGTTACCCAAATAGAAATTGGGTAGACATAGCCAGAAAGAGCCCCCCTGGGGTCAAAAGAGTTATCAAAAGTGACCTCAAGGAACTGTCCCTACAAAGGATCCCAAATTTGATTTGATAAGTTGACGAGGTAATTTATGCCTCTGAACATCTTTTAAAACAATAGAACAATCAGCCAGGAATAAATGGAGTGGAAAAGCTTGTTTTAGTCAGGAAAAGAGAGAGAGAGAGAGAAAAAAAAAAAACTCCTTCCAAATCCACTGGCATCCCAGGGTAAATATGAGCATATCCAAAGCTGTGTACCTAAGGAACGACATCATAGACTTTATTCTGAAAGGCAGACTTAGACTACTCTGAAATAATCTTGCCAGTCACTAAACAAGTAAACAAGCAAATAGTAGTAACAAGACCCAGAGGAGAAAACTTGGGCCTAGAATTGCTACGGTGTATTATCTAAAATTTTCAGTTTCCAACAACAACAATAAAAATGCTAAACATAAGAAGAAACAAGAAAACATGACCCGTACACTTTCACAAAAAAGCAGGCAATAGAAACTTCCTGTAATGAGAGGCAGAGCAAGATGGTGGAACAGAAAGCTCCACCAATTGTACCCAAACCCCCCAATAAGTGTACCAAGTTAACAACTATCTACACAGGAAAAAAAAATACTCATAAGAACCAAAAATCAGGTGAACATTCACAGTACCTGGTTTTAACTTCATATTTCTGAAAGAGGCACTGAAAAGATTAAAAAAAAAAAAAACAGTCTCGAATCACTGATGCTACTCCTTCCCAACCCCCAGCAGTGGCTACATGGTGCAAAGAGCAACTCTGTGTGCCAGGAGAGAGAGAACACAGCCATTGTAAAGCACTGAATTCAATGCTGTCCTGTTAGAGTCAAAAGGAAAACTGGAACAAACTCAGATGATGCCCACCCACAGAGGGAGCATTTAAGCCAGCCCTAGCTAGAGGGGAATCACTGATCCCAGCAGTCTAAACTTGAGTGCCTGCAAACCTTGCCACCAAGAGTCAAAGTGCACTTGGTCTCTAAGCAAAGTTGAAAGATGGTCTAGGCCATAAGAACTGCAACTCATAGATGAGTCCTAGGGCTGAACTAGACACAGAGATAGTGGACTGGATGTGTACATGACAAACTAAGGACATACTGGGGCACCCAGTGGAGTGTTGGCATCACTCCTCCCCTAACTCTAGACTGCACAGCTTCCAGCTCTAAAAGAGACCCCTTCCTTCTGCTTGAGGAGAGGAGAGGAAAGAGTGGGAGGACTTTGTCTGCATCTTGGATACCAGCTCAGCCACAGCAGGATAGGGCACTGGTCAGAATCATGAGGCCATGTGCAGGCCCTAGATCCCAGACAACATTTCTAGATACACCCTGGATCAGAAGGAAAGCTACTGCCTTGAAGGAGAAGCTTCGGTTCTTCCAGTATTCATCACCCGCTAAATGAAGAGTCCTTGGGCCCTGAGTAACTAGCAGTGATACCCAGCTACTATATACAGGGCCTTGGTGACCCTCTGAGACTTGCTGGCTTTGGGTCCCAACATGGCCACAGTAGGGTAGAGCACCAAGTGGGCTCTTGAGGTCCCTGATGCCAGGGCTTGACTCTCGAATGGAATTTCTGAACCTGCTGTGGGCCAGAGGGGGGCCCATTGCCCTGAAGTGTGAGTACCAGGACAGGCAGTATTCATCACAAACTGACTTAAGAGACCTTGGGCATTAAGGGAACATCAGTGGTAGTCTGGCAGTATTCTTTGTATCCAGTGGTGGCAGTGGCTATAAGGTGAGGCTCCTCTGCCTTTGGAATGGGGAGAGAAGAATGGGAAGGATTGCATATTGTGGTTAGAGTGCCAGCTGAGCCATAATACAATAGAATACCACGTAAACTTATAAGGAAGACTCTAGTCTCTGATTCCAGATGGCACTTCGGGACTGATTCAGAACCCCACCATCCTGAAGGGAAGAACACAGGCCTGACTGCCTTTGCCACCTGGTGATTGTGGAGCCTGAGGGAATTGAGGAAACACAGGAAGCAACCAGGGAGTGGTTACAGCAGACCTTGGGTGAGACCCAGTGCTGTGCTGGCTTCAGTTCTGACCCAGTGTAGTCATAGTGGTGGTGGACCCAGGAGTGCTTGTGTCACTTGAACCCCAGTTTGAGTTGCTTAGAACAGAGAGAGACTCTGTATGTTTGGGAGAATCAAAGGGAAGATAACAAGTCTCTGCATGATAATCCAGAGAATTCTCCTGTATCTTGTCCAAGACCATCAAGGTGGTACCTCCATGTGTCTGCAAGAACTACAGTATTACTGGGCTTGAGGTGCCCCCTAAAGCACAAACAGCTTAGATCACAACATTCAAGTCACTTCAAATATCTGGAAAGCCTTCTCAAGAAGGATAGCTACAAATAAGCACAGATAGTAAAGGCTACAATAAATACATAACTTTTCAGTGCTTAGACACTAAAGAACATTTACTGGCATCAACACCATGCAGGAAATAATGACCTCACCAAATGAATTAAATAAGGCATGAGGGACCAATCCTGGAGAGCAGAGATATGTGATCTTTCAGACAGATAATTGAAAATAGCTGTGTTGAAGATACTCAAAGAAATCCAAGATAACACAGAGAAGAAATTTAGAATTCTATCAGGTAAATTTAACAAACAGAGTTAAATAATTAATAATAAGAATCAAACAGAAATTGTGGAGCTGAAAAACGCACTTAGCATACTGAAGAATGCATCAGTCTTTTAATAGCAGAATGGATCAAGCAGAAGAAAGAATTAGTGAACACGAAGAAAGGTTATTTGAAAATACACAGTCAGAGGAGACAAAAGAAAAAAAACAATGAAGCACACTTACAGGATCTAGAAAACAGCTTCAAAAGGGCAAATCTATTGGCCTTAAAGAGTCGGTAGAGAAAGAGATAAAGGTAGAAAATTTACTAAAAAAGATAATAACAGAAAACTTCACAAACCTTGAGAAAGATCAGTATCCAAATGTGAGAAATTTATAGAACACCAAGCAGATTTAACCCAAATAGTACCTCATAGCATTTAATAATCAAACTTTCAAATGTCAAGGATAAAGAAAGGATCCTAAAAGCAACAAGATAAAAGAAACAAATAACATACAATGGTGCTCTGATATATCTGGCCGCAGACTTTTCAGTGGAAATCTTACAAGCCAGGGGAGAGTGGGATGACATATTTAAAGTGTTGAAGGAAAAACACTTTTACCCTAGAATGGTATATCTGTCAAAAATATACTTCAAACATGAAGAAGAAATACAGACTTTCCCAGACAAACAATATTTAAGAGATTTTATCAATACCAGACTTGTCCTACAGGAAATGCTAAAGAGAATACTTCAATCAGAAAGAAAAATACATTACCGAGCAATAAGTAATCATCTGAAGGTAGAAAACTCACTGGTAATAGTACATAGGAAAACATAGAATGTTATAGCACTGTGGTGTATAAACTACTCTTAACCTAAATAGAAAGACTAAACAATGAACTAATCAAAAACAATAACTATAATAATTTTTCACATTTCCCCTCTGTGGTGCCTTAGTAGAGGTTATCTATGAGGGCTCCACCCTTGGAACAGACTTCTATATGGACATCCAGCCATTTTCATTCATCCTGTGAAATATAGACAGAGGTTACCAAACCTTAATTCTTGCCTTCTGCACACTTGCAGGCCCAACACCACATGAAAGCCACCAAGGATTGGGGCTTGTACCTTCTGAAGCCACAGCCCAAGGTGTACCTTGGCTCTTTTTAGCCATGGCTGGAGCTGGAGTGACTGGGACACAGGCAACAAGTCCTGAGGCTGCACAGAGAAGCAGGGCCCTGGGTCTGGCCCAAAAAACTGTTTTTCTTGTCTAGGCTTCCAGGCCTGTGATGAGAAGGGCTGCCATGAAGATCTCTGACATGCCCTGGAGATGTTTTCCCTATTGGCTCAGCTATTAATATTCAGCACCTTGTTACTTATGCAAACTTCTGCAGCTGGCTTGAATTTCTCCTCAGAAAATGGGTTTTTCTTTTCTACCACATGGTAAGGCTGCAAATTTTCCAAACTTTTATGTTCTGCTTCCCTTTTAACATAAGTTCCAATTTCAGTCTATATCATTCTTCATGCATATATGTTTACACTTTTAGAAAAAGCCAGGTCACACCTTCAAAGCTTTGATGCTAAGAAATTGCTTCCACCAGGTACCCTAAATCGTCTCTCTAAAGTTCAAAGTTCCATATATCTCTAGAACAGGGGCAATGCCACCAGTTTCTCTGTTAAAGCGTAGGAAGAATCACATTTACTCCTGTTCCAATATGTTTCTTATCTCTATCCGGTCTTCATTGTCCATATCACTATCAGCATTTTAGTCAAAACCATTTGACAGGCTGGATGTGGTGGCTCATGCCTGTAATCCCAGCACTTTGGGAGACAAAGGCAGGTGGGTCATCTGAGGTCAGAAGTTCAAAACCAGCCTGGCCAACATGATGAAACCCCATCTCTACAAAAATACAAAAATTAGCTGGGTCTGATGACAGGTGCCTGTAACCCCAGCTACTGAAGAGGCTGAGGTGGAAGAATCACTTGAACCCAGGAGGTGTAAGAAGCAGACATTGCAGTGGGTCAAGATCATGCCATTGCACTCCAGCCTGGGTGACCAAGTGAGACTCCATCTCAAAATAAATAAATAAATAAACAAATAAAAAATAAAACAAGTTTCTAGTAAATTGCCAACTTTCCAACATCTTCCTGTCTTCTTCTGAGCCCTCCAAACTGTTCCAACCTCTGCCCGACACCCAGTTCCCAGTTCCAGTGTCACATTCACAATTTCTTTATCTTTGTAGCAGTACCCCACTCCTGGTACTAATTTTCTGCATTAGTCCATTCTCACACTGCTGTAAAGACATACCTGAGACTAGGTAATTTATAAAAGAAAACAGGTTTAACTGACTTACAGTTCTGCATGGCTGGGGAAGCCTCAGGAAACTTGCAATCATGGCAGAAAGCAAAGGGAAACAAGGCATGCCTTACATGGTGGCAGGAGAGAGAGAGAATATAGGGGGAAGTGCCACACTTTTAAACCATCAGATCTTTTGAGAACTCACTCATTAGGAGAACAGCAAGAGGGAAATCTGCCCATGTGATTTAATTATATCCCCATTATGACCCTCCTTCGACACATGGAGATTACAATTTGAGATGAGATTTGGGTGGGGACACAGAGCCAAACCATATCAGTGCATGTAGTTCACAATTCTGTAAAGTACACATAAAAATTGTTGAGAAGGTAAATTTATGTTATTTACTTTTATCACATAATATACAAATATAAAAGGATGGGAAAGATACATCATATAAATAGCAAACAGCAGAAAGCTATAGTGGCTATACTAAACAGATTTTAATAAAATTGATTTTAAAATAAAACTTATTAACATAAATGGAGAACATTATATGATGGTAAAAGGTCAATACACAAGTATGTAATAATTATAAGCATGTATGCACCTAATAACAGTAGCTAAATATTTGGCACCTACAGAAACAAAGGGAGAAATAAACAATTAAACAGTAATAGTTAGACATATCAGTACTCAGGACCACATGGCTTTACTGAATACTAAATAGAACAAGTAGACAGTGATCAAAGGAAATAGAAGACTTGAGCAACATTTAAATCAACTTGACCTTATAGACATCTATAGAACACTCCACCAAACAAAGTAGGATATGCAGCTTTCTCAAAGTGCACATAAAGTACTCTCCAGACAGATGACAGGTGAGGCCATAAAACAAACCTCAAATATTTTAAAAGTATGGGAATTAAAATGCATGTTCTTTGTATGTATAGAATAAAACTAGACATTAGTAACAGAAAGAAATTCTGGAAAATCACATGTATGTGAAAATAAAACAATACAACCCCATGTAAATAATGGAAAAAAGGAAAAATAAATATGAAAATCAGAAAATACTTTGAGATGAGTGAAACTGAAGATACAATATAACAAAACTTATAAAATAAAGCTAAAGCAGGCCGGGTGCTGTGGCTCACACCTGTAATCCCAGCACTTTGGGAGGCCGAAGCAGGTGGATCACGAGGTCAGAAGATCGAGGCCATCCTGACTTACATGGTGAAACCCCATGTCTACTAAATATACAAAAAATTAGCCGGGTGTGGTGGTGGGTGCCTGTAGTCCCAGCTACTCAGGAGGCTGAGGCAGGAGAATGGCATGAACCCAGGAGGTGGAGCTTGCAGTGAGCCAAGATTGTACCACTGCACTCCAGCCTGGGTGACAGAGCGAGACTCCATCCCCACACTGCAAAAAAATAATAATAATAATAATAAAATAAAAAATAAAGCTAAAGCAGTACATTGAGGGAAATTTGTAGCTGCAAATGCATATGTTAAAAAGAAGAAAAATTTCAAATAACCTAACCATCAACTCTAAGACAATGGTAAAGAAGACTAAACCTAAATCAAGCCAAAGAAAGATCTAATAAAGATGAGAGTTGAAGTTAATTAAATTGAGGATAGAAAAGAATAGAGAAAATCAATGAAGCCAAAGTTAGTTATTTGAAAAGATTTTTTAAAAATTGGCAAACTTGAATAAGTGAAGATTCAAATTACTAGATTCATATTACTAACCTTACAGAAATATAAAAGATTATAAGGGAATACTATGAATTATCATATGTCAGTAAAATAGATAACTTAGATGAAGTAGACAAATTCCGAGGAAGATATAAACTACTGAAATTGACTCAAGGAAAATGGAAAACCTGAATAGACCTACAGCAAAAAAAGAGTTTAAGTCGGTAATCAAAAATATTCCCATTAAGGAAAGCCCAGACTCTGATGACTTTACTACTAAATTTCACCATACTTTTAAAGAAAAATATATAAAATTGTTTCACAAATACTTCCACAAATTAAGATAAGGAATTCTTTTTTGATTCTTTGTATGAGGCCAGAATTAATTGGATAACAGTGACAAAGACACAAGAAAATGAAACTACAGACTGAAATGTCTTATGAATATGAATGTAAAAACTCTTAACAGAATTGTATAATGGCAAATCTAATTTATTAACATATCAAAAATTATATGTACTGCCCAAGTAGGATTTATCCTAAGAATTCAAGGCTGTTTTAACATCCAACAATCAATTTATCTAATACAATATACCAATAAAAGAAAAAACAAAAAAGTATATTTATGTCAACAGACACAGACAAATTATTGGACAAAACTCAATGCCCTTTCATGAAAAAAACTTCAATAATTAGGAATAGAAGGGAACTTCCTCAACCTGATAAAGACCATCTATATAAATATACACAGCTAACACCATACTTCATGATGAAAGATCAGAAACAAGACAACAAGTTCTATTCTCACCAATGTTCTAGTGAACTATTACTATAGGTTCTAGCCAGAGCAATTAGGCAAGAAAACAAACACAATTAATCCGTAATGGAAATCTAAAGTAGTACAATCTATATCAGCAGATGACATGATCATGTATATAGAAGATACTAAGGAACCTAATTAAAAGCATATGGCATTTAATAAACAACTTCAGCAAGGTTGCTGTATACAAGATCAATATATCAGTCAATTGTACTTCCATAAAATTGTAGTGAACAGACTGGGAGAGAAAGAAAAAAATATGTTTACAATAATTTTTAAGATAATGTTTATAAATATATTTAACATAAACGTAAAAACTACATACTCTGAAAACTACAGAGCACTTTAGAAACAAATTAAAGATATAAATAAGTGGGAAAATATACTATGTTCATGTATCATAAATCAGAAGACTTTATATTGTTTTAATGACCACACTCCCTAAATAGATCTACAGGTTCAATGCAATCCCTGTCAGGAATTGACAAAATTTATATGGAATTTTAAGAGACCCAGAAGAGCCAGAACAATTTTTTTTTAAAAAGGCAATGTAGTAAGACTCACACTTACAGAGTTCACATCTTACTGTAAAGCAAAAGTAATTAATGTTGTTTTGTAATAATATAGACACACAGATCAATGGAATAGAATCGAGGATAAAGAAATAAAGATGTGCCTGTGGCCAACTGATTTTTGATAAGAATGCTAACACTGAATGGAAAAAGTGCAGTCTTGTCAACAAATGGTGCTATAACTGAATAGCCATATTTAAAAAAAAGAAATTGGAAACTTACTTCATACCATGTCCAAAAAAAAAAAAAAAAACCACAAAATGCATGTAAATGCTAAAAACAAGAGTGAGCATTATAAAACTGATTTAAAAATAGGGTTAAATTTATATTACCTTGGGTTTGACAATGGATTCTTAAATATGACACAAATAACACAAGCAATAGAAGAAAAAAATCATAGATTGAACTTAATCAAAACCAAATCATGTGCTTCAAGACAAATGTCAAAAAATATATAAAAAAAATAAAATACATAGAATGGGATAAATATTTGTAAATCATATACTAGATATACTTGTGTATGGAATATATAAGAAGGCTTACAACCCAATTAGAAATTACAATTTAAAATGTGCAAGGGATATAAATAGATACTTCTCCAAAATACATATACAAATTGCTAACACATACATAAAATGCTTTGCATCATTAGTCACTAAGGAATGACAAATCAAAACCACAATGAGATACCACTCTTTACCCACTAGCAAAGGGGGAATTAAACAGGCAGATAATAACAAGCACGTGGGTAAGGATGTAGAGAAATTAGAACCCTCAAACACTGCTGATGAGACTGTAAAGTCATGCAGTCATTAGGAAATAGACTGGCAGCTCCTTGTATGGTTAAACGGAATTACCACAAACCAAGAAATTCCATTCCTAGGTATATGACTGAGAAAAGTAAGACAGATGTATACGTAACAAAAAACAGTGTGTATAAGACAGTCTCTAGCACCATTTTTATAATAGCCAAGAGATGGAAAAAACTGAAATGTTTATTAATTGATAAATGGGTAAACAAAATGTTGTACATAGAAACAATGGAATATTACTCAGCCATAAAAAAACTAATAAAGTGCTGATACATGCTGCAGCATGAATGGATCTTGAAAACATTATTCTGTGAAAGAAGCCAGTCACGTAAGACCACATATTTTATTATGATATTTGTGTGGTATGTCCCATATAGGCAAATCCATAGAGATAGAAATTAGATTCGTGTTTTGTTGGGGCTGAGGAGGGGTGGGGATTTTGATATGATAGCTAAAGGGTAAAAGTTTCCTTTTGAGGTATAAAAATGTTCTAAAATTTATAGTGCTAATGGTTACATGTGTCTGTGAGTATAGTAAAAAATTTTCAATTGTACATTTCATGATCAAAGTATATAATATGTGATATATGTTATAATATATATCAACTTTATTAAGATATATGGACATGTAAAACTTTTCATTATCATGCAAACTATAGAAAAGTCAGCTGTAAATAGTAACATTCAAAATATAGAATAAAGCTGATATATATGTATGTATATATCTTCTTTACTGAAATATAACTCACATATCATATAATTCACCAATTTAAGTGTACAATTCCGTGGTCCCTGCCACATCACTACCACATGTATTACTCTCATGTTTGCAAACTACAAAGTCAACTTTTCTTTTTCTTTCCTTTTTCTTTCTGACCAAGACATTTTTTAACAAAATATACACAGGTTATGTATATGTCTCAGTATGTAACACAATAATCTTTATTTCTGTGTTCTTTCTGTACCTGGCTTATTTTACTTAATACACTTACCTCCAGTTCCATCTATGTTGTTGCAAATGACAGGATCACATTTTTTTAAATAGCTGAGTAGTATTCTAAATCTATTAATCTGTTAAAGAACTACTTGGGTTGCTTTCAAATCTTTGCTATTGTGAATACTGCTGCAGTAAATATGGGAATGCAGATATCTCTTCAATATACTGATTTCCTTTCTTTTGGGTATATACCTAGCAGTGGGATTGCTTAATCATATTGTAGCTTCATTTTTAACTTTTTTTTTTTCTTTTTTCTAAGACAGAGTCTTGCTCTGTTGCCCAGGCGGGAGTACAGTGGCGCAATCTCTCCTCACTGTAACCTCCGCCTCCCGGGTTCAAGCAATTATCCTGCCTCAGCCTCCTGAGTAGCTGAGATTACAGGCATGCACCACCACACCCAGTGAATTTTTGTATTTTTAGTAGAGACGGGGTTTCACTATGTTGGCCAGGCTTGTCTAGAACTCCTGACCTCATGATCTGCCCGTCTTGGCCTCCTAAAGTACTCAGATTACAGGCGTGAGCCACAGCTCCTGGCCATCTTTAACTCTTTGAGGAACCTCCAAACTGATCTCCATAATGGTTGTATTAATTTACATTCCCACCAACAGTGTATGAGAGTTCTCTTTTCTCCACATCATCACCAGTATTAGTTATTGCCTGTCTTTTGGATAAAAGCCATTATAAGTGGGTTAGAGGATATTTCATTGCCATTTTGGTTTGCATTTTTCTGTTGCTCAGTAAGGTTGAGCACCTTTTGATATACTATTAGCCATTTGTATGTCTTCTTTAGGAAATGTCTACTCAGAACTTGCTCATTGAAAGAATCAGATTATTATATATTTTTTTCCTGTACACTTGTTTGAGCTCCTTATATATTCTAGGGATACTTTGAAAATATTTTCTCATATTCTATGTGTTGTCTCTTCATTTTGTTGATTGTTTCCTTTGCTGGGCAGAAGGTTTTTAACTACTGTGGTCCCTTTTTCTCGTTTTGCTTTGGTTACCTATGTTTGTGGGATATTAGTTGGGAAATATTTGTCCAGTCCAATGTTCTGGAGAGTTTCCCCGATGTTTTCTTGTAGTAGTTGGATAGTTTGAGATCTTAGATTTAAATCTTTAATCCACTTTGATTTGATTAATATATGGTGAGAGATAGGGGTCTAGTTTCATTCTTTTGCATATGGATATCCAGTTTTCTCAGCATCATTTATTGGAGAGACAATTCTTTTCCCATTGTATGTTCTTGGCAACTTTGTCAAAAATAAGTTCACTGTAGATGTCTGAATTAGTTTCTGGGTTCTCTATTCTGTTCCATTGGTCTATATGTCTGTTTTTATGCCAGTATCAAGCTGTTTAGGTTACTATAACTGTAGTATAATTTAAAGTCAGGTAATGTGATTCCTCGTTTTGTTTTGTTTTGTTTTTTGCTTAGGATAGCTTTGGCTATTCTTGTCTTTTGTGATTCCTTATGAATTTTAGGATTTTTTTTATTTCTGTGAAGAATGTCACTGGTATTTTGATAGGGATGGCATTGAACCTACAGATTGCTTTTGAGTAGTGTTGACATTTTAACAATAATGAGTCTTTCAATCCATGAATGTAGAATGTTTCCATTTTTTTGTCCTCATTGGTTTCTTTCATCAATGTTTTATAGTTTTCATTGAGAGATCTTTTATTTCTTTAGTTAAGTTCGTTTCTAAGTATTCAATTTTATTTGCAGATGTAAATGAGATTACTTTTTTCAGATTGTTTGCTTTTGGCATATAGAAATATGTTTATTTTATATCCTGCAATTTTCTGAATTTGTTTATCAGTTCTAATTATTTAGTGAAGCCTTTAGTCTTTTCCAAATATAAGATCATATTATCTGCAACAAGAATAATTTAACTTCTCCCTTTTCCATTTGGATATCCTTTATTTCTCTCTCTTGTTTGATCTCTCTAGTCAAGACTTCCAGTACTGTGTTTAATAACAGTGTTACAAGAGATTAGACATCCTTATTGTGTTCCAGATCTTAGAGAAAAGGCTTTCAGTATTTCCCCATTCATTATAATACTAGTTGTGAGTTTGTCATATATGGCTTTTATTATGTTGAGGTATATTCCTACTATACCTAGTTTTTTGAGTTTTTTTTTAAATCATAGAGGTATATTGAATTTTATCAAATACGTTTCCCAACATAAATTGAAATGATCATATCGTCTTTATCTTTCATTCTATTGATATTTTATATCACATTAATTAATATGCATATTTTGAACCATCTTCGCATTCCTGGAATGAATCCCACTTGGTCATGATGAATCTTTTTAATGTGTTGTTGAATTTGATGATCTTGTATTTTGTTGAGGATTTTTGCATCAGTGTTCATCAGAGGTTATGGCCTGTAGTTTTCTGTTTTTGATGCATCTTTGGTTTTGATATCAAGATAATATGGGCCTCGTAGAGTGTATTTGAAAGAATTCCCTCCTCTTCTACTTTTCAGAATAGTTTGAGTACAATTGATGTTAGTTCTTCTTTAAAAGATTGGGAAATTCATCAGTGAAGTCATTGGGTCCCAGTATTTTCTTTGCTGGGAGAATTTTTATTACACCTTCAATCTCATTACTTGTTATTGGTCTGTTCATGTTTTTGAATGTCTTCCTGGTTCAGTATTGGTGGACATATGTGTCTGGAAATTTATCCTTTTTTTTTGGTGTTTTAATTTATTGGCATATAGTTGCCTAGTATCAATAATCCTTTGAATTTCTGTGATTTTGGTTGTAATGTCACCTTTTTTATTTATGATTTTATTTATTTCAGTCTTCTTCTTTTTCAAGTCTGCCAAAGAGTTTGTCAAGTTTATCTTTTCAAAAATCCAGCTTTTTGTTTTGTTGATTTTTTAAATTTTTATTTCAATTATTTTCTGTTCTTATCTTTATTATTATTGTTTTTTACTAACTTTGGGTTTGGTTTCCTTTTGCTTTTCAAGCTCTTTAAGATTCATTGTTAGGTTGTTCATTTTGAAGTATTTCTTCTTTTTTGATGTAGTCACTTATAGCTATAAACTTCTTTCTTATTGCTGTTTTCACTGTATCCCATATGTTTTTGTATGTTTTGCTGCCATTATTCATTTCAATAATTTTTTCCATTTTCTTCCCAATCTCTCCACTGACCCACTGGTCATTCATGAGCATATTGTTTAATTTCCATATGTTTTTATAACTCTACAAATTCCTCTTATTATTGATTTCTAGTTTTATTCTATTGTGGTCTGAGCAGATACTTAATATTTAAATGTTTTTAATGCTTTAAGACTTATTTTGTGGGTTGACATATAATCAATTGTTAAAATTGATACATGTGTTGAAGATGAAGAGAATGATATGAATTTGGCAGCAGTTGGATAAAATGTTCTTCAAATATTTATTAGGTCTGTTTGGTCTATAATGTAGATTAAGTCCATTGTTTCTTTATTCAATTTCTGTCTAAATGATCTGTCCAATGCTCAGAGTAGGGTGTTAAAGCCTCCAGCTATTATTGTATTGGGGTCTATCTCTCTCTTTAGCTCTAATAATATTTGCTTTCTGTATCTTTGTTCTCCAGTACTGGTTGCATATATATTTACAATTGTTATATGCTGTTGCTGAGTTGACCCCTTCATCCTGATATAATGACCTTCCTTGTCTCTTTTTATAATTTTTTTCTTAAAAATTTATTTTGTCTGGTGTAAGTATAGCTAATCCTACCCTTTTCTGCTTTAGTTTTGTATGGAATATCTTTTTCCTTTCCTTGTTTCCAGTCTATGTGTATCTTTATAGGTGAAGTGTGTTTCTTGTTGGCAACAGATCATGGGGTCTTAGATTTTTATTGATTCAGTCACTGTATAAATTTTGCTTGGAGAGTTTAAGTTATTTACTTTCAATGTTATTATTGATAAGTAACAATAACAGATGATTTCATTATTTGTATTCTGGTTGTTTTGTGCTCTTCTCTTTCTTGTTTCCTTCCTTCCTGTCTTACATTTAGTAAAGGTGATTTTCTCTGGTGGTATGTTTTAATTTCTTGCTTCTAATTTTTATGTATTTGCTGTATTTTTTTAGAAATTAGGTTACCAGGAGGTTTTCAAGTATCACATAAACAGTGTTTTAAACTGATAATGACAACTTAACAGTGATTGCATAAACAAACAACCAAGCAAAAAGAAAACCAATTAAAATTCTATGATTTAACTTCATCTCCCTGTTTTAAATTTTTTGCCATTTCTATTCATATCTTATTGTACTTTTCATGTCTTGAAAAGTTGCTATAGTTATTTTTAATCAGTTTTCCCTTTTATTTATTTATTTATTTATTTTTTTGAGACAGAGTCTTGCTCTTTCACTCAGGCTGGAGTGCAGTGGCACAATCACAGCTTTCTACAACTTTGACTTTGTGGTCTAAAGGGATCTTCCCACCAAATCCTCCCAAGTAGCTGGGAACACAGGCATTTGTCATCATTCAGGCTATTTTTAAATTTTGTTGTGTGTGGAGACAAGATCTTTCCTTTTTTCTCATGCTGCTCTCAAACTCCTGGGCTCAGTCAGTCCTCCCACCTTGGCTTGCCAAAATGCTAGGATTATAGGCATGAGCCACTGTGCCTGGCCTATCCTTTCATCTTTCTACTTAGGATACACATAGTTTACATATTATAGCTTCCATGCTATAATATTCTTTGTTTTTCAGTGTACTTAACTACCACCAGTGAGTTTTGTAACTTAAGATGATTTCTTACTGCTCAATAACATTTTTTCCTTCAGACTGAAGAACTCTCTTTATCATTTCTTGTAGAGAATGTGTGGTGTTGATGAAATCCCTCAGCTTTTGTTTGTCTGGGAAAGTATTTCTGCTTCATATTTGAAGGATATTTTTGCAAGATATACTGTTCTAGGGTATAAGGTTTTTGCTTTGTTTTTTTTTTTCCTTCAGCACTTTAAATATGTCATGTCACTCTCTCCTGACCTGTGAGGTTCCCACTGAAAAGTGTGCTACGAGATGTATTGAAGCTCCATTGTATATTATTTATTTCTTTTCTTTTACTGCTTTTAGAATCTTTTCTTCACCCTTGATCTTTGGAGTTTGATTATTAAATGGCTTGAGGTAGTCTTCTTTGAGTTAAATCTCCTTGGTGTTCTATAACCTTCTTGTTATTGGATATTGGTACCTTTCTATAGGTTTGAGAAGTGCTCTGGTATTATCTCTTTGAATAAACTTTACTACTTATTTTAGACTCACTATCTGAGCTTGTTTGTACCTGTCCTTCTTTGGAAGGCTTTCCAGGAATTTGAAGGATCTTGGATGTTATGATCTTTTTTGGTCACTGCAGCTATATCTGCATTAGGCAGCACCCCAGGTTCAGTAATGCTATGGTTTTCACAGATTTGAAGAGGTACCACCTTAATGGTCTTGGATGAGATCTAGAAGAATTCTCTGGATTACCAGGCAGAAATTCTAGTTCTTTTTCCTTACTTTCTGCCAAGTTAACGAAGTCTCTTTCTCTGTGCTCAGGTTCCTGGTGCTAAGGAAGAAGTGACATGAGCACCCCTGTGGCTGGTACCAAAACTGTACTTGGACAGATCTGAAGCCAGCACAGCACTGAGTCTTGCCCAAGGCCCACTCTAACTACTCTCTGGCTACTGCCTATGTTTGCTCAAGGCCCTAAGGCTCTATAATTAGAGATGGTGAAGTCAGCCAGTTTTGTGTCCTTCCCTTAAGGGTGTCGAACTCCCCCAGACCCTGGGTAGGTTCAGAGTTGCTGTCCAGGAGACAAGGCCTGGAGTCAAAAACCTTAGAAATCTACCTGGTATTCTATTCCACTGAGGCTGAGCTGGTGCTGAAACCATGAGACAAAGTCTTTCTCACTCTTCCCCCCTCATTCCTCAATCAGAGGTGTCTCTCCTTGTGTCTACCACCACCATAGGCCCATAGGGAATACTGCCAGGATACCACCGATGTTTACTTAAGACTTAAGGGCTCTTCAGTCAGCTTGTGATGGATACTGCCAGGCCTGGTACCCATTTTTCAGGGCAGGGGCTCTCCTCTGGCCCAGGCTAGGTCCAGAGATGCTGCTCAAGAGCCGAAGCCTGGTACTAAGGACCGTAAGTGCCTGCTTGATGTTCTTCCCTACTGTGACCGAGCTGGTACCTATGTTCAAGACAAAGTCTTCTTTACTCCTCTCTCTGTTTTTTTTCAAGCAGAAGGCATCTGTGCTCATAGCCATCATGATTATTAATGTGCTGGGTCATACCTGAAGCCCACATGTTTCAGAGTTTCATCCAAGGCCCATAGCATGTGCTACTTGGTTACCACTGCTGAAAAGGGTCAAAGGGCTCTTCAGTCAGCATATGATGAATCTTGCCAGGACTCAGCCCTTCCTTTCAAGGCAATGGGTTCCTTTCTGGTCCAGGGGGTGTCAGAAAGTGCTATCTGGGAGCTAGGGCCTGGAATGGGGGCATTAAGGCTTTGTGTGTTGCCTTATCCTAATATGGCTGAGCTGGTATTAAAGCTGCAAGAGAAAGTCCTCTTTACTTTTCCCTCTCCTCTCCTCAGGTGGAAGGAAGGGGACTATTTTTGGAGGAGTGAGCTGCACTGCCTGTGGTTGAAGGAGGGGTGGTACAAGCACTCCCTTAGCCACCCCAGCTGGTGTCTTACTAGGTTGCATGCCTTCAAGTCTATTGAAGCCCATCAACTCACTAGGACTTGCCTAGCAGATGTAATCCTTGTAACCCAGACAACTTTCAGGTATCTTTAGGACCCCAGAGTGATTTAGCCCATGGTGGTAAGTCTTGCCAAAACTCCCATTCTGACCACTGGGATGGTCAATTCCCCACTGGCTAGGGCTGGTCTAAATACTCCCTCTTATTTGAATTCAGGGCTGCCAACACCAGGCAGAACCTGCTGAGTTCTGCCTGGTGTTGGCAGCCCTGAATTCCAATGCAAAGTCCCACAATCACTGCAGTTTTCCTTCCCTAGGCACACAGATTCTCTATGCCATGCAGCTGCTACCATGGGAATGGAGGAGGGATGACATCAGTCATACAGGACTCTATTTTCTGCTTTCTTCAATGTCTTTTTCAGCATTATGAAGTTAAAACCAAGCACTGCGATTGCTCATCTGAGTTCTGGGCCTTATCAAGGTAATTTTTTGTGTAGATAATTGTTAAATCTGGAGTTCCTGCTGGGACGATGATTGGTAGAGCTTTTTATTCAGCCATCTTCTTCTGCCCCCTCCCCAATGTATTATTTTCTTGATAAATTTAGACATGTTTCATAAATCACTTTTATAATTATTATTAATATAGGTCCCCGAATTTGTGCTCTCTGAGGTATCCTTTTTGTTTTGCCTGTAAGGTTTTTTCCTTTGATATAAGCCTTTGGACAATCAGTTATCCTTGATTTTTAAAACAAGGCATTTAATCTTCCAGTATCTGGTAAACTTTGATTTCTACACAGTTTGTTCCAAAAGCAAGCAACTCAAGCCTGTCAACATTAGGAAGACTGTGACTAATGCTACCTCCCAGTAGATTTTATTTCCTTACTCATCTTTGTCTTTTTGCTTTTCAGAGCTGAAGTGAGTGTGGGCTTTATCCAGTGACAAATAAGGCCCTCACAACTCTTTCTGAGCCCAGAACCCCAAATCTGTAGCCAGTAATTCTAAAAATAAAGCTAAAAGCAATATATTGCATATTTTAGGACTGCTTACCTAAGATGTTTATTTTACCTCAAATAAAATCCCAAGATGATTTCACACCTGTGACAGATGAATTGCAACTGCTACTTCTTCTATGGGATGTATTGTAATGTTGTGCTCTGCCTCCTAAGGCAGTCTTTCCTTTTGTCCACCCAATTATCTTAGCTGCAGGATCACATGTTAAAGATTCTCCAAAACCTTGATTAATTTTAAGTAACCTAGAGTTTTTGCCCAGGATGACATATTGGTAAAAGAAGGACTGATATCTTCTTTATAACTGAGTCCTCAAATCTTGCCTTTGTTCAACTTTTTGAGCTTTTTAGCTCTTGAGGGACCCATACTACCTTAATAGCTATGAGAAAGTGGTTCTTGCTCCTTTTCTGGAGCAATAAGACATAATTCTGTTTCCTTAGTTGTCTCTTTCCCTAGTATGTTTAGTAGGGCCTAGGTGAGACATTAGATTTCTACATTGCTTCTATATTAAACTGGATCTTCCATCCTCAGCCATCTGAAGGGTTATCATCCTTGCCCGACTGCAATATATTATTTTCACCAAGATTTTTCCTTTATGTGTTGGTACACATATGTATTTTATGACACTTTCCACTACAGGTTGGCTCTCTCTGATTTGTATATATTGTTACCAAATTCATCATTTTCCTAGGGCATCCATTTCACAAACACATAAAAGCCCCATAATAGCTAGCACCCCATATAATTCAGACCTTTCTCTTACCTATGACCTTCCTTGTTGCATTCTTATATAAATGTGTCATCTTGGCTGTGCTTTCTCTTACAATCCTTTACCTTATCAGTGTTTGAGTATTTTCCTCAGCTCTTGGGACAAAATAGCCTCACCATCCTCAAGCACTGCATTGACTTGAAATTATTGAACAATTTTATTTTTATCTGCTTGGTATTTTATTCTCAAGTCAGTCTTATTCTCAATTAACAATCTTACCTTTTTTCCTCTGATATACAAATTTGAGCCACATTGTCAATCATTTGAAAAAATTATTGTTTTTCAAATGAATCATTTGCTCCTTAACCTCCTGATCAAATTTGAATTTCAGAACAATGTGTTGAATGTGACTGTGTTTACTCTACTTCTTCATATGACTTATCTAGTAATTTTCATACCCTTCTGAGTCTTATGGTCTTGAAACTTCAGAGCTAGATTGATTGGACGTCTGCCCAGTGATGGAGACTCAATTTCCCTTCTGAAAGACCAGTGACTATTCAAGAACAAAACAAAACAAAATACTGTGTTCTATCTTTTGCAACTCCATATTCATAAAATTTTCTTTATCTCTCCATGCCCAGCAGGATCCAAAGGGATATATATTCCTATGATAGATTAGCTGAAACTGCTGCTTTCTGCTACAGAATTGCCTGGAAATATGAACTCTGCTTCCTAGATTAGTTTTCTTTCTTTTCCCCCACCTCTGCCTTGTATTATTACTGTGTATGTTTTTTGAAACCCTGTACCTTCATGGGATTAGTAAGGACTGTTACATCTTTTGCTACATGTTCAAAAAACGTTTTGTCCTTAAATAATTTTTTCTAGATATACTGATTTATTACTTTCTTTCTCTTTAAATAAATTGTTTCATTAAAGATGGTTTTGCTGTTTGTAAGTGGGAGAATCCATCTTTATTTACAATGTAATGCTAATTTCTCACTTGAGCCTGTGTTTCTTGAGCTGTCTCTGAGAGAACAATGCTACCCTGCCTAACGGTTCTGACAGAGCATCCCACAGTGACAGCAAGTATGTTTGATAAAAAAATGTATTGCTAGGTTGGGCATGGTGGCTCACGCCTGTAATCCCAGCACTTTGGGAGTCGGAGGTGGGTGGATCACTTGAACTGATGAGTTTGAGAGCAGCCTGGGCCACATGGTGAAACCCCATCTCTACTAAAAATACAAAAAAATTAGCCAGGCCTGGTGGCATGTGCCTGTAGTCCCAGCTACTCAGGAGGAGGCTGGGGTAGGAAAATCACCTGATCCTGGGAAGTCAAGGCTGCAGTGAGCCATGATCATGCCACTGCAGTCCAGCCTGTATGATGGCAATGAGACTGTGTCTCAAAAAAAAAAAAAAAAGTATATTTTCTTCCAATTTTAGCTCTGATGAGTCAAGAGCTGGGGGGCATCACTTAAGTCTTTACACTGAAAAAAAAAAGCAGCAGAAACTAAAAATAAATGACTTTACTTGAACTCATCAGAGCAGTGATGTGGTAGGGCAAATTATAACCTCAAAATCAGAAGAGATAGGTAAATGCAGAGAATCATAGCCTTGGATTTACCCCCAAGTACCCAAGTATAAGCTGCTTTGGAGCAAAACTAATATGGTATATTAATGGTAATTTTCAAAGATTGTTGGAGGCTGGGTGTGGACTGCACTAGTTTGAAAAAGAGAAACTACTACATGCTCCTGTCATAAGGAGGGCCCCACAATTTCATATGCTTTACCTGCAGGAACACTACCAGCTTCCCATGGTAAACACCTCAGAAAAAGCCCCTTACACTTCTTGCAGGTATAAGAAAAAGTAACTATTTTAAAATACTCCAAGTATTTACATTAACGAAGGCCTACTCTCCTTTGGAAAGACTTTATCAGACACTTACCTCACCTAAGGGGAAACGCAATTACCTAACTCCAGCATTCTCTAACCCTCCTGCCTTACCTTAAGTGGGTAAAAAATATCTAGGAGACACTTATGCAGGTCACAGCACAAGGATACAGGCCCACTAAAGGACTAAAATTTAATAATCAGATTATAGCATGCTGTTCATTTCCCACACTTTCCCACCACTCAACAGGGCCCCAAGAGATAACATGATTACAGATGAAAGACATGCACAGCACAGTCTATATTTTAAAAAGGAGTTTTTATGGAAATCTAAAGACAACAGGGGTGACAAAAATGAGGAAACTAGAGAAATTTGAAGCTTCTAGAAGCCACAGCAAATATTAAACACAGCCTATCTTCTAGCAGAATAATATACAACATCACCCTAAAGGTCAGTCTACCTTGGTTCCTACTACCCTTTACATCATTTCCAGTTTTTAACAAAAGGAAATTAGAAGGCATGCTAATGGCAAGTAAAAATACAGCTTATAGAGACAAAACAAACAGCAAAACTAGACTCTCACCAAGAAATGTTTTTAAAAGTTCTTCACATGGAAGAAAAATAGAGAGATCATAAGCTCACGTCACAAATAATCAGGGAGGAATGTTGGAGAAGGAGGAAATAAAGTTAAAATAAAATATTTTATTTTCACTCTTATATTCTCAATTAATTTGATAGAAAACTATTAAAAGTAACGATAGTCACAATGTATTCAGGGATTATAACCTATTGATTAATAAATGGATTATAGTAATTTAATAAGGGATTAGATGGAGGAATAGGAAATACTCTTATTATAAAAGGTTCATGAAATATCCATAAAGCAATATAAGGTTATTCAAAAGCCAGCGGAGGTAGTTGCAAATATGATTGTAAACTCTAGGACAATAACAAAAACAAAATTGAAATGAATTAAAATTGGTGTACTGAGAGGTGAAAGAATCAAATTATATTAAACATACAATCAAAACTAGAGGCTGAGTACAGTGGCATATGTCTTGCAGTTTGTTCTGCTGAAGTATTGACCCCCAACACCTCAAAGTGTGACCTTATTTGGAAATATGGACTTTGCAGATGTAATTAGTTAAGCTAAAATGCAGTCATACAGGAGAGGGGTGAGCCCCTAATACTGTATGACTAGTCTTATCACAAAAAGGAATTTGGACACAGGTATGCTCACAGGGAGAACATCATATGATGATAGAAATGAAGGTGATACTTTCATAAGCCAAGTATAGTGGGCAACCTATGAGAAGTTGTGGGGAGGCTTGAAACAAATTCTTTCTCCTAGCCCTCAGAAGGAACCAACCCCACTAACATGCTGTCTTAGCTTGTTTTGTGTTGCTATTTCAACATGAGGTCTGAGGGGACACACATCCAAGCTATAACAAGTATCAAGGACAGTGATTCTGGCAACAATGCATAAAGTTCAAAGACCTTCATGGTGCAAGATAACTGAAGTCAGAGCTACTACAGAAACTTTAATCTCTATTGGTTGTTTATTGAATCCCAAGTGTCTACTTATCTTTTGTAGCATAAATTGGACATTCTGAAAATAGCCATAAATTGGACATTCTGAGAGTGGCCATTATTATTATTATTTTGAGAAAGGCTTTCACTGTGTCACCCAGGCTGGTGTGCAGTGGCACTGCAACCTCCGCCCCAGGGGCTCAAGTGATCCTCTCACCTCAGCCTCCTGAGTAGCTGGGACCACATGCGTGCACCACCAAGCCAGGCAACTTTTTTTTTTTTTTTTGTAGAATTGGGGATCTCACCATGTTGCCCTGGCTGGCCTGAAACTCCTGAACTTAAGCAATCCATCCACCTCGGCCTCCCAAAGTGCTGAGATTACAGGTGTGAGCCACTGAACTCGGCCCAAGAATGGCCTTTAGTAAAATTCCTCTTTTCTTTTGAATTGTGAACCACACTAAAAATATGCACTGGAGTCTGATGAAGATGAGTATTAATAACTGCTTTATTAATAGTAAAGCTGTATTTGAACTGGTAGCTATGACTTTTGACTCCACAAAACCTTTCCATGCTCTATACAGTTCACCATGTGGAGTTCTGCTTCATACTTTCTCAGTCTTCAGAAATAGAAATCTAGATAAGGCATGGGAACAAGCTCAACTTTGCTTCCATCTCACCAATCAGATAAGTCAGCCCTTTTTCCATTTCATGAACTAGTGGTGGGACTAGTGCAAAAGAAAGAAGTTGAACTGGTGCAGAAGACTGCTCCTCAGTCTTATAACTGGTGTGGGAAGAGAAAACCCATGTTTAATAAAAGAATATTGACAGAATTTTAAAAATGTACAAACATATGCACAAGTATAAAACTAGACTGCTTGTATTTAAGATGTAAAGTAGGTTCCTGTCCTAAATGCTGATTTTCTCATTTAATCCTCACTACAATATTGTTCAATAAGTTCCATATAATCTCTGTACCAAAATTTTACCAGTTGTCCAACGCATGTCCTTTACAGGAAAATAATACAGTTCCAAATTACACATTGCATTTAGTTGTTATGTTTCTTTTACCTCCTTCAATACAACTACTTCTCATTATTTATTTACTTATTTTATATAATGCTCCTTAATTTGTTTTTCTGATGTTTTCTCACGATAATATTTAATTTATATATTGTTTACAGGAAGAACTCTAAAGTGATGTTCTATGTTCTCATTCCATCCTATCAGATTACACATGATTTTATGTTTCTCCTACTTTTGATGTTTAGTTTGATCACTTCATGAAGGAGAGCTCTTCAAGTCTTCTTCACTTTAAGATTATTATTATTTCTCTATGTAATTAGTATTTTTAGTGGAGTAAATGTGAGTGGCTAAATATTACACTTATCAAACTTTTCATTTGTACTTTAAAATCTCATGCATGATCTTTTTCCCACACAGAAGCATTTCTCACCATGCACCGGGCATCAGTATTCTGCAGCATGCAACCATCTTTTCTTCTGGATATGCTGGTCACTTGGTTGGCCTCCAACACTCTACTTTGCAAAACTATGACTCTCCTCTCCCACCCTGGCATGAATATGTGCCTTGCATGGCCTTTCTAGTTACTTTAGGGATAAATTGTTAAAGAAAAAAAGCAGAAATAATCATTTTAATGTAGGGATGAAGGGCAATATAGAATGGTGGAGGAGAATTGAGATGTGGATCCTTTATTCAAGCTTATTTGTTGATTTGTTCAACAAACTGATAGAGTGTTGGGGATATAATAATGAAGAATCAGGATTCTCATACTGATTTAGTAAAATATAATAATTTTCATCCTTGCTTTGCTATTTATAAGATGTTACATCTTGGACAATTTACTTTTCCTCTCTCAAGAACAGTTGCCTCCAGTGCAAATAAATGGTTTTCCTGAGTATAGTACATAGCCCTTTGTTGCTATGATGTTCTTGGTTTTACTGAAGGTCAGTGAAAAGGTCCTTGATGAAGAAGCTATGTTTCTCATAATCAGCATTCATGGCTTTCATTGTGATTTTTTTGAGTACTCTTGTTTCATATCCAAAGTAAATTATTGATGGTATTGAAAATAAAATTAATTCTCCTTTATCATTATTCTTGCAATTGGATATCTCTCTAATTTTTATGACTTCATTAAATCAACTAGAGATAGAACCTCTTATTAGATTTGTATCTTGTAGTGAAAGTCTAAGGTATATAGTAATTGAATTATACTTTCAGTAACTAGGGAAATAATCATAGGATAGGTCTGTGAATTTACTAGACTCACTGCAGCTTGAACTTATGCATAAAATTATATCTTTGAAACCTATAAATATGTTACCTTATGTGACAAAAAAAACTTTGTATATGTGGTTAAGACTGTTGAGATTGGGGGATTGTCCAGGCAAATCCAATATAATTTCAAAGTTTCTTATAAAGTGGTAGGAGGAACTGAGTTAAAGAAGGCCATGCAACGATGGAAACAGAGGGGGATAAGTTGTGATGACAGAAACAGAGATCAGACAGACAGAGAAAGAGAGAAAGAGAGAGAGATTTGAAGATGTAACGTTGTTGGACTTGACGATTGAAGATGGAGGAAGGGGTCATATGCCAAGAAATAAAGGTACCCTGTAGAAACTGAAAATGGAAAAAGAACATATCATCCCTTAGAGCCTCCAGAAGAAATGCAACCATGCCTGATGGAATTGGATTTAAGGACTTTTGACCTCCAGGACTGTTATATAATAAATGTGTCTTGCTTATCGTCATTAAGTCTGAGATAATTTGTTATAGCAGCAATCGGAAACTAATGCATAAAACAAATAATACCTAACCAATTGTTATTTATTTTTCAGTCCTAGGGACAATTTAATCAGTTAGCTATTTCAATCATCTCAGTGAAACACTCACTGCCACTTGGTCTCTGCTATTCCACAAATTTAGCACCATTATTGATATTAAGGAGAACATCTCTAGAGTGACATTTCCTACTGTTACAGTCTATGGAGGCAGCTCTCAAAGAGCTTTTCTGAGATATTGGTGCTCCCTTTGCTAATTACTTTTCAATGCCTTCGTGAAGACAGTGTCTCCTGGACCTTCTTGAGAAGTGTAATGCGGGGAGTATGGTTGTATAGTACATCCACAACAAATTAAAACAAGTGCTCCTGTCTTCCAAAACTTTTGGATTTTGTCCTCTACATTATGACAAGAAATTCTGGCATCTCAGCTTCATTAAATGCAGGCCACTATTGAATTTCAATTTCAGCCAATCAGCCACATAATTTTTTAAACTTCCAGCTACATAATCTAACAAAAGAAATCCAGAATCTCTGCTAAATATGCTCATGAGTAAATTTCACCCAATTCAGTGCAAATATTCCATTTTCCATGGACTATTGACCTTAGAATCCATCCCCAAACATAATCCATCCCCAAATATAATTTGCAACACATTTCTGTGTCACAAATTTCATGACCATATAAATTGGAAGAAACATTTTAATTATTTAAGAAGTATATAAAATATTTATTTTAGGGTCAGATTTTGTATTTTCCTCCCTGGTATATATTTACATCTGACTCCCAATGTGGGTCTCATGGCAGGAATTAATTGTGATGTGTCTCAAGGAAAATAGGTATCTGCTTATTAACTTACAAGGGTAGATTATTTCAGGATAATTTATGGAGAGAAGACAAATATAGTCAGACAGAAGAAGATAGTATGCTTCTACTGTGATTGGAGGTTCAGAGTGGCCTGGAAGTTCAAGATACACAATTTTTTCTATGTCCGCATAGATGTTATTATTTCACATCTCACAGTCTCAGTATTTTCCTAGCCAATGACATTATCTCATCTTTCTTTTACATTAGAGACTTGGTAAGCCTGTGAATTGGTCACAGGTTGGATTTCCTGAGAAGCAAAGTTTCAAAGAAAGTTAAGCAGCACAATTATTAGAAAATGCTTGTAATAACATTTGTGGCAAGCAGGGAAAAGAAGCACAATTAAGCCTTAGATAATCCTATGAGGAGCTTAGAAGCTAAGACATCTCTTCAGCATTACACCAAGTGGTATTGAGAGGACCGGGTTTTTAGCCAACAGAATCAATCAGTCACTGGAGATGCAGAACGCCTCTGGAATGAGGCATGACCTTGGAGACATATTTTTATACAGTCCAATTATTCCCCAAAGGTAATGACACAACTAAGATTGATCAACTAGCACTGCCAGCAGATGGAAGACTTAAGGTATTGATTGTTCAAGGGGGATTTGGCCAGCACATCACAGCATCCACATTGAAAATCAACTTAGGTAGCAATTCTATAGAACATACAATGTCAGTGACATCAACCTTGAAGCTACAAAAATAAGAGGTTCTTTTAGGGTCACCATAGAAGTTCTCTAGTTTCCAGACCAAGACTTAAGCTGACAATTTTAAAATTTGAGTTTATTATTATTTTATTCTTTATAAGAATTTCAGTGTAATCAAGAAAAGCATCTCACTCTATGATCCTTATGGTCATTGTCATTGCTGCAATAGCTAAGGGCATAATAGCCATTTTGTTCTTCAAAGAACTTTTTTCAAGGAAGGACATTATCACAATCAACCACAGATGATAATTGGATTAGTCATGATGCCACAGTATGACATGGATTTTTATCATGTCATTTTCCATTTTCAAGAGTTTCAATTCAGCTCAAGGACACACTCAAGCTTATCACAAAACAAAACAAAAAAAACACATTTGAACCTTTGAGTATCTGTGTCATGGAGACATCAGCATTTGAGAGAGAATTGGAAAAGCAATAAGGAAGCACTAACTTGATATAGAGGTAATAAATGCAAAAGCAGCTTTTGTCTTCATGGACAAAGAACAGAGGGAAGAGATTAGGATTACTATAATTTAGAAATTTAGAGAAGGGTTACTGCAGAGTTGGGATGGAGGGTTGCTGCCTACTAGTGGTGAGAGACCATAGGGTGATGGACAAGGGTCCCAGTTCATCTGGGGATCATCCAGCTGCTGCTGATGTCTTTGAGGAAGCATGATGATACTAGTCTTTTGGGATATGAAAAGAATTATAACCTGTAAAATGGACACAACAGTTGCTGACAGAGTGAAGGGCGACTGGGTTGATATTAGCAGGAAGCAAAACAAAGGTAGCAAATCCTTCCCCTCTCCTCTGGCCTCTCTCTCTCTCTCTAGCACCATTCTACTGGCATAACCTAAGAGGGAACCAGCTGGAAAAATAGAAATTTGATTTGCAAAGTCTCAGCTCTAGCACAACGAAGAATAGAGATGAGTTTGAAGCTAAAAGAAAAAGCATAACATTTGCTCTTATAGGACTCATGTCTATATATGTAAGAAATACTCCCTGGGTATTGATTTGTAGGGTTTGGGAGTTGTTGACTCAACACTCGTCTCCCTTGCCTCTCTCCCTTCACTATAAAGGCTAGAAATAAAAATATTTGATTCTCACTCTCCCTTGCGTCTCAAATATATCACTTTGCTTATTTCTGACTAATGAGAACAAAATACCATGTATATAAAGGTAAAATCTTACCTTTTACTCTTCATCATTTTTCCTTTTCCTTTATCACCCAGATGTAAATTTCCAGTGTCAGTTGAGGACTACACACTCATCAACCCAATGATGAGACTAAATGCTAAAATTAGCAGAGTAAAAGCTAGATAATTGTTATTGCCAGTAGCACCTTTGTGCTACTGAACCCACTCTGGACTGCCTACATCCGGATTTCTTATTCTGTAAGATAACAAACTTATATGTCTTTAAGCTGCATTGGTCAGATTTTCAATTATTAACTGCAAACCTTAAAATACCCAAATGTTAATGAATATGGCTATATGCATTATGAAAGATTCCAGTAATTTAGAAGTAATTGACTTATAGCTTATTATTAAAATAATCTGTATTAACATAGTGAGATATTTAAAAATACAAGTTGTGCAGGTGTTTGTTTTCATTCATAAATTAGCTAGGTGATCTTGAAAAATTAATACATATTTCTAGGTCTTAAATTTCCCCATGTGTAAAATTTGCCCCATGACTTTCAACAAATCAGATGATCAATTATAAGTCAGATTCATGTCTTCTCTCTATTAGAAAAAGATAGAATGGGCAAACAAATGCTAAAACAATTGAGCTGAGACCCACAAAGCAATGTTGAGATCCATAAAAATGTCATGGAAAGTACAGAAAACAGCAAGCCATGCATGAGGTTAACAATATGGAAAGCACTTCAACACTCATGTGTTAGAATACTAAGTGAGCAAGACTAAACTAAAAAGTCATCCTAGAATTCCGGTTTTAGCTCTGGCATGTAAAGCACTAAGAAGTCCACATTCCTATCTTTACAGCAACAACAAAAACAAAAGTAAAAAAAAATACCAACTATCAGTAACTTTTTAAAAGACACATCAAATAATAGGGTGCAGGTCAAATTGCCATCTCTTTACCCAGGACAGAAACTGATGAAGGGAAATATACATGGTCATATTAAAGAATGTCTAGGGATTGACTATAGACTAGCATGAGAATGAGAAACTCTTGGGGCCATAATTTATGGGGTCCCCTACATGAACATTGGCATTTATTATGAATGAAATGTTTGTGTCTCCCCAAATATATATGTTGAAGAACTAATCCCAAATGTAATGCTATTTAGAGGTGGAAGATTTGGTGGTATCAGAATTATATTAGATTACAAGAGTGATATCCTTCTGATAAGATTAGTGGCTTTATAAGAAAATGTAATAGAGAAAGGATGAGGGAGAGAGGGAGAGAGAGATAACTACCATGTGACAACACAATATGAGATGGCCGCAAGACAAGAAGAGGGCCTTCATGAGAAACCAACCATGCTGGCACACTGATCTCTGGCTTCCAGCCTTCGGGACTTGGAGAAAATACATTTATGTTATTTAAGTCACTCAATGTTTTGTTATGGCAGACTGAACAGTCTAATACAGGTTCTATCTAGAATCTGTATAGGAAACTACAGTTTCCAATAATACTACAGTTTCTAATAATAATAATAGTACAGTATTAGAAACCTATCAGTTTCTCATAGTGAAAATATGTGAAATATTTTCCTTGCCCTGAAAGAGAAAGAAAAAGAGTAAATATTATGAAATATAACGTGAGCCTTATTTATAAAGAAGACTTACACGGTAGCGGAAAGGCTTTGGCAGGACGCAATTCTGAATGGAGGCCCAAGATAGGCAAAGAGAATTTCTCCCAATTCTAGCAACTCTAACTTTCCTGTGTCACCTAAGAGGATACAATGGTAACAAATGTAATAATAATAGTAAAATTTAAAAAAACTAAATATAATTAGGACTTCTGGTTTCAGCTCCAAAAAAATTCAGAACTTGGAAGTTGTCATCTGTCCTTACAACCAGAAAACAAGGTGAACAAATTGAAAATTAATGATGTTTTTGGGCCTGTCAGAGAACTGTGGTTGTGGGGAAAACCCTCCCCCAAAAACCTGGAAAACAAGCTAATATAGAGAAACTACAATTGAGATCTGCTTACCTTGCAGTAAAGCTGCCAGATTTGTAAACTGGTAAGAACACTTAAATGGTAATTTCTATGAACTGAGCGAGGCTGAGTGTGGACTAGCATAAGAGTAAGAAACTCTTGACCCCTCAGTCTCAGGGAATTCCCCGTAATTTCATGGCTTTTTGCCTCCCGAAATTCCATCAGAATGTAAGGGTGAAGAACCAAAATGATACTCTTGGGGATCTGCTGAGAGTAAAGGAAAAATAATCACTGTGAAATACTCTAAATATTTTTAATAATAAAGATCTGCTCTGTATGTTAAACAAGCAAAAAAACAAGCAAACAACTTTACTAGATCCTAATCCAGTCTAAGAGACTGGCATTTCTCTGCTTCCACACACCTCTAGTCTTCATGTTTCTTCTAAGGGAAAAAGAAAATAAACTAAGATACTCTTGTTAAGACCACAGCATAGGAACACAGGCCAACTAAAAGATAAAATTTAATCATAATATTATAGAACACTTGCCCTTCCTTATATCTTTCCACCAACAATAGAGCTCCAGTATTGTGACAGAAGATTAAAGTTGGCAGAGCTGCAAGATGCAGAATCTATTTTAGGAGTTTTCAGGAAGTTCAAAGACATTGGGAAAGAAAACAAAAACAACGGCAGTAGAGAAATTGGAAGCCTCTAGTACCTGCAGCCATGGCAAGCATTAAACACAACCCAGCTCTAGCCTGATTAACTTAAAACCTCACAATAAAGGCCTGTTTATCTCGGTTTCTATTACTTAGAACATCAAGCCCTACTTTCAACAAGAAATTGAGATACGCTCAATGATGAAAAAAAAAAAAAGCCTGAATGAACAAAGAAAGCATCAGATCTGACTCAGATATGACAGATTTTGAAGTTTTGAGCAAACCACTTACAATAACTATAATTAATATGTTAAGTACTCTACTTTAAAAAATAAACAACATGCAAGAACAGATGGGTAATATAAGCACAGAGATGAAAACACTAAGAAGTACCAAAAGAAAAGGCTAGAAATTGAAAAAAAAAAAAAAAACACAAACAACTGTGACAGAAATAAAGAATGTCTATAGTAGACTAGACCCAGCCAAGGGAACCATACATGAGCTTGAATATTTGTCAATAAATATTTGCTTAACTAAATGCAAATCAAAAAAATAGCAAAGAAAAATATAACAAAACATCTAAGAAGTGGTACAACTATAAAAACACGTAATATAGTATCAGAAAGAGTAAAAAATTGAAAAAGGGGAATACAAACCTTACCTATACATGTATACAGATAAGATTATAGCAAACCTTTAACAGAAACTGTGTAACCAAGAAGAGAATGGATAAAATATGTAAGATGTTGAAAGGAAAAAAAAAAAGCCTTGAATTCACTATGCAGTGAAATTAAACTTCAAAAGTGAACAAGAAATAAGGACTTTCAGGAAAATGATTACCAGCATACTTGCCCTGCAAAAAATATTTTTAAAAGTTCTTTAGAGAGAATGATAATAATCTTGAATCTGCATAAGGAATGAAAAGATATTAGTTAATAAATAAAGATAAAATATTCTGTCTTATTTATTTTTAATTGACTGGAAAAGTAAATGTTTAGTTAGAGTAATAACAGTAACAATGTATTAGGTGATTATAACATAAGGATAAGTAAAATGAATTGTAGGAATGTCATAAGAGATAACAAAGAAGATTTGAGTATACCTTTATAAGAATATTTTATAAGCATTTTATAAGACTACTTTATAAGTTACTTGCATGACAGGGAAGGCAGAATAGTGTTATTTTTGGGTGGATATGGAATAGTTGTAAATGCATTTAATCAACTCTAGAACAATCAGTAATGCTTTTAAAGAAAGACTGATATTTCAAGAGAAGAGAAAAAATTAAATTATGCAAAGTGTTCAATAAATGCCAAAGAAGGAAGATAAGATGCAAAGATACTAACTCAACTATATTGATAATTACTTTAAATATAAATTGTCTAAATATGCTAATTAAAAGACAAGGATTATTACTGTAATGGGTAAAAGAAAAAATCAAATAGCTATATGATTCCACATAAACTCACTTTTAATGTAAAGACAAAAATAAGCTAAAAGTAAGGGATCACATGTTAATACTAACCAATAAAGCTGGAGTGTCTATGTCAATTTCAGAAAAAGCAGACTTCAGAACAAAACAAATTATAGAAATAAAAAGACACAGCAAATAATAAAAAGGTCAATATTCAAGAAGATTTAAAAATGTCTTAATGTATATGTACCTAGCAACATAGCATCAAATTTGTAAAGCAAACCCTGATAGATCTCAAGGAGAAATAGACAAATTCACTATAATAGTTGGAGAATTCAACATCTCTTATTCAGTAGTAAATAAATCCCATAAGCAAAAAATGATTAACTACATATTTACCTGAACAGCACTATTATTCAACTTGGTCTGAGTGACAGTTATAGAATACTATATCCAACAACAGCAAGATTATGTAGGTGCACATCTTAATAAGGTAACCCCTCTTTAACCACTAAGAGATGATTTTAGAGCGCTGTAGTAATTACATGATGGTCGGTGAGTGAAATCTCACTCAACTGTCTTGTTCAAATGCAACCTCAGAATAGACACTATTAAAAATACACAGTGTGTCATAACCATCTATTAGCATCCCCCAATTTTTTCATTTCCTTTGCATCATTCATTTCCTTCTGGTTTTAAGGTCTTGGTAAATTGGATATAATTGTATTTTATAGGATGGTCTTATTTTAAATTTATCCAGAAAATCATCATACATATTTCTTCAGGAGGGTTAGAAAACTATATCCAATATTGCGTAAGCTTTTGGAGCTGTACTCTGTTTTCCTCTGAGATCTTCATTCTTTAAATCCTTAGGAAATTTTCTCCCATTCTGGAAGTTGCTTGTTCACGCTGATCATATTTTCTTTTACTGAGAAGAAGGTCCTTAGTTTAACTAGATCCCATTTTTCAATTTTGGCTTTCACTGCAATTGCTTTTGTCATTTTTGTCATGAGGTTTTACCTATGTCATGAATGGTATTGCCTAGGTTTTCTTCTAGGATTTTTATGGTTTTGGGTTTACATTCAAGTCTTTAATCCATCTTGAGTTAATTTTCGTATAAGGTATAAGGAAGGGATCCAGTTTCAGTATTCTGCATCTGGCTAGCCAGTTTTCCAAACACCATTTATTAAATAGGAGATCCTTTTCCCACTGCTTGTTTTTGCCAGGTTTGTCAAAGATCAGATGGTTGTAGATGTGTGGTGTTATTTATGAGGTCTCTGTTCTGCTCCATTGGTCTATATGTCTGTTTTGGTAGCAGTACCATGCTGTTTTGGTTACTGTAGCCTTGTAGTATAGTTTGAAGTCAGGTAGTGTGATGCCTCCAGCTGCGTTCTTTTTGCTTAGGATTGTCTTGGCTATACAGGCTCTTCTTTGGTTCCATATGAAATTTAAAGTATTTTTTTTTCTTCTAATTCTGTGAAGAATGTAGCAGTTTGATGTGAATAGCATTGAATCTATAAATTACTTTGGGCAGTATGCCCATTTTCATGATATTGATTATTCATATCCATGAAGATGGAATATTAGGTCTGATATCAAGAATTTACAAGGAACTCAAACAAATTTACAAGAAAAAAAAAACAACCTCATCAAATAGTGGGCAAAGGATATGAATAGACACTTCCCAAAAGAAGACATTTACACAACCAACAAACATATGAAAAGAAGCTCAACATCACCGATCGTTAGAGAAATGCAACTCAAAACCCTAATGAGATAGCACCTTATGCCAGTCAGAATCATGATTATTAAAAAGTCAAGAAACAATGGATGCTGGCAAGGTTGCAGATAAATAGAAATGCTTTTACACTGTTGGTGGGAATGTAAATTAGTTCAACCATTGTGGAAGACAGTGTGGTGATTCCTCTAAGGTCTAGAACCAGAAATACCATTCGACCCATTACTGGGTATATCCCCAAAGGAATATAATAATTCCATTACAACGATACATGCATATGTTCATTGCAGCACTATGTCTATTCCATGTCTTTGCTATTGTGAATACTGCTGCAATGAACATATGCATAGCAAAGACATGGAATCAACCAAAATGCCCATCAGTGATAGACTGGATAAAGAAAATGTGTTACATATACACCATGGAATACTATGCAGCCAAAAAAAGGAATGAGATCATGTCCTATTCAGGGACATGGATGAAGCTGAAAGCCATCAACCTCAGCAAACTAACACAGGAACAGAAAACCAAAAACCGCATGTTCTTACACAAAAGTGGGAGTTGAACAATGAGAATACATGGACACAGGGAGGGGAACAACACACACCAGGCCTGTTGGGGCATGGGGGGTAAGGGGAGGGAACTTAGAGGACGGGTCAATAGGGGCAGCAAACCACCATGGCACACATATACCTATGTAACAAACCTGCATGTTATGCATGTGTATCCCAGAACCTAAAATAAAAGAAAAAAAAAAACCTGGAAATTTCACTCTATATGTAGATACATTTCCTTCTGGTTTTAAGGTCTTCTCTATATGACATTGTCAGTGATAATTTATTATTCTTTAGAGAATCACACACGAAATTATACAACCAGATTGGCAGAATCTAGCCCAGGTTGTCCAACCTACTCTGGAATTGTTGTAATAGCAGAAAAATATTACTTCCCTAAATTGTGCACCTTACTTTTGCATAGAATTTATTGTAGAGTTTCAAACATTTTTCTGATCTTTTAGGGACACATTCAAGATTAGTATTACTGGTGCTATGTTGATTATTATTCTGATGTTTGTTTTCTTAGGATAATACTCAATTTATTTCAATAATTTCTTTTAATAATATACAAAAATATACAAATAAAAATGAAATATTTGTGGGGTAAGTGTGTAAATCTAAGGTATATACATATAGTGTCTCAACAAAATAGAATTTAGGGGCACAGAATTTGAGTTTCACACATGAAACCGTCAGAAATGCTCTTTTTAGTGCAGTCTTATTTTTCCATTTGATGACTTATATCTAAGTATGTTTTTGCTCATCTTTTCTTTTGCTCAACCTAAATCTGGCAACTCAGTGCAAGCTCAGTTATCTTTGAGGTTGAATTTTTGGAATAATTTCTGTTAAGCAATTTCCTAAAACAATTTAGAGAGCACACAATCAGCTTTCATCACATTTAATCTCATCACGTGTTTAGGCTGAGCATCAGATCTCTTTAATGAGTCATGTGGAAAAGTTGCTTTCTAGCTTAGTAACTGCCTCTATGCTTCAGCAATTTAATTATAGTTAAACACAGAGCAAAAGAATTCAGGAGTCAGCATTGACCAGAATGCTGTTACAAAAAAAGTATAATCTTTAGTGGATTACACTGAATTATATATACAAAATACTCAGTGTCTCATTTTGTGACCTTCACCAAGGACATAATAATAAATTTTAAATTAATTTGGAAAACTTATTTTAAGGAATATAACATTTCTTAAGTACCATGGCTCATATGCTTCATTTTGTGTATATACCACATTTTCTGTATTCATTCATCCATTGATGGACACTTAGATTAACTCCGTAGTTTGGTTATTGTGAATAGTGCTGCAATAAATATGAGTCCAGGTATTCTTTTGATGTAATAATTTCTTTTCTTTTAGATAGATATCCAGTCTGGAATTACTAAATCATATGGTAGTTCTATTTTTTGTTTTCTGAGAATTCATACTGATTTTCATAGTGGCTTTGCTCATTTATATTCCAAACTGACAGTGTATAAGAACTCCTTTCTCCTTTTATTTAAATTATACTTTAAGTTCTAGGGTACATGTGCACAACGTGCAGGTTTGTTACATATGTATACATGTGCCATGTTGGTGTGCTGCAAAGAAAGTGAAGAAAAAAAAGAATTCATTTCTCCACATCCTCTCCAGTATTTGTTACTTTTTCTCTTTCTAATAAAAGCCATTCTAACTGGGGTAAAATGATATCTCATTGTGGTTTGAACTGTATTTCTCTGATGAGTAGTGAGGGTGGGCATTTTTTCATATACCTGTTGGTCATTTGTATGTCTTATTTCTAGAAATGTTTATTCATGTCTCTGCCCACTTTTAATGCAATCATTTGGTTTATTCACTGCTGAGCTGGTTAAGTTACTCGTATATTCTACTTAAAATCCCATAATTAGATAAAGAGTTTGCAAATATTTTCTCCCATTCTGTAGGTTCTCTTCACTCTGTTGATTGTTTCCTTTGCTGTGCAGAAGCTTTTTACTTTAAAATAGTTTCATTTGTCTATATTTGCTTTTATTGTCTGTTTCTGAGGCCTTACTCGTAAATATTTTTCTAGATCAATGTTCTAAAGTGTTTCCTCTATGTTTTATTCTAGTAGCTTCATACTTTCGAGTCTCAAATTTAAACCTTTAATCCATCCGGAGTTGGTTTTTGTGTATGGTGAGAGATAGGCGTCTAGTTTCATTCTGCATAAAGACATTCAATTTTCCCAGCACCATTTATTGAAGAAGGTGTCTTTTCCTTAATGTATGTTCTTGTTGCCTTTGTTGGAAACCAGTTGGCTGTAAATAAGTAGATATATTTCTGGTTGCTCTATTCTGTTCCATTGGTCTATGTGTCTGTTTTTATACCAATACCATACTGTTTTTGCTACCATGCTCTTATATTTTGAATTCAGATAGTGTGATTCCTCCAGCTTTGTTCTTTTTGCTTAGAATAGCTTTCACTATTTGGGCTCCTTTTTTTGGATCTGTAAAAATTTTAGAATTTTTTTTCTAATTCTTTGAAAAATGACATTGGTATTTTGACAGGTATTGATTGCAGTGAATTTACAGATTGCTTTGGGGAGTGTGGTCATTTTAACAATATTAATTCTTTCTATTCATAAGCATGCTATGTTTTCCATTTGTTTGTGTCAGCTTCAATTTACTTCATCAATGCATTGTAGGTTTCCTTGTAGAAATATTGTACCTCCTTGCTTAAATTTATTTCCAGTTATTTTAATTTTTGTCACCATTGTCAATAGAATTGCTTTCTTGAATGTTTTTCAGCTTATTATTGGTGTATATAAATGCTATAGATTTTTGTATAATAATATTGTATCCTGCAATTTTACTAAATTTGCTAGGTCTAAAAGTTTTTATTGTCATCTTTAGGTATTCCAAGACATAAGATGAGACAATGATAAAACAGATAGTTTGACTTCCTCTTTTCATATCTGGATGCCTTTTATTTGATTATCATACTTGCTTGCTCTAGCTAGGCCTTCTAGTACTATGTTGAATAGGAATGGGTTAAAATGGGAATCCTTGTCATGTTCCAGTTCTTAGAAAAAAAGGCTTTCAGCTTTTCCCCCATTAAGTATTATGATAGCTCTTGGTTTGTTATAAATAGCCTTTATTATGTTTAGGTATATTCCTTCTATATCTAGTTTGTCAAGAGTTTTTATCATGAAGAGATTATGAATTTTATGAAATGCTTTTTTTACATCTATTGAAATGATTAGATAATTTTTGTATTTAAAACTTCATTCTGTTGATGTATCACATTTATTGATTTGTACATGTTGAGTTATCTTTACACCCCGTAAATCAATTCCATTGTATCATTTTGTATATTTTTATGTGCTATGAGATGCAGTTTGCTAATGTTTTCTTGAGGTATTTTTGTGTCTATGTTCATCAGGAATATTGGCCTGTAGTTTTCTTTTTTTGTTGCATACCTCTCTGATTTTTGTATCAGGGTAATTATAGCCTCATAGAATTATTTAAGGAGAATGTTCGCCTCTTGAATTATTTTGAATAGTGTAAGAATCATTGGTGTTAGTTATTTTTTCAAAGTTTGGTAGAATTCAGCAGCAAGTCTATCCACTGCTGTACTTTTCTTTGATGACGGATCTTTTATTACTGTTTTGATCTTCCTTGTTACTGGTCCCTTCAGGCTTCCTATTTCTTCCTGATTTGGTCTTAGTAGATTGTATGTGTTCCGAAATATTTTCATTTCCTCTGGGTTTTCAAGTATTTTAGTGCATAGTTGTTCATAGTAATCTCTGATACCCTCTTGCATTTTTGTGGTATCAGTTGTCTTCTTTTTTATTTCTAAATTTATTTGTCCTCTCTCTTTTTTCCTTATTCTAGCTGGTGGTTTATTAATTTTGTTTGACTTCAAAAAATCAACTTTTCATTTTGTAGATTCTTTGTATTGTTATTTTAGTCTTTATTTCATGTAGTTATCTTCTGATCATCATTATTTATTTTATTAGCTAATATTGGGTATGGATCATTCTTGCTTTTCTAGTACTTCACGGTAAATCATTACATTGCTTATTTGAAATCTTTTGACTTTTTCAATGTGGGCACTTACTGGCATAAACTTCCCTTTTAAAATTGTTTTTGCTGAATCCCACAGGTTTTAGTACAATGGGTTTTTATTTTCATTGGTTTCAAAAAGCTTCTTGACTTCCTCTTTATTTCTTGACCAAATGGTCATTGAGGAACATGTCGTTTAATTTTCAAGGATTTGTAGAATTTCCAAAATTCCTCTTGTGCTTGATTTCTTGTTTTATTCCATTGTTTTCTGAGAATATACTTGATTATAATTTTTATTTTTAAAATTTTTTGGCACTTGATTTGTGTCCTAACATATGGTCTATCCTTGAGAATGTTCCATATTCCAATGAGAAAAAGGCGTATTTTGTCACTGTTGAATGAAATGTTCTGTAAATGTCTGTTAGGTCCATTTGGTCTAATGGGCTGTTTAAATCAAATGTTTCTTGTCAATTTTTTGTTTAATTTTCTTTGTTTAGTGCTGAGGGTGATTTGAATTTCCCAGCAATAATTGTATTGGAGTCTATCTATCGATCTCTCCCTTTAAATATATTTGTTATATATATACAAATTATCTGATGTTGGTGGATATATGTTAAGAATTGTGATACCTCCTACTGAGTTGATCCTTCTATCGTTATCTAATGATAATCTTTTCCTCTTCACTGGCTATACTGAAGTCTGTTTTATGTGATGCAAGTATAATTATTCCTGCTCACTTTTGGTTTATTTTATCATGGGAAATCTTTTCACATGACTACTGTAAATGTATGTGTCTTTACAGGTGATATGAGTTTCTTGTAGGCAGCATACAGTTGGATCATGTTTTTGTTTTGTTTTTTGTTTTTTTTCCATTCAGCCAGTCTACAACTTCTAAGTAGAAATTTTAATTTATTTACATTCAAAGTTATTACTGATATGTGGAAGATTATTCTTATCATTTTATTAATTTATTCTCTGTTATTTCCCTCTTCTTGTTTGTCATTCTGATTTGTTGGTTTTCTGTAGAGATAGCACTTAAATACTTTCCTTGTCTGTGTGTTTGCTCTACCAGTGGTTTTTACATTTTCATGATGATACACAACAATCTTTGTTTCCAAGTGTAGGCCTCCCTTATACATATCTTATTGGGTCAGTCTAGTGGTGATGAATACCCTCAACTTTTGCTTGTCTGGAAAATACTTTATTTCTCCCTCATTTATGAAGGATAATCTTTCTCTGTATAGTATCCCTGGCTACCAGGTTTTCTTTCAGCATTTTGCACATATAATTCCATTCTCTCCTGGTCTGTATAATTTCTGCTGAGAAATCCACTGTTAGGCTGATAAAGCTTTCTTTACAAGTGACTAGACACTGTTCTCCTGCTGTTTTTAGACTTATTTGATTTTTGCAGTTTGTCAAAACATACCATAAAGAAGACCTCTTTGCATTTTACTATTTGGGAATATCTGAGCCTGCTGTATATGGATGTCCAAATCTCTTGCTAGACCTCAGAAGTTTTCATCTATTATTTTAAAAGTGGGTTTTCTAATCCTTTTGTTCTCTATCTTATGGGAACCTGAAAATTTGAAAATTTGTTCACTTTATGGTGTCCCATATGTCTTATAAACTATACTTCTATTTTTAAAAATTCTATTTACTTTTGTCTGACTGGGTTATTTCAAGAGGCTTGTCTTCAATTTCTGATTTTTTTTTTGGCTTGATCTAGTCTGTTGTTGAAGCTTGCAGATGTATTTTATATATAATTCAATGAGTTATTTAGTTCCAGAATTTCTATTTGGTTATTTAAAAAACTCTATCTCTTTGGTAAATTTCTCATTTAAATTCTAAATTGTTTTCTGATTTTTTGTATTGTTTTTTAGTATTGTCTTACAACTCACTAAACTTCTTTAAAATCAATATTTTAAACTCTTTCTCCAAGATTTTGTAAATTTCTTTTTAATTGGTGTGTATTGCTAGAGAATTACTCTGTTCCTTTGGAGGTGTCATATATTTTTTTTTTCATGGGTCCTCTGTCATTACATTGATATGTGTGCATCCAGTGTTAAAGTTACTTCTTCCAACTTTTTAAATTTGCTTTTGTAAGGCATTTTTCTAAAGATGGATCTATCATGTTTGTTGGGTAGGGCACTTTTACTTTGATTCTGAGTTCCTGCAGTAGAGTAATCTCTGTATATAATTTCTTCAGTTATAAACAACATCAGAAATGTTTGTGATATCCTTGATGGCTTAGGGTGCAGTTATTAGTAGAGGCAGTAATAAAGTTGTGTTTGGGACTGGGATGTCAGTTGGATATCCTTGATGGCTTAGGGTGCAGTTATTAGTAGAGGCATTAATAAAGTTTTGTTTGGGACTGGGATGTCAGTTGGGGCAGTTTTATAGCCTTTGTGGTGGCATCAATTTGCTGAGCATGATAGTCCTTTGGCCCTAGAGCTACATATGCTGGCACCAGTGTTATTGGATCCAGGTGGGTCTATTCTTGGCCTTCAAGTGGCTTTCTCAGATGACATTATTGGCAGCAGTCAACAGGGCATTTGGATAGCAGATGTGGTATGGGCAATGCGGTAGCAGTGTCAGGACAACCCTCTGGGTTCCAAGTGTTGCACACTGCTGTTGGCAGTGGCTGTAATGGTCTGGGTGGACCAGTTTCCAGCATGTGCAGGTAGGTGCCAGCTGTGGTGGTAGCAGTAGTGTGGGCCAGCTCAACCTCAGAACTCCAGGAGAAGGGCTCAGATACCAATAATGATAAACTGGGCTGGGAAATCCTCAGGCCACAGGACCTCGTGCTCTGGCATTGGGGGTATGGGGCAAAGCCAGGCCAGATTACCTTGTCCTTAGGCCTTCCAATAGTGTGTGCACATGCTGGCTGTAATAGGCAGAAGTGAAGTGATCCTCAGCCCCCCAGTGGAATTCCTGAGTGGGGACTGCAGTACCTGTGCTGCAGCCTACCACTGGGGAGGGTGGGGTTGCTTTCAGTGCGGTAACAGTATGCAAATGAGTGTAAACATGCGCTTTACTTGTGCTTCAGTCCAGGCAGCAGTAGCTCAGGCTTTCCTCACAGTTTAGCTCTGGCAGCAGCAGTCCACAGTGAAGGCAGCTGAGGGCGGGGGACCCTGGGATTGTGAATATGTGTAGTGGCTCCTCTTCTGGAGGTAGTGGGGTCACCACCAGTGGCCTGTGCTTTGGCTTCAGTGATAGCAGCCAGCCACAGCAGTGGTTGCAGACAGGGGTTGTCAGTGGAGCTCCAGGGATATGGAGATGCAGGTGTGGTTAAGCCCTCTAGCAAGGTGCAGTCTACTGGGGGCTTGGTTCTCAAAATGGCACCTTGCTATAGCTGCTTAGGGCTGGAAGGGTCTGTGGAATCCAGAGTAAACTTCCTCTCTGGAGTAGAATCATTGTACCATCTCCAGGCAGCTTTCTATGTTAGTTTCAGGGCCAGTGAGGATCAAGTGGCTCTCCTGTGGCTAGCATTGTAGGAATCCATGGTGAAAATATGGACTAGTTGGGTATCTCTCATTTAACCTTTCCTCATATTGGGAAGTCTCTCCAGGTTCCCAGCCAATCATGGCCAATCAGGTGACCTTGCTTCCCTCACTTTCCTCTTTTCTTGCTTCCTTCTCTCTTTTACGTGTGTCTTATCACTTCTTTGTTGAATTCCAGTTTTCTTAATTAGATGATATATTCAAAGTGTGATTTTCTACTCACTGTTTAGGTTCTTGTTTGTGGATATGCGCAAGATGTATCTAGTCAGCCACCTTAAAGCCTGTCCTCAATTAGATCTTTTGCAGTAGTCCAAGAAAGAAATGATGGTAGCTTGACCTGGGTTTCTAATAGTGGAAATGGTAAGTAGAAATTTTTGTATTGTTCATGGAGCCCAGGTAGAGTACAAAAGCAGAATTTCTGGCGACTAGAAGAAAAGCAATATGTGTGGATAGTTTATAGACACTAGAAGATTAACAATTAATTAAATGAAGACAAAAAATATTCCCCTCTGCTTACATCTACATTTTTCAATTATGTGTGAAGCAAAGTTATTGCTGGTTGGAAAAAGGTGTGTTTGAGAAGAAAGGATGACTTTAAAAGGTCTTTTTAAAGCGTGAGAAAAGGGAATATTCTAGGTGATTAGGGTAAAATTACTGGTTTATGTAGAGTACTTGAAGGCTCTGAGAATTATTTTCTCTACCAAATGATAAATCTCTAATCCATAAACACAAAGAATATCCACTCTCCATAGTCTTTTATATTTTGGACTAATTTTCTTTATTTTTACCTTTTATTTGCTAATTTGGGAAGACAAATTATTTATGTGAAAGTAACACACAATTCTTGAGATATATAGTATGTTTTTTCCCTTTAATATCAGGGCTGATATGTTCATCCTAGATAGTCAAAAAATACCATTTGAGTAATTGAGTTAACCACAAAATAAGTGTTCACAATATTTTGGCGCTGCATTATATTAAATATTGTAAATATAGACATCTCAGAAATGTGCATATGTGTTTACCCAGCTACATTTCTGCAAAAAAGTCATTAACACAGTTTGATTTAGGGATATCAATGAATGCTATTCAGAGCACTTTCCATCAACTCCTCTTCACTAAATTAAGTTTTGTTTTTACATTCTTGATGTAGAATTTGACTTTTTTGAATATATGCATATCCTTATTAAAGCTTCTTTATTCTCTGTACTAGAAAAAGCATGTCAGTCCTTGTCTTAAGGAAATCACTCTCTTCTTGGGAAAAGACATGAAACTTGAAAATAGAAGACTACAGGTGATGAAACCCAGTCAAACATTCCTTTAAATCATATAGATCTCCAAGGTCTCCAGTACAAGAGAAGAGGCTAATCAGACAGGACATGGGACTTAGTTCTATGGAGTCAGCATAGGAACAAGATGATAAAGAGGATTTAATTTATGTAATGTTATATTGAGTGGTGCAGGAAGTTATTTCAAGGGACTCAATCCACTGGGCAGCCCCTCCTTTACTTACAAGCTTCCCTTAATTAGTTATATCTCTGTTTGTTACATTTTTCTCATCTGTAGGTTAGTTAAATAATAGCAAAGTCTTATGTCATAGAGTGGCTCAGGGGCTTACATTAAATAAGTGGTAAGGATACATTTGTAGTATATTATATAGTATACACATATTAAGTTAATATTGTTCTCTTAATTAATAGATAAGTTCAGAAAAATCCAAACTGTCTCACTTTTTAAATACATTTTCTAGAGATCAGAAATCTCTTACTATTCACTCATTTGTTCACTCATTTATGTATTTATTTTTCCTTGGATAAACAACATTTATGCTGGCCTAACTGTTTTCTGGGGCTAGGTTTGTGCTTGAACACAGTTCCTGTTCTCAAGAAAAGACTAGGAACCCATTTGACAAAGCTCAGGCCCCTAAAGGTAAAAGCAAAGAAGCTTCTACCAGATGGTAGAATATTCCAAATGGGTTGGTGGAGTTATGGTGTAAACTGTCATCCATGGTTATTGTTGTTTTGCAGAGTCTTTAGGTAGTAGCAGGAAAGTTGCCAGACAAACAAAAATTTATATAAAATATTTTTTTCTCAAATTATAGAAAGTGAGAAAATATTGAAATGTCAGAAATGTTCTAGCCAAGAAAGAAATGGCCAAATGAGATCTTTACAAGTCTTTTTATTTTTCACATGAAATAATTTCCAAGACTAAAGGAAAGACATTTGTTTGGAAAGTGAGGCAGAGTAGTAGGATATAACCTGGTTTGTTCTATACTTTCCCCAAAATACTACCCAGTCAAACTACTGAAAGTTGTGAAGATATGTTACTGTGCATCCTGATCCCATTCATTCATATAATAACGATATTATGTGTTTTTTGAGAATAAAGGGGAAATTTCAAATGCTGTTAATGTCTGCATTTTCTTTTCAATATTTACTTGAGTACTTACTCACCAGCATGCCTTGGTATAACCTAAACTTGGAATAATATCACCAAAAAGCAATCTATAAATTTTTGTCAGAAACACTTGAACATTTGACTATGGAAGCAAAGGTCTATGAACATATAAACTAATGTTAACGTTCATTATGTTGGCATGAGTGTTTTGTATGCATTTTTCAATTAGATATTATTAATAATTTGCAAAATAGATATTAATATTACAAAATTATATATAAGAAACTGAGTCTCAGCTTAAGTTGTTCAATATCACACAGTTATTAAGTAGAATAATTGAGATTTGAAGCATTTCTTAAATTGATATTTAGCTTTCATAGTCTTTCTACTAGTTAATGCTACCTCTCCATAGTCTTATTCATAGCTTATATTTATTGTAAATATAGGTAAGACACTGTGCTATCTGTACTGGATAATGCCAAAGAACATGAGCTTTCCCTGATTTGACAAAGCTTTTGATATACATAAAATAATGCACAAACACATATACACACACTCCAAAATACAATATATAATGTGTATGAATAAATAACAGTGCTAGAAAAAGTCTTGAATAATATATCTTCAGTCTTGCAAAATATATATCTTCAGATTAGGACTGTTTTGTGTAGAAGGCCAAGTTTCACCTGTAACTTGAAAGATAGGAAATGTTTTAATAAATCAGAGGACAGAAACATATCCACCAAGGTTAAGACATGGAAAATCTCTAAGCATCTTTGGGCGATGGCAAGTTGAATGAGCTTTTATTTGTAGTTTAGAAGAATTGTAGGAGATGAGTTTAGAAACATAATTGCTATAGAAAAGTTTCTCGGTGAAAACTTCAGTTATAATTTTAAAACATGGAAAGGGTTATAATAGGCATATTAAATTTTTTCGACTCACTCCAATCTCCACCTCCTGGGCTCAAAGATCCTCTCACCTCAGCCTCCTGAATAGCTGGGACCACCACACGCGGCTAATTTTTCTATTTTTTATAGAGAACAGGTTTTGCCATGTTGCCCAGGCTGGTCTCAAACTCCTGAGCTCAAGCAATCTGCACGCCTTGGCCTCCTAAAGTGCTGGGATTACAGCATGAGCCACTGTGTCCAGCCTAAAACTTTAAAATGAAATAAAATGTTAAGAAATCAATGAATAGATTTAACAGTAGATTAGAAAAGGCTAGGTAAAGAATCATTGAACTGGAATATAGACCAGAAGAAAATTTTCCAGTTAAAACATTGAGCACACTAAAATCTTTGCAGATTCTGGAAAATGATAAAATTAATAATTTATATTGAAATTTAATAGCTAAAAGATATATTCTATAAGCTTTAGAGTAACAACTAAAAGAATAGCTAGGTGATATCAGAAATTTGTCTCAGATAATAAATAATATGAATATATAATAAAACCAACAAATGGAGAAAAAAGAAGAAAGGAAACATAAAACATTCAGGGCAAATATAAAACAAATGGTAATATAGAATAGTAAGTCTAAATATGCCAGATATTGTATTAAATGTAAATAAATTAAATATTCCAATTAAGAGACAAAGATTAAAAGGCTAAGTTTTACAAAACAGACTACCTGTATCCATAATGCTTTAGGGGGAGTAAATTTACATTATTAAAATGTGCAAAAATCTGCTATATGGTAGGTTTCACTTCTAGTAATTTACTTTAGAAAATACTTCCATGTATGTTAAAGATGTATACACAAGAAGTAACTGTAAAAATTACTTCTTAACTTTGTAATGACGTGTATTTTGAATATCTTTATTGATGTATAATTTACACAAAACAAAATGCACTAATTTTAAGTGTACAAATCAAGTTTGTTAAATGCTTGTGCCCATTTAATCACGATGAGAATCAACATAGAGTATATTTCCATCATTAAAACTTTGTATTACGCACATTTATAATCACTACTGCCTGCCCATGTCCCAGGCATACATTAAAATGTTTTCTTATTATAAATTTTATTTCTCTTTCATAGAATTTGCATGAATGGAATTATATATTATATGCGCTTTTGGGTTTAGTTTCCTTTGCTCAGGGTAGAAATGTTGTTCTAATCCATAAGATTGTATGTATTGGCAGCTTGTTTTTATTATTGACAGGTAATGTCCCATTGTATGGATATATCTTATTTTTTATCTAGCCACTTGTTGATGAACATTAGAGTGATTTCTAGTTTAGCATTATTATGAATAAAACTTTTAGAAACTTTCATGCACATGTTGGTTTGGACATGTTTTCATATCTCCTGGCCGATACCAAGAAATGTAATTACCAGGTCAAGACATGAGTCTATGTTTAATGTTATTTACTGTTTTCCAAGTTTTTGTACCATTTTATATTCCAGCTAACAATATATGAGAACAATAATGGCCCCATTTCTTTGACAAAACTTGGCATTGATGTACTACTTAATTTTAGCCATTCTAGCAGTGTGTATTTTCATCTAATTCTGGATTAAATTTTCAATTTTAAGGACTAATATTATGCAGCATCTTTAACTTTTTTTTATTAGTTATTCTTACAGTTCCTTCTAAGATGTACTGCTTAAATCTTTTGCCCATTTTACTATTGATTTGTTATCTTATTATTGATTCATAACATTTATTGTATATTTTAGACATACATTATTTGCCAGGCATATATATATTGCTAATATTTTTCTTCTCATCAGTGATTTCCATTTTAGTCTGTTAGCAGCATCTTTAGAAAAATACATTTTTAATATGCTGACTCTGTCAGTTAATCAATTTTTTTAAGTTTCTTCTTAAATATGTGTTAATAGTCTCCACTGAAGCCATCTGGGCTTAAGAGTTTTCTCACTGGATTTTTTTTTACAAATTACAAATTCTGTCTGTTTAATATAGAGAAAGTTACTTGCTATTAAATGTTTTTATTTTTCTTTTGATACTTTATTTTAAGGTATTTGCTTATTTCATCATTTAAAAGTACATTGGCATCAAGTTTATGATAATATCCCATTATTTTCCTTTTATTTTTAATCTGTCATAATTTTCTCTCATCTCTGATCTCAGTAACTTATATTTTCTTTTATTGGCTTTTTAATGATTTTAGTGATATTCATCTTTTTGAAAAAACAACTGGTTTTGCTAACTTTCCTTGTTTTTTTTTGTTTTTCTATTTTTTTTAATTTCTGCTTTTAATTATTTTCATCTTTCTACTCACTTTAGGTTCAATGTGATTTTATTTTTCAAGTTTCTTGGTATTTAGACAGTTTATTTAAAACTTTTCTTCTTTCCTAATGTATGTATTTCAAGGTATATGATTTCCTCTAAGCAATACTTACTTGCAGTGCAAAATGCTTGATATGTTCTGTTATCTTTATTGTGTTGAAAATATGTACTGATTTACTTTACAATTGTTCTTTCACACATTTTTAAAAGTACGTTGATTAGGCTTTAAATATTGAAAAAAAACACTGTAGTTATTACCTGTTATTCTTAAGAGAACATGCTATCTATGACTTAATATTTTGAAAAAACTCTTTTTATAGCCCAGTCTATAGTCTATCTTAATGAGTATTTTATGCGTATTTTTTTAAAAGTGTTCTTTCTGCAGTTGTAAAATATAGTGTTCTGTAAACATTAATTAATTCTAGGAGTTAATAATGTTTACATATTCTGTGTATTTAGTAATATTACATCTTTTGATATTATTTTTGAAAGAGGATATATTAAAACACCACCTATGAGGGAAGAGAAAGATCTCTAATGCAGAAGAATTCCAAATAACTTAATGTAGATACTCTGCCTTCAAAGAAGTGGAGTGTAACTTCCCACTCCCTGTACAGTCTACAGATAATGACATTCTTCCAAAGAGTAAATATGGAAGAGATTAAAACAGCAACTTTGCAGTAGAGAAGTCTGAGAAATATCACTTTAACCCCTGATGATCAAGGTCAATATCCAAAGTGCTGAGTCATGTCGATACATGCGATAGTATGTAGCCATGATATAATGTGATGTCATTGGTATTTTACCTCTATGGTCTTTCTCCCAGAAAACCATGACACCATTGTAATCACAGAATACACACACCCTAAATATGTAATTCAGTTGAGAGACTTTCTGCAGAATATTTAACTAGTATTTCTCAAAATTTTTAAGGTCTTTAAGAATCAGCAAATCTGAGAAACTCTCGCAGCCAAGAGAAATCTTAGCAAGATAACTAATTGTAATGCTGTGATTCACATGGAATCCTGGAAAATAAAAAGGACATTAGGCAGAACTAAGGGAATAAGTAAATTATAATGAATAAATAAGGAAATTTAGCTAATAATAGTATACCAGTATTGGTTCATTAGTTTAAAAAATGTACCATCTTAATGTAAGATGCTAATGACAGGAGAAACTGGGTAAGAGAGTATATGGGAATCCTCTCAGCTTCACAATTTTACCTAGAGAATTTTCAACTTCTCTTCCTCCTCACTAGCCACCTACCACACACACAACATCAGTTTTTTTTAAAAAAAATTTAGAACAATAAGAGAAATTTTTATAGCTGTCTTAGATTTTTTTTAAAAACCTGATTTGTAAATAATTCAAGGTTGAATTAGATTATAAACTCATAAAAGTTCTTAAAATATCTAGACAGAATGGAACAATAGAAGTAACAAAATAAAAATACAACTGTAAAGTCAGATGTTTTACAGATGCTAGAAATACAGAGATTAAAAAAAGTCTTTCTCCTTACATAATGTTTAGTCTAGTGGAGAAGACGTAATATTAAACACAAATTTATGATTACTCAGACTAGGTTAAATCTGTTAATTACATGTTCCAAAATCACCCTGCTACTTTTCCTTCATGTATCCTCTATCCTTACAAATTTGGTAGATTTTCTTTATCTCTACCTTGTATTATCTATGATGAATATGTCTCATTTATTTCAGTACCTTCAGAGCCTAATAAAATAAAATTTAATACATATATTATTAATTGAACTACAATTAATTGTCATAAATCAGAGAAGGAAAGTTAACACTAAATATAAACAATATTTCTAAAAGTCGAAGCTACTTAAAAGTGTAAGGGGCATACCTGTAAAATGTAGAAGCGTCCACTTCTTTGTAGTTCTAAGGGTTGAATTTGATGTCTATCCTTGTAAGGTCTCTTCTAATTTGAAGTTTTGCTAGTTCCATGAACATAATATGTCGATGCAAATTAAATGTAAGTTGGCGGGGAGTGGTGGCTCACGCCTGTAATCCCAGAACTTTGGGAGTCCGAGGTGGGCGGATCACAAGGTTAGGAGATCGAGACCATCCTGGCTAACACGGTGAAACCCCGTCTCTATTAAAAATACAAAAAATTAGCTGTGCATGGTGGTGGGCGCCTGTAGTCCCAGCTACTCGGGAGGCTGAGGCAGGAGAATGGCATGAACCGAGGCGGAGCTTGCAGTGAGCCGAGGTAGAGCCACTGCACTCCAGCTTGGGCGACATAACCAGACTCCGTCTCAAAAAAAAAAAAAAAATTAAATGTAAGTTGTTGCACATATTGATGTTAAGTTGATGAAGTAGCTCTAATGAAGACAAAAGAATATACCTAGGTTGATGTCATCCTGAGAGCTACATTGAGTTAATTTCTTTGGAACAAGAAAATTCTCAAAGGTTACAACTGTTAAGTAAAAAAATAGTAGACTCAGAGTTGTAAAGGAAGGATAAAAGCAAGGAATAATGGGAAAGGTCATGAGGCTAGAATATTGCTCAACATAATCCATGAGATATTTTTAACACATGTTGTGAAGGTAAATGTAACATTGGTGAAGTAGAAGCTGAAATTAAAAAGTCTCATCCTAAGTAAGCTGATACAATGAAAATTTCATCGATCTGTATTTTAGTACAATTTCTGAGGGGTGAGGAGGAATTTTCTTTGGTATGAATATATTAACTGAAGTAAAGATACATTAAGTCTTACATTCTAGTATTTTAATTTTTCATCAAAGTAAAATATATAATGATGATGCCCATATTAAATACCTGGAGGTCCTGTTATGCTATGAAGGAACCATTCAAATATGGTTCTGTGTAGCATAACACTAATGTTATAATATACATTTGCTATGAGATTCTTTTCTCTAAATTACCAACTTGAGTCATCTAGAAACCTGAGTAATTACATTTGATTATTTATATCTCTCACTTGGGTTGACCAATGACTTTTCTAAAATGCTATTTAAGATGACACAAAGCTAAATACTCTTAGCATATCATCTTAAATCCTCAAATGAATTCTCACAGCAAATATGAAAGTTAGATGTGATAATTATTTTATTAGAAGAGAATCTAAGGTGATAAGTAGTGTAACTAAAACAAATCAAATACCTATAAAGTTTTAGGCAGGTAAATTGATTGAGTAGATGAGGGAGTGATGGAACATGTGCTGAACCAGAAAAAAAATATGGTACGTATTCTTTATTAAAAAGGCAACCTAATAAATCACCTAAAGGGAACTGCTACATTTTAGGTCATATGTCTTTTTTTTTCCTCTGAAAGTACCCACATTCCTTTCATTCAATTCAGGGAAGAGACAAGGGTATTTATTTTAAAAAGGTGTCAGATTAAGAAAGGAAATAAAATTTTTGTTCAAGTATCTACTATTAACAACTTAATACTTTAAAAAGCAATAAAACATAGTTTTTGTATGGCTTACAAATGGCTTTTGAAAGCTAGTTTAAAAGAGATACAAATATATTTTGAGTGGCAAATAACAGTGTTAAAATAAGAACATTACAGATAACTACCTGGAAGCACATATTTATTTGCATATCCAAGTCATTATTAATTTGTTAAAAAGTCACATTTTTCTATAGTCACAACTTATATTTTCCCATGCTGTAAATTTATATAAAAAGTGGTACAAGATTTAAAAATGTACCACTCTGATATTACTGTGATTGATTCTGTTGTATTTGTGGAACTACTTTAACTTTCTGCCTTTAATCTCTTGCCCTTTTAATTCATCCTCCACACTCTTGTGAGATATCTTCTAAAATGTTAATTGGATGATTTTACTCCTTTTTTTCAAGTTATTCAGTGCTTCTCCACCATCTTGAAGATAAATCTAAATATTTTCATATGCTATATGTAGTGCTGCAGTGTTGGCGCTTGTGTCCTCTTTTCCAAATTTTATGCATAGTGTTTACCATGAGGATCCCACAATATTAATAGCTCCCTGAGTATGCCCTGCACTCTCATATTATCCTTTCTCTGTCCAGATTGCTATTTCTCCAACATCCATCTAACTCTTCCTGGTACTTGGAGCCTCAGTTTCACATGCACATTCTTCTGAAAGATCGGTGTGATTATTCACTGCTTTCACTGTAGAGTTGGTTTAGTGCCTGTTCTGTGTGCTTTGCCTCATGTGCAATTCATCACCTTTCTTGTCACTATGTATTTTAAAGTCAATGTTCTTTTGTGTGTTTTCCACTAGATTCCTTATTTCTTCATGTTGAGACACTGATACTGTCTAATATTAATACAAAGATCTTCACTGAGTACTTTAGTAATAAGTGAATTTCTAAAATAATTCATTTACCCAAATAAAAAACCTAGGCCCTCTGCCACAGTAATATAGTCTGTATTTATACTGCACACTTTCTTCAAAGGAAGTCTTCTTCAAAAAATATGTAAACCCCTTTATATACCAACCCAATGTAGACTATGATACAATATCTCTATACCTAAATGAGATTTAAAATGTTTTCAGTCAATCCCTGGGTAAGCAGAATTTTAATATTTCTCTTGTCAGGAATAATAATTGAAAGGATGTGATTATAACTAAGATATCTAGCTGCCAATCAGTACTAGTGAGAAAAAAGGAAAAAATGAAAGAAAAATTAAAAGAAAAATAAATCAAGAGATAGACAAATGTCGCAGAATCAAAGGCATTCAAATGGACTATTTTGTAAATCTTCCCAACATGTTTCCTACTTCATAAACTTACTACTAACTTGTCTCTATCCACAGGTCTACCAACATTTCCCCCTTCTTTCTTTAAGGTTCAAACTTCTTTAAATCTCCTCAACATAAATCAGTAGACAATATTAAAAAATAACAATTGTAAGAAATGTCCTGCTTTCCATGGCAACCTATTAGTGACTGCAGCATATGGAGGAATGAATCAGAGCAGAGTGGCAAGACAAGCTGGCAAGGGCAAGAATGCACCAGAAGGGTCCTTGTTTTAGGCTAATTGTTTCTTCCCCAAATTCATATTTTGAATCCTTAGGTCCCAGAATGTGACTGAATTTGGAGTTGGGGCCATTAAAGAGGGGACTGAGTTAAAAATGAGGCTCTTAGGATGGGCTCCAATCCAATGTAACTGTGTCCTTATATGAAGAGGAGGAAATACCTGGGATGTGCACTCACGCAGCAAAGGCTATCTCCAATCAAAGGATAGAGGCCACAGGAGAAACCAAACCTGCCGACAACCTGATCTCGGTCTTCAGCATCTAGAACTGTGAGAAAATAATTACTGTTATTTAAGCCACCCCCTCTGTGGTATTTTGTCATGCCATCTCTACCTACCTAACACAGGGTCCAAGCTGAGAGAAGGCCGTTTGGGAGTCAGGGCCTGAGCAAATGGTGCATCCAGCCAAGGTGGAAGCTTAGGTCTGCAGACTGGCTATATACAGGATTTTGAACAAGACAATAGCATTGAGAATAATGAGCCACAGCCTTCCCACTCTTGAAGAAGAAAAGTACAGGTATGGAAAAGAAGAAAACTAGATTAAAGCAGGAGGTTCAATTTATATCCTTTTTAACTGTTTACTGAAAGGGCCTGAAAAGCAAAAGCAGTTCAGCAGAAATGAGCACAATTAGAGCTTACTTTTTGTTTTCTAAAAATTATTCCATATTAAAAGGAGCTACAGATGCTTGTATTTTAAGGGGCACTGAATAGCCAGAATGATATTTAAAAAGAAGAACAAATTCAGAGATTCATACTCCCAAAACTTAAAAATTACTACAAAAGATGATAAACAGTGTGATACTGCCATAAAGGTAGATATATAGGCCAATGAACTAGAATGGAGGAATTAAACCTAGACACTGCCAGCCAACTGATTTTCAACAAAGATTCTAAGACCATTCAACAAGTAAGGAAAAGTCTGTACCAAATGGTGTTGAGGAAACTAGATGTCTACATATTAATAAAACTGGACTCATATTTCATACCACACACAAAATTTAACTCTAAATAGACCCTTACCTTACCTTAAAGCATATTCAACAATCAATTTAAAATAGGTCAATGATTTAAGTATAAAAGCTAAAACCAAAAAACACTGTAAAAATAGGCATAAATGTTTATGACATTGGATTTTGCAGTGGTTTATCAGAAATGACACTGAAAGCATGAACAAAAAAAAGAAGAGAAAAATTGGATTTTATCAAAATTAAACACTTTTGTGCATCAAAGTTAACTACCAAGAAAGAAGACAACCTACAGAATAGGATAAAATATTTGTATGTCATGTATCTGATAAGAGTCTAATAATCAGAATATATAAAGAACTTTTATAAGTCAACACCGAAAAGACAAATAATCCATTAAAAAGAAGAGTAAGGACGTGAATGGGCATTTCTCAGAAGAAGATATAGAAATGACTAACAAGTATGTGAAAAGATATTCAATATTATTAGTCACAGGGGAAATTCAAATGAAAACCACAATGAAATACTGCTGAACACTGACTAGTATGACTAGAATCAAAAAGAAAAACAATAAATGTTGATAAGTATACAGATAAATTGGAATCCCTATATATTGATGGAAGGAGTGGTATAGCTATTGCAGAAAATAGTTTTGTTATTCCTCAAAAATTAAAACAGAATTCCCATATGATCCAGAAATTTTACTCCTAGGTGTATACCCCAAATGACGGAACACAAATTGGAGCAGGCCCTGTTACATGAATGTTTATAGCAGCATTATTCACCATAGTTCCAAGGGGGAAACAACCCAAATATCTCAACTATGCATCAACAGCTGAATGTACAAAACAAATTGTGAAATACATATGCAATGGAATTGTGAAATACATATGCAGTGGAATATTATTCAGCAACGAAAAGGAATGAAAGAATGATAAATACTACAGTGTGAATGAACTTTGAAAACATTTTGCTAAGTGAGTGAACCCAGACACAAAAGATCATGTATTATATGATTCTACTTTTATAAAATATCCAGAATAAGCAAATCCATAAACACAGAAATCAGGTCAATGTTTGCCAAGGTTAGGAGAAGTAGAGAATGGGGAGTTACTGCCTAATGAGTATACAATTTCATGGTGGGGTGATAAAATATTTTAGAACTAGATAGAAGTGTTGGTTTCACCACATAGTGACTGTCTTAACTATTCTAAATAACACAAAATTTTTATTAAAATAATTAACTTTACATTATGTGAATTTCCTGTCATTAAAGAAGTCCTCATTTGATAATCATCATAGTCACAACATAATGTTAAATGACACTAAAACTAGCATGTAAATGTAGAATAAGGAATACAATCTTACATAGTCTCAAAGTACATACCCACAAAATATGTATTAATTTAAAGGGAATAAAAACAGTAACTTTACATTGGAGAAGCTTCACAGACATCATTGTGGTGAGATTTCATCAATGTGATGAAGGCATCACTAATGGGACAATTCTACAGGTATGCTATTCAATAAGATACAATGAAAGACTCAGTATCATCTCTGTAATTTGCAGGCCCAAATATATGGCCTGTGTGTAACAGAAATAAGTAACAACTGACTGGAATGCTCAATACTGGATTGGGTCCTTATGTTCAAAACTTTTTGAGATGGTGCACAAAACAGTGAGATCCCTGGCAACAGTATGCAGGTTTCTTTTTTCACATTTATTTTATTTTTTATTTTCATAGTTTTAGTGGGAATAAGTACAGTTTTGTTACATGGATATAATGGGTAATGGTGATGTATTGGGTATAAGTACAGTTTTATTACATGGATATATTGTGTAGCCCGCCTGGGCTTTTAGTGTAAATGTCATCCAAGTAGTGTACATTTTACTTATTAGGTAATTTCTCATTCCTCACCCTGCTCTCAATCTTCCACTTTTCTGAGTCTCCAGTGTCTATTATTCCGCTCTCCATGTCCATGTGGGTACATTGTTTGGTCCCACTTCTAAGTGAGAACATGTGTTATTTGACCTTCCGTTTCTGAGGTATTTCACCGAAGATAATGGCCTCTAGTTCCATCTGTGTTGCTGCACAAAACATGATTTCATTATTTTTTAAGGCTAATATTCCATGGCGTATATATAGATTTTCTTTATCCAAGCATCCATTGATGGGCACCTAGGTTGGTTCCATACATTTGCTATTGTGAATAGCGTTGTGATAAATATATGAGCGCAGGTATCTCTTTTATATAACGATTACTGTTTGTTTTCACTAGTGGTATTGTTGGATTGAATGATAGTTCTATTTTTAGTTCTTTGAGAAATCTCTACATTGTTTTCTATAGAAGTTTTATTGATTTACATTTCTACCAACAGTGTATAGACATTCCTTCTTCTCCACATTCTAACCAACATCTACTTATTACCTTTTACAATAGTAATAGCCATTCTTGGCCGGGCGTGGTGGCTCATGCCTGTAGTCCTAGCACTTTGAGAGGCCGAGGCAGGCAGATCACTTTAGGTCAGGAGTTTGAGACCAGATTGGCCAGTAAGGTGAAACACTTTCTCTACTAAAAATACAAAAATTAGCTGGGTGTGGTGGTGGGCACCTGTAATCCCAGCTACTTGGGAGGCTGAGACAGGAGAATCACTTGAACTGGGAAACCAAAGGTTTCAGTGAGCTGAGATCACACCACTGCACTCCAGCCTAGGTGACAGAATGACACTCCATCTCAAAAAAAAAAAAAAAAAAAAAAAAAAGCCATTCTGATGAAAACAGACACATAGATCAGTGGAATAGACTAGATAACCCAGATGTAAATCTATATTTCTAGAGTGGACTCATTTTTGACAAAAGTGTCAAGGACATAAATTGGGGAAAGGGCAGTCTCTTCAATAAACGGTGCTAGGGAAACTGGTTATTGATGTGCAAAAGAATGAAACTAGACCCCTATCTCTCACAGTATAGAAAAATCAAATCAAAATGGAAGAAAAACTGAAATCTAAGACCTTGAACTATGAAAATACTAAAAGAAAACATTGGGGGAAACTCTCCAGAACATTGGTCTGGACAAAGATTTCTTGAATAATACCCTACAAGCACAGATAATCAAAGCAAAAATGGGCAAATGGGATACATCAAGTTTAATAGCTTCTGCACTGAGAAGGACACAATTGACAAATTGAAAAGACGACTAACAGAATGCGAGAAAATATTTGCAAACTACCCATCTGACAAGGGATTAATAACTAGAATATATAAGGAGTTCAAACACCTCTATAGCAAAAATATCTAACAATCTCATTTTAAAAATGGGCAAAAGGTCTGAATAGACATTTCTAAAAAGAACATTAGCATGGTAAAGATATATATGAAAAAGTGCTCGACATTTATGATCATCAGAGAAATGCAAATAAAGCTAAAATGAGATGTCATCTCATTCCAGTTAGAATAGCTTTTATTGGAAAGTCAGGCTATAACAAATGCTGGCAAGGATGTGGAGGAAAGGGAACCCTGTTATGCTGTTGGTGGTGATGTAAATTAGTACAAACACTATGGAGAATCGTTTAGAAGTTCCTCAAAAGACTAAAAATAGAGCTGCCATATGATCTAACAATCTTACTTTTAGATGTATACCCAAAAGAAAAGAGATCAGAATACTGAAGAGATACCTGCACTTCTCTGTTTATTGTGACACTATTCACAAAAGCCAAGATTTGGGAGTGACAGATAAATGGATAAAGAAAATGTGGTACATATAAACAATGGTTTACTATTCAGCCATGAAGAAGAATGAGTTCCTATAATTTGCAACAACATAGATGGAACTGGAGGTCATTATGTTAAATGAAATAAGCCAGGTACAAAAAGACAAACTTTTCCTGTTCTTACTTATTTGTAGGAGCTAAAAATGAACATAATTGAAATCATGGAGATAGAGAGTAGAAAGACTGTTATCAGAGGTAGGGAAGGGTTGTAAGATGGTGGGGGGAAGTGGGGATGTTTGATAAGTAGAAAAAGAGGGTTGGAAAGAATAAATGAGACCTAGTGCTTGCTAGCACAACAAGGGTGACAATAGTCAATAATAATTAATTGTACATTTAAAAATAACCAGAATAGTGTATTTGGATTGTTGTAACACAAAGGATAAATGCTGGAGATGATGAATACCTCATTTTCCCTGACATGATTATTATGCGTTGTATGCTTGTATGAACATATTTTATGTAACCCGTGAATAAATTCACCTACTGTGTACCCACAACAGTTAAAAATAAAAATAAATAATAGGCCGGGCACGGTGGCTCACGCCTGTAATCTCAGCACTTTGGGAGGCCAAGGCGGACGGATCACGAGGTCAGGAGATCCAGACCATCCTGGCTAACAGTGAAACTCTGTCTCTACTAAAAATACAAAAAAAAAAAAAAAAAAAAATTAGCTGGGAGTGGTAGGGGGCGCCTGTAGTCCCAGCTACTCAGGAGGCTGAGGCAGGAGAATGGCGTGAATCCGGGAAGCGGAGCTTGCAGTGAGCCGAGATCACGCCACTGCACTACAGCCTGGGCAACCGAGAGAGACTCCGTCTCAAAAATAAAATAAATAAATAAATAAATGAAAGCCATTCTGTCTGGTATAAAAAGGCGTCTCGTTGTGGTTTTGATATGCATTTCTGTGATTAGTCATGTTAAGCATTTTTTAAATTTTTTTGGCCGTTTGTATGCCTTCTTTTGCAAAATGTCTCTTCATGTCTTTTTACCACTTTTTAATGAGGTTTTTGTTGTAGTTGTGTTGTTGTTTGAGTTCCTTGTAGATTCTTGATATTAGTCCTTTGTCAGAGGCATAATTTGTTAGTATTTTCTGCCATTTCGTAGGTTGTTTGGTCACTCTGCTGATTATTTCTTTTGCTTTTCAGAAGATTTTTAGTTTAAATTCTGTTTGTCTATTATGTTATTGTTGAGTTTGCTTCTGAGGTCTTAGTCATGAATTATTTGCCTAGGCCAACGTTCAGAAGAGTTTTTCTAGGTTTTCTTTTAGAATTCTTGTAGTTTTAGTTCTTATATTTAAGTCTTTTTTTCATCTTGAGCTGACTTTGGTATATAGTAAGATATAGGGGTCCAGTTACATTCTTCTGCATATGGTTATTTAATTTTCCCAGCACCATTTATTGAATAGGGTGGCCTTTTCCCAGTGTATATTTTTGTCAACTGTGTTGAAAATAAGATGGCTGTTGATAAGAGGCTTTATCTCTGTGTTCTCTATTCTATTACATAAATCTATGTGTCTATTTTTATATCAGTACCATGCTGTTTTGGTTACTATCACCTTGAAGTATAATCTGGTGTCAGGTAATATGATGCCTCCAGTTTTGTTTTTTGCTTAGGATTGCTTTGGATAGTCAGACTTTTTTGGGGGGTTCCATATGAATTTTAGATTTTTTTTTATGATTTTGTGGAAAATGGCATTGCATTGAATGTATTGTATTTTGATAGGGATTACACTGAATCTGCATATTGCTCTGGGAAGTATGGTTATTTCAATGATATTTCTTCTGATCCATGAGCATGCCATGTTTTTACATTTGTTTGTGTCATCAACAATTTCTTTTATTAGCATTTTGTAGTTTTCTCTGTAGCTATCTTTCACTTTCTTGGCTAAATGTGTTCCTAGGTGTTTTATTGTTTTGTGTTAGCTATTGTAAATGCGACTGACTTCTTAATTTGGCTCTCAGCTTGATCATTATTGGTGTATAGAAATGCTATTGATTTTTGCACACAATTTTGTCTCCTGAAATTTTACTGAATTTATTTATCAAATTGAGGATTCTTTAGGGTTTTGTACGTATAAGATCATATTATCAGCAAACAGAGATAATTTTATTTACTATTTCCAATTTGAATGCATTTTATTTCTTTCCATTACCTGATTGGCCTGCCTAGAACTTTGAGTATTATATTAAATAGGAGTGGCAAAAATGGGCATCCTTGTTTTATTCCAGTTCTTAGGGGGAATGCTTTCCATTTTTCCCCATTCAGTATGATGTTGGCTGTGGGTTTGTTTTATATGTCTTTTATTGTTTTGAGTGTGTTGCTTTTATTCCAAGTTGGTTGAGGGTTTTTATCCTGAAGGGATTTTGAATGTAATCAAATGCTATTTCTGCATATCTTGAGAAGATTATATTTTTAAAAAAATTTATGTGATGAATCAAATTTATTAATTTGTGTATGTGCAATAACCTTTGCATCCCTGGAATAAAACTCACTGGAACAGGGTGCATTATCTTTTTGATGTCCAGTTGTATTCTGTTTGCTAGTTTCCTTGAGGATCTTTGCATCTATGTTCATCAGGGACATTGGCAATAGTTTTCTTTTCTTATTGTGTACTTACCTGGTATTGGTATTAGAGTGATACTGGCTTTGTAAAATGAGTTAAGGAGAATTCCCTTCTCTTTAGTTTTTTTGAAAACTTTCAGTAGTATTGTTACTATTTCTTCTTGTACGACTGGTAGAATTCAACTGTAAATCCGTCTCATCCTGGGCTTTTTTTTTTTTTTTTAGGAGATTTTATATTACAGATTCAATCTTATTATTTACTATTGGTCTGTTCAGAATTTATATTTCTTTCTCATTCAGTCTTGTGAAGTTGTATGTTTTCAGGAATTTATCAATTTCCTATAGGTATTCTAGTTTGTTAGCATAGAAAAGTTCATAATAGTCTTTGATGATCTTTTGTATTTTTATGGTATCTGTTGCAATGTACTATTTTTTGGGCAAAATTTCCAGTTGTGCTTATTTAAATCTTCTCTCTTCTTATCTTCCTCAGTCCAGCTAGTGGTATTTCAATTTTATATATTTTTTCAAAGAACCATTTTTTTCATTTCATTTATCTTTTGTATTTTTTTTTTTTGGTCTCAATTTCATTTAGTTCTGCTCTGATTTTTGTTATTTCTTTTCTTCTGCTAGCTTCAGGCTTGGCTTGTTCTTGTTTTTCTAGTTCCTTAAGGTGTGATATTAGGTTGTTAATTTGTAATCTTTCTATTTTTTGACATAGGCATTTAGGCTATAAACTTCCCTCTTAACACTGATCTCTTGTATCCCAGAGACTTCGGTATATCGTGTCTTCATTTTTATTCATTTTGAATTTTTTTAAAAAATTTCACCTTAATCTTGTTGTTGATTCCAAGTCATTCAGGATTATTTTGGATCATTTTCTTTAATTTTTATGGATTTGCATAGCTTCAAGAGTTCCCCTTGGAATTGATTTCTATCGTCAGAATGTCAGTGATATCATGTGAGAAGAACTTATCCTATTATTGCTGGCTTTGAGAAGGAAGAGAGGCTGTGAGCCACTGGACATGGCCAGCCTCTAGAAGCTGTGACATTCAAGGACATACATTCTCCCCTAGAACCACCAGAATGCAGCACCTTGACAACAGCTTGATTTTAGCCAGTGAGACCTATTCAGATTTCTGATCTACAGATCTAATTTCTTCTAGCTAAATGAGAACCATTTGCCTGAGAAGTTCTCTTCATTGCCCAGGGAAAGCACACAATGACAGACTGACACTGGCATACAGAAGTCAGGCCCTTTGACTCAAATTGCGACCAATTTTGTGGTAAAAGTTAGGCTTCCGGGCTCCCTGTGAAATCAAGCTGAAGATGACAGACTAGAGGTGTTGTTAGCATGCCTCACTTACTCAGTAATAGCAAAAATTGTGTTTAGAGATTCACACAGTGAACGTATATCCAAGAAGGAATACAGTTTTGCATTCTTTGTGCTATTTTTATACTATACATTTTAAACATCACTAAAAGAAGATGCAGTGACTCAGAAAAAAGTGGTTACTTAGTAAGCATATCTCAAGAAAATATTTTGATATTAAAAATTATCTGTAAACCATGGTTATTCATACACTTACTTCAAAAGATACTGTATTAAATAAGGTAATGCATGTTAAGTACTCTGCAAATTTCCTGGTTTGTGCTACTCAGTAAGTATCAACTGTGGATGTATAATAACAAAGGGAAATTAGGACAATATCTCAACTGAATTCCTTTACAACAATGTATTTTATAAATTGCAATTTAGTTCATACAGCTAAGACTAACAGGCACAGTCTATTTTTAATTATCTAATTAAAACTTTAACATTCTTCAGTGTTCTTAACCAATCTCAGTGTTTTGCTGCTTTTTGTTCACTTTAAAATATTACATATGTTATTGAAGAAATAATGTATGCATGTGTTTGAAATGTTTTGAAAAGTATTAAGAGTAGCAGATAACAGATCTCTTTTAAACACTTTAGAATAAGTCATTTTAAGTATTATCTTGTATACATTTCCAAAATATTTCTTTACAAAGACTCACCTTCACACATTAAAATGCACATTCAAATATAAAGACATTCACATTTCTACATTGTATTTTATCACCTAAAATTAAATTCTGAATATATTTCTATTAAGCATATATAAATCTTTCTATCCCATAATATTAAATTGTATTTCATTATAGATATGCATGGTTTTTATTTAAAATAATTAATAATCAGTACAAACACTGTCCAATCAGAATGACTGCCTGAACACTCAAAACAAACATGGGTGTAATAGTGCCACAAAACAACAATTTCAATAGCTTATAATTTCAAGCATTTATTTCTCATTCCTGAGTTTACAGATTCACTGATTTTGAGTTCATATAGCTTTAGTGTTTCTTACTCTAGTGACTAGGGTTAAAGAGGAAATGTTCTCACTGTGGATGTTAGGAATGCAAGAGAGTTTGCCTAACCACACATTGTATTTAGAGCTTTATGCCTGCTTACACATCACTGGCTAAAGCAAAGTGTATGACTCAGGGGCATCAGGGCAAGAGCAGAATGTGAAGAAACATTTGTAAACAAATGCTGATGTTTATCAAACTGAATGTCAGTTCTGTATGGAATTAGCACTATATTTTAATTTTTGTGGGTGCTTAGGTGTGTATTTTTATGGGGTGCATAAGATGTTTTGATACTGGCATGCAGTGCATAATAATCACATCATGGTGAGTGGTGTATCCATCCCCTCCGGCATTTATTCTTTGTGTTACAAACAATCTAAGTATATTCTTTTAGTTATTTTTAAAAGTACAATTAAATTATTATTGACTATAGTCACCCTGTTGTGCTATCAAAGAGTAGGTCTTATTCATTCCTTCTATTTTGTGGTACCCATTAACCATCCCCACCTCCCCACTGCAACCCCAACGCCATTACTCTTCCCAACCTCCAGTAACCATCCTTCTACTCTCTATGTAATTAGTTTAATTGTTTTGATTTCTTAGATCCCACAAATAAGTGAGAACATGGGATTAGCATTATTTCATTAAACAAATTTTATTGATGTACACAGATACTGTTTCTATTCTATAATTGTTATAAGCAATGCAATAATAAAACTTTTTAATTTCAGGTAACTTTTTATTTTCAAGTTTTGAAGTTTCTATAGTAATAAGTTTCTATAGTAATAAATTGTCCAAAAGTAGAATTTCTGTGTCAGAATATAAACATGATTATTTTGATCGAAGCTATCTTCTAAAGAAGTTGTATTCATTTATATTTCCATAGCAATATGTGAATGCTTTATTCTTCACACACTTCCCTATACTGTATGGAGAATTGTAAATTACTATATTAATTTGCATTTCTATAGTTTTTAGTGAGTTTGAAGAATTTCACATATATACAAATCACACAACCTTCCCATTAGTATGAACTGCATAATTCTATTTGTTATTCATTTTCTGGTTGTGCCCATTTTCATATAGGAGCCTCTAGATATCTTCTCTTAGGCAGAACTTCTTTTATATATCTTGCCCAATATTTGTATTATGTTGTTGGTCTTATTTTAATTGATGCTTACTAATTATTTGTATGTCATCAATTTTAGTCATTTGTCAGATATGTGCAGTGATGTTATATTCTCACAGTTTTGGGCTTGACTTTTCATATACAGTAGGTCCTCAAATAACATCATTTTGTTCAATGTCCTTTTATTATAACACTAATGAGAAAATAAAATTGATTTCCAGCTAAGGTTACTGCCTGTGTGGAGTTGGCATGTTCTCCCCACATCTGTGTGAGTTTTCTCCAGGTAACTAAATTCTTCTCTTATCCCCAAAATGAGCACGTTAGGTGAATTGGTGTGTATAAATGGTCCCAGACTGAGTAAGGGTGGATGTGTGTGAGTGACCCTACCATGGCATAGCATCCTATCCAAGATTAGTTTCTGCCTTGCACCCTGAGCTGCTGATAAGTTTCTGCCATCCATTACCCTGAACTGGAATGATTAATAGCTATCTTATTTGTTTTTAATTCCTCTTTCTTAAATGTATGCATTGTTAACATTTATTTCAATGTTTAATATCAGAAGCATTTTGGTCTTGCTTAGAAGTTTGGTGATGTTTCTGTGTCCAAAAATATGCAATAGGAACTTAACTCTTGTTTGTTTCAATTAGCTTATGTTAGAATTCATTTTGTTATATGATTTTTCAGTTAAAGTCACAGTTTCCAAGAAGCTATCAACAATGTTAAGTGAGTACTTACTATACTAAACTGATGCTATATGGTAGATAGATGTTCTTAATTTTAATGAAAGCTACCTTATTAGTCATTTTTATATGTAGTAAATTTTGTGTCCTGCTTCAGAAATTGATGTGTACTGAAAAGTCAGAAAATATTTTTTCTAAAAGTTTTGGTATTCTAACTTTCACATTTAGACTTATGATACATGTCAACTTCGGTTATGTATACTGTACAAGGTAAAAGTCATGGTTCATTATTTTTCACTACACATATTCACTTTTTATAGGACATTTGTTAAAATCATCTAATCCTCCACTAAGTTACAGTGAAATCTATGCCATGATTCAAGTGAATATTTAACTATGGGTGTGTTTCTTTATTAAGTTTAATTGGTTCATTTGTCTGTCTTCGCTCTAATACTCCACTGTCTTAGTAATTGTAGTTTTATGGTACAACTTAAATGCTGGTGCTGTAACTATGTCAGATTTATTATTTTTCAAGATAGAGAGTCTAGACCATTCCAACTCATTTAGCTTTTCACATAAACTTTCAGTTCAGCTTATTGATTTAAAAAGTACAAACTACAAATTTGATTGGAATTGCATTGAATGTATAGATAAATTTGGAGAGAATTGACAACTTTGTAGTAGAGTTACCTCTTCATTTATTTAGTGTTCTTTAATTTATCTGAGGAATACTTTAGAGAACTTTTCATGTAGAGGTCTGGAAAGCATTTTAAAAAATTCATTCATAGATACATGGTGTTTTGTGGTACTAATATATTTTTAAATTTTATTTTCTATTTGCTTCTATCTGTTGATAGTATATAAAAACTCAGTTTATGTTTTGTACATTGACTGTATATTCAATGGAAAGCTAAAATTATTCATTTGTTCTAATATGTTAATAGTACAGTAGTGTCCCCTTATCTGTGGTTTTGCTTTCTGAGGTTTCAGTTACCTGTGGCCAACTGTGGTCCAAAAATACTAGATAGAAAATTCCAGAAATACACAATCCCTAAGTTTTAGATTGTGTGTTGTTCTGAGTAGCATGATGAAATCTTATGCCATCCTTCTCTGAAATCACCCATTTGTTAGTCACTTAGTAGCTGTCTTAGTTATTAGATTGACTGTCACAGTATTGTTGTGCTTGTGTTCAAGTGAGCCTTATTTTACTTTATAATGGCTCTAAAGCGCAAGAGTAGTGATGCTTGCAATGCAGATATGCCAAAGAGAAACTGTAAAGTGCTTCCTTTAAGTGAAAAGGTGAAAGTTCTTTCCATATTAAAGAAATAAAAAAATTTATGCTGAGGTTGCTAAAAAGCTTCTAGAAGAACAAATCTATCTGTGAAAATGTGAAAAAGTGAAAAACAAAAAGTGTGTATAGTATAGATTGGGTTTGGTACTATTCATGGTTGTTAAGTATCCACTTGAGCCTGGGAACCTATGAAAGGAGGAAACTACTATGAGGCTTTTATATTTTCTATATGCAAATTCAGCTTATTTATAAATGCAGGTTGAGTATCCCTAATCTGAAAATCCCAAATCCAAATTACTCCAAAATCTGAAACTTTTTGAAAGCTGACATGTTGCTCAAAGGAAATGCTCATTGGAACATTTTGAATTTCAAATTTTGGAATTATGGGGGCTCAACTGGGTAATGCAAATATTCCAAATCTGACAACATTTGAAATTCAAAACAATTCTGTTTCCAAGCTTTTCAGATAAATGATGTTCAACCTGTAATGACATTATTTGCCCTTTTCTTTCTGATGCATATACATTTTTAAATGTTTCCTAACATATAGCAGTGGCTATACATTAATATTCAATAAATTAGGTTTTTATGTCTTCCTTTTTTAAAAGTTCTGAGCTAGAAGAAAGTGTTACAAGTTACCATTAAATATGATATTAACTAAATTTTACAGACTGTTTTAGATTAGGAATATTTACTTTACTATCAACTATGCTGATAGTTTTTATCAAGAGCATGTATTGATATTATGAAATGTGTTTTTTCTGTATCTCTTGAGATGATCCTATGGTTTTTATTCTTTATTCTGTTTAATATAATGAATATTGCTTTGATTAAGTTTTGAATATTAAAATGTTCTTGTATTTTTAGAATAAACCCTACTTGGTCATGGTATATTATCGTTAATATATTACTGGTTTTGGTTTGCTATTATTTGTTTAAGGTATTTGTGTCTATTCTCATGAGAGGTATTGCAAAATATGTTAAGTGTCTTAAGAAGAAAACTGGGCTTGTGTTTGAGGCAGGTACTCTTACTCTCATTGTGCATCATTTCCCCAAACACTGTAAGAATTCAGGAGATTTCACTCTCACCATTTTCTGTATAAAGCTTTAGATTTCAGCATATTTAATGTAGAAAAATCTGGATACATATTTGGGGATTCTCCAGATTCCAATATTTCATGTCAGCCTTTGTGACTCTTAAAGATTCCACTGGTTTCTCTTTTTTTCCAAAATGGTTCCTTTCTTAATCCAAGCCAAGTCTTCAGCCCTTGTCCAGAATTGGCATCTTTTATCAGATAAAAATATTGCCATCAATATCTTGCTTAGGTAAGGATAGGGTAATTTATGCAAATTAAAAAATTATCCAAATCTAAGGATACTCAGAATACTTAATAAATTACCCAACTTAAATTAATAGTTAAGCTGGAAAATAACAAATTAATTGAATGGTAAAGATTTTGTGCATCGCTGTTAAATAGGAAATTTAAACTAAAACCTAGAAACAAATTTAGTTTATTCATACGTTTTACCAAATTGTTATTGAATGCCTACCATGAACATGGCTCTACACAAGGCAGTGGGATGTATAAAAGAGCAAAACATTGGCCTTGCTTTCATTGAACTCACAATTCATTAAGAAAAACAGTTATATAGTATTTCCACAAACACGACAATAAAATTATGCAAAAGGTACAAAGTTAATATACTTATGAGAATAGATAGCTACATGGGATATGGGTATCCAGCTCAGGTTCCGTGAATTTCATGATGTGTAAGCAGGGATTTCATAATTAAACACTTATTTGCCAGAAAAGTAAGAGCAAAGCAAACTCTTAAACAGATGGGAAAACATATACAAAGCTATATAATGTAAAATAGCTTAATGTCTTAGGAATTCTATGAAACTTACCATCATCTTAGTGGAAAATATAGTAGGGTATAAAGTTGGAGAGATCAACATTTACTAGATCCTAAGCCTTATACACTATACTTAAAAAAAGCAGAACATATTAAAAATTTTAAACCTGAAATCATAACAAAAAGATAGAAAATTATAGAATATAGACATATAATATAATATGAAAAATAAAATCCCATTCCTCCCACTCTTAAGTAAAACATGAATTCATAGATTTTGCCCTCAAGAAGCTTACATTCTAGTTGTAGAGATAAAACCAATATGTAAAAATATATTAAGAAATAAGTAGTACTAGTTTATGTATAACCGTCTTTAAAAGTAGTTGAAGGTCAGGCCGAGATGGGCGGATCATGAGGTCAGGAGATCGAGACTATCCTGGCTAACACTGTGAAACCCCGTGTCTACTAAAAATACAAAAAAATTAGCCGGGCGTGGTGGTGAGTGCCTGTAGTCCCAGCTACTCGGGAGGCTGAGACAGGAGAATGGCGTGAACCCGGGAGGCGGAGCTTGCAGTGAGCCGAGATTCCTGGGAGACAGACCGAGACTCCGTCTCACACACACACACAAAATAATAAAAATAAAAAAATTAAAAAATAGTTGAAGGTCAAATTTGGGAGAAAACAGTAAAGATTGATGCAATTAAAGAAGGAAATATCCACTATCCTAATGTTATAAATACTTATAAATTTAACAATAGATGTGCAAAACATTTTACTCTGAAATCTATAAATACTGTTGAAAGACATGCAAAAAGACCTAAATAAACAAAAAGAAACCTCATATTCATGGTGAAAGACTTAATATTGTTAAGATTTCAATACTTTGTAAATATTCCCTAAATTGATCTATAATCTATGCAATCCCTTTTAAATAGCAGCTCTATTTTTGTTTTGTTGTTTTGTTCTATTTTAGCAAAAATTCACAATATGGTCCTAAAATCATATGGAAATATAAGGGACCCAGAGTAGGCAATCTTGAAAGAGAAAATAAAGTATGAAAGACTCATACTTCAGAATTTCAAAACTTAGTACAAATCTACACTTATCAAGACAGCATGGTATTGACAAAATTGACACATAGATCAATGGAAAAGAACGGATAATCAAGAATTAAATTCTTGCATGCATGATTGACTGGTTTTATACAAAGGTGCAGCAGCAATTCTATCGATAAAAGTTCAGTGGAACTGAAACTGATAGGCAATACTAGGGAACTGAGACATGGAAAAGCCTAGAAAGAGAACAGAAATGTTGAAATGGGCAAGACTTTGAATTGAGTAAAGATAATTGTGTAGATTGCAGGGAGTGAGTAGTTGTTTCCAACATTGAAACAACGTGAAATCAGGATCTGTGTTCAAATAGATTGCTATGAATATGGTTATTAGATTTAAAATATAATTTAGTAGCTCCAACCCTAATTGCTTTAAACATCAGGATATTACTGTGCTATATTTTGATCATTTACTATGACACATCTTTTCTGTAGGATTTCATCAACTCTAACCTGGTCTATGCCAGTTTCTTTTATCCCCTTTCATGTCCTCACAGCAGCCACCAGAAACTGAAAAAGGCATGTCTCTCAAAGTTAGCATGCCCAACAAAGAATTAGTGATTTACCATCATCTCTAACAGTTTTTTTTTCAATTCTCTTACATTTCAATATATGGTACCACAACTCACACAGTCACTTAACTTAAAAAAAAAGGAGTTATTTTTCCCTTTACTTCACCCTATACGCAGAACATGAGTAAATCCTGCCAATTGCCCTTCATAATGTAACTTTAGCTTTTCTACTTATTCACTTTCTACCCTAGATGACACCATAATATCTAATGTGGGCAATTGTAGTAATATCCCACCTTGGTGTCTCAAATATCCTTCCTACTCTGCAATGTAATCTCCACTCAGCAAACAGAGGAATAGTTTAAAAATACAAATCAGACCATTATCACTCCCTTGTTTAAAATTCTCTGATTGTTTCTTACTTCACTTAGAATTAAATCTTAACTTTTCACCATGAAGTCTAAATCCCTGCATGAAACAGACTCTGCATGTAAGAGTTGTTCTCTTCGTTCCAGCATCAAAACTCTTTTACATCCCCAAGCCTTTGAGCTTTCAATTCTTTTTTTCCTTGAATTTCCACCCTTCATAGGTTTTCATGGCTAGGTTCTTTAAATGGTAAAGCCTCTGCTCAACTATCTTTATAGACACTCAATTTGGTCATCCATTCTAAAACATGAAAACTCCCATTCTATTGTCAATATTCCTCATATTATCCTGTCATAGTAGCTTCATGGCACATAATACTATGTACAACTTTGTTGTATACTTATAGTTTTATTTTTACCCCCTGCCTCTCCTCTACACACTCTAAAGAAATAATCCTGGCAAATGAAAGATGCTCATTAAATATTTTTAGAAGAATGACAATTCAAACTTCTTTTAGCATTGCAGAGTAGGCTTCTATATACTGTACCTTACATCAGTAAATTCATCTACCAATTTAGTATTCTAAATACACAAGCTGGCTTATCATAATTTTTTTTCTCTAAAGTGTCTTTTCCTTTGTACATGAAAAAGCCATCCCTTTGCATAGTGATAAGACACTGTTATATATAATGCCAAGCTCTAAACAAATCACTAAAAAAGTGAGTAAGAACATTATTATTGGCTCAGGCTAGTCATTTAGAGTGATGGTTACTCACTTGTTCCCATTATGAACAATGGAACATGGGGAAAATAGCTGGGGGATAGAATTAACAATGTCTACTATAGATGCCACTGTAAGATAAAGAAAACATTGTACAATTTGCATATCAGTAGTAGAATTATAATTTATACAATTCAATTTTTTATTAGGCTAGAAACTTAGTGTAAATATTTATTTTAAAAGGTCAGGAGGAGAGCTTGAAAACCTTACTGGAAAAAATAACCCGTTTGTTATTACGCAGGAGCTCTCCCTCTACAACACATCTGTGAGTTAAAAAAAATTTCTTTAAAATTTTAAAATCTCATTCTTCATGTAAGAGGGAATTCTGTTATGCTTTTATTATTCCCAGTGAGTATTTTGCCTACTGCTTTTGCACAGGAAATAAAAATACTTTGTGTAGAATAAAATATGCTAATATCTGTGCTTGCAATTCCCATTTTTTAATTTGTATTCTTCACTGTTACCACAGAAAGAGACAGAGGTTTTTCCACATACCTAATATTTTTCCTATCTTATTCAGGCCTTCCAAAGTCAGCTGTGTTAGAAGAGAATCAAAAGTGGTAGTAAATGCTGCTCCTAAAATATAAATTGATATAATCTCAGTGAAAAACAATTTAGGTCCATCAGATATGTGGAATCTAAATATGTTCATATTCTTTGACCCAGTAATTCAAGTTTCACAAATATATCTTAAGAAATAATAGGATGAGGATAATCATTCACATGTAAAGATTTTCACTGCAGGGTTATTTATATTAAAGAATAAATTGGTAATGTTCTGACTATATAAAAGTAGAAGATTGGTTAAATAAACTATGACACATCCATAAAATGGAATACAATACTACTAATAAAAATACTGTGCATTAATAGTTAATGCCATGGAAAAACACTCATAATAAATTATGTACCAAATGCTGGCTACAAAGATGTATGAATTGCAAAGTTCCAATTTTGTGGGAAGAAATGTGTGTGTGTGTGTGTGTGTGTGTGTGTTTGTGTGTGTGAGAGAAAGAGGTAAAGGAAAAAAGTAATTATAGTGATTTCTCTTACTGTCAACTTACGATGTTTATGGTTTTTTTGTAGTGTTTTCTAAATGTGTCTATTTGTGTGTTTGAGTGTGTATGTGTGTGTGTGTAGGACATTTATTTTCAAACACAATACTGATTTGACGTTAGAAGAGAAGAATGTCTTGCATTTCACTAGCTGAATCCTTTTTTATGCTACAAGCAGCTCATTTCCATTCTGTGCCATTTCATTATTTCACATAAGCTGATCAATATATTTTGATGATAAATTTGGTATTTGTAATCACTTTCACCATTCACTGTGTTGTCATGCTCACCATCTCTCTGGACAAAGATCAAATTTATTAACAGTGCTTCTCCGAATCCCTCATGTCACAGTCATGGGGCACTCATGAGGCAAACACGTAAAGGGAAGTGTCCAAGTTCCAAACCTCATGAGTATTTATGGGGAGAGTTTCCATGGTCTAAAATAACAGACTTCTTTAAAATACGCATCATGTTCAGACCCAAGTTCCACTTGTGAGATTCTATCTCAAGAAATATATCTGGGCTTAAATCAAACAGAGTATCATTGTCTTTCTGTTGTTATTGCTTTCTGGTTTCCACTTAGGACATCTTTGTTTATCTCTGGGTCATGAAGATATTCTCCTCTGTTTCCTACTAAAATTTTATAATTCTAGCTTTTCCATTTATGTATGTGATCCGCCTTTAATCTATTTTGTAAAAATGTGAGAAACGTGTGGAAATCTGCTTTTAAATGCCAATAACCAATTGTTCCAGCATCAAATATTGAATCAATATTGAATACATTGGTGGCTTTGTGGAAATTATAAATGTGGGTCTATATATGGATTCTCTTTTTGTTTCAATTTTTCTATTTTTCAATTGCTACGCAAATATAAAACCATCTTTATTACTGTACTTTAAAGTATAATACTGTAGCTTTATGATTACCATAGCTTTCTAAAAATCAATGTACTATAGCTGCATAGGGCTGAAGTCAAGTAGCGTGTGCACTTCAACTTCATCATTCTTTTTTACAAGTTTTAGAGTTAGCTTTTCAATTCCTATTAAAAACTCAGTAGTGATTATTATTGAGATTACATAAAATCTATAGGTTAACTAGGGGATAATTTCACATTATAGATATTTAGCTTCCCAATCCATGATCACCTTATATTTCCCTTTTACTTAGGTCTAACTTAACAGCATTTTGTGTTTTTCATTGTGGTGGTTTTGATCAACATTTGTGAAATTTATTTCTCCGTACATTTTACATTCTGAAGCTATCTTATATGGAATTTAAAAATATAATTTCCAACCATTTCTAGTACATATAACTAAAATAGACATTTTAAAAGTAAATTTTATCCTGAAACTTTGCTAACTGCTTATTAATTTAGAAATTTCTGTGGTTATCCCTTAGGATTTTCTATATAAACCATTAAGTCCTTGATCAGGAACTGTTTTAACACATCCATTCTCATCTTAGGTACTTTTCATTTCTTTTTCTGTTTCCTTTAGCCCTCAGTGCAGTTGTAAATAGAATGGGTAAGAGAGAACCAAAATAACCCAAATGTTCATCAATAAGTGAATAGAAAAGTAATTTATAATATATTCACATAATAGAATACCACTCAGCAATAAAAAAATGAGTTGTTGATAAACACAACAATGTGCTTAAGTCTCAGTATCATTTTTGTGAGTGAAAGAAGTCAGAAAAAGCACATACATACAGTATTATTTAATTTATATAATATTTTGGAAAATGTAAACTCATCTACAGTGACAAAAAGCAGATTTTTGGTTGCCTGGTGCTGCAAGAAGCCCTGGATATGAAAAAGCAGGATGCAAGGAATGCAAAAAGGCACAAGAAAACATTGTAGGGGGGATGAAAGATATATTTAATTTCTTGATTGCAGTGACAGTTTCCACTTATGATGTCAACATATTTCAAATTTTACACTTTAATGTTTATGATGAGTCAACTGCAAATTTATGTAGGTTTACATGTCTTAAAAAAATGAAACTACTGGACTTTAAAAACATTTTCTAAACAAATTTTGGATAGAAAGGGAAAATCAAAACAGAAATTAAAGTTTGTTTTCTTTCCCGACAAGATACAGGATTAGAAGCTTTTAGTGTGCTTCAGCCACTTGGTAATAGCAAAATAGTGTGTAAAGATAAACTCTGTGAGCTTTAGTTCAAGAAGGAAAATAGGAATTCACTGGAATAGTGAAGGACACCTAAGACCCTAGGAAGAAGGTGGATAAGCAGCTCCGTGACAGTGCAGCTGATAAAGTGAATGGAGCCCCACACATGAGAAAGGCATCCAGTCTTGCTCTGTGTCTCTCCTTTCCACTCGTAATCCGTGCAGTCCAGGCAAAGGGAGAGCATCCTGTTTCTCGGAAGCACAGAAGCTAGCTTGAAGAGAGGCTGAGAGAGGGAAAGAAGAAAAGGCAATGGGGAAAGCTGCAGGCATTTTCCCAGAACTGGGATTGAGAGGACACCATTTTTAATCTGGGCTCACACTAAGTCAGTCATTGTTTGGTGACTGGGCAATGACAGCCTCTGTAGACATTTAAGTATAGGCCAGAGATTGGAGCACTTGTTCTGGAGCAGAGGAAGGGCCCCCACAGCCAGACTGAGTAGTCAGTGTGGAGAGCACCCTGACAGTAGGCATTAGAATTAGGCTGTCTCCCCCCAATAGGATTGTAGTATTGCTGAAGTTGAGGTTTCACAAGGGCAGTGTGACTTTCAACTAGGGACAGTTTTGCAACCTGGAACTGGTCTGCATATGTCAATGCTGAGTGCATCAGTCTGCTCCCTTGGTCAGTTTGGGCACAGTGCTCCGCTAGCTCTGAGAAGAGGGAGGGAGGCAGATCCCAATCCCTGTTAGATCCAACCCTCAGTGTGGGCTACCCCTAAGGGGTAGAGCACAGCCTTACAAAGCCTTCTTTAGGTCAAAGGAAACACAATGCCAGCCACTGAAGGGGGCAACACCAAAGCCCAGACATGGACGTGGAGAGGGGTCAGCTCTTTCTTTCCTGCCCACCTCCACAATGCACAGATGGGGCATGGTGACGTGGTTTGGATTTGTGCCTCTGCTCAAATCTTATGTCAAAATGTAATCTCCAATGTTGAGGGGCCTGGTGGGAGGTGATCGGATCATGGGAGTGGACTTCCCCTATGCTGTTCTTCTGATATTAAGTTCTAATGAGACCTGGTTGTTTAAAAGTGTGTAATATTTCCTCTTTTTCTCTCTTCCTCCTGCTCATGTAGTACATGCCAGATTTCCCTATACCTTTTGCCATGATTGTAAGTTTCCTGAGGTCTCCCCAAAAGCAGAACCCTGTACACCCTGCAGAACCACAAGCCAATTAAACCTCTTTTCTTTATAAATTACCCAGTCTCAGGTATTTCTTTATAGCAGTGCAAGAATAGACTAATACAGAAAATTGGTTCCAGGAGAATGCAATATTGCTATAAAGATACCAGTAAATGTGGAAGCAACTTTGGAACTGGATAATGGGCAGAGGTTGGAAGAGTGTGAAGGGCTCAGAAAAAGACAGAAAGATGAAGGAAAGTTTGAAACTTTCTAGAAACTTGTTAAATCGTTGTGACCAAAATGTTGACAGTGATATGGAAAATGAAGTCCAGGTTGAGGAGGTGTCAGATGGAGATGAGGAACTTATGGAACTGGAGCAAAGGTCACTTTTGTTATGCATTAGTAAAGAGATTGGAGGCTTTTGTCCCTGCCCTAGAGATCTATGGAACTTTGAACTTGAGAGAGTTGATTTAGGGTATCAAGCAGAAGAAATTCCTAAGCAGCAAAGTGTTCAAGACATAGCCAGGCGGCTTCTAACAGCATAATCTCATATGCATGAGCAAAGAGATGATCTGAAACTGGAACTTATATTTAAAAGGGAAGCAGAGTATAAAAATTTGGAAAATTTGCAGCCAAGCCATGTGGTAGAAAAGAAAAATCCATTTTTCTGGAGAGAAATTCAAGTCAGCTGCAGAAATTTGCAAAAGTAAAGAGAAACAAAGTGCTAATAGCCAAGAAAATGGGGAAAAGGCCTCAACGGGATTTCAGAGATGTTTGCAGCAGCCCGTCCCATCACAAGCCTGAAGCCCTAGGAGGGAAGAATAGTTTCCTGGTCAGGAAGCTGCACAGGTCCCTGCTACCCTGCACAACCTTGGGAAACTGCTCCCTGCCTCTCAGCTATTTCACCTCCTGCCATGGCTAAAAGGCCCCCAATACATCTTACTTAGGCTGCTGTTCCAGAGGGTGCAAGCCATAAGCCTTGGTGGCTTCCACATGGTGCCTGCAGGTGCACAGAGGACAAGAATTGAGGCTTGGGAGCCTCTGAGTAGATTTCAGATGTATGGAAATGCCTGGCAGTTCAAGCAGAAGTCTGCTGCAGGAGTGGAGCCCTCATGAAGAACCTCTACTAGTGCAGTGCAGAGGGGAAATGTGGGGTTAGAGCACCCACACAGAGTCCCCAATGGGACACTGCCTAGTGACGCTGTGAGAAGAGGGCCACAGTTATCCAGACCCCAGAATGGTAGACCCACTGCCAGCTTGCACCATGCACCTAGAAAACACACAGGCACTCAACACCAGCTCATGAAAGCGGCTACAGGAGTTGTACCCTAGAGAGCCACAGGGGTATAGCTGCCCAAAGCCTTGGAAGCCCACCCTTTGAATCAGTGTTGCCTGGATGTTAGACATGGAGCCAGTGGAGATTATTTTGGAGCTTTGAGATTTAATGACTTCCCTGCTAGGTTTCAGACTTGCATGGGGACTGTAGCCCCTTTGTTTTGGCTGTTTTTTCCCTTTTGGAAAAGGCGTATTTACCCAATGTCTGTACCCCTATTGTATTTTGTATTTTTGAAGTAACTAACTTGTTTTTTATTTCCTAGAATAATAGGCAGGAGGGACTTGCCTTTTCTCAGATAAGACTTTGGGCTGTGGACTTTTGAATTAATGGTGAAATGAGTTAAGATGGGGGACTGTTGAGAAAGGATGATGCTGTTTTGCAGTGTGAGAAAGACATGAGATTTGGGAGGGGCCAGAGGCAGACTGATAGGATTTGAATTTATGTCCCAGCCCGAATCTCGTGTTGAATTGTGATCTCCTATGTTGGAGAAGGAGCCTGGTGGAAGGTGATTAGATCATGGGGGTGGACTTCCCTCATGCTGTTATCATAATAGTGAGTGAGTTCTCATGAGATCTGGTTTTTAAAAGTGTGTAACACCTTTCCCTTCCCTCTCTTCCTCTTGTTCAGGCCATGTAAGTAGTGCCATCTTTCCCTTTGCCTTCTGTCATAATTGCAAGTTTCTTGAGGCCTCCCCAGAAACAGAAGCCTCTGCAGCCTGAAGAACCATGAGCCAATTAAATCTCTTTTCCTTATAAATTACCCAGTCTCAGGTATTTCTTTACAGCAGTGTAAGAACAGCCTAATACACCTGGGGCATGTGGGCCAAAGAGGTCAACTTCTTGGGCTTCTCCAGTAGCTCCACTCATGTCAAAAGTAAACAGCACTTGGGGAGGGCACTTCTCATGCTTCTCCATCACCTTCACCACCCACAGCCAGCACTCACAGCCAGAACCTTCTGCCAGCTCTTACTGATAAGTGCCATCTACAGGTATGCAGCTGGAATTACACCACCAAACAAAAATTGATTGCTACACCAAGTAACATCTTTGAAAAGCACTACATGAGTATATCTGCAACAAAGGGATCTACACCTAACAATGGCCCTCTGAAAACATCCAGAAATAAAGCCAATCAATTATACAAAACGTACCCCACAGTAATACTCTCATGGAAAAAAAGTCCCATCGAAACTATAGCAAATTCAAAAAAAAAAAAAAAAAAAAAGGAAAGAAAAGAAAAGAAAGAAGCATCAGTTCCCTCAGATGAGAAGAAACCAGCAAAAATAACTCCCAAATACAGAAAGCCAGAGTTTTCTTTTTGTCACTTCCAAAGGATTGCACTAGCTTCCTTTCAATGGATCCTAAAAAGGATGACATATCTGAAAGGACAGAAAAAGAATTCAAGATAGATGAAAAGAAAACTCAAAGGAATCCAAGAGAAAGTTGAAATCAAACACAAAGAAAACAGAAAAATGATCCAGGATTTGAAAGAAAACATAGCTATATTAAGAAAGAACCAAGTGAACTTCTGGTATTAAAAAATTTACTACAGGAATTTCAAACTACATTTGGAAGCCTTAACAATAGACTAGACCAAGCAGAAAAAAAGAAGTTTCAAGCCTGAGGAATAATCTTTTGAATCTACCAACTCAGACCAAATAAAAAGAAAAAAGTGAATTTGAAAAAAACTTTAAGAAATGTGAGATTATGTAAAGCAATTACATCTATGATTTATTGACATTCTTGAATGAGAAGAAAAGAAAGTAAGCAACTTGAAAAAGATATCTGAGAATACAATTCAGGAAAATTTCCCCACTTTTATTAAAGAGGTCAACATGCATGTATAAGAAATCCAGAGAACTTCTTCAAGATACTGTACATGACAACCATCTGAAATGCACATAGACACAGAGTATCTGTGAGAAACAAAATATCTTAAAGGCAGTTAGAAAAAAGGGAAAAGTTACCTACAAAAGGAAACTCATCAGACTAACAGTGGACTTCTCAGCAGAAACCTTACAAGCAAGAAGAAATTGGAAATTTATTGTTAGCATTCTAAAATCAAAGAAATGCCCTCCAAGAATTTCATATCCTGCCAGACTAAGTTTCACAAATGAAGGATAAATAAAACTTTTCCCAGACAAGCAATCACTATGGGAATTTATCACCATCAGAATGAATCTACAAGAGATGCTTAAGGGAGTTTTAAACATGAAAATGAAAGAATAATACTTGCTACCATAAAAGCACACATTAAGCTCATAGCCCATGGACCTATAAAGCAACTATGCAATCAAGACTACAAAGTAGTATATAGTATTCTATGACATGAAAAAATACTACTATATAGTATTCTATGACATGGAAAAAAACCTGACATATCATATTATCCTTGAACAAAAAACAGCCTATGTGCTCTAATTAAAAGACATGAGGTGGCAAACTGGATTTAAAAAAATCTAACCTTCTGCCGTCTTCAAGAGACCTATCTCACATGTAATGCCACTCACAGGCAAAAGTAAAAAAAAAAAATAGAGAAAGATCTGTCATACAAGTGGAAAACACAAAGAGCAGGGGTTGCTATTCGTGTATCGTATAAAATATACTTTAAACCAGCAACAGTTAAAAAGGAAGAGCATTCCATAATGATAAGTGATTGAATTCAACAAAAATATTTAACTACCTTAAATACACATACACTGAACAGTGAAACACCCAGATTCCTAAAACAATTACTTCTAGACCTAGGGAAAGACAGACACACATTAATAGTTGAACACTTCAGCATACTACTGACGACATTAGGCAAATTATCAAGGCAGAGAACTAACAAAGTAATCTGAAATTAAATTTGATGCTTGAAAAATTGGACCTAATAGACATCTACATAATAATCTGCCCAAAAGCTACACAATATATATTATTCTCATCTGCACACAGAACATATTTTAATATTGATCACGTATTCAGTCATAAGGTGAATCTCGACAAATTCAAAAAAATTTGAAATCATACCAAGCATACTGGAATAGTGGAATAAAAATAGAAATCAATACCAAGAGGAACTCTTGAAACCACACATTTACATGGAAACTAAAGTTGTTCATGACTGACTTTGGGGTAAACAATTAAATAAAGGCAGAAATTTTAAAAAAAAAATCCTTGAAACAAATGAAAATAGAGATGCAGCATACCAAAACCTCTAGGATGCGGCAAAAACAGTGTGAAGAGAAAGTTTATTGCACTAAACGCCTACATCGCGAAAACATCTCAAACTAGCAATTTAACATCACATCTAAAGTAACTAGAAAAGCAAGAACAAAGTAATCCCAAAGTTAGCAGAAGGAAAAGGATAATAACTAACATCATAGCAGAACAAAATGAAATTGTACCAAAATATATATGAAAAATTAATAAAACAAAAAATTGGTTGTTTAAAAGGATAAACAAGATCAATAGACTACTAGCTAGATTAACAAAGAAAAAATAGGAGATCTAAGTAAGCACAATCAGAAATAATAAAAACGACATTACACCTGATCCCACAAAGATATGTAAGACTCTCAGAGATTAATATAAACTCTTCTAGGCACACATACTTGAAAACCTAGAGGAAATGGATAAATTCCTAGAAACACACAAACTTTTGCGACTGAATCAGGAAGAAATGGAGACCCAGTAAGATTTCTGGAAATTGAATTAGTAATAAAATACCTATCAACCAAAAAAAGCCCTGTACCACACGGATTCCAAATGAATCCAGACATACAAAGAAGAGCTGGTACTAATGCCACTGAAATTATTCCAAAATATTGAGGTGGAGGAATTCCTCCCTAACTTATTCTATAAAACTAATATGGTCCTGACACTAAAATCTGGCAAACATACAACAACTAAAAACTACAGCCAGTATGCTTGATGAACATAGACACAAAAATCCAACCCTGCTCCCTCCCTCTCCCCCCCAAAAAAACTACGTGCAAATCAAATCCAGAAACACATCAAAAAATTAATTCACAATGATCAAGTATGCTTTATTCCTGGGATACAAGGTGGCTTCAACCTATGCAAATCAATAAATGTGATTTACACCATAAAAAGAATTAAAAATAACAAAACAATAATCACCTTAATAGATGCAGAAAAAGTATTTAATAAATTTCAAAATTCCTTTATGATTAAAATTCTCAACAAACTAGGAAACAAAGGAATACATATCAAAACAATAAGAGCCATCTATGGCAAACACACAAAAATCATAAGTCTGAATAAGCCAAGCCTTGAAGCATTCCCCACAAAACTGAAACATGACAAGAATGTCTACTCTCACCATTCCTACTCAACATAGTACTAGAAGTCCTAGTCAGAGCAATGAGGCAATAGAAAGAAATGAATGGCATCTAAATAGGAAAAGAGGACATCAAATTATCTCTCTTCTCTGATGATATAATTCTATGCCTAGAAAACCCTAGACTCCACCAAAAGACTCATAGACCTGATAAATGATTTCAATAAAGTTACAGGATATAAAATAAATGTGAAAAAAATCTGTAGCATTTCTATACATCCATATATTTAAGCTGAGAACCAAATCAAGAATGTAATCCCATTTACAATAACCATGAACAAAATAATATAACTAAGAATACACGTGATCAAAGAGGTGAAAGATCTCTAAAAGAACTACAAAACACAGCTGAAAGAAACCATAGACAACATAAATAAACGGAAAACCATTCCATGCTCGTGAGTTGGAAGAATCAATATTATTAAAATGTCCACATTATCCAAAGCAATCTACAGATTCACCACTATTCCTATCAAATTACTGATGTCATTCATTACAGAATTAGGAAGAAACTTTTCTGAAATTCATATGGAAAAAATCCAAATGGCCAAAGCAATCCTAGGCAAAAAGAACAAAACTGGAGGCATCACATTATCTGACTTAAAACTATACTACAAAGCTACAGTTACCAAAACAGCATGGTACTGGCACAGAAATAGACGCATAAACCACGGAACAGAATAGAGAATTCAGAAATAAAGCCATGCACATACAACCAACTAATCTTTGATGAAGTAGGCAAAAATAAACAATGGGGATAGAACACCCTATTCAATAAATGATGCTGGGAAACTTAGTTAGCCATAAGCAGAAGAATGAAACTGGACCCCTACCTCTCACCCTATATAAAAATTAACTCGAGATGGATTACAGATTAGATGTAAGGCCTGAAACTATACAAATCCTAGAAGAAAATCTTAAAAAATACTCTTTTGGACATCAGCAAAGGCAAATAATTTATCACTAAGACCTCAAGAGCAATTGCAACAAAACCAAAAATTGACAAGTGTGACCAAATTAAATTAAATAACTCTACACAGGAAAAGAAACTATCAACAGAGTGAACAGACAACCTACAGAATGGGGAAAAATATTTGCAAACAGTGCATCTCACAAGAGACTAATACCAGAATCTATAAGGAACTTAAACAATTCAACAAGAAAAAACAAATAACTCCATTAAAAAGTGGGCAAAGGACAAGAACAAACACTTCTCAAAAGAAGACACACAAGTTGCCATTAAATATATGAAAAAATGGTCAACATCACTAATCGTTGGAGAAATACAAATCAAAACCACAAAGAGATACCATCTCACACCAGTCAGAATGGCTATTATTAAAAAGTCAAAAAATAACAGATATTGGGTAGGTTGTGAGGAAAAGGGAACACCTATACACTGTTTGTGGGAATGCAAACTGGTTCAGCCCCTGTGTAAAACAATTTTAATATTTCTCAAATAAGCAAATATGGAACTACCACTTGACCCAGCAATCTCATTACTGTGTATGGACCCAAAGGAAAATAAATTATTCTACCAAAAAAAAACCACACTTTTATGTTTGTTGTAGCACTATTTGCAATACAAGTATATAGAATCAATCTAAGTGTTCATCAATGGCAGATTTCATGAAGAAAATGTGGCACGTATACAATATGAAATACAACTCAGCCATAACAAGGAATGAAATAATGTCCTTTGCAGCAATGTGGGTGCAGCTGGAGGAAATTATCCTAAAAAATTCAATGCAGAAATAGAAAACCAGATATCATATATTCTTACTTATAAGTGGGAGCTAAGCATTGAGTACCCAGGGACATAAAGATGAGTGCAATAGACAATGGGGACTCCAAACAGGGGGATGGAGGGAGAGAGGCAAGGGCCAAAAACTGTGTATTGGGTACCATGTTCACTGTTTGACTGACTGGATGAACAGAAGCCCAAGCCTCTGCATAACACAATATACCCTTGTAATAAATGTGCACATGCATGTATCTCCTGAATCTAAAATTTAAAAAAATATATAGAAATTAAGAACTCTTATAATTAATATTGAAAAAGCTACATATCAAAATTCATGGACTACATTTAAAGTAGCAATTAGATCTAATTTTACATGCCTACACTAATAAAATAATAAGCATAAATATGTTAAAATTTTAACTCATAAAACTAGTAACAAAAAGTGAACCAAATAGAAGTACACTGAAGAAAAAATGAAGATAAAAACTAAAATTGATGAGGCAAAGGACAGAATAAATAAAATAAATTAATAAATTAGAATTGTGTTTCTTTAAAAAAAGATCACACAGGATGCAAATCTAATCATGAAAAAGTAGGAAACACAAAAGTAGACTTAACTTTTGGTAAAGAAGAATTGGAAAAAAATAAGTGAACATACACACACATCATAAAAACACATTTGAAAACCTAGAAAATGGATTATTTCTTAGAAAAATGCTATTTATTAAAATTAACTGCAGTAGTGGTTAGGCATAAACAGATCAATATTCAGATGACAAACATAAAATTATGAAGGAACTATTCCTTAAAGAAACACTAGGTTTCCACAGAGGAAAAAACAATGTAGTTTTCACAGGAAAACCTTAAAAACATTTCAACCCAGACAATACAAATGCTGCATAAATTATCTCAGAGCACAGAAAATAAGAGGAAACTTCGTTTCTTTTTATGATGCAGATATTGCATTGATACCCAAGCCTGATAACAGTAACCTTAAGACATAGATGAATGTCCCTTAAAAATTTAAAAATCTTAAATAAAATATTAGCAGACGCATTTGAACATGGTAAAAAATGTGTTAGGCAATTCTTGCATTGCTACGAAGAAATACTTGAGGCTCTGTAATTTATCTTAAAAAATGATTTAATTTGATTCACACTTCTGCATGCCATACAGGCAAGGCATCAACATCTGTTCGGCTCCTGGTAAGGGCCTCAGGAAGCTCACAATCACGGCAGATGGCAAAAGGGAGCTAGCATATCACATAGCGAGAGCAGGAGTAAGTGAGTAGAGGAAAGGTGCCATGCACCTGTAAACAACTTGCTGTCACATGAACTCACTCATCGCCAGGGGATAGCACTAAGCCATTCATGAGGGATTCACCCCATGAGCCAAACACCTCACACCAGGCCCCACCTCCAATAGTGAGGATTACATTTCAACATGAGATTTGGAAGGGACAAATATCCAAACCATATGAGAAAATAATGCATTATAAATTATACCAAGAATGCAATGATTGTTTATTATATTGAAAATCTATTAATATAATTCACCATAATTTACATGATATCCATATGGTTGATAGAAAAGGCTTTGACATAATTCAGCATAACAAATAATAATAAATAATGCATATTATATATAAATAATGCAGAATATATATATATATATACAAAGAGAGAGACAGTCTTAATGCCAGTCTTGTGCTAGAATGTAGAACCCGAAAAACACCCACGATTTAAAAATAAAACAAGCAATAAAAAAACTGAAAATATAAAAATTGAGAAAGAATAAATAGAATTAACTATGCATGATAGAATACCTGGAAAAGCTTTGAGAATCAATAATAAAATTATCTCAAAAATGACTTCAGTAAGGTAGTGGGGTACTATATTAACACCCAAAAATTGATAGCATTCCTATTCACAAATAAGCACCAATTAGGTAGTAAAATTGATAAAACAATTCCAAAGCAACAAAAATATAAAACACTTATAAATAAAGTTAACAAAAATTATATTAAATGGAGAACACTGTAAAACACCCCTGAACATCACACATGTGACTTGGAGAAATAGAAAGACATCTCTTCTTCATAGTTAGAATGATTTTATATTATAAAGGTTTAGGTCTTCCTAAGTGTACTTATAAATTTAATGTGACTTAACAAAAAAATTATAATGAGAATTTTATAGAGCTAAGCATCTTAAAGTTTATATGAAAAAATAAACAGATAAATTTGCTGTAGAAATGTTGAAAAGAAAGAGCTATAAGGAGTTATTAAACCTCATAGATATTAAAACACATTATAATATATTTATAAGAAAAACAGTGTAGTATTGGTGTTTGAATAGAAAGACAGACTGACTGATGCAATAAAATAGAAAGTCCAAAAATAGACCCAACCATATTTATAAATATAGTATATAACAAATCTCCATCTGAAATCACTGGGCAAAGATTGTATTTTTAATAATCGTTGTTGAGACAACTGAAAAGTTATTTGGAAAAATGTGCAATTAGATATATTTCTCATACCATGTGCAAGAATAAGCTCCAAATTGATCATTATTTTTTGGGTAATCATCTAACCTGTTGCATGTATCAATAATGTATTTTTATTTCTGGGGAACATCTAGTGGTATATATATATTATTTTTGTGTCTATCTTTATGAGGGACAACAGTCTATAGGGATTTGTGTGTGTGTGTGTGTGTGTGTGTGTGTTTTCTTTATCTGGTTTTGTGTCAGGGTAATTCTAACCCTACAAAATAGATTGGGAGGTGTTCTACCCTCTTCTGTTTTCTGAAAGGGATTGTGTAGAATTGGCGTTGATTATTATTTTAACATTTGCAATCTATGAATCCTTTCGGATAAAGGAGAGAAAAACAGAGAGGAAGAAAGGCAGAGAGAAGAGAAAGCAAGAGAAAGAGAGAGGAGACAGATACCAGATAATGGAGGGATCTTCTTAACAATGTAATATGTAGTGTCCTATGGATGTGGAGAGAATTCAGGCTGGAAAATTATTATCTTGCAAGCATCATATTATCAATTAATTTTAAATATAATGGAAAACTATGATTCCAATTTCTGCTCTTTTCCACCACATTGTATTTCTTGATTTGAGTTTGGTCTAATATTGCTAATGGAAGACTTTAATTTGAGGGGAGGAAATGTCATCTTAGATTTTCAGCTTTTTGTAGAGATAGGGCCTGATAGGTGGGTGCATATGTTCTCCTTTGGATTTCAGATGGGTCACCTGTAGACTCTGAAATCATAGGTACGGATATGTGCATGACCTTAAAGTGTTTTCCTACAGGTCACTTAATAGTTAAAAGGGAAAAAATGTATTTATAGGGTGTAGAAATAAAAACAAAAACATATGATTATGTTATCAGAATTTACAGAACCAATGAGTATAGATGGACCTTGTATGCCTTCATATATGAGAGTCTGAGAAAAACACAACAACAATTTTGCAGTATTCTGTCTGAAAATGCATAACCTGAATCCAGTCATTAAGAAACATAATACAAATGCAAAATTAGAAATGCTCATTAAAAAAGAGATAAATGTATTCTCAATGATATCATTCAAAAATGTCATAAAGTAAAAGACAAACTGTAATTCTCATATTTTAAAGGAGACCAAAAATACATGATAACTGCATACAGTATTTTGGAAACTCTCCTAAAGAAAAAAATGCTATGAAGCCCATTATTGGTTTAAATGACCAATTGGAAAATGGACAATAAATTAAACTTATATCACTGTTAAATTTACTGATGTTTATAAAACTATTTGGTTATGTAGCGCAATACCTTCACTCTTCTGAAATGTACACTGAAATAATTAGTAAAGGGGCATAATATATGCATATTATGTTCAAATAGCTAAAGTTTCTCACTTTCACTCTATATATCAAATGAGTAAATGGAGGAAATGTTAGTAATAAAGAAATCTGATTAAAGGGCATAGAAGGTATTTTTATTCTTATTCTTGCAATTTTTTGTATGCTTGGAATGGTTTCCAAGTAAAAGGTTTTAAAAATGTAAATAGTTACCACGGTTCCCTCAATTAATAAAAGTGAGCCCTTGCAAGCTTGTTAGACATTAAGTTTCCTGCTCTATGCATTGTTACCCTAATCTGCAAGATGAAGATAATAATATTATCTACCTCATGATGCTGTTGTGAGGAGTAAAAATGTTAATACATGCAGGATGCCTAAGACAACGCCTGGGTGGTAGTAAACACTCTGTAAATGTTGGCTTCCAGTGTATGCTTGTTTTGGTGGCAATAGTGGTTATTACCATCGTCACTATTACGGACAATGTTAAGGGACCCCATGACAGATCTCAGATTGACACCAAGTGTCTTGATTCCCATTTCTGCTCTTTCCCACTACATTGTATTTCTGGGATTTGAGTTTGGTGTAATATTGCAACCCTAATTTGAGAGAAGAAAATTTCAGCTTAGTTTTCCAGGATTCTTTTTCCTTTCTTTTTTTTTTTTTTTAAGAGAACGAACATGATAAGTGGGTGCGTAAGTTCTCTTCTGGCTTTTCAGATGGGTCAGCTCTAGACTTTGAAATCACAGGTATTAACTGAGAGCTCAGCAATGAAACTTTCTAATATCATTTAGTGTATAGACCCTAAGGAGCTTCATTTATGACTCATAGAGTCTTGCACATTCTTTATGGCAATTTAAAAAACATCTGTAATGTACAGTTAACCCTTTATAGTTTACAAATGATTTTCATGTGTACTTTTAACTAAATGGCTCATCATAGAAACACCTACAATTTTACTGATGAAAAAGTTAAAGATCAATAAATTTAAATGACTGACTCAAGATTATGCACTTAATAATGGTAGTGTGTCTTATAAAGAAATTCATAGAATTATTAGCACATCACTCAGCACAGGGATTTTCTCATAATTTTCATTGGATTAATGTTAAAGAAAACTGAGATTGGATTCAAACATAGATTTTATCTCTGGTCCCAAACATTTCTGCTATGTATAGTGACATGAAATCCCTGGTTTTAGAAGCAGTTCATTAGCCTAACTCATCATAATTTGATTGTTATGAGTTCAAGTCTGCGTCTGACAGGTCTCTGGAATAAATGTTTTGAACTGGCTTCTAGGTAAGATTCCATCCTGCCTGGGAAAACAACTTGAAAAGTTTTAACTTAGGGGCTCATCAATTAGACTTTGTGTTCAAGACATCATGGCTTAAAGAAAAGAAAAAATCAATTCTAAATATAAAATGTTGAATAGAGATATATTTGAAAAAAAATTTCGGTACCCATGGGGGAAGCACTTGTCTCTATCTGATGCTGATCCAATCTCTTTTATTTGATTAATTGTTGAATCTATTGATGAGAGAGCCCCGTTCAGCCAGATTCCCCAGCCGCAAGGTCAGTGGACTGTGATTCCTCAGCGGGGAGGCTGGGGTCTGTGTGGAGGAGACTCCTCCTGGCACGAGCATTTTGAGTATGCAGAACACATCGGCACAGCCTAGAGCTGGCAGTTAGTGTACGCGCGGCACACACACACACACACACACACACACACACACACACACACACACCAGTGTTTTCCCCTCAAGTGAGGCAGCGTTAGCAACTGCAGTCCCAGCTTCCTCTGCTGAGGTACAAGCGGCCACTGCCTGATTTGTTGGAGGAGCGCTAGAGTCCAGTATCTGAGGGACCCGGCAACACGCAGCTGTCACAGCTAGTGGCAGACAGCCACTTCTTCCCAGCTGCTTCGCCAGCCCTGGCAAGAGGGCACACTCTTCCAAAAGCCAGCCTGCCTGGGGAGGAGGTTGCTCCACACTGAAGGTAAGACTGCTTCCTAGTCGCTTTCTTTTCTAATGTGCCAGCTACCTCACAATCCACTTTCAGGTAGGCTCTTGCCATTTCTTGTTTTAGGTATGGGAAAACCTTCTCAATCATAGCCTTTACTTTTACTGAGAAAGTCTTTTTTTTTTTTTTTTTTTTTTTTTTTTTGCTAAAGAAGCAGAACAGTAAGGGCTTGATAGTTTAGCAGGATTCTTCTGATTAAAGTTTTAGTGCAGACGGTAACTCTACTTCTCTCTCCCAACCCTTAGAAATATTCTGTAGATAATGAGACAGCCTCATTTTGTGATTCATAGGCAACTTCACATTTAGCATAAGCGTGCGCTTCTAACCTTTTCAGTTAGTTGACAATTGTTATGCAACTCAGCATGTGTAATTTAAAGACCTTTAAATGCTCTTCTTCTGCTGGGAAAAACATACCTCAGTCTTGTAAAATAAAAGCCAAGTGGTGGGAGCTATGGATTCAAACTCTTCTTTGGCATTTAACATTCAGTGATATAGACAGGAGTGAAAGTTGCTGAATCACAGAAGTTTAATATTCATGGAAATTGCTGTATTTGTCAAGGAAACCTAGGAATCAAATGTCTTTTCATGTTTTTGAGCTCTTATACATATACGGATGATGTGGATTTGAAGAGGGGAAGTATTTGTTTGCTATAACTCACTCTGTTGTGGCGAGGTGGCTAAAGTGATTAATTGACATAGAAATAATTAACTGGAGAGGATTTCTTCTGCTAAAATAAGCTAGAATCTAGTTGTGAATTTAGAGGTTTCTTAGTTAACAGATCTGTATTTATAAAACTCCAAACAAAACTGTATCTTATTGATTTGAGTCTCCTTGTTTAAGTGATATTAATCTGTATAAATTATCACCCCTAATATTCCTTGACTGTACATATTTTCTTAGCCAATTTCAGAGTAAAATAGTTAATAAAGAAAAATTTCAACAACTTGTTAATATCTTCACCCTTTAATATTCATTTTAATTGTTTCATAGACATAATTTCATGAGGAGTTTTATGAGAGACTGATAAGCATAATTTATCCAATTGATTTGAAATGATCATAAAGAAAATGCTCTTTAGAAGATGAGTCCCAAACACAAGTCAGGCTCATGGTGCCTCTGGGTTATCACAGAATTTAGCAACAAGAGTGAAGTTTGTGGTAAGCAGAGAATCAGAAGACACAGTTTTTGTGATTGTTTTTACAAGCATCACTTTGTATGTGTAACACACTTTTAAAAACATTAGTCTCTTTTCATTACTCTTCTGGGAAGAGCCTCCAAGCTATGGCATGGTGTCTTGATGGGGATGACCTCAGTTCTGATGGAGGAGCGTGACACACAACTTTGGGGCAGATCTAGATTTATGCTTAAAGGACAAGTTATCACCTGGGGTCAGGAATTTTCAAGCTCAAACATCCAGGTACTTTCTTTGATAACTCTAGGGACCTACCCTTTGAGCAAAAAGACCATGTACACAGGTTGTCTGCTGTCTCTTTGGAGGGTAGTAGAAAGAAAGAACGGTTACCTTCTTCACTGTCATTAATGTTTGATGCAAGTGATCCCTCTGCAGCATCCAATAGGGACTTTCACTCTTTAACAAATGTTTAATGTATATTATCTGGTATTGCCTTTAGTTCCCATAGTATTTGTAGTTTCTACATTGGATATTCATAAAGTAATTTGAGAAAATAGATTCTCTAGTCTGCTACACAACAACAAACACACAAAGAAAGCACAACTTTACTTTTTGTTACTTCATGCTTTAATTCGTAGTCAAACTTGCAATAGACCTGCTTATATTACTCTCTCCATGGTGATGTGGTAGCTGATGGCTCAGTTGATATCACTCTTAGTAAAATAGAGAGATCAGAAGGAGTGAAGGAGATAGAGGACAAAATTCTTTTTTTCATGTGGGGTGGATGGTGTGCACTTGGAGTGGAATCTTGGAGAGAGAGAAGATACTCTCTTTTTGTTTATGTTTTGCCAAAGATGTCCAACTCAGCCAGCAACCTAAAAGATCCAAAGATGTAATCTTAACCAGGCCTGCTGTGGAAGTGAAATGTAATTTAATTAAGTTGTTGGGTGAGCTTTCTCCTTCTTGGTCTTCCTCACTCACCTTTCTCCCCAGGTGAACAGATTTGTGAGGTAGGTTAAAGAGTTAGCCAATTACTTGCACATTATAGATCACTATTCAAAGCTGTCTTTTCTGAGAGGGAATCAATTTCATTTTGCTTACAACCAGAGGTCATGACTGTTCTGTCATTGTTCTGGCTCCTAGTCACCAGCCTTCTTAGTTTTTACACAATTTTGTTCCTACTGTATCTGATAACCATTCCTGGGCATCTTGGTGAATTGGTGTTTTGAGAATTTTATTAAAATAAAGTTAATGAATAAATACTATGGATTAAGCCAAAGAAGTGGGTTCTCAACAATGTTCAGTGCTGTTGGGTCACATACCTTTCAGTTCTTACCAATCTATGGGGTAGGATTGATGGTGCCGTCCACAGGCATTTCTACATATGCATGGTGACGTTGCAAACCAATGCTGACCAACGCAAAAGAAAGGGAAGAAAAAAAAAAGAAGAAAATCTATAAGCTTTTGTGAAATGCAAACAGGTGCCGAATACTAAGGAAACCATGTAGTTATACTCTTAAGGTGATTTTCACCAAATTACCTTGGACTATATACTAGCTCTAACAATGGCACGTTTTGCATGCACCCTTCAGGGCTGCGTTGAGTGATAGCTGTAAATTAGGATGAAGAGAAGAAAATGCTCTGCACTTTAAATATTGAGGAGAATTAGGATCCAGATGGTAAGGCTTTTTATAGCAATACATTGGATAATGTTACAAGCTTCTATGGCTACTGGCCTATTATATTTTCTCTAGTAAAATGCAGTTTAGGGAAGGGGTTCATTGCTAAGAGCAATCTTGCTAATCTAGAAAAGCGAATTTCCTTTCCATATTACATTTTTCAACTTTGTTGGCTTATTTTTTTTCCCTTTTCCTTATTTTTTTCCATTCTAATTCCAAACTCAATCAAAATTATATAATGTGAATTATTGTTTTATTTCAAGGTTGCTTTCTTTTCTTTCTCTCTCAGTACCTCCCCCCCCAACCCCCACTCCACTCTGCATATACCTGTCTCACATTATGAATGCATTTGAGAAGTCTGTGAAACCATTTGGACTTGGACACAGAATGGTTATTAGACAAGTCTCCATCTGGTTTTAAATGTCCCTAGTCTAAAACCACCTCATTTATTCTGTCTCTGTAGGATAGTTCTCTTTTTTTCATTTAGACAGGATCTTACTCTGTCTCCCAGGCTGGTGAGGAAATCTTAGCTGTAGCTCAGGTATTTCCTTGTTCAGGACTTCAGGTTTGCTCTGAAAGAATTACTTTTCTTCTTTCAACACCCTCTAGTGGGAATTTTATTATCTCCAGTCTCAGGGGCCACAGTGGCATCTCTGATCAGGCATAGGTATAGAAAGTGAGCCACCTGGTGGTAAAGAAGAGTAATTCTTACATTCTTAACAGCCTTCCAAGTTAACAGCAAGGAAGGACATTGCTAATTTTCTGTTACATTGCGAAGGGGTGTTTGATTTTATTAAAATGTACTTTAATGGTTTTTTTTTTGTTTTTCAAATGAATTGTTAGGTTACAAGTACAAATTCCTTCACTCTATGCTTCATTTTCTAATTTGATATGATCTCTCTCTTTCACCTCTTTTGTTTCTTGTGTGTACACATTGTGAGGAACACATTTATGTTGCTATGTATTTAATAATAAATATTCGTACACATTTTTATACATATTAAAGTATCAAGATACTTCACTGAAGAAAACATTTCAAAAAGAAAGCAATGAAATTACATGTTTTCCACTGGGTATTGATACTGCAGTTTGAATAGCTTAAATATAAAAATAGTTTACTGTATTTGCATATTCATACTTGAAAAAACATACAAAAAGAATAAAACAAAATAAAATTATACAATTATATGTGTGTGTATGCCTTTGTTCTAAATCAAAATATAGATATTAGGCATCATTTCCTATATATTTTTAAGACTCTAATCTAGCTAACCAATTACCAAGGCTACAGTAGCCCTTGTCTTACCTTCCTTATTATCTTTCCTTATACCTATCTTTCTGTGTGGGGAGTCAGAACTGACATTCATATAGGAGGCATGTCTCTTGGCTGAAAACAACTCTTTGGAAGTACAGATGTTAATGGTCTTTGGGAACTGGAGTTCTCTAAATATATATAGTAAGTGTAAAAGTACTGTGCAAATAAAGGACACCATTATTTCTGATGTCTTTTTTTTTTTCCAGTTTAGAAGACTTAGGTGCAGATGGGGTAGATCCCATTAAACCGGAATTGGTTTTAACTGAATTTTACATGGATCAAATAGAAAGACAAGGCTGAGTGTGGTGGCTCAAGCCTGTAATCCCAGCACTTTGGGAGCCCGAGGCAGGCAGATCACCTGAGGTCAGGAGTGTGAGACCAGCCTGGCCAATGTGGTGAAACCCCATATCTACTTAAAAAATAAAAATAAATAAATAAGAATAATAAAAAAAAAACTTAGCTGGACTCAGTGTCAGGCGCCTATAACCCCAGCTACTCAGGAGGCTGAGGCAGGAGAATCGCTTGAACCTGGAAGGCAGAGGTTGCAGTGAGCTGAGATCACGCAACTGCATTCCAGCCTGGGTGACAGAGTGAGACTCTGCCTCTAAAGAAAAAAAAAAAAAAAGACAAAGTTGAGATGTTAAATGGCAGATATTTCATTAATTCCTTAATTCACCTATTAACTAATGACACTAGAGAAAATACTGGCTAGAATCACATGTGTAGTTTCATTCTCTAAGTCTTAAATTAGTTCTTTCTCTAGATAGCCTCATCTTATCCATGTTGTCCTTCAACTTCAAATTTATTTATTTGGGCGATCACCCTGTGTAAACTGGTAATTCACTGTGCATTCTTTAAAAAAATAGCAGAAAGTTTTTGTTTTGAAATTATTGTTCACATATAAGCTATCTGTAGCTTGAAGTATGAATACAAACAGAAATTAATAATTTCTAGACTGGGTGTGGTGGTTCATGTCTGTAATCCCAGCACTTTGGGAGTCCCAGGCAAGAGCATCACTTGAGGCCAGGTGTTTGAGACCAGCTTGGCAACATAGTAAGACCCTCCCATTCTACAAAAAAAATAAAAATAAATATAATTAGCCAGGAGTGGTGTCACAGGCATATAGTCCTAGCTAGTCAGCAGACTGTGGCAGGAAGGATTACTGTGCCCAGGGGTTTGAGGTTGCAGTGAGCTATGATCATGCCACTGCACTCCAGCCTGGGTGAGAAAGCAAGATCTGGTCTCTGAAAACATAAACAAACAAATAATTAAATAAATAATAATAATTCCTGATTTAACCTCAGGAAACTATTATGTTATATTCCACTTGTTTGAGATTTAAATAGTGACAATAAGCTCAAATGTCTTGTTCTGTTTGTTGTCATTAGAGTAGAATCAGGTATAATAAAACTGTTCTACTGGTTATTCAAGAGCCAGCTCCCATGTCATTGTGAGGAAAGGTAAAGAAAATAATAAAATAAATTTTAATATATCAGGTAATATCCTTGAATATACAAACATTTAGAAAATTACCACTAAAATAGTAGATGCTCTTCAAAATTATTAAAATGTCTATGAATTTTTAATTGAGATTTTACTTATATATGTCAGTGATGGGAAGTACAATCACGACTTGGAATTTAGCTTGACTTTCACAAGCTGATGTCTCCTTCCTTGCAAGTCTGTAAGCTACAACTTGGTGAGATGGGTTTGCTACATGCACACAGATATGTAATCATTTTAATACACTACAAGTTGACAGCCAGAAAGCAAGAAAATTATTCAGTCATAAAGAATAGAGGGGAAAGGAATAAAAAGTTCTTTATTTCGCATGAGTTTAGGATACGAAGCATTGCAAGAAAAGCAACTTCTCCCGGCTCGTCTCTTTTCCTCCTCCCCTCTCTTCCCCTCTCTTCCCTCCCCTTTTCTCTTTTTTTTTCTTTTTGTTCCCCCTACCAATTCAGTATACTTATTTAACCTCCTCATTTTTCATTTAAGGCTCTAAAAATTCTCAGTCAACATTCACTCTCAATTGTGATGCATTCAGTAGTTAATTATTTTCCACAGTGTCCTTTAAATGTATGCAAATTAGACTTTTGATGAACTGGAATGTTTTACAGATTCTCTGCATAAATCACACATGGTTAAAAAAAATCAACCTGTTTAAGGAGCAGAATATTTTTGGACCTCCCTCATTTGCTACGGTGACTGAGGACATCTCAGTGCTGCTGGCTTCAAGTATATTCCTTCAGGGACAGCCTGCACACTTTTCAGAAAGACATATTTCTAAGTTTATTTCTAGCTTTGAAGAAAGCATATCTGCCTAGTAATGTGTCGATTGAAGCTGTGAATGGGCAGGGGTAGCAATATGAACTCTTCTGTTTTCTAGGCTCATTTTGCAAAGTAATGTTAATTTATGAATTGATTTATGCATTTGCTTTTATAATGATATTTATTACTATCATCATGATTATTTAAATAGAAGCAATAATTTGGAAAACTATTCCACTCTTTTTCTCTATACAATATTACAAAATAAAGCATTCTTGAAGTGATTATAAATTGTCTTACTGAATACTCAGTTAATTGGATAGTGTTTAATCATTCTAAATAATGTGCCATTTAGAACAACTCAAAAGGTTTTCTTTTATTTAGATGAAATCTTACATTCTATAGCAATAAAGATTTGATTGGCATACTTTTTATATATTATCTTTTCACATACCCAGCTACAATTGTTACAGGAAAGAGGTCCCTATCCAGACCCCAAGAGAGGGTTTTTGGATCTCGCGCAAGAAGGAATTGAGGGCAAGTCCACAGTGCAAAGTGAAAGCAAGTTTATTAAGAAAATAAAGGAATAAAAGAATGGCTATTTCATAGAACAGCTCTGAGGGCTGCTGGTTGCCCATTTTTATGGTTAATTCCTGACAATATGCTAAACAAGAGGTGGGTTATTCATGCCACCCCTTTTTAGACCATATAGGGTAACCTCCTGAAGTTGCCATGGCATTTGTAAACTGTCATGGCACTGATGGGAGTCCAGCAGCGACGACCACCAGCGATCACTCTTGTCGCCATTTTGGTTTTGGTGGGGTTTGGCTGACTCCTTTACTGAAATCTGTTTTATCAGCAAGGTCTTTATGACCTGTATTTTGTGCTGCCCTCCTGTCACATCCTGTGACTTATAATTCCTTAATTCTCTGGGAATGCAGCCCAGTAGGTTTCAGCCTAATTTTACCCAGCTCCTATTTGAGATGGAGTTGCTTTGGTTACAACGCCACTGATATTTCTCCCCTCCCTTTTATAAGAGAACCCTTAATTCTAAGGGTTGCAGAGGGATGAAGATCCATCTTTTTTAACTTCTTCAGGCTGAATAGGGGTGATGATATTTCTAACTATGAGGGTCTTTTGCATTCAGGGTAGAGAAGAGCTCAGTCAGAAAGCAATAGTATGGTAAGGTCCATTTATAACTCTTGAGTTTTGTCAAAAGATGATATTTGGAAGATGAATAAGTGTATAATTTAAGAAAGCACTCAGTAAGCTTGCCCTGTATTCCTACACAAAGAGTATAACAACAATATATTCCACAAGAGTAAAGCAAAATAGGTAAAGTTATTCCAAGTAGACTAAATTAGAAAGCTTTTCATGAAATGAGTAACTCTTGGAACTAAGCTGATATGGGGTTGTTAGCCAAATGTAATGTGCCTAGAATTAGAATAGTGATTTAGATATTTATATTACCCATCCCTCTTGTTCTGAGCAGCAGTCAGAGATCACTGGTTGATTCACAGGAATAAGTGGAGTTAGGCTAAATTGCAGAAACAAACTTAAAAACCACTGATGAGCCTAGAATTTATTAACAAGTGTACCATAGTTCTTGAAACATAATATTTCTTTTTCCAGTTTCCCATTTTTACTAAAGACAAATAATGGTAAGACTGATTTGCTTTATTATACTTGGACTATTTGTATAAAATGCAATAAGAATGACTATTTTTCATATAGGCTCTTTTTAAATTGGCTTTCCCAGAACTCTGTTCCATAGAGGGAATTTTAGATACAACTTTTTTAAAGCTGAGTCCAGCCATGGGTTTGTACCCTTAAATACTTATGAGTTGGGTAAAGTTCTTTCCTCTTGAGGTCCCAGAACTTGCAGCTTCTGAACCTGTTAGAAAGTGACATTCTTTACTTACCACAGATCAGAAACCCTGAACAAGGACTGTTGTAGGCAAGATATAAGACCAGTTCCCCTAAGGGCTTTTTGTGGCTCTACAAGTCAAGTTTGATTCCTCAAAGGAAAGCACAACATTCCAGTCAAAGCCTTGGTAAAATAACCAATTTCTCCAATTGTGTACTGTTACAAAAACAAAAACAAAAACAAACAGATTCTTATTGCACTTATGCAAATAACTATTTTGCCGTAAGTTAAGAATACTCACAACTAGTTTCCAAATTCTGGAGAAATCAGGTAGAGAGAAAGAAATATGCTCTAAATTTTGTTCATAGGAGTACATTTAACTTTTAAAAGCTGTAAATAGCTCGAAAGAAAAGTTTTCTTGACTCTGAAAAATAAAACAAAGGATTAGAAACGTTTTAAGCAAGTTAAAAAGACTAGACTTTTTCAGTTTAGTCCATGTAGGTTAACTTTTGTTTGATAGTTATGAACATTTCAGTTCTTTATGAGAGTTTTGAAAGTTTTTTTCCTCTATTCTGATGTCACAATTTCCAAAGTTATCAGAAAATTTGCATTTAAGAACACCTGTTAGAGTTCTATAATTGATTTTAAACCACCTTCTAAAGAGGATTAAAACAAGAAAACAATTGTCTGTGGATGATAAAAAGTTTTAGGACAGCCACTACTAAAGCCACAATTGATAAGGAAATTTGGTTACTTATGTGGCACACAAAATTTTACCTAACAATTATAATTACTAATAACATACACTAAGTTACATAGAATTATAGGAGTTGCCCATAACTTTGGAACATATAACGATAACGCATTTACATAAATATAGCCCAAAGAAAGCACAATACCATTTCACATTTTATAATGCTTCCAGTATGGTTTTTATACCAAATAAGCCACATTTTACCTTTACATTAATGTATTATTAATGTTAGACCCAATTTTTAATAAAACCTTATAGACATATTTACCCAATTTTAATGTTTAACCATAAGGTAAGATTCTTATAAGCTTTTAATAGCCCTTTACTTTTTTTGCGTGTGAAAGAGCAGATTAGTGCTTTAAGAGATACCTGTTGTGCTTTAATTCTAATGTTTAATTTATGGAAAAACTGAATAATACCCCTTTAAATTTAGCCAGTGTCCACATATAGAATTTATTTTACAATTGATTTTTTACAAACCTCCCACAACTGTTTAAACCTTTAGCTTTAGTCTATTTAACTTAACAATTTTTTAACCCTTTAGACAGAAAAAATTACATTCTCATGCCTTCTTATAATCTTTTACCAAAAGTACATTCTACTTTCCTTACACACCTTACATGTAAAACTGTTTCTTTAATAATCTTAGTTGCATGTTACAATGTTAACTTTTAGTGACTTTTATTTTTGGTGAAAACCTTGGTAAGTAAGGGATTTTAATTGTGTACTAGGTGTGGGGCCTAGCCTAGAACACACCAGGCAGAAATGCAGGTAAGGGCTGACTCTCCAGCATAGCTAGGGGCATGGCTAACTTCAGGTGTCCCCAGGTCTTACCTTGCTTAAGCAGGCAAGTTGTACAGTAAGAGTCATAGCGGCATTTTATGAAGCATTTAGGAGGCCTAAGAACCTTTGAATTGTACGTTTCTTGCATAAATTCCCTTTCACAAATCCTTTCATTACTTACACAGACCATCTGAGACATTTTTGGACTTTTTGGCTTGCCCTAAACATCCCAACATCCCTCCTTTTAAACAAGCAGTCATTTTATTTTAGGACAATAATTTACCATACAAGATTCTTTCTTAAATAAAATCTCTTTCTTTATAGTTTTCTTTGTATAGCTAGGGGGCATGGCTAATTCCACATGTCCCCAGGTCTTATCTAGAATTTAATGGCTTTATGGTAGGTAAATTGAACAATTTTTAAAAGTCAAAGAAACAGTTTGATCTTAAAGCATTTTGCAAATTTGATATTTAACCTTAATTTAGACCAAATGTCTACATTTTAAAGACATTTTATTTTACCAGTAGTTTTTAAAACTGTCTTTATTTCCAAAAGATTACTAAAGTCACGTGAACAAAAAGACATTATTAAAGTTTCTATTTTTCTGACAAAATATTTTATTTAAGTGCTTATTTCTTTAAGCCAATTAATTAGACCTCTTTTATATATAAACATACAACACATATAAATACACAGACAGAAGATTTAGCACTTTTAAGATTTTTCATTTGCCAGTTTATTGATTGAATTACTGGCTTCAGGCTGGGGATCATGGAGGAACAGGACCAAGAAAGCATGCGTTTCTGGGCCAGATAAGCAGCAAATAAGCATCTGAAGGCAAAGACAGATTCCTAAAATTAAGGGTGCCATTTATACTAGTTCTTAGATCCCCAAAGGAGGTAAATACTGCAGGAGAACACAGTGCGGTGATTTTACTTTGCATTTCATTGCAAGGCAACCCAAAACCAATCAGCCCATTTTGTAATCAGCCCATCATTCATGGGAGTGTCATCTCCCAGTGGGAGGTGGGGAAGTTTTCTTATTTCCAGGAGGCCAAGAGCATGCTTCTTTGATCCAAGTGTGCAAAGAGTCAAGTATCCCTCCATAACTACTATTAGCCATCTTTTAAAGTATATTTCCTCCCTAGCTGTTAAACACTAAAGCTCTCTTATAATGCAAAGTAATTTCTGGTATCCTCAAAACTCAAAACCATCAGATAACATAATGCAAAACAGAACAGAGCCTTTGATTTTGAGAGGGATCTATTTACCTTTAACTCCTGGGGTTTCATGAGGAAAACAGAGGGTTTCTTTCCCCAAAGTGGGGTCTGTGGCACCTCCTCTGTTTTTCCCAAGGAGTTCCAGGCTACTAGAAGTTATCTTAGGACATCTCATGTGTGCATTAAGAGTAGCAAGACAGAAAAAGAGAGAGAGAGAGAAAAAATAATTTAGTTGATTGAGAAGAAAATTTTTTTTTCCAGAAAAACAAGTTCTAAGAAGAGAAAAACATAAAGGCCTTTTAAATATATCTATAGCTTGTTTATCCACTTTTAATTCAGCTGACTTTTAACCATAGCACTTTTTAAAAAAGAAATTCTTTCAGATCTCTTATTACCGGATTTTAGTTATGCCAAGCAGCCAATATTTCTATCTTCTAAACTTTACCAAAGGTAACCTCCTAGGTGCTTAGAGAAAGGAAAATTTGAGAGAGTCCGCAGAGGGGAAGAGAACAGACAAGGTCATGCAGTTATTAAATGACAAACGACTTTCTTTCTAGGCAGGGAATTGAACCCAGACTACCACTGTGAAAGTGCAAAACGGTAGCTACTGAGCTACAGCACAGGGCAAACTTTGTTTTCTTTCCCAGAAAGATTCTAGAGTAGTTAATTTCGAGCTTGCGGAGGCTTTTAACTATTTAATAGAATTTTTAGAGCTAACTACAACCATGAACCGTAAAATTCCTGTTTCCTGGAAGGTGGAGACCAAGAGAATGTACCGCCACGTGGTTAAAAGGTTGATAGCTTTTAAAGGTTAAGGTTAAAGGGTGATGCTCCCAAGGACATAAAACAATGTGGAGACTTAATCCAGGTTTTTTGTTTGTTTCAGAGACCTGTAGCCAAGTTTATTACTGTCCAGCTTGCTGGATCATCTTGAAAAGCGGGCTTACAGGTGTTCTAAGCCTGTGTTTTATCCTAAAGTACCCCTCGACACAGAAAAAACGAATTCATAGCACAAAATACACCAGCTTAAGACTAGCCTCAGAATTCTTTTTCGCATTAATCCAAACTTTACAGAGGAGATAAACACTGATTATTTTTACCACTCATTCAACCGTTTGCACAGAGAGAGAGAAGCCCTACACCTGACTGGTAAGATATTCTTACCCTTTGCTGGCATTCCAGGCTTCTGGGGTCTCATTCCCTGAAAGGCCCTAGTGAACTGGCTTGCCGTACCATTATCCTGGGGGCCAAAATGTATCATAAAGGAAAATTATTATTTTTTCATTCTGGCCAGAGCAAAATACGTGTGATAAAGCAGAGACCTTAGCCACTCTGCTTAGCACCCAATATCAAACTGCCAAGGCTTAAATTTGTCCCCAGATGGGCCCCATCATCTTTAATCCAACCTCAGACTTGGAGTTTCAACATGTGGTCTCTGGGTAAGATGGTTGCCCTGAGTAACAGAAAAGATAAAAAAGGGAAACTAGAGAAGGAAAGTATTGTCTGTGCCAGGGTAGGGAAGGCAAAATGATCAGGGAGGCCAGAGAAAGACCCACCCATTGCAGCGACAATGAAAAGCTCAGGTGGCTGCGGCAGCTATTGTGAAGGGATTTTTTTTCCAGCAATCCTATTAGCTCTCAAGTTTCCCCTTTTAGGTAAGAAAAACTCCATGTCCCGAGATCTTGTACATGCCCAACCCTGTCACCCACAGCCATCAGCAAAGAGTGCAAGACAGATGAATTCAAAGAGAATAGCAGTTAACATCTCACGCTGCCGAACCTGTTTTTAACCAAGAGGGACTTTACCGAGAGGGGCCTCCAACCTCCCTAAATCTTAGAAGGGACTCTAACCCTCCTAAGTTGGGTCTCTAACCCAAGGTCTATCAAGCATCCTTGCCTTTTATTAAGAGGGGACTCTAACCCACTCTATCTTAGGAGAGACTCTAACTACCCTAAATTGGGCCTTTAACCCAATTCCATCCTTTACCTGGGTACCCCACCACTTACCCAAAGTCAGCCAATCAGTGCTGCAGTCTATTTCCTTTGCATTGAGGAGTCTCCTCAGTATCTTCCCTTCTGTCGTTTGCTAGAAATATGTTACAGGACGCCAACACTTACCCAAAGGTAGACATTGAGTCAGGGTTTCTGCACTGTAGTCCCTTCGTGGTCACCAGCAATATGTCACAGGAAAGGAGTCCCGATCCAGACCTCAAGGTTCTTGGATCTTGCGCAAGAAAGAATTTAGGGCGAGTCCACGGTGCAAAGTGAAAGCAAGTTTATTAAGGAAATAAAAGAATAAAAGAATGGCTACTCCATAGACAGAGCAGCCCTGAGGGCTGCTGCTTGCCCATTTTTTTGGTTATTTCTTGATGATATGCTAAACAAGGGGTGGATTATTCATGCCTCACCTGTTTAGACCATATGGGGTAACTTCCTGACATTGCCATGGCATTTGTAACTGTCATGATGCTCGCTGGAGTGTGGCAGTGAGGACCACCACTCTTGTCGCCATTTTGGTTTTGGTGGGTTTTGGCAGACTCCTTTACTGCAAACTGTTTTTTCAGCAAGGTCTTTATGACCTGTATTTTGTGCTGACTTCCTGTCTCAACCTGTGACTTAGAATGCCTTAACCATCTGGGAATGCAGCCCAGTAGGTTTCAGCCTAATTTTACTCAGCTCCTATTTAAGATGGAGTTACTTTGGTTCAAATGCCTCTGACACGATGACTATATTATGTATTCATAGTTTTCTTTAATTTTAGGCTGATGGTTTCCAATCCATTATTTGTTCCTCCTTGTGACTGAGTTGTGTTTTTTTTTTTCGTTTGACCCTCCACTGTTATTTTTTTTAAATCCCTTACTATTCTCCTTAAATGTAATAATAACAACAAAACAATATTTCCAATACAAAAAGAAAAATAATATGCTCAATGTTTCCTCACGTTTTTGATATTTTGCATTACAGTGACTGGATGTAAAGTATCTGCTTGGCAAATGCAAATAAGAATCTGGATTTGATGGGATGTTTCCTGGCAGGGTCAGGCATGCCTGCAGAATGGTAAAATAGACATTCCTCTTGATTCAGGGGATCTGATGTTGGATAACTGAGGAAGTACAAAATGTTTAGCTAAGGACTTGAGGAACAAAGAAAGTTAGTAACAGAAAACCAGAAAATACCATTACTAGCTTATATACCTGTCAATTTAAGTGTCTGTTTCCCTTCAGACTCCAGAGGAATGTCATCGTGAGCACAGTGGGAAACTCACGTGTTATTCTTTCTGATTTCACTGACCACCTTGGTCATGTTATCTAGGTTTTCTTGGGCTTATCACAGATTTCACATTTGTAGTCAAGTATGACTGATGTGCCTTAGATTTCCTGGATTCCCCCTACTTTTTCTTTTGTCGGCAAATTAGGTACATCCTCCAACCATAGCCTTAGGTAAAAAAGAAAACTATTGAAAAGAGCATTAAAACACCTCTCCAATGTAGACAGACACATTAACCAGTCTCATTTACCTTTAAAAATATATGAGAATAAGAGAAAAGACAGAGATTTAAGTAACCATGGCAGGTTTGACTTAGTTAACATTTCTGAGAAAATATCAATTTTCAATGTTTAAAATTCATCATATATGTCCTATAACTTAGAGGCAAATAATAATAATAACCTTCCAATGCATATAGCCACTTACTATTTACAAAGAAGTTTTACAGACATTTTGTATGTTATATCTTCTCTGTAAATTTCTTGAGTTTCAGGGCTCTTTCATATAGATCAGAGTTATTAAGATCTTCACAATGATAAAAATTACTGACATGATTTTTTAAATAATAACTTTCCAATAACCACTCATGAAAATTATTATGAGTTAACGTTTGTGAGATGGTGCAAAAAAATTAGTATTTTAAGCTAGTTTTTCTAATTATCACATTCACAGAAGATTGGCAAGTACTGAAATAAATCTTCTGTGTTCCACTGTGCCATGTACAAGTAGGCACGTGATTTTTAAAACAAATAAAATTCAACTTATTTTACCCTACCTAATAAGACCTTTTTAAATCTTAAGTCTGTAACCCAACTTAATTAGCATAGCCAGTCAGCCACATTCTCATCAGTGAATTCAGTATGTAAGCCTTCTATGTCACCTGCACTCGCACCTATGATTTTGAATAGGATGCCATCTAACATCCTGCCAGAAAGTCTCCCTCTGGCTTGATAATGCTGCAATAATTCACTTTGCCAGCAGTGGTTAAACTACAAATTCATTTAACTATACATCCTTTATTCTATATGCTTTAAATCTATTAGTAAGGATATGCCTCATGTGAGACTTTGTCAAAACTTTACTGAAACCACTACCTCTTAAAATAATTCCTTATTAAGAGACCCAGTGTGAAAGAAAAATATATTGTTGGCATGATTTCTTGTAAACACAGGTAGGCTTGTATAATCACTACTTTCTTGAAATCTTTACAAATTCTATGAATGCTAATCCATTCTAAAAAATTGTTGTAAAGTGAGTGATAAACTTACAAGTTTACTTTTTCTCATCATCAATCTTCAGGAGACTTTTCTATTCTCTTAATTACTGAGAGGAGTTTTACTGAATCACACCTGATAAACACTGTTAGCTCATGTACGTGTGCTGTAACTATATTCTTATCTCTCATTGGTTTCAGTGTGGCTGGCTATATTTGTGTTTATATTTACAGTATAAATTAATACTTTTTTGGACACTAAAGTGTGTTGTGTAATTTGGCTTCTCTTAGTTTTTATTAAAAATTATGTCATTGACCCAAGACCATGAACCCATCTCTTTCATATTCTTGTTTTTATTGTGGGCATGTCTAAATTAGCTTCTTCTTTACTTCTATCAGTTTTATGGTATCAGCTCAATCTGGAATTTAGCCTTGATTTTATATATATATATGTGTGTGTGTGTGTGTGTGTGTGTGTGTACTTTTATTTGTTTAAATATTTTTATTCTAAAATTTGTGTCTGTACTATAAAATTGAACTTATGCTGTCCATCATAAGTCTAAATAAAGTATTTCAACTTACATTCAGTGAAGATCATAGAATTAAAAAATAGCTTCAGAAAGCCTTGGTATAAATACTATATTTCATAACCATAATATTATTTTATGCAAATGTGAGGACAGTATACCATTGCTAGAACAGTAAGTTATAAACTTGACACTCATTTGCCTCTGATATTTGGCATTTTGGTAAGCTTTTAAGAACATATTTTGAGACATAAACAGAATAGGCCAGAAAAAGAAAAACAAAACAAGCATTGAAAAGTGAAATAATTGTCATCCCCAAAGAATAAAAATCATAGCATGTTGCCAATAGGTAAAAGTAATGTTTTATGAGTCTATATTGTTAAGTAAAAATTATCTGATTTAGAGGTAGCTGCTACTTAGTTTCTTTTTTTAATTAAAAAAGACAGCAAACTAGAAACACTAAAGTTATGAATTACAGTATTCTAGAAAAATAAAGATAACATATAACAAGTGGATATTATAGTCAATACTGACATACTGGGTTGTTTGTAAAAAATATTATATTACTGCATTCCTCCCTGTGGCTGTTCCCTGGGGACACGTGAAAAGATCTTTTTAGGTTGATGAATATTTAATTTATTTTCAGTGTATCTTCAGTTTGCTGTAGGGAGAGAAGACCCAGAATGTGGGCTAGGGAAGTATCAAGGGAGTTTGAGTAACTATTACATAAACTTAGAGAGATTGAGTACTATATGAATGTGTGAAAACAAATCTTTTTCTCTAAATCTGTCTCTTGCACTCAGTGTTTTCTTCTTGGAAAATACACCTCAAAGCAACATAGTAAAACTGTCAACTCAAAGACTTTTCATAAGCTGTAGGAAGGATATGTTCAGTTTGATTTACATTAAATCTACTCTTTAGGGAATGTTGAAAGACCACCAATATCCTGATTTTGATGGCCTCATACATATTTATTTTCCTTAATCCTCTAAGAGAACACCATTTAGGAGCCTTAATTTAAGGAAACAGAAAAGGCACAAAAGGTTCTGCATGTTTTCAGCATAAGGCCTATTTCACAGGAGCAGAGGGTGAGCATGTGAGAAAAATTTCTTTCGCTTCCTTTCATTTTTATATCTCTCAGTTGTGCATAATTTAAATCTCTTGCTTGGCTAAGCTTTTGTAGAGGAAAACATTGAATAAAATAGGCAAGATTTTTAAAAATCTCAGAAGTTTAGGGAATGAATCTAAGTTCTGATTCTGAACTCAGTACTGGAATTGTCTCTCTGCAGGGGTAGAGGGAACTGAGAACAGGGTCAGAATTCAGATGTATTATAGATGGTCAGAATAAAGTGTTCACACAACATTCTGAGTCATAAGCTAGGAAGTGTGGAATTAATATGTCATATGAAAGATAGTCTCATAGAGAGGTAATGAAGAGAGTCTGCAAGTAACTCATATGACTGCCTTGCAGAATATTGATATTTGAGTTACCACTTTTTATTTAAAAAAAAAGGAAGAAAAAGTGTAGTGCCTCACCTTTCATTTCTTTCCAGTTCACTGCATCTCCCCTCTTTCATTATCATCATGGTTGCCATGTGAATTCCTGACTAGCCAAAAGTGGCAGTTCTAACAGAAATCATGTTGAGAGGTGGATCTTCTTAGTTGTATCTTTTTAACTTGGTTCTTTTTGCAGTAGATTCTGTGCTTAGCACTTCCTGAGCATTACCTATTTCATCTTCAAGCCAATCAAGGAAGATTGGGTCTATGCTGTTTTCCTTTCAGAGATGAGGACATTGAAACCCTATGAATTTATAAAAACATTGCAAAAATCCTGATCAGAATAACACAATTTAAATGGTAACTAGTAATCAATATAGAACCAGAATTTAAATGTCTCTTTGTCCTTTCGTCTATCCCCAGCACACTATTTGCTAGTAACTAAACTAAAGCTCACTCTATAGGAAGTGGAACTAAGTGAGTTCATACATTTAAGCCACTCCTAGACATTTTTTCTAAGGCTGGTAAGATATAGTAGAGTATGGTATTTTAATTCATTTACCTGGTTTATATCATCTCTATGCCCAAACTGGGTGGTCTTAACTAAGTTACTTAACCAATGTGTGTGTCTATTTTATGATTGGTAAAACAGGGATAATGATAGTGTCTTCCCCATGAAGTTGGAGTAAGAATTAATTATGTGCACATTTACATAAAGCGTGTAGAACAGTGCTTGACACAAAACAATCACTTTCTAAGTGTTAGATATAATTTTATGGTTTCCATCTGAACAATTGAAAAAAAATCATATTTGCCAGAGTTTATCTTTTCTTATTTCCTCTTGGGCTTCATATAATTCTTTGTTCTGTAGAGCATACTATGTTGACATGTGCATTCCAACTCTGCAAGGGTTGCTAGAGCTACAAAGAAGACTACAGCATCGCCTCTGGGCTCAGAGCTTGGACCCAACTGACAAAACACTTGGAAAAAGTATATAGTGGGTGCTGTAACAAGATAATGAATATGAGACACCATGATAGTAAGTACCCATTCTACCAGAAAAAGGTTTCACAATGGTCGCAACTATTGACCTTGCTTTTGTAGGAGAAACCTGCAAGGTTTAAAGGATATATGAGAGGTATCCGAGGCCCTGAAAACAGTATCACATTTGTAGAGAGACATGATAGCAAATGATCTTTTTTAAGAATAGGTAGAGAATGAATGCAGGACAAATAGGAAGGGTAACGAAGTATGATATTTCAAGAAGTGGACAATGCCAAAATATGGAGAAACTTCTGTCCTATATTAAGAAGTCATAGTGAGTTTCTACACCAGGGAGGGACATGGGACCAAAAGGTATCTCAGAGCAATAATGGACTGTGACAACAATTTAAGGGTGGCAAAGATGACAATCTTCCAAAAATATATCATCTTCCTGCAATTAAAAGTAATTGGAATTGTTCTTATTGGAAAGAGAAAAATGTTATTATTCTCTCTACCTATGGATAATGTCACGATTCTCTGTGTATGTTCCCAGGGATTCTCTATAGGGAAAAGGACATTAAGGGAAGAATAATTTTGAAACTGACAAAGAACAAGACTCCTCCAAGGAGGTGTTACAGAATTCATCATTAGGGTTACTCAGAGCCAGTTTGTGCAAGTAATAAATTATTCTATCCTTTCTCAAAGGCAAGTTATACTAATAACATTCCAACTTTTTTCAGATTCTAAAAATCGGTTCTGTGAATAGTGGCACATACTCCTTCCTATGGCTATCCTATTCTCTGTGGCATGATTTTGTAAAAAAATATTAATGTTAAAATGAAATAACATAAAATATAAAAATGTAATATATCTTGGGGAAGACCTAGATGACTTGAGGCTGAAAAAGTAATAGAAGAGAATAAAAAAAAAACTCCACTTTTTACATCTCTAGATTGGCTAAAAATTCCTGTTCCTTGGAAATTGGTGATGTCTAGGTTGATAAATGTTTACTGGCTAATAAAATTGTCAATAACTTGCTTCTTATATAAATGAATGAATATGAATATGTAAAGAAGACCTATAAAAAAACTTTATACTAACAATCTCTTTCTCTTTTCTTCCTCTTGTCTATCTCTTTCTCCCTTGATCACACTTTCCCTATTTGTGTCTCTCCTTGTCCCTAAAAAGTAAAATGCTCTTACTGAGTAGAAGAAAACTTTGCTCTCAGAATTTGATTTGACTAGGAATCCTGAATCCCATTGACTTGATGTGACTTTGACAAGTCACTAAAAATTCCTGTTTTTCTGTTTCCTTACCTACAAATTATAGGTAACATTTATCTTATGTTTGCTCCAAATAATAAAATTATATGTTAATAAGATTAATTCTCTATCTGTAATATTCAAACATTAATGGACTCTGAATCCTACCTATGTTGCTTAAATATCTAATGATTCTGGTAACTCTTCATAATTTAGATTACCTTGGAAGTTCTGAATTAATGTATAATGGACTTGTTCATTAAAATTAATTGATGAATTCTGTATGTGCTTAGGCTTAAAAAAGATCATTTCATAGCAATGATTAGATTATGTTTTCCTGGTGTCTTGGACTATAAATTCCTTAGAACACGAATATTGTAGCCATCTTCAGATTGTCAAGACATATAGTAAGTGCAAAATATATGCTGAATAAATGAAAAGAAAATTGACATACAATAGAAGAGACCATTTAGTTTTATTAAACATCAAACATTTAAGCTGCTAAATTTAATGATTGAAAAATTTTAAAAGATAATTTATTATTTATGTTTCATCATCATACCAAAGTGATGCAGTTAAATCGCATCATCTCCTTCAATAACGTTTTATGAGAAATTCAGTGGCATTTCATATGAAAATGCTTTCTTAACCATTGGAAAATTGTTTTTGTATGGTTTTAATTTTTTTTGTATTGGTTTCAGGCATGAGACCAGGACTGCTGTCAGCTCTAGCTAGGGCTACATAAGATTCAGCCCTATATACAGATCTGAGGCTGACTTTCTGATTCATGGTATAATGAGAAATCAAGATATGATAAAATAGATTGAACATGACTCATTTCCAGATAATTTTAAGTTGAAAGCTAATCCTAGAAGTTCCAAAAATGTCTCTAGACGGTGACATAGTAAATGGATTCCTACATGAATTTTTTAAAGCTATGTCCAAATTGCTCAGTGAAGTACACAGTCATCCGCATATAGAAACTAATTTGTCTTACCTCCACTCAACAAATCCACTTGGTATAGTTCAATAAGTATTTTAAAATCACCTACTACATAATGATTCATGTTTTTATTTTTCCACAAGTTGGCTCTTGAGATAATGTACCTCTTTTATCTGTGTTTCAGCTTCTTATGAACAAAATGAGACAGTTGAAATAAATGAATTGTTAGGACTCTTCTCACTCCTTGTGTCCCTAAATCCTAAAAGTCTGATTGTTCTCATTACTTTGATAATGTGTTTTTATTGTTCTAAATTTTTGTAAGTTTGAATCCTTTGAAAAATTATTTATCTCTTATTTTTATGCCTCCTCATCAGTACAAGTCTAAGTCTAAGGTCCAAAGTCTTTGTAGTCTCCTTACTATATCCAATTTTTTAATTTATTCAGTTCCTGATTCTTTCTCACATGTTAGTATCCTCATTATACTCTTTGTGAGTTACATAGGTAATGGATATGAGCTGAAGTTAGTTGACCATGAGTTAAACTATTAAAAAATAATTTATAAAGCCAGAGAATATTTACAGATAATCTAGGTCAGTAATTCTCAAACTTTAGTGTGTATCAGATATATAATACATGGTGGGTTTTATTCAAATGTAGATAATTGGACCTCACACCTGAATTTTCTGATTTAATTGTTCTGGGTAGAGACCCCATAATTGACATTATTAATAAGTTCTCAAGTGATGATAATGATTATAGTCATCACTTGGTCAGGGGACCATATTTTAAGAACTATTTCTCTATGTTAACTTCCTTAGTAAGACGGAGTAATGGGTGGTCCACATTAACACAGCAAGTTAATATCAAGTGGGGTTTAAAATCATGTTCTGACACAATGCCTTGTCCAGTGTTCTCTTCCATTAAATTAATGCTTCTGAAGGTATATTCTGTGGAACATTACTTAGATGGAAAGTACACGCTCAAATAAATAATTATTAAGCAGGTATCATTGATAAATAAATGTGTTTGTAATTCCATTTGATCAGAATGCCTGTTTCTTCATATCTAAATCTTATAATTTAGCAAACGTTTACCAAGTCTTTCATTGCTATTTGAAAAAAAATTTTCCTTAGGTAATTTTCTTTTTTCTTTTGTTGCTTTATAATCTATTCTGCTGATATGCTTTCAAATTGATTTTAATTGCCCTTTTTCCTTACCAGTACTTCTCTCAGGTTAAAACCACAATTGTGAGCCACTGAAGCTGATCTGTTTCTAACTAAGAATGCTCAGTTTTCAACACAATAGTATGTATTTGCATCCAAGGGTCCTGAAGTCTGGGTAATGAATGAAATCACTGTCCATAGGTGGGCTTCACTTGGCAGGAGGAAAGTCAAACTAGGTATTAGTTTTGTTTTTTTAAGATTTTCTGTATCTGGTATCTGGGCCTTAATACCTTCAGTCAAGAAAGGTGCTACATGAATATCAAAGGATTGAAAAATGGTTAGCATGTCATACCAAAGATAAGATGATTTGGAACCCAGGTGAAGGAATGCCAGGAAAAGTGTTTTCCTATTTACGTTTTGGTAAACTAGTCCTTGTTCTGGGATAAAAAACAAAAATAAAAACAAACTATAAATAATGCATAAAGGATGCAACAACTCTTTTTGAATATGTAAATTTGGATGGAGAGGAGACAACTAGCTCCATTTTCCTAGATAGAAAAGGAAAGAAAAGCATCCAGGATTTGGTCAAGTCAGGGAGAAAAACATTCCGATACATTTATAAAGGCTGGGCTGTATAATGGAAAACATAACATGTAACTTTTGCAGGCAAATGGACCAATGCACAAATGATGTTTCCAAAATCTATTTGGTTAATACCTGGGCAAAATAGTGGAATATCTTGGACTCTCAACTTTCTCATCTGTGAAAAAGGATGTGAGTAACACTTTTTTTGCAGGCTGTAGTGTGGATAGCTCTTCTGAACTCAGAAGGAGATCTGGCTCTTGTTTTCTTGCAAACTCTCCAAACAGGACAAAGACTGTAGGAGACTAAACCACCTGTTCTTCAACATTATCCCACCGGGTTAATAGCATCACCTTAATACGGCAAACATACATTAAAATGTTAATAGATGCTTTGCTTTATGCTTTAAAAGGTATTACTGGCCAGGTGAGGTGGCTCATGCCTGTAATCCCAGCACTTTGGGAGTCCAAGGCGGGAGGATCACCTGAGATCAGGAGTTTGAGACCAGCCTAGCCAACATGGTGAAACTCTGCCTGTACTAAAAATACAAAAATTAGCTGGGCGTGGTGGTGGGTGCCTGTAATCCCAGCTATTCAGGAGGCTGGGGCAGGAGAATCACTTGAACCCGGGAGGCAGAGTTTGCAGTGAGCCTGGGAGACAAGAGTGAAACTCATCTCAAATAAATAAATAAATCACTGAACTTAAAAAAAAATCAAGAATCTGATGATGGATTACAAAAGCTGAAAATGTCACATATTTTAGGAAAATAATGCCTTTTCTGTCACATAACCCCTGGTCACTTAAACATATTTTTATTTTTTCCATCCAAAATTCAGGTTGTCCCAAACTGTGAAGTAGATGATCTAATATACATTAAATATCTTAGATCAAAGGAAAATGTGGAATGCCCTCTTAGAATTTGATATCTTTATTCAATTTCATAACTTTTCAATAACCTATGTTTTAACTAAGATGTTCTTTAATCTTCATTCTCTTTTTCTCTTGCCTTTTCTTATATTATTCTCTAGTTACATTTCAGTGCACTAGATGGCAAAATAAAGGAACTAGCATTAAATGATTGATTTAGTTACACATGGGTTTATCACAAAACTTTTACTCTCTTTGTAAAGGATGAAACCTTGACTCTGCTCCTCAGCCCATGTGAGTGCTAGGGCTCTAGGACATGTGACCGATGTCTCAGTCCTGCTAAGGGGACTATTTGACTCCAGAATATGGACCTCTGTGTTGGCATCTTGGCCTCCTTACGTACCCACACACTTCCTCTAAACTGTGCTCCAGGACTAACAAAGAAAGACCATGTCCCTACATATATCTAAGATTACTCAAGTCTAAACATCGTAGGGAAAAGATATAGGAATAATGTCACACTGAGGAAAATATAATTGCTATAAAACCTTCTAAGAGCTTTTTGAATCCAGAATTAAACTGGCCATGGACTCAAAGTGAAATGTCTATAATATAAATTGGATTATGTGATTCTTTCACCTGAAATCCTTCAGTGACATCCCATTGTTTTTAGGAGGGAGCCTGATTTCTTTTGGTTTTTACCAATTCCTTTATGACTTGGGCTCTGTTGTCTTTCAGGTTTATATAAGACCACTTTCCCATCAACACTTAAGCTCCAACCATGGGGAGTGTCCAACATTTTCTCCTATGGCCATGGTTTCTTGCCTCTGAACCTCTAGTTCAGTTCGCAAAGACTTGCTCAAGTATCGTCACCTAGTAGAAGCATTTTTTTTTTAAACCACATTTACCCGGATTAGGTACCTTAATCTCTCCTTGTTTCTTCCATAGTGTGTAGCATCGCATTGTCATTGAGTCTTTACCGGTAATTCTTTTCCAATAGTATGCAAATTTCACACCTCATTCATCTCCATGTCCTCAGAGCCTATTATATTATTTTGCAAACAGGAAGTGCTCAATAAATGTTCGAAAGGAGAAAATGCCTTCAATTATTCAGCGTGAATAATATTTCTTATTTTAGACCACTCTTCTTTTTATCCCTTCTAACATTTTATTTTTGGAAACTCTTCTCTCCCTCAACATCATTATTCCAAACCGCAAGTCACACTCAAGAATGATGTACTGAACAGGCATGGCCAGTGCTAAAATCTAGCTTTGCCATTAGGTGAATAGGCATGCCAAGGACATCCTTGGGCACAAGCAACATTATTATTCTTTTTTTTTTTTTTTTTTTTTGAGAAGGAGTCTCACTCTGTCCCCCAGGCTAGAGTGCAGTGGCGCCATCTCTGCTCACTGTAAGCTCCACCTCCCGGGTTCACGCCATTCTCCTGCCTCAGCCTCCCGAGTAGCTGGGACTACAGGCGCCCGCCACCACGCCCGGCTAAATTTTTTGTATTTTTAGTAGAGACGGGGTTTCACCGTGTTAGCCAGGATGGTCTTAATGTCCTGACCTCGTGATCCGCCTGTCTTGGCCTCCCAAAGTGCTGGGCTTACAGGCGTGAGCCACCGCACCTGGCCCCAACATTATTATTCTTTTAAGAAATGGTATCTGGCTGGGCACAGTGGCTAACACCTGTAATCCCAGCACTTTGGGAGGCCGAGATTGGTGGATCACCTGAGGTCAGGAGTTTAAGACCAGCCTGGGCAACATGGTGAAACCCCATCTCTACTAAAAATACAAAAATTAGCTGGGTGTGGTGTTGCATGCCTGTAGTCCCAGCTACTCGAGAGGCTGAGGCAGGAGAATCGTTTGAGCCCAGGAGGCGGAGATTGCAAGTGAGCCGAGATTGGGCCATTGCACTCTTGCCTGGGTGACAGAGCGAGTCTCCATCTCAAAAAAAAAAAAAAAGGAAATGATGTCTGTTATTTCAGACATAAACAACAAAATAGGTTTGGGGAAAATTAGAATATTGGCTGACTTGCTTACATATATAGTATGGTTTTATATTACTTTCATTTTAAATTATATATAAGGGTAAAAATATAGTTTAATATATAGGGGTAGAGAATCACCATAGTAATTTTAAGACTTGGCATCTAGTGGCCTTAACACAGTTTTGATGTTGCTAATTTATGAGGCTGAACTAATTATTCACCTTTCTATGGCTGAGTTTGATCTTATTTAGTAAATTAGTATAATAAAACCTTGCTCTCAGGGGTTTTGTGAAGAGCAATAAAATGACATGTGTGAGCAAACAGTGAGCAGTTGCTGGCATATATTAGATACTTTTTAAGTGCCAGTATTGATTTGTGTCCAATTTACTTCTACTTTTGTTTCTGAAAATTAAATTTTTAGTCATAAAAATAAGATGGCTTTCACACATTCCTCAATATTCTCTCTGAGTTCATATTTAATGATGACCAGAAGAATGAATTTAGAGAAGGTGTATTTCAAACACGTCAAATAGTGACCATGAAATCTCATGTTTAAATGAATGACTTCCATGTGCACACACACAGTACTCACAATTTGCATTGGGTTTTTCGTATACTTTAATCTAGGATATCTCTTTTACTAAGTTTGCTTTCCTAAATGAACTGGTATAGATAATGAAGAGAAGCATGTATACTTGACCCCTGAACAATGTTAGGGTTAAAGGTATTGACCCTTTTGCAGATGGAAACCCATGTATAACTTTCGACTCCTTCAGATCTTAACTACTGTTAGCCTACTGTTGACCAGAAGCCTTACTGATAACATAAACAGTTAACACACATTTTCCGTAAAATATGTATTATATATTACATTCTTAAAATAAAGTAACGTAGAGAAAAGAAAATGTTATCAAGAAAATTATGAAAAAGAGGAAATTTATTTACTGTTCATTAAGTGGAAGTAGATCATCATAAGGGTCTTCATCCTCATTGCCTTCACTTTAGCAGGCTGAGGAGGAGAAAAGAAGAGGAGGGCTTGGTCTTGCTGTCTCAGGGGTGGCAGAGATGGAAGAAAATTAGCATATAAATGAATCCATGCAGTTCAAACTGATATTGTTCAAGGGTCAACTGTAGTTGAAAAATTTCCCTTCTCCCCAAGGAAGCCTAGTTCATTTTCCTGATTCAAAGTGTTTTCTTATTTAAATATTATAATACAAACATTTAAATAGAAATCTATTTTTAAAATAAATAATAATAGCAGCCTTCAGAAATAGTCAAGTTATGGCCAGGTGTGGTGACTCACGCCTGTAATCCCAGCACTTTGGGAGGCCGAGGCGGGTGGATCATGAGGTCAGGAGTTCAAGACTAGCCTGGCCAAGATGGTGAACCCCGTCTCTACTGAAAATACAAAAATTAGCTGGGCATGGTGGCAGGTGCCTGTAATACCAGCTACTTGGGAGGCTGAGGAAGGATAATTGTTTGAACCCAGGCAACAGAGTTTGCAGTGAGCCAAGATCGTGCCACTGCACTCCAGCATGGGAGATACAGTGAGACTCTGTCTCAAGAAAAAAAAAAACAAAAACAAAAACTCAAGTTATATCTTGTTTTATCTATTTTTAATCTTTTTAAAAGCATTTTCACTTAACTGATACTATGCTTTACATACAATTTAATATGATGCCATTATTTACTCAATATAATATAGACAATATTTTCATATCTTTAACCACTCTCTTTGCTAGCCTTCTTTTAATAATTTTACACTTTTTTTTGTTTAACTATTTCCTTGTTTAGATAAACTCCACCTAACCTTCTCCCCCTCCTCCCCTTGCTCTACAAGACTAGATTAATTCTCCTAATTATATGTTTCCAAGTGCTCATCCCAGTTATAATAATATATTGTGTAATTTTGCAGTCATGATTATAATGTAACTTCATTAGTTGATGTGATAATGTTTCACATTTCTCTCTCACCCATACTGAAATATTCATAGTGTCAGAAACTAGGGCTGTCTTCTTTGTTATTGTATCTACATAACATAGGAGAGTAATTTGCTGCTGAAAGGTTTTCTATAAGTGATTGTAAAAATATTTTATCAATCTAGATATGCTTTACCTACATTTATATGGATTTAATTAAAATTCATTCTGATATCTCAGGCTCACTTAGAAGACAGAATAGTTCCACCCTGCGTTTGTTAAGAGATGGATCTGATAGGAGGATAACCAAAAATAATATTGAAATATCTGCCACTTTGATGGTTCTCTGAGCCCAGTCCCAAGGATTGACATATGAAACCTGGAATTAAAGTAATAGTAAAACTGATAGAGCTGTTCCACTAGAATTCTTATGAACATTTGTTCTAGTACAATTGGTATTGATAACTTTGGCTTAGGAAAAAAAGAAGATCCAAGATTTTTAGGGATAATTATTTCTGGAGCACACAAGACTCTACCCTACTGGGTATCATAAATATTTAAAAGAAACATGAGTGTCCGAAACTTCCATGACATAAGTGATAATTCAGGAAATGCCATTTTGTGCTCTTACTGTGACTTTATACTTATTTACTGTATAGTGTGTCTTATGAAATACAATTTACAGAAAAAAAGGATTACAATTGTAAAGTCATAAAATGTCTTCCTTGTAAGATCCAGTGAAATCGGCAGCATCAGATGTTTAGAATCTAATATCATATCTGTCGTCTAATGATTTGCCTTGGAGAGGTGAGTGTGCTGGGTACCACGAGCTTTATCATAAATTAGCCATGTGGATTTGGGAAGCTCTCTGAGGGACTTTATTCACCTATAACATGTATACAATTGCCTTTGTATTAGAAGCTGTTTTGAAGCACAAATAAGGTAATATTTCTAAGCTGTTTAACACTATATAAGGCTAATAGTTTGCTCTTATTTAGAAGTGAACACTTATTTAAATGCTGATTCTACCATTTTCATGGAGGAGCTGCAGTTAGTTTTGCATGCTTGGTTTTAGCACCACTTTACATTTCTATTAACAATACTTATTTGTGGTTAAAATTATAGCTTCTGATCTGTAGAAATGATTGGGCTTCTCTAATCTCATGAGAAGAGTAATTCATTACTCTGATTTGATTGTTTTTATTGTTTGTTTTTAAGTTAGCCTACTTTCAATGCTTGAATTGTGGTTTTTTTTTTTTCTCTTTAAATATGTATTCAAAGTAAAAGAAAAGTCTTCTGAGATATTCATCGAACATAGATGCTCTGTTACTGGAAACTTCTAGGGTGAAAATAAACTTTACAAGGTTTTTTTTTCTTTTTTTTCCATTCATATAAGTGGATTCCGGTGATCTTAAGTTGAACTCAATGAGGTTGAAGATAGGTGTACGCTCTTTCTGTATTTTCTCAAATATTTCTGAGAAGACTGAGTGTTATATAAACTGAATGTGCCGTCATTTTTGGTCAGTAATGGTTGCATAGTTGACTGCTGTGAAGCAATTCCTTCCACTGGCACTTTGGTTAGGTTATTTTTGTTTTCACATTCTTGTCTATGGGTTCTTAATTTCTTTTCCTGAGCTCAAGAGAAAAACCAATTGTTTTGTAGCCAAGCTGGTCTATATCTTTGTCCTATCCTCTTCTATACAATTTTTGAGAGAGAAAATCCTAGTGAGAACAGGATCGTGGTAATTGTGCTGGGTTAGGGGATTCGCTTAGCCCTGCTGTCTGGCCTCAATGACATGATTCCAATCAATAGATTTATTCCAACTTACTACAATACTTCTTTTTCCTTTAGTTTGGATGTAGCACTAATGTTCTTAACTTTGAAATCCTTAAATGTTACTGTGCAGAATCCTTGAATCCTCATATGCAGGCAGCAAGCTGGTAGGTCCACTCAGAGCTGTGTCCAGGATTGGTGCAAAGAGTCAAGGATTAATTATGCTCTACAAGCAGCAGGTCAATGGAAGAAAAAGCACATTTCCAGTTTTAACATCCAAGATGAGGATACTCTGTTTTGTTTTGTTAATTTTATATGTGTGTGTGTGTGTGTGTGTGTGTGTGTGTGTGTGTGTGTATAAGTTGACACATACTAAATTATTTTTAAAATATAGTGTGATATTTATAATCATGAATATAATGTGTAATGATTAAGTGATGGTAATTAGCATATCTATCAACTCAAATCTTTATCATTTTTTCAGGTTTATAACAAAATCCTCTCTTTTATTTGAAAATATACAATTAATTATCGTTACTGTAGTCTCCCTACAGTGTTATGGAAAATTGAACTTATTCCTCGTATCCAGCTATAATTTTGTATTTGTTGACTAGTTTCTACTTCTCCCCTGCATCCTTTACCTTTCTCAGCCTCTGGTAAACACTTTTGTACTCTACTTCTCGACATCAATTTTGTAGTTTCCACATGTGGGTGAGAATATGTAGCATTTAACTTTCCATGCCTGACTTCATTCACGTAATATAATGTCCTTCAGGTTCATCCATGTTACTGCAAATGACAGATTTCATTCTTTTTTATGGCTGAATAGGTCTTCATTATGTATATACCACACTTTATTTTTCTATTCATCTGGTGATGGACATGTAGTTTGATATCATATATTGACCACTGTGAATAATGCTGCAATAAACATGGGAGTGCACATATCTCTTCAACATACTGGATATATATCCAGTAATGGCATTGCTGGTTCATATTGTAGGTCTATTTTTAGCTTTTTTAGGAAACATTCATATTGTTTTCCATAATGGCTGTATGTATTTACCTTCCCACCAACAATATATCAGTTTATTTTTCTCTGCATCCTCACCTGCATTATTTTTTTTTGTCTTCTTAATTATAGCCATTCTAACTGAAAAGAGATAAAATCTAATTGTGGTTTTGATTTGCATTTTTCTTATGATTAGAGATGCTGAACATATTTTTATATACCTGTTGTCCATTTTTTTAATGTCTTCTTTGGAAAAACTTATCTGTTCAGATCCTTTGCCCATTTTTAAATTGTATTATTTATTTCTGGCTTTGTTTGAGTTTCTTGTGTATTCCAGACATGAGTGCCTTAATTGAATGAATAGTTTGCAAATGTGTTTTCCCATTGTATAGGTTGTCTCTTCACTTTATTTATTGTTTCCCTTGCTGTGCAGAAGCTTTTTCGTTGATGTAATCCTATCTGTCTATTTTTGCTTTTGTTGCTTGTGCTTTTGAGTTCTTATGCCAAAACATTTGCCCAGGGCAATGTCCTGAAGTGTTTCTTCAAAGTTTTATTTTAATAGTTTTATAATTTAAGGTCACACATTTAATTCTCTAGTACATTTTGAGTTCATGTTTGTTTATAGTGAGAGGTGGGTATCTAGTTTCATTCTTCTTATATACGGATATCTAGTTTTCCTAGCACCATTTATTAAAAAGACTGTTCTTTCCCCAATGTATATTATTGGTGATTTTATCAAAAATGAGTTAGCTGTAAGGGTGTTGATTTATTTCTGGGTTCTCCATTGAGTTCCATGGGTCTATGTATGTGATTTTATGCCAGTTTCATGCTGTTTTGGCTACTATAGCTTTGTAGTATAATTCGAAATTAGGTAGGGTGATGCCTTCTTCTTTGTTCTTTTTATTCAGGGTTCTATTAGCTATTCAAGTCATTTGTGGTTCCATACAAATTGAAATTTTTGTTTTAATTTCTGTTGACAATGTCATTGGAATTTTGATAGGGATTTCACTGAATCTATAGATCACTTTGAGTAGTATATGTATATTGACAATATTAATTCTTCCACTCCATAGGCATAGGACAGTTTTCCATTTTTTGGTGCCCTCTTCTATTCCTGTCATCGGTGCTTCGTAGATTTCTTTGTAGAAATCTTTCCCTTCTTTGGCAAGTTTATTCCTAGATATTTCTCCTTGTTGTAGCTATTGTAAACATAACTACTTTCTTGATTTATTTTTCAGATTGATCATTGTTAGTGTTTATGAATGCTGCTGATTTTCATATGTTGATTTTGAATCCTGCAGCTTTACTGAATTCCTTTAGTAGTTTTAAGCATTTTTTAGTGGAGTCTAGATTTTTCTTAGTATAATATCATATCATCTGCAAACAAGTATAATTCAACTTTTGTCTTTTTAGTTTGTATGCCTTTTATTTCCTTCTCTTCCCTAATTGCTCTGGCTATGACTTCCACTATTGTGGTGAATGGAAGTAGTGAAAGTCGACATCTTTGTCTTGTCCTAGATTTTAGAGGAAAGGCTTTTTATTTTTCCCTGTTAAGTATGAAATTAGTCGTGGGTTTTTTGTTTGTTCATTTATTATTTATTTATTTATTTATTTTGAGACAGAGTCTCAGTCACCCAGGCTGGAGTGCAGTGGCACAATCTTGGCTCACTGCAACCTCCAACTACCAAGTTCAAGAAATTCTCGTGTCTCAGCCTCCAAGTAGTTGAAATTACAGGCCCATGCCACCATGCCCATCTAAGTTTTATGTTTTTAGTAGAGATGGGTTTTCGCCATGTTGGCCAGTCTGGTCTCAAATTCCTGACATCAAGTGATCCACCCATCTCGGCCTCCCAAAGAGCTGGGATTATAGGCATAAGCAACTGTGCCCCACCTAGTCATGGGTTTCTAATATATGGCCTTTATCATGTTGGGGTATATTCCATACCCAATTTGCTGAAAATTTTTATCATGAAGAGATGTTAAATTTTATCGAATGCTTTTTTGGCATCTATTTAAAAAATCATATGGTTTTTGTCTTTGATTTGTCCTTTGTGATGTATCACATTTACTGATTGAGTGTGTTAAACCACCCTTGCCTCCCTGGTATGAATTTTACTTGATCATGGTGAATGATTTTTAAAATTTGTTGAATTTCATTTGCTAGTATTTTGCTGAGAGATTTTGCACCTATATTCATCAAGGTTATTGACCAGTAGTTTTCTCTTTGTGTCTTTGTCTGGTTTTGGTATCAGGATGATTCTGGCCTCTTAGAATAAGTTTGGAAGTATTCCCTCCATTTAGATTTTATACAATAGTTTGAGTAGAATAGGTATTAGTTCTATTTAAAGGTTTGGAAGAATTCAGCAGTGACTCTGCCAAGTTCTGGGCTTTTCTTAGACGTGAGATGTTTTTTACTATTTCAATTTCATACTCGCTATTGGTCTGTTCAGGTTTTCTGTTTCTTCATGGTTCAACCTTGGTAAGTTGCATGTGTCCAGAAATGTATCCATATCTTCTAGGTTTTCCAATTTTTTGGTGTATAGTTGTTCATAGTAGTCTCTAATAATCCTTTCAATGTCTGTGGTATCTGTTATAATGTTTTCTTTTTCTTCTCTGATTTTATTTATTTGGGCTTTCTCTCTTTTTTCTTAATCTGGCTAAAAGTTTATTGATTTTGTTTATCTTAAAAATGACTTTTTGTTTTATTGATCTTTGGGTTTGTTTGTTTGTTTGTTTTAGCCTTCATTTCACTGTTTCTGCCCTGACTTTTATTATTTCTTTCCTCCTACTAATTTTAAGTTTGGCTTGTTCTTGCTATTCTAGTTCCCTGAGGTTCATCATTGGATTTTTTATTTGAAATCTTTCTACTATTTTGATGTAGGATCTTATTGCTATAAACTTCCCTGTTAGAACTGCTTCTGCTCTATTCTATCGGTTCTGGCATATGTGTTTCTATTTTTATTTTTAAAAATAATTTAAAAAATTTCTTTCTTAATTTCTTCATTGATCCATTGGTCATTCAGGAACATGTTTTTTACTTTCCATATACTTTTAGTTTCCACAGATGCATTTGTTATTGATTTCTAGGTTTATTCTCTTGTGGTCAGAAAAGATATTGGATATGATTCTGACTTTTTAAAATTTGTTAAGGACTACAATTTAACTTCAGTGTTTCTTTGTTGATTTTTTGCCTGGATGATCTGTCCATTGCTGAAAGTGGGATGTCGAAGTCTCCTATGATTGTTGTATTGCAGTCTGTTTCTCTTTTTAGATTTATTATTTGTTTTATATTTTTTATACATAAATATTTATTTATAATCATTATATATGATCATTATATAATATCATTATACAGTGACCTTCTTTGTCTCCTTTTATAGTTTTTAGCTTAAAGTCTACTTCATCTGAAATAAGTATAACCACTTCTGCTCTTTTTTGGTTTTCATTTGCATTGAATATGTTTTTCCATCTCTTTACTTTTAGTCTATGTGAGTCTTTATAGGTAAAGTGAGTTTTTGTTGACAGCATATAGTTGAGTCTTGCTTTTAAATTCATTCAACCACTGTATATGTTTTATTGGGGAATTCGGTCTATTTATATTCAATGTTATTATTAACAGGTAACAACTAACTACTGCCATTTTGTTACTTGCTTTCTACTTGTTTTCTTACTTCTCTCTTCTTCTCTTTCTTTCTTAATGTCTTCTCTTTTCCTCTCTCTTTTTTTTTAATATCCTCCTTTGTGCTTAAGCAATTTTCTCAGGTAATATATATTTTAATTTGTCCCTTTTTATTTTTAGTGTATCTGTTGTAAGTTTTTGCTTTGTGGTTACCACAAGGCTTACCAAAAAAATTCTATCATTATAACAAATTATTTAAAACTGATACCAACTTAATTTTGACTGCAAAATTTAAAATGAAAAGAAAAAAAGAAGCAAAAACAAAACCTATATGCATTAACCCCCTTCTTTCTTTATATTTTGAGTTTTTAATGTCATAGTTTACATTTTTAGCAATGCCTATCTCTTAACAAATTGTTTTTGTTATTATTATATTTAATAGTTTTGTCTTCTAACCTTCTTAGTAAAGACTTAGTGGTTTACATGCCATGGTTACAATATCAGTGTAACAATCATGTTAGGATTTTTTTTTTTTTTTGGTTTGAAGAACTCCCCTTAGCATTTCCTGTAGGTCAGATCTGGTAGCAGTAAAGTCCCTCAACTTTTGTTTTCTGGAACCAGCCTGTTTCTCCATTTTTGAAGAATAGCTTTTCTGGGTACAATTTTCTGGGCTGGGATTTTTTATTTTTCTTCAGCACTCTGTATATATTGTCCCTCTTTTGCCTGGCCTATAAGATTTCTACTGTGAAGCCTGCTGCCAGGTGTACTGGATCTTTCTTATATGCTGTTTCCTTCTTTTTGCTGCTTTCAGGATCCTCTCAATGTTTTGTCCTTTGAGAATATGATTATAATAGGTATTGGGGTATTCTTATTTAGGGTGAATTTGATTGGTTGCCTTTGACCTTCTATTACCTGGATATTTATGTCTTTCCCCAGGTTTGAAAAATTTTGTTATTATTTCTTTAAATATTTCTTTGAATAATATTTAATTTATTTCCACTACTTTGTCTTTCTCATTTCCCCTTTTTCAGATTAATAACCTAAATATTTGCCCTTTTTATGTTATTTCATAGATCTCAAAAACTTTGCTCATTCCTTTGTTTTAAAGTTTTTCTCCTCTGACTGTATATTTTCAAGTAGTCTGTCTTGGAGCTCACAGATTCTTTCTTCTGTTTGGTCAATTCTGTTGGTAATATTCTATTGCATTTTTTAATTCATCCATTGTATTTTTCATCTCTAAGATTTCTGTTTGATTTTTAAAAAAATTATTTCAATTTGTGTTAAATTTCTCCAATAAACTTCTGAATTAATTCTCTGCATTTTGTTTAAGCTCAATGAGCTTCCTTAAAACAACTATTTTGAAGCCTTTATTTGAGAGATCACACATCTCCACCCCTTTAGGTTTGGTCTCTGGCACCTCATTTTCTTCATTTGGTGAGGTCATATGTCCCTGAGTGTTCTTGGTGCTTTGGACATGCAATGATATCTGTGCGTTGAGGGATTAGGTATTTATTTTAGTGTTCGTATTCTGACTTTGTGTTTGTCCTTCTTCAGAGGGCCTTCCAGGGATTCTAAGCAGACTGGCAAGTTTCCTGAACTTGTGACCACTGCAGCTGTTTCAGCACTAAAAGACATTTTATAAGCCCAGGCTGGCTGTGAGTGTCATGAGGACTCCAAGACTGATGTATCTTTTGGGGCCAGATGGACCTGGGGAAGACCAACCAAGGGCCTGAGTTGCGTGGGAATGCTGTCCGAGGATCAGAGACCAGCAGACTGTCCTGGTGATCCAAGCAAGCATGTTTCCCAGCAGGTCTCCACATGAGTTGGGTGGTTCCCTGACTGTAGTGAAAGGTGCTGGAGTTGCGACTGGGCCCCTTCAGGATCTGCTTTGAGAAGGAGGCTGATGGCCCTGTGTAATTGGCCCTGATGGGCATACATTACCCAGCAGGCCCCCGCACAAGTTGGATATTTCCTCTGTTTTAACAGGAGAGGCCAGAACTGAGACTGAGACCCCTTGGTATCTGCTATGGGATAGAAGCTGAAAAGTATTGTCTCTACTCAGAAGGGTGCATTTTGCCTACCAAATTCTTAAACAGATAGCATAGTTTCTGATTGCAGCAGGCAGGGACTGGAGCTGAGACTGGGTCCCCTCAGGATCTGCTGTGGGATGAAGCTGGAGATCCTCATCTCTTTGGTTCAGAGGAGCACGAGTCTCCCAGCAAGTCCCTGTGCAGGCAGGATAGGTCTCTGCAGTATAAGGACTGGAGCTGGGTCTATACCCCTTCATCACCTATTGTGGGACAGAGGCTGAAGAGCCCAATCTCATTGGTTCAGAGGGGCATGCATCTTCCAGGAGGACCCTGCAAAGACAGGATAGTTCCTTGACTGCAGCAGAAGGGGCTGGAGCTGAAACCGGGTCCCCTAGATTTGCTGTCAGAAGGAAGTTAATGAACTCACTTAGGAGGCTCAGACTCCTGGGCTGAAAAATATAAGTGAATCTCCCTCTGGGTCCTTGTGCACACAGCTCTGAGCTGAGACTTCTGCTGAGTGGAACTGGAGTTAAGCCACAGGGCCACTCTCAGGTTTACTTCCTAGAGTGATATTACTGGGCAGACAAGCCTGTCCACCAACGCACTGGAGTGTACAACTCCTGGATTCCTTGGCAGATGGTTTTGGTTGCAGGCTCGAGAACAAATTGAGCTGTAACCAAACCTCTGGGAAGAACGGGCCATTTCCAGATGTGAACTAGGGAGCAAGCATAGTGGATAAGCTACCTGAGTATCAGTCTGCACTCTCGAAATGATCCTTCAAGGTCTTTGGCTCCACTTGGGTTTCCCAAACTCCTACCTGAGTCATGAGGCTATGGATGGGTGTAGCGTTCTTATTTTGGTGGGGGGAATTATGAGTGGGTTACCTTCTGTTTCACCATCTTAGTCTTCTTTTTTCAGGTGTAATAGTCAAAGGGGTCAGGACATTTGCCTTGCTTTACACATACCTTATGCTCCAGTCATTTCGCGGTGTGCCTTATTCTTAAATAACCATGCTCTGAATAGTTTTCTGTGTCAAGGTTTTTGTTTCTATTTACCCTTTGGTTTGAGATTCTCAAATACTTGTACTCCCTATCCTGGCCTCAGTCACCTACACACACACATGCACACACACACACACACTCACGCATGCACACACACACAGACATACACACATGCCCTCTTCTTTCCTGTAAGGTAGAGGCTATTGTGTATTGAAGAATCAGTTCAATTGCCACTTTCTCCATTTAGCTTATTTTGTTTCTTGTGAGTTATAAGGATTAAATGCCATATTTTAAGGACCTAACTCATACTAAATATTTACTTATATATTCTTATTCATTTTTGATACACCTATGAAAATTACAGGAACTAGTTAAATATTTGCTAAATATACTAGATAAGAATAGAAATAAATGATATATGGTGAATATGGGAACAATGTATACCTCTAAATTTTATTAATTATTTTTTATAATATTAATATAAGTGACTGAATAATATCAATCTTGAATTCTGCTTGATGTTTTTGATGGAGATATGTTTCAGCCCATATCAAAATCATAATCCGCCTTATTCCCCATCCATCCAATAAATCCATAAAACAAAAAAGTATTAGCAATTAAAAGACAACAGCATTTCCTTATTTCTTTCTGCACCCTGAAAACCTAGGATGGACTAATAAGTGGCCAAAGGATTTTTTTTTTTTTTTTTAGTATATGAGCCATGTTAACTGTAATTCTACTGTATGTAAAATAATCAGACAAACTAAGTATATCAAGTCTTTTAGATGAGTTGCTTTCCTTATAGACACATAGCCGATGGTGTTTTAGATGCAAGTTGCATTAGGCATAATCATTCCTGGAAATCAGATCCAATACTAACTTGGAATCATTATTACCTTGCACTTAACAAAAGAGGTTATTATTTTAAAAGTAGTAAATTAACTGGCTGCCTTTTCAAGCAAATGTGCCATCTAACTTTGACTGTTAATTGCAGGGCATTCTAGATTACTTGGTAGTTGAACTTACTAAAAAAACAGACTAGTTTATAATGGAACATACACAGGAGAAGTTGATGCTGAGATGAATTAGGCATGAAAACACAGAGGGAGGAGCTTCCTCATAGGAAGACGTTTACTCTATGTAAAGTTCTATGCTGGGTTTCTTCAACCATTTTTTGATAACATTTTTAAACAATTTTAAATGCTTCCATAAATCTTTCGAGATATCTGTTATATTTCCCTTTAAAGATGCTTCTGGTTTTTCCGTAGTTGGGAGAGTGGTGTGTAAATCTTTCCCCAAAGAGAAAGAGGGTAGAAAGGAGATTGATAGGCCACTAAATGATAAGGTGATGAAAAGGCTTGGAAAGATAATGACCTGATCAAATAAAATGACTATTTTATAATAAGAGCTGTCATTTTTCAGGAGAAAAGTTGGAAAAATAGGGATTAAAACTGCTTTTCTCTACCCTTACCCCCTTGCAATATGGATTTATTAATTTTAGATCAATTACTTTGTAATGACTAAACTCTCAAGTCCAAAAGCTATTACATTATAGAGTGCAGTGAAAATTTAACATATGCAACAACATATCACCTGCATTGGGAGAGAAGTATTTGTTTTCTGCTTCAAGCTCTTACAAATTACCTGCAAATCATTTCACAGTGGAGATAATTAAAACTATCTTCACCTTAATTTCAAACAGAGTCATTCTCTGTGTTCTCACCTAGCCTGTAGTCATATTTTAACCAGACTCATTACAAAACACATATGTATTTTCAACATTTGCTATGTTTTGTTGTTTGTCACTTGTTTACATTTATTCTCAAGCATCTGGGCAAATGGATTCTAGTGTAGTCATGCTCATATTTCTTGTAAAATCTTAGTCAATCACTGAACCGCTCAGATTCAGCAACAGGATGGTTTAGTCTAATTGGAGTCAAGGATCTGTTTTAGCTTTAAGATGTGATAATTTAGTTCATTCTCTTTTCTCTGTTCTCTCTCTTCTCTCTTCTGTTGTCTCTGTTTCACTTTCTGTCCTCCGACTCCCAACTCCACTATGTTGGGCCAAGGTTTTTTCTCCCCACTCTACTTCCTAACACCCGGACTAGTCTTGGGACTCTGGAAGGCAGCATCTCTGGGCTTCAGTTTCTCCGGGTTAAACATCATGGTCTCTGACTCCCATACAATCACAAGACTAGGTCAATCAATTTTGTCAAGGTGGGAATTTTGTCAAGCTGGGAATTTAGTGTTAAAGGTGTAGGAATTAGATGGTCAAGCACATGGATTTGAGGTCAGATAGATTTGGCCACAAATTCTAGCTGCTTCTCTTGTATCTATGGGACACTATCAACCCCCCTTCTTCCTTCATTCCTCTTCACCTTACCAAGTCTCTTAAATAGCTTCTCATTTCTCTTTCTTTACCTGTTCTAAAGTGTCATCTTATGCCATCATTTTCTCTATGTTCGAACTGATCTAGCCACCCAAGCCACATTCAACTTTTAAAAACACCCAAATTCTTCTATGTCAGAACTTTAATCTTTACTGTCAAGTTAGTTTAAATGGCCCTGCCATCAGCTCTTGGAAAAGAAGTCTCCTCATGCTTTAGATTTCAAGTTAGAATGTGACCTTTCCTGATCACCTTTTCTAGGCATTCACACATAGTTTTCCAGTCATGATCCCAATTTTCTTTCATAATAGCAATCTGTTACTTTCTCAAATAAAAATCACAAATATCTATGTTTACCTCCTTGTTTTTCTTTAACTATTGTATTATAAGCTCCATGAGGAAAGAAGATGTCTTGTCTACTAGGTCCATAACTCTTAGCCAGCACTGAGAACTGTTTTTGGCACACAATGGAATTTAATTATCTGTCTAATGAATTAATGAATAAATGCATGTGCAAGTTTCTTTTCTCAAACTGTAAAATGGGGAAAACAACCCTTACCGCATAATAACTCAAGAATTAAGTTAATGGTTATAAAGCACTTATCTAGAACTAGAACTTGGTGACCTCTCAAAAAATGGTGGTGGTTGTCCAATGGATAAGGTCCATATGATAAGATTGAAATGTTTAACTTCACGGGTGTAGCAAAGTGGAAGAGTTACCAATGGTGACTATTCCTAAGTATTTCATCCCATCATATCTGCCACACCTGTTCATACAATCTACAGCTCTGTACTGTAGCTCCAGCCTCTAAGATTATTTTGAAGGTAGCAGCACACAGGGTCCAAAAAGGCTATTGTTCAGCTGCTTTGAGACTCATACAAGGGCAACTGTCCCTGGCATGTCAACCCATTTTATGCAGGCTTCCTTTTGGTAGTTAATTGCTCATGTCTTCTCTTTCTTATAATACCATACTACTTCTCTGTAACATGATTTTTCATCTTCAGCAAGCAGTGTCTTCTTCTGAGCCTAGGTTTTCTCATTTGTAAACTTGGAAGCATGCTAATATTATTTCTTTTTTCATAAGAATAATAGGAGATGTAACCCTACTCTGTCACATATTATTTACATGATCCTAGGAAACATTTTAGCCACACAAAGCCTCAATTTTCACATGTGCTTGGTGGAGTAACAATAATTAGTTCTTATGTCTAGTGAAAGCAATATGGAGTCTGTAAAATCAAACTGGAAATTGTTAAGTAGTTTTCCCACTGTGTACTGGGAATGGAGGAGTTCCCAATCCAGGGTGGCCTTTCGCTCTGTCCTCCAAAAGATTAATCTGGGAAAATAACAAGTATGTGCATTAAATTATTAAGCACACTTGCAAACTGATTTTAGTAATATAGATGAAAATGTACTGGAGAAAGGAGATATCCACATGAGTTAGAGCACAAGGGACAACTTCAGGGATGGAGTTACATGGATTGGAACAAGGAAAAGATGAGCAGAAAAATAAGACCTCTACTTGGAATTAAAGAGGAAATGGATTTTTGCTCAATGAAGACATCAGCCAGTTTGGTCTTTTCTATTTCATCTATCATTCCCTGTTCTTTGACACAGATTATGACCTTGATAGGGTGGATTATTTAACTAGAACTTTCTCATTGCTAGACTAGCATAGAGTAGCCTACTTTTTATCCATATCTCTTTTGAGAATTGGTTAATTAATGTTTGTAAATTAGCTAATTAGCATTACAAGATTTTCTCCTCAAAGGCTCTGTAAAATACTAAGTAATTTCTAGGGGAAAACACATCAGCCACACTTGTTAAGGGAGGGAGCACAAGAGACCTCCTTGAGAGCTTGAACTTGGACATGGGCAGAATGTTATTTTTCCAAGCAGGACGTAACATGACCAACTCTGGAGTGGCTAGATGTTACGTTAGTAAGAAACATCTTTCTTCTTCTCTAGGACAAACACAGACAGTTCTTTCCTAACTGAAAGTGTGTTCTCAATGGCTGTTTTTTCCTCGGTGTTAGAAACAATGCCCTTCAATTGACAAATTCTAATAGAAACAGGAAGGGCTTTGATTACAAGTTGCTGAGAATCACACTGAGATGTGCACATTCAACATCATCATTTATTTTAAAGATAACTACAGAAAGGTGCTAAGCGTTGTATTCTGCTTCTCCTGCTAGGAGTACAGAATAAACATGAGAGGGGAGGGTGTGATAGATTAACCTAAACATGGAGTCTTCATATTAATACCAAACAAAAAAATCAGTCACTGTCATTGATAGGTTTTTCATTAACATCACCATTGAATGACCTTCCCACTTTCTAGGTGAAAATTGACTTTTTTACCTTAAAAAATTGAAGCTTGATGTTTTTGTTTAGAAAGCCAGGCCAACCATATCTACCTCTTAATTTGTTGTGAGGAGGAAATGAATGAGTGTGCACAAAGTGTCTGGCACAGTAAGTATGAGTTCATGTCATTCTCCTTTTCCTTGCAACTAGTATGAGATCGGTGTATAGTAGACACTCAGTAACTGCTTCTGGAGTGAATGGCTCATCTGACCATCACACAGTTGCATTCAAAAGGGAAATAATGGTCTGAAATCTGAACAATTCTACATCCGAGTCCATTCTGTAAAACGTATTATCGTTTGCTTAGTTTAGTTTTAGAAGACTTATTTTGAATGTGTCAGATAAAGGAAAGGTGGAGCTAAACAGCATTTCCTTAATCAGGTTTCAGAATGCTAATATATACTATACATTCATTTTATTACATTTCATTTTTAGAACAGGGAGAACACTCATCCAAAAAATAAAAAAAGAAAGAAAGTGTGGCTCTTTCCTTTTAAGAACCCGAATTATAATATAGAACATAAGTTTTTAATATACAAAACATGTTGTCATGCAGTTGAAAAAGTAAATGCACTAGAGAACTACAGAGGGGTGAGATTTTTCCCCCAAGATTTCATCAGGCAAGGGAGCAGGAAAAAGATAGCAAACTGGCTTAGGTATGCTCACTGATTTACTTGCTATTCAGAGAAACCCAAATCCCTTTATATCAGTGTCAGGGCTGGCTACATTATTTACAATGCCTGATGCATAATAAAAATATGGAGACTTACTTTTGTTCAAAAATAAAAAACTTTTTATCTCTCTCAGGTCTCTTTCTTGACCTATCATGGTATTTTTTATTTGCTATTTAATGTCTCATCTTTCAGGCAGGGGTTACTCCCAGGCATGTGCAGACCCTCACAGGCTCACCAGTGCTACCCTGCAAATCTGCATGTGTGCACCAGGACCCACCAGCTGGAAGATTCTCCTTCCCACCAGCCAGGACGGGGAAGTAAAGTGAGGCATCTTCCTTTCCCATGAGTTGGCCTATCTGAACCCATGAGGAATAGACCACATCGAAGTGATTGTAATCTGTACTCTGGGCTCACTTGCTAAACAACATGGCCAGCCCAAGACAGAGAAGGCTGCTTCATATCCCAGCTGGAGTCCTCAGTTACCTAACCTTGACTCTATAACATGCCCAGGCCCCTTCCAGGGTTGCAAGGCAACACTGGTTCCTTGATAGCATGGGAGGAGCAGGCCAACTGGGACCCAAAATGCCAGGTGGCAGTGAAGCATGCAGTGGAAAACTCATCTCAGGGAGGTGGGAAAATAGTGAGGCTGCCAAAGAGGGGATTCCCTTGAGCTTAATCTTGAAGCTCCCAGAGCATGCTCCATTGACCCGTTGGAATTCACTGCCAAAATGCAAATTAAAATCTAATTTATTAAGAATTTAAAAACAATGACTGCAGAACATTAAAGCCCAAGCATAAGACCCTTCTGGGTGTGGAGCTTTGTTTGACTGCTCTGGTTGCACAACCATGAGGCCAACCTTTCCAATGTGCTGTTCAGGAAAAATATGAGAGATAACAGGTACTGCATCTTGCTGAGAGTGAGTTTTATTTCTAGAAGTCGATACCCTTCAGGAAAGTGCTAAGCAAGGGAGTGAGGTTAAGTCAGTCAGAGCTAATCACCAATTTTGATCTCAAAGCTACAAACTTAACCATTCTGAGATAGAAGTGCTTTGACTCAAGGACTACAAAGAAAGATGACGAGGCTGAGGCAGGTCCCAGATGAGTGCTAGTTTGGTGACTATTCTGTTACCCAAAGATTTTACATCAGTTGTGTTTGGACTTAACATATACTTCAAATGAAAATACATGAATCAGTGCAATGTAAAGATTGGGAATGGCTTTTCAAATCAGCCACAACTAGGTCTTAACTCTATTTTTGTGACTGCCTAACAATGGGCAAGCTGTGGCCTATCTCTGAGCTTTAGTTTCCTTTTTGATAAAATGGGAATATATGTCTTGCAGAATTCTTGTGAAAGTTAGAAGGACTCATATATGTTAAAAAAATGTCTTATAACTTCAGGAAGCTAATGTTTAGTTTGTTAGCAGTTAGTTTCCTTTCTAATTTTTCTGTCGTCATCCTTAGAATATCTGTCAGCCCTAGTAATCAATTTGGTTATTTGAAAGATCACTGTCAAGAAAATTCAGGTAACTAGGAGATTAAAGCATGTAGCTTGTAGTCTTTCTAAGTTAGAAAGACTCAAAGAAAACCTATAGCAACATACCTCATGAAATCAATGGTTTGTCAACAGTGCCCTCAAGACTCATCTTCTCAAGCCATAGCACACAGGGGACTGCTTTGAGCAGAAGAGTTTCTGTATGCATTTCTCAAAATCTGACAATTTATTCTCCAGTACAATCAAAGCAAATGTATACAGAGGGAGGTTGTTTGCTCAGTGGCTATAGTTCTGCAAGAACTGACTTGGCCTCTGTCTTTGGTTTTGGGTGATTGCAAAAATTAACGGTAATGGAAAGTGCGAAAGACCAGGTATATTGAGGGGAGTTGTTACTGTGTTTTCTTGACTTTGATTTTGACCTTAAGTAACTTACTTCACATATCTGGACCTCAATGATTCATCTAGGAATAAGTGCTAAGCATGAATTAACATGGATAAGGGAATGATACTGTATGTAAGTGCAATAAAATTATCCCTTTGGCTTTCAGAGTAGGGATAGCTCCCAGGAGTGGGTTGAATCCAATGACCTTATTGTCTAATCTGGAGACATAATTGTGTGACCACAATGAATACTGTCTACTATCCACTGGCTCTATGCATCAAAGTTAATTTTGAGAGGAAAAAATACATAGACCAACCAAAACAGATTCTTTTCAGATTTCAAAATATCCTTCTTAAATGTTTTGGAGGAAGGATGGGTTTTGATTTATAAAACATTTCTGAAGTTAGTTTTATTGTTCTGATGTATTTTTATTATGTAATCATTGATTTCTTCTAGACTCAAGAAGAATTTCTATATTTTGACCTAAGATGTTTGTTTCTGAATTAGATAATTTGTCTTTATTAGTTATAAAGCATATGCACATACTATGAAACATCTACCTTAAAACCCACATGCAAAAATCTGTGTTGATCATCTAAATTATTTTTAATTTGCCAATTTGAATTATTTAGATACCTTGCCCCTCCAGATGTGTAATTGTGAGTTAATTACTTTCTGTTTAATTTAGACTGAAATGAAGAAACTGTATGATACTGTTTGTGTTTTTCTATTTGGTGTTCACTATTTGACATCAGAAAGTCTGATTTGACAAATGTGTTTTTTCAGATAAGTAGTTCTAATCAAAGTGGTATGATTTAATTTTTTAAAGTACTTTTAAGAAGAAAATTTACTCAGAGGTAGAATTTATAACTTTAATATTATTTTCATCTCAAGTATGAATATTAGGTTCCAATTGTTTTATCTCCATATAAAATGATGAATGTGTGCACATGCCTAACAGAAAATATACCAATCTCAAAAAAGGCATCTAGGTATCCCAAAAACAGTATCACAGGGACACAGCGTTAATTCATTTAGGTGAGAAGGAAAAAGAAAAACAAAAACAAAAACAGACAGAATGATTTAATGAAGATATCACATAGAGAATGCTTTTGAAAGAAGACAAGGGAGTAGTATTTATTTGACTTTTAAACACATTCAAATCCATTATATTGAATTTATATCAAGGACCAAGAAAGGGAATTGCAGGTTCCTGAAGATGCAGAGTGAGATGGTGCAATGGTACTGCAATTTGCAGTTGTTTCCTTGATGGATGTTGGTTTGTTTTCAACGGGCACAGTGTTTCTTTCTGATTACTGATATCAAATACATCAAGAAAACATCTGTTGCCAGGCTGCACCTTGTATATTTAAGATGCAGAGCTGATAATTTTTTAATGAATATATTTTCAAGTAATGAAGTAACTAATAATGATGGACAGAAAAGATGCTTAGTGAAATTTTTCTTTTATTGAAATTTTACATAAATTAAAATCCTGCCAGTATAAACAAACAAAAAATTAAAATTTACAATTCAGAAAAAGACAGTTGATTTGTACTTTCAAATTAAAATAATATATTTTAACAAATGAAATCTTATACCAGCATATTACTATCATAGCAATGAATTAACATTGCAATATCCGTTATCAAGCCCTAACTTCTGCAAAGTTGTCAATGGGTACATCAAATTGATCTTCTCCAATATTCGTGGACAATAACCAATTTAATTAAATCCATTAACTGTCAATCTGCCTCTGATTATAGATGATCAGAAATGCTTTTTATTAATTTTATTTTTAGAAGTTTATTTTACATGCATATTTATATGCAGTCAGAGATTGAGATAGAGTGTGAGAGTCACAACAAATCCCATTTTAAAACAAATTCTAGAAATTTTAATACTGTCTGTGTGTTTCTTTATGATAGATCCAGAAATTTTCAAATAGCCTTATAATTGTGATAATTTAAACAGAAAGTGAAACTCCAAGTAGTCACATGGAATGCTAGAACTAAACTAACTCAAGTTGTATTTCTATACCTTTTTAATCACTGTGCTATCATTGTTTATTTAGAACCAACTGTTTAATGTAGAAATATATAGTGCTTGTAATGATTTTGGATCTCTTTCTCTCTGCCTCTTTTTTAAATTTTTAATATATCCAGAATAATAATGAGCCTAACCACGTGGCATAAATTCTGTGAAGATAGAAAGAGAGATAAGATGCAAATATGTTTTAGGAAATCAATAGGCCTAAACTCATTTTAGGTCTATTACGACTGTTGTTAATGCTGTTTTATAATAACATGTATAGAGAAATATAAACAAATTGCATTATTAGCTATTATGAAAGATATTAAAACAAATGCAAATGCTATCTTCCTGAGAAAGTAATTTTATATATTTTTAGCTGATTACATGAGAAATTTAATTTAAAAAATAAAATTTGTATATTTATAACAGAAATGCAATCACTGTGGACTGAAGACAAGTACAGGGTAACAGATAATAATAGTGATTAAAAAAAAAGATCACCCACAATCCTCCTCTTCCTTCCCTTCCCAGGGAAAATTGTTGTTAACATTTTAATACAGGGAAACCTTTTCTGAGAGATATTAAATTCAAAGTTCCAAACAAAGCACAGACTCACGGTGATTCTTTTCACAGAAAATAGTATACTTTGATTGCTCCTATTCATATATGAAGTTCAGAGTATCATGTTGATTCTGCAGGATGTGAGAAATGCCAATGCAATGGAGTGAAATTTGCTCACCAAACAGTAAGCATGAGGAAACAATGTCTTTTGTATTCTCTGCAAATCATGCTAAAAAAAAAAAATCTCTCCAGGAAACACTATAAGAAGTACCTCTGATGGAAGACAGCATTGTTCATTGGAAAGGGCAGTAGAAGAAAATTTAGGGTGACCAGAGTGCTTTCTGTGACGTTAGCCATGGCATTGGAGAATGCTGAAGTTGAAAAAACTAACTTCAGCCAAACCTGCCACCTCAATATATAGATGAAGAAACTAAGCCTCAGAAGAGTAAGAGTTTCCCTGAACTCTTAAAGAATGACATTGTAACAGCTAGAAAGCTTAAGTGCCTGATTTTCTTAGTTTTTGTTTTTCCTATTAAAAGATGGATAGAATTTGCATTTCTCTGATGGCCAGTGATGGTGAGCATTTTTTCATGTGTTTTTTGGCTGCATAAATGTCTTCTTTTGAGAAGTGTCTGTTCATGTCCTTCACCCACTTTTTGATGGGGTTGTTTGTTTTTTTCTTGTAAATTTGTTTGAGTTCATTGTAGATTCTGGATATTAGCCCTTTGTCAGATGAGTAGGTTGTGAAAATTTTCTCCCATTTTGTAGGTTGCCTGTTCACTCTGACGGTAGTTTCTTTTGCTGTGCAGAAGCTCTTTAGTTTAATTAGATCCCATTTGTCAATTTTGGCTTTTGTTGCCATTGCTTATGGTGTTTTAGACATGAAGTCCTTGCCCATGCCTATGTCCTGAATGGGAATGCCTAGGTTTCCTTCTAGGGTTTTTATGGTTTTAGGTCTAATGTTTAAGTCTTTAATCCATCTTGAATTGATTTTTGTAGAAGGTGTAAGGAAGGGATCCAGTTTCAGCTTTCTACAAATGGCTAGCCAGTTTTCCCAGCACCATTTATTAAATAGGGAATCCTTTCCGCATTGCTTGTTTTTCTCAGGTTTGTCAAAGATCAGATAGTTGTAGATATGCGGCATTATCTCTGAGGGCTCTGTTCTGTTCCATTGGTCTATATCTCTGTTTTGGTACCAGTACCATGCTGTTTCACACCAGTTAGAATGGTAATCATTAAAAAGTCAGGAAACAACAGGTGCTGGAGAGGATGTGGAGAAATAGGAACACTTTTACACGGTTGGTTGGACTGTAAACTAGTTCAACCATTGTGGAAGTCAGTGTGGCAATTCCTCAGGGATCTAGAACTAGAAATACCATTTGACCCAGCCATCCCATTACTGGGTATATACCCAAAGGACTATAAATCATGCTGCTATAAAGACACATGCACACATATGTTTATTGTGGCATTATTCACAATAGCAAAGACTTGGAACCAACCCAAATGTCTAACAATGATATACTGGATTAATAAAATGTGGCACATATACACCATGGAATACTATGCAGCCATAAAAAATGATGAGTTCATGTCCTTTGTAGGGACATGGATGAAATTGGAAATCATCATTCTCAGTAAACTATCGCAAGAACAAAAAACCAAACACCGCATATTCTCACTCATTGGTGGGAATTGAACAATGAGAACACATGGACACAGGAAGGGGAACATCACACTCTGGGGACTGTTGTGGGGTGGGGGGAGGGGGGAGGGATAGCACTGGGAGATATACCTAATGCTAGATGACGAGTTAGTGGGTGCAGTGCACCAGCATGGCACATGTATACATATGTAACTAACCTGCACATTGTGCACATGTACCCTAAAACTTAAAGCATCATAATAATAAATAAAAAAAAATAAAAGATGGATAGAAGAAAGTGGACAGGATTAGACCACTGTCTGCTGTGTAGGGCGTGAAAAAGAAGTGAGCTAGTCACTGTGTGCTTCAATTTTGCCCAGAGAAGAGAACAAGTAGAAGACTTTCAGAATAAATATAATGTGAACAACGACCCCATCTACAGGGAGTCTGAGCAAACTTAAAGAATTTATGTAGGTTGTTTATTACAGTTATCGTAAAAACCTTAGTAGATAGTTGCAAGTTTTACATGATAATGTCCAAGTAAAATGGACACATAGAGGGGAACAACACACGATGGGGCGTATTAGAGGGTAGAGGATGAGAGAAGGGAGAGAATCAGGAAAAATAACTAATGGGTACTAGGCTTAATACCTGGGTGACAAAATAAAATAATCTGTACAGCAAACCCCCATGACACAAGTTTACCTAGGTAATAAACCTTCATATGGACCCCTGAATTTAATTTTTTAAAAAACTTTTTGCTTCCATTTCTAAGTACATTGTGAGGGTCTTCCCCATTTCTTATTTAAAATAATAAAATTTAATGGCTAAGGTCCAGAATAAATGGATGTTGACAATTTTACTTCCCACAGTACAGAAGTCTTAATGTTAATTGTTGACTGCCTGATATTTAACACTCTATATAGATATTCAATAGCTCTCTTCTCCATGAAGTTTCCCTGAATAAAATGCTATTAAAAATATTCAAGAGGAACTTGGGGAAAAACATCAGAGAAGAAAAACTTTCTCCTTCACTTAAAATATTCTAAATATTCATAGAGCCTAAATGATACAGAAAAATTGATTGCAATAGTTTTTTAATAATGTTTTTAAATATCTTTTAAAAAGATAATACATATGAACTAAATATTTAAATATAGCAAGTCCTTCTATAATAAGACATAATTCTTAAAAGAATCAGAAATGAATAGGCAAATAAAAGTGAATAAGGAGAAAAGCCAAGGTTTAAAAACATGTGTATACATACTTTTTTTTAAAAAAACTAACATACTGGGTAATTAAGATAGACCAATAAATAATCACAGAATAAGCAAACAGTATAGATTAAGTTTTGACTATTGTGTGTTTATGCGTGTGTGTGTGTGTGTGTTAGAGGGAAAGAGAGACAGAGAGAGTATGTGTGTGTGTATAATATTAAACTTGAGGATTAGTAGAACAGACACTGTTATCATCATGGGTGGATCTTTAAAGACGATTTTGATGACGTTTTATATTGTGGCTTCACAATTATCTCACAAATATAAGATTTTATTTTCGTTACTTGAAATTGATAAAATCAATTTGAGTTTTAATTCCAACGTACGAGAGACTTACCACTCATTTTAAAGTTGACAATAAATGTGCTGTTAATCCTCATAATTAATTTAAAATTGCACCCAATAAAATTAATTATTCTACTTGTTGAACTCATCCATAAACAGCTCCACTAAAAGCAAACGTATGTTTCCGAAAATAGTTCTACATTTGTATTCATTACTACTGGCTTCAGTTGTTGGTACTATGAAATTAGATATTTAATATGCTCATTACAGATCTCAAACATTGTTTTTTAAAAATAAAATATCAAAGCTTCAAATAAATTTGAGTAAAAGTTTTTAAACATAACTTATAAGTAAATTTTGTTTGCCATCTCATGTACCATTGCATATTACATGCAGTCTTATGATAGCCTTAATTATCCCTGGTTTTCTCCACTTACATTCCAAATATCATAATATTATTAAATCTTTCTGCTAATAGAGAATTCATTATTTCTAAACATTGCTGTCATTACAGGCATATTATTGTTGGGATTTCAAACTCTATCAGGATTATTTTTTCTCTTTAGTAACATTTCCTTAGACATCAGAATAGATATTAATATAATGGGAAAAGTGCTTTATTGAATCTGATGGTTACTGTGACACATAAACTTAGTGTATTTCATAATAGACAGTGATCCATTGATGATCCACACAACGAAGAGCAAGGAGATACCAAAAATGCATTTTCTATCGTCAAGGAGGTTGCGAAGCAGTTGAGGAGGCAAAGTAGACATAAAGGAAAGGTGAAGTAACATCTCAGGAGTCAAATATCAGTAATATCTGAATATAACACATTTTATAAAAGTGTACCCTTTTAGTAAACAGAAATATGTTGCAATACACTGGGATAGGGTGGAAGAAATGCAAAGATGCATCTGTCCAAGTCTGTGTCTTTAAAGATCTTTTAATCTATCAGTGATTCACCTCCTAGGGACACATTGTTCCATCTGGTATCCAACCAAAGAAGAAATATTTCCACTCACTACTCTTTCAGAAAGGAACATTTAGTTATTCATTGATCCCCACATCAACTTACATATCTCTTTTCTTTCATTTCCCAGAGATCCAATGAGGAACATGAAAACATTAAATTTATTTATTTTAATGTTTGTCTTAACAGTCCTCTCTATATTTATACAGGTTTTCTGGTCATGCCTAAATATAAGCAAAAGTAAGCAACACTCTTGAAGCCCAACCACCATTCAAATGCGGTAGTCTTTTTCTCTCTTATATTAGGAGATGATGGACTGAATCTGAGTGCATGCTTCTCCTAGGAGTCTACTATTTCTAATTTATTCCTCATTATTGACCGCCTTTATCATCATATACCTTTTGCAGTTGGCTTTATTTAGTGTCTGGAGGTATGTAAAAAAGGGAGAGTAGTGTCAGTTTAGTAGTACTATTGTCGTTCCTTCCTGTATCCTTGTTTCTTAGAATAGTTTCTGAATATAGCGACACTGTTCATTGTTGGTTAGATAATGAACAAAAGAACACATAAATGAATAAGAGAGAGAAGACTATCTGCCCATAAAAAGGCTGCAATAAAACGGTAGACTCCAACTTAAAAATCACAGAATTAAGGAATTTATGAGATCTACCAACCTCAATTCACAGAAGAAAAACCCAAATTTCAACAAATCTTAGTAATTAAATAAAGCTTTTAAATAATAAATTCAGTCTTATAATCCCACTAAATGGCAGATTTGTAGCCTAATGTCCTATTAGAAAATAGTTTATTTTTATTCTGAAAGAATCTTAATACTTTTTTACTTTTCAATTTTCCATTTGTCATATTTTGAATAAGATCATTCAGTCAAAAGGCATATATTATTTCTCTACACTACTCAAAATGATAAATTCAATGGATAACTAAGATTAAATTATAAGCAGTGGCGGAAATTAAATCCTGCTACAACCCTGGGGTCTTAGTCCCATCACCTCACTCTCTTACAATGGTCCTCTAGCCCTTGAAGAAGAGCCCAGTGACCCGAATCCAGTAGAATTTTCATAGGATAGCTGCTCCTTTTACATTAATTGATTTGGTTCAGAAGGAGTATGTTAAACATTTTCATTTAGCGGCTGCAACCACCGGAGGCCAGTGGGACACATAGATACTTCAATAAGGTTTTGGATGGCAACAGAGCATTCCATCCTCTTTGGGGAGGACAATCCGCATCAATTCACATTTAAACATTTGTATTGACAACCTCCTATGTGCTACACATGGGATCAAGCAAAAAGACAGGTCAGATTTATGCCTTTACACGTCTCTTTCTGCATATGCATTTGAGGTTTTAAGACTTCCTGTTTTCTAGGTCTTTGATCCCAATGGAGAGCTGCTCTGTCCTCCAGAGAGTGGTTAAGATCTGCATTTTCTTTCTTTTTTTTTTTCTTTGATAGGGAGTTTCACTCTTGTTGTCCAGGTTGGAGTGCAATGGCTAGGTCTTGGCTCACTGCAACCTCTGCCCCTTGGGTTCAGGCGATTCTCCTGCCTCAGCCTCCTGAATAGCTGGGATTACAGATGTTCACTACCATACCCAGCTAATTTTTTTTTTTTTTTTTTTTTAAGTAAAGACAAGGTTTCACCATGGTGGTCAGGCTGGTCTTGAACTCCTGACTTCAGTTGATCCACACTCCTCAGCCTCCCAAAGTGTTGGGATTACAGGCATGAGCCACCACACCCAGCCAAGATCTGCATTTTCATCCCATTCCTACTCTGTGGCCCAGTGGTTATGTGTAAGGATTCTGGAGCAAAGATACCTGAGTTCAAGACCTGTTTTAATCTCTTATTAATAGAAAACATGGGACAAGTTATTCAAGATTCCTGGGCATCAGTTTCCTAAATTATAAAATGTAAACAAAATAATGCTTACCATATGCTCCTATTGCTTTGTACAGTCTATAGTCATTACCTCAAAAAATCTTATCTATTATCATTATCTTTATGATTTCCAGTTTCTGTGACTGGCCATCTTTATTTTAAATGAAATTACCTAGATAAATCTAACTTTGTTTATTATATAGTATTCCTGCTTCTGTTATTCCTTATTTTTAATTGTATTTAAGATTCCTTTCTGGCTCATGTTGATATTACTACACCAGTTTTCATCAGTTATTATTTGATTGTCTGATACATATTTTCCTACTTGGATCTTAAATTCCTCTAAGAATTCAACCAGAGTTGTCCTTTACACACTTGGTCTTGGTTTTTTGGATGAGCTTCCATAAGTCACTGCTTCTGTTCCACCTCTTTAAGCAGCAGGATTGGTCCCCACATTCAAAAGTTATTTGTTTAACCCATTTCATCTACACAATAACATAAATAATTCCATCCCCTGGTTGTGAGTTAACACTAATATGGCTACTCATTTACCCTATCTTAGTTATTTCATTTTTTTCTCTACCTCCAACCCACCTAGCAATTGTGAGTAAGGCCTTTCTTTAACAACAACAACAAAAAATCCAAAGTGTATTCTCTGATATATATGCAGGAATGTGTACTTTCTTCCATTATATATCTCTAAACTTTAAACTTTCTTTTATGTATACCAGGCATTTAATATATCATAATTTACGATCAGTTTCATTAAGTAAGAAGATATTTGTTGATATTTTAATTCAGAGAATAATGTCCTGTGTTTTCTAATTTATTTTCATGTTATTAAGATTAAACAACAGGTGGTACCCTCAGGAAGTATGCATCTCTGAAGCCAAAATAACAAATAAAAATGAATAGTTATTCTCACCGTCTTACCTGTCATCCTTTAATTTACTCAAAAGCAAGGACCATTTTTTATTTGCGTTTTCAGTTTCTAATCTAGTTTGTTGTACATTTGTAGAAGCTGAATAATTATCTGTAAGATCTCAAATAATTATGTGTAGAGCAAGACAAGGATACTTTCTGTTGATTTCATTATAAAACAGGTGTTATCATTGCCACAAGTTACAAAGATGAAGAAACCAGGGTTCATAAAGGTTCTAAGAGACACTAATAATGTGTAGCTGAAACATATTTTTTAAAACAACTTTGAAAAATATATTGATGCTCTGTAATTTATCTAGTGTCTCTTAATACATCATGTCATTAACAATTAAGCTGCTGTTTGTGAAAAGTTTACTAAAGACAGGGGATTTGTTAAACTCTTTTGGTACATTACTCTATATACTTTTATATGCAAAACTATACCCATTTTATAGATGGCAAAAGTGGACAAAGAGGTTAGGAATTTTTTTCATAATTAAGAAAGCTACTAATTAAAAGTTGAAAGTAAATATGTTTTTAAAATTATTTTCTAATGCTATTTTACTTTCCAGAAGAATTAATTTTCCCTTAGACTAATGTTTACATTAGAATGGTATTAATTTACACTAGACAAATATTTTCCCATGGAATGAACAGTCCATTAATGAACAAGAATTAAGTACCTAATGCCTATGCACAGATTTGGCCAGCCTAGAATAAAATTAACTGCAAATTATATTTAGTTCCAAAAAAGCAAAGGCATAGGATAATAGACGTCTATGCTGGATATTTATTGTTGTTGTGGTGGTGGTGGTGGTGGTGGTGGTGGTGGTGGTGTGTGTGTGTGTGTGTGTGTATCTATGTGTTTACCTAGCATTCTTTTCTCTTTTTTTCATACTATTACCCCACTAGCTTTGACTGCAGGAGCTTATGGGTGGGGTGCATGGCTCAGACTGGCTAATCAGAGCTTCATCTCTCTAGCCAGTGATTATTGCAGTCGTAACATGCAACTTAAGCGAGACCACTCAGGTCTCCGTTATGTTGGCTTGTTCATACTCTCTCTGGAATTGTGAAGTAGTAGAGGGCCATTGGTAGATTCAGCCTCATAATAGCCATATTAAAGAGCCATAGAAGGAGCTTGTCTACAAAGCCCAGGCAGACGCATACAGATCTGAGAGAGGGAAAAGCAGAATTCTGTTTAAATGTATTATTTAAACCCCTGGATCCATCCATGCCTAAAGCTAGTACTGCTCTTTGGAATTCCTAGTTATACATGCCACAGGTTTACTTTTACATTAAGATGGTTTGAGTTTTTGTCCTTTTAAAATGAAGAAATTCTTTCACATACTAGTTTTTTGTTTGTTTGTTTATTTTTAGTAATTACCATATTCCAGCTTGTGGTACAAGGTTTATGCATACTAGAACAAAACCTTGAAAATGTAGGTAATGTTATTACCTTAAATGTATAAATAAGAAAATTTAAATAAGTTAAATGATTTACCCGACTTCATACAATTAGTACTGAAGGAACCAGTACTACCAAATCTTTTTATCTGGCTCAGAAGCCTGTTTTCCTATCTTGTCATCAGTGCAGACTTTACACACTCTCCAGCCATGTATTAGCAAAGTTTCAACTATCCTTTAGCAGCTGAGACAATTCAGGGAGGAATATGCTGATACCTTGAAGGTCAGAGACCTTATCTTTAAAGGCTTTTCATGAGTTAATTATTTTTGTCTAAATTTTACTACGGGGCTAATTAATAATATGCACTGATTATTTCAAATCATAAGACAATCTGATTTCATAGTTTGGTAGTAGGAAATACACAGTTTGGTAGTAGGCAATGATACTTTGCTGAGGTGATATTACTAAATAAGAGAAAAAACAAACAAAAAAACACTTTATGGAACCCATGGCACTGGATTTAAACCAGATTCATCACTAAATACTTGTGTGATCTTTCCAAGTTGCTGCACTTTTTAATAAGGCTTGATTTTCTCCCAATCATGAATGATTTTTTTAAGGTGAAAATAAGATAAAGACCTGCCACAACATAGATTCCAAACAAACTCCCATGAGATCTCCATACCCTTTATAAAAATAATTTTATTTCATTTGCTATTTTAAACATTGTTTGCCAATTAAATATTCCCACCATAATTGGTCATTTTATATTTATGAAGCAAGACAAGGGAACACAATGAAAAGCTAAAACTAAGTGAACAAACTAAAAGTCCATGACCTAAGTTCAATAGTATTGGTAATTGCTTTGGATATAATTAACACAGCCTTAGTAGGTCCATATACACTTCTCTATAAATGGTTATTATCTCAAAGGAAGCAATTTAATAAGCTATTTTTGATCTGGAATAAATGAAATACAACCTCAAAAACTATTTCTAAGAATCTCTAAAGGTCAATGCAATAGCAAACACAGAATACCTAGATATCGTGCATAAAATTGCCCTTTAGAAATAAAGAATATAGCCAATTAAAATGCTGCTGGATGTCAACTAAACTTACATATGATGACATCAATTGGACTTTGGAGAAACTCTGTAAGGAGTTCTACCATTTTTTTGTAGGTTGATATCAATGGCAGAATCTATTAAGGCATCAGTTTGTCTTTAATTGATTTTATATTTCTCATGTCTAGAATGTTTGATTTACTTACCCTGTGAATTTTAGTGCAAAGGCTTTAGTATCTGTTGTCAAGTTAGGTACCTTTGCTAGATGTTGCTTTATTAAAGTTGTATAGGAAGACTCATAAACATTTTGTTTCTTCTATTTTCTGGATATTACGCCAAAAGTGGTTACATAGCTGATGCAACATAATTCAATACCTCTCCACGTGACACATCAAGCTATATCCATTGTATCATTTCATTATTATAAAATAAAATTTCGGCTTACCTCAACGGGAAAAGACCAGTGTCCATCCAGTTTTTTTTCTTTCCATCTTATGTTGTGGTATTTTCTAAATAGGCAAATTTTCAAATAGATATTGCCAATATTTTTACTTACTGTGTTATATAGTGAATTCTTAAAATTTCATATTGCCTCCATGCTATGTTTTGGATATCTGCCCCCTACAAACCTCACGTTGAAATTTGATCCCCATTGTTGGAGATGGGGTCTAATGGGAAGTGTTTGGATCGCATATAGGTGAATGCCCTCCCTATGGCGAAAGTTTTCATTCTATTCGTTCCTGCCAGAGCCAGTTTTTAAATTATTGTTATTATTGTTTTGTTGTTGTTGCTGTTTGTTTTGAGACAGGGTCTCACTCTATCACTTGGGCTGGAGTGCAGTGGTGCAATCACAGCTCACCACAGCCTTAACCAAGAGTAGGTTGTTGAAAAGAGCCTGGCCCATCCCTCCTCTCTCTTACTTCATCTTTCACTATGTGATCTGTACACAGGGGCCTCCCTTCACCTTCTACCATGAGTGGAAACAACCTGAAGCCCTCACCAACTATAGATGTTCATTGGATTTTTCAGCTATCAGAATCATGAGCCAAATAACCCTTTTTACTTTATAAATTACCTAGCCTTGGGTATTCCTGTATAGCAACACAAAATAGACTAAGACACGTTGCATCCATTTTGAATACAGGTTTAACTTTCTCATACTAGAAGAAGGGCTCAGTCAGCCTTGATTCAGTTTGCAATTCTACACCATACCCAAGTGGCTCAAGCCAGTGGCCCCAAATAAATAAGAACTTAGAAGCACTCTCCTGCCTAGCAGACAAGGATCTCTGCTTTACATGGATCATTTAGGCATTTGCCCATTAATTTTAAAGGGTCCTCTCTATTTCCTTAAATATACTGTTAGTATTCATGTGTTCTTGTCTCTCTACTCGATCCTTCATTCTTCCCTTGTGTGACCCAGGACAGAGGTCTACCTTCCCAACTCATTGTGAACTCCTTGCTTAGGATCTGTAAGTAAAAATCTTTGAATTTGTTTCCTATTGTTGTGGTGTATGGAATTTGTGCCTTCCATCTGATGATCCAGGGGCTTCCCCAGGCCAAGTTCTTTCTGGGACATGGGGAAAAAAAGTCAAGTTTCCAGTGCCTTGAGCTGTGGTCAGGCAGGCACAAACTGGACACAGATCAGAGAGGAGCCTTAAGGATATTTGCCGTGTGAGGGTTGCATGACAAGGCATTAAGCCATCTGCCAGATAAAATAAGTATCCCATCAAAGGTGCACTGTAAGTATCCATGTCCAGCTCCCTTTCATTTCCCCTTAGGGAAGGTTTCCTAGCTGCTCTGGTACTGAGACCGCAGTTTAACTGAGGGATCCCAAAACAATGAATACAAGACAAACAAAACAGTTGTACCTAATACATAGTAGGAACACAAAAATGTCAAACACCAAACTTCAAAAAATATTTGAAAATAAATTAGCATTTGTTATGTTGAATTAGCCAATGTTTTTCTTAACAAGTTCACATGCTTCTTAAAGAATCTTATAAAACCCCCTGGTCCTTTTCTTAGAAAATGCAAACATGGATTTTCACAGACCATTTTGCAAATAATCTCAGGGGAGATGTAGATTCTCTACAGGTTCATAAACACGTTTTAAAAAAAGATTAATAAAAAAGGTTTAAAGAACCCAAACAAAGTCAATAAATCCCCAAAATAACATCTCCTATTAATGAAATAAATGTTGTATGTATGACAAAGGCATCGCTACAGATCATTTCCAATCTCTAAACCTATGGTTTTAGAGAAGCAGGCTAAGAGCTTTTGCAAAATCTATGAAACATTAATTCATAAACTGGACTGGTATGAAATTGAATAATCTGGCAAAACAAGTTTTATGTCTTGTGTCTTTTTTCTCCCTTAAAATATCTGTTTTCTCTTTCTTTGCCTCTGTAAATGTATTCTAATGGACAGTAATATTTGATTATTTTATTACTCAAATCAGGTTCTACCTTAGTGTCACAGTTATGGAATATCTCATTTTGTGGTTTTGTAGTGAAAAAAGAGGCAAAAAGACACACACACATGCACACACACACATATACCACAACTCTGTACAATTGAAAAGGATTATTTGGTATTTTTAAAACAATATTTCATATCTATCTTTCAAACATGTATTTATTTAAAATGGATTATGAAGCTGGGTGCGTGACTCATGCCTCTAAGGCCAGCACTTTGGGAGGCTGAGGCAGGAGGATTGCTTGAGCCCAGAAGTTCAAGACCAGCCTAGGCAACAAAGTGACCCCTCATCTCTCCAAAAAATAAAAAAAATAAAAAAAATTAGCTGGCATGGTGGCATGCGCCTGGTGGTCCCAACTACATTGGAAGCTGAGGCAGGAGGATCCCTAGAGCCCAGGAGACTGAGGCTGCAGTGAACCACATTCATACCACTGCACTCTAGCCTGGGCAACAGAGTGAGACCTTGTCTCAAAAAATAATTAAAAATAAAAAAAAAAGAATTCTGAGTACAATTTATTAGAGAGCCATGAGGAGAGGTTTCAGTCAGAAACAGCATTGGAGTTCAGTGCAAAGAACACTAAAATTAGTATTCTATAGTTAGGCTGGAGTGCAGTGGCACAGTCATAGCTCACTGCAGCCTCAAAGTGACGGGCTCAAATGATTCTCCCACCCCAGCCTCAGAAGAGGCTGAGATTACAGGTGTGAGCCACCATGCCCTGTTCCTAGAAAGAGAGCTAACAATACTTGGATACCTATTTTAGCAGGTACAGGAAAAAAAAAAAAAAGGAAAAAGTTCATGAAATGTAACTTAATCTGCACAAAAACATGGGGTAGCATATCATCACAGATAAATAAACTGAAGCGCAGAGAGCGTAATTAATGTGTCAATCTTTGACAAAACTAAAAAGTAGCTAAGCAAGGATTTGAATTCAGATACACAGTAGTACCTAGCCCATATTTATAGTCACAGAAATACTCCTGTTTTCCTGATCTATCTGAGCATGGCACTTTAAACACTTGTATTTTTAACACTTTTGCTAAATCCAATGAGTCATTCATTTCTGGGTGTTGCTAGTATCTTTTAAGAAATTGAATGAAAAACCCCAGGACTTTTTGACTTTTATCATACTGTTACATGCCCACATGACTGAGAATGGAAGGGTTATTGTAGAGTCAGAGGAATTCCTGAGGCGCTAGGACCTACACAGGGAAGAGGGTTGGAAGTGGAGGTTTACGCATGTCAGGCATTGACACTGACTCAGATCATAATCTAGATTTGACATGATTTTTCTACCCTAGAGCTAAATGCTCTACTTTTTTTCTTAAACCTGTTTTTAGCTTCAATTATTTGTCATAGAGGAAGATATTTTTAGTTATTGTCCTGTCACATTATTTTCTCCTGCAGTTTTTCATCTTTTCCCTCCCTCCCTCCCTCCCTCTCTCCCCTCCTCCCTTCCTTTCTTCCTTCCTTCCCTACTTTCTTTTCATTTGGCCTGCAAGAATTAGTTTTGGAACTGTCACAGAATAAATCAAATATGTCCTACAAACCTATTTTGATAAAACGTATTTTCTTAGTCCCCACAGTAAAAAGCCCTGTAGAGAACAAAACTCCCTTCCTGAGCGACATACAGTTTGAATGCATGAAGTTTTTCCATAGCCACATGCAGCAAGCTGAGCCCTCATTTTCAGAGGCCTTTCCAATGGCCTGTAATAGGATAATTAAAGTCCTCTTCCTCCCTTAGCCCTCTCTGAGGCTCTTTTGGTGTCCTTTCTTGGTGCCTTTGCCTCCTGGGCCCTTTCCTCTCTTCTCATCAGGTGTGCTGGGCCTTTCTGTCCTTACAGGGTGGTTCTCTTTGCTTGCATACCTGTTCTTGATGCATGCAGGCCAAGCGAGTCTTAGAGTCCACTCTGGCTGATGAATGCTTGCCTGCCTTCTCTTCCCTTTCATCTTTTTCATTATGTCAATGCTCCTTGGAGGCCTGGGATACCATCTGTCCAGGTAACATTTCCTGGTGGTGTCAAGAGTTAACAAAATTCTGGCATATTTTGTTTCTTACCCAACTGTATTCTTCATGATGCTGATATTGAATGTGTATTTTTGTCATTTCACCTTACTTGCTTTCAGCTGCTCCTGGTTTTGTAAGTAGGCTTGTCGCATTTTCAGTTTGTACAAAGTAGAGAAGGAGACAGACTGTGAGATATAAGATGAGATGATTTTAATATAATGAAATCATATTTTCTGGGCTTGAATCATAACTCCATGACATCTTGCCTATGTGAATTTTGGAGATGTTGTTTAAACTCTTTGAGCATCTCTTTCTCACGTCTTTAAAATTAGGATAATAATAATAATATTAATAATATCTACTTCCTAGAGTTTGTGTGTGTGTGTGTGTGTGTGTGTGTGCACGCGCGCGCGCGCGATAGTTAAATGAGGTAAGGTATGTAAGATGCTTCAACAGCTCAGAGCAGGTGTTTAATAACTATGTCATTTTTCTATTGATAACTACATTGTTTTTCTAAGTATATGAGCTTTAATCTGTAGTAAGGACTCTCACATCCTTGTCGTAGTTACAAATTAAAATAACCCTGACAAATTAAGAATTTGTATTTCTATTTTAAAAAGAACAAGTAGCCTCAAAAGTAAAGCAACTTATTCACAATTTTGTAGCTAATATCACCCTTTATGGGACCAAGCTAGAACTAAACCGTCCCTCTTTTGATTCCCTGTTTAATGTTCTAAACACTTAATGTTTCCTTTTTAGCAGTCAGCTTTCCAGTGTCTTTTTCAGTCTGCATCATTTGTTTGAGGATTTCATGGAATATTCTGCACATAGTAGCTTTTAATATCTGTTTCTTAAATGTGTTTAATGTCATAAGGAAAAATATTCTATGTTTAAAAATGCATTCGTAGTTAGAGTTTGGATAATTACAATATTTTATTTCAATAATATTTATAAGTGACTTCTGAACATAAGCATACTATGGCATGTGAGGGATAAAAGAGGAAAACAACAGGTAAGCTGACTTTGTTTTAGCATACACTAAAATGCCCTCAGAAACTGAGGTTTGCCCTTTTTCTACATTTATTGCTTGATATATTTTACCTTATTCTTCATACTCTGAAAATTTAAGTTATTTTTATTCTCTGCTCCCTGTACACATACCCTGTGCTTTTAAGTCCATGGTGTCAGCTTCTCCAGTAATGATCATTTTATGAAAATCACTGCCTGTATTCATCACAAGATGTGTCAGTCTTCAGTGCCCAGCCTAGGCCATGGTACAGCAGGCACCCAACAGCTTAATTCTACCACACATTTTACTCATTTATTTACTGGTGCGTATTCGTCACTGGACTGTATTATATATGTGCCATATGCTCTTTCTATATATTCTTCTTTAGTTTTCACACCAGACATACCATGGACAGCAGTATTATGCCCATGTGACACACAACATGATAGGTTCAGGGACGATATTTTGTTTGCCCAAATTAAAATACCTTATTAAGGATAGAGCTAGAAAATGGGCTAAATGGCCCATTTACCTTTATACAGAACTGGATATGGACCACATTTTAATATAATTAACCTTGCCTTGCACATTAAGCTGCCGATATTGGTTGCTGAGTGTAATCTATGTAGTGTATGTACCTGTGTGTCATGTTTGTGATGCCCAAAATATAAGTGCATATATGAGGATATGACTAACAATGCAACAATGAATTTAGGCAATAGCCAGTTTCATAAATGTCACAGACTCTCCACAACCACTTCTGAGAAGTCAGAATGCTGCATATCTTTCATTCTATGGAAAATATATGCCATATGTTGTGCAAAGCTCTTGTACCCATTCCAGTTCTCACAATGTTATATATATGGGCAGGGAGTTATTGTAGCCTAGAGATTCTGTTAAAGAGCTCCGCTCTTTGTCACTTTTCACTCAAAAGATACTAAAGAAGCCCAAAACTTACAAGCACAAAATAAAAGTGAAACATGAGTGGCCACACTAATTTCTTAAGTCACAGAGACACTAATAGTTTGTTGAATCTGGGGCTATCTTTGGACTGGCCAACCTAGGTCGGTTGTCAGATTTATGAGAATTCAAGCATGAAAAAAAATTATCATCTCTAATAGAAGAGGCTGGGCCTGATACTGGTAATTTGGGCATCATGGCTAGAGTGGAGAAGTTGAAGTAACAATGACAACATAATAAAGATGCTTTAATTTTTAGACATTATAGGATAATCCATCAAAGGGGAGGGGCCAGATGGTAATAAAAAGTGATAGGCTTTGGAGATGAGTAGAATTGGGCTTTAAGTCTGGCAATTTCACTTCTTAACTGTGTGGCTCTGAACAAGTACTTTAATCACATTTTATCTCAGTTTACTCACCTATAGTGCAAGCATGAAAATACATACCATATAGGGCTGCATGATGATTAGAGATAATACACCTGAATAGCTAGTGTATAAATAGTATAGGTGCTCAATATATGTTTAAAACTGATTTACTGGCTGGGCGCGGTGGCTCATGCCTGTAATCCCAGCACTTTGGGAGGCTGAGGCAGGTGGATCACCTGAGGTCAGGTGTTCGAGACCAGCCTGGCCAACATGGTGAAACCCTGTCTCTACTAAAAATACAAAAAATTAGCTGGGCATGGTGGTACGTGCCTGTAATCCCAGCTACTCGGGAGGCTGAAGCAGGAGAATCACTTGAACCCAGGAGGCAGAAATTGCAGTGAGCCAAAATCATGCCACTGCACTCTAGCCTGGGCAACAGAGCACGATCTATCTCAAAAATAAATAAATAATTAAAAAAAAACCCTGATTTATTATTTTTAGTAATATTATAGTTCCTGTTAAGAAGAACTTTGTATCTATGTGAAATAATTGATTCTACTACCTGAATAGATGGTTTCTATTGTATAACAACAATTTATGTACATGTTCTATACTCTTCTGTGGGAGTTGTTATTGTATAGAAGCACTTCATCAATTTCAAATTTTTATTAACACTGATATTTTTTAAAAATTACTTAAAAATGATTTTGGTGAATCTATTTTCTTGTTTCACTCATCTCCATGTTAACAATTTATTTTTAATGACAATATCCCAGGTGCATTAATTACCTTGAGAATAAAACTGATCAGCGATGAGATAAGATCAATGATTTTTAAACCAAAACTGGGTAAAAGAATATTAAAAATACTTTGTCTATGTTAAACTCATGGAGAAGAAAAAAATAACATTATAACTTTCACTGCAAAGAGTAAAGGTTGGCAGGATTGTGCATCAGTGAAAAGTGGCCTTAGAATGTGTCCTAAGAAGTGCTTGAAATGGATGTCCTCTTCTAAATCACCAAACGTTGGTTATCAATTAAATCTAAACTCTTGGAAAATGTGGCTGTTTGTGAGAATATAAATAAAATTGGATCTTCTTTGGGAAAATTAATTATCTAGCCAAGTTTAATAGGCTTAAGATCTAATCATCTTATTCTCTTTCTGGTACAGTATGTAGAATCTTGACTTAATTATTTATTTTTTCCATGAGAATGAATGTTGACATTTATGAAAATTATAAGCCCCAGTTTGATTCAGCAATCTCTTGTTAAAATATGTTTCCAAGGTGAGAAATATATAACATAAATATATGAGTATAAAAATAATATTTAGGTTCTAATAAATATTATTAACAATGGTGATGCCAGAAAAAAATCAAATAGACTGAGAAGGGAGAAGAGACAGTATGGTCTTAATCCTTAAATTGTCATATGTACACAGAATTTTTAGGTTGAAATTGATTCGCATTATTAATTAGTGTATATTGCCATTAAGTCCAATTGGCAAATAAAATGATGAGGTAAAGAGATTTTGATGATTTGATCAAAGTGACTGATCCAGATTAGTTAAAAATAAGTTCTCAATTCCTTGAGCAATTTGAAAGCATTCAGTTACAAACAAACAAAAGGTCAAATCCACAGATTATATTATTCAGGTATAAGTATTCATAATCACAGTGTTGAAAATTACTTTAGTGTTAAATTAGTTACGTATCTCCCTTTTATAGAAACTGACACCACTAGAAGTTATATGACCTTTGCAAGGATGCATAATTTGTTAGTGCTAAATCAAGAACTGGAACTCGGGCCTCTAACCTTCCAATTTATTGATCATATTACTTATTATATATATTTAAAATATATTGAAAAATCTTAACACTTTAAATGCTGTCAAAAAACTTAGTGAGACTAGATTCACTTTCAGATAAACCAGAAGGAATAAATTTAAAATATTTCATAATTCAGATTACCAATAGACCATTTCAGCTTGCTTGCATATTCATGCTTGTACTGGTGAGTTATTGCCTGTATTATATATTTTACTTCATACTTGTTTCTGATGACTAGTTCCCAAATAATAATCCTTAATGCAATCAGGAGAAAGTCTGGCTTTCTTAACCTGTTATTAAAGGCCATTTACTTATTAGAAGGCTTTGCCTGCCTATCTTGCCTTACCTCTTATTAATGTCTCCTTCAAATCATTCACCCCAAGAATCAGGGACCATTTGTAGCTTCTGTCATGGTCTATCATCTCTAGACCCTTACTGAGATTGTTCATTGGCTTATAAGTTCCTCTACATTCTTTTGCCTGGATAGTTTTTAAAGCTAAGCTCAGATGTTGATTTTCTTAGAAAAGTCTTTCCTGGATACCCCTGCCCCAGTAAACAACTTCCTTCTCTGTGTGCCCCCATCACATTCTGTGTATCTTCACCGTACTATGTTCTATATATTAATAGCATTGCAGTTGTCTGTTTATTATCTTTCTCACCTCCTAGATGGGGTATTCTTGTGACTTGTTCACTGCTGTATCTTCAGCAACTGATTCGGCACAGATTAGGAACCAAAGAAAGACTAAGATGCCAACATTGCATTTGAAAGGAACATTATATTTGGGAGGTATTCTCATCCTGGTATCATCCATATGAACTATGATTCAGTGCTATATATCATTGAAACAAATTTTCAAAACAAATGAAGAGAGACATGTAAAAACATCAGGAGAGCTATCCAAAACATGAAGAGAGATATAGACACAAAGAATAAAGAGTGGAAGTATAATGAGAACCTGGATATTTAATCTATTAATTTTCATTAAATAGTGTCAGGCAGAACAGTGACTCCAATCATAACAACAAATTCTATGTTTTTAAGAAAGTTGGTACATGTCTCTTTGCCTTGGTTGTTCCAAGTGTAAAATGATTATAACAGTTATAGGTGCTGCATAGGTTGTTGTGAAGTGTAAAACCAAATGAGGCATCAGGAGCTCAGCTGTATGCCTGACACATAGAAATAACTCAGCAAACATCTGTGTTTACTTTTATTTTTCACTCTGTGTCTATATGCACAAGAATAAAAGAAACAATCCAGTTGAAGGGAGCAGCATGAGCCCTGAGGAAGGCCTGCAGGATTAAGCAGTGTCTTAATGTAGCAATAGAAGGCCCACCATATGGGCATGGAATAAAAGTTATGTGAGTATTATAGGAGGTAGATACAAAAACAGGGACAGTAAATGTGGGCTAAAGAAAAAAAATATATTGTTAAGAATGTAGTGAGTGAAACTCATATAATGGTTCGTATTAACTGATATGGATTTGGATGTGTAGCAATTGATTATCTGCCCCTGCTTATGGCTCTTCTACATCCCATTAATTTATTTAAGTAAGGACAGTATGACTAAAGTGTGAACTTCCCAAAGCTCATGGTATAAAGTGAGCTTTTCCTATGGTTGCTGCGGATGAGAGCCTAGTAACTACAATGGGAAAAATTATATATCGTTTACAGAATAAGGCTGCAATTTCTTAACCTAGCATTTAAGTTCTGCGGTATATTTATTATGATGTCTGATCTGATAATTTCATTCTCTTTCCTTTCCTTCTCTATTTTTTGTCCTTTCCATCATATCACGTCATCGAAAATCTATATGTGCCAGGCACTAGCAAAGTAAATAAGGAACTCATCTCTATCTGTTAAAAGTTCATGTTACACCAAGAAAACATGGATTGAACATTATATACACAAGGAATTTTACCCACTGTATTGCATTTAATGCTTAAGGTAGTCATTATTATCTCTATTTAATACAATATCTTGTTCAAGTTCACAGAGCTAGCCAGCAGCAGGTGCAAGACTAAAATCTAGTAATGTCATCGGAAACCTTGCTCTTAAGCATGTCACTTTTATGCATCTCTTTCTCTAGTGGGGGATGAAGGTAAGTACACCAGTGAGCTTATGGCTTTGTTTTTTGGTGATGGATCTTGCTCCTCTTACAGTACCCTGGGCATTTACCCATCTGATTAAAGTAAGTTATTCTAGAAAGAGAGAAGGAAACTGCCATCAGTTATTATTTCAAACTTCACAATAAGGAATGGGAATTTAGCCCAGATCCATCTACCTTAAAGCCCCAATAGGAACATCATAGAGCATGGAGTAGTGCTTATACTGGCAAGATGTACAATATCAGAGAAATTTACAACAAGGTTTCCATCAGATAAATTCAATGCTTCCTGTGAGCAGTAGAAGAAAAACAAACACACAAATAAATATATATTCATTCAGAAAATGTAAAAACTCTTCTCTGTATTATCAGAACTGTTAGAAAATTAATTTAGAGAGAAGAACATGTTAGGAAGTTATTGAAGATCAGTTGAATGCGTGTCCTTGCCTTAGTTTAACAAATAGGAACAAGAATAGGGATGAACCAACAAATCTGGTTGGTGAATGAATGGCAGATACAAGAGGTGGCAGAGGAGACATACAAGTTGGAGGAATAAAGAAAAAACAAAGAAAAGGAAAATCAAGTGACAGAATGATCTCACAAGAAATAAAAAGAAATGTGAAGGACAAACATTCCAGGAACTAAAGAACCATTGCTCACCCGTAAAGGGAAGGGGCTGTTGCTCACACAGAGTGCTATTCTGATCAGAGTCTTCACGGGACCTAAGCAATGTGTCCCTCTGAGAATTCCAGCAATACTTAGGCTCCAGTTGGATGTCTAATCCTGCCAAGTCTGCAACAGCATTAGAATACGTGGTCAGTCTGTAAATGGGGTGGAGAAAGAAAATATTTTCATGTGTATGCCTCAGAGTTTAAACTCAAGGCAGCCTATAATGGTTGGGAAAGAAAAGATGATGGTCTTAAAAGATCCATGTTCAACTACAGAAAAGTAAAGGGAGAAATGGAGGGTGGGGAAGTAAAGTGGATGGAGGTAAAGAGCAATGGAGATGAAAATGGAAATGATAAAAATACTGGTGAGAGTTCAGTTTGGATAGCTCTTTAAGCCTGTATAGCAATTTTATATCCATTTTCCAGAGGTAAAATAGTGTAATATAATAGATTTGGGCATTGCTGATTTCAGGTTTGAATTTATTAATTTTTAGTTACAAGACCCTGGCCAGATTATTTCACTGATTTATATTTAAGTTTCCTTATCTGTAAATTGGGGTAATGATTTTACACCTTTATATTATTTTTATTTTTGAGAATTAAATAAGCTCAGCCGTATGTATTTTCCTTTTATTCCTTTTTCTTTTTCTTTGTATTCCTTTCCATGTTGTAGGATAGGAAGAACATGTGTAAAAGAAAACTAAAGCTGAAATATAAAAAATACTTAAGTGATATACAGAAAGTAATATATGTAAACTCAGTGGAGGGAGAGTTTACTTTTGAACAACTAAATCAAGAAAGAATTCATGGAAAAATCATCAGCTCAGTGGACTTTATTGGCTGGGAAAATAAAGAGAAAGACATTTCTTGTGTGAACAGAGGCGTGGAAATGAGAAAGACAAAGAAGGGCAGAGAGAACTAAGGATTGTTTGTCAAGTCCTGGGGCAGTAAAAAGTCTCATGAGGAAATGAGGTTGAAAAATTGGATTACAGACAGATTAAACAGGCTGTGTAGTTTAGATTCGACTGCATAGACAAAGGGGGGATTTTGCAGATTTATGAGCAAATACATTCACCTTAGCAGAACTGTGTTTTAGAAAAATTATAAACAGACATATATACATGATGATTTGGAGGTGGCTATCTGGATGGAGAAGGTGGAAGAATATCCATTCAGATATAAATACTTGAGTATAGAAGAACATTACTGTGTATTTTTTTCTTTTAATGTTTGAAGGTATTTTGTAAAACAGGTTGGTTAGGGATCTAAGGGAATAAATACTACCAATTAATTTCTTTTCATTGCTTTTACCTGCTTTTGCCATTCTGAATTGTTTTCTGCTAAAACTTCTAAGTTAATATTTAATGCAAAAATAATGAAAACAAAACACAAACAATAAACTCCCTAAAAACTTCTACAGTAAAGGTATTCTAAAATATGACTTTGCTCACTTCATATTGCAAAGATATAGATTTGGGCAGATTAACTAATAAATGTGCAATCAGAAGTAAGCAAACAACAAAATCCAACTCTCGCTTCTCTTTATGTATGATTGGAAATCACAGTGTTCCCAAATTTTCAGGTTGTGTTGCAATAATTCTTATAAGCCTCTGGCTCAGTTCTTTCTCATTTCTTCCTTGGATACTGAGACTACTCCAACTGGCCTCTGTGCTGCAATGTCTTGAAGCACCTCTAGTCCTTCCCCTACTCTCTTCCAAAAAGAGGATTTCCGTGACATGCAACTTTATTACTTCTCCTGTTCTCCTTTCCAACTGAAATTATGCCTGATTAGATCATGCCTGCCCACGTTGAGGGTGGATCTTCCCCACTCAGCCCACCAACTACCAGCCAATCTCCTCCAGAAATACCCTCACAGACACGGGCAGAAATAATGTTTTACCAGCTATCTAGATAACCCTTAATTAATCCAGTCTACTTGACACCTAAAGTTAACCATCACAGGATACTTACTAGAAGAGATAAAATTATCCTTTTCAGATAGTAGTTCCCTAAAAAAACTTGAGAATCAACTGAAGTCATTAGAACACTTAAATAGTTATAATAATACTGGAAATAATCAATTAGAAAATATGCTATTCTCAATAGCATCAGAAAGATATTTAGAAACTAGCTTACAAGGAAATGTATAAAATACAATGAAGAGGACAAATTATAAACCTTTTCTAAAATCTATAAAATATGAATGTGAAGAATGAATTTTATAGCAGAATCATTGATTCTCAGAATTACGTTTTCACCATTTCAAATAATCAATTTTGGATTATTTATATTTGGAAAGATTTATTTTGAAGATATGTAATAAGTATAGACAATTATACCACACAGGCAAAATGTTATTTAAGATCTAGAGCACCACGGCCTACTGCAGAAACATGCAGATAAAAGTAGAGATTTTGGTTTAGTGTATGGTAAAGATAGCATTAAAAGATAACATTTGAATTCATGAAAAATTATAGCCATACAGCCACTGATGGTAAGACAAAAAGCCTAACTTATACCAATTTATTTTTAGGAAATAATCATGTATATGAGCACAGCTTAAAAATAATAATGTTAGGATATTGTAGCACTAATTGGAAAATGAGAGTCAACTTAAATGTCCAAAGACAAAGAACTAGTTTCACAGATTACATGCTCATAGAATAAAATTATGTATTATTCAAAGTTCTGCAATAAATATATATAAAATATCTAATAATGTGTAAATATATTCATGATATATTTAGTTTGGAAAAATATGAAATTTTATTCACCATATAATTCCACTTATAATTTATATTATTTCTAAGATATAACTGGAAGGGTGAAAATCAATATCTTAACAGCTATTATTTCTATATGGTGAGATTATCTAGTAATATTTAATTTTTATGGTTATTTATATTTTGTGTCTGTTCTTTCTAAATTATATATTGTGATGAATGTATATTACTTTGTAAATAAGGGAAAGGTGATGGGAGTTATACAATATAAAGGCTTTACTCAAATCATATGCCTGCAGAAATTATCATCTTAAAGCAGAAGTTCTATTTCTTGGGTTGTTTCTCTGCTTTTATTAATACTTTGGAGAAGGCTGTAAATGATGAATGAAGACCTTTCCCTCCCACACCAGTTTAACAGCTGCTGCTATGTAATTTGCATTAGTCCTTACAGATTCTATCTGATACAGTCAGTCATACACTGTAGAACATTTATAAGGGCTGAAAGGCACAATTCTTCAAGAAACCTGACTTTTTCATAAGGATTTCCAAGGAATGTTCTTTGTTTTGTATTTATTAGCTATTCTTTTCTTCTTCTCCCTTTCCAATAGACAAGTTTTCCCCTAGAGCTTTGAGAAAATTGCATTTTTCCCCTTCAAAATGTCCTTTAGAAAAGAGCGAACATATGACTCCTGTGTGTGTCAGCACCTGTCTCCTTCAGCCCCTAACCACAGATACAGTATTGACCTGCTGTCAGTCTCCTTCCACTTCAAGCCCTCAATCAATACAATCCAAGCATGACCATATTGGAGAAATTTCTTTTCTACTTGAGACTAAAATGGGGATGAAGAAAATCTTTTGTTGTTTAGGATGATGTATATGTTAGTTATTAACAGAGTGCCAAGGACATTTAAGAATGGTTAACTATGACTCTTCAACTTGAGACTCCAGCCAGCCTATCCAGCCTCCTATTCAGCCTCTCTCTCAGTACAATATCTTGCTTGACTTGGGATCAAGCCTTGAAGCCTCTAAAAGGACGAACATAAACTTTATGAGCTTTTTGTTATTTTGGCTCTCTTAGCATGCACTATAGGTATCAAACCAGCCTAGCTATGTCATCAACTGTTCAAATTTCCACAACTAAAAAAGAGCCCTCCTACTGATGTCTAATGTACAACATTCTTGCTGAATTTCAGACACAAATGGTTATAGGATATTGATTTATGCAGAACTTCTATCTTTTGTATCTAAAATGAGCAATTTCCATTCCTAAAAAAATTCTGGAATCCCTAAATTACATTGTCATGTAGGCAGTTATTTAAGCTGAAATGGTAGAGATTAATTCTATGAAACCTCCTTATTTTAACTCTTCTCATTCAGTCAGCTTCTGAGTCTGGTCAACACAATCCAATTAATATATTTCAATTGTATCCACCTTATTCTAACCCTATTGCCATGCTGATAATTAATTTTTGTTAATTTCATTTTATTATTGGAATGGTCTTATAACTAGTCTTGTTAAATTAATTATGTCCAACTTCAATGCACATTCAATATTGTCACCAACATAATAGTCTTATATAGTAGTATATCTTCATTTATATAATGTGAAATTTAATCTTTTGTATAAATGCATTTCACTGTTAACTTTATCTTAGTGATAGATCTAATTAAATTTCAATAATTATTGTGGATTTAAAGTGAAAACCATAAAAGAAGAAAAATTCTTTTGTGGTGATTATTCTCTACTAATTATACAAAGGAATATCTGAAAATATTTTGACACTCATGCTTCCAATTCTTCTCAGATATCAGATTGATGCTATACAAAGTTACAACTAACTGTTTTCCATACATAAACTGTGTTTTTAAGATTTAGCGTTTTAGAGAAGAAAGAAAATTAAAATAATATAGATCCGTCCTTTCTTTTATACATGGAGAAATAAGAGCTCACAAAGTGAGTTGCTGATTCTAGTCTGCCATTCCAAAAGATTTATAAACTCTCTGAGGTCAGGAACTGCATTTTGTCGAACATTGTATCATCACTACCTAGTTAAGGATATATTCACATTTGCTGAATGAATGAAGAAACTTTTTCACAGTTACAGAGGTAGAGATCTGGATGATACCAGAATCTCAGACTTTCAGATAAATGCAAATTCTACTAAAAATGGAAAACAGTTATTAAGGGCTTATACTGAATCAGATAATTCCAAGTACTTTGCTTTGTATATAACACTTTGAAATTATATTAAAAACAATTGATTACCTTTTAAAATCCTATGATTGGTACTATTACATCAATCTCTATTTTACATATTGGGAAACTGAGGCACAGAGCGATTAGTATCTTACTGCAATGGTCACACAACCAGGAAGTGGTAGAACTAGATTTGAACCCTGGTTATCAGAGACCAGAGAAAGTGATCTTTACCTCCACTCTGCACTATGTTCATAGCTGTGCAGTAAAAGTCCTCCTACTGTGGAAGATTAAAGCACCCACAAGGAATAAACTCATTGAATTTTATTCTGTTCTTGACATAAATGGAAAATATTGGTCTTTTTAAGTTTGTTTTTTCATATTTTGCAATATGAAAAACAATATTAATTTCATGAAAATCTAAATGGTTCTAGTAACCATGTCTAAAATTCAAATGTTATTGCTTTTTCAATCAGAAGATTATAGAGCAATTCACTTTACCACTGAAAATCTATCATTTCTAAGTGAGAAAGCCAAAGAGAAGTGATGACTTTTCAGCTGAATTAATTTTTATTTCACACTTCTCACTTTGTACTTTAGAAGAGAATAAAACATTGGCTTTACCTGGAACAACTTATAGTTCCATTTAATTTTGCATGGAGGGCTAAGTTGAAAGGATGAAGAAATATTAATTTTTTTCTAACTTTGATATGTTTCCCATGTGGAGTCTTTAACAATACCATTTTATATTCAGATTTATTTGACTTTAAAATTCTCTTTTGCATAGACCTGTTTACTAAGTATATAGATTTTGGAACAGTGATTTAAATGATTGAATGCAAAATTAGTATAGCCTCTAAATATATATACAAACATTCTCAGAAAGATACATTCTGAAAACCTGGTGTATTAATTAGTCCATTCTCACACTACTATGAAGATTACCCAAGACTGGGTAGTTTATAAAGGAAAGAGATTTAAGTGACTCACAGTTCCACATGTCTGGGGAGGTCTCAGGAGACTTATAATCGTCATGGGAGGGACCCCTTCACAGGGTGGCAGGAGAGAGAATGAATGCCAGCAGGGGAAATGCCAGACATTTATAAAACCATCCAATCTTGTGAGAAGTTACTTGCTATTATGAGAACAGCATGGGGGAAACCAGCCCATGATTCAATTAGCTCTCACTAAGACCCACCCACCACACGTGGGGGTTATGGGGATTACAATTTAAGATGAGATTTGTGGGGGGATACAGCCAAACCATATCACCTGGTAAAGACACATTTCTTCAATGGAAATATTGAATGTGCCTAGTCACAGAAACATAGTTTTAAAAAATAATTAAAGCAATGTTAGAGACATCCAGAAGAGTGGTGCTTAGCAATTCAGAGGGGTTGGGGGAGGCAGGTAGTTGAAGGGAATTGGTAGCAGGAGGAAGTGGATTTGAGTATGCACACTTCCACTTGTTAGCTGTGTGACGCTGGCTGATAAACTCAAATTTTTCGTTAGTAAATAAGATTTTGTCTGAGACAAATTAGACATGCAGTACTTTCTAAAAGGTTAATCAGGTGAAAACTCTATGTCTCAAATTTTCCATCTCCATGAACTTTCCTCTTTGCTATTGCTGCTTGGGAGCCTCTGCCATATAAAATGTATCTAGGAATTGTGATAGACATTAGAGAACACGCCTGAGAATATTTTTTTTTGTTTCCTGGGTATGTTTCAAATAAAATACTTAAATTTTTTTTTTATTAAGAGTACTGTTATTGAAACCAAGTATGTGTTTAGTGAAATTTCTAAAGTATACCATTATCTTTGCCTTTCTTCAATTTATACTTGAAACTAAGTCACTAAAAGTCTTGAAGTAGTTTCTTATTAAGGTTGAAAAATGATATTAGAAGAGACTCCCTTTTGTGAGTCATGACCTTTTGCTGTCTGATTTAGCCTGAGAGCTTTCAAGCTGGAGTGTCTACTCCACCCTCAAGAGGCCCTTGTATCTATGTAAAGTCATTTATTTCTGAACTGCACTTGCCTCCTTTCACGTCAGCAAGGGGCCATCTTCCCTCTGGCCCCAGTAAGTGTGATTTAAATTTTTTTTTTTTGGATAGCTCTTTGTTTAAACCACAGAAGAATACTACAGGAAGTAATATTGAAGTTCTAACTTGATAGAATATTTCCATGGGCTCCTTCAGAATTTTGCCTTTTGGTAAGATATTATTAGCCTTTGAATCTACAAAGTGCTTAGAGGCACTTAACATGTTATAGGTGTTCAACAAATACATGTCCTGTGTAATCGATCCCACATGTGTACAAGCTAGACTGAAAGTACTAATTTAATTGAAAACACAGTTTCATTCCATATACCCTCCCTTTTAACATGATTTATTGAGTCCCAACTATGTATCGGGAATTATCTTAATCATTAAAGTAAAAACTAAATGAAATAAAGTAAGATATTTCCTCAGCATGAAATTATTGTAGTTTAGAGGAAGGAAGAACTAAACAAACCCACAAAATGATTATGTAATATTCACTATGAGCTAATGTTATTAAACCTCAAATCAAGAAATAAATACCATTTTATATCATCAGGAAAAAAATTGAAACAGAAAATGACATTATATCTGAATCTGCAAGACTATCTGTGCTGGACTGAGGTGGGCCTTCATCGTCTAAGCGAGCAAGAGCAAGTAGAAAGCCATGCAGCCTGTAAAAGAAGTTGAAATATTGGGGAACTAGTTGATAACATTATTTTGCACTGAATTTAGAATCAAATTGGTTAGGAAACTAGACTTAGATGAGGAAGATTACAGCATTACTATGAACAGCCTTCAATTATAGCCTAAGATGTGTGTGGTTCGGGGCAGGGCGGGGGTCTGCCTGTGTGTGCCTGTGTTTCAGGAGGGAGTTACTAACAGATAATAACTTTTCTATTTATATGCAGGATGGTTCTGAATGAGATGAGAGTGGTAGTATGAAAATAATTCAGAAGATAATTATAATTTTCTGGGTGTGATATCTTTAAAGTTTAAGTGAAGTTTTAAAATTAGTTGCAGTAGAAACTTAGATTCAAAAACACATAATGAAAAGCAAAACAAAACACTTTCTCAAATGTTTTAGAGTAGTTTTTCTAGAAGTATGGTTTTCAAATCAGATGTATCATCATCAAATGTAGACTTAGAATCTGAAACTTTGGAGACAGCAGTCGGAAGGGTGGCAATTTGTGTTATAACAAGCTCTCCAGATGATTCTGATGTAAACCAATGTTTGAGAACTACTGATTGAAAGTTTTTAATTAATTATAAAGGTTTCTCTTTTATGCCATTTATATGCTTATTCACAATACTGTTATTAACATATTTCACTGATGCTGTGATATTAAAAGAATTTCAAGATGCACTGCTATCTCATTTATCATTTTAAAATGCTGCCAATTAAGCAAATTCATATCAATTTAAGATGAATCCCAGTTTTAGAAGTGTTAAAATTAAAATGTACATCTTAGAGAATTGTAAAACATCTTGTATTGACGGCCATAAATTATTTTGAATAAAAATGGAGATGTTTCCCAGCTACATCAACACATTTCTGAGCTTATTTCTCATCAAAATTTGACCCACAACTAGATAAAACCTACATTCATTTCCATTTATTTTTTTTTTTAAGTAAGACTTCATGTTTCCACTCTTTTATTTCACTAGTAGATTATCTGAATCTAAATTGTTTGAATCTGCTTCTATTCTACCTACACAAGTGGAAAATAGAGACACCTAGAGCTTTAATATTTAGATCTTGATAATAATTAATTTCCTTTTTAAGTGATAAAACCTTTTTGGGAGGGATGGGTTTCCCTGTCAACAAATCTCCCCATTCTACTATCAGCCTGTTGTGCCAGCTACCACAGGCATGGTTGAGAATAAGACACGAAGCATCCGTATTTCCAGAGTTCCCACAAAGTATGTTAGTGATTTTAAGGGTGTTTGTGTTGAAAGTGTCTGAGTCACATGAGATTTTGAAAGCACATTTGCCTCCTGAAAATTTTTCTCTTACTTTTCTCCCCAGGGGAGAACACAACCAACCTATACCCATATTTTTCTCATAGTTTCTCCTATTATCTTTTGAATTTTGCTCTTTTTTCATCTTTCACTTCCTTTGTCTCTTATACTCTGTCCAGGTCATTCTTCTAGACCAGAAGGAGCCCAGACTTCTGAACTTGCTGCAATATACTTTCCTAGGGCCAGAACTGGCTGCAAATGGAATTGGCAGTGCCTTAAGTCTCCAGTGCATGAACATATAAAGAAAGGTCTGAGAGAGAGAGAGTTGTTGGGGAGAAACAAAAACTAACTATGAAGATAGTCCAACTAGATAATCAACTCAAAAAGATAGATGGAACACTAAAACGTAGATACAAAGCACTAGAATGAAAAAAAAAAAAAAAAAAAAGAGCCAAGTAAGTATAGAAGAACCCCAAGGTAGCTTCTAAGCTGTGGGGTCATAGCTGCTGGTGATAGGACTAAGTTTTATCCACTCTGATAAAGTAATAAACGTATATGAAAATTTTTGCCCATCTTTAGCTGAGCAGGTGACAAAGCATATATAAGTAATTTACTAAGTCCATAAGAGTAATAAGCAGTGTAAGTGAGGTGATAGGCCAGGACTTTTGTTCCAGAACCCAGCAGCATTTCCCCACATGTAACTCTAGGGGGACCGAATGTATAATACTCTCCCAATGGGTGCTTAACTAATTCATCACAGAAATCTGGAAGTTAAAAGATGTTAGATAACATACTTATTATTTGTTTATTAAAATAATAAATAAATGCAATCAGGAGCAAAAAATATGTTAGTCAAAAGCAAAGCTACACTATTTGAGTATGTATAAATGTAAACATCAGATAGATTTACTTATACAGGTTGAGTATTCCTAGTCAAAATATCCAAATTCCAAAATGCTTCAAAATCCAAAGCTTTTTGAGCACAAACAAGATGCTTGAAGGAAATGCTTATCCACTAGGAATGCTCAAATGGTATAATGCAAATATTTCAAAATCTGACACACTTCTGGTCCTAATCATTTAGGATTAGGGATACTCAACCTGTACTTTCTTAGAATCACTTTTAAACCTTGAAAATGGAGATACTTGATTTCTTCAGTCCTGCTTCACAAGGCTGTTTTGTATATAAAAACTTTACAAAATATAAATATGTGAGTGCAATGTGAGATGTAATCAATAATCATTATAATCATCTAACAGGAACTAGGCTACATTTTTTAACTGAGTTAATTTTTTTCTAATAACTTTTTTTCTTTTGCCATAGAGGCCACCTGGTGGTAACTATAAGAGCACAATCCTTCTATACTGATCTTGGTGTAAGTCCTGTGCCTGTAATTTATTAACATTCTGACCCTGGTAAGTCAATTGACTTCTCTAAAGCCCAGTCTCCTCATCTGACGAATAGTGATAGTACCAATACCTATGCTCTAGGAGGTTACTGAGTCTTAATTAACTTTTAATATGTCATTATTCATGTGCTAAAATTTAACCCATTGCCATGTGTTTTAGAAACTACACATTTTATGGTAAGAACAATATATTACTTTCGGCAACCACCTGTCATACCTTGGCTGGAATACTAGGTGTTTTTTTTAAAAAATTATCTTACTGAGCACTTATAATAAATCTGCATATCCACTATTAATATCTTCATTTTATAAGTGAGACAGGTTAAGTAACTTGTCCAGGTTACAAGGCTTATAATTGGAAGAGAAAGGAGTGAAATCTGGATTATTCTGTCTTCAGAGCTTTTGTTTTGTCCACAATGTGCCCCAACCTACCAGGGACAGCATAAAAGGGACTGAATTTGTTAATCAAGGACATGATACTATGATTATTTTTTATGAAAGTATTTTTGTATTTTCTGAGTTTCTTTCATACTTACTTAGCTCAACTTAGAGGTATTTCTGAAAAAAAAAAAGAACTCAGTGTTAATATGGCTTATAGTTACTGCAGAAAGAAGCCTTTCCCTACATATGAATGGTAATTTTATTTCTGCCCTTAAAATGGAAAATAGGTCAACCTACTTACTTATTACATTGCTTAAATCATCTTCTGTGATTTTGGCAGTTTAAGGCTTATAGGTCTTTTCTTGGCTATCTTCCGCTAAATCTTTTAAGGAATCATGGATATTCTATGCACATCTGATCAAATATTTATTAAAGAATATATAACATGACTGTGAATTTATTTTAGCATTTTTCTTCTGAGGAGTTCAGAACCTTATGGCATAAATTACCTCATTTATCTTCATATACATTCCCAAGGGAAAAGCATAGTAGTATTATCAGCCCAGATTAAAAATAAATGGGCTAGTTGTTCAGTCAGTCTGTCATCAGGATTGATAGAGTTTCCACTATTTGCAGGTACTGGAAGCAGTAGCCATGTTATGTTCTGTGAACAACAAGGTGGAGCAGGGCTGGTCTGGATGAAATGGCTTGGAGCACCTCAGTTCACATGCCTCTGGTGATCTGCTTATTTACTCAGCTCATAAGTAACAGAGCAATAACATATGTCCTTCTCTCCATTTGAGATGCTTTTGGCCATTGCTCTGACTGCTTCATCCTCATGTTTTAAGGCTCAGTTTAGTCTTCATTGTATCTCTAAGGCCTTTCTTGATCTCCAACAAAATAATCATGTCCATGTCAAATATAGAGACAATTAAATAGGTGAAGATATATGTAATTAATATGTCCAGTACAACTTATTGAATAAAAACATTTTGATTACATCCTCTCTAAAATACCAAAAGCTTCTATGAGAAAGAATAACATTTTATTTCTCTGTATATCTTTGGCACAGATCACAATTCCTGGCACAAAACAGATGATTAAAATCAGTTTACTAAATACTATGGGGAAATAGAAAACACATTTAATATATGAGGATTAAACTATGAACCCATTGGCCTCAGATTATTTTTGCTCTTTGAACTATTGAATCTCATTGATCAGTGAGTTGTTTCTCCACTTCAGATGGCCCACTGTCAAACATTATATCTGAGCCTTTATTTTCACCTATAAAAGGGGGACACTTGTTTGTTCTTTATATGATATCATAGGAAACCAAGGGAATGAAATATATGTATTGATTTGCTAAGGCTGCTATACAAAGCACTGCAGGCTAGGTGGCAAACAACATAAATTTATTTCCTCATAATTCTTCGGCTACACATCCAAGATCAAGGTGTCGGCAATGTACATGTCTTCTAAGGCCTCTCTCCTTGGCTTGTAGATGGTCATATTCTCCCACTCTCTTCCCATGGTGTTTCCTCTGACCTAATCTCCGCTTCTTATGACAAGAGTCATGTTGGATTAGGGCCCACCCATATGAATTTATTTTACCTTAATTACCTTACAAAGGCCTTATCCAAATACAGACATATTCCGAATTGTTGGGGTTTAGGACATCAACATGTGAATTGGAGAGGAAGATATATTCAGCCTATAACAATACATAAAAGGTCCAGGCCGGCATGGTGGCTCATGCCTGCAATCCCAACACTAAGATGCTGAGACGCCTGGATTGTTTGAGCCTCGGAGTTGGAAACCAGTCTGGGCAACATGTCGAAACCCTGTCTCTACAAAAAAATTACAAAACAACACAAAAAATTAACTGGGCATGGTGACAAGCATCTGTAGTCCCAGCTACTAGGGAGGCTGAAGTGAAAGGATTGCCTGAGCCTAGGAGGTCAAGGCTGCAGTGAGCCATGATTGTGCCACTGTACTACAGCCTAGGCAACAGAGGGAGACCCTGTCCCCCAAAATAAATAAATAAATAAAAATAAATAAAAGGCCCAATATGGAGCCTGGTATGTGTTTGGCACTTTACTCATGGAAACATTATTACTATCAGTTTTAGTCAAAGGTTTCCAATAGATCAAAAAATAACTTTACTGCTTCTTGTTAAATTGCTCTTTCAGTCTCTTGCTCAGCTGGCTTGAAAAGAAAAATGGCATGCAGACAGGGCACAAGCAATCCCAGCACGAAGTGCAGGGCAGAGGGAGGAAGATAAAGAGCCCTGGTAAGGGAAGGAATACTCTGAGCTCATTTACACATTTAGCAAGAGCTTGTCATAATTGAAAAAGCAGATGACCCAGATGAAGAAGTTGATGCTATAAATGGTGGCAAATCTTTTAAGAAGAAAAATGAAAAGCATGCAGAGGTACATTTGGCATTCGGGAGAACTGACAGTGAGTCAGGATGCCAAGCGTGAAAGGCATTAGAGTAACATTTCTATGAAAACCTGGCAGTCAAATTTTGAGGGGAAAACAGGCATTAGCCATAGCCATATGTCAATTTTGTGATGAGTTTCAAAGCCATCTTTCATGCAGTCATTCTTCCTTCAGTCCCTGCTATCCTTTCTCTCTTCTCACCTTTCCTTCATTCCTCCACCTTTGTATATAATAGGCATAGTGATGGTACGGTGTTATATTCTATTCAGGCATAGGTAACATCCTGAAGGAGATAAATGTCATATATAAATTTATATGTATAATATACACAGAGTTGATTATCATTATTCATGGTAGTTATGTTCTATAAGGTCACACAGACACTGACTTAGTAAATACAGAAGCTCCTAGAGGGAAAATATATAGCTCACCTAGATTATACTCTTAAATCTTAAAACAACTCATCCTGGGAGATTTTATTTTCTTTATTTTACAAAAGGGTAAATGTGATTTAGAAGTATTAAGTAACTTGCCTGAGGTTACCTCACTAGTAGGTGCCATAGATAATGGTGATTCAAACCCCATCTATCTGACTCCAGAGCTAGATCTTCTTTTACTACAGTGCATTGCTTACTACTGTCTCCTTCTTCTGGTGATAGATAGATATAGAGAGGTATGTAGATAGGTAGGCATGTAGGTAGGTAGGTAGGTAGGTAGGTAGGTAGGTAGGTAGGTAGGTAGAGAGAGAGAGAGAGAGAGACAGAGACAGATAGATAGACAGACAGACAGACAGATAGATAGATAGACAGATACATAGACAGATACATAGATACGTAGATAGAAACATAGATAGATAGATAGTCATCATCTACTCTGTCTATATCTGTCTGCCTATCTATCTACACAATATATTTGTTGTGATTAAGTACAGCTGAAGGACACTGGGGTTTCACTGAAAATGCTACCAGTTTTCTGCACAGAAAAACAACTATCTATATCTCAGTATAAAGGTTGATCTTTTTTTAAGTACCTACTATGTGCCTAGGACTGTTCTAGGCCTTTAAACTAAATTAAGCCTTATGATAATCTTATAGAGGTGGCATTGTAATTTTCATTGTAATACTAGCAAACTGGAGCTCAGAAAAGTAAACTTGTCAAAGATTATGCAGCTAGTAAACAGAAGAATTGAAATTTGAACCCAGGTCTCCCTGATTCCAGTTATCCAGACCAGCACACCTCATCATATCTCATACAGAAAGCACATGTAGAATACCACCTTCCCAGTTTAGATCTCTTCTTTTCTGCCTCTGCCTCAAGCAGTTTCACTCTGAAACGTCAAAGAATGTCAGAGAAACCAGAATTTGAAGAGGACAAAATTGGTGTGGTGTTTGGAAGGCAAAAGCAGAGAATGAATTCTGGGAAGGCACCCAGGTGTCTACATTATAAGAATAAATCTTACCTGGCACAATGGCTCACACCTGTAATCCCAGCACTTTGAGAGGCTGAGAGGATCACTTGAGCCCCGGAGCTAGAGATCAGCCTGGACAACATAGTGTGACCCTGTCTCTACAAAAAATGAATAAAACAATCTAGGGGTAGTGGTGCATGCCTATAGTCCCAGCTACTTGAGAGGCTGATGTGGGAGGATTGATTAACCCAGGAGGTCAAGGCTGCAGTGAGCCATGATCAGACTACTGCACTCCAGTCTGGGCAACAGAGCAAGACCCTGTCAAGAAAGAAAGAAAGAAAAAGAAAAAGGAAGGAAGGAAGGAAAGAAAATCTCAAACTGGAGAACGTTAACAGAGAAAGTGTTTCTTAAGGGAGTGTTGAAAGATTTGGGATGATTCAGTCAGTCAATGGACAAGAAGAAATGATGGTGTGTAGCAGGGAGAATATTTATGGTAAGAGTGCAAGGAGCGAGAGGAGATGATTGGAAGCTGAGTGACAGGGCCCTGGGTGTGAGAAAGTGTGGTGCAATTGGCTGTTGCTTGGTCCTGCAGAAGACTAGGGACTCAGGAGGCTCCTAAAGGAATGTGGTTGGTATAGAGGAAGGAGATGACTAGAAATGGGTTTTGAGTGTTATAATACTAGGTGTATTAGTCTGTTCTCATGGTGCTAATAAAGACATACCAGAGACAGGGTAATTTATAAAGGAAAGAGGTTTAATTGACTCAGTTCTACAAGGCTAGGTAGGCCTCACAGTCATGGCAGAAGGTGAATGAGGAAAAAAGTCAAGTCTTACGTGGCAGTAGGCAAGAGAGTTTGTGCAGAGGAAATCCCATTTCTAAAACTATCAGGTCTCATAAGACTTATTTACTACCATGAGAACGGTATGGGAAAACCACCCCCATGATTCAATTATCTCCACCTGGCCCTGCACTGGACACATGAGGATTATTACAATTCAGGGTGAGATTTGGATGGGGACACAGCCAAACCGTATCACTAGGTCTGGATATTTTCTTTAGGCAATGTCACATAACAGAGGCCTCAGAAATAGCGCGACACATCTACAACCATCTGATCTTTGACAAACCTGACACAGACAACCAATGGGGAAAGGATTCCCTATTTAATAAATGGTGTTGTGAAAACTGGCTAGTCATATGCAGAAAACTGAAACTGGACCCCTTCCTTATACCTTATACAAAAATTAACTCAAGATAAATTAAAGACATAAGACCTAAAACCATAAAAACCCAAGAAGAAAACCTAGGCAATACCATTCCGGACATAGGCATGGGCAAAGACTTCATGACTAAAACACCAAAAGCAATGGCAAAAAAAGCCAAAATTGACAAATGAGATCTAATCAAACTAAAGAGCTTCTGCACATCAGGGTGAACAGGCAACCTACAGAATGGGAGAACATTTTTGCAATCTATCCAGCTGACAAAGAGCTAGTATTCAGAATCTACAAGGAACATAAACAAATTTTCATGAAAAAACCAAACAACTCCATCAAAAAGGGGACAAAGGATATGAACAGACACTTCTCAAAAGAAGACATTTATGCAGCCAATGAACATATGAAAAAAAGCTCATCATCACTGGTCATTAGAGAAATGCAAATCAAAACCACAATGAGATACCATCTCATGCCAGTTAGAATGGCGATCATTAAAAAGTCAGGAAACAACGGATGCTGGAGAGGATGTGGAGAAATAGGAATGCTTTTACACTGTTGGTGGGAGTGTAAATTAGTTCAACCATTGTGGAAGACAGTGTGGTGATTCCTCAAGGATCTAGAACCAAAAATACCATTTGACCTAGCAATCCCTTTACTGGGTATATACCCAAAGGAATATAAATCATTCTACTACAAAAACACATGTACACGTATGTTTATTGGAGCATTATTTACAACAGCAAAGGGTTGGAACCAACCCAAATGCCCATCAATGATAGACTGAATAAAGAAAATGTGGCATGTATACACCATGGAGTACTATGCAGTCGTAAAAAAGGATGAGTTCATGTCCTTTGGAAGGACATGGATAAAGCTGTAAATCATCATTCTCAGCAAACTAACACAGGAACAGAAAACCAAACACCACATGTTCTCCCTCCTAAGTGGGAGCTGAACAGTGACAACACTTGGACACAGGGAGAACATCACACACTGGGGCCTGTTGGGGGGTGGGAGGTTAGGGGAGGGATAGCATTAGGAGAAATACCTAATGTAGATGGTGGGTTGATAGGTGCAGCAAACCATCATGGCATGTGTATACCTATTTAACAAACCACCACGTTCTGCACATGTATCCCAGAACTTAAAGTATTAAAAACAAACAAATAAACAAAAAAATATACCTCTGAGTTTGACTGAGTTGTCAAAGAGTAAAATGATTTACCTGATGAATTCTTATTAAGAAATGAGGGCGATTGTGCAGTGTAGATCCCAGAACTCTTAATGTGGATCTCAGGTTACACAATAGGGTAGAGTCAGTTTGTATGATAATAACAATAGATCATTATACCGTCTTCAATAAAGGGGAAAGAAGGACTCATACACTACACTACCTAAGTATTATTCATAAAAATATATAGTCCATATCAGGATCTGTAACCTGGAAATTAGATCTATAGTTACATTGTTTTATATAATACATTTATAATATCATGAAAAGGTAAGAAAATAGTAAAAATAACTAAATAAAATAAACTAATATTTAAGTGTTCATAAATTGGGTATGATAACATATTTACCTGAAAGTATAATGTTAATTATCTTGGGACTATCTCAGCATTATCCTTATTGTGTTGTTTTCTTATTTGCTTTCAGCTGTTTTTACATTTTTGGTTTAGTGGTGAAACTCTTTTAACACTTTTTATTAGGTGCTTGTATTTTTGTACTAGAGAAGCCATTTCCAATCCCTAAAAGTGTACATGCAAAAGCAAATACACATGAAACCCAGGGTTAGGTATTTTGTAATGCAGGGCAGCACTCTGAATAGGGAACAATTCATTCCACCAAAAAATGTCATGTATATCCAAAGCTAGGAGGAAGAAAGTCCTGTACCCTCTGGAAGAGTCACAGACTCAACTGGAGCATCCACATATATATTACATTTCAAGCTTTATGCTGAACTGAGGGTGATCAATTGGCTAATTCTGAAATCATAGCTGCTTGCTTGGGAAGGAAATTCTCTCTAGTATAAACATTAAATATGCCTGTAAATAAATCAAGGGGAATTAGCAAACAGTATTTGATCCCAAAATTTGTCTGTTGCTTTATTGCTTTCATTATGTAAATGATAACTTTTTGGCAGAATATTGCTCAATAAGTGAGTAAAAATTTGAAGATATACACGGTTCATTGGCATATCGTGGGTACAAGTAATGCTGTCTGTCGAGTAAAAAGTTAGATTTGGGTTTTCTTATAAATGGTCAAGATATGTATTTTATTTGATCCAATGTCTATTTAATTTATGTTTGTATTATTAAAAGCAGCATGGAAGTTAAGGAAAATGACAAGGTTTGGATCTGGACTTGTTGTTTGCTGCTTGTCTGACATTTGACCTCAGTATTCAGCCTACCTCCTCAGTTTTTAAAGGGGGACAATAGTGTCTACATTAGCTATAAAGATAATGTAAGAATATATAGTATTTTGAACTAGCTGCTGGTTGTACTTGTTTTTTAACCATCCTAGTCACAGTGAAAATGAACCATCTTCAACAAAATATATTTTATATAGTCAAACTTTAAGATGTCTAATCCTGGATTTGGAAACATGCACTTGAAATTCACCACAAACACGGAGTTCAACATGTCGAGGTTTTAAATCAGAAATAAGCATATGTTCAGTTGGTTTTTATGTCTTTTTTTCTTTTTGAAAATTATATTTAGAGCATGTGTAGGTTTACGGAAAATTGAGCAGAAAAATACAGAGTTTCCATTCTTTCTCTCTCTTTCTCTGTCTCTCTCACTCACTCTCTCCTCCCCAGTTTCTCACATTATTAACATTTCACATTGGTATAGCCCATTTGTTACAATTGGCGAACAAATACTGATATATTATTTTAAACCAAAGTCTTTAGTGTATATTAAGGTCCGTCTTTCTGTTATGCCAGTTCCTGGGTTTTGCCAAATGCATAATGCCATACTCATACACAATAGTTTGAATGTCCTAAAAGTCCCCTGTTTCACCAGTTTGTTCTTCTCCTCTTCACTCTTATGCTGTCCCTGGCATTAACTGATCTTTTAATTGTTTCCATGGTTTTCCCTTTTCCAGAATGTTTATGATTGGAATCAAACACCCTGTAACCTTTTCAGATTGGCTTATTTTACTAGACAATATGCACTCAAATTTCCCCCGTGTCTTTTTGTCATTTGATCACTCATTTTATTGCCAGATGATATTCCATTTCATTGACACACCACAGTTTATCTGTTAGTAATTGAAGAATATCTTGGTCATTTCCAATTTTTGGCTATTCTGAATAAAGCTACTGTAAATATTTGAGTGGAATATTTTGTCTGGATGTAAATTTTTGTGTGGATATAATTTTTTTTTCAATGGATTGAATGTTTGTATTTCCCCACTCCCCAACATTTATATGTTGAAATCGCACTCTCAATGTAATGTAATGACTTCAGGAGGTAATTTAGGTCATAAGAGTGGATTAATACCCTTATAAAAGACACACCAGAAGCTCTCTAGCTCTCGTTCCACCACGTGAAGATACAAGTCGGCAGCCTGCAATGCAGCCAAGGCTCCTCACCATGCTGCCATGCTGATCTCAGACGTTCAGCCTTCAGAACTGTGAGAAATCAGTGTCGTTATTTATAAGCCACTAAGTCTATGTTATTTTGTTATAGCTACCAGAACTGACTAAGACAGTTTTCAAACATTTAGGTAAAATCCTAGTAGCATGATTGCTGAATCATAAATTAAGACTATATTTAAATTTAGCTCTGTAAGAAGCTGCCCAATTGTCTTCCAAAGTTGCTATTGTTTTCCATTCCCATCAGCAATTAATGAAAATTCTTGTTGCTTCACATCCTTGTCAGTATTTGGTGTTGTCTGTGTTTTGGATTTTAGTCCAAAACTAAATGAAATGATATCTCATTTTTTAACTTGAAATTCCCTGATGACATATAATATTGTGCTACTTTTCATATGCATATTCACTATTTGCCAGCCTTCATTGGTGAAGTGTCTGCTCAGATATTTTGCCCACGGGTTGAGTTGGATTTTATTTTATATCAAGCTGAAATGATCCATAAATTCACATAGAACCTTATAGACCCAAGACTGCCCCATTTTAGACTCTGCTCATGTGATTCCCTCTTCTACAGCATCATTTCCACCTTTATTTTCTGGCTTACTTCTCATCCAATATTTTGTTCATGTTTTAACCCTGAAATCTCTAAACTTTCTGGTTATGGGAATGGCCTTTCCTCCAGGGATCTTTATTTAACCTACTGGGCATACCTAAAATTTAGAACTGAAATGGTGTTCTTAAAATTATCTTTTGAAAGTTCTTCTTCCTTTGCAGGAGTATAAGTTAGAAGGAGAGGGAGTGTATCTTACTTATCATTGACTCTCCAGAGCCTGGCACAATGCTATGTATGAACTAGGAACTCCCATCTGATTTACTGCACTGAACTTAACTCGTTCTAAACCAAGTTAAAGAATATGCTGTCAACGTAAAATAATCTTGAGTTTTAAAGAATGATTTTCGCTTCAGAGATTCTGTAGTTTTCCACTTTTTATTTTACTTAAAATTAAGTTAATTTCTGAGGCAAAGTATATTCTCCATTATGGAAATGGCTTAACCAAGGCAGATAAATGCAAGACAACCAGTCTTAGCAATCAATTCTTATCTACTGAGAGAAAAATGCCTCCTTAAAATGCAGTATCTTCCCAATTCCTCCAAACTCTGAAGGACTATATAGTTTATCATAGCTGGATCCCCAACTGCCATGTTCTCCTAAGGGTCAAGGAATAGGTCTTTATTTCTTGAATCATTTAACACTGAAATAGAAAAGTCATTGAAAAACATATTAGGAGCAATGCTGAAAGGTTCTGTCATGTACTTCCTTTATTCTTTAACTTTATGGAGAATACATAGAAGCCTATGTCTGTGGGTTTTTAAGTCAAGGCAAGAACTTGCTGGGACATACTGGCATTCTAAATTATACTAAATGTTTTCATCATTGAAAGGCAATATAATTTAAAATAACTCTCAAAGTCCTAGTATGAATTTCCTACAAAACAATCTGATACAAGGATTTGTTTACAAGTAGTTCATTTGGAAGGAAATCTCAGAAAGTAGAAGTAAAGAAGCAGGATGAGTGAGAAAAAAATCAATTCTGTAACCAACGAATGGCAGTCTGTCAGGATCTCTGAGAAGTCCACAGAATTCTTCCTAGAATTGCCCATATGGCTGATGAGAGAATGCAGCTCTTAATTACTAGTGTGCTACTTCCATTGGTTGAAGGTGTTCTCTTGGGAATTTCAACTCTATAATTCTGGGCTCTGCTTGTATAGTAGCTTCTGGAAGTTCAGAGACATTCCTGGAGAAAACTGCAGAAAGAAAGACTGCTATGTTGGGTTACAATCAAGATGGGCCTGAGTTTGCATGGAAACATCCATGTCATTGGTAGATGAAGTCACATGGTGCCAGGGGATGTGATGCAGATACAATGGGTGTCTGATACAACATGCATTACTTTTTATCTTTATAGAAAGCAAATATGTTTTAAACACCTTCCAGGGAAAGGGACATCTATTCCGTGGATTACCTCTTTGTTTAATCTTAGAAACTGAGGTTTAGAGAGGTTAAGTTATGAGCTTAGAAGCCCAAGAATACAAAGTAGTAAAAATAGAATTTGAACTCATGTCTACTGACTATATGCCCAACATATTTCCTACAACTAAAGGCTGCTTTTTAGAAAGCTAACAAGGATTTGAATTTCTACAGGTATTCTATTTGTAGAAATAAAAATAATGGGAAGAAACCATCTCTTCTCCTGAAATTTTTTATACATAAAAAACTCATCTAATATACATTAATCCAGTACTTATCATATGTGTAGCACTATGTTTGGCACTGAGAAGACAATAATTGAAAGTTATTGGTTATTTACCTATAGAGGCTCAAAATGCTTTTGGGTACACATGCAGAGAAACAGAGTATTACAGGATATTGAAACAATGGCAAAGTTAGAGACATGCTGAGGGTGTTATAAGAATACCTGGGAGGGACAAATGAATGTTTCCGTGGGAAAGGTCTCATTTTCTCCATAGTTTTGGAATCCAAGCTCATACTCTGTGGATCTCCTTGAGTTCCAGTGATGTAGCTCTGAGGCCTAGTCAGCCTTCAGATGCTTTCCAAATCTATAGTAAACAGAGTTTTTCTTGTGATTTGCCCTCTACTTAAATCTCATTCCTTTTCCTAAAGTGGCAATGCCTGCAGGTTTACTTGCCAGTTTCTGAATTGCTTTTGTCTCTCTACCCAAAGTAAAATTTCTCTGAAGAGAAGAATCATGTGTCACATGCACTGTATCTTCAGTGCCCAGCACAGGGCTCTCTGTCTTTTAAAAGTGCTTAATAAATAAACAGGGGATGAATGTAGCATGGTATATTAAAATGTGTTACTGAATTTACAACTATGTCCACACTTGTTAACTGAATTGCTGAAAGGAGGTAATATACTAGTTAATTCCAACCAGAAAAATGTTTGAAATAAAGTAGAACCCTATTGTCATCATAAAGACAGTTTGGAAATCATGTTCACTTAAGCTTCTTGGAAGCAGAAACAGGTAGGAGGAGGTAGTTTTATTTTACAGAAGGAAAAAAAAAAACAACAGCCTAAAAATATGTCTTCTCTGTATTCTAATGCTATTTTTTTCATGTGTTTGTAGTGATGCCAGTATATAAACAGACCTACTGCACTGCCATTCATAGGAAAATATAGCACATCCAAATATGTATAGTACATAATACTTGACTATGACAGTGATAATAATTGATGATGCTGTTGGTTTATGTATTTACTATACTGTACAGTTTAAATTTTATTTTTATCTTTATGGATTTAAGGGGTACAAGTGCATTTTTGTTACACGGATATATTGCATAGTGGTGATGTTTGGGCTTTTAGTGTGCCCATCACCTAAATAGTGTACATTGTACCCAATAGGTAATTTCTCATCCCTTACCCCCTTCCACCCCCAAGCTTTTGTAGTCTTCAGTGTCTATTATTCCACTCTGTATGTTTATGTGTATACATTGTTTAACTCCCACTTACAAGTGACAACATGCAGTATTAGACTTTCTGTTTCTGAGTTATTTCACTTAGGATAATGGCCTCCAGTTTCATCTATGTTGCTAAAAAAGACATGATTTTTTTCTTTTTTGTGGCTGAGTAGTATTTCAGGATATATTATATATTTTTATATATATATATAGCAACAATGGCAAAGCTATATATTATTATATAATATTTTATATTATAAGCTATATATATATACAATGTAAGATTGCATATGCAAACAAAAAGTATCACCCTGGCTTAATGTGGGGTTGGATATTGAGAGGGTTGGCCAAAGTATAATTATCTGGGTCACTCAGGAGTTCAGGCAAAGATAGTACTAGAGTTATTAGAAGGAGGAGGAGAACAATTAAACCTAGAATATCTTTGGTTGTATGGTAGGGGTGGAAAGTGATTTTGTCAGAGTCTGATGAAACCCCTGAAGTGTCGTTAGACCCTGTTTCATGTGAGAATAAAAAGTGAACAGTTGCTAGAGCAGTAATGATGAAGGGTAAGATGAAATGGAAGGAGAAAAGTCACGTGAGGGTGCCTTTGTCAACTGAGAATCTGCCTCAGATTCATTGTACGAGGTCAGTTCCAATATATGGGATGGCTGAGGATAGGTTTATAATTACTGTAGCACCTCAGAATGATATTTGGCCTCACCGGAGCACATAGGCTATGAATGCTGTTACTATAGTTGTGAGGAGGAGGCTAATGTCAATATTTACGGTTTCTAGTTATATAATTGACTCATAGTATAAGCCTCAGACAACGTGTAAGAAGAAGCACATGAAAAATATTGAAGCACTGTTAGCATGAAAATAGTGTACTGTTCAGCCATAGTTTACATCTCGGCTGATGTGAGCAACTGAAGAGAAGGCAGTTGAGGTGTCTAATGTATAGTGAATGGCTAAAAATAACCTTGTGATGATCTGGAGAATAAGGCAGCCACCAAGAAGTGAGCCAAAGTCTCATCATGTAGAAATGTTAGATAGTATGGGAAGATCAATGAATGAGTAGTTAATATTTTTTATTAGTGGGTGTGTTTTGCGGGTGTTGGTTATTAGTGTTCTTATAGTTGAAGTACAATGATAATTTTTCATGTCATTAGTCATGGTTATAGTCCATGTGGGAATAATGGCATATGCTTTATTTTTATTAAGTGTTCTTTTGATTATGGGATTTGTAGATTTTTCTTTGAAACCTTCTCCTATTTATGGGGGTTTAGGGCTAATTATTAGTGGTGCTGTGTTGTGGTATTGTGTTGAATTTTGGTGGGGCTTTTGTGGGGTTAATGGTCTTTTTAATTTATTTGGGTGGTATGATGGTTGTCTTTGGTTATACCGCGGTGATGGCTATTGAGGAGTACCTTGAGCCATGGCGGTCAAGTATTGACATTTGAGAGGCTTTACTAATTAGGATTATTAATAGAGTGGTGTTGGTTGGGTGAATAGTTGAGTACAATGGGGTGGTGGTCGCGATTGATTTAAATAGCGTAGACAGTTGAATAATTTTTGAGGGTGAGGGGGCAGGGTTGTTGTGTGAGGATTCTGTGAGTGTGGCTGCCTTGTACAGTTCTGGGTTTTGATTAGTGGTAGTTGCTGGTTGATCATTATTTGTGAGTATTTATCTTGCAATTGAAATTACTCGGGGTAATAGATTAGATAATTAAGAGTAGGGTTAGAAAGGATGGAATAAAAAAGAAAGTAGAGTTTAATTAGGCCTTTTTGAGTAGATATAGTGGTAATGGAGGCTGAGACTTGAGTTTGTGAAATGGTCTTTGGTATAGACTTTTCTAGTCGAATTAGGTCTAGTAGAAGTGAAGCCAGATTTTGGCTTGTGAATGGGCTTGAGTAAGGGGTTCCATGGTGTATTGTGGCTAAATAGAAACCTAGTATATTGGAGAAGTTGAATGTCTGTAATGGGTACTTTAGTTTAAGGTTATTAGTTATGAGATTAAGCTCTATGGCTAGTAAGAGGCCTAAGGTGGTCACATCTAGGGCTGTAAGCTTTAGGTGGAGCGGTATAGTTGTTTCGGGGGATGAAGCAGGAATAATACTGTTGGCGATGAGGAATCTGGAGAAGATACTGCCGATTGTTAGGCACTTGAGTTAATCAGGAAGGGATTGTTTTCATTAATAATAATCAGAGTTGTGAAGTGGGGTTGTCCTATTAGAGCAAAGAAAATAATACGGGCCCTATAGACAGCTGTTAAGGAGGTGGCAACAAGAGTAATAGAAGAGGATCAGGCATTGGTGTATGACGTGTTTGTGGTTTCAATAATAAGGTCTTTCGATTAAAAGCCTGTAAGGAAAGGCATACCTGTAAGTGCAAGGCTGCCAATAATGAGGAGGAAGTGCAGGGTAAAGTCTTGAATAGCCTTCCTATTTTTCAGGTATCTTGTTCATCATTGAGATTATGGATGATGGACCCTGAACATATAAATTATATAGCTTTAAAAAAGGCATGGGTACAGATGTGAAGGAATGCTAGATGTGGCCGATTCTTGCCAATTGTGACTATTATGAGGCCCAGCTGGCTTGAGGTGGAGAATGCTATGATTTTTTTTTGATATCATTTTGTATTAGAGCACAGATTGCTGTAAATGAGGTGGTAACAGCCCCTAGACATAATGTAAACGTTTGAATTGATAGATTATTTTCTATAAAGGGTAGAAGCAGATGAACAGGAAAACTGCTACAACTATAGTGCTGGAGTGCAGTAGGGCTGAGACTGGGGCTGGGCCTTCTATGGCTGATGGAAATCAGGGATGGAGGCTGAACTGAGCTGACTTTCCTGCTGCTGCTAAGAGAAGACTAATTAATGGAAGGGCGTGGGGGGTAAGGCTTAGAATATATGCTTGTTGAAGCTCTCATGTGTTGGAGGATAAGAGGAATCACGCTATCGCTAAAATAAAGTCAATGTCACCGATGCGGTTGTACAGAATTGCTTGGAGGGCTGCTGTATTAGCATCTGCTCGGCCGTATCATCAGCCAATTAGTAAGCAAGACATAATTCCTACACCTTCTCATCTGATAAAGAGTTGAAAGAGGTTGTTGCCAGTTACCAGAATTTGTATTGTGATGAGGAAAGTAAGTATTTGAAAAATTGATTAATGTTAGGGTCTGAGTTTATGTATCATATTCAGAATTCTACAATAGATCAGGTAACAAATACTGCTACTGGGATAAACATTGTGGAGAAGTAGTGTAGTTTGAAGCTTAGTGAGAGTTTAAGAGTTTGGATTGTCATTCAGTGTCAGTTTGAGATGACTTATTGGCCTGTACATATAAAGATTGTTGTAGGGATGAGGCTAATGATGAATGTGCATGCGATAGATAATTTTCACATAATTTGGGTACGAACCTTTTTTGTAGAGGTTGGTTAAGATAGTAATAATCGGTAAGATTAAGGGGATCAGGGCTATTATGGAAGTGGAAAAATACACGTTTGTTACTTTTATTTGGAGTTACACCAATGTTTTTGCTTCCTAAGACCAATGGATACCTCTAATTCTTTAAAAGTTGAGAAAGCCATGTTGTTAGGCATGGGGGCGTGAGTTAGCAGTTCTTGCATAATTTCTTGGTAGATAAGAAGCTGCAGGCTTCTATTATTAGGTTCACAATTTAATGTTTTGGTTAAACGATACCTACAGCATGCAAACTCCGTAATAATTTTAGACCTTAAGGATAATAGGAAGATAGGTCCAAGATGTATAAGTATTAATGTATTTTCTTGTGTAAAGGAAGGCTTAATATAGTTAATATAATATGCAAGTGTCCCTTATTGTGTTGTGATTAGCATACATAGGAAGTAAAGGGCTGTAATTAGTATATTAAGTCCTATAAGCATAAAAGTGATGTTTGGTCAGGAGAATGAAGCCATAGTCACAAAGATTTCTCCTACTAGATTAATGGTAAGGCAAGGTTAGTGAGATTTGCTAGGAGTCATCAAGAGGCCATTAGTGGAAGCAGTGTTTGAAGGACTCGGGTAAGTAATATGATTCGGCTATGGACTCATTTGTAGTTTGAATTTGCTAGGCAGAACGGTAAGGATGAAGTGAGTCTGTGAGAAATTATAAGGGTGACTGCACCTGTAAAGCTTCAAGGGGTTTGAATGAGGACAGCCATGATAACAAGTGCTATGTGGCTAACGCAGGCATAAGCAATAAGTGATTTTAGATTGGCTTGTCGCAGACAAGTAGAGCTTGTTATAACTATCCCTCATAGGAATAGTATGAAGAAGGGGTAGGCTATATGTTCTGTTAGGGGGCTGAGGATAAGGGTAAGCTATATTATACTGCAGCCTCCTAGTTTTAGGAGTACTGCTGCAAGTACTACTGAGCCGGCAATAGGAGCTTCTATCTGGGCTTTGGGGAGTCATAAGTGAAGTCCATATAGAGGTGTTTTTATGATAAAGGCAATAATACATGCTAATCATATAAGGTTATTGGATTAGGAGACCAATAGCTCTTGGGTGGTAAGAATCATTACCAGCATATTTAGTGAACCTGAGGTATTTTGAGTATAAACAAGTGTAATAAGTAGAGGAAGGGACACTACTAGTGTACAAAATAAGAAATAGGAGCTGGCATTGAGGCTTTCTGGTCGGTTACCTCAGCAGCTGATGATAATTAGGGGAGGAATTAGTTTAGCTTCAAAGAGGATATAAAATATAATTAGTTCTGTGGCTGTGGATGCTATAATTTTAAAAATCTGCATGGAAATCAATATAGAAATATAGAGTTTTTTTTCGTGGGGGTAATTCAATGGACAGGTGATATTGGCTTGCTAGGATTATAAGAGGTAGTAGTCAGGTTGTTAAGATTAGAAGGGGCGAGGTCACCGGGTCAGAAGAGAAGATTAATGAGAAGTCTGATGAGCTATTGTTGAATTGCATAAAAAATAGTAGGGTAATAAGACTGATGAGTAGGTTGTGGGAAGTCATGTTGATTCAGATTATAGAATCTTTAGAGAATGATGTCATTGGTAACAGTATACTTGTCGGAGTAATGATTTTTAACATTGAAGTAAATTTAGATTTTGTATGTAATCTAGAGCATATGTATTGGAGATTGAAACTAGTAAGGCAAGGCCCACTACGGCTTCACAGGCAGCAAATACTAGGAGAATGATGGGTATTATAGATGCTAGAGTGAAATGTAAGTTTAAAGTTATGAGTATGATAAATAATATTTATACATTTATTTATAAATTTATGATAGTATTATGCCTTCTAGGCATAATAGGGATTATATTAGGTGGCATCGATAGACTAATATTCCCAGCAGTGACATGGTGTATGCTAATATAATATTGATGTAAATAGAAGGCACTTGGTAAATATGGTCTATCATAATCTAATGAGTCAAAATCATTTATTTATTTTGACTTAAACTACCAATTCAATTCAATCTGACCCTTTTAGGGTTCATTCATAAGTCAAGCCTAGGATTAAAACGGGAACTAGCAATAAGGGCTGTGCTGATTATTGTGTCAGGTTGTTTGTTTGAAGGGCTCATGGCAAGGGTAGTAGCAGAGTGATTTCTAAGTCGAAGAGGAGAAATATCATGGCTACTAGGAATAATTTTATGAGGAAGAGGAGGAGGGCAGAGGTTATTGAGTCAAATCCGCATTCATAGGTGCTTGATTTTTCTATATAAGTATTAAGTTGTGGGAGCCAAAATGTAACTATTATTAGTAATAGGGCCAGTAGGGGGTCAGTTACTAGGGCTAGTGTCAGGTTAATTACTCTCTTTTGGATACTATTGAAACTAATTGATTGGAAGTCAATGGTACTGTTTATACTAAAAGAGTAGGACCCTCATCAGTAGACAGAGATGTATAAAAATAGTCATACTACATCTGCGAAGCGCTAATATCAGGTGGCGGCTTCAAAGTCAAAGTGTTGGTTGGATGTAACGTGGAATTTTAATTGGCAGAGGAGGCAGAGAGTGACAGATGTTGATCCAATAATAACGTGAAGTCATGCATGTGTATGTGAAGTTATGTGTGTGTGTGTGTGTGTATATATATGTCTGGGTGTGTGTATATACACGTGCCACGTTTCCTTTATCCAATTATCTGTTGATGAACTCTTAGGTTGATTTTATGATTTTGCTATTATGAATAATGATGTGATAAACGTATCGGTGCAGGTGTCTTCTTTATATAATTTACTTTCCTTTGCATAGATACCTAATAGTGGGATTGCAGGATTGAATAGTAGTTCTGTTTTAGGTCTTTGAGAAATCTACATACTGTTTTCCATAGGGGTTGAACTAATTTACATTCCCAGTAACAGTATGTAAGCATTCCATTTTCTCTGCATCTTCGCCAACATCTGTTATTTTTTGACCTTTTATAATAGCCATTCTGACTGGAGTGAGATGGTATCTCACTGTGGTTTGGATTTGCGTTTGTCTGATTAGTGATATTGAACATTTTTTCACATGTTTGTTGGCTACTTGCATGTCTTCTTTTGAGAAATGTCTGTTCATGTCCTTTGCCTACTTTTTAATAGGGTTATTTGTGTTTTTTTTTCTTTCTATTTGAGTTTCTTGTAGATTCTGGATATTAGCCCTTTGTTGGATGCATATTTTGCATATATTTTCTCCCGTTTTATAGGTTTTCTGTTTATTCTGTTATGATTTTTTCGCTGTGCAGAACTTTTTGATTTAATTGTTTTATGTGTCTATTTTTGTTTTTGTTGCATTTGCTTTTGATGTCTTAGTCATAAATTCTTTCCCTAGGCCAATGTCCAGAAGAGTGTTTCCTAGGGTTTCTTCTAGGATTTTTATAGTTTCAGGTCTTACATTTAAGTCTTTAATCCATATTGGGTTAAATTTTTGTATATGGTGAAGTATATGGGTCCAGTTTGATTCTTCTGCATATGGCTATCCAGTTTTTCTAGCACCATGTGTTGGATAGGGTGTCCTTTCTCCAGAGTAATATTATCCTTGAAATATAATTCTTATACCAGGTAAAATCTTACTTCCTGGTGTTGCTTTGGAACAATGTATAACCAGCAACCTGAGTATTGAGAGAACTGGGCTCTAACCGTAATATTGCCACTGGACAGCTGTGTAATAGACAGAATTTGTAACCTTTGCGTTTGAGTTCTTTCCTCATTGCTATTAAAGATTCAGTGATGTCTGCAGTATTTTCCACTTTAAAACAAAAAATATGATTAGGTTATTATCCTCTTTAAGGCTTTCTAATGTATCTAAATAACTCAGACAAAAGTAGTTTCTTTAGACTCTTGGAAATTGAATCGGTTATTTAATTAATAAATAGGATTTGAAAAAAAATGTACAAGTTTTGAGACAGAACATTCTGAGAATTTAAAAACATTTAGCTGTTCCAACATAATGCTAGAGAATATTTAGTCCCCCTGATGTACTTGGGGCTTAATCTATGCCTTGCATGCAGCAGGAGCATAAGCTATAGAAAGAGTTGTTCGCCTATCACTCATGGCCACTCTACTATTAGAATGATATAGGATCAAGCTATTCTCCTGCCCAGAATCTTTTGTTGGATCCTCTTGCCTAACAGCGTTTTACAAGCTGTGCTATACATTAGTCTGGTAAGACTTTCTTCCTTATGAAAATAAACTCATTTTTCCACATTCAGGTAAGTTTGGGAAATGCTGTACTTAATACCTTCCCTTAGAGAGTCACAATACACACTAACTTAGAGGCTGTGAGAAGCCATGAAATTCAGGCACTTGTCTTGTCTTCCCCAAACTTCTTATTTTTCTTTCTTATTATTGGAAATCTGGTAATGTTTCCATATAAAATAATAGACTTCTTTTTAGTAAGTGGCCAAGTAAGCTTGTCTTGGCCAAGAAGGTTTAAGCATAGTTGATGGGTAGAGCTTTTGGGAAAGAAAAAAAAAAAAAAAGCTTTGGAAAGGAGGATCCCACCATGTATTTTCATCCTAGCATGCTCCCTTATACTTTCTTCTTATCTGGAACACAGACAAAACACTTAGAATAGTCATCTTGTGACTATGAGCATGCAACCTGAATTGTTGTGATAGGAGAGCAGAAAGATAGAGGACCCCACATCCTTGCATAGCTGTCTAGACCAGAGTTTCTCCCACTGAACTACTTCTTAGGCCAGAAGAAGTAGACCACTTATTAAAGTCACTAATTGTCAGGTGTTCTTCTATTTGTGACAAAAACATTTTTAACGGTTACGACAGGAATTTATTACTTTTTAAACTCAAGTAAGATTTTCTGGAAACATTTTCAGCAATGCTGTCTGTTTTGGTTTTCTATTGCAGCTATAACAAATTACCAAAAACATAGAGGCTTAAAATAACAAAAATCAATTATCTTACAGCTCCAGAGGTAAGAAGTCTGGCATGGGTCTCATTGGGCTAAAACCGAGGTTATCAGCAGGGCTGTGTTGCTTTTTTGGAGGCTCTAAAGAAGGATTTTGTTTTCTCATCCTTTCTAGTTCCTAGAGGCAACTGGCATTTCTTAACTCATGGCCCCTTCCGCCATCTTCAAAGCCACCAAAAGTGAATCTCTTTCAGGCTTGTTCTGTCCACATATCTCTGTCTCTCTGAACACAGCTGGGAAAGGTTTTTAGTTTTTTCAGGTCTCATGTAGTTAGATTAGTTCTCTCCAAATAATCCAGGACACTCTCCGCATCTCAAGCCTTGTAAATCTAATCACATCTAAAAATTCCCTTTTGCCATATAGAGTAAAATATTTACAGGTTCCAAGGATTTGGAAGTGAACATCCTTGGAAGACATTACCACACCACCATATAGGAAGCCTATACTCCTTAGCACCATCCAGTAATTTATGGTCTGATTGTAATGGCATTTTACTACTCACCTTTTCCTCCTCACTATGCATTTCTGCTTTCTTATCACATAAAACATTATGCCATGATCTATCCCACTTTACTTTTTGGCTAAGTCACAAGTCTACTCCTTACCTTTTCAGGGTCTAGGGAAGCAACAAAACAGCAGTCCACTTACCATATGTCTACACAGTTAAACACCATGAGATATATCAAACTGTTAAATAGGTTCTATCTTCCCCCTCTAACATGTATACCTTGAGCATGGTTTTGAAGGTCCAGTCCAAATTTATAATTCTCTTTTTCTATCAGAATTTTATTTCATAATATGACAGCACAGGGACAAATAACCCCAAACTCTGACCCCTTGTTCAAGTGTTACAGCTCACACATCTAAACAACCCAGGTCATATGTCCAAGGTCCAGTTACACGCCCTGCAAGCAGCCACCCCTTGGTCACCAAGCAGTAGTACAGTTATGACAATTGTGGTACAGTCTGCACTTCTAGAGCAGGGGTGGAAAAGAGGCCTGTGCATTTTCTGGAGGCAGATAAAAGACTGTGCAAGAAACTCTGGTGTTCATATCTGGAGCATGTTCTTGCAGGTTGAGTGTGAGCTCTGTATGGGGAGTGTTATGACCTGAGGAAGGATGGGGATAGACCCTGTAAGCTTCAGGACTTTGGCCACAAGCTCCTCTTTCCTAGGTGTGAGCAAACTCATGCTTATTTGTCTAGTTCAAGATTCTACTCATTTTCATATTAATGTAATTCATTTCTTAAAATCCACCAAATTTCTTAAACATTTTGTAAGCATTTTGGTGATTCTTCTTTCTCATGCAAGGTAGAAAATACTATTCGTTTTGCAGAACTTAAATCTGCTTTTAATAGTAATAGCACATATATTCCATACAGCATATATATGACATATGATTATACAATATAGATGAACATTTAATATAAATATTTTATAATATTAATAGTATATATAATGATGTCCTAATATTTATTGAAGGCATTTCAAATGCCATACACTGTGTTAATCAACTGATAAATATTATCTGATGTATTGCTAGAATCACATTTATTGTATTTTATAATTACATGTATGAGTGTCTCTTTACCACAGGGACTGTGTTCTCTTCCTCTCTTTACCTTCAGTAGCTAAGAAGTGCTTAGCACATAAAAAGCTTTAGATAAATGATTGAAAAATTGGTGCGTGGTTGATTGGAGCTTTATATTGGTCTGATGTCATCAGTTCTCCATCTGTCTTACTCCTTTCATTCTCCTGGGAGATGACCAGTTTGATATATAAAGGTGGCCACAGTGCATTCTTTAAGGACACAGTGAACAGCAATGAACTGCAGATACTTTTCTCGCATACATTTTTAACTTGTGGGCCTTTTAAAGACAATATTAAAGACCTGGAATTTAGACATAGGACAAGAAAAGTGAAAGGCTTCAACAGGACAGATACCATTGAAAATATTAGCAATACAACTACTTTTTCCACCCATCAAGTTGACAGGATACCTTTTGCAAGCTAAACTAAGGGTTGCCATACATGAGGGCCAAAATTGCAGAGTTAAAATCCAATGGGACAACCGCCTATCAAAGACTTCAAAAGTTATCCTTTAAAAATATTGAGTACATGATAGTTTGTCCCTTTGCTAATGTGTCTGTGGGATGATCAGCATTCACCCTCACCTGTGAGAAAATGATATATCATTATATCCCTTAGGCTTAACAAAGATTCTTCTAAATCACTTGTTCTAATGAGTTAATGATACTTTGAAAATGAAATATAGTTCACTTCGTTATGAATGTATACAAATATCTTTTGGAGATAAAAATCAACATTATGTGCTCAGTTAATATAAATAATGTGTCAGTTTAACATAAACTAAATGGATCAATATAAATATTGGTAATTTTTAAATTACAAAGTTTTCAGAAAAAAATAATCCTTCTCCAAAGATTTTAATTGAATGCATTTATCTCAGTTTTCTTACGTATATATGCTCATACATAAACAAAAAAGAACAGTAAACAGTCTTTATTGATACAAACTTACTTTCCTTTATCTAGAAAATAATGTCTTTGTTCTGTACAATAAATTGTCAACTAAAAGATCTGGGGTAGGTAGAATCTGAGAAACTGAAGCAAACTGTATGAATTAATCTGATGTCTATCCACAAAGAGATTATTAATGGAATTAGCTTAAATAAGGTATAATTAAAAACTGTTATTTTGATAACAGAAGTAACAAATAGGTGAACTAATTACCTAAATAAATTAGAAACCCTTTCCCCCCGCCTCCAAGGGGAAATGTGGCTCCCAACTTTTATATAAATTTTACTTGTAGTTGAGAGTTGAGGTTATTATCTCATATTCACCTAAATCTTCCAGTGGAATACGGAGTTTCTAAATTCAGACAGACCTGGTTCAACTTCCAGCTTCACCATTTACTAGTTATGTGACATTTGACCAGCCAATTACCCTCTCTTAACTTACATATGGATGTCTATCAAATGAAGATAATACTTAACTGTCAGTGTTGTTAAAAGTGTTACATGAAATAATCCAGGTAATGGGACTGGAATGTTCCCAGGCACAGAGGAAATGATGAGGATATTCTTATAATCTTTTCTACTGACTTTGCCTAGGTATCTTACAATAAATTAAATTTTAAAATGCAGATAAAATATGCCAAGTATTCAGTTTGAGAACCAAAATATAGGCTAATTTCTAAACTAGACATGAAGGAAAGATCTAGCATGAATGTTTGCATTGCACACAACATTGCTGGTTGGGGAAAGGAAAAAAAATCACATGGGAAGGCCATTCAAATATTATTTCCTTGGTAATTTACCTGCATACACAATCTCAGCCAACTAAAAGCATTTTCTCTCTTCTTTATCTTTCATTTTGTGAACATATTGGACACTTACTATGAGTTAGCAACAGTGGAGGTGCTGGGCATTTAACAACAATGAAGTAAATAATGATTTCTAATCACCCTGAGTTTGCAGTCAGTAGGGAGATAGGTGATTTCAGTTTATAGGACATTTCATCCAAATATGATAAACATGATGATGGAGAACTAGGACAGTGTTCTCCAAAAAAAAAAATGTAGTCTTAGATCAGACTTTATGGCTGATTCAGCCAGGCAAAGGGATGGAAGGAGTCAGGAGTCAGAATGGAGAAACATCCTGGACTGTGACTCAGTCCAGAAGAAAGTGAGATTTGGCCTATTTGAAGAATGTAATTAACAAACCAAATCTCCAAATCTAAGTAGAATATAGAAAAGTAACAACTAGTAAGAGACCCAAACAAATAAACCCAATAAACAAACAAAAAACACCCAAGCGATCAGAACACCAGATCCAGGAAATGCTTGTTAATCTTGTGAGGAGTTTGGACTTTATACTCAAGCAATGAAGAAACTCTCTCAACATCTTTTTTTGTAATCCCATATTAATTATGTATTCATCATATTCTATTTTGTGGAACAATTACCTCTCTTATGTACTGCATATTCTCCTTCAGAGTAGGGTCCATATCTAATTCATCACTGCATTCATTCAGCATAGTACAGGACATCATATGCATAAAATTTCTCAATTTACAATTACCCTTCGCAGGTGTTACCTCATTAAATCCTCATAATTATGTTTTGAGAAAAGGCTTCCTCATTACTCCCTATTTGCAAACAAGGTACTTAAGTTACAGAAAGATAGAATGACTAGTAGTAAATGGAAAATCCCGGATGTGAACCCAGGACTTCTGGATCCTTAACCTCCTGTCTAATAGAATGCTTGTCAATGACAGAAATGCTCCATCTTCATTATCTAAGAATGTTGCCACTAGCGCATATGGTCACTGAGCACTTTAAATGTGGGTAGTGCAACTGAGGAATGGAATTTTACACTTACTTTACTTGAATTAATTTAAATTTAAATAGCCATCTGTAGCTAGTGGCTACTATGTTGGACAATGTGTCTTTATATTATGACTTTTCATCGCAGCTGCTTAATTAATGTGTGCCAAGTAAGCATATGAGTAGTTTAGGGGATTATTGCATCATTCATACATGATTTTGGATTCTATATTAGGCGTACCTTTGAAATTTTTGTTCATAGACCTGAATGAAATCAAAGTCATAATTTTTACTGTTCTAACACATTTTGCCTTAAAAAAGTTTTAAAATTTTACATTCCTCCTGAGAACATAAGTTTTTTAAGCTTTTAAAGTGTTGTAACATAAATTTAATGTTTGGCATTGTTTATATTACCTGTGGGTAATATTATTCACATTTGTAATTAACTCTTTAATTGTTAAATTTAAAAAATTAATAGAATAAAATTTAAAATTGTTAACATAGTTTTTCTATAAATTGTAATACATTTTTCCTCTAAGTTAGCCAGAATATCATACTCTCTAACCATTCTTTAAAAAGTAATTAAATAAATGCATCCTGAGTATATTAGTTCGCTAGGGCTGCCATAATGAAATAACACAGACTGGGTGACTTAAACAACAAAAATTTATTATCTCACAGTTCTGGAGGCTGGGAGGCCAGGATTAAGGTGCTGGCAGGGTTGGCTTCCTCTGAGGCATCTCTCCCTGGCTTGCAGATGGCTGCCTTCTTGCTGCCTCTGTACAAGCTCCTTCCTTTAATACAGGTGCCCCTGGTGCCTCTCTGTGTGTCCTAATCTCTTCTTATAAGGCCATCATTCAGAATATATGAAGAGCTGACCCTAATGGCCTCGTTTTACCTTAATTATCTCTTTAAAGTCTTAATCTGCAAATATTATCACATTCTGAGCTACTGGATATTGAGGCTTCAACATATGAATTTTGGAGGACACAATATCACCCATAACACCATTCTTCCAAATCTTCTGTTTCTGTGTCTGTTTTACACAGAAATTCTTCAAGAGTATTCTGAGAAACAAAAGTGGAGAGCATCAAATCATTTTTATAACTATTATGTTCTTTTTAAGTGTATAGTCTGATACAAGAGATGCTTGATTCAGGCAAAACACTCATCTTCATTTTTTTATAACACAGAAAATTAGTGTAAAATGCCAAAGGCCAATCTTTAATTTCCAACAAGCATTTTAAAGCATAATGCCCTATAATTTTCATTAGGACTTTAAAATGTTAATTATTTTATGATCTGTAATAAAAATGTAATTGTCATCAAAATCCTTCAGGCTAAAAATTTTAACAGTGTATTTATTTCTTTAAATGTACTTCTGATTTGAATATTTGTTCCCTTAGGATAAGTTTTAACCTATGAAATAATGGAAACTGGCTTTGTATGGCAGCAGCATCCATTTTTTTTCCTGATGATAATTTAGAATAAAAGGTACATTTTGATAAGTAAAACTGAAACACCATTAAAGATTAAACTTATAATGCACAACTCTGGATGAATTTTATCAGTACCCAGAACTAAATGACTAAATTCATAATATGCTAATGTGAAGAATAATAATCACTTAGTGTTGAAATCTTTAATGGCTCTCGTCTTTAAAAGGAAAGGCCATGTGAAAAGTATCCCACTTGCAGTGAGAGAGAATTGTGCTTTCACCACTTCCTAGCTGAGTGATCCTCAGCAAGTTATTCAATCTCTCTGAGCCTGGATTTTCACCTGTTCACGAAACCCAGACACTAGCCTCCCTACCTGTTTCTTCCATCTCTCAATGGTGTCTTTAAGTCATTCTGAGAGGTGATCTTTTTCACCATATTGCCAGCCATATCAGTTGGTGTGTTTGCTGGTGGATAGAAGAAAGGCAGTTGTCTCTTCCCTTTTGTATTTGTTATACTGAATTTAGTTTTTATAATTGAAAATATTACTTAAAGATAGAATTTTTGCTTTATCACTTTAAAAGTAGACAGCCCAAGTTAAAAAAATATATAGAATTAGACTCAATATTAATATCAAACGATGGAAACATAAAAGATGTGTATTCAGTAAGTAATGTTAAGTTCTCAACATTATTATGTCACAATGTTCTTTTGTAAACATTAGATAGTTAGACAGTCAGAGTCTCTCAGGATGATGTGGGTGGAGGGCTTAGTAAACACCTTTGCTAATTCTGCAGTTCCATTATATAGGTTGGTGCAAGTAGTTACATTTTTTGCCATAAAAAGTAATGATAAAAACTGCAATAACTTTTGCACCAACCTATACCCAAAAAGATAAGGCTTCCGTGACCCTGCAATATGGGACAGCAGTTTATTTCCCTCAAACTACCTGAGAGTGCTGCTTAGTATTGTAATTATTATTATTTTTTGTCGCTCTTCCACTTTTCCTTCATTCCAGTGCCTGGATCCTTTTAAACCCTTTCTTTACTCTTCCCAGATAGTCTTTCCCTAACCTATTTCGTCATGGAAACTTCAGCCTCAGATGTGAGTGACAGCTTCTAATTCTGAAGAGATGCAAACAGGGAAGACTTGGTTACTTCTGATACTCTGCTTTTACATTTTTCTTCTTCTTTGTAATTTTTGGTCATTCTCAGAGAAATAGCAGTAACATATGCGCTGCATTTTAGTGGAGTGTGAGTTTATCTCCTGCCAATAGTTCCACCACACTTAATAGTGAAGATTTATACCCACATTCTTAATTTAATTTGGAAACAATTATGCCCAAAGTGTGTCTATCTCCTTCCAAGACCCAAGCAACATAGAAACAAAGGCCAACAATAACAAAAACCTCTTATGTTAACAGTATGTTGGCCAGGGTTGTGCCCAAGGGCTTTCTGATTCTTGTTTTCCTTTGGATTTGGTTTCTCTGCTTGTATATTTCTTATACCAACTTTACTTTTCATAATTGGAAATATCACTTAAATCATATTTTTCACTTCATCATTTTAAAGATAGACTGCCCATGTTAAAATATGTATATAATTAGTATCAGTATTAATATCAAATGATGAAATAAAACATTACAATTCATGTGGAAAAGATTCAAATGGACAATTCAGGATGATTTAACAATAGAAAGATCATTTTACATGTATTCATACTGAATGTTTTCATTGCATTTACTTATGAGCACTATCTATATGTGGGACAGAAGCAAGGCGAAAGGGATCTAGTTCAAGACTAATCTTATTGTCTTGAGCTAATGATTATGTTATCATTGGCAATAGCAATCATGCAATAGCAGTTTATGCATAGGCTGTGTATCTGCAATAGCAATAAATGATCATTAAAAAGGCCCAATCTGTAATAATGGTGGCTGCCTCCCATGTACTAGGAAATATGCCAAGGGCAGCAACTGTATTACCGGAAATATAATTCTTCCCAAGAGTTTCAAATGAAGCAGCTTTAATGAATGGATTTTAATACATTTATAGAAGTGATCATATGGTTAAGTGGAAAAAACAAGGAATGGTTAGGCACGAAGAAACTATTAATGTTAAGAATTAATGTTAACTAGCTAGGCACGGTGGCTCACGCCTGTAATCCCAGCACTTTGGGAGGCTGAGGAGGGCGGATCACAAGGTCAGGAGATCGAGACCATCCTGGCTAACACAGTGAAACCCTGTCTCCACTAAAAATACAAAAAATTAGCTGGGTGTGGTGGCGGGCGCCTGTACTCCGAGCTACAGTGAGACTGAGGCAGGAGAATCGCTTGAACCCAGGATGCATAAGTTGCAATGAGCCGAGATTGCACCACTGCATTCCAGCCTGGTGACAGAGCAAGACTCCATCTCAAAAAAAATAAAAAAGAATTAATGTTAACTATTAATAGTAAGAATTAATTATTATTAATGTTAAGAATTAATTAACTTAATGTTAAGAATTAATGTTAACTATTGATGTTAACATTTTGACAGTTCTTGACAGTTTTGAGGAACCAAAAAAAAAGAAACTATTCTATGAGAGTTGAAATCACTAAAGCTGAGCTCTAGTTTCAAACTTCTTTCTCTTCCTACTATATTACGGTGCCCATCTTATGGATTTATCATCTCTTAACTAAAATTATATTGATTTGTGTATCTCTGCTATCTTTTTCATGAGGCTGCAGCACAGGGACTCTTGGATACTTATTTTTAAATCCCTTACAGCTCTTGGCCTGAGTTTTGTACCATAGCAGAGGCATAATATTTAACTGAAGAATGAATAAATTTATTATTTAATTCCCAGAGTTTTATGATATAATTTAAATGCTCCTAGTATAAGATAATTTGCATAGTAATCTCTACTGACACTTTTCTGTAGAGAAAAATGTGTTATGAATGAAGTAGTATTTCTATTTAGAATTTTCAAAGGGGAAAGCTTTAGAATTTGATAAAAGAAAATATACTTTTGGGGGGTGGAGCCAAGATGGCCAAATAGGAAGAGCTCCAGTCTACAGCTCCTAGCCTGAGCGACACAGAAGACAGGTGATTTCTGCATTTCCAAAGGAGGTACCGGGTTCATCTCATTGGGGAGTGCTGGACAGTGGGTACAGCGCACTGTGCATGAGACAAAGCAGGGCGAGGCATCACCTCACCCGGGAAGTGCAAGGGGTCAGGGAATTCCCTTTCCTAGTCAAAGAAAGGGGTGACAGAGAGCACCTGGAAAATCGGGTCACTCCCACCGTAATACTGCGCTCTTCCAGTGGGCTCAACAAACGGCACACCAGGAGACTATATCCCGCACCTGGCTCGGAGGGTCCTACGTCCACGGAGCCTCGCTCATTGCTAGCACAGCAGTCTGAGCTCAAACTGCAAGGTGGCAGTGAGGCTGGGGGAGGGGCGCCTGCCATTGCTCAGGCTTGAGTAGGTAAACAAAGCGGCTGGGAAGCTCGAACTGGGTGGAGCCTACCACAGCTCAAGGAGGCCTTCCTGCCTCTCTAGGCTCCACCTCTGGGGGCAGGGCACAGACAAACAAAAGGCAGCAATAACCTCTGCAGACTTAAATGTCCCTGTCTGACAGCTTTGAAGAGAGTAGTGGTTTTCCCAGCATGCAGCTTGAGATCTGAGAACAGGCAGACTGCCTCCTCAAGTGGGTCCCTGACCCCCGAGTGGCCTAACTGGGAGGCGCCCCCCAGTAGGGGTGGACTGACACCTCACATGGCCGGGTACTCCTCTGAGACAAAACTTCCAGAGGAACGATCAGGCAGCAGCATTTGCGGTTCACCAATATCCGCTGTTCTGCAACCACCACTGCTGATACCCAGGCAAACAGGGTCTGGAGTGGACCTCCAGTAAACTCCAACAGACCAGCAGCTGAGGGTCCTGACTGTTAGAAGGAAAACTAACAAACAGAAAGGACATCCACGCCAAAAACCCATCTGTACATCACCATCATCAAAGACTAAAGGTAGATAAAACCACAAAGATGGGGAAAAAACAGAGCAGAAAAACCGGAAACTCAAAAAATCAGAGCGCCTCTCCTCCTCCAAAGGAGCGCAGTTCCTCACCAGCAATGGAACAAAGCTGGACAGAAAATGACTTTGATGAGTTGGGAGAGGAAGGCTTCAGAAGATCAAACTACTCCGAGCTAAAGGAGGAAGTTCGAACCAATGGCAAAGAAGTTAAAAACTATGAAAAAAAATTAGACGAGTGGCTAACTAGAATAACCAATGCAGAGAAGTCCTTAAAGGATCTGATGGAGCTGAAAACCATGGCATGAGAACTATGTGACAAATGCACAAGCCTCAGTGACCAATGCGATCAACTGGAAGAAAGGGTATCAGCGATGGAAGACGAAATGAATGAAATGAAGCATCAAGAGAAGTTTAGAGAAAAAAGAATAAAAAGAAATGAACAAAGCCTCCAAGAAATATGGGACTATGTGAAAAGACCAAATCTACATCTCATTGGTGTACCTGAAAGTGATGGGGAGAATGGAACCAAGTTGGAAAACACTCTGCAGGATATTATCCAGGAGAACTTCCCCAATCTAGCAAGGCAGGCCAACATTCAAATTCAGGAAATACAGAGAACACCACAAAGATACTCCTCAAGAAGAGCAACTCCAAGACACATAATTGTCAGATTCACCAAAGTTAAAATGAAGGAAAAAATGTTAACGGGAGCCAGAGAGGAAGGTTGGGTTACCCACAAAGGGAAGCCCATCAGACTAACAGCAGATCTCTCAGCAGAAACTCTACAAGCCAGAAGAGAGTGGGTGCCAATATTCAACATTCTTAAAGAAAGAATTTTCAACCCAGAATTTCATATCCAGCCAAACTAAGCTTCATAAGTGAAGGAGAAATAAAATCCTTTACAGACAAGCAAATGCTGAGAGATTTTGTCACACCAGGCCTGCCCTAAAAGAGCTCCTGAAGGAAGCATTAAACATGGAAAGGAACAACCGGTACCAGCCACTACAAAAACATGCCAAATTGTAAAGACTGTCAAGGCTAGGAAGAAACTGCATCAACTAACGAGCAAAATAACCAGCTAACATCATAATGACAGGATCAAATTCACACATAACAATACTAACCTTAAATGTAAATGGGCTAAATGTTCCAATTAAAAGGCACAGACTGGCAAATTGGATAAAGAGTCAAGACCCATCAGTGTGCTGTATTCAGGAAACCCATATCACGTGCAGAGACACACATAGGCTCAAAATAAAGGGATGGAAGAAGATCTACCAAGCAAATGGAAAACAAAAAAAGGCATGGGTTGCAATCCTAGTCTCGGATAAAACAGACTTTAAACCAACAAAGATCAAAAGAGGCAAAGAAGGTCATTACATAATGGTAAAGGGATCAATTCAACAAGAAGAACTAACTATCCTAAGTATATATGCACCCAATACAGGAGCACCCAGATTCATAGAGCAAGTCCTTAGTGAACTACAAAGAGACTTAGACTCCCACACAATAATAATGGGAGACTTTAACACCCCACTGTCAACATTGGACAGATCAACGAGACAGAAAGTTAACAAGGATATCCAGGAATTGAACTCAGCTCTGCACCAAGCAGACCTAATAGACATCTACAGAACTCTCCACCCCAAATCAACAGAATATACATTCTTTTCAGTACCACACCACACCTATTCCAAAATTGACCACATAGTTGGAAGTAAAGCACTCCTCAGCAAATGTAAAAGAACAGAAATTATAACAAACTGTCTCTCAGACCACAGTGCAATCAAACTAGAACTCAGGATTAAGAAACTCACTCACAACCGCTCAACTACATGGAAACTGAACAACCTGCTCCTGAATGACTACTGGCTACATAACGAAATGAAGGCAGAAATAAAGATGTTCTTTGAAACCAACGAGAACAAAGACACAACATACCAGAATCTCTGGGACACATTCAAAGCAGTGTGTAGAGGGAAATTTATAGCACTAAACGCCCACAAGAGAAAGCAGGAAAGATCTAAAATTGACACCCTAACATCACAATTAAAAGAACTAGAGAAGCAAGAGCAAACACATTTGAAAGCTAGCAGAAGGCAAGAAATAACTAAGATCAGAGTAGAACTGAAGGAAATAGAGACACAAAAAACCCTTCAAAAAATCAATGAATCCAGGAGCTGGTTTTTTTGAGTAGATCAGCAAAATTGATAGACCACTAGCAAGACTAATAAAGAAGAAAAGAGAGAAGAATCAAATAGACGCAATAAAAAATGATAAAGGGGATATCACCACCGATCCCACAGAAATACAAACTACCATCAGAGAATACTATAAACACTTCTACACAAATAAACTAGAAAATCTAGAAGAAATGGATAAATTCCTCGACACATACACTCTCCCAAGACTAAACCAGGAAGAAGTTGAATCTCTGAATAGACCAATAACAGGCTCTGAAACTGAAGCAATAATTAATAGCTTACCAACCAAAAAAAGTCCAGGACCAGATGGACTCACAGCCGAATTCTACCAGAGGTACAAGGAGGAGCTGGTACCATTCCTTCTGAAATTTTTCCAATCAATAGAAAAAGAGGGAATCCTCCCTAACTCATTTTATGAGGCCAGCATCATCCTGATATCAAAGCCTGGCAGAGACACAACAAAAAAAGAGAATTTTAGACCAATATCCTTGATGAGCATTGATGCAAAAATTCTCAATGAAATACTGGCAAACTGAATCCAGCAACACATCAAAAAGCTTATCCACCATGATCAAGTGGGCTTCATCCCTGAGATGCAAGGCTGGTTCAACATACACAAATCAATAAACGTAATCCAGCATATAAACAGAACCAAAGACAAAAACCACGATTATCTGAATAGATGCAGAAAAGGCCTTTGACAAAATTCAACAACCTTCATGCTAAAAACTCTCAATAAATTAGGTATTGATGGGACGTATCTCAAAATAATAAGAGCTATCTATGACAAACCCACAGCCAGTATCATCCTGAATGGGCAAAAACTGGAAGCATTCCCTTTGAAAACTGGCAAAAGACAGGGGTGCCCTCTCTCACCACTCCTATTCAACATAGTGTTGGAAGTTCTGGCCAGGGCAATCAGGCAGGAGAAGGAAATAAAAGGCATTCAATTAGGAAAAGAGGAAGTCAAATTGTCCCTGTTTGCAGATGACATGATTGTATATCTAGAAAACCCCATCGTCTCAGCCCAAAATCTCCTTAAGCTGATAAGCAACTTCAGCAAAGTCTCAGGATACAAAATCAATGTGCAAAAATCGCAGGCATTCTTATACACCAATAACAGACAAACAGAGAGCCAAATCATGAGTGAACTCCCATTCACAATTGCTTCAAAGAGAATAAAATACCTAGGAATCCAACTTACAGGGGATGTGAAGGACCTCTTCAAGGAGAACTACAAACCACTGCTCAGTGAAATAAGAGGACACAAACAAATGGAAGAACATTCCATGCTCATCAGTAGGAATAATCAATATTGTGTAAATGGCCATACTGCGCAAGGTAATTTATAGATTCAATGCCATCCCCATCAAGCTACCAATGACTTTCTTCACAGAATTGGAAAAAACTACTTTAAAGTTCATATGGAACCAAAAAAGAGCTCCCATTGCCAAGTCAATCCTAAGCCAAAAGAACAAAGCTGGAGACATCAGGCTACCTGACTTCAAACTATACTACAAGGCTGCAGTAACCAAAACAGCATGGTACTGGTACCAAAACAGAGATATAGACCAATAGAACAGAACAGAGCCCTCAGAAATAATGCCGCATATCTACAACTATCTGATCTTTGACAAACCTGACAAAAACAAACAATGGGGAAAGGATTCCCTATTTAATAAATGGTACTGCGAAAACTGGCTAGCCATATGTAGAAAGCTGAAACTGGATCCCTTCCTTACACCTTACACAAAAATCAATTCATGATGGATTAAAGACTTACATGTTAGACCTAAAACCATAAGAACCCTAGAAGAAAACCTAGGCATTCCCATTCAGGACATAGGCATGGGCAGGGACTTCATGTCTAAAACACCATAAGCAATGGCAACAAAAGCCAAAATTGACAAATGGGATCTAATTAAACTCAAGAGCTTCTGCACAGCAAAAGAAACCACCATCAGAGTGAACAGGCAACCTACAGAATGGGAGAAAATTTTTGCAACCTACTCATCTGACAAAGGGCTAATATCCAGAATCTACAATGAACTCAAACAAATTTACAAGAAAAAAATAACCCCATCAAAAAGTGGGCGAAGGATATGAACAGACACTTTTCAAAAGAAGACATTTATGCAGCCAAAAGACACATGAAAAAATGCTCATGATCACTGGCCATCAGAGAAATGCAAATCAAAACCACAATGAGATACCATCTCACACCAGTTAGAATGGCGATCATTAAAAAGTCAGGAAACAACAGGTGCTGGAGAGGATGTGGAGAAATAGGAACACTTCTACACTGTTGGTGGGACTGTAAACTAGTTCAACCATTGTGGAAGTCGGTGTGGCGATTCCTCAGGGATCTAGAACTAGAAATACCATTTGACCCAGCCATCCCATTACTAGGTATATACCCAAAGGATTATAAATCATGCTGCTATAAAGACCCATGCACATGTATGTTTATTGTGGCACTATTCACTATAGCAAAGACTTGGAACCAACCCAAATGTCCAACAATGATAGACTGGATTAAGAAAATGTGGCACATATACACCATGGAATACTATGCAGCCATAAAAAATGATGAGTTCATGTCCTTTTTAGGGACATGGATGAAGCTGGAAACCATCATTCTTGGCAAACTATCGCAAGGACAAAAAAACCAAACACCGCATATTCTCACTCATAAGTGGGAATTGAACAACGAGAACACATGGACACAGGAAGGGGAACATGACACACCGGGGACTGTTGTGGGGTTGGGGGAGGGGGGAGGGATAGCATGAGGAGATATACCTAATGCTAAATGACGAGTTAATGGGTGCAGCACACCAGCATGGCACATGTATACCTATGTAACAAACCTGCATGTTTTGCACACATACCCTACAACTTAAAGTATAATAATAATAATAATAAAAGAAAATATACTTCTGGAGTGTATAAAACAATCTGAAAAAGCAGTCCTTTAATAATTTTAATCTTTTCATAAGCATTCAAATATGACTTTCAGATAAGACTGTGTTTTTCTTCAGACATGCAGTTTCAGTCATATAAATTTATTGATTCTTTGTAATTTTAAATTAATAATGAGGACATTTCTCAATTACCAAATGATCACTGTTTTGTCCAAGTAGAAAGCTTATTATGATTTCTACATTTTAAATCACTGTTACATGTAAAGGAAGTAGAGAGATGGGTGAAAGAATTATTATCCCTTTGGAGCCTACACTCATGTCTGGGGAAACAAGATAAACACATACAAAATAAAATACTGTCAGGGATTTTTATGTGATATGAAAATAATTAAGCATAGTGAGAGGGAAAAGAAATGATGTGAGAAGCTATTTTAAATAGGGTGGTTAGGGGAGGCTCCTTTTAGGAGAAGACATTCTGAGAACTTAATAAAGTGAAACGAAGAGCTGAGTAGATTTCTGATCAACACATGTACCAGGTAAGGAAATGGCACTGTATTTAAGATACATAAAATAGATGGAAAAAAGGATTACTTTAAGAATTAAATGTAATCCAATGCATGAAAAAATGTTATTGTCCATAATAATATACAAATTCATCATAATGTATATTAGATTCTTAAGGCTGCTGCAACAAATGATGACAAACTGGGTAGCTTAAAATAACAGAAATTTATTATCTTATAATTCTGGAAGCTTGAAGTCTAAAATCAAGGTGTCAATATGCCCATATTCCCTCTGAAGCGTAGAGAAGATTTTTATTTCATTTTTTTACCTTTTCCTAGCTTATGGTGAGAAATAAACTAGGCAGTCCTTGGTTTTTCACACCTTGCAGCTGCATAACTTTAATCTCTGTCTTCACTGGCACAGGGCATTCGCCTTGTGTGTGTTTGTCTTTCTATGGCCTTCTTGTTATAAGGATACCCGTCAAATTAGATTAAGACACAAACACATATTAGTCTAGGCATTCATAGAATCACTATCATCAGTATCACTATCTTCCACTTCCACATCTAGTCCCATTAGAAGGTCTTTAGGGGCAGAAACATGTATAGAGCTGTTGTCTCCTATGGTAACAAGGCCTTCTTCTGGAATACCTTCTGAAGGACTTGCCTGAGGCTGCTTTACAGTTAACTTTATTATATAAGTAAAATGAGTAAACCCTAAGTAAATGACAAAAAGTGTAGCATAGTAAATGCCTAAACCAGTAACATAGTCATTTATTATTATTATCAAATATTATCTTCTCTGCATAATCATAGGTGCTAGACTTTTATATGACTGGCAGCACAGTAGCTTTGTGTACACCAGCATCATCATAAATGCATAAGTAATGTTTTACATTTTGCCAGAAAGTTACTAGGTCAAAGAAATTTTCAGCTCCATTATAATCTTATGGGATTCTGTCTTTGATTGAAATGTTGTTATGTGGTGCATGACTGTATTTCAATGTATCTTTTTTTTTTTTTTGGTTGGAGGAACACAATTCAATAGATAGCATGGTTTTATTATTGGAAAGGATTTCTTACTTTTGATAGTTTTATGGGAGGGTAACCAGAACAGTTCAGAATAGATGACTGAGACAAATGACTATTTTTCTTTTGGGGGACAATATTTTCATAGTGTATTTCAGGTGAAAAGTAGAGTTCTAAAGAGGTGAAATAAGCCCTGTTCTTTGAGTGTTTTTAAGTAAAGTTTTAGAGTCATTATTCTTCATAGGACATTTTTAAAAGAACAGATACTTAAATTTTGGCTGCTGGATCATTAGAAGCAAGCCACAGGAAATTTTTTTTTAGTTGAAGTACAAAGTTTAGCCATAGTAAGTTGAAAGAAATATTCTAATTATGCCTGAGGTCAAAGCTGAAGTTAAACTAAACGACTGAGAACAATTGAAAACTGAGAACAATATTAAACTATGCCTAAAGCATTTTCCTCTTTAAAAACACTCTCGTGAACTATCTATCACTCCTTTTAAGGCTACACTGTTTTAATTAGAATTAAAAGCTAAATTTTTAATTAAAAGTTTGGTTTTTTCTTCTATTTTATCCCTTTTGAATGCATGTGTGTGTGTGTGTGTGTGTGTGTGTGTGTGTGTGTGTGTGTGTCCCAAACAGGGTAACATGAACAAGCATCCATATTACTTTGTTAAACCAAGGCCATTGCAATGTTGAATCTAGCATGGAGGAAAAGGCAGGATTTTTGTAACCAGAACATATTAATCTGCCCTACCACTACACCTCTGTCTGTTAGAAAAGTTAGCTTATCTGTCAAAGTTGGTGGGAAGATTAAGTAAGATAACATATACAAAGCACCTGTTCCTGGACCTGATATATCTTGGGTTGTCCATAAATATTAATTGTTTTTCCTTCTAGTGGTAGTTTACCCTAATTATCATGAAATTGCCAAGGAGAAAATGACTTTTTCAAACTAATCCAATAAAGTGACATAAAAACTAAATTTAAGCCATCTTTTTATCCACCATAACACCTAGAAAAAATTTCTAGATATGTGACAATTATATGTTGAAAGAGTGAATGATTATAACAGAGCCTGATCTCAGCAAAACTGGTTCCCTTACTCTTCAGCAACAGTTAACAAGTCTTCCCAACAATCCACCAGAATCTCTCCACTGTAGTCCTGGTTATAAGTTATTTTTCCACCTTGTCATCTGCATGGTTCATTGTTGCTCTCCTGCAATTAACTCTCCACACAGTAGCAAAGGAGGCATGTTCATATCTACAAGAAGAACATTTCTGGCAAAGGGGGCTGAAATGCAAAGGCCAGAGGTGAAAGCTTGTTTATCATGTTGTACTAGAGCATTGTAGTTGAGAGGTAGTAGAAGAAACTTATATCAAAGAGGTAAAATTGTGGGAGCGATTGCTGGATTTTATGGGACATTATGACAACTTTGTGTTTTATTCCAAGTGACATAGACATTGGAGGGTATTGAAACTCTCAGTGAACGATGTGACAAATGTTTTTAGTTTGCAAGATGGTTCTTTCTCATCATGGCAAATATCTATTGAATTAATGAATACTATTAATACAGTTTGTTTTAAATTCTTTCTTCCTCTCATCAAATTTCAAACTATCTTCCCCCTTTTATGCAGTATTCATAACACATTGAATCCATGTATTTGCTATTAAACCTAGATAAATTATTTTGAGTGGATGTATGCATGCAAAGTACCTAAGGGGTAGCATGCTGCTGTCACCACTTTGTCTTTTCTAAGATCAACATGCCAAGGGCTAAGCAGCTGTACTTAAAAGAGCTTTTATTTCCAATTGCTTTGTTCCCTGTAAAAATGATACCAAATCTCTGAAGTTACAAGTGATTGACATTACTCTTCATAGCACTGTTTGGAGAAAGATTGAGAGGACTCAGGCGTGTAGAAAATTCCTATTGTGCCTGATTTTTTTGTGTTTATTCCACTGAGAATGGCACCTTTCAAATAAAGAATAGCTTTATCTCTTTCTCTGTAGAAGCTGAGTGATAAGATCAGAAGAATCTTATCATTCTTCTGATGTTAACTTTCTACTTTCAAACAACCATTTGCTTTTCTCTGCAATATTCAGGATATTCTGAATTTAAGCTAATATTTAAGTAAAGACAAACAACAATCACAAAATCAGGATATGAAACATTTGACATTTTGTGCATAAGGGAGAGGTGTGTGGGTTTGGGGGACAGATTTCAGTTTGAATGCATGCTTCCTCATTTACTTTGTCCTAATCGACAGGATACTCTCATTTCTTGAGTTTCTTCATCTAGAATCAAGGTTAAATAGCATTTTTTGAATTAATAACATAATATGAGTAAAGCACTTGATGAAACCCCCAGTACACAGGTTTCCAGTAATTGTTTACCTATTCTTTTTGTAGTTAGTGATGATGTTGGCTCAACTTTCCTCACCCAGATATCTCACCTTGATGCATTTATTTGTACTGAATTATCTGGAAACCTACCCAAGGAGAGAGATTCTTCCACAATTGCTACTTCGTGTATAAGGCAGGCTATGATAATGATATAATTGAAACATATACAAAGTGGTGTGTGAGCACAGAAGAAAAGGTGAGAAATTCAGCTAGAGTTGAGCTAACATGTAAATATCAAGTAATTGAGGGACTATAAACAAGTGCCTTGATTCATCAAGTAAGGATAATAATATCTGCTTCTCAGTGTTTTATGTCTGAAATGAGATAATGCAAATAAAATCTTTTTTAAAAGTGATTGCTACATAGTGAGTGCTGAATAATTAAGTAATTTTTAATCTGAGAATTTTCTCATGGGTTGTTTGGGCTTCATTATAGTAACCTTTAGTGGATGCTGCTTAAGTTTGTCTCATGGAAGATGCTACTTGAGGCTCTTTCTTCAAAATATAAGACTAAGAGAAATTTAATCTTTATTTTCCTTTCCTTTCCTTTCTTTCTTTCTTTCTTTCTTTCTTTCTTTCTTTCTTTTTTTCTTTCTTTCTTTCTTTCTCTCTCTCTCTCTTTCTCTCTCTCTTTTTTTCTCTTTTTTTTTTTTTTTTTGACAAGAGTCTTGCTCTGTCGCCCAGGTTGGAATGCAGTGGCACAATCTTGGCTCACTGCACCCTCCACCTCCTGGGTTCAAGTGATTCTCCTGTCTCAGCCTCCCAAGTAGTTGGGATGACAGGCAGGCACCACAATGCCCAGCTAATTTTTGTATTTTTAGTAGAGATGGGGTTTCACCATGTTGGCCAAGGTAGTTTCAAATTCCTAACCTCAGGTGATCCACCTGCCTCAGCTCCCAAAGTGCTGGGATTACAAATGTGAGCCACCTTTGTGACTGTAAGCCTGACCTTATCTTTCATTTAATCTGTTCTGTCATCCCACCTGGAGTCATCCTTTACTTCAACAAAAATTAAAATTTTAAAGCCAATCGCTAAATATTCTAAACCTTCACACAACAGAGCCTTTGTTAACATTGCATATAGAGATTCCAAAAGGGAAAATTGGGCTGGGTAAAATACAGAGAACTCCACCTCTCTAAACATTAAAAAAATGCCCTTTTAATAATTACTGAAGCTAAATATATGACAGATTAAGAGTTCATGGCAAGCAGCATTTGGATAATGACATAAAATTTATTCATATAGTCAGATTATTTGATTATATATTCTGTAGTGCTACTTTCAATTCATTTTTTAAAAAGTATAACTGCTGGATTAAAAAGCAAAACCCAATGGTATGCTGTCTTCAAGAGACACATCTAACACGTAATAACACCCATAGGCTCAAAATAAAAGGATGGAGGAAAATCTACCAAGCAAATGGAAAACAGAAAAAAATAGGGGTCACAATCTTAATTTCAGACAAAATAAATGTTAATCAAAGAAAGATGTTACATAATGGTAAAGGGTTTAATTCAACATGAAGACCTAACTATCCTAAATGTATATGCATTCAGCACAGGAGCACTCAGATTCATAAAGCAAGTTCTTAGAGACTTACAAAGAGACATAGACTCTCACACAATAATAGTGGTAGACTTCAATACTCCACTGAGAGTATTAAAACGATCATTGAGGCAGAATATTAACAAAGATAATTCAGATCTGAACTCAACACTGGTCCAAATGGATCTGATAAAACTCTACAGAATTTTCCACCCCAAAACAACAGAATATGCATTCTTCTAATCACTACATAGCATATACTCTAAAATTGACCACATGATAGAACATATAACAATCCTCAGCAAATGCAAAAGAACTGAAATCATACAAAACACACTCTCAGAATACAGCACAATATAAATAGAAGTAAAGACTATAAAATTGCTCAAAGCCACAAAATTCTTTGGCAATTAAACAACATGCTCCTGAATGAGTTTTGAGTAAATAATGAAATTAAAGCAGAATCAAAAAGTTCTTTGAAATGAATGAGAACAAAACAAAGTACCAGAATCCCTAGGACACAGCATAGGTAGTGTTCAAAGGGAAATTTGTATAACTAAATGCCCACATAAAAAAAGAAAGGTCTCAAATTAACAACCTAACATCACAACTGAAAAAATTAGAAAAGCAAGAGCAAGTCAACCCAAAGCCAGCAGAAGACGAGAAATAACCAAAAATCAGTGTTGAACTGAAGGCAATCAAGACATGAGAAACCATTCAAAAGAACAATGAATCCAGAAGTTGGTTTTTTGAAAGAATTAATAAGTTAGATATGCTGTTAGCTAGAATAATAATGAAGAACAGAGAGAGGACCCAAATAAACACAATTAGAAATTACAAAATGTATACTACCACTGACCCCACGTAAATAAAAATAACAATCAGAAACTACTATGTACATATCTCTGCACAGAAACTAGAAAACCTAAAAATGATGGATAAGATTCTGGAAACACACACCCTCCTAAGACTGAACCAGAAAGAAACTGTTTCCCTGAACAGACCAATAATAAGCTCCAAAATTGAATCAGTAGTAAATAGCATACCAACCAAAAAAAGCCCAAGACTTTTTGGATGGATGGAGTCACAGCCAAATTCTACCAGATTTACAAAGAGGAGCTGATAGTATTCCTACTGAAATTATTACAAAAAATTGAGGAGAATCGTCTCTTCTCCAACTTATTCTTTGAGGCCAGTATTCTATGAAGCCAGTATCATCTGGATACCAAAATCTTGCAGACACAATAAAAAATGAAAACTTCAAGCCAATATCCTTGATGAACATCCATGCAAAAATTCACAAAATATGTGCAAGCTGAATCCAGCAGCACATCAAAAATCTAATCCACCACAATCAATCAATTCGTCCCCAGGATGCAAGGTTGGTTCAACATTTGCAAGTCAATAAACATGATTCATTGCATAAACATAAGTAAAGACAAAAATCACATGATTATCTCAACAGATGCATAAAAGCCTTTCATTAAAATATAAATACCATTATGCTAAAAATATACACAAGCTAGGTATTGAAGAAGCATACCTAATATAATAAGAACCATCTATGTCAAACATCATACTGAATGGGCAAAAGCTGGAAGCATTCCCCTTGAAAACTGGCACAAGACAGGTATACCCTCTCTTACCACTTTTATTCCACTTAGTATTGGAAGTCCTGACAAGAGCAATCAGGCAAGATAAATAAATAAAGGGCATCCAAATAAGAGGAAAGGAAGTCAGACTACTTCTGTTACAGATGACATGTTTCTATATCTAGAAAATCTCTTCATCTTGGCCCAAAAGCTCCTTCAGCTGATAAACAACTTCAGCTGTTTCAGCATACAAAATCAGTGTACAAAAATCACTAGCATTTCTATATGCCAATGACAGCCAAGCAGAGAGCTACATCAGAAAGGCAATCCCATTCACAACTCCCACAAAAAGAAGAAAATAGCCAGGAATACAACTAGCCAGGGAGGTGAAAGGTCTCTGCAATGAGAATTGCAAAACACTGCTCAAAGAAATCAGAATAGACACAAACAAATGGAAAAACATCCCATGCTCATGGATAGAAGGAATCAATGTAATTAAAATGGCCATTCTGTCTGAAGCAACCTACAAATTCAGTGCTATTCCTATCAAACTACCAATGACATTCTTCAGAGGACAGGAAAAAAACTACTTTAAAATTTATATGTAGCCAAAAAAGAGCCCAACTAGCCAAAGGAATCCTGAGCAAAAAGAACAAAGCTGGAGGTATCATTTTACCCAACTTCAAACTATAGTACAGGGCTACAGTAACAACAATAGCATAATACTGGCACAAAAACAGGCACATAGACCAATGGAACAGAATAGAGAGCCCAGAAATAAGGCCACATACCTACAACCATCTGATCTTTGACAAAGCTAACAAAAACAAGCAATGGGGAAAGACTCCCTATTCAATAAATGGTGCCGAGGTTACTGTCTAGCCATATGCAGAAGATTTAAGCTGGATCCCTTTCTTACACAATGTACAAAAATCAACTCAAGTTGAATTAAGACTTATATATAAAACCAAAGACTATAAAAACCCTGGAAGACAACCTAGGAAATACCATTCTAGACATAGCAGGAAAGATTTCATGACAAGGACACCAAAAGCAATCACAACAAAAGCAAAGATTGACAAATGGAATCTAATTAAATGTAAGAGCATCAGCATAGCAAAATAAACTATCAACAGAGTAAACAGCCTACAGAATGGTATAAAATACTTGCAAACTATGCATCTGGCAAAGGTCTAATATCTAGCGTCTATAACGAACTTAAACAAGTTTATAAGAGAAACTCAAACAAGTGTATTAAAAAGTGGGCACAGGACATGAACAGATACTTTTCAAAAGAAGACATACATGCAGCCAGCAAGCATATGAAAATAAAACTCAATATCACTGATTATTAGAGAAACAAATCAAAACAACAATGAGATACCATCTCACACCAGTCAGAATGACTATCATTTAAAAGTCAAAAGAACAAAACAAACAAACAACAACAAAAAAAAAACCAGATGCTGGTGAGGTTGCAGAGAAAAGAGAACACTTATACACTGTTGGCAGGAGTGTAAATTAGTTCAACCATTGTGGAAAGCAGTATGATGATTCCTAAAAGAACTAAAAGTAGAACTATCATTCAACCCAGCAATCACATTACTGGGTATATACCCCGAGGAATATAAATAATTCTGCCATAAAGACACATGCATACGGATGTTCATTGCAATGCTATTTACAATAACAAAGACATGAAATCAACCTAAATGCCTATCAATGACAGATTAAATAGAGAAAATATGATACATATACATCATGGAATACTATGCAGCCATAAAAAAGAAGGAGCTTAAGTCTTTTGTGGGAACATAGTTGGAGCTAGAGGCTGTTATCCTTAGTAAACTGATGCAGGAATAGAAAGTCAAATATTACATGTTCTCGCTTATAAATGAAAGCTAAATGATGAGAACTCATGAACACAAAGAAGGGAACAGCAGACAATGGGATCTGCTTGAGGAGGGAGGGTAGGAGGAAGGAGAGGAGTAGAAAAGATAACTATTGGGTACTAGGCTTAATACTTGGATGATGAAATAATCTGTAAAACAAACCCCCATGACACAAGTTCACCTATGTAAAAAACCTTCACATGTACCCCCGAACCTAAAATAGAAGTTAAAAAAAAAATACAGCTAAAATTGCATTGCCATGCCATACCACCCATAACAAAAGCCCTGAATCAGAGTCACAGAGTGCAAACTCTAGAGATTGTAATTCTTTACAACACAGTAGAAAGCATAGAATGACAGTAAACTCTAAGTCAGAAGGTATGAACATGAATCCTAGCTCAAATTTTTACTCACTTTGTGATGTTGGGTTAGTTAACATTTCTGGATATTTATTTACTTATGTAAAATATGAGGATATTAACAGCTACCAGTTTGTGTTATTATGAAAGATAAAATGAAATCTGATATATTTGGCATAAATAAGGATTCCCAAAAGTTATTTGCATCCCAGCCTGATTGTGCCAGTGGTTCTTATATATCACTGGACTAACCAAGATTCAAGTTTTAACTGAAAACTTAAGATGCTGAATTAGATCTTGGTCCTCAACCTTTAGCACATATGAGAAAAAAGAAAAATTGGGAGACATATTTAAAATACAGGTTTCCAAGTCTGATTCTCAGAGCTCAGAGTCAGTATGCCCAGTGTGTGTCCTGGGAGTCCACTTTTAGCAAGCTCTCCAGGGAAGAATTCTCCTAAAGGTGGACCACAGATCATGCTTTGGCAAGTACTTGATTAAATTATCTCCAAGATCCCTTCTGGTTCTAAAAGATGTGAATGTGTAAATGTGTATTTTAAAGATATTAGTTCACATTATTACATTTTCAGTGATTATCAATATAATAAAATATGAGTAACTTTAAAATGTTTTTAAATTGTATTGGGATATGACATGTAAAATAATGGGCAATAATTTTAAGTGTGCTGATTAATAAAATTTACAAACATATAATTCATAAACACTTAGGTCAAAATATAGATAATTTCCATAATTTCAGAAAGTTTCTTTATGCCTCTCACTAGTCAATACAACTGCCCATTCACCCCAAAGTAATCATTATTCTGACATCTATCACCTTTTTCAAAGGTGACGTCAATGGAATCATAAAGTGTGTACTCTTTAGTGTGTGATTTATTTCACTCAGCATAATGTCAGTATAGATTCAAACATGTTTTGTGAACGTAAGTAGTGTATTTTTAAGAAACTTTATATAGTGTTTTATTTTATGAATATATTCAACTGTTGATAGATATTTTATTTTTCTCCAAGGTTTTAATTAGCTGTTATGAATAAAGCTGCTATGAGCATTCTCGCATATGTCTTTTGATTCCTATAAGCCTTCATTTCTAATTGGTATATACCTATGAGTGAGGTTACTGGGCCCATAGAGTAGACTATGTTTAGCTTTCCTAAGCACTGTCAAACAGTTATTCAAAGTGACTGTAATAACTTATAACCCCACTAGAGTGAGAGAGAAAGAGAGAGAGAGAGAGAGAGAGAGAGAGACAGAGATTAGGTACCGATACATAAGATGTAATATATATAATACTCCATTTAAAAGATTTTCAATTTACATATATCCTTACCAACTTGGTATTTTTAATGTTTTTACTTCTGTCATTCTTATTGCTGTGTAGTAGTGCTCATTGTGGTTTTAATTCTCATTTCTCTGATGACTAATGTTGTACACCTTTTCACATGCTAATACAGTATTTGAAAGTGTCCTATAAACTACAAACGTTAGTATTTTAAAGTGCCTACTTAGTCTTTTGTCCATATCTTCCATATCCTTTTTTTATTGATTTGTGGTGTCTATTTTTATATTATGGAAGGTTTGTTTTTTGCTTCTTGCACATAGGACTTTATAAAATATAAGGTCTGTGTGTGCATATATATTTATTTATATATATATGTATACACACACATGCATGCCATATATATATCTATACATGATGTATATGTATATATACATTATATATATCATATCTTGTGTGTAAACATACATATATACATATGTATACATAGATATATGTATATATACATATGTATATATAGATATATGTATATATACATATGTATATATAGATATATGTATATATACATACATATATACATATGTATATATAGATATATACATATATACATATGTATATATAGATATATGTATATATACATACATATATACATATGTATATATAGATATATACATATGTATATATAGATATATACATATATACATATGTATATATAGATATATGTATATATACATACATATATACATATGTATATATAGATATATGTATATATACATACATATATACATATGTATATATAGATATATGTATATATACATACATATATACATATGTATATATAGATATATATATACATACATATATACATATGTATATATAGGTATATGTATATATACATACATATATACATATGTATATATAGGTATATGTATATATACATACATATATACATATGTATATATAGGTATATGTATATATACATACATATATACATATGTATATATAGGTATATGTATATATACATACATATATACGTAGGTATATATAGGTATATGTATATATACATACATATATACGTATGTATATATAGGTATATGTATATATACATACATATATACGTATGTATATATAGGTATATGTATATATACATACATATAGACGTATGTATATATAGGTGTATGTATATATACATACATATATACGTATGTATATATAGGTGTATGTATATATACATACATATATACGTATGTATATATAGGTGTATGTATATATACATACATATATACATATGTATATATAGGTGTATGTATATATACATACATATACACACAACACATATATAGATATATGTATATATACATACATATACACACAACACACATATACATACATATACATACACAGCACACATATACATATATACTTATACGTATATATATACACACACACACACACAACATGATATATACACATATACACACATAAACACATACACACAGTCATTTCTTGGTATCATTGAAAGATTAGTTCCAGGACACCCAACGATATCAAAATCTGCTGATACTCAAGTCCTTTATTTAAAATGACATAGCATTTTTATGTAACCTATGCACATCTTCCTGTATACTTTAAGTTATCTCTAGATTACTTAGAATAACTAATGGAATGTTTCTACTTACATGAAACTCAATATGTCTTAGTTGCTTCTTGCACATAGGACTTTATAAAATAGAAGGTCCATTGGTATGGGAGTCATGGTTTGTGATTTTCAAGAAATTTCATGCCTAACCCAACATAATGCTGAACATATAATGATTTGTCTTTAAGTTAGATGCAATTACCTGAGGCATATGGGCTGACTTGCTCTTTCTTCAACCATGTTATACATATTTTTTTTTCAAATGCAACTTTTCCTACTAAGACTAGATGAATTATGACACTTGGCCAAAGTTTCTTATCAAAATTAATTGAGTTTGTGTAGACGATGGAAATAATATGTAATTTCTCACTTAATCTTTCCATAAAACTTCGATAGAAAATGAGAGAAAATTAGATTTTTTATTTTGTATTTTGTCTAGCTGGCACATCTCTAGGAGTTAGTGGTCATACTCTATGATAATTAGGGATCTCTATAGCATATAAAGTTCTCTATGATTACATATTTATATATATATGTATACACATATAAATAATTTTTATTTTTATATGACCTAAAATAATGTATCTTAATTATTGATTACTTGGATGACCACTTTGATTATAAAAAAGATAAATAAAATTAAATTTCTTACATAAACTAGATAAATGATAAATGTGCCAAGTAATATTACATTTGGATATACAAATAAAACTTCAGGAATTTGAATAGAGAAGATTGTTTAGAAAATATAAGTCACATGGCATGGGATAATGTTTATAAGAAAACTGAAAAATCAACCCCAAAATTAGTAATATAGCTATAAAACTCAACATACCCTATTTCCAACGTTAATTATATGACAGGGAAAAACAAGGCTAGATTTATTCAATTGTCAAAAAGATGCTAAGCAGCCATGTACCACTGATTTTAGAATGGTGAGTGGGCTACTTCTCAGTCTTTGATTTTGTAATTTCACGGTAATATGAAGCACACCCAGATGGAAGTCAGGGAACGGTCTGTATGTGTGTATATAGATGTTGAGGTATACTAGAGGTGTTCTGGCACCTTAACTGTATTTCTTGTATCTCTGTATAGAAATCTAGAATCTCAGCCAAGTAGGGATTACACAGTCTTGAGATCCATATACCTTTAACAACATCAATAAAGTGGTTATTTGCAACTTCAGATATTAATGAAGATAATACTTTTTAAAAATAACTAAACCAGAAGTTTGAAATATAATCCCACAAAACTTACACATATCTATACATATCTATGTAACATATGTTGATCATATTTGTTGGCTCTAGGGATTCCAATATCATTCTCTGGTTTCTAATATTTAAGAAGCTGGGAATAATTTGTAGCCAGTTTAGCCAGTGGAATAATATTTGAGTTAGTTCAACATGACTCCTCCTGTTTATATTATTGTTATTGTACTCCATCAGATTTGTAGTTAGTTGCTAAATTCTCATTGTGAAAACTTTATTACTCAGTTTGTCTTTTTCTAGATATGTGTTCCATGTACAGTATTGATATACACTGTTTGTAACATAGTTTTTACAGAAGCTTTGCATTGCTTTCTTGTAACATGATCTACAAAATTTGGCTGTAACTCAGGATGCCATAGCTCTCGGTCTCTGATTCAAGTAATTTGTGGTCCCCATCTGAAATCAGTTCTCTCTAGGGGATGCATCCTTACTATCTGCACCAAAAAGGGGACTTTAAAACCCGTATGAAGAAAAAGACGCTGTTTACTTGCATTTAAATTTGAAAATAAGTTAATTATTTCATACAATAACATGACACTTTTTCTGTGTTGTCACTAACAGTCTTTCTCTCATTTCATTTTTACTTCAGAGCATGCATTTTAAACAACTTCATCTGGAGTTCATTAATTGTCTTTTAGTTCCACTAAAAATAAAAGTAAAATGATATGCCTGATATCAATGGAATAGCAATCTCTGGTAGGTTGGCATGATGTTCATTTTACATTTTATGTGGCATATTATGAAAAACATATATTAAGTTAAATTGCAGTAAGAGTCAAAAGTCCTGAGCTCTTTGCAAGACATCAAGTGATTAACCTCTCTGGACTTCAGTTTCCTTGATTAAAAAAGAAACATTTGACTTAAATTATTTCTGAAGTTGTTTATAGTTTTCACGGTCTTCCTAGGACTATAAAGATACTTCTACATTAAATAATTTTTATTCCTAATTCATAACTGGAGACTTATTTATATATGAGCCTTCTCATTGAGCTTCTGGTCAGGACCATCTGGCTTATTTCTATTCTATTTTGGGGACTATTTTGAGTGAGAAGACATCCACCCGCCAATTACAGAAGCCCGGTGCCTGACTCTATAACCTTTGAAGCTTTGTTATATTCCTAGTAAAGAGACACTTTTTGAAACCTGCAAGAGTGGATGACATTTCTAAGGTTCTGGAAAGTGTGAACTTTGGCACCGAACATATTCTGCTATTCAATTGTAGTTCCTGAAGTTTTTACTTAATGTAGGTGTGGTGCTGCTATTGTAAAGCATACTTTTGGATAAAAGAAGGAGAAAATATTTTGATAAAGGTAATTTTGACCTGAAGACATCTATTGTTACTAGCAGAGCTTTTAAATACACTGGAGCAATTCTTGACAGTAAAGGAGTTTTCAATATATATTTTCCATCATAGTCAAACATGCAGGAAGAAAAAAATTGAACAATCCTTAAATGTCTTTTGGCAGTGTGTTAACAAAGGGAAGGTGAAAATGAATCCCAAAATAAAGAATAAGATAGTATTTTATTTTTTTAACCAGTACACACAATTTTACTTTGTTGTTGGCAATGTATACCTTAAAAAAGAGTTAAATGATTTTTAATTAATAAATTTTAAATGAGCAGGTCAACTATACACATTCATTTACTTATTTTTAGAGTTATTAGTTTACAGTTCATGTAATGGAAGCTCATCAAAGAATTTTGGAAATCACTCGATTCGGGACATGTATTTTACAGAGGCAGCATTGTTGTAGGGTATCGCCTTTCAGTCCTCGATATTATTTCCCATTCTTGGAACATTTGTCAAGAGTCTCTCTAAAACCTCAGTGTCCTTGTCCATGAAATCTATGGAATACAACTGTTATTTTAATTAGCTAGTTGGGAAGATGTGCCCAGGGTTGGCTATTGTTAGAGCTAGATTAGACATGAGATTTTCTGAAATCTAGTTCTTATTTTTCCCAGTACATGAAATGGCCACCCATAAAACAATCATGGAAAACAATGTGTGTGCTTATGTTTTCCTCCTCCTGCTTTCCTGATGCAATAATGTTACCTCACACACACACATACATACGCGCACACACACACACACACACATAGATATAATGTTACCTATGTCACTGTGTGCCAAACACTGAAATATTTACATGTAATATGTTGTTGAATTCTCACAATAACACTAAGATGTATGTATTATTATGTCTTCTCCAATTAGAGATACTGAGGCTCAGGAACATAGACCTACTTGTTCAAAGTCCCAAACATGTTAAAGTTCGAGCAAAGATTTGAATCTTGTCAGTCTGGCTTCATTCACAGTGTGTGCTCTTAGCTGCTACTAAATCCCAGTAACTTACAATTATTGTGTTCATAAAATAAGGACTTCTGACAACATTGAAATAATACTCATTTAGCACAAGTCCTCTGGAAAGCCTTCCTTTTCCTGTATTCCCAGGAGGCATGGTGAAATGTTTATATTAACACCAACAGATAACAGTAGGACAAAAACTAATGTATATAATATAAATATAATTATGTGAAACTAAATATCACAAAATTGAAACCACAGTTGGGTTAAAGTGATGAAACTTTAGCCTTATTTATTTATTTATTTATCTATTTATTTTTTGAGATGCAGTCTTGCTCTATTGCCCTGTTTGGAATGCAGTGGTGCAACCTAGGCTCACCTGCAACCTCTGACTCCCAGGGTGAGGCCTTTCTCCTGCCTCAGCCTCCAGAGTAGCTGGGATTACAGGCATGTGCCACCATACCTGGCTAATTTTTGTGTTTTTGGTAGAGATGGGGCTTCACCATATTGGCCATGTTAGTCTCCAACTCCGGACCTCAAACGATCCTCCTGCCTCAGCCTCCCAAAGTGCTGGGATTACAGGCGTGAGCCACTGCACCCAGCTACCATACTTATTATATTTTATGACTAAGCATTTTCCAGGTATGAAAGGTCATCGCATATCTGTGGAGGTTAGATTAGTGAGGAAATTATCTGGTGACTTGGATACTGGTTAGAGGGTGTTATGATGGTCAAAATATTAAGCTAATGGGGCCTGCATTAGCACAGTGGCCATCAATCTGAGCCACAAAAATGAAGAAAAAGAATGAAGAATGGACCAAATTTATTCTATCATATCCACATGGTCATTTACTCTTTCGTTGTATCTCTAACTCTTTCAATGCAGAAAAGCACACACTTAGCAATATTTAAACTATCTTATTTCCAGATTTCTAACATCTTCCATTGCCCCGCACTCCCTAATTCTCGCAAAATTTTGCTTACTCATGCCCTCTCTTGTTACTTTCCCAAAACAAATTAAATGAAAGAAAAGAACTGAAAATATCCACTGCAGCTATGAAGGTAGGAAGTCATTTTTGACCTTAGAACAATTTTAGTAGAGAAGTGAGGTCAAAGCCAGATAACAGTAGACCAAGGAAGAATGAGTGGGCAAAGAAAGTGGATATTGATAAGGAAAAGTCTGAAGAAGGAAAGAAAGAGAGCGAGAGTGAGAACAAGAGCAGGAGAAAGCACAAAAGTAAAAGGAAGACACAAAGTTCTGTAGGAGCAACAGAGATATGTTTATGCTACGAAGTGATAAGATAATGGTGAGGAAAAAAGGGATAAAATATGATTCTGACTATGTAAAAGTAAACATCAGAAAAGTCAAACCAGGATTGGGTTCAGGTGGTAAGACTATTTGTATTTTTTATTCCACTTCTCAAGTTTTTTATTATGCCGTTCTATTAATTGGTAATATGGATTATATAGCATAACTTAAACTTAATAATACATTTAAAATTACAAAGTAATCTGCAATAATTTGACTATTTGTCCTTCCTAAAATTTATGTTGAAATTTAGTCCCGATGTGGCAATATTAAGAAGTGGGGCCTTTAAGAGGTGATTGGATCATAAAGACTCTACCTTCATGAACGGATTAATGGGTTAGTAGGTTAATAGATTAACTAATTAATGGGTTTCGTGAAAGTGGTACTGGCTTTATAAGAAAAGGAAGGGAGAGCTGAGCTAGCATATTAGCACATTCAGTCCCTTGCCATGTGTTGCCTTGGGCTGTGTCAAGATTCTGCAGAGTCTCCATCAACTGAAGCCCCCCAACCTTGAATTTCTTAGCCTCCATGACTGTAAGAAAAAAATATATTTTTCTTTATAAATTACCCAGTTTCAGGTGTTCTATTTTAAGCATCATAAAACAGACTAATACAGACTCCTTAACCAATTCTTTCACAATCCAACACACAAACACACACCCACAAATGTGCAAGTCTACTCATGTTTAGACACAAACACACAATAATAAATAGTAAAGAACAGAAAAATCGGCACCAAGTATACAGTAGAATTCTAGTGACGTGTGTTACATAGAAGTTGTTGATCTTTGGAACTGGGTCTGCAGTCACAATCACTGCACGAAAGGTCACTAGAGATAACTTCATATATATTTCTAGGATTTATGGACCAAGAGTAGTCCCTCTGTTGGGAACGATCTTCATGTTTTACAATAATTAGAGTCCAGATAACTTTTCCGCTCCACTATTAGAGTTGACAGATTGTGGATATAAAGTTTGGGAAGAGAAAATATGGATTGAATAATTGAAATCAGCCTCTTACTTTCATATAAGTCTCCTTAAGCTGTTTCTCCCCTCTCCATTTTTACAATGGGTACTCAAGATAGAACCTGTAGAGTCCATCTACTGAGTATGCAGTTATCTACACAAAGACAAGTGAAGAAAACTTTACCAAATCCCTAAGCTTGCTGAACTAACTTGATGGAATTTTTAAGCATGTGGGAGAGAGGTTAATACAAGAATAGTCTAATTAAAGTAATTGTTGTGTTCTAAGTTATGAGTTTTCAATTAAATGAAATCTTAAATTATTCTTTATGCCTTTGCTAATTAGTGAGTTTTTTATCTGCTTCAGTTAAGCATGAAACCAATACTGGCACAGCATTCTCACCTTGGGAACCTCATTTGCAATTTACCTAGTCTTCTGGGATTTAAAGCAATTAAAATGAAATTGAATCCTTGGTTTAATCCTGATGAGAGGGTATGCCAAAGAAAAAGCCCCACAGCTTCACAAGGTAGAGACTTGAATGAAGTGGGCTGTATTACCATCCCAAATGTGTTTATATACTATCTTCTTCATAAAGTTGCCCTGATTTACCTGATTGGCATCTGTCACTAGACTTTCTAAAGGTTCTTTACCTATCTCCATATTTGTACTCATGGTAATCTATCTTGTTTACTTATCCCTCTTCTTTAGTAGCTTATAAACTTGGAGGGAAGTACAATTACTTATTAATGTTTATCTCTACAATGGTGAAGTCATTGTTGATAGGTGCAAGATCCAATGCATGGTAGGTGGTGAACAGTTACTTAGTGTGTTATCTCACTGAACACACGCAATACTTTTGCCTTGATTTGCCACAGACCATATATGCAGTGCCTAGCATTTTTCAGATTCATCATTACTTGATTCCCTTTGGTCCATATAGGACTAATACAAATAATTTCCAGGGCTCCCAGGGGCTACTATCATTAGACATAGATCTATTAGACTTAGATTCACCATGCATAATACGTTTTGCTTCTCAGAGATATAGTATGGCAGAATGGCAGAATGAACAGTCACTCAGGAATTAGACTACTTCAGGTCACAGTTTTAAATTTATTTCTTGAATTTGATAAGTTATTTAAATTATTTGAGCCACTTCTTAAAATTTAAATAATACATTTATATATATTATTTTAGTATTTTAAAAATATACAATATATTATGATTAATTGTGGTCACCATTTAGTACAACAGATCACTAAAACCTAGTCTCCTAGTACACTAGATAACTAAAACCTATTCTACTAGTCTCCTAGTTTTAGTCTAACTAAAACTTTGTACTCTTTGATCAACATCTTTTCTTTCTGCATTCCCCTTCAACCTGTCAGCCTCTGGTAACTGACATTCTACTCTTGTTTCAATGAGATAGACTTTTTTAGATTCTACCTATAAGTGAGATCATACAGTATTTGTCTTTCTGTGCCTGGCTTATTTCACTTAATGTTCTCCAGTTCCATCCATGCTGTTTCAAATGACAAAATTTCCTTCTTTTGTAAGGCTGTATAATATTCCATTGCCGATATAAACCACATTTTTTTTCATCCATTTATCCACTGATGGATACTTAGGTTGATTTCATATCATGGCTATTGCAAATAATGCTGAAATGAACATGGGAATGCACATAGCTCTTAGACATACCAATTTCAATTCCTTTGGATACATACCCAGAAGTGGGATTGCTGGGTAATATGGTGTATTAGTTCACTCTCACATTGCTGTTAAGGATGACCTGAGACTGGGTAATTTATGAAGAAAAGAGGTTTAATTAACTCACAGTTTTTCCGTCTGTACAGGAAACATGGCTGGGGAGGCCTCAGGAAACTTAAAATCATAATGGAAGTTGCAGGGAAAGCAGGCATGTCTGACATGGCCAGAGAAGGAGGGAGAGAGGGAAGCGTGAGGTGTTACACACTTTTTTTGTTTGTTTGTTTGTTTGTTTTTTGTTTTTTGTTTTAAACAACCAGCTCTTACGAGAAAACACTCACTATCATGATAACAGCGTGAAGGAAGTTTACCCCCATGATCTAATCACCTCCCAACAGGCCCCTCCTCTAACACTGGGAATTACAATTCAACATGAGATTTGGGTGAGGAGACAAATTCAAACTATATTATTCCACCCCTGGCCTCTCCCAAATCTCATGTCCTTCTCACATTGCAAAATACAGTCATCTCTCTCAACAGTCCCCCAAGTCTTAACTCATTCCAACATTAACTCAAAAGTCCACAGTCCAAAGTCTCATCTGAGACAAGGCAAGTTCCTTCTGCCTATGAGCCTGTAAAACCAAAAACAAGTTAGTTACTTCCAAGATACAATGGGGACACAGGACTTGGATAAATACACCTGTTTCAAAAGGGAGAAATCAGCTAAAACTAAAAGGCTACAGGCTTCATGCAAATCTGAAATCTAGCAAGGCAGTCATTACATCTTAAAGCTCAACATAATCTCCATTGACTCCATGTCTCACATCCAGGCCACACTGGTGCAAGGGGTGGGATCCCAAGTCATTGGGCAGCTCCACTCCTGGGGCTCAGCTCCCATGCCTACACACAAGGGCTGGTGTTGAGTGCCTGTGCCTTTTCCGAACACACGGTACAAGCTGTTGGTAGATTTACCATTCTGGGATCTAGAGAACAGTGGCCCTCTTCTCACAGCTACACTAGGCAGTGCTCCAGTAGGGACTCCTGTGTGGAAGCTCCAACCCCACATTTGCCCTCTGCATTGTCCTAGTAGAGGTTCTCCATGAGGGCTCCATTCCTGCTGCGACTACTGCCTGGATCTCCAGGTGTCTTCATACATCCTCTGAAATCTAGGCAGAGGCTTCCAAGCCACAGCTCTTGCCTTCTGTGCACCCACAGGTTTACCATCATGTGGAAGTTCTCAAGGTTTATGGCTTACACCTTCTGGATCAGTGTCCTAAAATGTATCTGGGGCCCTTTTAGCCACAGCTGAAGCAGGGGTGGCTGGGATGCAGAAACCTATGTCTAGAGGTTGTGCACGGTTGTGGAGCCTTGGCCCTGGCCCTAGAAACCATTCTTCCCTCCCTACTAGTGCTTTTCATCTTAGGTTTAGATAAGAATTTAAAACTGAAGATTTGTCCTGTTGTTGTTAGGATTACATGACATACACATATTTTTAAGAGAGGGAAGAAAATATGCTTTCATGTTTGACTTTAGGAACAATCTAGAACTATTTTTTAAATGGTTGCTTATACTTACCTCAAAGAATAAACAGTAGTTCAACTTATATGTTTTCATGGAAAATAGAGCATGTCCATCAAACACATTTTTTTTCTTTGCTATGAAGTTATAGTTTGATTAGACAGAAGAAGCGAAAATAGAGTTTATAAAGTTAGTACTGTAATTTAACATGGTATCTCAAAATATACTGGTGAAGAACTGGAGAATTAAGGGATGGATTTAAAGACAAGCTCTTGAATGTAACTGATGATGATCTATGTTGATGATCTAATGTTATTTTTGTAGTGGAAGCAGCTCTGTGGCTGTTTTCAGGGACGTAACCTGAGTTATCTTGTGTAGAATCAGTGAATTAGTAACTTGTATGAGAAAATAGAGAACATGATCATAAGATTTTAGGATGGAATAAACTTAGATGAGATCATAATTGCATAACATAAGAAAATTAGCACGATATACAGAAAAGTCCTTTTGAAAATATTGTTCATGGATCACCTCTACAAAATTTACTTTAAGTGTTTATTAAGAAGTCTTTTGAAATGTTCATTAACTGTTTATAAATAAATTTATTGTTTATTAACAAGTCTTAAGAAGGGTTTAATAATGAGTCTGTTAAGTTTTCTTGGCCTTTTCTTAGATCAATTGAATTAGGATCTATAATAGTGGGATCACAAATGTGAAGTTTAACATTTTTACTCAAGTGATCTCTGTGCATATTAAATTTTAGTATCACTAGTCCAGGGGAAAAAAGTTGTTAATTCCAACAAGGTACAATTTAACCAACAAAATGCAAATGTTAAATTCAGCAAGGTACAAATGTTCACACTTGGGTAGACTGGTAATAAAGTATATTTAGATATTTTGTCAGTAGTTAGCATAAGTTATGTGTGAGATGAGGTTGCTAAAAATTATATGATTCTTTCTAAGTCAGTATTCACCCATCCATCTAGCCATCCATTGATTTGTCCATTACTTTCTGTTACTTATCTATATATTTATTTGTTCAACTGACTCTTACTATGAAGTAAAATTATATTAATAGATGGTTATAATGAAGAGTTTTTTTTTTCTCTACCTTCAGGAATCTTTTGATCTGATAGGGGAGAGAAACAAGCTGATCTGAATTGCAATGCTGAACAATAATTGCCACATTCAATGTAACATGGAGGACCTAACCCAGCTGATAGCTGATAAAAGCTTGAAAGTTCAAGTGGGAGTTAGCTCAGCAAGGGAAAAGACTAAAGCAAGGATAGAATCAGGAATGTGGAACAGCTTGTTCAAAGATATGAAACCAAATGTGAATATGCTTTTGCACTAGTAAATAGTTTGTAATGGCTGAAGCATAGGGTGGGAGGAAAATAGTGAAAGATGAAGCTGGCGAGTGTAATTCTCAACAAGCAGGACTTGAGTGCTAGACTCACCATTTTTATCCCACGTGCCTTGATTTCAATATAATAAAATATTGTTTTGCCATATGGAGATGGTATGGAACAAGTATAGAATATTTTATTGTCCTCAGATAAAATGTGTTAAATGGTAAACTGTAGTATGGCAATTTAATTCTAGTATTTAATTTCTGAGGGATACTTTACCTAAGATGTAAAATTGACTCTTTATGAGAAAAAGAAATGCTTGCCACAAGAATAGTATTACACTGGTATGAAGAACTAAGACAACTCTTTCATTTATTTTAATTAAATACCAACTGCCCATTTATAAGCTTTATTGCTTTAAAAATATCATGGCTAGTTTGACTGTTGAATTAAGTTTCTCTTTCTTCTTTTTTCTCTGATAGACTTTTACCCTCCTGTGACATTATTAAAGAAATTGATTTTACCAATCCCCGTCCAATTTCATGGTTAAATCTTAATTTTTTTTCTGTAACCAGATATGCTTGATATGTGGCAAAGAGAATTTATACACTGAATGAAATTCTTTGTGGACTAGAAAGGTGAGGAGATTAAATCTTCATAATAATAATATGAATTTTTCTTCTGTAAATTAAAGATTTTCTACAAATTAAATATTATTAGCAAGGCATAATTAGCTCAAAAAGATGAAAACCCTCCATGCATCAGTTCTGGTATGCTGGGTGAATTCATTATATAAGTGCAATGTTTTACCTCCTAAGTTCAATGCTAATGGTTGAGCCACATTCGGGGAGAAATACAAATCAGGAAGGATAAAAATACTCCCAGGAGGTAAAAAAGAAAATAAATGTCCTACCGAAGTTTACTAATAACATGCTTTTCTGAAAGGCAGCAAACACATTATTAATTATGTTTTGGCAGTAGCAAACTCTAAGCTCATTGTTGGCAGTACAAGTTATACAGATCTATAAAATACTCAACCCATATATTTACTCCCCACTTCCTAATCCCTGCATTAAATACGTCATCTTCCCAATTTATTTACCATTTTGTTCACAGAATTATCACTCTAAAACCAATGTGACCATGCTAGTCTTAAAAGCCTGTGATGCCTACTCCCAAACACACACACACTGCACAGCTTTAAACTCATGCCCCTGTAGGGAGGGAGAAAACTATTTTTGTTTTCAGCCAGATTTCTACTCCTTCCTCAAGTTCCATTACAGAAAACAAACCCTTTCTTTACCTACAGAACAAGGATTTTCATGCTTCCAGGCTTTTTACATATGTTTTTTTTCTGCGTGGAATGTTCTTATGCCATTCCACATGCAGAGGAATAACTGGAACCTTTCCTACACTATTGTTGGCCATCTGAATAAAGCTGTATGTAAAGAAAATCTTTTCTGAAAGACCTTCGGCTTTCACTTTGTTTCCTAACATGGCACACATAACAATTACAAAGTAAGCATGTGTCGCACAAAAGCAGGACCCATGAACTGCTTCCATTCAGAGTAAGGGGAAACTGAACCCAAAGAGTTTTAAGTTGCATAGTTTGTGCTAAAACCCTTTTGCTTTCGTTGTAAATCCAAGACCCTTTAATTTTCTTATAACACAGTGTCTGTTTAAATCAATTTTTCTGTCACAACCCACCCCAAAAAAGAGTGAAGAAAACAAGTGGATGTATCTTGTGGGGGGTTGCCATAAGACTGCAATTGATTGACTGATCTCAAGATGAAAATCCACTGCAGTGCTGAATACCGTCCTCTGGTCACTGCTAGCTGTAAATTTTGGGTTGATCTTCTAAAGCCTGTAAGTCTGCTTTCTTTTCTACAAATTGGAGACTAGTGATACTTAAGCCTTCCACTATAGTGCCCGTCACTTAGTAGGTTATTAATAAATTAGAGCTTTATAGATACTACTGACGGCAGGAAGAGACTCCCAGAGGGCTGACTAGTTGTCAACAAATGTATGCTTACCCATTTTTGTAAGAATTACGAAGAGCCAAAAGATGGCTTTTTCCTGAGGAAAGATTTTTCTTACAGGATGTTCTTCAGTCCTATTTCTACATGACATATCTCACCTCAAAGAGAGAAGGCTTGTATGCTTTATTAAGAACTCCAGGCCGGGCGCTGTTCCTCACACTGTAATCCCAGCACTTTGGGAGGCCGAGGTGGGCGGATCATGAGGTCAAGAGATCCAGACCATCCTGGTCAACATGGTGAAACCCGATCTCTACTAAAAAAATACAAAAATTAACTGCACCTGTAGTCCCAGATACATGGGAGGCTGAGGCAGGAGAAACGCTTGAACCTGGGAGGCGGAGGTTGCAATGAGCCGAGATCGCGCCACTGCACTCCAGCCTGGAAACAGAGTGAGACTCCATCTAAAAAAAAAAAAAAAAAAATTCCACTGCACTCAGGAGGCTGAGGCAGGAGGATTTTTTGAGCCCAGGAGTTTGAGACTAATTTGGGCAACGTACTGAGACCCTATCTCTATGAAAAAAAGAAAAGCAAAATTCAACCAGGAATGTGCTAATCTGCTTATCTATGGCATGGCAACTTGAATTTAGAATTCAGAAATTTCTGAGTAGAGGATTGAGTTAAAATAGGGACTCAAGTATAACTGTATTATTCGATTTTAAATGGAATTTTGGTCTGAAGAAAGAGGGTTTCATCGAATTTTCTTACAGCAACTTAGTATGTACATGGCGGCTTGAAGGAGAGAAATAATTTAGAGATGTTTTCATTTAGTCTCAATAAATTCAAATATCTGTTCTGATTTTTGTCAAGTTAATTCATTTGTTGATCCCTTAGGAAAGTTAACTGTAGCGGCAAGCTTTGGCTGTGTGGCACGGAAATTATGGGTTGAAAAAGAAAGTGTAAGGCAGAAAATACTTTGAGAACGTTTCTAAAAATCTAGAAAATAAAAATATTTAAATAATATGCATGTTTAATATGTTTCAGTAGATGTGTTTTTGAAGACTGCAAACAACTAGTGTCTATAGAGCCCCTCATTCATGATTTCATGTTCTTCTCCCCAGAGCAGAATGAATGGCTTTTTATACAGAATTCTCATATGCACTCCGGGTAGCATTCATAAAAATTAGTTCTTTTATCTATATTTATTTCCTCTCTTTCTCTCTCCTAGTTATTGCTTTTTTTGCAAACTATTTTAAAGATAAACATTGTATTTCGTATCCAGGGTTTTGTTTTATTTTGTTTTGTTTTGTTTTATAATCTCACTGTGTTAACCATTGTGCTATGCATACTGTAGACACCTAAGAAAAGTTTGTAGGACAAATACAGAAATGAGCACAAAGAGTTACAAATGATAGAAATAAACTCACTATAAAGAGTTATTCCATCTTTATAAAGGGAAAGCAAGCTAGTATGTTTCCTCTAAATCTGTTTCAAAAGGAAGTCTACAATGCCTTAGCATTATAGATGTATTTTGTATGCACTTAGGAGTCAACTTTAGATGCTTTTTCAGAACTACAAAAATTTGCTATAAATCATATATAGGGGTGTGTATATTCATATACATAAATATATTTATGGATATATATATTTATGTATTCTGTTTCTCTCAATATCTTGACATATTTCATGGCAGATTTAGTAGATGGTAGTTCACAGTCAAGAATGGTTGATGATAGTTTGGATTCAAACTGGTCAAGTTTTTTTAGAAGAAATCATTTTGAACCCAGCAATATCTGATTACTGAAGTCATTATTTTGTATGCTATTTTTTTTGTGATTTTTCTGCCTTTATGCCTATTTATGACTTATATTCGTTCTGGTTGAAATGTCTTTCTTCTAAATACATTGATTGTCTACACCATATACCTCAAGATATTCCATTCACCTCTTAAGACATAATCATTTCAATTTTATATAAAAATTATTATACTTGCCTTTACATTTTGGGCTATAAACTGATTGAGAGTAGGTAAAATGTTCAGTTTATTTTCATAAAGGACTAATACACAATAATTACTCAATATATATTTTTTATAATTATCCAAAAGAGGAAGGGAAATATGCATTTCAAAGCAAGGTAGAGTTTAATTCTATTGACTTACTAAACTGCAATAGAGACACGCTAAAGTATCAATAAAAATAGATTCCTTTCAAATAAATATGTAGTTTGTTAAAATACTTGTAAATGGAATATTTAATAACATATCACTTACAAAATCCTAGAGTTAGGACAAGAATTCTTGTTTAGAAAAAAAAAGTTGATATAAGTAAGTTCATTAATATAGATAATGAAGAAAATTAGCACTCCTTATCTTGTGTAAAGCATTATAAAAGTGTTAAACACATTTGAGTAATTATAAGATGTCCAGATCTGGTAGTAATGAATAACTGAAAGTATGATATTAACTATAAACAAAATTAAAAATAAAAGCAAGGAAAAAAACTAAAAATAGATACTGGTTGAATCCACCGATTGCATTGTCAAGAAATATCCAAAACCTATGGTTTATCATACATTTGTTTTTCAAATTTTATCATAAAAATGACCTGAAGTGAGGGTATAACCTATATTTTCCCATGACCTAATCTCAGAGTCCTTTAAATAATTTCATCCCAATATCTACCAGCAGCTATAAATAACAGAAATTTTATATGTCTAAAGAGATTATAATGAATAAATTTATTTTGGTCTGATGTATTTGGTGAAAAATATGATTATAGATGAGAAGTCATAACATTTATACCTTAATACTATTTGAAAATGTAGATATATATCTAATCTTAGGAGGATTCAAAGCCCCAGATGAATTTCTGATGTAATATTGAAGTTACTTGCAGTAATCAAAGAACACTATGTGTCTTCTCCATGTAAAAGCTATTTCAACTGGTCTACAATAAAAGACTAGTATGAAGCTAGAGACAGGCACTGGGGATGTGCCTTGATGTCATTAGTCTAATCATTAAAATTCCAGCTGAAGAACTTTAAAAATTCTATTGTTGTTTCCAGTTTCACTTTTCCTTCTCATATGAGAAAGGGTTTGTATTTGCATTTTAAACATTTCAATCTTCTCTCATAAATATAACTCATTTATAACATTTATTCAGCAAATTCAGTGTGGACAGTTTAGAAAGTCAGCAGTGTATTAAGTAATTAAATCTGTTTAAATATGGAATTAGTTATCCAAGCATTACAAATTCCTATTAACACTTGCAGAAATATGGAATGCTGTAATACCATAGAAACAAGAGCAAAGAAACCCAGAATATATTCAGAGTTGGTTATTTCTCCAAGGAATCTTCAGTTCTTGCTTTTCTATATATCTTATGTAACCGCAGTGATTGTCATAATCTTTTGTGGGTTTAGAAATCTAGCTGTCATGTTTCTAAATAATGAGTCAGAATATTCTAGAGAAACAGCCTGAAAGAAAGCAACATTTAATCATTCTCAGACCACTGTAATCCCATGAACCAATACTTGATAACAACCAGGTTGTTTGAAAGATCCTGTGACAATTTACTAGTGTGGTAAATATCTAGGATTTTAGCAAAATAGAAGAAATGCATTTACAAATTGTGTTGGAATTTTCAGCTCTTAAAGAATAGGGGCTTTTTATTCAGAGTTTTATAGGGAGAAACATGGAGGGCTTTTAGAATTGAAGTGGAACAAGAATGGAGTCTATGGGGCATGCTTAAATAATTTCGCTCTAAAACAGATTTAATTAGTCAATTATCTAATAAACATCAGAATTCATGAACAGTGCACATTTGAATATGTTGAATAAAAGTTGCAAATTGCCTATATTCATAATGGATGATTGAAATGTCATTAAGGATATGTAAATGCAAATTATTTTATTAGAATTTTGAGGAGTAAAAAGGTAATTTCAAAAAGAATTATAAAGTGATTCCCATTTGAAATGTGCTAACGATATTTTTTTGCAAGAAGAGAAGAGTAATTTGAGTCAATTTAGCAGCAAAGCTGCAATATGACTCTGTCTTCCCTCTCTCCCCTTTCTGATTTGATAGAACCTTGTAAGAATGATGTCAGATAACTCAGGAAATTTATTGTTTGTCTCATCGACTACATTTTAAAAGGTATATTTGGCAGAGAGTCTGATCTTTATAGTAAATAAAACTAATGCTACCCAACTTGTCTGAAGCTTTTTTAAAAATTTCACTAACACAATGTGTATTACTAGCTGCATTGGAGAACTGGAGAATTGGCATCATTTTCAAAATAAGTAGCTCGGTTACTAAGTTCTCCTAAGTTATGTTTGTATTTCATTTTTCCAGTGTGGTTTTTGAAAGAAGGAACATGCAGTCATTCTCAATATCTACATTATATATATATATATTATTTATATTACATAAATTTAATTTCTCAATATCTATATTATATATAATATATAATTTGTATTATATAAGTAATATAAATTACATAATATATATCATTTATATAATATATAACATAAATAATGTAATATCTATATAATGTAGATATTGAAAATGGCTGCATGTATATATGATTTACATTGATATATGTAATGATATAGAATATCTTATTGTAATATAATGATATATTATAAATATATAATTTCACTCATGCCATCAACAAGATAACCCCATTATATTTCTGTATTTTCAATAAATTACTTACAGCCTCTGATCAATGGGATGTGATGTATGCAAAAGACTTTTCAGGATAATAAAGTATTACATTTGCAGAATGACTGCACCGATGGAAGCAGACATTATACATGTTTGAGAGGAATAGAATGTTACTTATACTGTATTTAGTGCACAACCTCGTTCTGCATGGTATACCTTTTTTTTTTTTTGATGCAGGGTCTCACTCCATCACCCAGGCTGGGGTGCAGTGGCAAGATCACGGCTCATTGTAGCCTTCTTCATCTTCTGGGTTCAGGTGATTTCCCACCTCAGCCTCCTGAACAGTGGAGACTGCAGGCACAAGCCACCAAGCCCAGTTAATTTTTGTGTTTTTTGTAGAGAGAAGTTTCGCTATGTTGCCCAGGCTGGTCTTGATCTCCTGGGCTCAAACAATCTGCCCACCTGTGCCTCCCAAAGTGCTGGGATTAAAGACGTGAGCCACTGTGCCCAATTAAATTTCTGAAATATCGTATCTTCTTACTTTTGATGAAAATTTTACATCAGCTCATATTAATGTTTATATTAACAGATTTTTCCATTTGTCTCCTCAGGTCACTTACATTTTAATTTCTTTAACTCTCACAAGTTATATTCTGTCTCAGGCAGTATCTAAATTAAAACTTGAGCCGAAGGTATTTAAACTGCACTTCTTTTATTGATCTTAATGAGAAGGAAAAAGAAAACTTCCACAATTTTAAATAATGGTCACATAAAAAGATAAATAGTAAAAACAAGAACAACAGCAACTTTGCTTTTTCTTTATTATGAATTTTCTATTTGCTGCATTTTTTCTATGGTGGCATTTATTAATTCATACCACATTCTCTGGGATTTCTTTGGATAGATTTGGTTTGAGGCTAACTTGGTAACTATGCCTTTTCACACCTTGAAAATACTATTTCCCATAGAAATCTCATGAACACTTTTAAAAATAAAAACATAAATTGATTTATTTTAAGTGACTTTTTCTCCTTATCCAATTTCAAATAAACCATCTAACAAAATTTTTGGTTTTTCAAACATTATTTTTTCCTACAATTCTCTTCGTTCTCTTTCAGCCTGTATGATCCTCCACTTTGATTAGATGCCTCTTGTCTTTAGTCTTGTCTTTTGAAAGAATGCTTTTCATTTTATAGTCTTTCATTCTGAACTGAAGACTACTTGTGCCACCAATGTTGCAGACATTAGAAGCACAGATTCAGGGGTGGCAGTGTGTGTGCCTTTGGTCAATCTACCTGTTTTGGCAGCCATCTCAAGTGTAATATTATAGTGCTTTATGTGTGGCATGAGAATCCTTAGGTAGAGTCACTGTATGATTTCACTTCATACAATAGACTAATAATCTTAAGGTTGCCACAATAGGCATTTGAAGTTTCCCTAAAAAACTCAGTGTTTCGAAATACAATTTCACTGAAACCTATAGATGGAATTTGGAAGCATTTTTCTTTTTTAACAGTAGAGGAAAACACAAATAACCCGGGACTCAGAGTTAAAAGAGTTGGATATTGGATTTTACTTTATCTCTCAATGTCCTAGCTCTACGACCTTTGGCAAGTGTTGGATTTCTCCCCCGCCTATTGGGCACAATAACTTACTTATTTACTTTCCAGGATTGTTGTGGTAATTAAATGAAGGAGACTGTTTATGAAGCACTTTGAAAATTAAACAATATTCTATAGATATTCTTTCATACCAAGCAATATTATATACATTATTTTTCATACCAAAGCAATGCCTACTTGAATATATAATTATCCATTCTCTCTCCAACTCACCGTAAAGGCAAGAGCTATATTTTGTCTTTATATCCTCCATAGTGTCATTGTTACCAAATAGCACTAAGTGTATTATCAGACAATCAACCAATACTAAGTAGAATAAATTGCAATTTATTTTATTTTATATTTTCATGATGCATGACAAAAACAATGGATGATAGACAAATATAGCATATGATATATAGGAACATCTGGAAAAAAGAGGAAGTAATGAAAAGATAATATGTTAAATGGTCTGCTAGTAAATATTCACAATCAGATTTCCAGGGAAGGTGGTAAAAATGGAAGTCCTGTTTTAGTATTCACCAGTTTATTTCTGTAATGTAAATACTCCCACCATTACTGATTTCAAGCTACCAATGTGGCATTCTGCAAGTGGAGCTGGAAAGAGATTTGCAGTTAGCACACCAATACACACTATTTCCACAATACAGATACAAGAGATGTAAATAATTTCAAAAGCCTAGAAAAGAATAAATGGAGTTAAATGATTAAGTACTATGAATTTTGAGTACTTCTTGTTCTTAACATAAGCAATTTAATTATAATATTTTAAAATTAACTTTTTATTTTCATTTTTTAATTTTACTTTAAGTTCTAGAGTACATGTGCACAACGTGCAGGTTTGTTACATACGCATACATGTGCCATGTTGGTTTGCTGCACCCATTAATGTGTCATTTACATTAGGTATTTCTCCTAATGCTATCCCTCCCCCCAGCTCCCCACACCTTGACAGGCCCCAGTGTGTGATGTTCCCTGCCCTGTGTCCAAGTGTTCTCATTGTTTAGCTCCCACCTATGAGTGAGAACATGCAGTGTTTGCTTCTCTGTCCTTGTGAGAGTTTGCTTAGAATGATGATTTCCAGCTTCATCCATGTCCTTGCAAACGACACGAACTCATCTTTTTTATGGCTGCATAGTATTCCATGTTGTACATGTGCCACATTTTCTTAATCCAGTCTACCATTGATGGATATTTGGTTCCAAGTCTTTGCTGTTGTGAATAGTGCCTCAATAAACATACGTGTGCGTGTGTCTTTATAGTAGCATGATTTATAATCCTTTGGGTATATATACCCAGTAATGGGATTGCTGGGTCAAATGGTATTTCTAGTTCTAGATCCTTGAGGAATCGCTACACTGTCTTCCACAATGGTTGAACTAGTTTACACTCCCACCAACAGTGTAAAAGTGTTCCTATTTTTCCACATCCCCTCCAGCACCTGTTTCCTGACTTTTTAATGTCGCCATTCTAACTGGTGTGAGATGGTATCTCGTTGTGGTTTTGATTTGCATTTCTCTAATGACCAGTGATGAGGTTTTTTTCATATGTTTGTTGGCTGCATAAATGTCTTCTTTTGAGAAATGTCTGTTCATATCCTTTGCCCACTTTTTGATGGGATTCTTTGTTTTTTTTCTTGTAAATTTGTTTAAGTTCTTTGTGGATTCTAGATATTAGCCCTTTGTCAGATAGGTAGATTGCAAAAATTTTCTCCCATTCTGTAGGTTGCCCACTCTGATGATAGTTTCTTTTGTTGTGCAGAAGCTCTTTAGTTTATTTAGATCCCATTTGTCAAGTTTGGCTTTTGTTGCCATTGCTTTTGATGTTTTAGTCATGAAGTCCTTGCCCATGCCTATGTCCTGGATGGTATTGCCCAGGTTTTCTTCTAGGATTTTTATGGTTTTAGGTCTAACATTTAAGTCTTTAATCCATCTTGAATTAATTTTTGTATAAGGTGTAAGGAAGGGATCCAGTTTCAGCTTTCTACATATGGCTAGCCAGTTTTCCCAGCACCATTTATTAAAGAGGGAATCCTTTCCCCATTTCTTGTTTTTGTCAGGTTTGTCAAAGATCAGATGGTTGTAGATGTGTGGTGTTATTTCTGAGGCCTCTGTTCTGTTCCATCGGTCTCTTCATCTGTTTTGGTACCAGTACCGTGCTGTTTTGGTTACTGTAGGCTTGTAGTAAAATTAAGTTTTTACTTAATTTTAATTTACTTAATGGCTGCCTCCATGGCATAGGAGGGTAAAAAGGTAGGCTTTAAACAATGCAGTTAACACATACTATGAATGTGGTCAAGTTTTTTAATGTCTACTGTGTTTATTTTCCCATCTGCAAGAGATGAGTTGTTATAATTATTTTGAGCAATGCTATAAAGATTATAAATAATGTATGTAAAGTGATTTATACAAAGTTGGTAATAGGTATATGGTATTTGTTTATAAAGTCCAGGAATATATTTCAGAAAATACTACCATGAACTGAATTGGATTTCAGCCAAATAAATACAGCTCCTCAACAGGTGAAACCAGCTCTTAAATGATCTTATGTGACCAGTAACTGAAATTCATCCCTTTGGCCAATTTTACACTTGCTTTTATGAGTTAACAGTAATTTTTTTCATAATTATAGCATTATCCAAGCTTCCATGAAAATCCATTAATGCATTTGCCTTATTCTTTTGAAGGGTTAGTAGGGGAATATTGTCAATGCTCCTTGGAAAATCTGTAAACAATCTTCACAGTTCAAAAATCACGTGATGAAAGTAAAAGTAATAGATTTTTAATAACTTATGACATATAATTTATATATGCATAAATATGTACATATACTTAAATACATATTTGAAACTATATATACACAGTTATGGTTACCTAGGTGCCTCTAATACTTGGGAATCATGATTTAAATAGAAGATGCATTTTGAATTAATTATTTTATAAAGACATGTCTTTGAGAGCTACATCTCTGTGAACATTTGCAATGAAAATTGTTTATGATATTTCCATTTTGAAGCAGCTAATTTCTTCAGGTGTACCCCCTTTGTCCCTATGGGGATTTGTCTTTTTCTCCACACAGTAGCTGTTCTATTTGGGGATGGTAATTTCTTACTTACAGTAGTATGATAAGAACCTAACTCCATTTCCTGCCTTTAACTTATCTGGTCTCTAATAGATCCTGTACTCTGGGGATAAGAAACTGTCCCCACCACCAGCCCATATCTAGTCTCCAAAAGTTTTTTTTTTTGTTTGGTCAGGAAGGAGTTTTAATAGTGACCATTGGAACTGTAACACACACAAACAGGACATGCATTCTCCACATCACAATGGCCCCAAGAATCCCATTTCTTTGCCCATTTAATGGTATCTGTTTGGTCCATAAAGATTTCATTTTGCTGTCTTTATCCCACACTCTCACCAGAGTAATGTTGCTGTTTTCAAATTTGATCAGTCTAATTTGTTTCTCAAGAATGCTCACTAACTCCTAATTAGTTTCCTATATATGCTTACATGTCAATAAGAATATTTAGTCTACCTTTAAACTTTGTTTCCTCAGGGAAAAAAAGGGAACTAACATTATCAAGGACCTACTATGATCATATAGACATTGCATTAAATACTTTGTATGGAAACACTACTGCTCAGTTAGTTATTGAGTTAAGTCTGACAACCTCAGTTTGAATTATTCAAACTGAGGCATAAATCTCACATTGTTGAGGTTTATTGAGCCAGCTTGTCAGCGTGCATGGGAAAAACAGGAGTCACAGCGGCACTTTTGTTTGTTTTGTCCAAAATGGTTCTCAGGAGGGTTAGTATTTATACGTTTTCTTTAAAAAGGGGAGGGGTGGGGGTGGCAGCGAGACGAGTGACATACTTGTGAGTCTATAGCTAGTGTCTAGGAAATTTACATCTTACATAAGATAAGGTGAACATTTGAGGAAAAAGGGAATGGAGAAAGCAGATTTCTGAGGGAAGGGTGAAGGAATGATTAATCTCATCTCATCTTTGTTCTGTACATAGGAAGATAAGCTAGTAGTCTTTTGAATGTGCTGATTTCTACTTAGCCCTCAAGGAAGAAAAGCCTAATAGTTGTTAGCAATGGAGGAAGTATAATGAGGGGAATCCAATCTCCCATCCTGCCATAGCCATGAAGTCAGCTTCCAGAGTTCCTCTGGAGTTTCCTTGGCCACAAAGGGGCTTAAAATTTTATTTTTATTTTTCAAGCCCAAACACAGGTTTTTCAGAAAATATAGAGAACACCCAGTTAAATTTGAATTTCAGATTTAAAAAAAACATATATTATTTAGTTTAAGTACATACCATACAGTATTTGAGACATACTTATGTTACCAGCGGCAAATCCATATGGGTCTACAGCAACCTCAATTCTTGCCTCCTCAGAAGAAAGAATTTGACTGAGGAGGCATAAGACAGAAGGAGAGACTGAGGCAAGTTTTAGAGCAGGAATGAAAGTTTACTAAAAAGTTTTAGAGCAGAAACAAAAGGAAGGAAAGTACATTTGGAAAAGGGCCAAGTGGGCATGTGAAGATCAGGTGTGGCTTTTGACATTTTGACTTGGAATTTTATATGTTGGCATACTTCCAAGGTCTTGCGTCCCTTTTCCCATGATTCTTCCCTTAGGGTGGGCCGCCTGCATGTGCAGTGGCCTACTCACACTTGAGAGGTGAGCATGCACAGTACGTTTAAGAAGTTGTGTGCATGCTTACCTAAGACTTTCTTCCCTTTTCCAGTGGGATGCACCCTGAAGGTCATACTATGCTATTTTTTTCTCTTAATGTGCGTGCTTGAGTTCACTCTCTCAGTTCCTGAGATTTTATTGGAAGGTGCTAATTGCCAATTTCAAGTGTTTTTACCTATGGGGAAACTGCCTCTCCCTGGGGCCTGTGGCTGATTATCATTTTTAGAAAGGCCATGTGACGACTGCCAAATCATCACCTGATGGTTGTCTGACATACCTGGTGGGTGTAGGGAGGTCCTCTCCTGCCCTGCTCATTTCTGACTAGCTACCTATTGTAGCAGGCATACATGCAGGATGTATCCCATCTCCCCTGATTGTTTCTTTGTGGTGAGCTGTCCGCATGTGCAGTGGCCTTCTGGCACTTGGGGGGTGAGCATGTGTAGTGTGTTTACTGGAGTTGTACACCTGCTCACTTGAGGCCTTCTTCCCTTACTAGTCAAATGTCTCTGGAAGGTCATATGCCAGTTAAACACTACCATTTTGCCTTTTAATGCACATACTTGAGCTCACTCGCCCAACTCCTGAGATCTTATTGGGAAGCTGCTGATCACCAGCGTCAGGTGTTTCTATCTATTGGGCGACTGCCTTTCCCTGGCTCAGGCTGCGACCAATTATTATTTTAGAGAGACACTGTAACAACTGCCAGACCATCACCTGATGGTCACCTGACATTTCTGGCAGGGTGGGGGGAGTCCTCTGCTGTTCTGCTCATGTCTGACTAGCTACCTAGTCTGTTACAAGTTATATTTTAAAAAATGATGTTTATATGAAAATCAAATTTAACTGGACACCCTGTATTTTTATTTGCTTAATCTGGCAACCCAAACAGACCAGCATCCTGAGACAATGTGATATACATTTACAGTTGGCTTTTCTTCAAGTTGCTTAGTCTACTACCTTCTAGTGTGATACTATCGTTAATACTTGGATTCATCTTTTTTCAAGTGTTTGTCCAACTATTTGATCCTTTGAAACACAGTATTATTTCCTCTGGATCCTATACTAACTTGTGTTGCTCTCTGAATTCCAGTTATTTTTAGTTCCTTTTGACAAGAACTGAATCCTCCTGTGTCCACAATCACTCACCGGAGAATATAGTGGACAGGAAATGTCATGCCGAACTACAACAAAACTCGACTCAGTAAAATCCTTCCCTATTCAATTTTTTAATTACCAAGGACTGTCCACTAGGTGGCACTATGCCTGACTTTATCGCACAATCTGATCACTTGTTCTCTTTGACTTAAAATGATCTACCTAAACCCCTTTTTGGTTTAGTTTTCTTCCAGTTTAGAAGGAAAATTTAGAAAGTTTAGAAAGATCCACCTTAGTCAGCAGGGATAACCTGGTCTCAGCAGTCTTGTTCTTCCTCCAACCTTTCTCAGCTATGTCTACGTCCACTTTTATGACATCAAAAAAAAAAAAAAAGAAAAAAAAGCCAAAGAGATGTCTGTACGAGTTACAATGGGGTCGACCAGGAGGCAGTCAAAGTAAAAGTATAGAGTTTGTATTTTTTTAGCTAGTAATTCTAGACACTTTCCCAATCAAAGGTCAAACTTTGATTATGCCAAAACCAAAAAACCAGCCTGAGTACTTTGAGATTAGGGAAGAAAGCCAACACACTTCTTACCACAGCTGTCATAATACTTGCAGTCAAGGGGAGAAGGCAGCTTCCCACCTCAAAGACAGGACCAGAGTTCAGACTGCAAATGTGACCCCAAACAGTTCTTCAAAGGAAAAAATTCTTAGGCAAGAACAGCTTGCAGAAGTGCAGGTTCAAATTTGGGAAAGAGAAACAGAGACATTGAAAGCAAGGCCTGCAAAGGGTTTTAGATCATTTCACACTTCAGTGGGCAAAAGACCTCAGCAGGGCATTTACATGTTGGTAACAGGGTTTGTGTACAGAAAGAGAAGGTTCATTTAGAGGTCGATGTACAAAGCTTATATTCATTACTTTTCCATTGCTGTATTTTTCATCCATTGCAGGCCCTGGACATAGGGATCTGTCTGGAGAAATATTTAGGTAGTAAAATATATTTAAAGTGTAGATTCTAAAGCCAGATTGCATAGGTCTAAATCCAGTTTTGTAATTTACTGTCTGTGTGGTCTTAAGAAATGTATTCCTCTTTCTATGATGCTTCATCTGGTTCATGAGAGGGCTGAATAGATTACATAGAAAAGTATCTGACACATAAGAACTAAGTATTAGTTGCTAATATTATCATTGTTATTATATTTGTTATTTAGTCAATAGGAACCTCTTATGATGTGTCCCTGTGCAGTGGGAATATAAAGCAAGCCAAAGGGAACTCATTCTTCTCGAGTGGCCAATACGTGTGAAGCAGCTAAGAGGTTTACTTCCAACATATTTAGTGTTTATAACCATCAAGAAAGGTAAGTAGTATTGTTACTGGAAATGGATACCAATCCAGACCCCTAGAGAGGGTTCTTAGATTTCACACAAGAAAGAATTCAGGGTGAGTCCGTAGAGTATAGTGAAAGCAAGTTTATTAGGAAAGTAAAGGAATGAAAGAAAGGCCACTCTACAGACAGAGAAACCCAGAGGGCTGCTTGTTGCCCATTTTTATGGTTATTTCTTGATAATATGCTAAACAAAGGGTAGTTTACTCACGCCTCCCCTTTTTAGACCACATGGGGTAACTCCCTGATGTTGCCATGGCATTTGTAAACTGTCATGGCACTGTTGGGAGTGTAGCAGTGAGGAGGACCAGAGGCCACTCTTGTGGCCAACTTGGTTTTGGTGGGTTTGGGTTGGCTTCTTTACTGCAACCTGTTTTATATAAGCAAGGCCTTTATGACCTTCATCTTGTGCTGACCTCCTGTTTCATCCTGTGACTTAGAATGCCTTAACCATCTGAGAACATAGCCTAGTAAGTCTCAGCCTTATTTTACCTAGCACCTATTCAAGATGGAGTTGCTCTGGTTCAAACACCACTGACAGTGTCATCCCCATTTGTCAGATAAGAAAACTGAAGTTTAGAAAGGAGAAGTAACTAAATGAAGGTTCCATAGCTAGAAAGTAATGGGGTAAGAATTTAAATACTACTCTATCATATATGAAACCTTCTGTTTTGTTTCACACAGCTGGAAAAATTCCTAGAAAGTAGGCATTTTAGCTTTTTATGGACCTCAAAAAGCAGATGGTGGTCTTGTGAGGAAACTAGTCTCAGACACACATTTTTTCCATCTTTCATTGTTATGGCATTCCCCGGTGCTGGTTCTAAAGAAACTGGTTGAAACTCCTGTACAAAAAATGATGGCAGGAGTGGGGGTGGAAGGAATTAAAAATGGCCCCATTAAGCCATGGTTGCTTCCTTCCTAGCTCCGGGGAATATAAAGGTGTAAAAATGAATTATACGATAGGACAAAGATCTCACAGGTATGTTTGTAGCTGGCAGCTTTATTTAACAAAAGCATTTGGACCTTCCCGTTTTCCATATGGGCCAAAGCTTTGCTCTGAATGTATATCACATAGATATTCAGGATTATTCAGGATATTATTAAATCAAAAGATTATATAAAGCATTGAAATTGGTAATAGAGCTTTCAGAGAGGTATATATATATAATTCCTAGAAAGAGACTTTTTTTTTTTTGGTTTCCCATTAATAGAATCATATTAAATGCCTGGGGCAGAAAGAGGTGTGAGAAATTGCTTAAATTTCCTTTCCTTTTATGTAGACAATTCCAGTGTTTTGTTTTAAATGGGTAATTACATATCTTAAGTCAGAGTTAGTTACATCTTTGTTCTTTATTTGATAACTTATAAATGAGACATGTTTAAGATAGAAAATACTCTATGACATTCTAATAAAGCATTCATGGGCTTCCACTCACTCCTGCTGCTGCTGCTGCTGCTGCTGCTACTGCTGCTAACTCTTCACATTACTAAATTCATACTACATGCTGGCTTTTGCTGGGTACTTTACTTAGGTGAGTTATCTCATTAGCACTTGTAAGAGCCCTACAGGTAAAGACATTGAAGCTTAGAATGTTAGAAGAGTCTTCTAGTAGAATAGCTCATCTTTTAGGCTCTCTGAGAGTTGAGTTTTGGCTCCACTAAATTACCTAAAAATTACTCTGGGTAATTTGACCCACTCTAATCCTCAACACCTTCATCTATTAAATGGAAATAATAGTGTCTGCCTCATTGGGAGCCTTATTATAATATTGAATAACATATTAAAGAGAAAGCACTATGCACAAAGAACAAATGTTACTTATTATTGCTTAATGTGAAATGTGACCCGCCTTAGGCCACACAACTTTGATGTAACTAAGCAGAGGCTATTATCCCACAAAAATTGGGTAAATGATGTCTGGTAACAGTATGCTAGGCTTGAAAATATTAGAGTCAGTTGTGTTAAACCATAAACTATCTAATCAGAGCAGAAATCTTATTGCATCTTGAATGGGCATAAGGAATCAAGTCAAACCCAGAGAATTGCAGGAGTTGAGGAGAAGGTTGTGTAAGAACACCTGCTCATTAGATGGCAGCTTGAATCCTTGCTGCCTGGTTAAGCCCCTCATAACATCAAAAGCCGTCACTAATGAAGAGATCCCTGCCACTACTCATATGTTTGCATTGGATATATATTGCATCTTTAACCAGAAGAATTTTGCTTATCATTTTCATGTCTTTCCAAAGAAGAAATCCTTACTGAATAATGTTCAAACTTAGCAAAATAAAGGAGTATATGGAGGAGCAAATTATTTTTTGCAAGAATTATTAATATTTGGGAGTTTCTATTAGCAATAACTACACATATGAACATAAATAGTTTGATGAGTTTATGGTTGTGTATATAGTACATTTGCATGCTAAGTGTATATGTGTGTATCTGTGTGTATGTAAATGGGTTGACTGCTAGTCCCTTATACATATGCACTAGATTTCTATTAACAGACTTTTTCATACCTGTATGTTTATTATACATATTTGCAATTTCAAACATAATTTATATTAATAACTATATTTTTCTTAATTATTGTTACATTTCGATTGTCATATTCATTACAATTTGGTGTATACATAAAGGAATTGAGGCTTAGGAATTTTAAGTGGCTTATCTTGGATTATATCTGTATGTGTTCATGTATGTACAGTGGAAATGAAATCCTATGGCTTTTCAGTTTATGCTACACCAAGCCTCTCTCACTCATACCTTACTGTTTTCACTCAAGTTAAAAAAAAAAAAAATAAGTCTCTCTCTCTCTGTCTCTCTCTCTCTCTCCTCCTCTACCTTTCTCTCCATAAAGTATATAATTAGGGTTTTTACAGAATGATAGACAATCTTATGACATTTTTGTCACATGCCTATGTAGATATATGTAAATGTATGTATAAAACCACATGCAATCTATCATACTTTGATTTCAATCACAGCTGAAATAACCATCTAATTTAGATTAACAGCCATTCATCTGTCACTTATATCATGTATTCTGATAAGATACGCCCTTATCAGTAAGGATGCTACTGTCTCTAATGCTCAGTAATACTGAGCTTTGTTGCATATGCTTTCATATGCTTGTTGGCCTCAGGCATGCCTTCTTTAGAAAAGTGTCTGTTCATGTCCTTTGCCCCCTTTTAATGGGTTGTTGGTTTTTCACTTGTAAATTTGTTTAAGTTCCTTACAGATGCTGGATATTAGACCTTTGTCAGATGCATAATTTGCAAATATGTTCTCCCATTCTGTAGGTTGCCTGTTTACTCTGTTCATAGTTTCTTTTGCTGTGCAGAAGCTCTTAATTTTGATTAGATCCCATTTGTCAATTTTTGCTTTTGTTGCAATTGCTTTTGGCATCTTCGTTATGAAATCTTTGACACGATTTTACCAATAAAACAAAGCTGCATATGCACCCTTGAAGCCAAAATGAAATTTTTAAATGTTATTGTCATGACATAATTTTGATAGTAAAGTAATATTTAATGTGCTATAGAAATATAGAGCATGAAGTGGCTCTTTGATGTTTTTTATCATGATGGTTTTAGGAGACTGGATTTACCTAATATATTTGATCACAAACAAATGGCTCCCATTCCCTTTTAATAAAAAATCCATGACTAAGACTATTTAGATCAGATAATATATAATCTACCATTTTTCCCTAGGATAGTCTATATAATTCCAAAGGTGCTCACTAAATGGTGGTGAATAACTGTTTATTATCTACAATTTTTAAGTACTCAAATGCTATATTACCATATATTAACATTGAGCTAAAAGGTTTATTTTAAAGTTTATAATTTAATTTCTTTATTTTACAGATGAGGAAACTGATATATGATGTGAAATTAATTCACCAAGGTCACAAATTCAGAGACCTCAAAATACGTTAATATAAAAAAAACCAATCTGCTTGTCAATAAAGAGCAAATGACTCCACACCAAAAGAATAAAGAAATTTGATTCAACAAAATTTAACTGAACACTATTAGCTTCTTGATTTATAATTTTAATCAATTATTAAAATAAATATGATAATCATCTATTCCTAACACTACTTATCTGATTTTGCAAATGTCTCCTGTGAGCATTTATATTTGCTGTGGGTGACATTTAGATCTATGGATTTTAAAAGCATGGAATAATTTACTTGATATATAATATGTGTTAACTATGACAGCATTACTCATTGTGCTGACTTGAGTCACTAGTTTTCATGAAGAATTCTAAATAAATGATACTGACCGGAAAATAAAGTTTGTGAGGCTGAAGAATAGTAACACTATCTACTAGTAAGAGTATTAGTTCTGGAAGTTTCCGTTAGTGACTCATTAGAATCAAACTCTATAATATATCTATGTTTAATATCTGCCAATGTCTCTGTATACAATATTAGATATCTTAGATATTGACAATCTCTATTCCTGAATTGAAGTAGCTTTTGAAGTCCAAAAAATTGTGCCACTGAATTCAAAGCTTTCAAATGATAAAACTAATACTCTAGTTAAGAGCAGTGTGTAGGAGGGATAAGTAGCCTTAATACAAAAGACTTATAAGAGATCCCAAGGGTTGTTTGCAAGGTAATTAATCAATCATATGCGTGTGGAAGCACTTCTGAACACTATTTAACAACATGGCACTTAACGGCTCTGAATAGTTTCCTGCAATCAATTTTAAAAGAATCCTTATTACAGTACTTTAAATTTTCACACTACAAAATAACAAATGATTCTACAGAGGCTTACTTTTTTAAGCAATAATTTAATTTATTTTTTTATTTAACTTTTTTAGAGATGGATTCTTGCTATGTTGGCCAGGCTGGAGTGTAGGCATAATCATAGTACACTGCAGTCTCGAACTCCTGGACTCAAGTGATCCTCCCACCTCAGCCTCCTGAGTAGCTGGGACTGCAGGTGCATGCCATCATGCCCTGCTTTTCTACTTTGGTTTTATTACTAGTACTCATCAATCCATTCCATTTCAAAACTATAATGAAATTTGATTCAAATTGAAGTTTCAATGTGTCTTTTCCACTAAGTATTGCAAAACAACTGATTGTAATTTAACTACAATACTGACTTGCCAACTAAATCTTTAAAAAATTAAATATTTATCAAAGCACAGATGAGTTTTGGATCCCAGAAAAGAGTTCTGGATCTGGAAAAGGGGAGAGAAGTAGATTTTAGGTGTTTCAAAATATATAAGAGGGACTGACTTCACAAAAAGAAATGGAAGGAGGCATAACTTGAAAGAAAGATATGCCAGGCAATTGTTTCGAGACTGGTTTTATTTCCATTATAGTTTCTTACACATAGGTGGCCATACGTTAGTAGTTCTCCCTTTCCTGAGAATTTAAACATAGTAGGAATTCAGTAATCTCTATTAAATAAATGCACAAAACCGACATAGTCACTATCATTTAAAGTATTTAAATATAAATGAGGTAATTGATACAAATTCTATCAGGGCCTTTCCTGGCAGTAACATCTTTGCTAATTGGTTGCTGAGAAACAATGACTTTGCCATTTCCCTCTGTGTTAAACAGAATCTTACCGGTGCTAACTTAGCCATCTTTCCCATGAGGTTAAGATTTTTGTCTCAAAGACCAGGAGCTCTTGGTAGTGTGCAAATTTATTATTTAAGTTCAAATAAGATCTCTGGTCACCTAGAAAGCTTTGAATACACACTTGCACACATACTCCACTCATAATATACACTGGTACATGCAGGACAGGTAGGGAGGTTGGAGTGAGCCGAGATCACAACACTGCACTCCAGTCTGGGCAACATGGTGAGACGCTGTCTCAAAAAAAGAAAAAAAGGAAAGAATGGGGAAACCACACAGTCACTGGTTTATACTACTGATGAAATCTAACTTGTCTGCCATTGAGAAAAACCACAGTTGAAAAATTGTTTTAAATAGAAATGGAATCTTGTCTCTGAAATCATTATCTTGTCATTATTCTATGTGGCCTCTGGTTCTGAACTCTGGAAAGTTCTTCTTCACTGAGTATCCTCCATGGAGACCTGAATTGACTTTTGGAAAGAGAATGTGTAGCATTCACAAGCTGCTGCTTATCGGTGAATTTTTGGAGATCTGAGGACTGTTTTCTACTCTTGGGTTTTTTGGGCAATGCAAATTCCCTGAGACACTTAATCCGCATTTGCTTTCATTGGTATCATGTTAACATGTAGTCCATCAACACAACCAGAATTCTTTCTTAAACGCAGATATCAAATCTGTGTATTTCTTTGCTGTTTCAATTAATTCCACATCCTTTCTCCTTCATTCTTAATCTGATTTTTGCCAATAACTTAAGCCTGCTGTTCAATTAAGAATTGTTACTACGTCTCTAGTCCTCAAAACATTTTAAATACAAAAGCAGTGAAATAATTTTGCAACTATACAAAGCCCCCAATTTTCCAGACTCTTTCTAAATTCCTTCTATTTAAGCTCTCCAAGCAGCCAATTCTTGACAAAACTAATCTTTTTCATTTAATGTCTTTCTTAAAATGGCAAATAATAGCTGTTACACACTAATATTTTGGCTTTTTGATACCTTTGCTCCTTGAGCTACAGGCTCATGGGAATTTGGTCTGTCTTTCAAATTCTTATAAGCAAAAGTTTTACCAGGTATTTTACTTCTGAATTCAATGAGACTTCATTTCTGCAGGCTCCTTGTAACCTTACTCACACTTCCTTGTAACCTACCAATGCCACATAGTTTATATGTTTGCTATGGCAACACCTTGCTTCAAAGTACCAATTTCTATCTTATTTAGCAGAGGATGCTCTGCAATAATAAATGATGTAACATGTACAATGGCTCAAACAAGTCTGAGGTGAATATTTCTGCTCCGTAGGCAGTTCTTCTCTTTGCGGAGACCTGATTTCATCTGGCTCCACCATCCTCTATGGTCTTTCCATCACTGCATCCTACCAACAGAAGAAATAGTGTGTAGAAGGGAGCATATCCATCTCTCAAAAACCCTGACCTGAAAATGCTACATATGACTTACGTTCTTATCCCACTGACCAGAGCTCATGCACGTGATCAGACCATACCGCAATAGAAATTGGGAAATGTACTCTAACTGTCTGTTAGGGATGTCTGTCTGTAGAAGAATGACAAAGAAAATGTGGTATATATACAATGGTATATTAGTCAATCCTAAACAGAAAACGATTTGGTGTTATACATTCTACCGGTTTGTACAAATGTATAATAACTTGTATCCACCATTATAGCATCATACATTAGATTTATTTTCACTCTCTGAAAATCTTTTGTGTTTCACCTACTCAATCCTCCCTTTTCCCTAACCTGTGGCAACCACTGATTTTTTTTTTCACCACATCTATAGTTTTGCCTTTCCCAGACCATCGTATAGTTGAACTCATACAGTATGTAGCCTTTTCAGAATGCCTTCTTTAAATTCGAAAGATGCTTTCAAGTTTCCTCTATCTTTTCATGGCTTGGTAGCTTATTTGTTTTTACCATTGTGTGATGTATCAAAAATAAATCCTAATGTAAAATAGAGACTTAGGGTGATAACGTATGTTAATGGAGACTTATGAACAGTAGAAACGGTACCACTATGTTGGGGGATGTTGATAAAGAGGGGGGTGATATATATATGGGGACGGGGGGATATGGAAAAATCTCTATACCTTTCTCTCTATTTTGCTGTGAATCTAAAACTCCTTTAAAAGAATAAAGTCTTACAAAAGAGAAAAGGAAGATGATGATGAGGAGGAAAGTCTTTCATTCACGACAACACGAATGAACCTAGAGGACATTATGCCAAATTAAATAAGCCCGTCACAGAAGAATAAATGTTGCATGACTCCAATTATATAAGGTATTTAAAATAGTAAAATTCATAGAAGCAGGGAATACAATAGTGGTTGCCAGGGACTGAGGAGAGGAGGAAATGGGTTATAAAGTTGCAGTTAAGATGAATACGTTTTAGAAATCTGTGCAACATAGTACCTATAGTTAACAATGTGGTATTATGTACTTTAAAATATGTTAAGGAGATAGATTTCATGTTAAGTGTTCTCACCCTGGAAAAAAAAAACATACACAAATGTACAGAGGAGAACACAAGGAAATATGTTGAGTTGATGAATATGGTTAATACCTTGATTGTGATTATGGCATTATGAGCATATGCATATATTCATAATCATCAAAAGTATACATTATGTGCCTTTTTTTTATAGCCATTATACCTCAATGAAGCTTAAAAAATAAATATTTGTAAATGTTTGTGTCTGCCATGGGTCCCTTTGAAAAATTTTTTTATTGTTATGGTAGCCTGGTCATTAAAAGTAAAAATATTTTATGAATTTAGCTTTTTTCCCAGTAGATGGAGAATAACTGATACAGAATGATGATGTCTGTCTCTTTCTCTTTTTTCTTTTCTTTTCTTTTCTTTTCTTTCTTTCTTTCTTTCTTTCTTTCTTTCTTTCTTTCTTTCTTTCTTTCTTTCTTTCTCCTTCCTTCCTTCCTTCCTTCCTTCCTTCCTTCCTTCCTTCCTTCCTTCCTTCCTTCCTTCCTTCCTTCCTTCTTTCTTCCTCTCTCTCTCTCTGTTTCCAGTTGGATAAATTGTAGGCTCCTTCAAGAAAGGACTCAGGGTTTTGTATTTTGAACATTTATAATAATTGATACATAAACATGACAACAGAACAGTGTTAAATAAGTAAATATTTTTTTCTGTTCGTTGTTTAAGGTCTAGAGCATAGTTCAGCATTTGTTTCACATGTGGTCAGATAGTAAATATTTTAGGCATTTTTAGCTGAATAATCACCATTGCAAATAGGCTGTTTGAATGCAAAAGCAACTGTAGACAATAAGTAAATAGACATGTGTGGCTGTGTTCCAAAAACTTTTATTTAAAAAAACAGACAGCAGGCAGGAGTTTGGTCATTGGAGTTAATTCTTGCTTTACCTTTACTGGCTGCTTACTATAAGACAACATTCTTAGGTTCTCTGAATCTTTCTGAGTTCCAGTGAAAAATGGAAATGCTATCACCTGTGGGTATTTTCAATATTACATAAGATAATGTATGAGCCTAGATCAGAGGAGATGCTCATTCAGTAGACATACACTCTCATGATACCTATTCCTTGTCAAATATTTGAAGGTATGAAAGTTAATTTTGAATGTCTTTTTGCCTTTTAATAGAGTCAGGAACATTGTAGAATTGAAACTGTATTATTTTTTCTATTTCCCACCAGGGGTTCGATAGTGGATGCTCAATAAATATTTATCTAAGGACTTAAAGACTAGCATATCTGTGTTATCACGTACTAATCAGAAGAGGTTCCATAACATTGCTGCAGAACAGTGATTCTTAACCTTTTCAGTTTTATATTTCTCCTGTTACTATATCAAAGAATGTGGACCTCAGCATGATAGAAATAAAAAGGGTACTTTATTCTGATAAAGATATGGAGATGTTTATAGACATTGTTTTGTTGTATTTATCACTAATTGTAAATTTTAGGGACTGGATTACTGCTTTTGTATTGATGGAAACTAATTTTATAGCTCTGGCTTTAAAACAAATAATTCTATTCAGTTTTGTTGAAATGTAAAATGATATAAATGAGAAGAAAGGTATTGCTATGGTAACTGTAAAACTCAAAGATAACACTAATAATTTTTAAATTGACGTGGTATTATTGTCAGGCAAGTTTGGCAGGAGAAACCTGCAATAGTGGTTATAGGGCATAAAAAGTGAGGGATGGTGAATTCTTAAGAATTGTTTTGGGAAAACTGCGGCCCATCGGGATGTTTTATTTTCTTTCCAGGGTTATGCTTGTAGTTAGTTAAAAACAACCAGAACCTAAAGGAAAAACTTTCTATTTCCTCCCAGAAGCTGAAATTTTTTTCTGAGGACTTTGTATCAATACTATGTAAATGGAGTTTTTAATTCAAAAATAAAAAATGCCACCCTGTAATCTATGAAAAATAGAAAAATATTATTACACTTGACTTTTTTCACACACAATTTAATCAATATTTGAAGCATGTACATGTACAACATGTACCAGGAGCAGTGCAGGGTAATGAGGACATCAAAATAAATACTTGACAAACAGCAGCTCCTCAAACCTTTCTTGGTTGGAGAAATAAATAGATGTCTTCTTCTTCTAATTGAATTGAAGTATTTTACCCCCACTAGATTACTGGCTTCTTAATGGTAGCCCATATTATCCAAGATCATTTTTATATCATCTAGGGAATTTAACACATGATGGCGTTTACATACATAAATGTATGTCAACTATAAGCATTAGATGAATTATTTCTTGTATTATTTTTATTGTACAGAAGCACATGTCAGTAAGAGGGTAAAATATTATTCCTCTTTTTATATCACATTGTTTAAGCCAGTTGACTATTTGAGAAAAAATAAATTTAAAGCATTATTAAAACATCATTTAAAAGTGTTCTTAACATTATTAAAATATTCACAGTGTTAACATTTCAGTGTTGAAGTGACTGCAATTAGGGACACTTCATATTTGTAAGAAATTATAGCTATACGGCATCATAAACAATACTAAATTTTATCTCTCTCACACATTTTTTTCTTGCTTCTAGTCAGATAGTAAATGGTTTGGAAGTAAGTAAGTCCAAGCCAGTAAAGAAAGTCTCAGAGAGAAAAAGATACATGGACGTCATCCGAGAGGAAGTTAGCATTAAAAATTGCCATCAGCAACTTAGATCTCTCATGTCTGAGAATTTCTAAATATCCCTCAGCCTATAGCACTTACAAAGAACTCTGTGGTTTACAGGGTTCAAACAGATTATCCCATTTGAAACCCTCAACACTCTTGTGAGCTACTTACGCAGTTATTTTACTACTACTCTAATTTTAAAGATTGTAAAAGTGAAGTTCAGAGAAGTTAAGTGACTTGCCCAAGACCATGCAGCTAATAATTGATGGAATCAGTTTTATAACCAAGCTCTTCTCAGCTCTTGTCTTGTTCTCTGCCAACTATACTATGGTGACCATCTAAAGTAATAGTTTACAAGACTCAAAATACTCTCCTAAAATCATGTAGATTGTTTAAAAATATTACCTGGAGTAGAAACGTGGTTTACCAAGATAAACAATAGGTACACATTTGGAAGGTGAATATTATGGGCCTAGCACACATTTTAGCGATGCTTCTAACCAGATGGAAGTCACTTAATCTCAATTTTCATATCTATAAAATTGAGATGGTAGTGACTTCCCTACCACATTCTAAAATGGCTATGAAAATCAAGGAGCTTTATAAACTACAAATCCTTACATAATCATGGAATATTATCATGAAATCATTCAATAATAGATGCAAAGTGGACACTACCCCAGATTTCGTGGTTAGATACTCAGTTTGGGATTATACTGTAGCTAAGAGACACAAATTCTAGCCTTGGCTCTGCTACTACTTGGCTGCATATCTTTAAAAAAATCTCCATAGCCTTTGTCTGTTTCTTCATCTGCATTATTAGGCTGAACTGGATAATATCAAAAGATATTGAATGTTGAACACCCAACTTCCTGTGTTGAAGGTCTGTGATTCTAAGTGAATCCAACCATTCTATTTGGCTTAAACTCCCTAATCATCAACAGAAAAAATTGCAGAGACAGCTGGCTGGGGTTAGAGGCACAGTCTCTGGCCACACAATAGAATACAACTAAGGAGACCACACTGCCATCAAACAGATGATAGGGCTCTCATTAGCAAAGTGCTGAATCCAGTGACATCCAGGGACAATTGCAGCTGGCATTATTCTCACATTAAGATGGATGTTCAATTAGATTGCCTATGCTAGCTTAGTCTGAACTCATCCTCTGAAAATTCAAGGATACTCTCTTTGGTTAATAATCAGAGTTTGGGAAATAATCATTAAGCTCATGCTTTGCGGCACATCTACTATGTGGATAACAGCACACTACTGCAATGGTAAAACTAAAAAATTAATAGTACTCACCCTTCTGTTCTGAAAGGAGTATGCACTTTAACACCAGAGAGTTTTGTGTTCAGGGCCCCATCTGTTGCTTACGGGCTTTATCTTTTATTTGCCGTTGTGTTCACTGATTAACACTATACCTGGCAAAAAGTAGATGCTTATTATGTACTAATGAAATAAACAGCCCTGGGATTTTTATGTATTTTCTCTGTGCCTGAGCTTCTTCAAATAAAATGGGAATAATAACACTGAATTTGTAGAGTAGTTGTGAGGATTAAATAGGATAAGAATAGAAAGTCCTTTCCATGGTAGGGACGCTCAAAAAACGTCCATTCCCTTCTTTTGCACAAACTTTCCTGCAATTTTTAATTCTGGTGTGGGGGAAGTACGGATGACATTTATCAGCAGATCTTCAAAAGTAAAATAATCTATATAATAAATTATATCAGGAAAAGGAGCATTAATTCTGACTGAGAGATGAACACAATGAAAAACAACAAAAATTGCAAGTAACAAAATGCCACTGAGGTAGCCACTCAACAGAAGGACACATAAATAATCCAAACATGGTAGAAATCCCATATCCCCTACTTTCCCTGCTGGCCGCACTGATGAGCCACATCAGATGTGATGAGCATGAACACTTAGAGGCATAGCTTAAGATAGAAGAGTACCCTGGATCAGAGTTGCAGAGATGGCTTTGAGAAAGATCTATAGCACTCATAAGGCAGAGCTTTTTGTTTGTTTGTTTTGTTTTATTTTAATAAAAATAGCATTAGCTAAGAAGAAAAGCTTAGAGCTCAGAGTCATAGAGACACAAGTTCAAGTCTTACCTCTTTTACTTATAAATTGTGAGAGCTAGGAAAAGTTATTTAGTTTCTCTAAGCATCAAATGCTATAATCTAAAAAATAAATATAAAAATACTGACTTTGCAGATTTGTTTTGAGAATTAAATGAAACTGTATATCTAGTATACTGCAGAGACTACTCTTCATCTATCCTCAATGTCTACCATAACACCTAATAGGTAGTAGGCATTCAATGTGTATTTTCTGGATACATCAAGAGTCACTAAATTAATAGTTAATCAGAATCATATCACCTCAGAGCGAATATACAGTGACTTACTGTATACTCACCTATAACAATAATTGGCATATAGTAGATGCTCAATAAATGTTCCCTTCCTTTGATTTAGTGGAAAGATTATTAGAAATATATTAGAATTTTTAACTATGACCCATAAAATTAGCATCAACTAAACTTTTGGAAGTCAAGTTGATTAAAGCAAATAGTATAATTTGGAAACCATAGTACATACACAACACTCAACAGTCAGAGAAAATCTTTGTGGTTCTATTACTAGTTGCTTAGAACACTTTATTGACAAAGTTAGCAGGGCTTCATGAGCATGTGAACAGTACATTGGCAGCGGGCCAGTGTGTTAGCCCATTCTCACACTGCTAATAAAGACATACCCAAGACTGGGTAATTTATAAAGGAAAGGTTTAATGGACTCACAATTCAGCATGGCTGGGGAGGCATCAGGAAACTTACAATCATGGCTGATGGGGAAGCAAACACGTCCTTTTTCATACGGCAGCAGCAAGAAGTGCCTAGCAAAAGCGGGGAAAAACCCCTTGTAAAACCATCAGATCTCATGAGAAGTCACTATCACAAGAACAGCATGAGGGTAATGACCCCCCATGATTAAGTTATCTCCCACCAGGTCCCTCCCATGACACATGGGTATTATGGGAGCTACAATTCAAAGTGAAATTTGGATGGGGACACATCCCATGCCCTGTAACTGTTGCCAGCTCCCACCCAGGGAGCCAGTTTGATCACATGAGTGGGATGGTCTGCATTCTTCCATTGTGCTACACTGCCTGATTCAGTCTGGACATGTGTATGGACAAGCTTATAGTTGGACACATACTCTGCAGCTTTGTGGACTGGGCAGGGCAGCAGTCACCCCTGCCTTTGGCTGGCAATGCCCCTGCACATTCAACAGATGTCTCATCATGCCTTTTCTACCCTCCCCCAATCCAGGTACTGAACACTTCCCGATACGGAGGTTTCAATCCCTTGGGCATCATCTGTCTACCCTACGTAGAAGAAGTGGGCTCCTGTGAGGGGAAGATTGATTTCCCGCCTTCAACCAGAGCCCTGCATTTGTATTTTGCACTGAACCTCAAAAATTATGCAGCTAGTCCTGACTGTCAGACAAGTAATATCCATGAGGCCAAAACTAGCAGAAATATTTTCTAATGTGACTAAGGGTGGTCCCCATCATGAATACACACCTAGACATCTGCGGCTTCTCTGAGCATGGAGCCTCTATATCTGTCTATCTATTTATCTACTTAAGATATTTACTTGGAAGCCTGAAATAACTCAAACTGAAAATGGCCTAAATAATACTTATGATTACTGCCACCCTACTCTGCCACTACCTCCAGTATGGTTATTCTCTGAGAAGCCACAATGATCGCATTCCATTTTAAAATCGAAAAACTCAAAGTTGCACTCAAAACTTCTGTCTCTCTCACCACCCCCCATATCTGATCTACATCAATTTTCCCTCCTAGATTTTACTTCTAAAATATCTCTTGAATCCAGCCACTTACATTTGTCCTTGAAATCATCATCTTAATACAAACTCCCATACTTGTCTGATTTAACTATATCTACTCTCTTGTCCCTTGCAAACAAGGTAATTGTTTTCCAGTGTAAATCTGATCACATTTCCCCCCTTCCATAAAGCTCTTTATGGCTTCTGATTTGTCTCAGAAAAAAGAACATATCTTTAACTTGACCTCCAAGGCCCTGTGTGATTTATCTCCTGCCTACACTGTCAACCTTTTCACACATTATTCTACTTATTACTGCCTATGCTTTGATCACACTGTCCTTCGTTAATTATTTCGAATGTACATGCATTCTTGCTGGCTTTGTCTCGCTCACCTCCCCAACCTCCTAATCAACTCCAACTTTTCTTCAAATTGCAATTTATTTATTGCTTCTTTGGAGGAGGCTGCTCTGATCTTTTTCTTGTATAATACAATTTAGCATGTCTTGATAATAACATGTTTTACATTTCTATTTATATGTGTGACTCTTTGATTAATGTTTGCCTCACCACACTAGACAATGGCCAGGTATGTTTTCTCTCCAGGATTCTCACAGTGAATGGTATATAGCAGGAGTTTAATAAATGTTGATTGAATGAATGAGTGTTTGTGCACTTCTACCATGTGTTTTTCTTCAATGTGCCTTTAGGACAAACAGTAAACACAGCTTCTACAATCTAATATGTGGCATGACTAAAAGTCATAGGTTAACGTTGTATTACTTTTGGAGAATCGTTTAGTCTTTTTGGAACTTAGGGGTCCTTAATAACCTGAAGATGTATTGGAGAGCAGCTTGCTGAAGCTATTTGCCATTTAACAGGGGAAAATGTTCAAGAAACATCACTTTGCTTTCGCTTTGTATTTTCACATCTTTCCTGTGTGCACGTGCTGTGTGTGAGGGGTATGTAAACCAGGGACCAGTTTGATTGTTGTCATTATTGCTATTCAATTGTTATTTTTATTTACTTGGAAAGTGCTGCACATGTTCATGACTCAGGATATTTTTTAGAGTGCAAAGTGTTTAGCAGATTTAGTAAGGGTAAAGACGGGTAGCCATGCATGCACATGTGTGGGTGAATGTATGTGTGTTTAACATTTAATTTGCCTGTTTTTGTCTTTGTTTGTCTTTTTAAGAGAAAAGTATTTCCTAGAAAATCTGCCACCCCAAAATGGCCCTGGTCAACCAGTCCTACTTGTAATCATTTAATTGGTCCCTCAGGGTTCGCCCTAACCCTGTGCCATTTGATTGTTTTTGAGAACAGCCAGGTTGTGGCCTTGTCTCTATTTCCAGTCTCTGGAACTTTATGATCAAAGTTAATTATCCACTTTGTCTGTGTAGTTTTTCACAAGATTGCAAATAGTTTGAAGGTAAGAGCAGTTTCTGTTTAAAATTGTCTTCCCTAGGTCTTTGTCCACAGATTCTCAAATATTTGCCAGATGGATGACTGAATTAGGCCTGTGTATACCTAGGATATAATTCCTTGGGACTCTTCACCACCTTACATTAGCACTAACCCATCTGACAAAGCATACCTGAGGCCACTTCAAGGAGATGATTCAGCCTGCCTTATGTCTAATTTTCTTCTTGATCCACTTATACATGGGCCAGACATTAGGACATTTGTAAGACAGAGCATTTTAGAAACTCAGTAGTGTTGGGACTTTTTCTACTCCCCGTAGTAGTGTTCACACATGGACTTTGGAGTCTTGGAGTCAGGCAACTTAGGTTGAAGCCTTGGCAATGCCATCTATTATTTCTGTATATTTGAACTAGTCAATTATCTTTGATATTTAATTCTTCATCAGTAAAGTGGAATTAGTAATAATAATAAATTTACATTGCTATTTTTGGAATAAAGTGAAATATTTTAAATAAAACCACTTTATAAAGCATAAAATAACTTCTTACGCTAAGTATTTATTTTCACTTAGTGAATGATGAGCAGTTTCATTTCTAAACTAGACTAAAACTATGACTTCTTACAATATGGTTAACAAATTTCTATGCTTAAAGGAATTACTTATTAATGATCATATACAAGGAATTTCTGAAAGAGATCAAGGAGAATTCTGAGTTTATAATTTTAAAATACTGAAACTAACATATGGGTACACATGTATTATATGATGAAGTTGATCACAGTAGATTCTGTATGTTTCCAATGTTAAAGTTTAAAAGATAACATTGTCTCATTGGATCATCAAAGCTTACTTTGAGGTAGAACCTCACTTTATAGTTGAGGACATGGGAAGAAAACTCAGAAGAGGACAATGAAAGTTTCATTTTTCATTTTGTATTTAAGGGCAACAAAACCAACCAAGTGTTTGTAGTAGCATTACTCATTTCATAGAATACAGAGACAAGATAGCTCTTTTAAGTTTTGTGGAAAGAAAGCTATTCAAATTTTTATAATGCTTTCATTAAGATATTTTACTTACCTTTAAATGATTGTCTTCTTTACCTGGGTTCCAGGAAACGTGTTACTTTTTGTCAATGAAGTTAAAATGCATGCAGCTATTATTGCCATTTTTAAATTCAAAATGGAAATCAATAGTCTTGATAAACCCAATGGGAAAATCTTTAAATAATTTTTCTGCATGTAAACAGAATACTTGGCACAAAGAAAATATTCTACTAACAAAACCTCCCTTTATTGTGATATCAATGCCTATTTTTTTTTCCCTCTCCAAGTAGAAAAAAAAAGATAATCAGAGATTATGGTTACTTAGTGTTTTTGAGAGAAGAGGCTTCTCACTATAAAAATTTTAAGAATTTCTATGAAATCAGTGCATAATTAATAGTTATCAACAATCTATTGATATTTCTGGAATCTAATATATTAGAATAATAGAATTAACCATGGCAGCTTCCTCTAAATCTTTTCAGCATATTGTGTAGTATAGGCAACAAGCAAATCAACTGTGTGTAATTATAAGACATTAACTTAATTAATTTAACTTGTATATGGAAGCTAGACACAAAATTACTAGTTTTTGTCCTTTAGTGTCAAAAGAATGTGATTACTAAATGAGGTTGGCAAAACCTCATTTAAAAAATAATTTTAGCCTACTGACTTAATCATGAGATTTTTTCCAAACAGTAATTATATATATATATTTTAAATTGACATGGCATTATAAGGTGATGGTTTTTGGGGAAAAATAAGTAGCTCAAATTGTGCTTTACAATGCATTTTGAGGTTTACTGTGGGGCTAAATTCTATGAAACATTTCTGTTGTCTCCTGATTATTGGATTCAAAACGTGGTCTCTGGAAATTTCCAAATATGTGTTGAATAAATCCCAAAACCTGTTTTCTCTATATCGATACCTTTTAGATACGAAGAGGAAGGAAGTAAGCATTTCAGTGGATTCCGTGTGCCTGTTACTCTAATCATTCATACTATGTACTCTCATTTCATTCCTCAATAACCATAAGAAGGAAAAAGGGGTTAAGATGCATTGGAAAATTATTATTTGCTAGGATTCATAGATAAATTATTCTTTTTAATTATTTTAATAACCATAAGGGGTATGAATAATCCACATTTATTCAATATACAACTGAATCTCAGAAGCTTAGTGACTTGTGCCAGGACCCACAGATTGAAGTGAAAGATATAGGAATCAAACTTAGGCCTTCTGATACAAAGTCTCAGGCTTCTACCTTTATATGGCAGCTGCCAGGCAGGCAAGAGTTACTCCAGAATAAGTGGATGCTTGGAACACATTTTGAAACTCCTTTCATTCATCCAGCTGATTTCTTTTCATACTCTTCTGCAGACATAGGGCCATAATCAATGAAGTGCTATGTTGAGGTATGAGGTATAGGGAAAAAACTTGGAAGAAAATCTAATATTGTGGCTGGGACAAGTACACACAAAGCAAATTTGTTGAAAATTTTCCAGTGTCTTTAGATGGGTGAGTTCACAGCAGGAGGAGAACATGAGGTAGTTGTCAGATTATCTTCCTATTATGAAATTATGGCTCTAGTGGATAGAGAAAACCGCATGTTCCAGAACAGGATGGAAAGTCATGCAGTATCTCTGGGGCATCTACCATGTGTTCATAATAAGAAAGGGGAATGGCATCAGCATTAATACAAGTAATTCTAGCTGCACAAACAGAAACTTCTAAATTGTTAGTGGCTTAAAACAATATAAGTTTAATTTTCACTAATGTCACTGTCTGATGCATTGTGCCTAGTCAGTATACACTCAGGGACCCTAGTGTCTTCATGATCCCACTCTCTTGTAGATGCTAGGAGCCCTCTCTATTCAGCCAGAAGATAAGGAAAGATTTCACAACAAAAGCAAACTTACTTTTTAAACATTTTGGCCAGAAGTGACAAGACTTAATTCAAGTCATATTTTATTGGCTAGAATGACTCATATAGCCCCAATTTAGATATACAGAGTGCTAGGAAACATAGCCCGTGTTTAAGGAGCCACTTCCCCACAGTAACTACACCATGGAAGGGCAGCAAGCATTGTTGGGTGTCATGCTGCCTTATAGTGTCTGCTTAGTATCTTCTGGGGAATATTCATGTGCATGGAACAACTAGAGAAAACTAAATAGTCTATTGCTGGCCAGGCGTGGTGGCTCATGCCTGTAATCCCAGCACTTTGGGAGGCCGAGGTGGGCAGATCACGAGGTCAGGAGTTCGAGACCAGCCAGGCCAACAGGGTGAAACCCCATCTCTACTAAAAATACAAAAAAAATTAGCCAGGTGTGGTGGCTTATACCTGTAATCCCAGCTACTCAGGAGGCTGAGGCAGGAGAATCGCTTGAACCCAGGAGCCAGAGGTTGCAGTGAGCTGAGACCATGCCATTGCACTCCAGCCTGGGTGACAGAGCAAGAGGCCATCTCAGAAAAAGAAAAAAAAGTAAAAAGAGTCTACTGCCAAAACTAAGGAGTGAAGGTGAGGAAGAAGAACAGGTCAAACAACAAAATCGTGAGGCATGGACAATGACTATCACTGGAGGAATTCAGGGTGTTGTTTGAGAGACTGAGGAAATTTGAACTTTGCCTTGGATGAAGAAAAGCACTAAAATGACTGGATAATACAGGATTAAGGAAGAAAATGACATTTATGAAGCACTTATGATGGTCAAGAAACCTGTCAAACACTTTGCACATGGCTTCTCATTTAAGTTTGCAAGGTTGACATCATCAAGTCTTCAATATGAAAAATAACTAAAATGAAGAGAGACTTAAAAGCTCACTCCACATGGGTGGTGAATAAATGTTGAAACTATATCTCAAACTCAATTATGTCCAAATACAAACCTTGTATACCATGAACAAACAAGGTTAAATTGAACTCTCTCAAAAGTCTCTGTTCTAGACACAATTGAACATGATTAACATTTTACTCCAATTTTCTAGAAATCATTAAACTTCAGCTATGATGGAAGAGGATCAGGGAGGGCATCTTATGAGAAGATCTACTTGAACAATAACTCACACTATGAATAAATTCTACTTGATAATTAGTTGAAATCAGGTGATTGTAGAGAGGGGTAACAGAGAAAGAATTTGGGAAGACAGAAAGTCCTAGCAGATATGTAATGCCTACTAAATGCTAGAAACCCTGGCAGGCATATACTATACTAGATTTCAGTGAACCTTCATGTAACATTTGTTAATGAACCTTCATATAACATTTGTTAATATTTGTTAATATCCTCTGTTTTATATATATGAAGAAACAGAGACCTACAGAGATTACACAACCTTCAGTGTTACATGCCCAGGGAGAGTCTGAGACTGAATTTGAATTCACATTTGTCTAACTTAAGCTTTCAGGTGTAACATGATGCTGTAGTGTAAAGAAAAGCCAGAAGAAAAAAACACGAAAGAAATGTCTGAGAATGGAAGCTTCAGATGAAGAGAGAGAACACAGGAAGAAAAGGGAAAAGAGAGAGGATATACTATGTTTTTTCTTCTCTTTGATTTTGGTTCTTCTTCAGCTCAGTGGAAGAATGTAGAGGACAAAGATGATATTTACTAAGAAATAATAGATATGGCTAAAATGTTCAAACTCCAAATTTTATGGGCAAGATTTCAGAAAAAAATTTAAAATTTATGTATTCTTTAGGCATAAAAGCAAAACAAAGTATTTGAGTTTTAAAAAAGCTAATAAATTAGAAAAAAGTAGTTGGGTGAGGAGTGTGGAGTCCTGGATTAATAGCAATAGCACATTAGCTAGGTGTGGTGGTTTGCTCCTATAGTCTTGGGAGGCTGAGGCAGGAGGATCACTTGTGAGCTATGATCATGCCACTGTTGTCCAGCTTAGGCAACAGAGCAAGTTTCAAAAAAAAAAAATAGCTATGGCAAGAAAAATAGTTATGGATTTGGTTGACTTGAGTAATAAAGTAGGATTAATAGATATCTATAAATTTTGACTCCATTAAGAGAACCATAATGACAAAATGATGGGAGATGTGGTCTCTTTGAGGCAGGAGCCTTGTCTCTCTTATTCATCACTATATTCAGCAGGACAGAGAATGTGTCCTGGAATCCTAGTTTAAGCACTCAAAAATAATTGTTAAATGAGTGAGTAAATGAGTAAATTATATTTAAAACTGATCAGGTCACTCAGGAGCTCATGGAGTTTTTTTTTTCCCATTTTTATGGGTTTAAGACAAGAGAGGCAGACATTTATTCATTTCTGTTACAAATATTTACTGAGCCTCTAAAATATGTCAGATATTCTACTAGATATTTGAGATAAAATGATGCCAACAGAGGGTCTGTTCCTCATGGAGCTAATAACCTTATGGACATTCAGATGAAACAGTGTCTCTAAACTCCAGCTATATTAGAAGAAGAGGAAGAGAGCTCTTTGGGCTATAGGGAAGTGTATTTTAGGATATGTGGGTAAAAAAAAATAAATACCTTGAGCTATCTGAAATGACCTCATGTGGGGAGAAACATCTAATCACACTTGATAGTTCTAAAAATCATAATTAAATATAATTCATAGAAATTATAGGAAGGCAGCAGTCTGCTTATTATTAATAAGAAAACTTTTTAATAATTACTCTTCTCTGAAATGAAAGTTTCTGGCTCCTAAAGTGAGATCTCTTTCAAAGATGACTTTTGGGATGTTTGAGTAACCATCTCTAAAAATACTAAAAAGCAAATGCCAATTTGAATAATATAATCCATTTGAATATGTGAACTATTATTAATTATAGCTACGTGGTTGTTATACAATTATTTTTAAAGTGTCTTGTGTGTTTTTCTAAGTATTTGTGAAAATTTAACTTGTTATTAGCAGTAGTAATTTTTAGTAAAGGAAACATGGAAGGAGAAAAGGAAAGTTGGGTAGAACAAAAAGAAGCTTGCAATTTTGATTTATGAAAGAGGGAGATAAACACATCACAATTTGCACCTTAATTTTTGTCTGTTTGATCAAATTTAGAACAAGAATATTGAAGTCATTATACATCAGACAGATTAGAGATATGTTCTAAATTTTACATATGTATAGTTTCTGTTAAGTGGTACACTAGGAGAGATTTTTCTGAGCAAAGCAATGTTTAGCATTCCCTCTGATTGCAGAGGGATTTAGGAAATCCCATCTGAAGTATGGAGATTTCTCTTTGGTTAAATTGAGCTAATACGTAATTAAAGTTTATGTAAAAGTTTTACCTCCCTTGAATCATACAGATTCTCTTTGCCTCTAGATAGGTTTGACAAATGTAGTAAATAAAATATAGAACGGTCCACTTACATTTGAAAGCAATGTTTGGTACATCCTTATACTCAACAATTATTGTTCGTTGATCTGACATTCCAATTTGACTCTTTATATTTAATCTGGCAACTCTATTATCAAGCAGTGTTTTATAGTGGAGCAGGCATCAAGAGTTATTACTAGTTGACTTGAAAATATAAAAATGTGAAATTTCTGTGAAATACAGATGCCTACTTTGTCAGACTTGTTCTAAGTGTTAGAAATAAAGAAACAAATTTAAAACTGTTCTTTCCTTATGGATTTCAGGGTCTAGTAGTAGTTGACAAAGGTGTAAACTGAAATATATAAACAAAAACAATAGTATAGGTACTGTGAGAGAGATATGAATGGTGTAGGTGGCGGTAACCAAGGAGGATGAGTGCGGGCTTTAACCTGGCAGGAGTTGAGGAGGCTTAAGGAAACGTTTTATAACAGACAAAGTTTAATTTGTATCTGAAAAGACAAATTGGTCTTGAGCAGAAATACAAGCTCGACTTTAATAATTATTGAATATAATTTTTTAAATTAAAACCTACATTATGCCACCAGTCTACAAAGTGTGGCAATAAGTATAAAGCTTAATATTGCAAATCAGTGCCCTTTCACTTATAATAATATAAAATTTGTGCTTTTAAACCTGTATTATTTCTATAGCAAATGTAAGGAATTAATTAAATGCTTAGGACTCCAAGCAGAATTCAGATAGACAGTATCTTTAGGACAAAAAGCCAAACCCTTGCTGAGTGAGTCAATAATATATTAATTAACATTTTGAACCAGCATGCTGCTATTTATTGGTCTTCTCATAAAGTATTTCATTTAAATTTATTGAGATGTATTATCCTTGTAGCCTGTAACAAGCTATTAAAAACAGTGCCAATGAACAAAATAATTATCCAAAAGCATGGCCACCAGCTGAGCCAGAGGCTTGATCGGTTAATTGTCTGGATAACAGTGGCTATGACAAGATGCCTTTATTTAAACTTCTTACAACCCTATGCAGAAGCGCCAAGAAAATTCATTTGCATACTATCAGCCTTGTGTTGGTGACTGTGTGGTGAATTTAAAAGAAAGATGAAGTAGTAATAGTGGCAGCTAATCCAGAGATTTACAAAAAGACTTGAAAAAAAAAAAGGTGAACAAGGAGAAACCAACTGTTATGAAGAACCTACTAGGTTCTGGGTTCTTTACATATATCATCTTATGTAACACAGATAGACGCAGCACTATAGGTCAATATAATTATACATCTTTTTTATGTAATAGTGGATGTAATAGGTCGTGGGATGTTAAGCAGCTGGAAAGGGAATATATAGCTCAAAAGTAGTAGAATTGAGATGTTAACCAGAATTATTTAGCACCAAAGTCGAAACATTTGCACTCTACCAAGCTATATGTAGGTTCATGTAAGTTCAGTATTAGTGGTAATAATTATTATCATATATTGAATTGAATTATTAAAAAATGGCACAGACATTCCCACAAAGTAGCAAGGTGGAGTGTTTTGTCCCTAAAACTTTCAAAGCAAAGCATTGTCAGCTGTAGATCAAAGAGCCTAATTCTATATTGAGAGCAAGTTTGGGCAAAAAACCATTCCCATTTTTTTCTAATTCTATTCTTCATCCTATTGTGTATGACCTAGTCTTTGGCCACCTGAAATTGCTTTCCTGATATTTAAAAATACCAAACACTTTCAAGAGTGTGTGTCTTTTCCACAGTTTCTTCTTCTTAGAATGCCTTTTTGTTTTATGGGATACTTTTTCTTCAAGGCCCAATCACTCAGTTTTTGACTTCTCTTAACAACTCGACATCCAGATAGATTCAGTGGTCCTCTTTTTTTTTTTTATTTTAATTCACACTGTTTTGAATATATTTCTTTATAGTTCTATTATAATTTATTAGAGATATTATATGTGTTTTTACATCTAGATTATAAGCACCCAGTTCCTTGGGGGTCAATAGGAGGTTATTAACAATCCTTAGAGACAAGATGAAAGTGTTCATGGTCAAATTTGAGAAATTAAAGGTTTTTCCAGGATTGCTTCATAGATTCCAAGGACATAACACCCCAATCCAGAGAGCCAGTGTCATTACATACTTATCTAGAATATATCCCCTATGTATGTCTAGTCAGATTCCTTTAACATGCCTTCTTTATGTCTAGCTCGGGAGCTTTGTTTACTTTTATCAAAAACTTTACTTTGCTCTTTAACTACTCTAGAATACTCTATGTAGAGATGACAAGTAGGCTTTATAGAATATTAAAACGGTTGATGATAGACACCTGAGTGTTATATTAAAAATCACTTTGACTCTGTATGTGCTAAAGATCACCATGTTCTATCGAAAAGCATCTACATAAAGAAAAACAGTTGTTTGCATATTTGCTCCACATTGGTGATCTCCATGCTGTGTCTTGCATTTTCCTTATCCAACGTTCCCTCCACACAATGTTCTCTTGATTAAGAAAAAGACCCAAATCCAAAGGCAGAGTCCTGATAAGATAAGTAAGCAACAACCAGGAGGGGACCACAGGGTGGGGTAGAACAATTGTTCTGAGAAACAGCTTACCACAAATAACCTGTTTGTACAACGTCTTATTCTCAAATACCTCATTCCAAGTGTAGCCCAAGCAGCATGACCAATTTGCATGTAGCCTTTCCAGGACAACCCTATAAAACTTCCCTTCAGTCCCTGTCTCTGGGCAAACAGCCTTCTCTCTGCTGTACTGCCCATTGCCCTCTTTCAATGAGTATTTATACTTTCTCTAATCCCTGCCTTTCTTCACTCATGATTGTCTTGGTAAATTCTTTTACCTTCTACAACATCATACCCAGCCAGCTGCACCCACATTTTGATGGTCTGTACAGGAAACCTCTTCTCTACTCTCCCCCTTTCCTCTCCTCCAACTCCAACATCTCTGTGATAACGTCCAAGCCCAGACACAACCAATGGTCCCTGGTAGGGCCTACTCTCCGGAGAATCAGAAGGTCCTGGTGGAAAGAGATCTAACTGCCACCACCACATCAGGTGAAAGTTTAGTTTACTTTCCTTCCAGTCTTCCAGCAGACAGTCTCTAGTATCCCTCTGGCAACTGATGGCAATTTGCCAGGGCCACTGCCTGGTGCAGCTTAAAGGCCAAAGGGTGAACAGGTTTGGCTGCCTTGCCCGGAAGGGAGGAAGACTCTCTCCTATCCTTTCTGGTCAAAAGTCCCCAAACCCTATGTGTGGCATACTTGGCAGAGGCAGCTACACCAGTGTAAACCCACACATGGTTTGGAGACTTCAGGCTCCCTCTTTCTCACTCTAAAAATTTCCTGTGAAGGCAGGCAGCCTTCCTGCTCCTGGCAGTATCACCTGATTTCTGTTTGTTTGTTTGTTGTTTGTTTGTTTGTTTGTTTGTTTTTGAGATGGAGTCTCGCTCTGTCACCCAGGTTAGAGTGCAATGGCTCAATCTTGGCTCACTGCAACAACTGTCTCCTGGGTTCAAGCGATACTCCTGCCTCAGCTTCCCAAATAGCTGGGACTACAGGCCCGTGCCACCATGCCCAGCTAATATTTGTATTTTTAGCAAAGACCAGGTTTTCACCCTGTTGGCCAGACTGGTCTCAAACTCCTGACCTCAGGAGATTGGCCCGCCTCAGCCTCCCAAAGTGCTGGGATTACAGGTGTGCACCAGGGGACCAGTGGATCGCCTGATGTTTTAAGCCAGATGATCCCTAACAGCACCAGGATGGTGAGTCTTCCCTCAACCTTTTCCCCTTGTACCTGGACTGAGCACCCAGCGTAATTCGTACCTGGGCTGCATGGGGTTGATCACCCAGTGTTCATCCAGCAGTAAGGCCCTAATGCCAGTAGGTGGGATGCCCCTTTGGAAAGTGGATCTCAGAGTCCCTCAGAGGACATAAGTGAAATCCCCTTTCCTTGCTGGGATGCCCCAAGAGAAATAAGGTTTGTGTTCCCAGCAGATGTTCTTCCTTAGTCCCACCATGGGACAAAGCCCTTCCATTCCCTCAGACTTGTCCCTCAGCAGCATTCTAAAATATTGGGATAAATTTGACTTTCAGGCTCTCAAAAAGAAATTTCTAATTTTCTTGTGGAATACAGCATGGCCACTTTATAAACTTTCGGATCATCAATCCTGGCCTCCTGGTGGGCCCTTTGCCCCCAACACTGTTCTGCAGTGTGACCCCTCCTGTTGCAACTCTTCTAAGTGGTCTGAAGTTCCCTATGTCCAGGAATTCATGACTCTCTCTTGGGATCCTAATCTCTGTCAAACCCATTGAATGGGCTTGGCCAAATTCTTTGGCCCTACTGACTCTTGACATTTTAGAATACCCTTCTTTTATTTCTTTTACTCTCCTGTTCTCTTCACCTTGCTGGATTGATTGTCAGGTCTTCTTCCCCTGACAGACCTCCTTCACTTTCAATTATGCCTACTCCATCTCCCTCACCGTCCCCCTGATATCCCAACCTTAGATGTTATTTTCCAGTGCTTCTTCCTTATCAGGGACCCATCTCCCCTTCACACCTGTAATCCCATTTCAGCCTCAGAAAATGTTTTCCACTCCAGGAGGTGGCAAATGGGGATTTAGGAACCATCAGAGTCCATATTCCTTTCCTAATGTCTGACCTTTCCAAATAGAGACTAAGCTCAGCTCTTTCAGTCAGGACACTTCTCACTTTATGAACAAATTTGAAGGACTTACCGTTTCCTTCCACTTCACCTGACAGGACATTTATATTATTTTCACCACTTGTGGCATTCATGTGGTAAAATCCTGCATTTGGTCCACAGATTTTTTGTTTTTTTGTTTTTTTGTTGAGATTGGGATCTCACTCTGTTGTCCAGGCTGGAGTGCAATAGTGCAAACTCAGCTCACTGCAACCTCCGCCTCTAAGGCTCAAACTAACCTCCCACCTCAGCTTCCTGAGTAGCTGGGACTACAGGCATGCACCTCTACACCTGGCAAATTTTGGTATTTTTTGTAGAGACAGGGTTTTACCATGTTGTCCAGGCTGGTCTCAAACTCCTGCATTCAAGTGATCCACCTGCCTCAGCCTCCCAATGTATTGGGATTACAGGCGTGCATCACTATGACCAGGCTACAGGTATTTTATTATTCTTTCTTTTCAGCCCTTCCATCATTAACTTACTTGTCAAAATCATGTCTTCTAGAATTCAGCAGTTTCACCTTCAAGTGATGCTGCAAGTGGGGTATCAGTCTCTCCTCATGATGCCTCCTGCCTTTATGAATTTCCCCTGGATTCAGCTGGACATGAATTTCACCTTGACTTGCTCCCCCTCTCTAATGAGCTCTTTCCTCCAGCAATATTCAAAATCCTAAGTCCCATAGCTGGGGACAATGACTCACAGGGTCTCCTGACAGACCAACCACCATAGGTAGGGCCAGCACTATGCCCATGGTCATCAGAAAGTTCTTGGAAAATGAGACCTCTGCCTCAATGCCAAAGATTTGTCATTGGTTTTTCTGGCCCAAATTTTGTTTTTCTTTTCTTTATCCCAGTATACTTAATCTGTATACACAAACTAGGAAATTCTCACAGATAGTTTTGTGTCTGTCTGCTACATCTTTGTCCCCCAATCGACTATGTGTTCCTTGGGGGCAAAGTATAAAACTGAGTGAACTTCCTATTGTCTATCTCCATGACATGCTGTTGCTCACCAAGTAGAAAATAGTGTTTTTGTTTTGATTAATTCTAAGATTATGATTACTTCTTGTACTACGCTTCCCTTGCTATATTCTTCTAAAGGACTATTGCAAATCAAATCAATTATATTTTCAAACACTTTCAGGTAAGGTGAATTACTAAAGATGTATGGATAAGAATAACTCAACATTAATAGGACTCAATAAATAATTTGTGAGAATAAACTATGGGCTTGCTTATGCATTGTAAAAATAAGAGTGGCTCAAACAGACAGACAAATAACCTCACTTATTTCTCTTTCACAATGTAAAATATTTTGTGTATGCAGTACAAAATGTTACAGCAGCTCTACTCGAGAATAAAATGACAGTTCTATCTAGCTCCCTATTCCACCATGGGATTGCCTCATGGGCTAAAGTGATAGCTGGGTCAGTAGCCATCACATTCAATGTATAAGTCTGTTCTCTCATTGCTATAAATAACCACCTGATACTGTGTAATTTATAAAGAAAATATGTTTAATTGGCTCACAGTCCCACAGGCTGTACAGGAAGCATGGCTGGGGAGGCCTCAGGAAACTTACATTCATGGCAGAAAATAAAGGGGAAGCAGTCACAATTTACATGGCCAGAGCAGGAGGAAGTGAGAGGAGGAAGATGCTACACATTTTTAAACAACCAGATCTCACGATAACTCACTCACTGTCACGTGAAAAGGACCAAAGGGAAAATCTACCCTATGGTTCAATCACTTCACACCAGGCCCCATCTCCAACATTGGGGATTACAATTTGACATAAGGTTTGGGTGTGGGGCACAGACCCAAACCATATCATTCATATTCCAGATAACAGGAATAAGGAAGTGGTGAAGAATAAAATATACACAGAGATGCCTTTTAAAAATTTCCTGAAATCTACAAAAGGACAATTGGGCTAACCTACTGGACAGAACTCAATCACATGGTCTTATTTCACAATGGAGGGTGGGAAATGTAGTTTTAGTCTGGCTAGCCCATAGCCCTCCCGAAAATTAGTTTTCTATTCCTATGGAAGAAAGTGAGAATAGTTACTGTAGGACAGTTAGGAGACTCTGCCATAGTGACTGTCCTTTGTTTTTGATTTTGGAAGTTTATGGGGAGGAATAACACATGGAGTGGGTCTTGAAGAAGATTTTAGTCTCCTCGGCAAACTTCAGTCAGTAAACATCTATTTATGGGCAAGGCTAGAGTACAGGTGTATTAGTCCATTCTCACACTGCTATGACGAAATACCTGAGATTGGGTAGTTTATAAAGAAAAGATGCTTATTTGGCTCATAGTTCAACAGACTCTACAGGCGACATGGCTGGGGAGGCCCCGGGAAAATTAAAATCATGATGAAAGGTGAAGAGGAAGCAGGCATGTCTTTACATGCTAGAGCAGGAAAAAAAGAAAAAGGGAGAAGGTGCCACACACTTTTAAACAGTCAGATCTCATAAGAACTCTATAATTAGACAGCATTAGGGAGATGATGCTAAAACATTAGAAACCATCCCCATGATCCAATCACTTCCCACCAGGCCCCACCTCCAACACTGGGGATTACAATTCAACATGAGATTTGGGTGAGGACACAGATCCAGACCATATCAACTGGGATTAATAAATTCTCATCCATTTGAATAATAAAACAATATAGAGTGAGAAAAGTGAGCAAACACATAATTGTGATATTGTATAAGCTGGATAATAACAGAACTCTGTATAAAGTATAGTAGCAAATTCAGTGATCGTCGTCTTTTGGTGGAGAGGCAAATGAGAGATTGATTTAATACGAGTGGGCAGAAGGAATTCAGCTACTCTACAAAACAGAATATAAGAAGGACTTAGAGATTCAAAAGAGGAAAATATCACAGAAAAATGGTAGAAAGAAAAAAAGTTCCTTGTAGTAGATAAACTTTTAGATTGACATGGAACATGGGAAAGAATCTAAAGCCAGATATGGAATTGACACTAAAATTAAGGTAAATTTATGAGTAGGGCAACAGGGGTGTTCAAGCCAACAGGAAATATTCTGAGGAACATACTTATCAACCTCATCTGATTTCAAGCAATGTATCTGTCAGTAAGAACACTTTTGGTTGCCAGCAACAACACTTTTGGTTGCCAGCAACAGAAATTCAACCGGAGCTGGTTTAGGCATAAATAACCTCATATGAACAAACCTATTTCTTAACCTATTTCTTAATTCACTCTAGATTTTTTTTTTTTTTAGATGGAGTCTCACTCTGTCACCCAGGCTGGAGTGCAGTGGCATGCTCTAGGCTCATTGCAGACTCCACCTCCCCAGTTCAAGTGGCCCTTATGCCTCAGCTGCCCAAGTAGCTGGGACTACAGGTGCGCGCTAGCACGCCTGGCTAATTTTTGTATTTTTAGTAGAGATGGGGTTTCACCATATTGACCCGGCTGATCTCTAACTCCTGACCTAGTGATCCACCCACCTCGGCCTCCCAAAGTGCTGGGATTACAGACATAAGCCACCGCACCCAGCCCACTCTAGAAATATTTATTGAACATTTACTCCATACAGAGCACAGTGCCAGGATTTAGTGTCATGGCAGTGACTAACATAAATATACTGGCGTACTTCAGAGATATTGCAGATTCTCTTTCAGACCACTGAAGCAAATGTGTCAATAGTGAATCATACTTTTCTTTTGTTTTTCAATGCATATAAAAGTTATATTTCCACTGTGCTGTAGTCTATGATGTTTACAATAGCACTACATCTAAAAAGGCAATATACATATCTTAATTTAAAATACTTTATTGCTAATAAATTCTAATAATTACCTAAACCTTCAGTAAGTCCATAATCTTTTTGCTGGTGAAGAGAATTGCCTAGATGTTGACTGCAAATAATCAGGGTGGTGGTTACTGAAGTTGCGTGGCTGTGGCAATTTCTTAAAATAAAACAACAATGAAGTTTGCTGCATCGATTGACTCTTCCTTCCACAAAAGATTTCCCTGTAGCATAAGATGCTATTTGATATTATTTTACCATGGGAAAAAAAATAGTGCAGAGCCGTCTGAGCTATGTGAGGTATGCAAAATTTATTAGGCCCAGAAACATGAGTATGGGCTTCACTCATGCCTCCACACCTATGCCAGGGGACAATTGTCTAAAAGCATCTTGTTCCTGACTAGCTGCCTCATCCATTATCTTTATGTTTCTGAACTTTATGATACAAAGAGTGATACATAGCCAATCAATAGCTTATGTTATTCTAATTCAAATTCCTGGTAAACAATTTAGAAACTGCCTCTTCTTTGTTTCTGTAAAATCCTATGTGTAACTCTGCTAATCTGAGCGTATATTCCATTTTGGTCTGTTTCAATCTATTCTCTCAGTTGGTTAACCTCAACTTTTGCACTTCAGTAAGCTCTCCTTGAACTAGATTCTGTTCTTTTTGGTTATTTTAGGCTGACAATCCACAGTAGAACTTCTTTCAAAATTTGAGATGATTCTCTCAAAACCTGTTGCTGCTTTATTAACTGAGTGTACGTAATATTTTAAATTCATTGCTGTCATTTCAACAATGTTCACAGCGTCTTCACTAGAGCTAGATTTGATCTCAGGAAGAAGTTTTCTCTGCTTATCCATTAGAAGCAACTTCTTTAGTTAAGTTTTATCATGAGATATATATTCCCTGGTCTTAAAGGTTTATAAACAAGTTGAAGAGAGTATGATTGATAAAATAATTCCACAAACAAATGCTGAATTGCAAATGTGGTAAACATTACCAAGGAGTTGTATGCGGTAGATGAAAACTTACAGAAGGTGTTTTTCTTCGGGAATTATACAAAGAAGCGAGAGACTGGCATGCCAGGCAAAAGGAAATTTATATTCAAAGGCCCTCTTGAGGGAGCTTAACAAATCTGAGTGACAGAAATAAATTAATATGACTATAGCAAAGGAGTAACAGAAGAGAATAGAAGGAGATGAGGCTGGAGAATTCGGTACAGGCATTACCACAGAGACCTTGAAGGAAAAGTTATAATACTTTCTTGATTCTAAGAGAAATGGGATGTCACACCAGGTTTTTATACAAGGTGTGACATGATTGATTTGTATTTAGAAAAGATCACTCTGGCACCATTCTAGAAAAATGGGTTGAGGTGTGGGGTGGGTTGGAGGAAGTAGAAACAGTAGTTAAGGCATTATCCACTCAAACTGGTAGAGCTGAACTATTTAGAATAGCAAAATTGTTCTGTACGGTCAGAAAGGCAAACTTAGGAAGATGGGGCCAAAATTGCCAATTTAAAGAGAATATAAATTGGACCTCATGCTACCCAATACAAGCATAAGCCAGCACATGGCTCTGCTACCAAGCTGCTCCCTGAAAACACAGGTGTTCTAAAATGTCAGGCCAAGGTTTTAGGCCTTTAACACATGATGGCTTATCCTAGGTTTTAACTTTTATTAATTTTTCAATAACTAGATGTAAGTGGAGCACCAGAGACTATCCAGAGAGTAAAATTCATTATGGCATAACTGTCATGGATCATTATCCAAATTTCACCAGCAATGCAACTCTATCCAACTGGCTTCTTCAAACACATTGTTGAATCTGGATTTATGTCTCAGTTAAAATGCATCTAGTCCCTTAAAGGAAAATAATATACTATGATTTGTTGAATCTGGACAGAGAACTTGATAAAAGTTGATCCAGGTAAATATGAATGCAAATATATGATTATCTAAATACCACACTTAATAGTCAGCTCATTCACATGTCACCATAGAAATAAATTTGTTAAGATTGATATTAGCTATTCATAAAACTATCACATGAAATATTATTGGATTGGGCCTGTATAGTTTTTCATTTCTCAATATTCTTCTGTTACAAAAACCGTCATCTTCTACATCCAACCTTATAGTGCACGACCATTTATTCTCTCAATCAATAATTATTAAGGACCTGCTATCAGATAGACATTAGGAAAAACTCCAAAGAAATATAGACAGAAAACAACTGTATAGGGAAAATGAACTTCAGAGAACTTTCAGTTAGAAACAGACTTTAAAGTAAATAACTGCAAAATATGGTAATAACTATTTCAACAGAGATAAGCACAAGGTACAGTGAAAACAAAAATGAATGTGATGGTCAAATTTTTTGGGGAGAGAGAGAAAATGATTCAGGTGGGTTTGGGGGGAGAGGGGAGAGAGAGAGAGAGAGAGAGAGAGAGACAGAGACTATTTCTGAGTCATAAAAACGTGCATTTTAAAAAGAAGAAACAGTCTTTCCAAAGGTACTGAGAGATAAAATAGCATGGCTTATTTAGGAGAATATAAAAATTTATAATTACTGGTACAAGTTTTAGGGTAGATATAACAAAAATTAAATTTAAGGAGAGGTAAGACAATGAATCTAGATGATATGAGAGATAGGCACAGAAGCAAATAATACTGTCTATATACATATATGTAAGGTAGACATTTAAAATACTTCCATATTTTATGGTTGCATTGGCAAGAAAATATTTTGATGTCTGCGTGTTTCCTGGAAAGCATCATAAATATTATTAATTAAGCTTAAAGAAATGAGAATTTCTGGACCTAGTTTTTTTCACTGGTTGCTAAATTATTGTTTTTAGAAAACTAAATGAGCTAGTCGACAAGAGATCAGTTTTGGAAAGTGTAAAATTCAATGCATATAGAATAACCTTATGTAGACTGTGTGATTCTTTAATTGGGAGTTAGCCTGAAACATAGAGTTGTAAAGGCTTAAAAGTCTTCTTCAGGTCTCTCTTCTTCTTTGGTAAGAGGACTGAGAGAACTCTAAGTGGAAAATATGCTGGAGTTCTGGCCGTCAGAGGGGCCTTCCGTCCCTCAGACAGCTTCAAGCAGATGCATGCTGTCACCAAGGGAATGGAGAATCCTTGATGTTAGAACTTGCAGAAGAAAGCGAGAACACAGTAGTTAAGAACACAAGCTTTGGAATCAGACATACTTAGTTTTTTGGAGCAGTCTTAAAGGTGGGTTTTAGATTTTTGGCCTGGAATCAGCATCTGCTTCTTCAACCCTAGTGGACTAATTTTAAAAAGTTGAAGTGAAGCAGACAAATTTCATCTGAAAATATATGAACATTCCTATCTTTACCACCACCCTTTACTGAATCTTTTGATCCAAAAAAAAAAAAAAAAAAAAATAGAATAGGGCTAGAATGAGGTTTCCAGTGAGAGGGGGCTCTGGAGTGCATTGCCAACCATATTACTATCCTGATCTTCAGGGCTCTCTGCAGCAACTTCCCTGGCACCTGTATGCAACTTCACCTTTCCTAAATGACATGCTCCTCTTTGCTAGCATGAGGCTGGCTTCTCTGGAGCTCCGTCCCTTTGTTACGGCAGTGTCAGTGACACATGTGGAGGGAAGGGAAGGTACAGTGTGTCCCTTTAATTGTACTGTTTTTGTTGCACAGTTTTGGTCAGTGGAGTCAAAACTTAATAAGGGGTAGTGCCATCTAGCTCTGGAATTGATGGTCAATTGAAATAAGCCCTACACACTGGGGTCATTACATGAGAAAATTGGAATCATAGGAGGTGGGAGCAAAAGTGATCACATCAACCTCCAGTTATTTAACGTATGTTATATTCTATGAACTCAACCTGTAGGATGGCTGATTCACCCAGTAACCTGACACAATTGCCATTAACTATTTCTCACAGTGAAGAAACCAAAATAAGGAGTTCAGGCTCATCATTGGGTCCCAAGTTACATAGCCAGCAAGTAGCAGAACCCAGAAAAGAACTACAAACTATTTTAATTTCAGTAATGACCACAGCAATATTAATAAAATATAATACTATGAAAAAGAAAACATGTATTGAACACCTTATCTTAATTTAGATACTCTACATGAGTTAACTCATTTACAAAAATTACTTTAAGTTACAAGCTATTATTATTATTGTCCTTTAACAAATGAGAAATGGAAGCCATAAGGGTTTAACTAACAATTCCCAAGCTCTTACAAACAGTGAATAACAGGGCGTATTCATATCCATACATTCTGATTCCAGAGCTTGCACTCTTCGTCAACAAACTTTCTTCAGGTAGATTCAGTAAACCCCTATGTTGTACTTAAAACAAACATTGTACCATTTACATTCTACCCCTATTGTATTTTTTATATCAAACGATTCAGTAAAAGGGGGTGGCAAGAGGTGAAAAGACTTACCCAAGTTCAAAATAATTATTAACTGACAAACCAAAACTAGTACCCAAGTATTCTGACACCCAATCTAGAATTGTCTACCTTGTCTTATATCAGTGATAAAGAAGAAAAGCAAAAAAAAAAATCTGTGCATGAAATTTATATAATTTAATATTTTTCAAGCTTACGGAGCTGTGGTTTTTCTTATTTGAATGTATTTCAGAGAGGCGAAAGAATACAAATTGCTTCAAAATACTTTACTGCTCTGTGTATGAAGCTCATCATTTTCTTATCCTCTATTCTGTATTTCATATGCACTTGGAGAATAATTGCAGCCTGAACTTAGACAATGTTTCTTTTTTCTCTCTTTGTGCTTATATCAAAAATGCCTATCCACTGCCCCTTCATTTTTTAAAATAAGAGTGACAATTTGTCATATCTGTTTGGGCCTGTAAGGCTAGGGTGAGGATTATTTAATCAGCACTTTAGTGTGAAAGATGGCTTAGACAGCCTTCAATTTGTACTATGCCGGTTAGGCACAGTCTGTTCAAACTGGACAGACGCTCTCTGTGAGCTGAAAATTATGAAACCTTTGGTTGGAATCTTATGCATCCAACGGATAAGGAAAACAAACATCTATTTGATTGGCTATGATATGCCAAGAGCTGAACATACAATCAGAATTCACTGGTTTCAATTTTTCTTGCACTGTGGTGATGCTGAAGCACATAATTAAGTTTGCATGGGGTAAGAATACATGTGACGGTAATAGAAGTTGCTGGGGCAGAGTGGAAGGAATGGAAGCTTTGAGACCTGGAGATTTAGTTCTGCTTTAAACATTTGTACTTGGTAACTCTGTGACTATTGGCAAATATTCTGACCCCTTTGATTCTTAGCTCTTTCTTTTGTGAAGTGGGCATAATTTTGGTGTGTGGTGCCACATGACAATGGCTAGAAGGGGGTGCACTACCCCACATGTTAACAGTGCTTCTTCCCATGAGATTAATGCTCATAGCATGCCATTATTTTCAATGCCCATACTCATCAAATATCAAACTGTTGTAGGAAAATTATTTCACAATTTACATAATTGAACCTATGTAAAATCATGTTTGTGTTTATCACATTTTCACCAGCAATTTTTCTCACAATGGTGGTATGTTATGTTGAAAAAAAATAGCAGCATGCATTGTAACTTTATGATAAGAGGGAGCTCATGCTATATTCTTTCCTGTTAAACTCTTTAAAATCTCTTCTGAGGTTTTAAATAAATTAAGACATATCATATTAAGGGACAGTCTAGAGCAGTTGGCACAGAAGTATTCAACGTTTTGCATCTCAATTAACAAATACTGTGCCTCCTTTCTTCCCTGTAATTTACAGTTAAATGTCAGCATGACCATGGAATGCAGATCCTAACCAGTAGTTCCATTTATGTATCCATTTCTTAGTCAGAGGTCAATACAAAGTTGCCACATTAAGTGCATGATTATTTTTCTGGATGTCAGAACAGTTTTCCCAAATATTTATTAATCAAAGATCCAACTATAATTATCAGATGTTATTAAACAAGATAAAAAATAAATCATGTTGGAATAGTTTTCAAAAAATAGGGTTAAATGTATAAAAATCATATTCCAAGGCAACCAGGAAAGTCAGTCAGTCTGAAAATCCTGCTCATTAAGAGGCCGCATCATAAAGAGGATATCACATTTTAGCCATAGTGACTGAATGCATTAAATGCAGAGAACCCATGCATAAGCCTTGTAGTGTTCTAGTCATTCAACAAATATTTACTGAGTACCTACTGACTGCCAGACACTATACTATATACTGGTTGTATTAGTCCGTTCTCGCATTGCTATAAAGAACTACCTGAGACTAGGTAATTTATAAAGAAAAACAGTTTAGCCGGGCACAGTGGCTCACACCTCTAATCCTAGCACTTTGGGAGGCTGAGGTGGGTGGATCACCTGAGATGTAGAGTTTGAGACCAGCTGATCAACATGGTGAAACCCTATCTCTACTAAAAATACAAAAAATTAGCCCGGTGTGGTGGCGCATGCCTGTAATCCCAGCTACTTGGAAGGTTGAGGTAGGAGAATTGCTTGAACCCTGGAGGCGGAGGTTGCAGTGAGCTGAGATAGTGCTTTGCACTCCAGCCTGGGCAGAAAGAGCAAAACTGCATCTCAAAAAAAAAAAAAAAAAAAAAAAAATGCCTACGGTTCTGTAGGCTGTACAGGAAGCATAGCAGGGAGACCTCAGGGAACTTACAATCATGGCAGAAGTTGAAGGGGAAGCCTGCTTTTCCTACATGGATGGAGCAGGAGCAAGAGAGAGAAGGGAGAAGTGCTGTATACTTTTAAACAACCAGATCTCGTGAGAACTCACTATCATGAGAATAGCAAAGGGGAAATCTGCCCCATAATCTAATCACCTCCCAACAGGCCCTTCCTCCAATACTGGGGATTAAAATTCTACATGAGATTTGTGTCCAACAAGGGGGACACAAATCCAAACTATATTACTGGGGATACAGCAGTGAACAAAACATATAAAAAAAAAGTTATGTGGTGAAGCTTCCATTCTAAAAAATTAAATAGAACATAAATAATATATATAAGTACTATATATTATGTTTGATAAAAATGAATATCAATAAGACATTATATATTGTCATATCAAGAAAAAATGATGTAACAAATCATGGAGGTATTGACATTTTAAATGAATAGCTGAGCTGTCACTGAGAAAGGGCCTTTTAAGTCAATAACTGAAGGAAGTGAGGGTTGTGCCTTGAGAACATCTAAAGGAAGACCATTTCAGGCAGAGGGACTAGCAGGTGAAAGGGGCCTGGAGACCATGAGGGCATGCTCAGTGTGTTGAGGGAAATCAGCAAGCACAGCACAGCATGGCAGCAGCAAGAAGGCAGCAGGAGGAGATGAGGTAGGGGGAGGAGGGGTGAAGGGCAGTGAGGACCTTGGGAACATAGTAAGGACATCAGTATTTTCTGTGACTGTGGCAAGAAGTTTCTGAAGGGAGTCAACAAATGCTTCCATATTGACCTTAAGTCAGGTTTGGGCCCCTTAAAGTTAGATTTTTGAGCAGATTAGAGGTATGACCTGACTTTCAGGGGTGCAGACCTAATTTAAGCTCAATATGAAAGCATTTATTTACCCTGTAATGAGTCCTCTAATTGCACTAGTCCTCTAATTCTACATCCACTCTGTCACTTTCAACCTAAAAAGGAAAAAAATAAATAAATAAAAGGAAAGAAAAGAAAAGAATATTACACTGATAGAGCGTCTTTGTTGTAAAACAGATGTGTAGATACTGGCTATCCTAAGTCACCTCCTCAGGGCATTAATGGTCTCTTCTTCCAGATGCCTATCTCTTTCTATTTATTTTGAAGGCGATTTTTATCATCATCATCATTCTCATTAAATTATTTTAGTTTATCTAAGAGCTTGCAGCCACTTGGGAAGAATAGAGTTTTTCACACAATTAAGTTAAAATTCTATAACTGGGACTATAACCTTAATATGATTCCTCTTCCCATGAAATGATATTAGAGATCTGGAAGTGACAGATAAAATATGGTGGACACATTTTCTTTAACATGTTTGGGGTGACTCAAACTGTTTGATTCATCAGATAATTATGTGTTTGTGTGTAAATGTATATATGTATTTCTGCATGTGTGTGTGTATATATATATATGGATAATTCTTAATGAGAAAGAGTGTTAATACTTACTGTCTTTTAAATGTCAGGGACTTGACATATCTTAGAACATTCAGTCTTCCCTTCCCATATGTTACATTTAGATTTATATCCCCATTATCTATATGAGAAAACAGAAGATTACGGAAATGAAAGAACTTACCCAAAGGATTTTAAGCCATATTCTAGTGGACTCTAAATGCAATGATATTTTTTTTCATTTTACTTTCTTTTTTTCATTATTATACTTTAAGTTCTAGGGTACATGTGCACAACATGCAGGTTTGTTGTGCACATGTACCCTAGAACTTAGGGTATACATGTGCCATGTTGGTTTGCTCTACCCATCAACTCATCATTTACATTAGGTATTTCTCCTAATGCTATCCCTCCCCCAGCCTCCCACCCCATGACAGGCCCCCAGTATGTGATGTTCCCCACCCTGTGTCCATGTGTTCTCATTGTTCAACTCCCACCTATGAGTGAGAACATGAGGTGTTTGGTTTTCGATCCTTGTGATAGTTTGCTTAGAATGATGGCTTCCAGCTTCATCCATGTCCCTGCAAAGGACATGAATTCATCCTTTTTTATGGCTGCATAGTATTCCATGGTGTATATGTGCCACATTTTGTAAATCCAGTCTATCACTGATGGACATTTGGGTTGGTTCCAAGTCTTTGCTATTATGAATAGTGCCGCAATAAACATACGTGTGCATGTGTCTTTATAGCAGCATGGTTTATAATCCTTTGGGTATATACCCAGTAATGGGATGGCTGGGTCAAATGGTATTTCTAGTTCTAGATCCTTGAACTAGATCCTTGAACTGTCTTCCACAATGGTTGAACTAATTTACACTCCCACCAATAGTGTAAAATCGTTCCTAATTCTCCACATCCTCTCCAGCATCTGTTGTTCCCTGACTTTTTAATGATCGCTATTCTAACTAACTGGTGTGAGATGGTATCTCATTGTGGTTTTGATTTGCATTTCTCTGATGGTCAGTGATGATGAGCATTTTTTCATGTTTGTTGGCTACATATATGTCTTCTTTTGAGAACTGTCTGTTCGTATCCTTTGTCCACTTTTTGATGGAGTTGTTTGTAAATTTGTTTGAGTTCTTTGTAGATTCTGGCTATTAGCCCTTTGTCAGATGGGTAGATTGCAAAGATTTTCTCCCATTCTGAGGTTGCATCTTCACTCTGATGATAGTTTCTTTTGCTGTGCAGTAGCTCTTTAGTTTAGTTAGATCCCATTTGTCAATTTTGGCTTTTGTTGCCATTGCTTTTGGTGTTTTAGTCAATAGACATGCGCATTTTACTTTCATAGATACCTGAAAGCTATGCCAACCTTTCCCTCCTTATTTTTATTATTGGTCTAGCAAAGTCTCTACATTATTTCCTAATATGTTTTAAGGGCTCCACAATCTTTCCTGCCACAGTGATCCAGACAGCCAGTTCCAGGCAGATGAAATCAGACCGTGAGATGGAACACATTTCCCATAGTAGTGAGTGTTTATAATTGTACGTTCTTTCAGTATCCATTTTTAAATATAAGTTTAGCTTTCTCATACCAGAAGCAGGGCTCTGTCACCCTTGACACAGTTTCTAATACTATACCCCACCCAAGTGGCTGCAGTCACTGGCTGGAGGTAAAACTTAGTGACATCTCTCCTGCCTAGCAAGCTAGGCACCCAGCTTTCTTACCACTTCCTTTAAAAGGATCATGCAGACATTAACCTGTAAACTAAAAGTGACTGGCCCTGTCATAGATGATGTTCTGGAACTAGTGCCTACTTGCTTTAAACCTACCAATTAATTACCTGCAAGAAACCTGTGTGGATAATGTCTTGGACCCAATAAAGCCATTGGCCCATGGTTCCCTAATGTCTCTCTCTCTCTCTCCCTCTCTCTCTTTCTCTCTCTCTCTCTGCCTTTTCTCCCTGACCCTCATGTATGTGGCTTCCACGGTGCATTGTACCCTCTAAGGTCTGTAATTACTAAAAACTCTTAAACTTTCACACCGTGGTTGTGTCACAAAAGCTCCACCAGAAAACTGGCCCCTGACTTTTAAGCAAACTGCTCCAGCCCAGATGGGAGCTATGTTGGTGAATCCACTGGTGAAGCCTCTGGTGGCTGCTGGGGACAGTAGGTACCAGCTGAGTTCATTGAGAGACTTGAATAGTTTCATTCACAACACTCATCTTTCCTTGTACTATCACACATTGCTCTTCATTTTTTTTCCTTTCTAATGATAAGCACTTTTCTCCACAATTAACTGGAGAATATAATGCTATAGCAGGCTCAACATCACTTAGTAATTGCTTTAACAGCCGTCAGAAAGGAGGCCTTTGTTCTCAAGAAATTAACACCATCACCTACAATTTGCAGAAGCTAGTAAATGAAGGATCTTCCTTGATGCCTCTCTTTCCCTTATACCCCACACTCAATCCATCACAATACCCTCTCAACTCTACCTCTAAAATATATTTTGAGTTTGACCCCTTCTCTCTGTCTCCACTGCCACCAACGTATTTCAGCCCATGAGCATATCTAGCCTGAATTACTGCAACAGCCTCCCAACTGGTCTCCATTCTTCTATACTTATCTTTCTCTACAAAAATGTATCTATAACACTGCTAGAATTATCTTCTTTTTTTTTTTTTGAGACGGAGTTTCGCTCTGTCGCCCAGGCTGGAGTGCAGTGGCGCGATCTCGGCTCAACTGCAAGCTCCGCCTCCCGGGTTCACGCCATTCTCCTCCCTCAGCCTCCCGTGTAGCTGGGACTACAGGCGCGCGCCACCACGCCCGGCTAATTTTTTTTTTGTATTTTTAGTAGAGACGGGGTTTCACCGTGTTAGCCAGGATGGTCTCGATCTCCTGACCTCGTGATCCGCCCGTCTCGGCCTCCCAAAGTGCTGGGATTACAGGTGTGAGCCACCGCGCCCGGCCAACACTGCTAGAATTATCTTCTTACAAATATAAATCAAGTCACTGTCTTAGAAAATTTCAAACTTGTTAACCTAGACGCAAAACCTGAACTACCTTGCACCTGCTTGCTTCTGTGAATGTGATTTCTACATTTCTCTCTCTTCCTCTCTATGCTCCCTTGACACAAGCTACCTTTTTGTGATCGCAAAGAGCCAAAAGCTCATTCCTACGTAAGTCTTTCTTCTTGGTGTTTCCTCTGCTATCCAGCTCTTGTCCTGGTCTATTTCTTTCTTTTTTGTCAAGTTTCAGGTCAAATATTTTTATCCAGAGAGCATTCCCTGACTCCTATCTGTTGCAATTCTCTTATTTTCACCCCTTCATATATAACTACTTGAAGTCACCTAATTCACCTGTTCACTTACCTATTGTCTATCTCTTTAAGTCAAGCTCCATTAGAAAAGACTTTCTATATCTCTCAATCAACTTCATACCTCTGGTGCCTGCACCAGATCCACAGCAAGGACTCAATCACTATTTCCTACATGAATGAATAGCAAGTAACAGAGTGGTTAGAGCAACTGGTCGCAATATCTATTCTATCCTTATATGTATGACAGAAGCTTCCTGTCCTCTCTGACCATCACTGCTGAGATAATAGAGCAAACCTGGAGCATGAAGCTGATGTGTAAAGCAGGGTGAATAGATGATAATGTACCATTTTATTTGAAATTATCTGTTTGGTCCATAATTGAAGGAAACTCCTCTATATTAAGACTGTTGTCTGTACATATTAAATCCTGCCCTGGGCACAAGCTTTATTGATGTCATAATGACAGCCTGCCTGGTCCTCCTGGATTCAGTAAGTCCTGCTTTGTCAATATCTTCCCATTTCACCTCTCACTTTAGATAATTGCATATCGTCCCCAAAGACTAGTCCAAGCAGCCTTTACAGTATTTGTGCTTGAGTTTTGCAGCTTAGTTTTCAGAATATCTGCCTTGCAGTTTTCATATAGATTTCATAACTTGATTTGGAAAAAAAAATGTCCTGTGAGACAGGTAGTATTGGACTGTAGATATAAACATGTTTGTAAGAGCAGGCTTTGTCAGCTCCCTCTTTCTAATTTAGTCACCAGACAGGGACTTTCTCCAGCTCATGAGTATTAATACTCCAGCAAGACTCAGATATGCTCAGCTTTCCAAATGCAATTAGCAAATGCACCTAGCTCTTTGTTTCCTCTGGGCCTTTTCAGATGCTTTGGCTTCTGCCTGAAAGAGATTTTATCCTTTATCTCTCCTTCTTGGCTAGCTCTCCTCGAACTTTCGGGTCTTAGTTTCACTGTCATTTTCTTAAAAATCTTTCCCTCTCTTTAGAAAACTTAAGAAACCTCAGCCCCATTCTGATAAAACTAGGATTGCTATTAGTTTGCATGAACTTCCATAACAAACACAATCTCCCTGTCATATATTTTACACTTTAGTCACTTAGTTGAGCTCAATGAGGGCAGGAACAGAATCTGTGTCCTTTGAGCCATCTTCTGCACACAGTAATGATTTAATAAATACTAGATGAATAAATGGATGACTGAGTCATTTCTAGCCATTCCTGCTTCCAATTGACAGTGTAGATGTCATCAAAGGGTGATCTCTATGAAGGCAAGAAGCAATTTTTCAAGGATTTGCTTGCGCCCTTCACAGTGCCCTAAACACTAATCACAAAGCAAGTGTTTAATAAAAGTCACAGTTAATTGCATTGAAAATCAAATAAAGCATGATAGTGTCACTTTGTAAAAAAATGTTCAAGCTCTACAATTTTCTTATGCACACTTTCTTCTGTTTGTTTTATACTTCAAGAAAAAAGTTTAAAAATGTTTCACAATAGCTGAAGAAAAAAATTAGATAAAGGTATTGGTGATTTAGAAGTAATAATTGCTTTTATTGAGCTTCTTGGAAATTGATGTTGAGATTGAGAGACACATGGAAATAGATTAAAAGAACACTGGGGTCATCTCCACTGAGGGATCAATCCTCGCAAGGATCTGAGGGCAGGAGCAAGAAGGTGCAGGGAGATGGGGTGGGTAGAGGGTGGGCGGGGAAAGCCAGGCAGGCAGGTTCAGAGGCAGTGGGCCTGCAAGAGGGTAAAGGCCAGAGGTGAGAGGGCCTGCAGGTCCTGTTGGGAATTTGGTGCTTATCTTACATCAGTAGAAAGCTGCTTGAACGTTATCAAGCTGTGAAAAGAACACTCTGGCTTCATAAAACAGATTTAATGTGGTAGTGGTTTGGAATTGGGGACTAATAATGAAGAAAGAAGAAAGAAAGAGAGAGAGAAAGAAAGAAAAAGAAGAGAGAGAAAAGACAGAAAGAGAAAAGAAAGAAAGAGAGAGAGGAAGGAGGGAGGGAAGGAAGGAAGGAAGGGATAAAAAGAGATGGATTTTTGTGATATATAAGAAGCAAATTGGTAAATGTATTTAGGGTTACCAAGAATATTAATTCCTATTTTCTTGATCAAGCAGAAAATAAACATTTTACTGTTTTTAGTGCTACCATTTTTATCAAGAGATTTCTATGTTCTGGGCCTTTCTTGTTCATTGCTTGGAAGGGATCTGTTCACTCTTTTTCTTATTCTGAGCCTTCTACCCTAATAGTAACAAGTATCTTATGGACTATTAAATTTATTACTATGTCCCCTATTACTTTTGATATGACTAGTATTTTATGGGCCCAGTTTGGATGAAAATGTGACTGAATTATTTAGTACAGTAATAGTGATTGTTATAGAGTGATTGATATTAAAATAAATATGACTGAAGGAGTAGGTAATCATTAAATCTCTCTGCTTCTGAAATTTATTTTTTTCCTTTTTTCTGTTATGAATTTGCCTTCTCATTAGGCACTACTGCGTGACAAGTTTCATAGGGAGACAAGATTCTTTGATGGTAAAAATGGCACTCAAGTCTATAACATCCAGTAAATATAAAAAATGAAATGTAATAGCAAATACACTCATAGATGCCTTTGCATTTTAAACTCTTCATGATCTAACCCCAGCTACCTCTCCATGTTCAGTCCCTATCGTTCTCTCAAATACCATTTTTACAGAGTCATAGCGAAGTGTTTTATAGTTTCTGCATCAAGTAATGTTTATTAGTTCTTTAGTGGCTTAGTACCTGTTCTTCCCATTGTTTTGTGCCCTTTCTACCTTTTGCAAAGTGCCTGGCACACTATCAATACTCAATACCTGTTATTACTATTATTATTATTATTACATTAACAATAACAGAAATTTAAACAGAGTAATATTCACACCTAGAAAGCATTTTAGAAATATCATTTTAGCTGTAACTTGGAGAAGGATGGTTTGTAGACCATGGGAAATCCAGGAAAAAGGTGATGACAATCACAACAAATTTAGGAGCAATAGAAATCAAAATGGAAACACAGATTGGGTTAACTACTAAGTAGAAGCAGAAATAATTAGCGACATCCAGATGAATGAGTTTAGTATGACTCTGATATGGTTTGGATCTGTGTCCCCACCCAAATCTCATGTGGAAATATAATCCCCAATGCTGGAGGTGGGAACTGGTGGGAGGTGATTGGATCATAGGGACAGTTTCTCATAGTCTAACACTGTCCCCATTCCCCCTTGGAACTGTCATCACTATAGTAAGTTCTCATGAGATGTGGTCGTTTAAAAGTGTTTGGCACCTCCTCCCTCTCCCTCTTGTTCCTCCTGCCATGTAAGATGCCTGCTTCCATTTTGCCTTCCGCCATGAGTAAAAGCTCCATGAAGCCTCTCCCGAAGTAGATGCTGCCATGCTTTCTGTATAGCCTGCAGAACCATAAGACAATTAAACATCTTTTTTTTTAATAAATTACCCAGTCTGAGGTATTTCTTTAAAGAGGTGCAAGGAAAGACTAATACAGACTCTCAAGTTTCTAGCTGAAACACTGTGTTGGTGGTGGTATCTTTCATTGGGATAAACTGTGAGTGGTGGAATAGCATGCTCAGTTTTGTATGTATTGGATTTGTGTTGTCTGTGGGGCAGACAACTAAACGCCTAAGGGACAGTTAAACATGAACATTAGTTAATAACAATACTATTAGCGATTTTAGAAATAGGTATATATAAGGTAAGTGACTGTCTAATTCTGCAAAGGAGGAAATCATTGATATGTCTAATGCTAATAATGAAGAGGACAACTGCATTAGTCAGCTTAGGCTGCCGTAACAAAATGACATCGACTGGGTGACTCAAACAGTAGGAATTTATTTCTCACAGTTCTGAAGGCTGGGAAGTCCAAGATTAAGGTGCCAACCAATTCAATTCTCTGGTAAGAAATCTCTTTCTAACCTGCAGATGGCTAATGGTTGCCTTCTTAGAGAGAGAGAGAGAGAGAAAGAGAGAGAGAGGAAGATTTCTGGTATTTCCTCTGAGGGCGTTAATTTCATTATGAGTACCTCATGACCTCATCTAAACCTAATTGACTCCAAAAGTCCCCGTCCATCTCCAAATACTATCTCACTGGAAGTTAGGGCTTAAATATATTAATTTGGTGGGGTGGGACACATAAGTTATTTCATAGCCACAATGTTTATTTTGGTTAGTAAATTGCTCAAGGATACTCAGCTAATAAGTGCCAAGTTTCATTTTAACTCAGCCCCACCTAACCACATTGCCTTTTCTATTGCATTTTATTGTCTTTTATACATGGCAAAGGAGATGAAGTAGAAAACTTCAGCATGAGCAAGATTAGCTACCATGCCTTTTAGCAGATAAAGGGGCTCCACCACCCAACAAAATGTCTTGGACATCTTCTATGTATCAGAAAGTGTGCTCAGTGTTTGGGATAGGACAGCAAACCAGGTAGTCCATTTTCCAGCATTCTGCAAGAAGCATAATGTCCCAAAGAGACTGAGGGTTATGTAGGTTAATTGTAGTTTTATGTAATCCTTGCAGGAGACTTTCAGTGTTTGATAATGGCAATGAAAACACAGGAAAAAATACTTATTACCTTTTATTTTTCTTCTGTTATACAGTGTCATTGCATCTCCTAAACTGCTCTCACCAATTCTTTCATAACTGTGAAAAATTACCAAAACAGAAAAGCAACATTTTTTTTTTTCATATTCTGGAGAGGTTGGGAAAATTTACTGGATTCAGCTAGGAAGCTTTATTGTTCAATTTCCTCCAGATCCTCCTTCTTCCTTTCTTGCAAGAGTGAGCACACAGATCTACTCTGTTGTTCTGTATTTGGGAGTATTTTGACACTGAAATGTTTCAGTTGTTTCACATAAATCTCTCTCACCCTTTTAATACTAGTTCAGAAATGCAACTTCATCAGTCCTGAAGCTGAAAGAAAATAGAAAAAGAAGAATGTCATAGCAAGGATTAGGAAGATAAAGTGTAAAATCAGCTCATTACTGAGTTTCTACAATAGCCTCAGCACAGTTCTAGGTAATGAAAAAGAACAAAAGAGACACATCTATTCAAAAACGGAACAGTGTTAAACGCACTCAGTGTCTTATGCCCTCAAAACTCACAAAGACTCACAAGCTAGGCATTTCTATCTTATTTTAAATATAAGGAAACAAACATTTTGAGAATAGGTAAGTTATTTGTCCTAGGTCATACAGCTCCTGGGATTCATAGTCATGTTTTATCAAATTGGGAATGAGTACATAGGGCGAGGTGATGACAATATTTACCCTGACTTAAAAAAAGTCAGATATATTTCAGTAGTTGAAATGGACGTTCATAATGTAACATTAAATACAAAGTGTTTTATGGTAACAATTGCTAAATTACATAATTTGGACTATAAGTGCTCTTAAAATTAAGAGGGAAGGAGAAGGTATCAGGGATTAATGAGTCTTAAAGTTGGAGTCAGCAAAGTAGTTGTCACTGAGGTCTTGAAAATCAAGGTGATCTTAGGATGAAAACTATGTTGGCAAGCAGAGTATAGGGTGTCTGCAGTGGTTGCAACATCAAGAGGGAATGAAGGGCGTTGAGCATAAGGGTAGCATGTTGGCAATGGAGAGACTTTGCCCCTTAGCCAAAGGGTGGACTCAAGTACCCAGGATCACAGTGAATGAAGTTCTGTGTCTTCTACACAATCCACTTCCAAATAGACTGACATTTTGATATTCTTGCTTCTATAGACACATTCTACCTTAGCTGTGTTCTGGGTCAGTATTCTCTTAACCATTATCTGATCTAGGATGTTAGGACTCCTGGTTGTTACATTTGTATAGTATCAGCCAGCAAAATCTACCTCCTGTAAGAAACAGCTTATTCTTTAAAATAGAGATCATCTTATTCTTTAAAATAGAGATCATCCTTGTTTGCTGATGCATTACTCTCATCGTTCTTCAATAATTACCCATATGTTAAGAAAGATTTTGAGTGCGATTGGCATTCCTGTCTTAATTATTGTCTGTGGCAAATAATTTTTCATTATTCGGATGACACTGTATTTCCGGGTTCTGATGAGTTGTTTGTTCTGGATTGATGCATTGCAATTTTGCAAGAAGTTGCGAAGTTGAATTGCAAATTGATTTTAAAATAACTTAAAAAATGCATTCCAAGCAGCATAATGCTCTTAGGGGATAATATTTACTTGAAAGCGTCATAGGAAAAAAAAATATATATATATATTTGTTGCCATTTAACTATAAATGCTAATTGATTATTCACAAGTAGGTCATCTGTCTTCCAATCCCTACACACTAACTGTTTTGTCAAATTAACTTTCAGAAACTTGTTTTGTTTTAACATTTTATTGACTGTCCATCCAATTCATTGTTTATACTGAAAAAGAAAACTTACCTAACAGGTAGGTAATATTGAAAATAAAATTCTAAGCAGTGTTCCAACAAATATATAATTGTAGTCTCTGAATAGATCTTAATTCCATTGAGAAAACAAGCATGTTTTTTCACATTTGTTTGACTATACTTTTCAGAACCGACCTTTATTTACCTAATCCCTCTGTCCAATGAGATAAAGCAGAGAGGTATATCAATTAAATCAAAACTGGTTTCTAACTTCTTATGCTTATAGACAGTTGTGCCAGATTAAGTTCTGTTCATAAACTCAGTTGATGTTTCTAGGGGGATAGGAAGGATGCCAACCTTTCAAGAGTATACAAAAGCAGAATTTAACTTGCATCCAGTACATAGCCTTCTTTCTCCTCCATGGAGGAGTGTAAAGTGATTTTTGTCAGAATTTCATCATGGAGAAATAGAGAAAACTAAGGAAAAGCAGGATTATAACAATCAGTTTACATAGTCCCAGTTCACCATCTTGTCTTAGGAGCACCTGCTTAGCCAACATATATTTAGCAAGGGCCTGAGATGTAACACACATCTTGCCATAGCTAGAGTGCAAAACCAAAACATGAACTCTCATTACTGTGGCTTCTTCTCTTACTGTAAAGTGGTTGGTGCATACACTTGATCTGGTATTTAAAAAATGGTGGGAGAAATGTTGGTTGAAAATATAGCTTTGAGCCATACTTTATTGCATCTCAAATGCCATTCTAAAGAGAATTATTTATTCTGCAATAGAGATACAGAAAAATATTTATTCTGTTTTACACACATACACACACACACACACACACACACACATGCAAGTCTATTTACTGATCACCTATTATGTGTCATGTCTAAGCTGGGCTCTGTCTGTATAAGATGAATTATAAAAGACCCTGGTCTTCACTGAGCTCATAATCTCAGGTGAGGCAGGAGATAGTATATATATACACATACATAGCAAAAGTTTCAATCTTCCTCTATCTGTACCGCCCCTCCAACCCCACATTCCAACAAATTATCATGCCACATCCATAGAGCTGTTACACCCTCTATCTGGATGGTCTGAATAGATGGATTTTCTTGTAGTCTTTCCCTTTACCAACCTTTCCACGCAGTTCAAGTTATAAAACCAAAATATTTCTCATGTGTTTCAAAATGTTGCCATGGCTTCATATTACACTTTCAGTAAAATCTAAATCATTTGCCTTGGCTTGCAAGGCCTCAGGATATTCAGATCTTGTGAACTTCACCAGACATTTCTGGCCACTTACAATACTCATTTCTTGAGCTACAGTCTCACTGAGATCTCTGTAATTTCTCAACCACATTAAGCTCTTTTCCACCTCCAGTTATTTGTAGGTGGTCTCCTTCTGCATTGAACTCTGTCTCCTTGGTTCTTTGCCCAGGTTCTACTCATATAACAAGCCTTGGGTTCAAAGTCATAGCCTCAGAGAACACGTCTTTGGTTAACACTAATAGGTCCACCTTCTATTCTGTTAATTCTGTCATTGAACTCAGGCCACTTCTTACATGTAGTCATCCCAGTTTATCTTCACACATGTGTGTGTCTATGTTTTCAGTGTTTGTCTGTACCACTAATTTATAAGATTCAGTAGATATGAGCATTTTCTCTTTCATTCCCTAGTTTTTACCCAGGAAAAGCATAGGCACTTAATAAATAACTCTTTTTTTAAAATTATACTTTAAGTTTTAGAGTACATGAGCACAACGTGCAGGTTTTTTACATATGTATACATGTGCCATGTTGGTGTGCTGCACCCATTAACTCGTCATTTAATATTGGGTATATCTCCTAACGCTATCCCTCCCCCCTCCCCCCACCCCACAACAGGCCCCGGTGTGTGATGTTCCTAATAAATAACTCGTAAATTGATTATGTAAAGAAGTGATCATTTAATGAAGTTGCCTTTTTGCAAAACAAGAAAACATAGAACTCTGCTTGTTACATCATCTTTGTTTCTTGCTCTCTCATTCCTATTTTCAACCTTAGGAAAAACCAGGAACCCAGGAAATTTAAAATTTGGTTTAAATCAAGTATATTTAGAGAAGGGTCTAGATAATGTACCACCTAGAAAAGTCCTGCCTAATAGAAATATAATGTCAGAAATATATACAAATTAATTTTTTAGTAGTCACATTAACAAAAATAAAAAGAAACACGAAGAATCAACGTTAACATATTTTAATTTATTATATATAAATATTTTAATATGAAAATTAGTATAAAATTATTAAGATATATAGTTTTTCTTATTAAATCTTTGAAATCCAGTGTGCATTATACATTTATAATATATCTTAATTTGTATGCTAAATTGTCATCACAGATACTTTATCTGCATTAAAATTTTATAAAATTTACAGTTGAAAAAGTAGGTTCACATGTCAAAATTATTCCAAATGCACTCACAAGATTTCTAATAATTAATATGGTAGCAGTCTTTACAGCTAAATTAAAATTAATTAAAATTAAGTTAAATTAAAAATTCATTTTCTTAGTCTCACTAGTCACTTTTCAAGTATTCAGTAGCCACATGTGAGTAACTACTACCATAGCAGATGGCAAGATTGAAAGTAGGAGAGTGCAAATGCATGTGTGTACATTTTTTTTCTGAAGTTATACAGAGTGTAACATTCTAATAAAAGATGTTTATCTTTTACACACTTACAGTAACAGGGCCAGTTTTGTTCTCTGGTAAAATGCCTAATGAAAGTGATTGTGATGATGAACCAGCATTCAGAGAGTTATACTATTTAATAGTAAGAGTCTTGAAAAGACAATTGCTTATTGATTGATTCAAATCAGATGCCTAAGATTCTAACACACCAGATAAGCATTATTTGAGGTTCTGTTCCCCGAATTCTCTGCTGTTGTCTGCTCAACCACCACTGAGTGTCACTGTGGGCTGAGAAGCCCATCAGAAATCAACAACTAAGAGAGCCACCTGAAATGAGAGGAAAAGGGAATGAAATGAATGATGATCTTTTTATTCTCCAGGGTTTCTTTGCTTCTCTCTTCACTTCTGACACTAGTATACTTCTAAATCCATGACAAGTACATGAGGAAAATTAAATCAGAGCACAAAACCACTAAGGAACAGCTCAGTAGATAAATATCACCTATCTTTGAGGAACCTGAAGTTGCCATAATGGTCAATGCGGAGTTGATTAATGTCATGAAAATAAGATTTACTCCTTTAAGGCTATATCATTAGCATCAAAAAGAAGGCCTTACCTTTGATGCCTTTTCTGATAAATGGCTATTATTTTTATTAGTTTGCTTATCTGTTGCGGGAAGTCAGGGACCCCAAATGGAGGGACCTGCTGAAGCCGTGACAGAAGAACATAAATTGTGAAGATTTCATGGACATTTATCACTTCCCCAATCAATACTCTTATAATTTCCTATGCCTGTCTTTACTTTAATCTCTTAATCCTGTCATCTTTGTAAACTGAGGATGTATGTCGCCTCAGGACCCTGTGATGATTGTGTTAACTGCACAAATTGTTTGTAAAGCATGTGTGTTTGAACAATATGAAATCTGGGCACCTTGAAAAAAAGAACAGAATAACAGTGATGTTCAGGGAACAAGGGAGATAACCATTAGGTCTGACTGCCTTGGAGCCAGGCAGGACAGAGCCATATTTCTCTTATTGCCAAAAACGAGTAAGAGAAATATCACTGAATTCTTTCCCCAGTAAGGAATATTAATAATTAACAGCCCTGGGAAAAGAATGCATTCCCGGGGGGGCCCTCTAAAATGGCCACTCTGGGGGTGTCTGCCTTATGCAGTTTCAGATAAGGGATGAAACACGCCCTGGCCTCCTGCAGCACCCCCAGGCTTGCTAGGATTAGGAAATTCCAGCCTGGTGAATTCTAGTCAGACTGGTTGTCTGCTCTTGAACCCTGTTAAGATGTTTATCAATGACAATGTGTGCACAGTGGGACATGGAACTTCATTAGTAATTCTAGTTTCACCCTGACCTTGTGATCTCACCCTGACCTTCGGCCTTGTGAACTTTTGTTGCCCTCGAAGCATGTGATCTCTGTGACCCACACCCTATTTGTACACTCCCTCCCCTTTGAAAATTGCTAATAAAAACTTGCTGGTTTTACGGCTCAGGGGGCATCACGGAGCCTGCCAACATGTGATGTCTCCCCCGGACACCCAGCTTTAAAATTTCTCTCTTTCGTACTCTTTCCCTTTATTTCTCAGACCAGCTGACACTTAGGGAAAATAGAAAAGAACCTACATTGAAATATTGGGGGATGGTTCCCCCTATATCTGGCGCCATTTTGAAGAATAGGACTTCTGATTTTTGATATTGTTGTTATTCCCTTTTTAATGGTAATCATTTATAAATGTAAATTACAGGGCATACATATTTTAATTACTTGGAAAAGAAGATCTGGAAGTTGTACTATATGTATGAAATATATACATTTAATTTAGCACAATTTTTGATTGAAAATTAAATATAATTCTGTACTTTCTGTTAGATTTGGTGAATATGAAAAGCAAAGATTCCATACTCAGCTGTTATTGTTAGACATAGGCAAATATATGCTAGTTTCAAAAGAAGTAAACATCTACAAAATTCAAATGTGTAAGTAATATTTTAATCTGGGGATTTATATATTGGGAAACTATGCAAGGAAGAGTGTCTGATGGTCACTACAGAAATAATCTAGGAATATTCTTCCAGTGGCATTTGCTTATACTGAATCAAAAGGATAACATTAAAATGGAAGTCAAGAAAGGTGCTTTTGTTGGCATTAAAACTCGTAAAATTGAGAAACAGTTTTTTTTTTTATTTGTTTATTGATTTTGTTATAGTTTTGAATATATGCTTCCAGACTTTTGGAGGAGGTACATGATAAATATATTGCTAATCATCAAATATATATTTTCCTTAACCTTTTCAAATAATTGTTTCACTCAAGAGTGATCAAATGAGAAAAGTAGCTGAAATGTATTTCTCTCTCTTTCCTTTAAATCTCAGCAGTTTGAGACCCTGAAAGAGTGAGAATCTATCAATCCAAAATAACCCCACCTTAGGGAGACAAAGTGACACAGAAGCAAACAGACATGCTTCATATGGCAAACACATGGAGACCAAGATTAGTAAATACTCTATCTGGCTATAATTGTATCTGTGTCCACAATGGAGGATGAGGAGAGGTGAATTTCACAATGATAAAATAGAAAGCTTCTAAATTTTGGTTGTTTGGAAAGTGGGGAACATCTTCAAGTATCATCAACTAACTACTGAATACTTACTACATCCTCAGCATCTGAACATCACTTTTTAATCATCCTCACCATAGCTGTGTGAACTAGGGATGGTTAACTCCAATTTATATGTAACAAACCAAGATTCAGAGAGGTTCTGTAATTAATCCAAGGTTTCACAATTAGTAATTGTTGGAACCAGGATTTATTCTTGGGTCTGACACCAAAGATTTTCCTGTTAACCAGTACTCCAATTCTAGTTCCCTATATTAATTTAGATAGTTCCATATAGGAAGGCATTTGCCATCAGCATATGACCATTATCTTAAACAAGTATTAGAAAGATGGACTAACCTACGAAAATAGAAATTTCTGTTGATAGGCTGCAGAAAAGAAACTCCATCAACTTACTTCTCTCATTTCTCTTCAACACTACCTTTAAGCTCAACTTATTGAAACTTCTAAGACAACATTTTCATGTATTATATGAATTTGATAATATACATTTTATAAACTTATTGTGAAAATGAAACTTACTACTTCTAAAGCAACTACCAAGGCTTATCACATCAAGAGTTCTCAATACATGGTACCTTTGATTGTCTTCTTAAATCACTTTCTTAACGGTGCCTTTCTTGAGAATCTAAAATGACTAAGTACAGATATTTTAATTCAGGCATTACCAATTCCTGTCTATAAATCAGTTTTATTTTCCATTTGGAATGTTACAGCTTCATTTTGTTAGAAGCAATTGAACAATTAATTGTCTTTCTATGTATGTATGTGTGTATGTATGTATGTATGTATGTATGTATCTATCTATCTATCTGTCTGTCTGTCTGTCTGTCTGTCTATCTATCTATCTGTCTATCTATCTAACTATCTGTTCTCTTCACCCACCAGTTTTATTCTTCAAGAGATTTCAGAGGGCTTTTGGTTTGGAGATTTAACAGTTTTCCAATAAAGACAAGATTCACTAATTTTGTTGTATATATTTAACATGTATGACAGGGTATTCTGATATATATGTATATAGTGAAATTATTACTACAGTCAAGCAAATTCACATATCCATCACCTCACATAGTTATCTCCATGCGTGTGTGTTTGTGTGCGTGTGTGTGTGTGTAGTAAGAGCACTTAAAAGCTCTCAGCAAATTTCTATTATACAACACATTATTATTGACTACAATCCTCGTGATGTATGTTAGATCGCTATACTGATTTATCCTATATAACTGCAATTTTCTATCCTTTGAAAGATTAGCTAAATTTATTTGTTTGCTTGTTTTTTTCTCAGTATCATGGTGACTAATAGAAAGGTAGAGCCGACCACTTGTAAAAGTTGCAGAGATTGGAAGACACTGGAAAGTAATGATGTGTCTATAGGGTCATGCTGTGGAGTACAGAGAACGGTAATTCCAGAAAGAAATGGAGTGATCGTTACACAGTGTCTTTAACAGCAAGTACTCAAATAAGATAATAAATGGCAAGAGATTAGCAATGAAGTCCTTTCCTTGGAACTGTGAAAGTTCTCGTAAAATATGCTGTATCATCTTTACATCCAATGTGTCTGTAATGTAGAACACATGATAATATAAATAAATTCTAATCTGGATAAACAGTACACTGCACTGTGAGTACATTATCATTAGTGTACACAGGAGGAGTGGGAAGAGCAGGGAGAAATACAGCATTTGTTGAGGAGTTTTCTTCAGAGCTTGGTAATTAATGCATTCTCTCTCAATGTTAATTCCCTTTTACTTAATTCTCTGAATCACTCTGTGATATGGTTTGGCTGTGTCCCCACCCAAATCTCATCTTGAATTGTAGCTCCCATAATCCCCATGTGTTGTGGGAGGGACCCAGTGACAGGTAATGGGAGTGAGTCTTTCCCATGATGTACTCATGATAGTGAATAAGTCTCACATGATCTGATGCTTTTCTAAAGGGCAGTTTCCCTGCACACGCCCTTCCACCTGCTGCCATGTAAGATGTGTCTTTGCTCCTCTTTTGCCTTCTGCCATGATTGTGATACCTTCTCCAGACCTGTGGAATTGTGAGTCCATTAAACCTCTTTTTATTTATAAATTACTCAGTCTTGGGTATTTCTTCATAGCAGTATGAAAATTGACTACTACACTCTATAAAATCAGTGGTAATATTCCCATTTTAGAGATGAGTAAAATAAAGATAAAAAATAAGACATATTCACAGGAATATATCATTAGTAAGTGGTAGAGTTTCAATATAAAGTCTTGGTCCATTTATTCTACAGCCATATTCTTTACAATACTCTAATGGCTTTCAAGTATATGTTTAACTTACAAACTTTTTTTCAAGTAAAATATTTCACAGAAACATTTATAAGACAGATAAAAGCGCTGCTTCTCTGTTTGGTGCAGGGGTGAGGATCCTGATGGGCTGCCCTCTCAAGCCCCATCCCTCACCTCCTCATGACTCTTGATCCACATCTGTAGCTTTTCTGAGAGTTCTGTAGAGCACAGTTTAAAGATGAGGGTATCACATCATATGTACTCTCAAACAGATCACAAATTCTTGAGTTCTTTGCTTACATAGCCATATGACTTTAGATAATTAAATAATGTCTTTGCTTTAGAATTGTGCATCCTAAAATGAAATGATTTTTAAGTGGAAAAGAAGCAGTACAAATAATAAAAAGAAACTTGCCTGAGGGTACATTTGGAATATTATAAAACTTGCACTATGATAGGTGCAAAGACTTCTAGGTAGTTGTCTTTTGGGCCAGGATATAATACAGAAACTATTAAGCCACTCTTCCTCTTTCTTTAGTAGGTGTTCTCTTTTATTTTAAGAACTTCAACTAAACCTTCAAAATACCTTCTTTCTCTTTCTAGTATAATATTAATAGTAGAATGTTGGCTTGTTCCTTACACCTCACAAGTCAACTGAATCATGGAGACATCTAACTTCCCTGAGTACTTTGATTTGCAAAATAATACGTTTCTGGCAATTGAATCTCCAGCTATTTTTTTGTGGAGGAATACTGCATCCCAGCTAGCTGTACCCCACTGCTCATGTTTGATCTTCACGGATTTCTTTGCAGGCTGGAGAAAGGGAGAATTCTCGATGCCCTTTGTGCCCTGAACAAAGGAGATAGCATAGACATCTTCAAACTAGTTTCTAGATCTACAAATATGAGTGTACAGGCTGCCCTTTCTTACTCTTGTCTTCTTCCCAGAGTGTTCAGGGCTGTTCCCAAACAGAAACTGTTTTCCTCAGTCTATTTATTACAGTGTCTCTCCAATTACCAGATATCCAAGAATGTACAGGGATTCGTCTATAGATGCCTCTTTGACATAATACGTTTAATCCTCAATTTGACCAAATCTATTGCAAAACATATTCACTTATTATTACAAGAAAACACGGGTACAATCTAAGGAGACCTCACCCTGGGGTTTTCACGAAGCCATACTCTTTGCCCTAATGTCTATCTGAGAATAAGCAAATCAATGCTGGTCAATGAAAAAAAAAAGTAAAAGGATCAATTTATTAATTGTAATTTAAAAATCTATAAAGAAAGAGAGGGAAAAAGAGAAGAGGTGGGAAACTGAACTGTATTGAATATCTATAATGCATTAGTCATTGTGCTATATATAATAGTCAATAAAAATGGAGAAAGAGTTACGCCTATACAATTGCCACAAAAGTTGTACTAAGTTCCCATCGCCTGTGTCACCATAGCATTACATGCATACATCAATTGCAGTACCTGTTATGCTGAACCTAAACTGACAGTCTTTCCACATTTCTTTTATTTCTTAATTGACACTTAATAATGATACATATTTATGAGGTACATTGTGATATTGTGATGCATATAATGTATAGTGATCAGATCAGTGTAATTAGCTCAGACATTTATCATTTCTTTATGTTGGGAACATTCAATATTCTCCTCCTGGCTATTTGAAACATTATAATATATGCTGTGAGTTCCTCAAGAGCTTATCCACCTATGTTAGCTAAAACCACCTATATTAGCTAAAAACCTATCATTGTACATTCTGTTACCCTGAAGTGAAGTCAGAAGGAAACTAGACAGAAGTGTTTTGCAAACCTCCGTGTTGCATACCCTCCCCCCAAGAACCAGCTACAATTCCAGGTAGACAATTCATAACAATGACAGACGTATCACTTACATTGCAAATTAAGTCTTCTGTACCTCTATCAATAATAGTTAGTAATCAGTTCCTATAGATAACTGCTAAGGTGCTAAGGTCTTCCCTTAATCAGTCTAGATTTTTATCTGTAAAGGTTAAGTTTTTTGCCCTTAACAGAATCTTTTATGGACAAACATTATATGCAATCATCTCTGTTGAAAATCATTCTCATATATCAAAATATATAGAAATATATGTTTATATTCCAGTTAGCCACATTTCTAAAATTTTGTTACTATATTTATTTATTGAATGAGAACTTACTGAGTATAGAATATTATTATTCTCCTCTGCCTTGGGAATATGAGTAAAGGAAAAGGAAGACTAAACTAAAAGACAAGTAAGAGATATGTTCCAGTAAAATGACAATAACAAAATATTGTGCTACAGATATAAAACAGTTGCTTTAGAGACATAGAGTGAAGGAATACTAAATTAGACTAATGACTCAGGAAAGGTCTTGAGGAGGTAAAACTTGAGTGGAACAGAAATTTTCCGTGGTAATTACATAGATATTCTAGATAAATAAAAGTGCCATTGCTCTGAATGACTAGAACCAGGAATCGCCATTTTAGAGAGATTAGTCTAGAAATGTCAGATATGTTTTTAAAATATGCTACTTCAATGATAAAAGCATACCTAAGAATAAGAGTAGTATCATCTTGGAATTAGATATTATTAGCTTTCCATTAGTAACATATATTTTGGGTATTTTCCCCAAGAAAAGGGATTTATTACCCGAGAAAGTAAAACCTAAGAATAAGAGTAGTATCATCTTGGAATTAGATATTATTAGCTTTCCATTAGTAACATATATTTTGGGTATTTTCCCCAAGAAAAGGGATTTATTACCCGAGAAAGTAAAACTCTTGGCTCATCACATAAGAATTTCTAAGATACTCAGAGAAAGACTTGTAATTTGGGAGAGGGGTAGGGTTTTGCTCTGGTTTTTCTTTATTCAATGATTCCATGTTGATGTGTAGAAATTGTGTAGGTTTTCCACAATCTGTTGAGCAAGGAGACAAGCCCTGTAAAGAAATGATAAGAGTCTAATGCAAAAGTACCTATACTAGCATCATGGTGGAAAGTTAAAATTTAGAAAGAGAGGCACTATAGAAAAATGTAAGAATTCAATGAAGTGATTCTTTTTCCCAGTTGTTTATTAATTACTGTTTGTGGAATTGTGAAAACGGCATGTGATTGGCACCGTGGAAACCAGGACGCGGGGGCTGGTGCAACCCCTCACTGTCTGTGAAATCTCGGATTTATCACTTAACCCCCCTCAGCCTCTGTTTCTCATCTATGAAGTGATGGTGATACGTTTACGTGAGCTGTAGATTTGTGAACATTAAACCCATAGGTTAACACTTGGTGAATCAAAGTGCAGTACAAATACCATCTACCACGGCACCAATGACTATATCCTAATATTAATCTAAATAAGCAATTGCTGTGTAAGTATATTCCATACTTGCTATAACCAAAAGAGCTTGAAGTGCATTTACAATATTTAAAAATGATGATGATGACAAAGATAACATTACCACTGCCACTACCAACAACCAGAGAAGACACTAAACAAGTTATATCACAAATTAAAACCAATGAGGAACATGTTGTGGATTAGTGTTAAGCCTATTACTCATCAAACTAAAGAGACTAAGTCTGACTCTGTTACCCAGGCTGGAGTGCAGGGGCACAATCTTGGTTCACTGCAACCTCTGCCTCCTGGGTTCAGACGATTCTCCTGCCTCAGCCTCCCGAGTAGCTAGGACTACAGGCACCCACCACACCTGGCTAATTTTCATTTTTTTAGTAGAGATGGGTGTCACCATGTTGGCTAGTCTGGTCTTGAACTCCTGTGTTCAAGTGATCCACCCGCCTCGGCTTCCCAAAATGCTGGGATTAAGGGCATGAGCCACTGCACCCGGCCTCTTTGTTTTTTAATCTGAACAATGTATTTAGCTACTTAGAGTCTTAGCTACCTCATCAATAAAATGGAAATAAGAATGTATCCCTTATTTCATGTATGCCAATGTGTGTGCAGAGTAAGAGAGAGACAGAGGGCACAGAAGAGAAAAAAGATGGTTAACTGGGCATGGTGGTGCGAGCCTGTGGTCCCAGCTACTTGGGAGGGTGAGGTAGGGGGATTGCTTAAGCCTAGGAAGCAGAGGTTGCAGGGAGCTAATATCATGCCACTGCACTCCAGCCTAGGCAACAGATTGAGAGCCTGTCCCAAAACAAAACAAAACATGAAACAAAGAGAAAGGGGATGGTATGTAATAATATACATGTGATTCACACAGCACCAGCTGAATAAGCCATGTTAAATACAGCAAGTCTTCACTTAACATCGTTGATGGGTTTTTAGAAACACTGAATTTAATTAAATCAACCTATAATCTCGAAAATATTGCTTACTTCAATGTCATTTTATTGTAGTGTTAATGAGAAAAAATTGGTTTTGATAGATATCACCTTATTTAAAGTTAATATTTCCAAGAACCTATCAACAATGGCCAGTGAGAACTCACTATATGTGTACATTTCCGTTGGCCCTTAGAAAATAATCTCATAGTATTGGTCTAATTACAATGCCTTTGTAAAGAAAAAACGAACACATTTTTGTTGCCTGTGACAAAGCTTTTAGAGCATTCATAAGAAGATAGGCTATCCTTCGCCCGAGTGAGAGCAGAAGGCTCTCAGGAGGGCCCCTGATTAAATATGTAGTATAATCATTTGTTTTCAGGTGGCATCAGTGTTGGAAGCACACTTCTTCAGCACTAGGAAATGATTTACATCAAAGCTGTATTGGCCCTGAAGGTTCCTTCCCACATTCCTGAGTTTCAAGACATAATCATTTATTTGAAGGGATCAGAGAGGATGTCCTGTCTCTGACATAGAGGATACTTCTTCCAGGAGTCTCCATGCAAGGCCAAGAGCCCTCACCTCACCCCTGGGCTCACACATGCCTTACAATGAAAAGGCAGTCTTCCAGCCAGAATCTAATGCTTGAGAGATTTGGATGGGTTAAGTGGTTGACTTTTTTTACTTCCATAGATCAACATTAACCTTCATGGATTCCTAAGGAGAAGATGTGCTCCTCCACTTATTCTGATTAATATTTTAAATTCAAGATTTTGAAATTTGAAAACATAGGCTTTAGAGTCACACAGACCTGGTTTAAATTTGGCACTGCCATTTACTAGCTTTATAGATTCAGAGAAGTAATTTATACTCCTTAAACCTTAGTTCTCTAATTGTTAAATTGACACAAGATTAATCTCACATGGCTGTGCAGAGAAGTGACTGCATATTTGTGAAATATCTACATGAATGCCTAGGAACACATATGAAGTCAGAGCTCAAAAATATGTATCTATTGTTGTCAGTAATAATTATAAAACCAGAAACTAACATTTAGACTCTTTCTGTGGGCCACAGATTGTGTAACTTACTTTCATGTATAACTTTACGAAAGTTTAAACACCCAACTTGGAAGACTGAAAACCTACCACCTACTTTGCTAAGTAATTTAACCTTTTAAAAACTCTGTTTCTGGCCAGGTGCAGTGTCACACCTATAGTCCAAGCACTTTGAGAGGCCAAGGTGAGGGGATAGCTTAAGACAAGGAGTTTAAGACCAGCCTGAGAAACATGGCACGTGCCTGTAGTCCCAGCTACTTGGGAGGCTGAGATGGAGGGATTGTTGAGCCCAGGAGTTCAAGGCTGCAGTGAATCATGATCATGCCACTGCACTCCAGTCTTGGCGGCAGAGCAAGACTGTGTCTCAAAACAAACAAACAAACAAACAAAAAAATCTGTTTCTTCATCAAGAGATGAAGAAGGTTTCAGAACCAAATTTAAATTATTGTTAGTGGATATTCAATACAATGGGTAATTAAAAGTGCTTGGCAAAATATCTGGCATATGGCACACATTTAAAAATGTTTTTATTATGTTATTATCTGTGATGATGATTGTCATCTTCACGTATTAGGTGGTATGACAAAATGCGGCAAAGAAGGTGATTTGTCTCACATAATTATCAATTCCTTTTAACTATTGTGTGGTAGAAAAATCAGTTTGGAATCAAAGTTCTACAGTGAAAAATAGTTCCTCGTATAGGGCTGTTTGATCTTAAGCAAATGATCTATTGAGCCTCAGAATCTTCCTCAACCATAAAGTGAGAAAATGTATTAGCTTTCTCAAACCGCTGTGTCAAATTAGTCCTGCATCCCATCATGACATGTCAATCAATAAGGATGGTCCTGCAAGATTATAATGGAGTTGAGAAAATTCTATGGCCTAGTGATCTCATACCTGTTGTGACATTGTAATGCAACACATTACTGGTGTGTATGTGATAATGCTGGTGTAAATGAACTTACTGGGCTGCCAGTCATATAAAAATATAGCACATATAATTATATACAGTACGTAATACTTGACAATGTTAATAAATGTCTCTGTCACTGATTTATGCACTTACTATACTATGCTTTTTATGGTTATTTTGGAGTGTATCCTTTCTGTATGTCTTTCTAAAAAAGTTAACTGTGAAACAGCCTGAGGCAGGTCCTTCAGGAGGTATTCTAGAAAAAGGCATTGTTATCACAGGCAATGCCAGCTCTATGCATGTTACTGTCCCTGGGAGACATTCCAGTGGGACAAGATGTGAAGGTGGAAGACAGTGATATTGATGATCCTGACCCTGGGTAGGCCTCAGCTAACGTGTGTGTCTTTGTTTTTAACAAAAACATTTAAAAAGTAAAAGTAAAAAGTATTAAAAATAGAAAAAAGTTTATAAAATAAGGATGTAAATAAATAAATTATTTTTGTATAGCTGTACAATGTGTTGGTGTTTTAAGCTAAGTATTATTACAAGAGTCAAAACACTTAAAAAATTAAAAAGTCTAGGCCGGGCGCGGTGGCTCACGCCTGTAATCCCAGCACTTTGGGAGGCTGAGGCGGGCGGATCACGAGGTCAGGAGATCGAGACCATCCCGGCTAAAACGGTGAAACCCCGTCTCTACTAAAAATACAAAAAATTAGCCGGGCGTAGTGGCGGGCGCCTGTAGTCCCAGCTACTTGGGAGGCTGAGGCAGGAGAATGGCGTGAACCCGGGAGGCGGAGCTTGCAGTGAGCCGAGATCCCGCCACTGCACTCCAGCCTGGGCGACAGAGCGAGACTCCGTCTCAAAATAAATAAATAAATAAATAAATAAATAAAAATAAAAAAAAATAAAAAGTCTATAAAAATATTATAGTAAGCTAAAGTTAATTATTAAAATAGAAAAAATATAAATGTAATGTAGACTAATTGTACAGTGTTTATAAAGTTTACAGTAGTGCACAGTAATGTCCTAAGGCTTCACAGTCACTCACCACTCAGTGACTCGCCCAGAGAAACTTCCAGTCCTACAAGCTCATTCATGTCAGGTGTTCTATACATGTGTACTATTTTTTAAATATTTCATATTTTATTTTTAGCATATCTTTTCTATGTTTAGATATATTTAGATTTACTGTTGTGTTACAGTTGCCTAAAGTATTTAGTACAGTACATACCATACAGGTTTGTAGCCTAGGTGTGTGGTAGGCTATACCATCTAGGTTTGTGTCAGTACACTCTATGATGTTCACACAAGGACAAACTTGCTTAAGGATGCTGTTTTTCAGAATGTATTCCTGTGATTAAGCTTTGCATCACTGTACCTCCAATTTAGCTGCTTAAACCACCACCTGTTTATTATCTCACAATTGCTGTAGGTCAGGTGTCCAGTGTGGTGTGGCTACATTTCTTATGATCTTGTATGTCTGAAGTCAAAGCGTTGACCTGGCTAAGCCATCTTCTGGAGGCTGGGGAAGTATCTGCTTCCAAATTCACTCAGGATTTTGGCAGAATTCAGTTCCATAAGTTGTAGGATTGAAGTCATTTTTTTTAAAAATTATTTTAATTTTTATGCTGGTTGCCCTTAACATTTAGAGGCCTTTCTCTGGTCCTTTCATGTGGCCTCCTGCATCTCAGAACCAGCAAAGACACATGGAATCCTTATCATGCTTGGAATCTCACTGACTTTCCCTATTACTGCCTCTCTGCCTTCAGCTATAGAAAGCTCTCTGTCTTTAAGGGCTTTTTTATATTACATTTAGCTGTATATTTCAGAGTAATCTCTCACTTTCAAGGCCTATGACCTTAATTAAAGATACAAAGTTTCTTTGCCATATAATACATGATATTCACACTTCCTGCGGATTCAGACATAAGTGTCTTTGGGACAAGATTCTGCCAACTGCAGGAAATAATAATTACCTTACAGTGAGCCATGATGAATCAAGAGATAGCATGTGTAAAATTATTTATTTTATCAACACAAGTAGTTTCTCAATAAATATTTATTTTTATTTTCTTTCCTGTTTACCTAAATTACATTAGATATCTAAAAGATAATGTCTTCATATTTCAACATGGAAGAGAGCATTTTGAAATTTTGTAAGATTTATACACATTAAAGTTGTTATGGTTATTCAATGTATAAGGACATATGCAGCAAACACAATGACTTGATATTGAAGCATTCTGAGATAGACTACTGGATGTGGATATTCCAAATGAAAAATCACCAATGGCAATCATCACATTGAGAACTAAGTATGTGACCCGAGGTTCGTTTCCTTTCCTTTCAGATTTGCCAATATAATAGCCTAGAGAGATGTATAAATGATTCCTGTTTTTCTGTTGTTATTGCTCTTCTGCTTTACTATTTCCCCTCCACTAAAAAGCTATATTTTGTCAGATTTAGAACTTTACCATGTATTATTTATTTTCTCAGAACAGATGTGGAAAGAAATGCATACTATATTCACATTCATAATAATTTTGCCTGTATAAAACAAAGAAATAAAAAATAATCAATTGATGTACTATTAATTTGTATAATATTAAACCTGCAGTATTTACACAGCCAGATTCACAGGTTCATATATAAAAAAGGATAAAAAAGGGCATCTTTCTAAAAATACTTTTTTCTTTTTATTCTTATAAAGTGAGAAACATTCAATGTATTATTTGCAATAAAAAATAAACACTAGGAAAGGAACTAAAATTAAATATAATTCCATTACCTAGAGCAGAGAGAGATAACCGCATATGACAAAGGTTCATTTCATATTTGTGATCACACTCTTTCAGTGTAATACATAATATTATAACCCAATAATTTTCTTCATATTCTCAAAACTCTTGAAAATATGTTTTGTATGACTGCTTAATATCCATTGAAAATATTTTATTTCAGTAATTTTAATTAGCAGTTATTTTCTTAGCTGATGAAGTTTGTTGTGTGGCATTGAGCTGCAGCTGGGGTTAGAAAGATGGGACTAAGATATCCTCCCTCAAAGTACTATGTGGGAACAAACAAACAAACAAAACAGGTAGAGAAGAAAATATACCATGGTTTAAACTTCTAAGCATATCAATTAGGATGACAATGTAAATGTACTTCACTAGTAAGCAGTCATATAATTTTTCCATTCAGATTGCCACTTTAAACTTCAAATATTTTACAAGGAAGCACAACAGTTTTTTAAATTTGCAGCTCTATGGTCAATGTCAATAATTTGTACTAGTTTAGTTGGGTTTATTAATGAATATTAAATTACCTTAGGACCCTTAAGTAATTTAAGAATCCTAAAACGTCAGTTCATTTTACAGTATCAGGATGGTAATGACCATAAATAATAGTCACCTTCTTTGTGAGGACTCTAATCTTAATTACATGTTTGCTCCATACACTTATCTAGCTGGAATTTTATGATCCAAATGTGATTTACAACTATAAATTAAATAATTATGTAAGGCACTCTCAGGGCTGCAGGCACCTGGTGATGTGAAATTTGATCAATCTTGTGGAGCTTAATGTCTCCTATGAATGGAAACCAGCTCAGGAATTCATAGCCTGTTTTATTGTCTCCTGCAGCCTGGACATTTAGAACAGACAAAAAGACAGAAAAATATATTATCTGTCTCAAATCTGTGGCAGCCAAGTGAAAAGATTTAGAAAGTCATATAAGTTACTCTAAAAAGAAGAGTACGGAAACAATTTGGACTGGATGCTTTAGAAGAAATGAACCAGAATAACTCTTGTCCAGTGGTCCATAGAAATATCTGCCTAGCACTTTACCTTCACACAACTGCAGAGGACCATATGTTAATTCAAATCTGCTTACAAACAAAAATATTTAAATTCAGTAGCCATCCACCCCACCTCCAACTGTTCTCTCACATGCGTTTGAATTATAGTCGTGAAGAGAATAAACAAGTACCGTATATGCACAAAGCAAGGGTGAAGGAATGTGGCAAAATTTATTATACAGATACACACAAGATGCAATGGCAAAACAGAGTAAAAAGAATCACCATGTTATTTAAGAGGCTGGAGGTCTTAGAGACCACCTAAAATCTTTTCATGTCAGAGTAAACCAAGGCTCAGAGTGGTTGTGGCTTGCTCCACGAGAGGCTGCTCAGGCTATGACTCCCCTGGCTATTCAGCTGAATTTCAGTTGCTGTTGTCACTGAACTGTCCCTCTCCTTCCCCCCACCACTCCCACTCTTAGCAACGTAGACGATAACTTCCTATTTCCTCCCCAAAGAAATTTTTCTCTGCTGTGAAACCTATCATTTGATCAAGAAAGAAAGTTCCCCCATCTTCTTTTACCTTTCAGCCTATAATCACTGTTTTTTTTTAATAAATATTACCTTAAGTTCTAATGGAAATTAAGATAATCGAAATAGATATGAACAAGTTCAGCATCCTTTGTCCAGTTGAACCAACAAAACACTAGGGCAAAAAGACAATAAGTAAATAAACTAACATAGTGAAAAGTGTTGTGAAGGAAATAAATCAAGCAGTAGACTAGTTGGGAGTGGGGTTACATAGTACATGGGATAGTGTGACCAGGGAAGGCCTCTGGCGGGAGATAGCATTGCAAGAGGTGGCATGAAAGATGAAACTTAAAATGTGAGAGGAAAGGCTGGCTATATAGTATCGTACTCTCATATCCTCAAACTTATTACACAACCTCTATTATTCTCCTCAGATTGAATAATATAGAGGTCCCCAGACGGTAGCTTTGTCTTTATCTTAACACAAAATCTGCAAACTTGAACACAGCTGCAACCATCTTTTCCTCCTTCTGTCATATTACCACGACATGGAGTTCTATCTGCTCTCTTCTATGTGTCATAGATAAATGACTAACATTGTTACTCTGTTACAATATAAAAATTGTAAACGTTGTTACTGAAATGCCAGGGGTTCCATCTAGGTCTCAAATGTTTGCAGCACAGGAAACCAATCACCAAGACAACAAGTATTGCCAGGGAAGCAGGCTTTTCATTTGGGTGACGTCAGCTGTAGAGGTGGGAGCCAAACCTCAAACCTGTGTAACTCAACTGAATATATTGGAGATTTGTACAGCAGGTAAGGAATGTATTAGCTATGTACAGGAAAACAGGAATTACGGAGGGGTAAGGAAGCAATCGTGATGAATGAGGGGTTTTACTTCTCATTGGCTGGATGCGTGAGCTGGTAAGTTTCAGTTCCTGACCTGAGGGTCAGTTTCCTGGGAAATAAACACAAATGTAAGTTTCGAATTTTAAGACTGGGAGGGTCAATTTCTATATTTATTCAAAAAACTATAAACATTAATTCTATGGTATAATATTCCTTTCAATGCGTTGTGTTTTGTCCACTAAGTCTAATATAACACAATTCTTGACACAAATTCCATTGCTTAATGCAGGTCTACTTTTTGTAATATCTTTCCATTTGTCCATCTATTCAAGAAACAAGGCCAGGTTTCATGGCTCACACCTTTAGTCCTAGAATCAAACTCAGATCTGGGCTACTCATTGCATGAAAGCCAAAAACCCAAGAGACGAGCTTTAGTGAAAGGAAAATTAGCATTATGGGAGAAGTCATCAACTTGGGAGAGGCAGTGAAATAGCATTCAAAGACCACTTCTCTAAGTTGTTTCTCTGGATCAGGGATTTTTAAAGGAAATTAGGGAAAATGATGATCAAAACATTATTGTGAAAAATGAGCTGTCTCAAGTGGGCAGTTAATTATTGCTTTCTTGGTCAGTGTTCTGTGACCTTCCACAGTTGCTATTAGCCTATTCTTATCAGACTGGTCAGCCCATTCCCAGAGTTATTGGTAGAGGTGTTTTCTTTATCTCTGTTGAAGGTCCTATTTTCCTGAGGTTGTTTGAAGTGAATAATCTACAAACTCAAGCAAGGCAATAATTACATTCAAGTAAGCAAGTTTTTCTCTAAAATGGAGTCAGTATTGTTACAATCCCAGCACTTTAGAAGGCTGATGTGGGAGAATTGCTTGAGCCCAGGAGTTCCAGACCAGGCTGGGCAACATGACAAGATCTTGTCTCTGCCAAAATAATAATAATAATAATAATAATAATAATAATAATAATAATAAATTAAAAATTAGCTGGGTGATGGTGTGCCCTGTAGTGTTAGTCAGGAGGCTGAGGCAGGAGGATTTCTTCAGCCCAAGAGTTCAAGACCAGTCTGGGCAATGCAGTGAGACCCCATCTCTAAAAAAAAAAAAAAAAAAAGAAAGACATGTATACTAAGCACCTATGGTATGTCTGAAACCAGTGAGGCACTTGAGATTCAATATTGAGAAGAGACCAAAGCTGTACCCTTAGCCATCTTGTCACCTGGTATAGTTTGGATGTTTGTCCCTTCCAAATCTCTTGTTGAAATATGATTCCCAATGTTGGAGGTGGACCTGATGCGAGGTGATTAGATCATGAGGGTGGATCTCCCATGAGTAGTTTAACACCATTCTCTTGGTGACAAATGAGTTATCATTCTGAGTTCATGTGAGAACTCACTATTTAAAAGTGTGTGGCACCTCCCTACTTGCTCTCACTTGCTCCTACTCTCACCATGTGAGATGTCTGCTCCCCCTTTGGTTTTCTCCATGACTGTAAGCTTCCTGAGATCCTCACCGGAAACAGGCAGCACCATGCTTCCTGCAAACCTGCAGAACTGTGAGCCAATTAAACCTCTTTTCTTTGTAAATCACTCAGCCTCAGGTATTTATTTATAGCAAAACAAGAACAGCCGAACACACCATCTACCATGGAAGTTCATGTGGAGCTCTCATCTTGTTTACTAATGAGAGTTGAATCTCTTATTGTGGGCCTTGCACCTGCTGTTTTAAAATATGCAACCTAGTGACTATAATCACTAGTCACTTTCTTCAGGCTTGCTTTTCTCCTTTCCAAGAAGCAGGAGGTAAAGAACATTATTCCTTCCTCAGAGATTTTGGGAGGATTACATTAGACCCATAAATGTAAACATGCCAGTAAATTACAAACTGTTGTATGAGAGTAGTGTAACACTTCTTTCTAATATAATACAGTGGCAAGGACCACTGTTCCTTGTTCCCACTCAGTAGAAAGAATTGATCATCATCCTCATCACTACCAAATATTTACTGAGGGCTTACCACTATCAAGGCTTTGTGTGTAGCCTTCTATCTAGTGGATCAGAGGGAGTACTTTAATAGACTGTACTTTTCAGATTGTTCAGGAGAAACAGAATAATATATTTTGTATCATCAAATAAGCCTAAGATTGCTAGGGTGATCAGAGTCACTAGAATTACAGAAACAGAACATTTTCTATGTCTAAGGGTTCGTTTTATTATACTAGGTATATATATATATATTTCATTTTGCCTTTATGAATTGTTTTCTACAGAAGCAGATTATTAAAAAACAGCTTTTTTCCCTTCTTTTTTCTATTTTTTTCATCTGGGTAAATAATGTATCTTGGGTGATATCATTCTTGCCAAGGAAAAAACAATTGGATTCTTTCTAATAAGAGGAAACAAGATTACACTGGAATGTATGTCACTAAAATTTAAGTTTTATAGACAAGGAAGTTATATCATTGTGTAAAATTCTTTATAACTGTCTCCTAAGATAGCCTAAAGAGAAATAAAATGCAAAGTGGCATGGAAAGTAGGACCTATATCTGTAGCATATTACAAGGCTTGCAATATTGCTTGCTTTCAGTATATGTTTTAGCTTCCAAAAAGCTTCACCAATACTCAATAAAGCTTTCAACAAGTGAAGCCAGTTACTGGACTTCTGAACTATAGGTGCAAAATCTAAGCTAAAATCAACGAATTCATGCTCTGGAGCAATATTTTCTAGACCTTCCTAGAGTTCCACATTCTTAAATTCACCATTCACCATCCTAAAGAACCCAAAACCACACATGACAAGCAAAAGGTTCTCAGCATGGATGAAGTCACACCCAGAAATCTGGAAGCAGCTTATTATTTTGTCTAAAAATTTCTGCTAGAGTAAGGTTAATTAAATAAGTAAAAGATTTACACATTTGAGTTGTGTATGGATTAGCATGGATATTTCCATGCTAAGTATATTAACTCAGTAGGTTTACTAGATTTTCAAAAGTGATTTGTTTTTTGGTTCTAATCTGTAATAATTGTGATAAATGTTTATAGATACCCTTGCTTACCTCTCCTTGGTAATCAGCATATCAGCCAAAAACAGACTAAAAAATGTTCTAATTGTGGACTTTATTACCTGAGTATCTTTCATGGCCCTTTTCTATTCAGTTATCCTAGTTTTGGCCTTTTACAATCTAATTTACCCTCGTGTTACAATTCCTAACTGGTCTCCTTTGACAGGCTTTCTGTCTCTTACTCCGTACAACACAGGACTACCACATCAGTATTAATAAAGCACAGAATACAGTGTCAACTTCCTAGCATAGTTACAATGTACTCAATAATCTAGTCTGATCCCACCTACTAATCTCTGTAATTCATCCATTTCTGTACTGGTGAGCTACTTCCTCTACTCTGCACATATTCACATATTCCTATTTATGCACCTTTATGTGCATTGGCTAGAATGTTCTTGTCATTATCTCCATCTCTGATTATAAGGATTTGAATAGACAGAGTACACGCTGAATGTAGAACAATCCTGCTAAAATCCTTAAGAATAAATTCCATGTATATAAAATACAATATGATTTTATTCTGCCCTTGTCACATTCCTCATTCCCTGACAATATACAATACGCAAAACCATGCTTATCTTTCCAACTTTGATATCATGTGCTTTTTAGGTGTTGTTTGTATGTGATTGGATGAGTAAAGGCTCTTTTATGCCACCCCACCATGCTGACCTACTTGGACTTTGTCTCAGTCTAGAACATCTGTCCTTTTACCATATTTCTCTTCTCACAAAGATTTTACCCCATTAATTAATTTTCTTTCCTTCAAAATTAAGTTTAACTGTTATTTCTTCTGAAAATCACTCTCTAAAAACTCTATGGCAGGGTCAGGTTTTCCATGATGTAAACGGATATATTTGTGTCACTGTAATAACTTCTATACTATTTAATTTCCTGCCTTTCCTTGCATGTTAAATTCCATGAATGCAATAATTATTTTACATGAGAATTTTCAGTGCTAAATATAATATCTGGCATCAAATAAGACATACAATCAATGTTTTTCAATATGTTGGATTTACAAATATGTATTTCCTAAGTTGTGATCTAGATCACATACTAAACTTTCATGAACTCCTTCCTATTTTTATTCATTAGAAGAATTTTCTACCTCCTCTGAGTACCCACATATTTTTTATTGCATTTATAATGTGTCCCACAGTATCTCAATTTATAGACATGTTTATTTTCCCAAACTAGATTGTGAAACATTTTAGTAAGAAGGACTGTGTTTAAATCATCTTTATACTCTCTTATTTCCCTATTCCTGGCACAGAATTTAGAATGTGGCAAGCATTCAATAGTGTTGAATGAATGGATGGTTAGCTAATGAACACCATCTTTAAAAATATGCTCACTATTATTTGCTAGTTATGTATGAGTATTGCCAAACATCATTTAGCCCAAATTCAATTTGATGATGAAGTCTTTACACTGATAATCATAGAGAAACATCTTATAGCGTCAACAGTATTGGTAGTGGTGGTGGTAGAGTTGGTGTGATGCATTGGTGGTGGAAATGCCAATTACATTGGCAAAGAACTTAACGGTTTCTCTAAAATCATTAACTTGTCACTGATCCTGACTAAAGCCTTTGAAAGCAAGCAGTGTGAGGAGTCTTTTTTTTTTTTTCTCCCTATAGGATTTATTTTCAGTTTCTTTAGCAAATCTTTATTCAGTAACTACCACATTCCAGGCATTATATTGAACCCAGGATTGTCCTGTTGACACAGGAACAGAAAACTGGAGACTATTCTTTGAGATATAATCATATTTTAATGATGAAAACATTGTATCTAACAGAAATAATTTTCCTAACCTTGGGTCACAAAGTAGTGCATCAAGATAATTTAGCGGAGGAATTTTCTATCAATTAAGGTACAAAATTAAGAAATAACGGATTCTCATATTTTGTTGCATCATATTCTTTCCTAAATGATTATGTCATCAACCCAGAGGCAGAATATAAGTAAGCAAAATTTTTATAGTATGTGTGAACACTTTCCAGTGAAGATTAGGATTATACTAAGAAAGAAGAAAGATATTTATTTACTGAGATTTGTTGACATTCTGCTACTGACATAAGATCTAACAGACAATTTCAAGACTGTATAATGAAAGTTAGTATCAAATTTGAAAATTTTCCTGATGTTTGAGGAATGAGTCTTCGACTAATTGTCAAGAGGGCTTCATGAAATAACAGCTCTTGAGAGTCAAAACAGACCATTAAGCAAAAGAAAGAGTTCCTATTGTGTAAATACATTATATATAAATTATTTATTTCTTAATGATCCCCATAAGATTTGTATCCACTCAGATGTAATATGTATACTTTATATTATATAAAAGGTTACATAACACATGCTATAATATGTAATGCTTATTTTCTCTTAGTATTTTTTTTTGTTGCTGTTTTTCTGTTAAATAACAATAAGTTTTATGTAGATTCCCTGACTGTGAAGTAGTACCAGGGAAAAAAAAAATCTCACACTTGTGTGGAAATTTGCTATATAGAATACACAAATAGAATAAAACATATGTGGATAATTGGGGAAGAGTTATATTAGAAATGGTGAACATCTGTCTGAAGCACAGATGTTAACTGCTATTTGGAGAAGACAACATATTAATTCATAGCAATTATTTCAAATGGTTGGAGGATTTCAGGTTGACAAGACACATTTTTCTTTTACCTTTTTATTTTTTCATGCCAGCAGGTATTCCACAGAAATATTCAAGCAATTCACTGTGGAAAAATGGCAGGCCCATCATTTAGAACTCTCTCTGTGATTCTGACATGTTGGTGATGTAATAGATGTGAGAGCAGTCAATCTGTCCCAGCCTGACTTAGCTAGTCCTGAAGTATTGTATAAGGATGTACAAAATAGCAAGGAGAAACTGTTAATAATAATAATGATGATGATGATGGCTAACATTTGTATAGTGCTTACTCTTGCTTTATATAAATCAATACATTTCATCTTTACAATATTCCCATGAGGTAACTATTATTATTATCCTCACTTTATAATTTAAGAAACTGAAACACAGATAAGTAAGTGGAATAGGCGGTACCTGGTGGAGCTGGGGACCAACTCAGGCAGTCTGCTTTCAAGTGTCTGTGTTTTTAACCAGTAAGCTGTATCTTGAAATATGTCAATGCATATATGTGCATGCATATAGGCTATGTACATTTCAGTATATGTGTGTACTTCTGTCGGTGTGTATAAATCATAAACTGTTGTGATAAGTCCTCCTTTATGTCTACTTATTAGTACCTTTTCTTAAATGTGCCATCTGACTTTAATTAATATAAATAACTATTTATGTAGTCATTCATGCATCATTTGCGTAATATATGATGTATATTATTGGTGAATATATGCATCAGTAAATTAACGGCTGAAAGGATTAATCAATCAATAGATGCTAGAATGTAAGAATTAAAAATATAAGTAATGAAAAAGTAACTGAAGATTAACTGAATAAATTAATTCCAATTTTCTTTCTTTTTTTTTTTTTTGAGACTGAGTCCCGTTCTGTCGCTCAGGCTGGAGTGCAGTGGCGCGATCTCCGCTCACTGCAAGCTCCGCCTCCCGGGTTGAAGGGATTCTCCTGCCTCAGCCTCCGGAGTAGCTGGGACCACAGGCGCCCGCTACCACGCTGGGCTAATTCTTTGTATTTTTAGTAGAGACGGGGTTCCACTGTGTTAGCCAGGATGGTCTGGAACTCCTGACCTGGTGATCCGCCCACCTCGGCCTCCCAAAATGCTGAGATTATGGGATTGAGCCACCGCGCCCGGCCTTAATTCCCATTTTCAAGGAATTCTTTTTATTAAGCATGAAATTTAGGTCAGATACAGAGCAGAGAAAAAGGAGAGAGGCCTCTGAACTCAGAGTGCTCATAGTGTAGTTGTTTTGCAAAACAAAGGGCAGAGACTCATCAGCCCAGCAGTATTACAAAGAAAAGCTAGGCTGCAAAGGAGATAGTAATCATTCCTAAGTGGTGCCTGACTACCTGCATATCAGAACCAACTAGAAACCTTCAAAAAAAAAAAAAAAAAAAAAAGATCCATCGCCAGTGTCCCACTCTAGGCCAATTAAATCCAAATATTGGGGGCTAAATTCTACATATGTGAAATTGTCGCAGATGATTTTAATGTACAGCCACAATTGCGAAGCAATGGTGAGAGCTAGGAAAAAGTCTGGAAGGCTTTATAGAGCAGACAATATTCTCATTGAATCTTGACAGGCCAAACCTTTGCCAGGCTAGAACAATGCAGGGTAGTGGATAAGTATGGGATCAGGACTGGAGAGGGGAGGGTAGGAAGGGTGAGAAAAGGGGAAGGAGAGAATTGCTGTGCATGGAGAGACTTCTTGGCAGAGGAGTTTTAAAGCTGCTCTCTCCTTCTGAAGCCCTATGAGCCTTGGGCCCTTTGTCTTGTGCTGTGTGCCTTTTAATCCTGCCAGACAAGGATTAAAATACTCAGTCAGGCTCACGATGTTCTGAACTTATTTAAGATAATGGCCTTTATCAATTGTGGCTCTCCCCCTGCAGGCCTCATAGGACTTTTCAGCTTCAACTTTGACTTCAGACTCATACTTCCCTAAATAGCTTTTAAATGGATTTTAAAATGCTCCATCTAAATTACTTAAAGTCTTACCTCAGCCACCCCATCAATTTCTAGAGAATGAGCTCTTGCCAACAATCAAGATTTTGTAGCACTTTGCAAGACAAGTAAAAACTACAGCCCTTGTCCTCTAAGGAGTTTACCTCAGTGAGTTAGGTGTGACCAGGTGCTTAAAAATACATAAAATGCCATGATTTGAAATTGGATCTAGAAATGCTGAATCTGAGATCCCTGACTTTAGAGCTGTTAGCTACTTTATTGAGCTTTTCATACAATTTCAATCTGACAATATGGAGGCTGTAACCTTTGGTGTTGCTCAGAATAAGAGACTCCAGCACTTTGAAAATCATCTAAAGAGAGTCATTAGATGTTTTGACTATTGTCTTTGTTAGAAAATAACAATAGCTAATGACTCTAATAGCCAGAACTGTTGAATACTGCATATGTGTTAGGCAATATTCTTTTTTTAAATTTTATTTTATTTTATTTTTTATGATACTTTAAGATTTAGGGTACATGTTCTTAACACTTTTTATGCATTAATTTATTAAATGCTTTCAGCAATACTATGAGAGAGGCAATTTATAATTTTCAATTGATATGTGAGGAATTCGTATCACAGAGGTTACATAACTTGTTCAAAGGCTCTAGGCTTTTAAGGGGCAGATCTGGGATACAAATCCAAGCAGTCTGGTTCCAGTGCCTGTGTGCTTAATGTAAAACCAGACATGATTTGTGTCTGGGTCCTCATGCCCTTAACATTTTGACATTCTAAATACCTAAGAGTACTTTGCAAAGTGATTACCCAGATGCCTGACACAGTAAATACTCAATACATACTAAGCATTATGGTAATAGTATTTTCTAAATATTTTTAAAAGAGAGATGAAATTATAATTTGAGTAATCTATCATGTTTTTGAGTTCTACAGTCATTATTTTATTACTTTTCACAGAAAACTTGAACTGTAGATATAGCCAGGTTCATTTTATAGGTATAGAATTGGGAACTCAGTGAACAAATCATTAGTCTAAGGTCACACAACCAAAAAGCGGTATAACTGGAATTGGAGCTAGGGTTAACCTGGGGTTTTTCCTCTGAAATGGTCCTCCTTCTAACAGTTGACTGGTTAGTCTTCTCATTTAGATTGGCACATAAAGAGGGTAAAACTTCACCTTCAAATAACTTTTAGCTGCAGAGTTCAAATTTATCATTGTGTCTACAACATACAATATAAAGGATCATAGAATATTTAATGTACACTAGAGCAGCAACTGAAAGGATGAAGTCAAAATTAATTAGTTAAACTTTTAAATATTTACCTATGGCTACAAAATGAATTGTGTGTGAAGAATATTTTGATCCAAGGGAATTTAAAAATATTACCAAAAATGTAAAAATTAGAATATTGATGATTTCCAACACAGATAGTTCAACGACATAGAATAAAAACAATGTGTACCTAAAAACATATAGTTCAAAGGAGGAAGTTTACATGTGAACATGAGTGCCTAAATAGGGCAGTGCCTACTATCTGACCAGTTTGCTTGCTGGCACTTCCTGAGCTATACGTTGATTGGTGAGACTGTCTGTCTGTCCGTCTACCTATCTATATGTATATTTCAGTGAAAATGCCTAAACAGCATAAAAATAGGTTATTCCTTTATAATACATCTGATATGAGTATGAACTGTGCAAATAGCAGCAAATAATAGCTCCCAATTTTGAATGCCTATGAATGATTGACACCATTTTAGATGCTTTATTACATGACCTCATTTAATAACTATAGCAATCATATTTTCTCCATTTTGTAACTAAATAAATTGAAGTTCTGAAAGTTTGGCTAACTTACTCAAGCTCACACAGGTAATGTTAGATATAGGATCTGATTCTACCCTCACTTCTTCCAGTTTTCCACCGCCTCCGAAGAAATCAGAGACTTTTTAAAAGTTCTAAGGTTCGGGGAGGTGGGGGAGATTTTCTTTCTTTCCTCTTGTGTTTTTTTTTTTCTATCTTTCTTATTTTTTTAATTACTATTTCCTGAAACCCAATAGTAACCATTCACATTTTCTTTATCCTCAACAACAAAGGTGTATGCTGCTTACATAACAGTCTTCTGAGCTTACCAGCATAAGGCATGGCATAACGAGCCAAGTTACAAATAGATGTGCATTTATCACACCTCTTTTCATAACTCTAGTCCTTTTTCTTCTGATAAAGGGTGCTCTGGACATTATTAAGGAAATAGTTCTGAATATCCCTCAATTTATTGAGTCATTTATTTTTATTTATAAGCACTGCTCTTTAGTAAAACATGTCCTGCAATCTGCCTCAGAATTGTGCCACACCAGGGTTTTAGGCTGCTTTGAGACTGAACCTAGTTAATACAGACTTGGCAAGTTTGCTGTTATAAGTAGCTTGGTTTGTGTTTGGTTGGCTGATTGCTTTTGATTTGCTTTGCTATTCCTATGGACTGGTTACATTTCTTTTGATTTTAGTACTTGTTCCATTCTTATTTTCAGGAGACTCTGATTAGTAAGTCAGGGTGAGGTCCCAAAATTTGTATTTGTAGAAATGTCCTACATTTGGAAACCAACTCCAAACAGAGGTTACTATTCTTCACTACAAAATCCCACCAATGACTCCTTTCAACCGTTCCCTCCTATGTATATAACAGTGTCTTCTTCCATCACACAACAAAGGATAAGAACAAGTGCCTTCCAATACTTAGAAACTTCATTTCATACTTGCTTCTATAAAATATGAAAGCAGTTACACAAAAATGGCTCGATCATTTTTAAAGTGTCAGGTCTTTGCTCTCTTAGGATTCTTTCCTGCAGAAGAACATTTATATTTCTTCTAGTTCCCCTAATAACAATACTGCAAAAATAAAATAAAATAAAAAAGACTTTTTATGTCTCTAGTCCATTGCCAACTTTAATTCATGACAGTCAGTATTAATTCAGGCCTAAGGCCCCTAAGGAAGATAATAGATGCCTAGACCTTTTTTTTTTTTTTTTTTTACCACCTCTACTGCTTCTACATTTGATTTTCTCATGTTTCATCAAGGTTTGCTAAATCTATTTAGTCCAGATTTCAGCCTCAGGCATCTCTAAATGTGTTAGTTTAATACTTTGTCATCTCGTCTTTGCATTTTTCATCTAGAATAGATAGTTTAATATTAAGAAACCACAATAAACTGTTTCATGACAAGGAAAAGATTGATTCTGGGAACCTCCCTCAAAAACACAAAATTGATTTTTCTCAATTTGTGCTGAAATCATAGAATGCTTGGTGAAACGTATCTACAAGATCTCCCCTTTAGGGATACTGGTATGAAAAGAATGTTTACAGTATTTTCCTCACTGTGTTTCAGCCTGTGAGATAGGAAAGGTTATACAAATTAGGAGATTTCCATGAGTCCAGCACAGGGAAAGGCTAGAAAGATGGTACCAGAAAAAGACCAGAGAAATCATGTAGGGCTAACATCACTGAGCTCTCTGATCTTAGAAAAGTCACTTACACTTTCAGAATCTTAATTTCCTTATCTATAAAATGAAAATAATAATATGCTAAGTTATTGATGGGAGTTGCTGAGGTAAATATATTATTTATATAATTATTTTAAAGTAATTTTTATATATTAAAAATATATATTATTTTTATATGTATAAATTATATATATACATCTTTTAATTTGAGAAAGTTCTGGCTCTATTGCTGAGGCTGGAGTGCAGTGGCATATCTCAGCTCACTGCAACCTCTGCCTCCTGGGCTTAAGCCATCCTCCCAACTCAGCCTCCAGAGCAGCTGGGACTACAGGTGCATACCACCACTCCCAGCTAATTCTCATATTCTTTTGTAGAGATGGGGTTTCACCATGTTGCCCAGGCTGGTCTCAAACTCCTGGGCTCAAGCAATCCACCTGCTTCAGTCTCCCTAAGTTCTGGGATTACAGTTGTGAACCACCACACCTGGCCAAAATAGAATTTTTAAATAGCTAAAAACAGGGCTCTCCTGCAATCCTACTTCTAGATACACATCTTGAGTGAATAAAATCAGTATGTTGAAGAGATAGCTGCACTCTTGTGTTTTATTGCACCATTAATCATAATAGCCAAGATATGGAAACAACCTAAGTGTTCATAGATGAATGGATAAAGAAAATGTGAGCTATAACACACATACACACACACACACACACACACACACACACAGAGGGATATTATTCAGCATTAAAAAGGAAGTCCTGTCATTTATGATAATGTGAATGAACTTACAAGACATTATGCTCAGTGAAACAAGCCAAACACAGAAGGACGTATACTACATGATCTCACTTACAATGCGAAATATAAGAAACTAAAATTTATGGACACAGAGAGCAGAATGGTGGTTGGAAGGAGCTGGAGATAGGGAAAATGGGAGATGGTCAACTTATACAAACTTGCAGTTATATGACAAGTTAAGTTTTAGAGAACTAATGTATGGCATGGTGACTATAGTTAATAATGTATACTTGAAATTCGCAAAGAGACAAAATCTTAAATATTCTCATCACACACACACAAAGTTAACTATGTGAGGTGAAAGGTATGCCAGTTAGCTTGATTGTAGCAATCATTTCACAGTATTTCTGTATATTAAAACATCACATCATACACTTTGAATATATCTATTTTTTGTCAATTATACCCTCAATAAAGCATATAAAAGACTTTCATACAAGACTCCCATACAAATATAGAATGACCATGTGTCACCAATTTATTAAATAATTAATAGGAACACCAGAAAGACTATAAAACTAGTACCAAAGTACCAAGAGCAGTTGAGCTGTGCATTTACAAGAATTTTGTCTTAATAAACAATCATTACTAATATTACAATAAGATTTTCAGGTTATATGCAAAACTAGTTAATATCATACAGGACAATAAAAGTATAATACACTTGAGTTACCCTTTTTTTTTTTTTAGGAGGAGAGATGTTTCTATTTGACACCACAAATTTGCAAGTTAACATGTAGCTACACAGTATCCGGGTTCCAATCAAATAGCAAAGTAAGATGAAGATATATTATCCTAGATCTGTGCTTCTCAAAAGGTGGTTCTGGGACTCCTAGGAGTCCTCAGACCCTTTCAGAAGATCTACACGATAAAAACGATTTTATTTTTATTTATTTTTTATTTTTGAGACGGAGTGTAGCTCTGTCGCCCAGGCTGGAGTGGTGCAGTGGCGCCATCTTGGCTCACTGCAAGCTCCGCCTCCTGGGTTCACGCCATTCTCCTGCCTCAGCCTCCCGAGTAGCTGGGACTACAGGCACCCACCACCACGCCCAGATAATTTTTTGTATTTTTAGTAGAGATGGGGTTTTACCCTGTTAGCCAGGATGGTCTCGATCTCCTGGCCTCGTGACCTGCCTGCCTCAGCCTCCCAAAGTGCTGGGATTACAGGCATGAGCCACCGTGCCCGGCCCTATTTTCTTAATAATACTAACATATTATTTGAGTTTTTCACTTTGGTTCATCCATGAACAGTGTTTTCCAGAAGCTACATGATGTATGACGTAATAACAGATTTAGAATAGAAACACAGAGGAGAATCCAGGTATCTTCTCTTAAGCCAGATATTAATGAGACTTGCAGAAATCTTAAGTCAATCCTACTCTTTCATTAATTTGTATATGTTTGGGAAATATCTTTCCCTTATAGAAACAAAATTTATGTTAGCATGAAATGGGTTTTATTTTACAATTAATACATATTTTTAAAATTATCTGTTTAGAATTCTAGTGTAGTAAAAATTACTAGATATAACCCACCAAATGCAAACATTTTTGGATAGTCAACATTTTAAGAGTATAAATGGGTCCTGAGACCAAAATGTTTTGGCTCTCCTGTCTTAGAGAATTAAATAAAATTGGTTTAATAATACACCAGAATCCAATGAAAAAGTGCACATTTTACTCTATTTTGCCCGAATTCTGCATTTTGGACAATATTTCTTGGCAGAGGGGATAACAAAGTGCCTGCTATAAGAGTAGAAGTTCAATTATCATTCCTCTTTTAATTCTTCTTCTGGCTGTTGCTAGTGGACAAATCTAGTTACAAAACAACTAATATTTTGAGTTTGAGGTAGGATAATGTAGGAGAGAATCCTTCATTATTTACGGCAATCCACACCACTGCCAGTTAGGTACTTATAGCTAAGTTTGAAGTTGCTGAGGAAAGAACCACTGTGGCCTTTGCATTCCTGAAAATTTACATGCAAAGTTTGACAACTAGCGAGTTGTGTGGTCAGACGTTTCTGCTTCCTCATAAAATGAACATTTCTTGGATATCCAATGACCCGCTACCCATTGGTCATTGTGTGGGACAATATAAATCTGAAGAAACATAAGGCCAAGGCGTGGATTAAGGAGTTTACCAGAAAATTGGAACAAATTTCCCAAGAAAACCCTTAGGAAACCAATGTGTAACTTGTGATGTGAAACCTTTCAGGGGGCTTCCCGTGGCCCAAAGCCCTACAAAATGTGCCCATTGCTACTTCCTGGGATCTCGGCCTTAGAGTCACTCCCTCTGGAAACTTGGCGAATATATCAGACAAGGTTAAGTCCTCCAGCCATCCACTTTTAGAGCACCCTGTACTTTGTAGCTCACTGGGCAACTGTATTTCATTAAATATTTGTGTAAATTGTTGTCTGATAACTCTTCTGACATTCTGTTGGTGATCGCAGTGCAGGATGAAATTCTGTCTGTTTTGTTCACTACTGTAGGCAGCTTTCCTTTTACAGTGCCTGGCACAGAGAGGGTGAGAAATACTTACCAAATGAATAAGATGTTCTGATGTACAGAGGATGTAGAAGTTAATACAGAGGTGGAATGGGGTGGGAGCATAGGTGGGGAATATAAAAAAAAAAGATCAGTAATGAAAAGATCTCTAAGCACAGAAATTCGTATACACGTAGCCTAAGATGTGAAAAAGAAAGTTCTGAAAGTACTGAGTGGGTTATTGTTTTTGAAGCTTGAGTATTTAATATGGTAAAGAGAATAAGGGGAACAAAGTTTCATTTTATCCATCTGAAGTCATTTATTTATTACACCAATTCACTTACTTTCTTAATCGTTAACCGTTTATCTATTACCCATTACATGTGAAAGATCCTGGTCATCAAGAGTTGATATTTCAGTTAAGGATATAAAATATTTAATGTGGAAATGACAAAATAGTAATTACAATGTAAAATATAAAACAGAGCTTGGAAATTTTATTATAGGTTTATATAAATCTGGTAATATTTTTATGGAAAGCTACTAGTATTTCTTCTTAGCAAAGATAATGTTTTATTAGATATTATATGCCCAACACCTAACATAATACTTGACATAAAATTCATGCTTGGGAAATGCTTCCACTTTCAAATTGTGTAACGAACAAATGAAATAAAATAGAGAGATGGGAATGAAAGCAAACAAAATTTATTGTAGTTATCATCATAGTCATCACCACTACTGTCATCATCATCTTCATTATCACATTAACTATATTTATTGAATTTTATCTATGTGCTAGGTACCAAGCATTGTACTATGCAGTTTGCATAAATTATCTCAAATTGTATTCACAGTTCTTCAAAGTAAGAATATCTTATCATTTTCAGATGAGGAAACTGATATACAGAAAGTTCAAGTTATCTTTTCAAGTTTGACAGCTAGCAAAGTTTAGAGTTTAGGTTTGTCTGACAGCAATGACTGCCCGATTACCACTAAATCATTGTAGAAAAAAAAAATAAGATGCTGTATCCTAACTATAAACATGATTTATTTATAGTCTTAAGTTATAAATGAATTTGAACAAAGCAGATCTATTTCAGAAAGAGTAAAGCACAGATATGGTCCTCAGACATGCAGTACTCCATCATTCTAACAATACTCAATTTTCAATATTGTCAGAATATTATAATTAAAAATATTAATTGTAAGTACACATATGCTAACATGCAGTGATCCTTTGGGGTAAAAATGTTTGCTTTCTTGTATGTCAAATGTAATATGTCAGGGATCTGGCCATTTTAGAGTCAATTATATTTTTAATTCATATTTTCTTAATGGACTTTCTTAATGGCAAGCAGAGTCCATTTAAGATAAAAAACAGCAACATAATTTTATTAGCCATTAAAAACAATTGAATGTAAATTTTCTATCATGGGTCCTTATATAATGAATATTAGCATTTGAGGTTATTCCTATCATGTGTTTTTAATGAGATAAGTGAAACACTAATTTAAGAAAGTGATCATCCTTTAACCTGTAAAAAGACATAAATACACTCTTTACCATCATATGAATGTGGTGATGATTTATATTTCATCTATTAAACTACATAAAAATAGATAGTTTAATAAATTTCTTTATGCCCAGTTACTAATTTCTCCTGTACATATCATTAAAATTAAGTATGCCAGGAAATTTGGAACTATATCAGAAATTGAGGTCAATTAGGGACTCGTTATGAAGGAACAGTGAAATTGATTTGCAACTGTATCTTTTTGGGCTTCCATTTTCTAATGTTAATAATAAAATCTTAAATCTGACAAAGAGAGTCATTAAAGTACTGCACAGGGAGGGTTATTCATTACTTCAAAAGTGTATTATCTGGAACTTATTCCCTTCTGCTACCAAGATTTGTCATGTCCAAGAGATTAATGACATTGAATATGAACTATATAATTGATTGGCTGACATCAGTTACTATGATCCACATTCTCAGTAGATTTATGTGCCTTAGTGTTGTTCTTTTATTCCTTAAAAAAATTCTCCTAAGGAGCAAGTATTACCTTTAGAAGATTAGTGCAGCCTATGGTGTAGTCTGTTTCCTATATACAGAAACTAGTCCAATATGGTATCATGGTGAAAAAATAGCTCTCAGAGTGAATGTGTACATTAGTGGTGCATATGCATGTATGATGTTGCACACAACTCTCATTAAATAATCAAAATGGCCATGGATAAAATCAAAAGAAGGTCATGCAGGGCACTTCAGGACACCATGAGATTTTCAGCCAGACTGAAAGACAGGCTATGTATCCAAAGTCTACACTAGAATCAAGGATGTTAATAAGGTATAGGCATGTCCACTATCTCATACAACACAAATGTGTTAGTTTTTTATTCCTATTACCAAAGACTTAGCAGCGTAAAATAGCACCTGTTTAGTATCTCATGGTTCTGTAGGTCGGAAGTGCAACAGAGTGGCTAGATTCTCTGCTCAGCATCCCACAAGGCTGAAATAAAGGTGCTGCTGGGCTGCAGTTCTGATCTGGGGAGTAGGCTTGTAGGCCCACTGCTAATTGGCATATCTCAGTTCTCATGCTTTTCACATGGCTCTCTCCATCTTCCAATCAACATAGTCCTGTTGAGTCTTTCTTGGGCACTGAACCTCTCTGACTGCCCATTTTGCCTTTTAAGGATTTCTGTGAATACAGTGAGGTAACCCAGATAATGCAAGATCATCTCCCTATTTTAAAGTCAGTTGATGAGTAATTTTAACTGCATACACAAAGTCCTTTTTGCCATGTGAAGAAAAAAACACAACCATGGAAGTAACAAGAAGGAACAGAAATTACTTGGTATGGAGGAAGAAGGAAAACAAAATTCTGCCTTCTACAACTAGAAACTTGAGAGATACATGTTTAGAGAGCATAAAACTTGAATTTCGCACAATGAGAAGTAATTTTGAGAATACATTAAGCAACAGTGTTGTCCTGATTAAAAATAGAGATTGCCAAAGATGTTCGCATAATTATGAATGACAGATTTGTACAGAATGGAAAAATAAAAGGGGGATCACATTTAGAGGGTGTTTGTGATATTTGAGGCTAATGTAATCTACTCTCAGTGGCAGGATGCCTGGTTACAAGCTGGAGGGATCATCAGTATAAAAGATGTGGCTATTAGACCTTTGTCAGATAGATAGATTGCAAAAATTTTCTCCCATTAAGTAGGTTGCCTGTTCTCACTCATAAGTGGAAATTGAACAATGAGAATGCATGGATACAGAGAGGGGAGCATCACACACTGGGGCCTGTCAGGGGGTTGGGAGAAAGGGAAGGGAGAGCATTAAGACAAATACCTAATGCATGTGGAGCTTAAAACCTAGATGATGGGTTGATAGGTGCAGCAAACCACCATGGCACATGTATACCTATGTTACAAACCTGCGCGTTCAGCACATGTATCCCAGAACTTACAGTTAAAACAAAACAAGCAAACAAAAAAAGCTGTGGGAAGGATTGACTCTTAAGTAGCATATGTTTTGTTTCCCTTAAATATTGGAAAATAATGTTAGTTTTCATTCTTTAGTTCACACAGCTCATATCTAAACCATAAAAAAGTAATTGAAAGAATCTTTTTATGCATGAAATATGTTTTAATAAGTAGAAAAAAATTGCCAACTTGTAGCTTTACCTACATTTTATTCAATCTGACAACTGCAAAATGAATAAAAGAATCTCTGAATTTTGATTAAACTGTAAATGCCTTTGAATTATTGTTATCATCAATTGAGATTGTTGACAATGTACTTAGCACTAGATAAGACACGGGAGACATAACTTTTACCCAAGGGTTTTTAAACCCACATTGTATTAAAAGCATGCTGTGTAAAATGTAATTCATTTCAACTTCACCAAAATTTTTCATTTAAAATTCTATTTATGGTGCTAGCCAAAGAAGTACTTACACTTTAAAGTAAAGCAAGTAAAGCATTCTAGTGTGATTTTTTAAAGCATATTGCAAATAAAGCCGTTTCCTTCCAATAAAGAGGACTTCTATTTTATAGACTGCAATTTTAATTCCAGATAGTCATTTATGAAAGTATTTGCCAATAGGAATAGAGAAATCAAGGTGACTTTGAATGATTCAGTTTAAATCATCCCAATAAAAAAATCCGCATTAAATTATCATCCTCATACTGAGAAAGCCGTATATTTAGCTGAGGGAACTGACTTTATTTAGTGGCCGTTCTGAACTACAAAGTATGCTAGATGATTTCCACATTTTAATAAATCCTCAAAATGTCATAAAATTTTAATATGTGTATTCCTTTTTATAGAAGAAAAAAATGGGATTCAAGGAGTTTAAATCAAACATTGAAGATCTTCCACAGTTGACCCAAGTCAGATTTCCTACTTGCTCATTCACACTTCTTTCCTATAAAAAGTGTCATTCATGAGCAATCTCATAAAAAGTCATCGGATTTTTCTTATGTTAATTTGAAATCCTGAACGAGACAGTCTATATGGAGTTATTTAGATTTCCTATTTTATTGACTACTTCACTATTCATAATCCAGATATTTGAGTACCAAGAAACTGACTAAAATTATGAATCATTGAAACTATTGAGATAATTATTTTATTAATTTTATAAGCCATCTTATTGGCTTGTTTGTAGAAGGGTTTGTGAACCAGGTCTAAAAGATAGTGTGCCTTACTTCTGTTACCCTGTCATTGATAAGAATTCAGTCAAATCACCATATAAAGTACAAAGCAAGTTAGGGAATAAATGTAGACTCAGGGAAAAAAAAGGGTAAACAGTTTTTGCCTTTCTAAGTAGCTAGCACGCTCTATTACATTTTTTTTTATTATACTTTAACTTCTGGGGTAAATGTGCAGAACGTGCAGGTTTGTTACATAGGTATACATGTGCCATGGTGGTTTGCTGCACCCATCAACCCATCATCTACATTAGGTTATTTCTCCTAATGCTATCCCTCCCCTAGTCCTCCACCCCCTGACAGGCCCTGGTGTGTGATGTTCCCCTCCCTGTGTCCAGGTGTTCTCATTGATCAACTCCCACTTATGAGTGAGAACATGCGGTGTTTGGTTTTCTCTTCTTGTGTTAGTTAGCTGAGAATGATGGTTTCCAGCTTCATCCATGTCTCTGCAAAGAACATGAACTCATCCTTTGTTATGGCTGCATAGTATTCTATAGTGTATACGTGCCACATTTTCTTTATCCAGTCTATCATTGATGGGTATTTGGGTTGGTTCCAAGTCTTTGCTATTGTGAACAGTGCTGCAATAAACATACATGTGCATGTGTCTTTGTAGTAGAATGATTTATAATCCTTTGGGTATAGGCCCAGTAATGGGATTGCTGGGTCAAATGGTATTTCTAGTTCTAGATCCTTGAGAAATTGCCGCACTGTCTTTCCCAATGGTTGAACTAATTTACACTCCCACCAACAGTGTAAAAGCATTCCTATTTCTCCACATCCTCTCCAGCATCTGTTGTTTCCTGACTTTTTGATGACGTTTTACAATATCTTCTGGTCCCACTCAATCAACTACTTCCCTTCTTCACATAAAAACCCTTTCTAGCCCTTCAAGACCCATCTCAGGTATGTTTTCCTTCAGAAGATTTTCCCCCAACTTCCTGAATAGATGCTTCCTCTTTGAGCTTTTATTATATCTTGTGCATGCTAAAATCCCAGAATTTTTCATACTATATTTGAATCTGTCCCCAGAAAATGAGTTTCATCTTTGCATTTCCAAAATTTGGCTTAATACCTTGAATTCAAAGTACTGATTGAGTGAGTGCATCAAAGATTCCAAAAGCATCAGTTTTCCCTGGATTGAAAGTAAAATAAATAACATGTTTATTTGAATTGTTTTGTTTTCAGTGTACTAAATCTATTATTCTAATTAGATTTGGAGATAACCTAGACAGACTCACTTCAATGAATCTTGAATTTTATCTTCGTACTTCTTCAAAGCATCGGAGCAGAGTACAACAGTTATTACATAAACATTTACTACTAAATAGATTTGTTAGTCCTTGCTTAATAGTAAGGCCTAACGTGCTTTATACTATGGATGGAGTCAACAAAAGTTTGTTAAATAGATGAATGAATACGTTATTGCCTTACCAGATTTTATGCATCCCAGTAGATCAGCTTTTTCAGGTTCCCTTCTAAGAATAATGCACACAAAAGGAAAAAATACAATTAAAAAAACAATTATATTGAGTAAAATCCCTCCTTTATTAAACTTTAAAAACAAAATATACTGATGTACTTAATAATGACTGTACTTGCAAAATAGCAATGGGCATAAATAATGCTTCAAGGTGTCTTCAATAACTATAATGTGCTCTATAATTGACTTGGATCATCAATGTTTTTTAATTAAATCACATGAAGCATTGATTATATTATAACCACTTTGCTAAGTAAAATAGTATTCTGTTTCACACAGTAACTCATTTAAATTCAATTCTTCCATGGAGGAAAGCCAAATATTATAATCCTTAGATCACTTAGGATTTGCTAAGTAACAAACTACTATTAATAGTAATGCCTCGAAAAACAACCATTTATTTTACTATTTTGCAGGTTGGCAATCTTCACTGGGCTAAAGTGCAAGGCCCTTCTGGTCCCAGCTGGCTCACTGATGAGTATATGGACAGCAGAGGGGGCTGGCTAGGTATTGACTATTCTATGATGGCCTCAGCTAGAACACCTAATTTCCACTCCATATGGTTTTCCAACCTCTGTAGGCTACCTGCAGCTTGTTTTACATGCTGGCTAGGCTGGTTACCAAGACAGCATAGAAGTGGAAATGGTCTTTTGTGGCCTTTACTAGGGACTAGCACAAGATCACTTCTGCTGTAGTCTCTTTGTTGGTCAAAGCAAGGCCAACCCAGATTCAAGAGGTAGAAAAATAAACTTCAGTTTCTGACAAGAAGAACAGCAAGTGAACGGGTATAGATATTGAAAGTAGAAAAACTGAAGTCATTTTCTGCAAAAAAATCTAGCACATCTATTCTACGGATGGATGTATTTAGGATTAAATTAAATATTACTTGATTGATAACCTAAGTAGTAGATTTATTTAACTCTGGGGCTCCCCTATTCAAATCCATTTTTTTTCACTAAGTAGAACAACATCTTTCTAATAATATTCTAAAGCTTCTTTCTTCTGTGACAGATAATTTATGTGTGTGTCCAGAAATTTTAAAAGGTTAAATGGTTGCAATTATTTTTGACTTCATATTGTTTGCCTCTTTAATTCAGCCCAAATTCTTGTGGGTTGTGTTATGAAAACAATGTGAAACTATATTAAAATACCCCATTAAGTAACATATGATAATATGTTTAATGTCACAGTAACTTGTTCTTGTATCACTATATGAAGAGACAAACAGAGGGAGGGGGGATAGGGATGAGAAGGAACACAGAGTGCTCCACTGGGCAGGCATCACAGAGTGACAATAGTAACGAAGGAAATGTGCTTTATGTTCAGAGAATTCCTTCCTCTGATGGGTTTCCATAGCTCTGAAGTTTTCAGATTAGGAGTCTTCTATATTAGTTAGTAAATATGACTTGTCAAGATCACCAGAAAGCCAAGGACGGAAACGAGAACTTCATTTAAATATTTTACTCCAAAGAACCAAGTTAATCAATGACTTTGACAGGGTATATTTACCAATAAAGTATTCTTAATTGAGGCCTTCTTAGGTGAAGTCCAAGACTGACAAAATTTTACTGTACCTTAAAGCCAGATAATGTGTATTTAAATACACACACACACACACACACACACACACACACGGCAATCATGTTCAAATACTTTTGAAAAAATAGTGCATTTATTTATACTGTGCTTAAAATTAAAATTATGTTTCTTCTGTTTTCTTAATACAGCCCTATCAATATTTTTGTGTAGTTGACATACCCAGCATTATTTTGTCTCATTTTGCCATATGAGGAAATTGAGATTAATCTCAGCTGAGGTTAAGACAGAGGAAATCACTTTCCCACCACTTCCTGGTAGACACATTTTAAAACACTTTTAAATGCAATTCATCTCCCCATATTCGAAAAAGAAATTTAATATTAACTATTTGGAATTATATTGTCAAATGTTTACTTTACGTTTTCTCTCTCTCTTTCCAAAGGCTTAAAGACTTTAGGATTATACAACAGGAAAATATGAGAAAAGTGTGTAAAGATTGTATGGAGGGGTTGAGTGAATAAAAGAGCATATTCTTTTTATTTCTTTTTTTAGAGATAGGGTCTTGCTCTGTTGCCCAGGCTAGAGTGCAGTGGTGCGATCATAGCTCACTGCAGCCTCAACTCCTTGTCTCAAGCGATCCTCCTGGCTCAAGCAAACCTTCATATGTCATAACATGCCAGAAGTTATCACATTTGTGAGAGACAGAACAAGATGAGTCAAACTTATATTTTTATACAGAACCCTCACCTCTGGTAATAGCATTGACACATTCGTAAGGGCAGGGCCCCATGACCCAAACATCTCTCCTTTAAGCCCATCTCCCAGTATTGCTGCATTGGGTATCAAGTTTCCAACACGCTAACTTTGGGGGATACACTCAAATCATAACATCCGGAGAAAAAATCTTCTTCATAATTAGAGGTAAACTTAATTTTCAGAAAGAAAATTTATTACCAAATAAAATAACATTCTAAAGGGAATTTTTCAAAGTACATATTTTTCTAAAGGGGAGGTCAAAAAATGCAGTAAGAATGTGAGAAGAAAAGGAAAGGTAAACATGTGAGTAAATCTATACCACTTATGACTCTAACAAATGCTGATAATTATTCCTTAGTTTTAAAAATAATAAGAATTAAAATTGTGTCCACAATGACACAGAAAGATTGAGGAAATAAATAAAGTGACCTAAAAAGTTCTTCTTCCGTCCTTGAAGCAATAAAGGTTCTAAATAAAAGTAGTTAGGAAAAAATGTATATACTCTGTACTTCCTAAGTCACTCACTAAAATATTAAAAATTATCTGTGTAAGTAGCAATATATTAAAAGAAAAAAATTATAATGAAATAGCTAATTCCAAAAAGTCAATAAAAATAGAAAGAAGGAAAAAAGGTAAAAAACAAAAAGAAAACCATAAGATGATTTATTTAAACTCATCTATAGCTGTAATTACATTTAATGTAAATGAACTAAATATTCCACATAAGGTTAGGATTGTCACACCAATTAAAAATACAAAATTCAACTTTATATCGCTTATAAGAAACCATCTTAAATATAAGGACAAAAGAAGATAAAAATAAAGTGGGAAAGTTGTGTATGTATTATCAAAACGTTAATGAAAGAAAGCTTGTTTTCCCTATAGTACTTTCAGACTATATAGATTTTAAAGTGAGAATTCTGATTAGACATAAAAAGGAAAATTTCTAATTTCTGAAGGTATAATTCCACAAATTAAGCATAACAAATTCTCCATGTGTTTTTGCTTAATACTGTAGGATAAGAATATGTAAATTAAAACTAATAGAAGTATAAAAAAGGAATTACTAATCACAGTGGGAGAGTTTAATGTGTCTCCCTCAGTAACAATAAAATGAATATATAAAAAGATAATTTAAAAATTTCAAATCATGATTAACATACTTGACCTTATTTACCTATATAAAAATTCAGTTAATAATACAGAACACATTTCTTTTCAAAATTCAACTGGAATATTTACCCAAAGTAACTAAAGAATGGGCTATAAGGCAAGCCTCAACAAATATGAAAGTAATAAAATCATATAGAATAGTTTTTTTACCACGGCAAATTTAATCTAAATATCCATATCATAAATATAACAGAAAAATTTCTATATGCACAGTAACAATGCTCTTCTTAATTATGGGACAAAAAATAAGAGTAAAATTAGAAAATATCTTTAATGAATCATAATGAAAATACTACATATCAAAATTCCCAAGATGAAGCCAAAATAGTCAAAAAGTGAGAAATGTACAATTTTCAGTGTGTATATTAGAAATGATAATGCTAAAAAAAAAAATGGCTATAGTATCCATGTCAGTAAACTGAAATTAATAAGAGGATTAAAAAGTAGAAAGAAGAGCAATAATAAATATAAGGACAAAAATTAATGAAAAAAATATGCAAAAGAGTAATATTAACAAAGCCAAAAGTTAATTATTTACCAAGATAAATAAAAGTTGTATGTTTAGTAAATCATAGAAAGGTGAAAAAAAAAAAAAAGAAAAGAACAGATGGCGTAAATTGTCACTATCAGATATGAAAAAAATGGAGCATCACTTCAGATTATAAACATATACTGTAACTACAGTAAGAGAATATTATGAATACCTTTAAGTAAATAAATCTAAAATTTTAAGGTAATATGGAAGAATTCCTAGAAAAATACAACTTGTCAAAACCGACAAAAATGAAATGGAATAGCTAAGTAGTCATATACCAGTTAAACAAATGTATTTCATAATTTAAGTATTTCGCTGTGAAAACTCCAGATTCTGGTGACTTCATTTGCAAATTATACTAAATTTTAAAGAAGAAATTATACAAATTCCACAAAAATTTCCAGGGAACAGAAAAATAAAAAGGAAACATTTTGCTGTTTATTTTCTGAAGCTGGCCAAAACTACCCTAACCAGATCTTAAATTAAGAAAGTATGTAGTCTGATCTCTCTCATGACTAGTAATAAAAATCTTAAACAAAATATTAGCAAACCCAATCTAGAGATATGTCAAATAGTAACACATCAAAACCAAAATGAGTATAACCCGGTATTCAAGGTAAGTATAAGTAATTTAATATCAATCAATGCAATTCACATCATTAGACTAAAAGATAAGAGTTAGAAAGTTCACTTTCTAAGTAACAGAAAGCAGTGATGGCTGACATATATGAGTAATGGCAAAGATGGTATGAGATGAGATATGTTTGGAGATGTAACCAGCTTTTGTCTGACCTCATGTTCTTAGTAAGAAGTCTGGATTCTAATCTTTGAACAAAGTAAATTGTCATGGCTACAGACTACTTCTAGGCTACATAAGGTGATGGGCTATGACTTTCAACTTACTTCTTGCCCTAGGTGTGCTCAACCCAATGGATTGATCGGACTGTGCCTGCACGTAGTAGGCATCAGTGACTCTTGCTCTAAGTTAATGAAGTTAAACCACTGTTTCTCAACCCTGACCATACATTAGTACCCCCTGAGGAGCTTTTAAATATCTAGATGCCCAGACCTCAGCCAAAGCCAGTTAAATCATTATTCCTATAATTAGGGAAAAGGTATTTGTATTTTAAATATCCCAAAGTGATTACCATGTGTAGCCATGGTTGAGGACCACTGAGTTAAAGATTAACAATATTCACAAGGCTATTGAGAGGATTCAATTAGATAATCTGTGTAACATTTCTAAATACTAGCTCTACTATAGGCTGTACTGCATTCTAGAGCTTTATATGTCTCTTGAAGGATTTTCTGGTTTTGTGTTAGACCACACCTGTATGCCGAAGACATTATTTTTTTAAGAAAGCCTGCCTTTGTAGATCCTCTATAGATCACGTGTCAAAGAACCATTCTCTTTAAGAACCATTCTCTTTAAAAATAATTTCCCAGCTTTCTACTGCAGAGTGACAAAAAATTAGATTACTAAGGAAAAGACCACTAAGGAAATTTCCAACATCAACTTCACATGGAATTTGTAAGAATAATACATCTGTAGACGTAAAGAGGCAGCTGAAACTCCAGCTCCAAGGGTCTGAGTCAGGATTAGCAAGTGTAAACAATTATGAAGAGAACTAAGGCCAAGTGTCTGATAATTAGATGTCACTCATGTTATTGCATTTTTTTCTCAAATTCAAATACCTTGTTCTCTTTCAATAACTACGTAGTGGGATGAAATGCTATTTTAATTTTAATTGTAACTCAGAATCCTAAAATAATTTATCTTCATTTATCAAATCATTAACCCACCTTTGATAGCAGATTTGGTCATAACAAACAGCAGAGAGAAATGAACACATAGAAAATAAAAGTAGAATTCTGAAATGCCTTTCACTTCTTTTCTCTTACAAGATTATAAAACCAAGTATTACTTAAACAAGGAGAAAAATGTATATATTGATAAAGTAAGAACTTTTGCATTTAGGTTTGACAGTATTATTTACAGAACTTTCTATAAAATTTAGACAACAAAGAAGACCAAAATTTCAGAATTTTCAGAAACGTCAGACCAAAATTTCTAGCCAGAAATTGAACCATCATTCTTGTAAGAATAAAGCATTAGAAACATTTTATAAACATTTTTCCAAGTTCTGCTCCTTTTTTACAAAACGAGAAAGAGAATGACTGGGCTTCCCTTTGAAGCTACAGCAGCAAGGATGGGAGATATTTAAAGTAGGTACAGTGGTAGCTATGAGCCATGTAGGGACTGATGTCCAAAGAAATAAAGACAGAAGTCTTTAAAAAAAAAAAAAAAAAAAGAACAGTATTTAGGGAACACCAATTACTGTAGGCATTAGGAAACAAAAGGTGAATAAGGCACAGAAGGTCTCTGTTTTCCCAGATTGTATAATCTAGTGAGGAATAGGCCATTCTATGGTGAATACCGTAAAATGTGACAGTGTACAGATTGCTGTAGTGAGCACGTCGAATCTAGGAAGTCGGGGCAGGCTTCATACAAAGGACATTCTTTAGTACCTGAAAACAAGAAGTAACTATTTATCCAGAAGGAGATTTGGAGAAGAACATAGAGAGGCATGTTCCAGATAAAGGAAAAAGAATGTGTCAAGACTCAATGATGAGAGAATGCGAGCACAGCTGAGAGATTGAAAGAAGTTCAGAATGCCTGGAATAGGATTGAAAGAAAGAGTAACAGAGGTAGTTTCAAGACATGCTTAAGAAGTAGAATTAAGAGAAAATTCTACCATACTTAGTTAAGGAGTGTATATGTGATACTAAAGACAATGGGCCCCAGTGAACAATTTTTAAAAGGAGGTGTAGAATCATCAGATTTGTATGTAAGAAAAATTATTCTAGCTATTGTGTGTACAAAGAATTAGAAAGGGTCAAAAGCGAGGCACATTTTGAAGAGTGTGTGGAAGAGATAATGGTGGCTTAGATTGGAATGAAAAAAGATGGACAGATATGGTGAATAGTTTGGAGGTAGAATTGATGATCCAGTGATTAAATGGACATAGAAGGAGAAGGATATGTCAAGGATGACTCCCAGGTATCTAACTAGAGCAAAAAGAGCACATTGGTTACCAGATTTAGGCAGTAAGACTAATTCCAGAACTCACAACTAATGCACAGAGTTTATAGACAGAGAATTCTTCACTGGGTTAGGAAATGATTGAACAACTTGGTTCTTCCTTTGGATACCCTGCCTTTTTCACTGAGTTGTTCAAACTGAATGTAATAGTATATATGAAATGATTGAGGACTCTATACCACTGCCAAATACAATGACAGTTGTGCAAGGGGGACAGGGGTGAGGAGATCTGTTTCCTTTGGATCAGATACCATATAGTAAGTAGAAATAGAAAGACTGATTCTTCCATAGGAGAGAAATGAAAATCTGCTCAGGATTTGACTCTAGTTCTAGGCAAGATGTGTCATGAACTTGAGATAGTTGTCTTGCAGCTGGTAGATTTCTGGGTGTGGGGATATTAGAAAAGTTCATATCAGCCCTAATCAGTATTGAGTTATGAGCAGCAAAATCAATTTCAGACACCAATGCCTAGTGGGGCAAGGCATGCTTAAGAATAACTTACACACCATGTAAGGCTGATCCTACATCTTCTGTTTCTGCAAGGGATTAGTAGCTGGAAATACTGAACAAACAAGGTCACGCAAATCAATTTATGGTCCCAGCAAAGGGAGACTACATAAAACAAGCAGAGAATAAAATATTCTGAAAACGTGGCAATGATCAGTTAATATGTCAGGGAAAGCCAATGGCTTTGGAATTGATGCTAGATGTTCTTAGGAAAATTATAATGTCAAATTTAAATATAAGAAGAGTAACTCATTCCAGCACCTCTAGCAATGAAGAGAACGTTTCAAGAATATAGGATTTCTATCATAAATGTTTTAGGGGATGATTTTGTAAGCTACATAATAATATTTTCACTATTCAAAGTAAGTAGGAGTCTGTTAATAGAGAATGCACTTCGGTGTCTCTTGGAAAGCAAATGTGGAAAAAAAAAATCCTGTAAGAATAAAAGGCATCAGTACGACAGAGGTGTTCACTTTCCAAATACAATCTACTTCTATGTTCAAAACTTTTTAAAGCATTCATATGCTAGTCCAGCAAATGTTTAAAGCTTACTCTATGTTCAACCAAGGCCAGGATAACTAAGAAGAAACTATCTGTACTGAAAGAGCACAAGATTCTCTTAGCAACAATTATAACACAATGAGAGGAGTAAATGAGAGTAAAACTAGCAAAATAATGTGGCATCCAGACATCCAAAGGAGAGGTGCCTAACAGCTTGGGGAGTTTGAGAAAGATTTCACTTAGCAGCCAAAGTGCAGGGTCATGAAGGATGAAGAGTAGTTCACCAAGTGAAAAAGGAAGGACAGGGTGCTCTGGATCACCATAATGGCATTGAGTGGCAGAGGAGAACAACAGGTTTAGGAAAAAATGAGGAGTTTGTTGTTTAAGGAGACAGAGCTTGGGAACATATTATAAAGTACCTTTTATGCCTTGTTAAGGGATAAGGGATTGCAGCTTCATACAACAAAACGTGAGGAATAATGAATAGGACTTAACAATGAAATAACCAATTATTTTTGGTAAGATACTGAGGTGTTGCTGAGGAGGTGTGATCAGAGGGTAAAGTAAACAGTAGTAGAGACAGGTTAGAAATTGTCTAAAAAATCCGAATAAGAGAGGGTAAGAGTCTACACTTAAACAGAGGCAGTAACACAGAGAAAACTCAGGCCAGAAGACAGAATTGACAATTAATACAGAATTGACAAGAGATATGATTTGTAAATATCTACTTAGCTCACAATGCCTCATAATTATTAATAATAGATTCAGTAGCTTGGATGAGAAGACCAGAGTTCTACCCAGAATTTGCACTGTTTTTGGTTGAGGCCAGGCCTTCTCATGCCTGGTGATTTGTTTAGTAATTTTACATACTTATTTGTGGTTCTCCTCACTCTCACCCCCAATTTTTTGTCTGTAATAATTTTAAAGTGGGAAACTCTACAAATTTTTAAAAATGGTTCAAGTTATTTTATAAAATAGTTGAATAATTTAGAACAACTAAAAGAAAGAGGCTTACAGACCTAAAGCAGCAGGAGTTTATAAATGAAAATACATGGTAGACAAGCTGAGTTCCTTCTTTTGATAAATGCTCAAAATTAATGGGTAGAAGGGAGAATATGATATATTTAGGCATTAGCAAAACATCTGATACTATGTTTGATGATATTTTACTTGCAAATTTGTTTTAAATGAGCTTAGATGACAAGAAAATCAGTCAGATTAGAATTGAGGAAAGGGTTATAAACAAGAAGTAACAAATGCTGGATCTGGTCTTATTTAACATTTTTATTAAAAATCTGGTATGAGGAAGTAAATGGCATATTAATAGAAATGCCAAATGACACTAAATTTACAGGATTACAAAGTGCGCAGATTGCAAACTGAGGAGAAGGAAATTGACTAAAATATAATAAAGATTTGAATATAAGCAGAAAGAAAAATAGACACAAGTTTTATTTCAATAATCAGCTATGTAAACATTTAAACTGGAAAAAAATGGCAAAGGCAGTTGATAGAGTATCAGAAGAGATGAGTTCTAGTCCCAATTTAGGTAATTCCTAGGTGGTTGACTTAGTGCAAGTGGTTCAACTCCTCTGTAACATTGGTTTTTCCCAAGTGTAATGTTAAGAGATTGTACAAGTAATTGTCTATAGTTCCTTCCATCCATAAAATTCTTTTTTTAGTTTTCTTCACCTTTTCTCCTTTCACGTAAGCCATTAAAGCTATTCCTCTTATGCTGAGGACACTGCTTTATAAAGAAATCTTTTAAGGCTTCTCTGTCCAACTAGGGTCATTAATATTTTTAAGATGACACAGCTTTTCTCTGTAGAGCCATGTGCTGTCGTACTTGATAATGCAAGCTTTAGCTTTGGTAGAGTGCATGTCATCTTATTTTGGTTGAGAGGGGATGATAAGTTAGAGGTTGTTTATAAGATTGCACTCTTTACAATTTAGGGAGCTGTTACTTATGTAATAATGTAATTTATGACACATTGCTTTGAATACATTTTTGTCTTGTTTTATTTAGTTGTCAAAGGCTGTTCATATATATTGACTCATTAAAATGGTTACTAACCCTGGGAAGAAGGCAAAGTAGGTAACACTATCCTCATTTTGTGTCAAACGAAAACAAAAACTGAGATAAAGTTACTAATGATTTACCAGGGTTACAGTTAGGATCAAAGCCTTAACAAGAACTTTTGCTTGTCTAGTGGTATTTCTATTTTACAGCATAATCTTACACATTGATTTAGAATATGTTCTTTGACTTAATAAAGCCATGTTTCCAGACCTTTGATAGCGTGAATAAGTATAAGGAAATTATTTCTTCTAAGCACTGAGATAATAGGCAGCTTGCACATCAGTTACAGGTAGCATATTAGGGGTAGCGGTATTAAGATTTATTACTTCTGATAGTATGTGAATGCTAATGATAAATTCCAGCAGAAGTTCTATAGAGATAAAAGAGTTTCTTCATGGATTTCAGAAATGATTGGAACATTTCATTAAAACAGATTGCTGATGGATTCCCACTGACTGCACTTCAGCAGGATTTACAAAACCGACTAGTATGTGGCTCAATATTATTCTTTCCTCAAGTTTATGAACTTCATACCCCAGTTCTGGGTGGTTTTCCTTTTTTTCCTTTTTTGAAAATGCTATCGACGTGGAAATTCTTTTGTGGGACATAACATCAGTGAGATTGCTTGTCAAGACCTTGCTCTATCACCAGAACTAAGTTCAGTGCCAGGCACACAGATGTCACTCAATGAATATTTGTTAAATGACTAAATGACACTTTTACATAAAGTTTCCATTTAATGCTGTCATAGAAATTTTCCAGGACCTCAATTATAATTCATACCAAATATATTTCTTTACATTTTACAAATAGGACTTTATCTCCATTTAAACTTTAGGGTTTTCAACGTCACTGTTTTTTTTTTGAATAACCATAATTCCTTCATAGGCCTGTTGTGCATTATATAAAATTAGTAGAGTGATTGATCTAGTAGGCCCCTAATACATGTTAGTTCTTTTCATTTAGTTTATTTTTCTACCTCACTGAATAATAGGTGATAAGCCAAATAATATGCTTCTGAAACTGTACTCAAAGTTCTTCACATTACTCTTTTACTATCTTATTGAAAAAATCAGCATAAACAATTCTGAACCGCTATACATTTTAAAGCTTATAAAGACTAATAATGTGCTTTGAGGATGGGTTATTAGGCAGCGATCCCTCCCTAAAGCACCTCCTCGTGGTATACACTGAGACCTTAAAAAGCAAAGTGTTCTTGAAGAGTTGTATAATTTTGCTTTGAAGACATGCCTTTCCCATACTCTTTATTTTGACCCTTTGTGTTTGTCTTTCAGCCACAAAGATCTTAGAATTGTGATGTACAAGTTACATTTTTGACTGAACTAATACAAGGAAAGGTACAAAAATTAGCTAAAAAGAAAGCTCTTCTACTGTAGAAACTTGTGTAATTTTCTCCATGACTTTTTAGAATTTTTTTATTAACAATATGTCTTATCCTTATTAGGATGATTACTGGTAGCTTGACATGAGCATTTATAAAGGTATCTTTTTGAAGCCTTCAGCTTTCAGATTTTCCTTTTGGTTTTGGAAGCCTGTGGACACTGCTGAGTTGATCTTCCATTCTTGTACCCACTACCCTGTTCATTATTAGTGGCACCTGGGACTCTTACTTAGATCAGGATAGCAAAATTCAGAACACTGAAGGATCAAACTGCAATACAATTGAGCCTCTGTGCCCTAGGTATTGAGGACAACCTAGGATAATTTGATAATGGCTAGAAATCAGCTAACTAGAGAAAACACCAGGTAATCAGAACACAACAGAAGGGGAGGAAGATGGCAGATGGTATAGATCAAGTTTTGAAAAGCTCGCAGACAAAGGAGGAGGTATATGCTCCTGATGTAAATTCAGTACTCTTTTTGGGTCATTTCTCAGTAATGCCTGCCTCCTCTGTCCACCGTATGTATCTATCACATTGTCTCTACCTACGTCAGAAGTATCCAATTCCCCAAACCACTAGCATGATTACTGTTCAGTTTCTGAGTTAATCTTGGCACATGACAGGAAGAGTGATAGTTAGAGAAGAGTGAATATAGTTGAGAGTTAATCATATCCACTAGCACCTAATTTCTTTAATATACAGCATTGATGTTTTCTCATTTTAAAAAGTGCTATTTAAGTGCTTCAAGCCCACTCACCATATTCCTTCCTGAGAGACTGCAACTCCTAAGCCTCCAATGTACCTGGGATACTCTTCAAGCCTTGTCACTTCTCCACCCATATTGGTAATCCAAATATTTGGTTTTATGACCCTGGCGTTATTTTTAACTTATTAATAGTGTCTTACCTCTGATTGTCCATTGAGTTCCTTGGACTGATAAAAAGTTTCAAACATTTTGTCCCCATTTGCCTTTGTTTCTCCCTGTCCACATGTTCTGTTATTATAGGGAAGTGGTTCCTTGACCTGTAATTCCATCCTAATCCCATAGTCTAAATGGCCAGACATGTCCACAGAAGGACTCAGAGAAGTTCCCGCTCCAATGAGAAATCATCTTTTATCTCATTGTATCTTTTTTATGGTGATCATTTGTTTTCATTTTATTTTTCTAATGATACATGAAAAGAAATTTAGGGTAACCTTTTAATAACTAAAGAGGTATAGTATATTTTGCTTTCTAGTTACTTGCACATCATACTAACTTGAATATGTCTGTTGATGGTATTTTAATCCACTTATTATTTTTCATTCATTCAACTCTATTATTTACTCTCTTATATAATATTTATTAGATTTTGTCAATTGTAAAATATCTAGAATATAGCCAGAATGGAAAGAAGAAATGCCCATTAACTAACATTAGCCTCAGTATCTGCCAGAGGTATCATAAGGATAAAGTGCCCTTCCACTGCCCATCACCTTCAGAAAAGGTCTCTCATATCTATACTTAGATACAGTTCTGATTCTAATCAGCAGATTCTATTATAGGCCTTTACGTTAAAAAAAAAAAAAAACTGAGGGAGAGAAAAAAATGCTGATGAAGACAATAAAAATAAATGAGGCTTCTTGCTTCTTGACGTCTTTAGCACTTTCTGTGGCTTCCTGAGTGAGCAGCAGTGGCAGACAATAGCTAAAAGATTGTGTGCAAGATAATGAGAAAAATAAATGCATCCTCAGATGCAGCCAACAGAAACTGCTGTTAACATTCATTATCCAGGGTCTTGAATGCTCCCAAGATGATGTTATTAATTTGCAGAATGAGCTAAGAAGTGTGAAAGAAAGCTGATGTTTGCTTATAACCTTCTTGACCATCACTTTGAATATTAACCAAGGGGGTCAAATGTATTATTACTTAGATACTGTATTTTTTTAATGGTAGTGATGCCAGCAGGCAGTATTGTATCAGCATATACTCTTATAACTACTAGAGAAAAAAGAATGAAAAAACATGCGTGAATGTATATGTATATCCAACTTTAGCCGGCAATTTGGCCAATGTCCAATGTGCAATTTTTATGTAACTCTTACAGATTCTAGAACTCTTCTCAATTTTCTAGGTTCTTAACTACCTAAAGATGCAGTATTTTCTGTTTTAAAAAGCTTATAAAAATGTTTTGATTGTGTTGATTGACACACAAGATGGACTATTCAATTCAAAAACTTAGTGCTAAATCAAAAAAACAAAAATCCTTTTCAGCAGTGTTTCCCTACGTCTCAACATGTCTTATCTCCAAAATCTATCCTTTCCAGTCCCCATGATGCATACCACAATCCATTTAAAATAAGATCATGTTTGCCTTATTAAAACTTTTTCAGATGTAACACAAAATCATTCAAATTTCAGACATGTCTACTTTTCTCCATTTTACATTTTCTGATTCGCTTATACTACATTTTAGATACCAGATATGGAATACCAAAATCCTGACAGAAGACAAGGATAGGCTACTGATTTAGGAAAACATTCCTCAAAGTATAGTCTGGGGGACGGGGTCTCAAGACCCCTTTAGAAGATCCATGAGCTTCAAAACTATTCAAAACCCTCATTCTTTCATGAGAATATAGTGGAAGTTGTCCAAGGGATATATGATATGTGATGGTGCCCCAGATTACATACAAAAGCAGACAGGAGAAATCAGCTGTCTTTTTCTGAAGCCACATATAGAAGCTTTCAAAAATGAAAATCAATGCCACTCATGACACTAAATTGATTTTTGAAATATAAAGTTATTTTTCATGAAAAATATCCTTTGTCTAAATACATATTGAGTTAATTGCTGTTATTTTAAATGATTTTAAAACATTTATTTTATAAATCAGTTTTAAATTACAATATAATAAATATTAATAAATATAACCCGTGTAAGTAAACTCTTTAAGATTTTCCATAATTTTAAGTTTGCAAAAATGTACTGAGATAAAAAATTTTTGAAAACCATTGCTTCAGATACAAACAACAACAAAAATCATTGCACAATTGTGCCATTCAGCATTGTGGAAACATAGCCCTTCAAGCAGATTCTGATGTAAATATGGAAAAAAGAATGATATTTTGTTATTCAAGGTAAATACCAGGACTCTTCTATTTATGATTAAACATTCCTGTTTTTAATTCCCATGACAATAATTCCTTAATATGTTACATTTTGTCCAATCTTTGAATATACATTAAATATCATTGCTTAAAAGCCATAGATTTAGGCTGGGAGCAGCACTTTGGGAGGCCAAGGTGGGCGGATCACGAGTTCAGGAGACTGAGACCATCCTGGCTAACACGGTGAAACCCCGTCTCTACTAAAAATATAAAAAATTAGCCGGGTGTGGTGGCGGGCGCCTGTAGTCCCAGCTACTCGGGAGGCTGAGGCAGGAGAATGGCGTGAACCTGGGAGGCGGAGGTTGCAGTGAGCTGAGATCACGCCACTGCACTCCAGCCTGGGCGACAGAGGAAGAATCTGTCTCAAAAAAAAAAAAAAAAAAAAAAAAAAAAAGCCATAGATTTATAAATTAGGGTTTCAGCTATTTGTGAATAATGCCACAATTTCACAGCAGGCAATAATTTGTAACTTTTTATAGCCCACACTGTCAAGGAGAATAGAAAGTCACAGTACCTAGCTGATGAATCAACTTATCTAACGCTGAGTAATTACCCTTAATATGCCTTAATCATTTTATTTTTCTTAACATCCATTTGGAATTTATAAACATTTTTGTTAAAAAAAAATCAAGCGAAATAAATCTTACCAGATATTGATAAAACAATAACCTTTAACATGATGAAGTTCTCTCTTGAAAACAGAGATCCAGCAGTTCTTGATTGCAGCCTGGGAATCTGCACACTGGTAAATTTTCATTTTATTCTAACATAAAAACCATTATGAATTTTTGACTGAGAAATATACATTTGCACACACACAAAGTATATCAACCACCTAAAACATGCATATTTCTATTATTTAACAGTAGAACAATAATGTTTCACCTCAGTAATTCAGTATTTAACACAATTTTAGCAGTAGAAATAAAAACTGAAATCCCAATCAATTATTCAGACTCATTTCCATAGGCAATTAAAAGAAACTTTGTGGAACCATGTAGAGGATAAAATATTTCATATGTTGTCATAGGAGAAGAGAAAAGAGAAACTAATTAATTCAATTTTAATAAATAGCAGATAGACTATTGATTTTGAATTATAATACCAGATTGAAGCCTCATTGCTATCAAGTTTTTATACCTTGGACATGTCCCCTGATATTTCTGAGCTCAATTTCCATGTTGGTTTAATAACAACAATAAGTCCTCCCCATCTACTTTGTCTACTTAAATAGCTGTTATAGTTAAAATGATATATGTACATTTTATATTGCACATAAAAATGAGGTTTTTAGTAACAGGAGTAATAATGGTGATATTTTTAAAAATATGAGGATATTCATTCATCTTAGTTCTCATCTTAGAAAACTAAAAAGTGCAATATGTTTTCCAACCATCATTCCATTTGTGAAACTGTTGCCTAAAAACCTTGTAAAGCGGACTGAGCTGAAATGACTAGATGAAATAAAAATTTCAGAATGTGCTTTTGTGGTTTCTATTTGCACATTAAACACCACTTCTCATATGACTGAATATGGCATTATTTTTCCAAAGGAAACATAGTGTTTATCAAATGAAATTAAACAGTTTTCAATTGAACTGCTTACATCATTTGCATTGACTGCTGTATCCTCAGCTCCTAAAACACAGTAAATAGTAAGGAGGATATGATTCTGCCTAGAGAAAAAATCTGGATCTTCATGATACCGTTGTAATAGATGGTGATGATGATGATGATGATGATGATGATGATGATAGCAGATGCTGTTTACTGAGCATTAAGTTTCAAGGACTGTGCAAAATGCTTTACAAGCATTGCTTTATTTAACCTTTACAATAGTCCTGTGAGTTAGATCTCAATTTTATAAACTAAAAAAACTGATGTTTAGAAATATTAAATAGCTTCCTGGATACAAAGGGGAAGGAATAGTATGGAAAGCCAACATTCTTGAGTTCAAAGCCTGAGTTAATCACAGGTCAGCTTCAAATAATAATTTTTTTCATGGCCTAGAGTCATTGTGATACAACCACAAGGAGTGTTAATCCTAAAATTTAGCATGGCTCATCTGTGTCACATGCCAGATGCTGGAGCCTACACACACACACACACACACACACACACACACACACACACATTAATACTGTCCAAACAACTCTCTAGATTACGTATTGTTTTCCCTATTTAACAGCTGAACATGGCGAGACTTAGAAATATTAAGCAACTTGTTCCAAGTTCAGCCACTGTTTAACTGCATCAAAATCCAGATGAGATTGACTCTCATGCTGTTTGTTTTCTAGAGTACCTCTTATTACTACAGGAAACTGTTAGAACTATAAGACTCAAACTATGTAATAGTCGAGGTAAAAATAACTTATCCAGAGATCCCAGGATCTTTTTTCATTTACTCTGGCTCTTTGTCCACTAAAGACATCTCAATTTGGAACCCTTGGATTGTATGATTTTCAAAAAGCGTTTCAGTGCTAGAGCATCTTAATGTTCTATTACATTGGAAGTTTTGTCTAAGAAGAGAATGATACTGGGCTAAGCTCTAAGTCCAGGACTCATGCCTATTAATCTGGATCTGTCTCCAAAAATGTGGATTTCATGAAGCAAACACCCCTTATTTTCCCATTTCTTTATAATTCTTCATTCAATTAAAACAACCAAAGATACACCTGGTGCATTTCTAAATCTCTCTCAAATTGGCCAGACCGTTAAATTCATCGGAAGATCGTCCTAACGCCTCACGCCAAACCGCTTGTTTTATTATGTACAACAGAGGATACAATTTATTTCTTTGGTTTTAACAGCAACCTGCAAATGCCCATTTAAACCATGGTTTTCCAAAGGGAAGCCTTAAGTGTTTACAACACATTACACAGAATTGCTACTTTTTACATTTTTGCCGGATGAAGAAAGAGGGAAAAGATCATTTCTCTAGTCTGAACCTTCTACTCTATTTCACAGGTAGCTTCCTCTGGTCGAGGAAAATGGAATCAACTCCCTCATGTTATACTGGAATATCTGGGCACAAATTATTCTACGAGTAGACTTGATTATTCACAATAGTCTCATGTGGACTAATGTCAGAATCAGGTCCACATTTGCTATTGAATTTTTCACTAGATTTAATTCTTAGAAAAGATTGAGTTCAGGTTCTGCGAAGTTTTGCAAAGAAAATAACATAAATCCAAGGAATTTCTCTCTCTGTCTCTCCCCTCAGATATGAAAAGAGGATATCACTTATTATTTAGTTTTAAATCAAGTATTAATCTCATTAGATACTATGACCTGGGATTTTTAAGGAAGCTTCAAGATTGCTGGCTGTGCATTTTCAGAGAATAAGTCTTAGAAAACACTGGCACAAGTAAAAATGCAGAAAAAAAAATAAAAATAGATGCTACCTAGCCTCTAAGAAAGACTCCAGGCAATTTGATCCCCAGTTGCCTGCAGCAGCAATGCATCATTTGATTGACTTTCTCTCATGTTTTCTTTCATTTTTTGAAGCCCTTACTCCTGTTGTTGGGGCCACTGCCCAAAATAAACACCTACATAAGATCTAAAGTCTTAAATAAGCTCTATATTTTTGAAATACGAAGACTAAGATGTAAACTTCGATCTATCTGCTTGTGAAGTCTTTTCTCTTAACCATAGCGTCATGTGGAATGTACTGCCTAGAACAGGAAGAAACTAAAAGTTCACCTCAGAACTTCAGTCTCCTTCTGCACAGTCCTAAACTGGTAGCTGGAAGCAGAGTCCCAGCTTTACTTTATGGGTAACTTCCAGAGACTCTTCTAGAAGCCTGGTTCAATTCTTCTGCTCTTAAATTTCAGCTTTCCTATTCCTACAGAGTCTTAAACATCAAACTTCAGAATGGCTGGGCTCTATTTCTGGCCAGTACCTCTTCTTGTATACACCTTTTGATATAGTAAACTAGATCCCCCTAGTAGAACAAGGTAAATATATTTAATTATATTGCAAAAATAATTGTCTCCTCATATACTCAGGGAATTGATTTCAGGACTATATCCTCCAACCCATCTACATTCAAGTTCCGCAGCTGGCCCTGCAGAACTCACATATACGAAAAATCAGCCTTCTGTATACACGGGTTACGCATCCCACGAATACTATATTTTCCATCTGAGTTTAGTTGAAAAAAATTTATATATAAGTGGACCTGTGAAGTTCAAACCCTTCTTGTTCAAGGGTCAACTCTATACTGCCAGAAAAGCCAAATATATTAATAGTTGAAGTATTTAATGTTTTTGCTTAATAATGCATTCGTATAATGACAGGCAGCAAGGAGTGGTCCAGTGAGGTACTAAGTGCGCCATGTAGAGTTGCTGGCATCCCTAAAAAATTACTTGAGGACTGTGATGGTTAATACTGAGTGACAGCTTGATTAGATTGAGGGATACAAAGTATTGATCCTAGGTGTGTCTGTGAGAATGTTGTCACAAGAGATTAACATTTGAGTCAGTGGGCTGGGGAAGGCAGATCCACCCTTAATCTGGTGGGCACAATCTAATCAGCTGTCAGTGAACATAAAGCAGGCAGAAAAATGTGAAAAGTAACGAGACTGGCCTGGGCTCTCAGCCTACATTTTTCTCCTGTACTGGATGCTTCCTGCCCTCCAACATCAGATTTCAAATTCTTCAGTTTTGGGACCCTGACTGGCTCTCCTTGCTCCTTAGCTCACAGACAGCCTATTGTGGTACCTTGTGATTGTGTAAGTTAATACTTAATTAACTCCCTTTTATTTATTTATATATATATTTATGTATATTATGTATATATTCTTATATATACATTATATATAAATGTATATTATGTATATATTCATATATATACATTATATATAAAATATGTATATAATGTATATATTCATATACAAAATATATAATATATATGAATATATATAATATATTACATATATATATATCCTACTAGTTCTTTCCTCTAAGATAACCCTAACGATATACATATCCTGTATATATATAACCTGTATATGCATGGAGGCGGAGAGATCACTCCATGCTAGACTAGGTCCATTTTCAGATATCTTCTATAAGATTTATTGTCAGGGGAAGAGGAGTTTACTATTTTAAAATGTTAGAAAACTTTGACATATTTGAAAACTCACAACATTTAGACTCAAGCAGTGCTATTGTGTGATTGTAGATAAGATACTTGTCTTCATTGAATATTAATTTCTTTGTTTAAAAAGTGGAAACATGTAATAGTAACTGCATTTCTGGGACGTTAGGAAGATAACACTTAGTCAATGAAGGCATATATACATACATTGATATCAAGCACTTTGCCAAGTACTAGACAAAATACTACATGCATTGACTTGGCACATGTTTATGGCTCAATAAATAGCAGTTATGATTACTGTTGATGTAATCCATTCATTTGCAAGATTGAAAACTTTTAATTTTAGTAACCCATATTAATTAGAAAATCTTACCCTCATCTTTTTATTCATTACTCACTCACTTTGTTTTTACATTCATTATTCTTTTCTCTATGCATACATGTTTAGTACTTACTATTAGCCAGATAATGTAAGGAGTACTGCATATAAAAGAGTGGATAAGATAGTTATGATCCTTATCTTCACAGAGTGTACAGCTTAAAGAGAGTAATATAATCATGTAAATATTCAATATAATTCAATGTGAAAAATAGAGAGTACTGGGAGCAGTGAGAAGGGGGTGTTTCACATGGAGTCAGAAATGCTTCCTGGAAGACTGAGCTCTAAAGATGAGTGGGCTGAGGGAAATAAGTTTCTGGCAGAAGAGCAAAGGCGAAAGGTTAGAAATGAGAGACAGCAACATTTATATAGAGATGTTGAAAAGAACAAAGGGTTATGAGCCCACGAAGACTCATAAATTATGCTCAGGAGTTTTTTTTGGTTTTTTTTTTGTTTTTTTTTTTGAGGTGGAGTTTCGCTTTTGTTGTCCAGGCTGGAGTGCAATGGCATGACCTCAGTTCACGGCAACCTCCGCCTCCCTGGTTCAAGTGATTCTCCTGCCTCAGCCTCCCGAGTAGCTGGAATTGCAGGCATACACCACCACGTCTGGCTAATTTTGTATTTTTAGTAGAGTCGGGGTTTCTCCATGTTGGTCAGGCTGGTCTCGAACTCCCGACCTCAGGTGATCCACCCGCCTTGGTCTCCCAAAGTGCTGGGACCACAGGTGTGAGCCACTGCATCCAGCTGTGCTCAGGAGTCTTGAGAGTATTAGGAAACTACTGAAGATTTTCCAACCAGTGAAATGACCTGGAATGTTTATATTTCACAAAGATTACTGGCTGTGGTATAGAGAAAGGATTGGAAGTAAGAAAGACTATAGGAGGACTATGGCTATAAGAGACATATTCATAAATCCGGTTAAAGATTCTGGTAGGTAATGGAGAAATGGGAGGATTCAAAATATACTAAGGCTATCAAAAATAGAAGAAATATTAAGATAAGGCAATTTAGAGCAAACTGGTTTATATGGATAGGAAGAAAAAAATCAAAACATTTAATCCTGTCATTCCCACAAAACAAAATTTTAGTGGTTATTTCTTAAAAACTAATAAAAACGAAAACTTTAATTCTTATCCATTATATTTTTCCAATCTTTATATTTAGCCCTATGTTCTACATCATATCTCCGTATTTCTTTCTCAAAAAATCCCGATTTTCGTTCTTTTTTTTTTTGGTCTGTAATCTATAATTTTCTTTTATTTGCATAAATGTATGGGGCACAAGTCAGCTTTATTACATGGATATATTGCCTAGTGGTGAAGACTAGGCTTTTAGAGTAAGCATCACCTGAATAATGTTTATTGTATCCATTAAGTAATACAATTTCTCATCCCTCCAATTCCTCCCACTCTCTTACCCTTCTGAGTCTCTGGTTTCTATTATTGCATATTCTATGTTCATGTGCCACCTTATTTAGCTCCCACTTATAAGTGGCAATATGTGGTATTTGATATTCTGAGTTGTTTCACTTAAAGTCCTCCAGTTCCATTCATGTTGCTGCAAAAGACATGTCATTATGTTTTATGGATGAATAGTATTCCATTGTATGGGGGAGTGTGTGTGTGTGTGTGTGTGTGTGTGTGTTTCATTGTGAAATGTGATATATATCACATTCTTTATTCATTCATCTGTTGATGGACACTTAGGTTGATTCCATAGCTTTACTATTGTGAATATTGCTGTGATAAAAATAAGAGTACAGGTATCTTTCATAATATAAAGCTTTCTTTTCGTCTGGATGGATACCCAATAATGGTATTGCTGGGTTGAATGACAATTCTATTTTTAGTGCTTTATGAAATGTCTATACTGTTTTTCATAGTGGTTGCACTAATTTACATTCCCACCAACAGTGAATAAGTGTTCCTTTTTCTCTGCATTTTTACCATTAATTGTTATTTTTTCACTTTTTAATAATAGCCATTCTGACTGGTGTAAGATAATACCACATGGTGGTTTTGATTTTCAATTCTCTAACAATTAATGATGTTGAACACTTTTCTGTATGCCTGCTGGTCAGTCATATGTCTTCTTTTGAAAAATGTCTATTCATGTCCTTTGCCCACTTTTAAATGGGATTATTTGTTTTTTGTTGTTGTTGAGTTGTTGGAGTTCCTTGTAAATTCTGGATGTCAGTACTCCTTCAGATGCATAGTTTGCAAATATTTTCTCCCATTCTGCAGATTGTCTGCTCATTCTGTTGGTTATTTCTTTTGCTGTGCAGAAGCTTTTTAGTTTAATCAAGTCCATTTGCCTATTTTTTTATTTTGTTGCTTTTGCTTTTGAAGTCTTGGTAGCAAATTCTTTGCTTAGACCAATGTCCTGAGGAGTTTTCACTAGATTTTCTTCTATTTTAATAGTTTCAGGTCTTACTTGTAAGTCTTTAATCCATCTTGAGTTGATTTTTATATATTGTGAAAGCTAGGGATTAAGTTTCGTTTTTTGGCATATGCCAATTTAATTTTTCCAGCACCAGTTATTGAAAAGGGTGTCCTTTCCCCAGTGACAAAGTTGACAAAGTTTTTTTCCACTTTGTCAAAGATCAGTTGGCTGTAGATTTGTGTCTTCTGGGTTCTCTATTCTGTTCTATTGATGTATATGTCTATTTTTATACCATAATGTTTTGATTACTAGAGCTTTGTAGTATAATTTGAAGTCAAGTAATGTGATGCCTCCAGCTTTGTTCTTTTTGTTTAGAATTGTTTTGGCTATTCTGGCTCTTTTTTGGTTGCATATGAATTTTAGAATTGCTTTTTCTAGTTCTGTGAAAAATGATGCTGGTATTTTGGTAGGGATTGCATTAGTTTTATACATTGTTTTGGGTGATACGGTCATTTTAACAATATTACTTCTTCTGATTCATGAGCATGAGATATTTTTCCAGATATTTTTGTCATCTGCAATTTCTTCCATTAGTGTTCTGCAGTTTTCCTTGTAAAAATCTTTCAGTTCCTTGGTTAAACATATTTCCAGGTATTCAATTTTTTGTAGGTATTGTAAATGAAATTGCCTGTTTGATTTTGTTCTCAGCTTTATTGTTATTGTTCTATAAAAGTACTACTTATTTTTGTATATTACTGTGTATCGTGAAACTTTGCTGAAATAATTTATCAAATCTAAGAGCTTTTTTGGAAGAATCTTTAGGGTTTTCTGGATATAAAATCATATTGTCAGCAAAGAGAGATAATTTAACTTTCTCTTTTCCAATTTGAATGCCTTTGTTGATTTAGCTAATCTTTCATTCTGCCATTATTGCCAAAATCCCCTCCACCTATCAAAATTCCTCCCACTCTTCAAGAAATATGTAAAATGTTACTTCATTGGTGAATTATTGTTTTATCTCTTTACATTCTTCTCTTGGCAATATGTAGGTCTTTCATAGTATAGGACCACATTTTGTTGATTTTGTAACCCTTCCTAGAACCTTAGGCAAAATCTGAATAGGCATTCAGTAAATATTTGGGAACTGAGATGAATAATACAAAAGGCTTCATATTTCTTTGCTGATAACTAACAAAGAGACAAATGTATAAATTATAGAACTCAAAAGGAAAGATAAAATGGTCAACCAAACAAACATTTTGGAGGAAGAAGGGGTGTGATTTAGATGTCAATATCAACAATAAACACTAAATTAAATATGAACACTAAAACACTAAAAATGAAACATATTAATTTAATGGGCAGTTATTACTGTTCACTATGTACTGTGATATAGGCTTTAAATTTAAGCCTGTTTTAATAGCTTCACTTTCAAAGAACATTTGTAGAAAGACCATTTTTATGCCACCTCACCTTCTAAGCTCCTTGTTACATATGCAGGCCCAATACAACTGAGCATTGCTTTCAATAAATGAAATACTTTGGTATGAAAAAGGCAATACTATGAATTGGACTTCTGATGCAATTTTTTCCCATTTAAGTACAAAACTGAAAGTAAATGCTGTACATCCTTTGACTGTATCTTGAATATTTTTTAGGTATAAAAATGAGTAACTATATAGTAACAGTACACAAGACCATCACAATAACAGATTGTGACTTATTTTTCCCAGTGAGTCATTTTCTTCATCCCTAACATGGACCTCTCTCTGATAATAAGAGAATGCATTGGGTTTGTGCATATGGCAAATTAAATAATTTGTTTGCAACATTTAGAAATCCTGTAATTAACTAAAGCTAATTTAGCACACAGTGCTATTGCCTATTATATAATAAGAACTAACACATAAAAATGTATATCCATTGTTTTCAATTTAAGGTTGATTCTATTTTACTAACTATTTAAGTGATGTACTACTGATTTAACATTACTCCTAAGTTCGCTGGTAGCTGGCAGGGGAGATGGAGTGTAGAATTAAGCACAGAGCTGCTGTGTTCAGAATGGTGGAATCTCATTCAAAAAACCTATACGAGTTAACCTGTCCATAGCCATTGATTGTAGATCTTTGCTTCCCCCCTTATTTTTACATGTCCAAAACTGCATAGCAGAAATATTATTGCAAATCTAAAAGTATACTAAAATAAATGTTTAATTGCTAATAATTTGGGATCAAGGGCATTGCCTAAACTTACAAGGAATAACATTTTAAACTATTCTAAGTATATCTATGAGTTGTGAGCATGTTAGTGTTTTGAGATTTATGATGATGGTGAACATCACTTATCTTCATTTACTTATTTAAGAGATAATTGAATGTCTACCATGTGCCAGTTCAAATTGCGGTAACTGCATCCCAAACCTAGCAGGAGAGGTAAGTTCTGGCTCTCAAGGTGAAATGTTTCCTTGCTTTCAAGGAAAGAAATATTCAATAAGCAAAGAAGCAAATACATAAACAAGATTTTAGATATTAATGACCATTTCACAAGATGAAAATTGTATGTATGATACAGCATTACTGAATATGCAAGAGTGGGGATGGAAGAATTAATTTAGATTAACAGTCTAAAAGTCCTCTTTGAGGACATAAAATCTGAGCTGAGACCTGTATGACAAAAAGGATTTAGCTATGCCAAGACCTGGGGACAAAGCTCCCTAGCCAATGAAACACCAAAAAAGATCCTAAGTTGAAAATTCATATGACATCTTGGTGAGGCCGAGGGAACGCTAACATGTTTATGGTTATGGAAGCTCTTATTTTTGTAACAATTGTGTGAGTTTTCAAGGGTTTGTGCATGTCAAAAAAAATCTGAAAGTTAAATAAGTGTGTTGTTTATCTCATGTTAGCTTGCTGATATTAATATATACCAAAATTAATTCATAAGTATTTTTTATTTATACAAAAACTACTATAGCAGTTATGAATGGGTGTGCAGCTGAATATCAGTGTAAGTAATCTGTTTTCTCAATCATAATTTATATTTGTAAATTTTTAGTGTGCATTTCTGCCTTGATTACATAAATAATCACCTGGCTGCTTAAATATATTGTCTTCATTATACAGTTAATAAACTATAGCTTAATGTTAACCCTTGGCATAAACACTTAGTATGCAGCCATGAAAGAATGAAAGAATGTAGCCTTTCAGACCAGACAAACTGGTTGGTAATCTAACTATGTATCATACAAATTATGTGTATTAGGACAATATATTTTACCTTTTCAATCTTAATTTATTAGGTTTTCTGTAAATGTTAAAAGAAATGACACATAGAGCATAGCGTTTACTTATTTTTTCAATACACCATTTTCAAATCATCATTTTCTCCAAGAATATATTCCTCTCTTATAATAATAGCTAACATTAATACTGTGTGTTGGGCACAATTCTATCCTAAAAATGTTATGTTGTCTATATCTATTAATTGATTTTATATTTGTAATCACTATGAGGCAAATAATACTTCTAAAAATAAATTAAAATAATTGTAAAAATTGAATTCTGCTCAACCAATGTATTTTGTGATAACCGTCTACCTCAATTCAGTATAAAAAGTGTACAAAGTTTTAGAACTTACTTCCTGCTGCTATAACCTGATGCCCTATGCTATAACCCTATGAATTTTCTCCATCTCTGTGGTGGAGCTCTCAGCACAGCAGTTAGCAAAAGCTTCTTCTCTGCCCTGCAACTTTATCAGTTCTGCTTCTCAGTCTTTTCTCTGATCTCCTGCTGTATATATCAGATTCAAACCCTGTGCCCTTGACATTAAAGTTAAGACACAATACTCTTACATTTTTCTTTTGCCCTATATTTGTCTTCCCTTATCACTAATACCTACTTAAAAGTCTGCCTGATCTCCAAGGGGACAAAATTAGTCATTATTTTTTGTTTTTCCACAGTAGATTTTAAGAGCCTCTGCAAAAATGACGTTCCAGACTTATACTACATTCTAAAGTTTGAATTAATGTGTAGTTTTGCTGTCAAATTGTGGTCTGTGAACAAGCAACATTGGCATCACCTGGGAGCTTTTTAGAAATGTACAAAATGAGACCCTACATTGGGCCAATGGAATCAGAATCTGCATTCTGATTCAAAGATGGCAAGAGTAAAATTCTGGACTTGATCCCAAAGACAGTGGGATGTCAGAAAGGGCCTTCGAAGGGGTGAAGTCAGCCAGCACAGCAAGAGATTATCATAATCCACATTTATTAAAGGCCTAGGCTGTTACGGTGCTGATCTAATTTTTGAATGTGTATTATTATAGAAATACATTTTATTCTACCCACAATACCACAAGGAATTGGTTATTATTACCATCTTTTAACAATAGAGAAGAAAAAGCTGAGACCCTGGAGGTTAAGTGACTTTCCTGAGGTTGCACAGTAAATAAGGCGATGACAGGCCTGGATTCAAAATCATGTGGGTTGGCTCCAAGCCCAGTTTCTTAATTATGATCTTGTACTGCCTCTTTTGGAATAGCCTATTTCACCTTCATTGACTGGCACTGTTCCTGGCCCTTCATAGGCATTCAATAATTGCAAATGTAGGCATTTGCAATTCAGGCAAATGTAGGTGTAAATTCAGGCAAATGTAGATGTAGTTTTCACTGCTGCAGTTGAATCTATTACTACTTCTCCCTCACAGCCTGTGAAGAAACATCCTGAGCATAAGAAATCAGGGAACTCATCCATGCCTACATTTTTTCTACTTTTGTTTTACCATCTCCATTCTTCACAACCCTCCAGCCACCCTCACAGCAGGCAACCCATGCTTCTTTTTGTAGTTTTGTAATTTTTAGTAACTTTTTCTACTTAAAGAAACAAATAGACTTAGCAAAATAAATAACTGAATAAACAAAATAAAACTGAATAAAATAAAATAAATAACTGAATTCATGTGATGTTTCAAAATTCTATCAGACTCTAGCTCTTGATATTTACCTCCTCTGAAAAGTTTTAGTGCCAAATTGTGATTTGTATTTAGCTTGAGGGAAAAGCAATTAAAATCCAGATATTGCCCAATACTTTGATTACTAGTAGGCCATGTCTTCTTCTACAGCATGTACATAGTTGAAACTGAATTGAGATTAGCCTCAACTGTATAGGCATCTAGCTTCATCAGCTACCCCACCAAGACATCCCATGCTGTAATGAGGGGTGTGTGTATGTGTGGGGGTGTGTGTGTGTGCGTGTGTCTGGCATTGCGCATTGCCTCATAAAATGACGTGCTCAATTCCGGGTGCCTGGAAAATGTTTTCCAGAATGTTCACTAGTTGTAGAAAATTAAAGGTCTTTCCTGGGAAAAGTAACTCAAAATTCTTTAATTAAATTACCAAAACAATAGGTAACATAAATCAGTATCAACTGCTTTCTTCTGCTTTGAAAGACAAATGCTGATTTCATGAACCCAACCCAACAAACCACTGCCTCCTTTGTCAAATAATAATAGTAGTAGTTAATATTATTGCTTATATAAGTATTAATGAATGCTTTTTATATTATATTTTATGTGATCCTTATACACGTTCCATGAAGTAGGTACTATTATCTCCATTTTAAAAGAAAACAATTTGCAATTGAGGATAAAAAATGTTAAGTGGTTCAATTAAGTATCCCAACTAATAAATGGTTTGGCCAAGTTTCAAGCTTGGACATTTTTTATTTGAGATGAATTTCTACTTAACCAAGGCGTACTACTTTGAAATATGTGAATTTTCAGAAAATAGTCTACAAAAGAGAGCTTCATAGGATGCATATAGGGAGAATGGATATTAGGAAACAACATAAGGGTATTTCAAAAGTAGTTTTCCCTACCCTTGGAATTTATTTAACAAGTATTGTGGCTATATATTTATGTCTTTATATAACTTCAATATACTACCCAAAAACTCAGTAGCTTAAACAATAATAGCCATTTATTATTTCTCATGACTGGGGTTGACTGAGCTCAGCTGGAAGTTCTGTTTAATGTGGTGTTGGCTAGGGCTGCAGTTGTCTGGAAGGCTCCCAGGGCTGGGTCTTCCAAGATGGCTCGCTTATGTGGCTGGCAGTTGGTGCTGCTTGGTAGGTGGCACCATTAACTAGAGCACTTTAATTCTCTTCCAGGGGACCTTCCTACATCGTCTAAGCTTTTTATAGCTTAGAAGCTGGATTCCAAGAGACAGTTAAAAATGGAAGTTGCAATTTTCTTAAAAGTCCATTTAAAGTCCACTCTTCAAAGTAACACAGAGTCACATTTGCCTCATTCTGTCATTCATAGTAAGGCACAGGCCAGCCCAGGTGAAAGAGAAGGAATGACAGCAAATTTGGGTCAACTTCAGTCCACCACAGTCTACTCTGTGGTCATAAGATCTTCCCATTTCTCCAGGAATATAAGATAGACTAATTTCTTTGAAGACACGAAAATCTTATCACACTTCACCATCAAATTATAAGGTATTAATATTCAAATTTCATCCAGGCGTGGATGAGATTCCTGGAGGTTGTCTTCACAGGTGTTTTTATTCAAATGAAGACATGTGTGGGCTAGAAGACAAGTCATATGCCCCAAACGAACAAAAATAATTTGGGAAACAGTTACAGAATTACACTAATAGACACTTGTATTCAAAAAGGGATAAAAAAGCAAATGCCACAAATCCTACTTTTCCAAGGGCAGGAAATGTATATTTATTTGCAACTTGGTTTGCTCCCTAGAGTAGTTTTATAGCGAAGGGACTCCCAGCTCTGCTTTCTGAGTCATCCTTCCTTTTCTAGAAGAAATGTTTCATGTTTGTAGCTAGAAGCATTTTTAGCCTGTTTCTTGCCCATGGAAATCTGTAGGCTTGGAGTCACCTTTTCAGTTTGAATTAATTATTTTCTTTTGAAAATCCAAACTGGTTTTGCTTCCTCTAGTGCATAGTCCCAATAGCTTTGGAGATTTTTGGTGAATCTTGTTGGGTTTACCGCATTAAACGAAAGTCTACCCACAAATCTTTTCAAAACAGTCTCCTGTCTACTTCTGGTGACATGTCAGGATACTCTGGGTCAATACTCTAAAAATACTTACAAGTAATTTTATCTGAGACTATCATTCTAAGAATGAGAGTCTAAAGATATTTTAGATTGGCTAAAACATTCCAAGAATAGGAAGTGCTCCCTTCCTATTCTTAGACTGATTTTGGCCTGATACCAACATCTGTATTAGTCAGGGTTTGATAACAGAAGCAGAACTACTATGAGTATTATGAAATAAAATATTTATTAAAGTATATAAAGCTTAATAATTGTGGGAGGACTTAAAGAAAAAGATCTAGAGAAGAGAGTTGAAGGTTTCAGAATTACCACACTACTCTGCTTTTGTGAGTTAATTTGTCTGCTTTTGCCCATAATTCAGGAGGGTTGATTATTTCTTCAAAGCGGGAGGGGACCTGAGAAGTCAGGTGCATCCATCTCTGAGTGACCACCAAAGGGCGCTGGTGAGGAAATCTGTTTTGCCTCTGTGTCACCTCTATGTCTGGTATTGGGCTTTGGCAGGCCTACCAGTTGGGTAGAAATGCTAGATGTGGAGCAGGAGAAAGCAAAGACAAGCTGGAATCTAACACCTCCAGGTTTATCTCCCCACTGTAAAAAGCCAGGTCAAGCTGGAACCTTCCACCACCTATGTATTGGTCTTGCAAATGTGGCCACAACTACCCGATAGAAAAATGGTAGCTGTTCTACTTCTGCCTTCAAACACTGATGTATTTTTTTTCTTTTGACCTACTCTCAGCTGGAACCATAAAAGCAAGGGGGTTATGGGAAATATGGTTCCAGTTTTTGAAGTCTATCAATTTAACAAAATGAAAAACCACCACAGCAAATATCATTGGGTACCTGGCATGCTTACAAGCGTTGAAGACAGAGCAATGAACAATAAAGATTGAATACCTGCACTTAGGAAAATTATGATGGAATTTATATATAACCAGTTCTTGCCTAAGCATTTTAATTCCTTAGAAAGTGAAGACATACCTGATTTTTATAAACCTACTTTTTAATCCAAATTTTTACAGTACAGCAAAAAATTAAAAGGGATGATGATGATGAATAATTTTAAAGCAATCATCCAATGCAATTACACGGTAAGATTAGTTACAGAGGGAAAAGGCCACATAAAATATTGAAGCCCATTGGATGCTAGAGATGATAAAGACTTTCTCTAGTAACATGACAATATCAGGAATTTTCGTTTCTCTTCGGCTTTACTACAACGGCATAGTTGTACATGTCTTCTACCTTAGGAAGGTCTAGGCTACTTTTCATTCCATTTTACACCTGTGAATGAACTGATGAAATTCCTCTACTTGGATCTGTGTGAACTACCATAAATATTTTGGTTGGTTATTTCAGTTACCTAGGTTTATAGCCTACTTGCATTACTTCCACTGCTTATATCCTCATTGAGACTTAGGAAACTGTATTATCTTCCTTTCATTTGTACATGATCTATAAATGAATTATGAATTAATAAGAAATAAATTACTCTTGCTTATGTTCTTGGGCTAGGAGAAAGAAAACTAACTTAATACTTGTGAAATGACAGTGAATGCTTATATGTAAGAAAGAATATATATTTTATGTAATTCTGACAACAAACGTTAAAGTACACATCTAGTACATATCCGTATATTTAAAGGTGAGAAAACTGCAACTCAGAAAAGCAAATTGTTCATGTTTATACAGCTCGTAAGTGGCAAATGAAAGACTCAAAACCAAATACGCCTAGAACCAAACTCCAAGCATTTTCTGCTATACTATATTGCCATTAATTTTAGATTTTCCTTGCATCTTGTTTTACAGGCTCCAAAGTTGAGTTGCACTTGATAATTCTGATGGCTTTGGCAATATATCACATACAGCCAGTTTATCTGGTATGGTATCAAGGTATCATTAAAATATTAACTTTAAATTTATTGTTAAAATATTTTCATGCTGGAATTTCTCTGGAGCTAGGGCAGAAAGCTATTCCTTTTTTTACACAAAAGCTACACAAATTTAATATATACAACTTGATGAGTTTAAAGATAAGTATATATCTGTGAAACATCATCACAATCAATGCCATAAACATATCCATACCTCTAAAAGAAGGTTTCCTCCTATCTTTTTTATTTTTATTTCGTGACAAGAACACTTAACGAAAGACCTGCCCTGTTAGCAAATTTTCAAGTACATAATACATTATTGTCAGCTATAGACATTATATTGGACATATTCATTTTACACAACAGAAACCCTCTACGCTTTGACCAATACCTGTTTCCCCCCCTTCCCAGCTCCTGGCAATTACCACACTACTCTATGCTTTTGTGAGTTTTTGAATATTCCATATTCCTCATATAAGTAAAATCATGTATAATTTGTCATTCTGTATCTGGCTTATTTCATAGCATAATGACTTTCTGTTTCCTCCATGTTATCAAAAACGGTAGGATATATACCCAAAAGTGAGATTGCTGGGTAATTCTATGGTAGTTCTATTTCTAATTTTTCAGGGAGCCTCTGAAGTGTCTTTCGTAATGGCTACACAAATCGACATTCCCCCAAACATTGTACATATCCCTTTTTCTCCATATCCTTGCCAATATTTACCTTTTTTTGGGGGGGGGGGATAATAGCCATCCTAACAGTACAAAGGATTATCTCATTATGTTTTTGATTTGTATTTTCTTGATGACTATGACCTTGAGCACCTTTTTATATACCTGTTGGCTATTTATATTATCTTCTTTGGAGAAATGTCTATTTTGGTATTTTGCCAATTTTTAATCAAATTGTTAGTTTTGTTTTACTATTTATAGTAGATCCTTATATATTTTTTATTTTAATTCTTTATCAATATTGTATTCCATTTCATAGATTACCTTTTCATTTTATTGATTATTTTCCTTGTTTTGTAGGAGCTCTAAAATGTGCAATGAGGCAAGGATGCCCATTCTGGCTACTTTTGTTTAACACAGAAATGGAAGTCCTAGCCACAATAAGTACACCCACACCCCCCCACACACACGCAAGCACACATACATGAATGAAATATTAACTGGAAGAAAGAAGTAAATTATCTCTTTAGATATCATAATTTTATGGGCAGAAAACTCTAAAGACCTCACAAATAAAACTGTTACAACTAATAAACATTTTCAGTAAAGTTGCAGTGTAAAAATCAACATGTAAAACTTACTTGTGTTTCTATACACTAATAGCAATAAACCAACCAAAAAGAAAATGAAGAAACTATCCCATTTAAAATAGCGTCAAAAAAATTAAATACTTAAGAATAAACTTAACCCAGGAGGTGAAATATTTTTACACTGACAACCATAAAATACAAAGAAATTAAAGAAGACACAAATAAATGAAAAGACTTTCTTTCTTCATGTATTCAAATAATGAATATTTTTTAAATTCCCATATTACCCAAAGCAATCTAAGGATTCAAAGCAGTATCTTAAAAAATCCCAGTGTCATTTTGTACAGAAATAGTAAAGAAACAGCACGATTTATATGGAACCACAAAACATTCCAAACAGCCAAAGTAATTTTGAGCAAGAACAAAGCTGGAGGCATCACACTTCCTGTAATTTCAAATATTATACAAAACTATAGTAATCAAAACAGTATAGCACTGGCATAAAAACTGACATATAGACTAATGGAACTAAACAGGAAGCCCAAAAATACATCCTTGTACATGTGGTCAATTGATCTTTAAGGGTGCCAGATGACACAATAGGGAAAAGTAGTCTTTTTAATAAATGCTGTTGGAAAAATTGGGTATCCCCATTAATGAAAAAGAAAGAAAGAGAGAGAGAAAAAGAAAGGAAGGCAGAAAGGGAGGGGAAAATAAAAGAAAAGAAAAAGAAAGCGAGAGAGAAAGGAAGGAGAAAAGAAAAGGAAGAAAAGAAAAAGAAAGAGAAAGAAAGAAAGAAAAAGAAAAAAGATAAGGAAGGAAGGAAGAAAAAAGGAAAAGGAAGAAGGAAGGAAGGAAGAAAGAAAGAAAGAAAGAGAAAAGAGACAAAGGAAAGGAAGGAAGGAAGGAAGGGAAATTGGACTTTTATCCTACACCATACGCAAAAAGAAACTCACAATGGAATGACCTGAAACCGTACAATTTTTAGAAAAAAACATAGGGGAAAATGTTTCTTGGTATTGACCTTAACAATGATTTCTTGGATATGACCTCAAAATCCCAGGCAACAGAAGCAAAAGCAGACAAGTGGAATTACATCAAAATAGGGAGCTGAGTTTCAGATTTCATAGTCACAGACATGACTTAAATGAATGGAAGAGGGTTTATAAAAGGTACTAGTATAAATTCTCCAGTATAAAATTTATATCAGAATTGCACACAGAATACCTTTATATATTAAGTTCTTCTCATTTTGTTGGTAGAATAGTAGGTTTGGGCGACATTGTGGAGAAAAAGTTGGAAACATTTTGTTTATAAGAGCATGGACTTAGGAATTAAAATACAGTGTATTAGCTATGTCATGGTGAGCAAATTAATTAACATCTCTATTCCTCTAATTCTTCATTGGTGGTATGAAATGAGGTAGAATTATACATTCTATAAGGAGTACTGTAACATTTCAGTGAAAAATATGAAAACTCCCTAGTCCAGTATGTAACATAAATTAAGATAATTATAGCAATAGCTACCTTTTACTGATTGCTTACTATGTACTAGTTATAGAGTTATGCACACTGTTTCATTTTATTTAGTATAGGTTGGTGCAAAGGTAATTGCAGTTTTTTTGCCATTAAAATTAATTTAAATGGCAAAAACTGCAATTACCTTTGCACCAACTTAATATTTATAAAAATCTTGCAAAGAAGCTGTTGTTTGATACACTAATATTAAATTAAATTAAACCTTAGAAATGTACTAACTTGCCACAAAAAAAAAAAAAAAACAGTGATAGAGTGGGAAGGCAACACAAGGTCATCTGATTTGGGAGACACTGTCTATTCACCTATTTTATATTTTTTACTGTGAGCTTACAAACTGTTAGTTTCCTTCCTCATTTGTTATAAAGTGTATCAGTTAACCATGACAACAGACTGCTGCATAACAAATTATCCTCAAAATTTGTGGCTTAAAATCATAATCATTTGTCTTCAGATATCTCTAAAGTGCCTGGGGTCAGCTGTGTTGGGCTCAGTTTTTCAGTGGTAGCTGTCCTCAAGTCTCTTCTTCTCCTGAGAGCGGCATCTAGCACTGGCATGTGTGGTGAAGACAAAGGCACGTGTAAGAGCAGATTCAATTTTATAGGTACTTTATTGCACCATATTTCCAACATCCCTTTGGCTAAAGCAAATCACATTGTCCCTACCAAAAGTCAGGCATTACACTGAACTCACTTTGGAGATTACTGCAAAATTACTTCTAAATGGCATAGATGTGGAAAAAGACGGAGCCTCATGATGAGGAATGCAATTTACCCCAGAAGAGGAAAACATTTCTATTCTACCTCAGTGTTTTTGAAATTAGAGTGTAAGCCAAGATCACTTAAAAGGCTTGCTAAAAATGGAAACTTCAGGCTACCTCCACAATTTAAATTATTTTGATCTAGATTTAGCCACCAACATGTGTATTTTAGCAAGTACCCCAGTGATTCTGAGGCTGGCAGTCCAGTGGGCCTCAATAGTCCTCATAAAAATATTTCATTCAATGTACCGATATAGGGCCTACTGGCCCCTCAATGGTCCTCATAAAAATATTTTATTCAATGTACCAATACAGGGCCTACTGCACCTTGCACTCTTTCCATCTAATTTTCTTCTCCATAATGCAGTTGCTTCTTGATATTGAGAGCAATATATGGAATTGGACTTGCCTGATATACTTTATGCTAATAATTATTTATTTATTATTTTATTTTATTTTTGAGATAGAGTCTCACTCTATCACCCAGGCTGGAGTGCAGTGGTGCAATCTCGGCTCACTGCAACCTCTGCCTTCCGGGTTCAAGCGATTTTCCTCCCTCAGCCACCTGAGTAGCTGAGGCTATAGGTGTGCACCAGCATGCCCAGCTAATTTTTGTATTTTTATTACAGACAGGGTTTCACCGTGTTGGCCAGGTTAGTCTTGAACTCCGGACCTCAACTGATTCACCTGTCTTAGCCTCCCAAAGTGGGATCTGCTTGGAATGTGAGCCACCACATCTGGCCATTTATGCTAAAATTTTCTAAAGGAAGAATGGTGAATACCCTTGGAAAATAATTAAGAAGCTTGTAGAATTTGATTTTTTTAAGGTAGTAAGACAATAGGAGGAATGCTAACTCATTTCAATACTGAATGGATAATGGAGTACAAAAGAATTTCTGAACTCTCTATTTAACAATTATTTACTAAGAGGTTGCTTCCTGACTTCTATAAACCTATCAAATGTGTTCATTAATTATTTCTACAATATCAAACCTAGTCTCTTGAACATAGATGGCCATATGTCCTGATGTTGATTAGACAGTCTTAATGTTTATAACTTATTTGCCAAATAAGTAACTCTGTAAATATATAATTACATATAATTTGCATTTTATATTCAGTAAGATTTTTCATTAACATGAATTATAAATCATTTGGGAGAGCCTTTCCCACAACCTCCTCTATTTTCTTCTTTGGAAAATGTAATCACACAATAAGGATTCTTCACTTTAAACAAAATCAGACGCAAGCCCTTGTATTAAATATGTGCTGATTGCCTAGAATGTTATAAGTACATGATTAATGTAAGAGATATTACAGAATAGTGAAAAGTGAGCACCTTGAAAGCAGCAGAAAAGGATTTATATTCTGGTTTGACCATTTATATAACTATTGGGGCCGGTTTCTCTATTTAAAAAATGTGGGTACACCTTATTATATCACATAGTTGTAGATTTGACATAATATATCTAAGGCTTAGTACTTATAAGTTATCCACAAGTTATTATTTTGGAGACATGCTGACTTTCAAGACAATTCTTAAGCATAAAGACTCCACTGTTCTAACTTCTGGAAAGTGTAACACAATATGTGTAAGTCAATCAGACAATAAATTTGACAATAAATCATTATGTCATTTGATATATAGAAACATGGGTAAGTACAAAATCATCTGATTAGGTGCAAGTCCAAGTTTCATGACATATAAGTTATAAAGCTTTGGGTGGAATAACTGCTTTGTGCCTTTTTCCCCTTATCTCTAAAGTAGGGTTATTGTTATTTATTATGATTGTTATTGTAATCATGAAATTCCAAAATATGTATAAATTACTTAGCTCTATCTTATATATAGGAAAAATTTAATTTTAATTTTGTTGTTATTATTACTGTTATTACTATTAATTGCAGTATTTTAGTCTGGTTTGCAATACTAGATTTATAACTTAATGAACCTAACTCACTCACTTAACTTTTCTAAACCTACCAAAAATGGGCTGTTGTGATGACTAAGGCTGATAATGCATACCTGGAAGATAGTGGGTGCTATCTTCTCTTTTGCTTACACTTTTTAGTTTTCTCTAGCAAGGAAATGTTTTATGTGTTCTAAAATGGGAAGTATAAAAATAAACTGGGCATTCTGAGATGATATGTTAAAATAGGTGAGATTTAAGGCTAGGCACAGTGGCTTACGCCTGTAATCCCAGCACTCTGGGACGCCAACACAGGCAGATCAACTGAGGTCATGAGTTCGAGACCATCCTGGCCAACATGGTGAAACCCCATCTCTACTAAAAATACAAAAATTAGCCAGGCATGGTGACATGCACCCGTAGTTCCAGCTACTCAGGAGACTAAAGCAGAATTGCTTAAACCCGGGAGGTGGAGATTGCATTGAGCCAAGATCACACCACTGCCCTACAGCCTGGGTGACAGAGAAAGACTCTGTCTCAAAAAAAAAAAAAGAAAGAAAGAAAAGAAAAATTTAAGGAGCATATGGATAGAGAAAAACAAAATAAATGTTTACTGTATTGTTTTATGTTGAAACAAATGGTTATATGAAATTTTTATTTTACAATTATTCTTGATATTTTGTCAATACAAACTAAAAATGTAAGGTATCATAGTAATACAAGTGATAATAAACCATAATAGACAATGTTAAAACATAATTTTCACAATAATCTTTGATTTATATTGTTTCTAAGTGTTAGGAGTTAAGGGTGTTTACGCATTGTATTGGGCTAGGAGACAAGACCTGTATTTACTTCTCAGTTCTGCAAGTTTCTCGGTGTGTAGCTTTAGACCTATCACTGAAATTTTAAGTCTTTGATTCCTCATGTGTTATATTTAGAAGGTTTTAGGAAAATATCCATGAGTTTACTGATCTCTAAGGACTACATGCCATGTCTGATATCTGAAATTTCCTAAGCACATTACACTGGGGAAGCTGTCTTTCTCTGCAAGTCTCATTTTACTGACCCGAAAAATGGAGATAATGTTGCCTGCTTTGATTAATGACTTACTGAATGTGGAGCTGAATTGAGTTAGTAGATATGAACGGGCTTTGAAAAAGTGGCAACTGCTATATAAATATAAAACACAATTATTGTAAATTATCACAGATTTACTGGCCATGGCTCAGAACAGTAAATGGAAAGAAGTGAAGTTGTTAATTGAGAAGAAACAGGAGTGGCAACCTTTCTAATGGAGGATAATCCAGAATTTATGTTGTGTAGTGCTGTGGTTAATTGATTGGGGTTGGATCTGGTGCATAACAGTCTGCCAATGCAATTTTTTCTGTCTCTTGTCACATTAAATCACTTACAATGAACTCAGATTCAGAGAGAATATAAACTATGGCAAGACCTACAGGTACACGAAGACCAAATACATTCAAGTTGTTGGGAATGGATGGGGATATATATGTTGACATTTGTTAAAGAGGGAAAGTTTGGAACATAGTTGATGCCAAGGTGTCCATTCCAAAGTGAATTTTCTTTACTCGTTGTGTAAAAGGAGCCTATTTTCAATTTCCTTCATGCAAAATGCAAAACAGCTACTAACCTCTCTCTCTTTTTCTCTCATTTCCCTCCTAGAGCTCTTATCAATCTCTATAGTTACTATGATTTTAGAACATTGCTCTGACTTTCATTAGATCTACATGTTTGGAAAGAACTAGTATGGTACCGTGAAAAGAATCTCGGGTTTGAAAAAGACTCTGTATTTAAATTCTCCCTCCATCATTGACTAGGTGGGTAATACTTCTCAGCTCCAGTTCCTGTTCTCTAAAACTGTAACACTAACTTTTACCTTAAAGTATCTAGGCAAGGAAATCACCTAGCACAGTGTCTAATAATGTGTAATAGTTCATTAAGTCTTATTTTCTGACATTTTCTTCTACTTCTTCAAGGTATGGGCCATATCTTATTCACTAAATTGTGTATGTCCCTTCAACATTCCCTGTATTTGGCTCTTTTCATCTTATCATCTTGTCACTTTAGTGACTTCTCTGCCTTTTCACTTGTCTGTAGGGACTCCTCTCCATCAACTTTTAGGAACCTGTTTAAAGACTTTTAAAATAAACCTTGCCTACAAATCAATTGTCTTAGTCCGGTCTGCCATGCCTGAGCCACACCCCAGCCCACCCCACCCACCGTGGGCTCCTGTGCCGCCTGAGCCTCTCTGACGGGCACCACCCGCCTGTTCTGCTGTGCCCAGTCCCATTGACCGCTCAAGGGCTGAGAAGTGCAGGTGCGTAGAGCAGGAGTGGTGGGCAGCTCCGCCAGGAGACCCGAGATCCCGTGCCAGGGAAGCCAGCTGGGCTCCTGAGTCAGGTGGGGACTTGGAGAACTTTTATGTCTAGCTGGAGGATTGCATATGCGCCAATCAGCTCTCTGTGTCTAGCTCAGGGTTTGTGGATGCACCAATCAGCACTCTGTATCTAGCAAATCTGGTGGGGACTTGGAGAACTTTTATGTCTAGTTACAGGATTGTAAATGCACCAATCAGCACTCGGTGTCTAGCTCAAGGTTTGTAAATGCACCAATCAGCACCCTGTCAAAACGGACCAATCAGCTCTCTGTAAAATGGGCCAATCAGCTCTCTGTAAAATGGACCAATCAGTAGGATGTGGGTGGGGCCAGATAAGGTAATAAAAGCAGGCTGCGGCGCTATCAGTGACAACCCGGTAGCACACTGGGGTCCACATGTGCACTGTGGAAGCTTTGTGCTTTCACTGTTTGCGCTACAATTTGCTGATGTTCAGTGTTTGGGTCCACACTGCTTTTATGAGCTGTAACTCTCACTGTGAAGGTCTGCAGCTTCTTTCCTGAAGCCAGCAAGACCACAAATCCACCGGGATGGACAAACAACTGCAGACGCGCTGCTTTTAAGAACTGTAGCACTCACCACGAAAGTGTGCGCTTTACTTCTGAAGTCAGCAACCCACCAGAAGGAAGAAACTGGACACATCTGAACATCTGAAGGAAAAAACTCCGGACATACCATAAGAACTGTAACACCGCAAGGGTTTGCAGCTTCATTTTTGAACTGGTGGGACCAAGAACCCACTGATTCCAGACACATTAGGGTACTTCAAATGCACGTGGTAATATTGGATGAAAAATTATAAAATAGGCATGATTCTTTTAAAATTAGATTTATTTATCAGCATTGTTCTTGTTGAAGAATAATGGATAATGTATAATGTAATCCAGAGTTTTAATGAGAGGATCCGCAGCCACTTTTATAATCAAAAGCTAGGAAAATAATAAAGAGACACCTTTACTTTTCTTGACACGTTGGGAGGCGTGACCACATCTGAGAAAAGGCAATTGTGACAAGGTTGTGTGTAAATGAGTGCTCAGAATCATTGTCAGGATTGTAGCTTGGTTCAACACCTTTGGAGCAGGGGGAATAATGTGTGACAATGTGATTGTAAGGGGGCCTAGGGCTTATGTGTTGAAGCCATGCCTGCCTGACAGATGCAATATTTTTTCTTAGATTATATTTTTGAGGACATAAAGGACACTGGAGAAGAAGCACTTGCCTACTGCCTGTTTGAATAGGAAACTTTATTTTTTAATAAACTGATAATTCTGTATCTAGAGTTGATGGAGTTGATGGAAATTTTTGATTTGAACAGACCACCTGCAATCTAGTCATGTTTTAATACTCACTTATTTGGAGGACAAGTTGTCAGTTCCTATCAAAATTTTAAAATACATACACCCATTAATCCAACAACATCACTTTGGGGATGCTGTCTTACAGATGTAGACACAATAATGTCCCCAAAAATGCATATACAAGATGCTTGTGGCAGCATTATTTGTAACAATTGAAAATCAGAAACTATCAAAATTCCCAATAATTGGGACTGATTAAACAATATCATAGTTATGGAATGCTTGGAGGCTCTTATACATTAAAAGTAGACCTATATATTCTGGAAGTATCTTTAAAGTGAACATAAATACATACCCATGCCCACACCCACACAACAAAAACAAAAATAAGGCCAGAACAGATTCTATTTTTTAAACATCATACACGTATGTAATATGCACACATACATACACATTTGTGTATTTATTCAAATATTAATTACCTATTGTGTACTACACATGGGAAAAGAACAGGAATAGAAAATACTTTGAAGGGCACTAAAATCTCTTAGTAGAAAATTGGTGCAGAGAACCCACGGATTCACGCTGGAGGGGAGAGTTTTATTTCCACATACATCCTTTGAAATTTATTTTTGTACCATGTACATTTTGAAAGATAACATAATTTAAAAACATTTAGAGACCAAATTAAAAAAATCAAAGCAAGATTCAAGAAGCAGAAATGTTTGTTTCAAGCATAGACACCCACCCTACTGTTGACCAATTTAACACAAACATATTGAAATGATACTATGCAGTCTTAGTATTAGGCTTAATCCTGTATTTAACATATTAACAGGATGTATCTCTTTCTGGTCCACTAGACTTCAAATAACAGGCCTACCAAGACAGACTGAAAGTCAATGAAACACACAAAGCAAACACAGAGTTGAATGGGATTTAAAGAATAAATGACTGCTTAATGCTCCTTTTGATTTATCAAGCTCGACAATATACACATTTTAGGTTCAGCCTATCTTTTTTCCACATTAATATATCAATGCTCTGTATGTGCACTGCAAGAATCATAGAAGCCTGGTGGTTAAGAAGTAATAAAAGTACAGATGGAGATACAGCTATCTAATTAATTCCGAAATCTGGTTGCACTTGAAAGAGGAGCGACATGCCCATAGATGTTTTTCTATCCTCATTTCAACATGCGGAGTTGCTTTCAGTCAAAAATATTTATTTCATCAGGAAATGCCCATAGTTGCTTAGTTATGTCCTGGTTCGTTCCCAACAATTATTTTTCTAGGGCAGCTGTTGTTTTCATGTAAACTGACTATAAATAGGAGACATGGTGCACAGATTTTTAAATGCAGATAATCAGGAAAGAGCAACATTTTTTAGGGTAAATCTATATTTATAAATGCATATATACATAGAAACAGCTTTTACATGATCATTTTAAAGTGTTAAAATGGGCTAAATTGGGAAGATAAAACATGAAGTTACATTTAGAAGTGTGTAAATATGGAAGTTTCTTAGAATCAATATCAGTTCAAAAATGGAGAAGCTTTCTAAAATTAAGAATATTTAAATATGGGATGATCCATATGTAAGAGTCAACTCTGCATCACTTAAATGTCTTTAAAAGTACAATCATCACATGTCAGAGATGGAGTAGATGTTTTCCTGCAGCAGGGTGGGGATGAAAAGGGAGTGGTTTTCCTAGAAGGCGCTTTTCAAATATTTTCCCAATGGAATGGAGCATGAATCTAATATACAAGAGTAGACTCCATATACAGGGTTTCTTATTAGACAAGGTATAGGGCAATATTTGAATCATACATTTGATTGTCAATGGCTCGGCCACAGCCTGATTTCTGAATCACTAGGCCTGAGATTAGGCTCAATAATCAGTATTTATTTATTTTTTTTTGAGATGGAGTCCTGCTCTTGTTGCCTAGGCTGGAGTGCAGTGGCACGATCTTGGCTCATTGCAACCTTGGCCTCCTGGCTTCAAGCGATTCTCCTGCCTCAGCTTCCCAAGTAGCTGGGATTACAGGCGTGCACCACCACGCCTGGCTTTGTACTTTTAGTAGAGACGGAGTTTCTCCATGTTGATTAGGCTGGTGTGGAACTCCTGATCTCAGATGATCTATCCACCTCGCCCACCCAAAGTGCTGGGATTACAGGCGTGAGTCACCGCGCCCAGCCGATAATTAGTATTTTTAACAAGCCCTAGCTGGCGCTGATGCTCCAGGTTCAAACCACTGTCCTCAAATGAGAACTTTAGAGTAAATATGTGCAGAATGATTGAAGTGAGTTATTTTTCTTCATTATGTCTATCATTTTTCATACTTTGATATTAATGTTTGCAAATAAAAACAAATGTTTGAATAACTGTAAGTCAAGTTGGCTCCACTCCATTTCACCCCAATATGCACACTAGTATCTTACTCCTATAGAAACACCCATTTTATGTTACTTGCCTTTTCCTAGTGGGTTTTGAGTTTGCTGTTCTCACCAAGGTCCCCTGGGGTAATTTTTTTCATGTCTGTTGTTGGAATTGTTGTGCATACTTTAGTAACCTCCAAATCTTCTTCTATCCAGGAGTCTTTGATTCAAAGTAAACAGATAAGTGACTTCTGTGTGCCAGAGTATTAGGGGCCTCCTAAGTACTGATACTTAAGAAAAATATTGTGGTCATTTGTACTTATCATAGCTTATATCCTATTATCCCTGGTCACTACTTAAAAGATGAGTGCCTGTGGTCATCTGTCGTCTACTGTAAGCTTGCCCTTATATTTATCTCTAGTTTTTATATTTTTTACTAACTTCCCTCTCTTCCCATAGTTAATTGACACTTCTATTTCTCTATAGTGCTGTGTGGATATTCAGTTCTATGTTTACCATGATTCTCTACATCCTCCAACTTTGCAATGAATAATTCCATACTTCATAACCCAACATAAACATTATTTTTTACCTGTGAATTTGACTTATCCTAAAACACTTTCAAAAGGAACTTTTTTTATTTTCTAATGTACGTCAGTATCAGAGGAGATGAGTACAGTGTACCCCATACATCCTATTGCTACTCCAAATAGCACTCCTTCATTAGTCTATGAAAGTGTGGCTTCATTGAGACTCTGGCTATACCACCAGAGATCACATCATACCGCTACATTTGGGTGAACCAGGATTTGATCCAGACAATTTTTAGAATTATGCTTTTCATCACTGTGCTAGGGCATGTATATTAGTGATTCAAACAATTAATAAATTAAAAACAAGTCGAGAAAACTTAACCAAACACCAATGACTAATGTATAACACATATTTTGATAAGTTCTAAGACGGATTCTTCATTCATTTATTTGCAAATATGCTAAGTTTTAGACATGGTGCTGTGGATGCAAAAGCATACTGTTTGGAAGGATGAAACACACATCTATGAATAAATATAGTATAATGGGCAGGCATTGAATATTACTGAGAAACATAAAACTTGAGAATCAGAGAAGGTTCCCTAGAAGAGGTAATACCTAGTATGACTCTCAAAGCATGCTAATAGGTACTCATCAAAAAATTTGAGGAAAATATTTCAGGCAGAGCATAAACAGAAGCACTAATGTAAGGAAATACATGTTATGCCCAGGAAATAAAAAGTAGCTTGGTGTTGCTGGAACACAAAATAAAAAGTCAAGAATCCTCAAAAATAAAGTCAGCAGAGCCAGGATTTCAAGGTTCTCAGGACAGAGTTGTAACCAGTGAAATACAGGAATGCCTTTTGAATAGGATGAATTTGAACTGTGCTCTTATTAATGGAGAATAATTCTATCATTGGAGGCTGCCTGATCAATAAAAATACTAGGCACAAAAGTAGAAATCATATGGATGTTTTCAGGAAAAAATGAGGTGAGGATATCATGGCATCATCGGGTCTTTCTATTCTTATTTATTGTGGAGAGCTCAGTTTATCAGAGCTGGGTCTTCATGGGTAAAATGTACCTTATCCAGGTGATGGTCACACTAAAACTCAGACTCCACTACTATGCAATATATCTATGTAGCAAATTTCAATATATCCATGTACCAAAACTACTTGTACCCCTTAAGTTTATACAAATAGTAGAATAAAGGAGCTGGATCAGTGTCTGCCTAAGAGTGCTGAGATTGAGAAAGTAAATTGAAATTAAGTAGAGAAACTGAGAGATAAGCCTCATTCCTAATACTATAACTTTAGCAAGCTACCTAACCTTACTTAACCTCTAATCAATCAATTTATTACCCTCATATTAAGTGAAAATAACTTAGACCCTGACATCAACAATACGAATGATAGACTTTGCATATAAAGTGCCAGATGAGTGCCTGAAATTTCACATGGGCTAGGTAAAAAGTCTTATTTTTGATCATTGTTGGTATTGTTGTTGCTGTACAACATAAGACAACACAGAGACACTGTGTTGAAGGAGAAGTTTAACTGGTCTCAAAGTGTTTCTGTCATCAGAAATGTGTAGATGGAAGCAAGATGAATTTTAGATCCTAGCAGCTAGTGGCTCAGGGGCTCCTGACTTGGTCTGAATTGTTACATGGGCACACCAGGTAATTTCTTATATTTGTGTTAAGACCATGAAGGGAAATTATGACTAATGAAGCCTAGTGGAAGGAGAGATGCAGGAGCCTCAATTTGGTGTATTGTTCCACGGCCAGAACTATGACCGGGGAAAAAATGTCACTGTTTCAGCCATTGAAAATCTTCATTTTCCATTCAATGCAATTATTTCGAAGGTCAGTAAGTGCTGAAACTGTAGGCTTTTGTAAAATCAAAGCCTTGTCTTAAAACTGCCCAGAAAACAAAGATCACATGATATTCTTCACAAGTCCAAGGAGTTGCCCGGTCGCCCTCATAAAATCCAATTTAGTAATTCACAGTTTTTTCAGTCTAAATGTCTTAGTTTTGAACATCAGAGTGAGAGATGTCTGCTCAGGGCCCTGGAAGGCAATCTAAATTAAACATTTTATAATCACATAAATAATAAAGTTGTCTACCATATTCTCAAGGAAATGTTCACTTTAGACTTCAGGTGTTCAGAATAAGCAAGGTGTGATTGAGACTTGGAATATGTTAGCGAGATCACCCTCAAATTCTCCTATGTGGGGATGTCAGAATTTCCAGCTTCATCTTTTCTACCACTTCAAAGTATTTTCTTTTCTTTTATAAATTCCCTTAAACAAAAAGAAGAACAGCATTAAGGCATTTCTTGGTTTTGTTTAATTTTAATTTTTGTTTTTTTTAATCAGTAGCAAACATTGTCTCCATAAGACTTACTTACTACTTTTAAGATAAAAATTCACTGATTTCTTCAGAAGCAAATTTTCTCATTTACTGTAGTAGCCAAAGGAGAATAATAACTTCATGGTAAATTAATTGCTTTGAATTATTAAAGCTTTCAATTTCTCTTTAGTGAATATTACATGATCCATATATTGCTAAGAGATGTTGATAATATGACTCTGGGTATTTTTCTATAGACAAAAGTATAATAGTAGTGTCAAGAAACCAATTAGAGTGGTGAAAATGTATTTAAAGAATTTTAAAACACTGGATTCTGCAGAAACATTTAAAACATGAAAGCTCTTTTTAACAAAAACCTATATTTTAAAATTATTTTAAAAAATATCTCTAAAAATTGCATATTAGTAGTAATATGCCAGAATTCATTTGCTACTAGAAAGGTGAACACAGTGTATAAAAATCAAGTCGTGTATTTATTTTTCAGATCTAACTGACCATATTTACATATTATTTTATTTAATTCTCACAAAAACTATGTTGGTTTGCTTTTACAGTATTCTTCTGTCAATTTTTCAATAACACTTTGCCCCTTAAGTATATTAAGTTTTTATATGGCAAAAAAATAAGTATGAAGAGAGAAAGTAAATGTTCCTCGATTACACAACTTGACAGGCTTTAGCTCACATGTTTTGGCTACAAATCTGTGGATTTTCTCATTCTCTATTGGAGTCTATATCTAGTTCAGAAATATTTCACATTTTAATTAGAAAAGTGGGGAGATAATTTTGATTATCTGAACATGCTGTCTATTATTACTTTTTATAGGCTTCTACTCTGTGGTCCAGTTGCATATATATACACACACACACACACAGCTAACTCACATCTGCAGGCTTCTCTGAACTTTCTTTATATGTTAAAGTTATTCACCTGACAACAGCCAACTGGATGATAGGGCAAACTAAATACAACTCAATTGTTTTTACCTCTAGGTGCTATATTCAAAGGTTATTTTCATACCAGGGAACATTAATTCTGCATTTCATATTAACATTCAATATTAGCTCTTCAACAAATATGAAACCTATGATAGCAACCCAAGCACAAAGACTAAATACTTGGAAAACACTGTGTCTAGTCCTTCACAGGAAACAAAGAAATCAGCTTATGATTTAGTGATATATATATATATGTGTGTGTGTATATATATACACATATACACGTATATATATACACATATACACATATATACATATATACACATATACACATATATATACACATATATACATATATGTATATATGTATATATATGACATATATATGATATAACTTGAATATCATTTGAGGAGATAGAAAAACATAACAGAGGTGCAGATTGAGTAGTCATGAAAGACAAAAAAAGTTTTTACTCTTATTCTGTCAAAGAAAGTAAAAGAAAGAATTTGAGATAGCTATTAAAAGATTGGTAAAATTGAGATATGTAAACAGAGTAGAAGGGAAGCGATAAAACATAACCCACCAGGGAAAGCCACCAAAACAGATATATGAGATGTCTGAGAAAAGAGTCAACAAACCTTGGCATTTACAGGGTGATACAGTCAAATTCATCCACCTGATAGAGCAAAATTTTGTTATGTGAAGTTTTCTTTTCCTCAGAGAAAGAAATTTGAAGCCTATACAATGTGAGAATGAACCAGTGTGAAGCCCAAGTACAGCAAGTCCTCACTTAATGTCATCAAAAAGTTCTTTGAAACTGTGACTTTAAGCAAAACAACATACAGCAGGACCTCCAATAACATCGATTTGTTATAAAATTAATGAGAAATAATAACTGGTTTTGTTACATGTCTTTTTGCTTAAAGTTACAGTTTTCGAGAACCTGTTAGCGATGTTAAGTGAGGACTTAACTCCTTTGCTAGTGAATGAGCCTAGAACAGATAGTGTCAGAGGCATGTGAACCAGAGCAACTCCATCTTGAATAGGGGCTTGGTAAAATAAGGCTGAGACCTACCGGGCTGCATGCCCAGATGGTTAGTCATTCCAAGTCACAGGATGAGACAGGAAATCGGCCCAAGATACAGGCCATAAAGACCTTGCTGATAAAACAGGTTGCAGAAAAGAAGCCTGCTAAAACCCACCAAAGCCAAGATGGCCACCAGCATGACCTCTGGTCGTCCTCACTGCTACACTCCCAACAGCGCCATGACAATTTACAAATGCCATGGCAATGTCAGGAAATTACCCTATATGGTCTAAAAAGGGGAGGCATGAATAATCCACCCCTTGTTTAGCATATCATCAAGAAAAAAACAAAAATGAGCAACCAGCAGCCCTCAGGCTGCTCTGTCTATGGTGTAGCCATTCTTTTATTCCTTCATCTTCCTAATAAACTTGCTTTCACTATATGGACTTACCCTGAATTCTTTCTTGTACAAGATACATGAACCCTCACTTGGGGCCTGGATCCACACCCCTTCCTGGTAACAATAGTACAAAACTGTAGAACTCAACCCACAAAACTGCTTAATTTCAACTGTCCTCATGTTAAACATTTCTAACTTTAATGGATTACAAGGGGTTTTTTTTTTCCCCACAAAAATCTAGACTTTTGTCCTGAGCAGGTGAAAGAAGAAGAAGAAAAAGGAGACAAGGTAGTGCTTCTGTGAACACACTGCACTGGTGGGCTTTCTACAAGGCATCTGTTAGGCTCCAATGTCCGCTCTGAGGCAGGGTTAGCTTCAAACAAACCCTCAAGCTACCTACTGTTATTCATACTCTATAATTCTCATCATCCTGATACCTGTAGGCCTTTGAGTGTTTACTTTGTTTTTTTGTTTTTTTTAAATTATTATACTTTAAGTTCTGGGGTATATGTGCAGAATGTGCAGGTTTGTTACATAGGTATACACGTGCCATGGTCGTTTGTTGTACCCATCAACCCGTCATCTACATTAGGTATTTCTCCTAATGCTGTCCCTCCCCTGTCCCCACCCCCAACAGACCCTGGTGTGTGATGTTCCCCTCACTGTGTCCATGTGTTCTCATTGATCACCTCACACTTATGAGTGAGAACATGCGGTGTTTGGTTTTCTCTTCTTGTGTTAGTTTGCTGAGAATGATGGTTTCCAGCTTCATCCATGTCCCTGTAAAGAACATGAACTCATCCTTTTTTATGGCTGCATAGTATTCCATGGTATATATGTGCCACATTTTCTTTATCCAATCTATCATTGATGGGGATTTGGGTTGGTTCCAAGTCTTTGCTGTTGTGAACAGTGCTGTAATAAACATACATGTGCATGCGTCTTTATAGCAGCATGACTTATAATCCTTTGGGTATATGCCCAGTAATGGGATTGCTGGGTCAAATGGCATTTCTAGTTCTAGATCCTTGAGGAATTGCCATACTGTGTTCCAAAATGGTTGTACTAATTTACACTCCCACCAACAGTGTAAGAGCGTTCCTATTTCTCCACATCCTCTCCAGCATCTATTGTGTCCTGCCTTTATAATGATCACCATTCTAACTGGCATAAGATGGTATCTCATTATGGTTTTGATTTACATTTCTCTAATGACCAGTGATGATGAGCTTTTTTTCATGTTTGTTGGCCGCATAAGTGTCTTCTTTTTAGAAGTATCTGTTCATATCCTTTGCCCACTTTTTGATGGGGTTGTTTTTTTCTTGTAAATTTGTTTAAGTTCCTTGTAGATTCTGGCTATTAGCCCTTTGTCAGATGGATAGATTGCAGAATTTTTCTCCCATTATGTAGGTTGCCTGTTCACTCTAATGATAGTTTCTTTTGCTCTTTACTTTCTAAACAAGGCCCTTTCCCCAAGTTTATCCTAAATTACGTTCTTATGTCTTATTTATGCAGGGATTTGAAAACTAAACCAAGTGCAAATACCTGTCTCTTCAACCTGAGAAATAGCCCAAAAAAAGAAAGGTTATTATCAAAACTGCAAGTGAAATCTAAAAGTCTACATTATTTGGTTATGGCCAGAAAATGTTGTATACCTAAGAGTGCAATTTTGAACTCAGCATTGGCTCAGATCCATGATGTGAAGAAGTTTACCATATATTCTGTACAGAAATAAGAACTGTTATTTGAGATACTGTTTCAATGAGTAGCTCTGGCCAAGATAAAGAACAGAAACACAAAAAGACTTTTTTTAATAGGTAAATAATAGTATCACCAAATTGAAAAGTTCTTGGGATATATCTCTTGCAAATATCCACAGATCAACTTTCATTCTCTTGTCTCTTCTGCATTATGCAATTGCAAATGAAATGTTCTTTCATTAGGCAAATTTGTTTTGTTTTATTTTATTAGTGCATTGCCACCTTTTTGTTCTTTCATTTATACACTCATTTGTATGTTTTTATAAATATACACTAAATACTTAATAGCCATTATTCTTTAGGCATTGTACTAGGTAGTAGTAAAGTATTGTCCCTAACCTTGAGGAACTCCCACTCACTCCTTTGTAGTAAATAAATATGCAAAACACAAGTAAAATAATGTCATAATTATATTAATATAAGAGGAATAATGAAACTTTACTATGAGTTTATGAAAGGCCAGAGGATATTATACTTGAAAAATACACTATAGGAAGAGTATGAGTGTGGTGATTGGAAAAGGGAAAATGAATTCTAGACAGAGTGAATAATGGAGAAAAGCGTGACAGTTGGGTACAAAGTCAAGGGCGAATAGTTGAACATGGAAGAGAGGTGGAGGATGAACTAGAAAGGTAGAGAGACGCACGTTACGGACCTTCTAATGAGCTAAATGGTGGAATTTGGAATTTATTCTATAGATGATAAGGAGCCATTGAAGAGTATTCATATAGGAGTTGCATGCTCAGATTTGTCTTTAATTCACACTTTATGACTCTAAAAATAAAACACATCCAAAGACACCAATATCTTGTAAATAAATTTATCAAAATATATAGAAGTGTTTAAGAAAATTACCAATATAGTATTGGCAATGCCTTGTAAACAGCTAAAGAGATAAATGGAATCAACGTTACATTATTTCCTTCTTATGAAGAACCTACATTATTTTAGCAGTAAAAGATAGTTACCAGTTGAAGATTCGATATCTGCTGGAAAAAAACTATGAATACAATAAAAATGTATTATGTATGTATATACATATATTGTACATGTATTCAGCTGAAATGTAATCCAAATTTTATGTCCTTGAAAGGCCCAAAGGTGGAATTAACACATGTAGAAAGAAGTCGGAATACATTCATTGGGCTCTTGGAGACAAAATGATGCCTTAGAGCTTCAGTGAATGACAAATTATGCCATAGATTCAGCACACGAATAGCTTCTGGCATATGTTTCCCAGAATTAGTTCTAGAGCTCATTCTTATCTTCAGCTATGATAGGGCATCTAGAGACTTATTACAGTCTGCTGTTGGAATGAATGGCTATAGACCATAGTTGTAACTGAGAAAGTTTCTGAGTGTCTTAGAAATAAATACATGCAAAATATTTTTTGGTTTGGTCTATATATATTTATTTTCGTGAATATCAAGCAAAGATGTTCAATAAACATTTTCTCTTAAACTTTTAATTCCCTTTAATTATTATTATTATATTAATATTATTATTACCAATTCTACTTTTGCATTCCAGCACATTTTGACCCTAACAGAAAGTGGGTATTTTATGTGTGGCTTCCACTGCAAATTTTACTTAATTTGCCTTTTCATTTCAAAAATTATATTTTTATCTATGTGAAAATGGGAAATATTATTTTATTAAAAAGGTAATGGCCAGGCACGGTGGCTCATGCCTGTAATCCCAGCAATTTGGGAGGCTGACAGGGGCAGATCACGAAGTCAGGAGATCGAGACCATCCTAGCTAACACGGTGAAACCCCGTCTCTACTAAAAAATACAAAAAAAAATTAGCCAGGCGTGGTGGTGGGCGCCTGTAGTCCCAGCTACTCGGGAGGCTGAGGCAGGAGAATGGCATGCACCCGGGAGGCGGAGCTTGCTGTGAGCCAAGATAGCACCACTGCACTCCAGCCTGGATAACAGAGCGAGACTCCATCTCAAAAAAAAAAAAAAAAAAAAAAAAGAAAAGAAAAGAAAAGAAAAAGATAAAATAAAATAATTGTTCAGCAATCTTTAGCATCTGGTTCATTAAAAGGAACAACAATAATAAATGTATTAGCAACTTCGAAGGTAGAGTCCAGTATTTAAAATATCTTTTCAAAACTTCTGTCAAGTAAATAGGAGCATTTTAATAAATATAATTTGCTTCATACTTACACACACACACGGATGCATTCACACACATCATACTTTTTTTAAGGGGATTTAGTGAATGAGTTCCTCTGCAAAATGCTTTTGAGCATCTCCTGACTACAGTAATACAGAAAAGAAGTACCATTATTAATGGGCTGTAACGTTATTTGCCAGTTTGAAGGTCTGTATAAAAAGATTTACTCAGTAATACCTTAGTTCCTGGCAAGTACTGGGTTCTAAGAAGATATTTGTTGAGTAAACTAATAAATAAATGAAATCATGATAATTAGATGAAATCCAAGCCTCATGGCAATTTTTACAAAATTATTCTACTAAAGTAATATTTATGAAAATCACTGACTTAAAATTTTTTCTTAAAAATTATATAACCCATCTATGAGATAAAGTGAAATAGTTTTGAGGAGAAAACCTTTCAAACCATCATGCTAAATTTTAGTAACAAAGAAATGTTCATAATAGATAACTTGAAAGATGAAAAAAACCTAAACAGGGAAACACTAGTTTTCATATTAAAACTTGTACATAGTAATTGCCAATATAATGGTCTTTTGTTCTTTTCCTCCATACATATGTTTATCTATATTGTACCTCTATATAAATGTATATGTATGCTTAAAATGATATCAATTTTATATTTATTCTGCAGAATTATTATTATGTATAGCAGTATTCTGTGGAAGTGCTTCAGGATAGTTAATTAAACTTTTATTTTGAAATATTGTCTCTTTTTTTTTTTTTTTTGAGACAGAGTCTTGCTCTGTCGCCCAGGCTGGAGTGCAGTGGCGCAATCTTGGCTCGTTGCAACCTCCACCTTCCGGTTTCAAGCGATTCTCCTGCCTCAGCCTCCTGAGTAGCTGTTATTATTGGCGCCGGCCACCGCACCCAGCTAATTTTTGTATTTTTAGTAGAAATGGGATTTCACCATATTGTCAAGGCTGGTGTCAAACTCCTGACCTTGTGATCCACTCGCCTTGGCCTCCCAAAGTGCTGAGATTACAGGTGTGAGACACCATGCCCAGCCGTCTATTTTTAAAACTATTGTTAAAAACACCACCATATTCAAATGAGTCAGGCAAGTTTTGGGGAAAACTGGGAATATTTTTTCTGCTTTCAAGATACATTTGCTATTCCCTTAAAAGTGTAATTAATTGGAAAGTTTGAAAATATGTATAAGTCTTTTAAACAAACTCAGCCTGCACAAGTCCTCCTACATGAAGTTTAAAAACAAGGTCAATATTATAGCATCCGTACAATGCCCCCACATCTCAGGTTAAATTATGAACATGGAAATTGATCTGTTTAGGATATAATAATCAGTTTTACAGTGAGAAATGCATAATATTTGATATGATCATACCATATTTTAGGGAGTTCTAGTATAAGATGTAAATTTCGGCTGGGCATAGTGGCTTATGCCTATAATCCCAGCATTTGGAGAGGCCAAGACAGGAAGACTGCTTGATGCCAAGAGTTGGAAACCAGCCTGGCCAACAGAATAAGACCTCATCTCAACAAAAAATCTTTAAAAATTAGCTGGGCATGGTGGCATGCACCTCTACTCCCAGCTACTTGGGAGGCTGAGGTGGAAGGATCACTTGAGCCATTCGTTCCACTGCACTCCAGCCTGGGCAACAAAGTGAGACCCTGTCACAAAAAAGAAACAAAATAATAAAATAAATAAGATGTAAATTTTGATTATTCTTTTTCCAACCTTAACATTTATAAGTAAATCATAGCCTTTCCACTTGCAATCACAATTTCCTACTACTCGCAATTCAAGGTTTTGAATGAGCATAGTTCAATTGTATGTGGTGTTTACAAGGTAACCTGTTTTACTAAAAAGGCTTTTTCACTCAAAATTCTGGGTACATATAAATTTTATAAAATAATATAATATAAAACAAAAATTATTTTGATGTGGAAACTAATATTTTTGAAAATGTCATTTATCACTCCAGAGTTCATCAAAAAGTCTCATTACTGTTATTGTGTGGTTTTATAATAAAAAGTTGTTAATATTAACATATTAAGTAAATGTGTACCTTTTTTTTTTTTTTTGAGATGGAGTCTAACTCTGTTGCCCAGGCTGGAGTGCAGTGGCACAATCTCAGCTCACTGCAACCTCCACCTCCTGGTTCAAGCGATTCTCCTGCCTTAGCCTCCCAAGTAGCTGGGGTTACAGGCCCCCACCACCACGCCTAGCTAATTTTTGTATTTGTAGTAGAGACGGGGTTTCACCATGTTTTCCAGGCTAGTCTTGAACTCCTGACCTCAAGTGATCTGCCTGCTTTGGCCTCCCAAAGTTCTGGAATTACAGGCGTGAGCCACCATGCCTGGCTGATGCCACTTTAAATATTATGTTTCTATACAAACTTTCAGTGGAAAATGTTCTGTTCCAATAAAAGTTGAAAACCATTGGCATAAAATAAAATAAATTTTTAAAAATTTCATGTCACATAAAGTCTTTAAAATATTTTAGTGATTGCATACTATTCCATTGAATTAAATTACTATCATGTATATAATCATTTTTGTATTATTATGTATGTAGTTTGTCTTCTATTTTTGCCATTACAAAGAATGATCAAACAGCAAATTATTTTCAAATTTTGTAAGACATTTTATTGAACTTTCCATGAGACTACTTTCATGATAACCTCTACTACATATCATCTCTTACATATAAAACTTTGTTACAATATTATCTTGAGCGTGATCTGAACAATTGTTGTACTGAAAATGTAAACATTATATATGTTGTTTTCATTTGCATTTTTAAGAATTATTATGGGTGTCGCTTTTACTTCTTTGTGTGTAACTTGTTCATTCAGGCTCTTGAACAATGCTTGAAAGTTTCTTCTTAGTTTACACATACCTATGTACAGACATAGCCTTGCGTTTTGTACTCTAGTTATCGGGGATACAATGATCAATGAGGCATGGGTTATCCTAATGTACGACCACGGTGTTTTATTTGTCAGTCAGGCAAATATTTTTACTTACTTTGTTTGAATATAATTTTACCTGCAATCTATTAGAAGATATAACAAATCTTGTTTCAAATGTGTTAAGTTCATTCATTCATTTGAATTTTTTCCACTGTTTTCATCCTTAACTGGATATCCACATGCAAAAGAAAGAAATTGGACCTTTATCTTACACCATACACAAAAGCAACTCAATATGACTTAAAAGTAAGACTTTAAACTGTAAAACTTCTAGAAGAAAACAAAGGCAAAAAGTTACATGAAATTGATTTTGGCAATGATTTCATGGATATGAAATCGAAAACACAGAAAACAGAAGCAAAAATAGACAAATTTGGACTGTATCAAGCGAAAAACCTTCTGCACAGCAAAAGAAACAATCAGTAGAAGCTGAGTGCGGTAGCTCACGCCTGTAATCCCAGCCCTTTGGAAGGCCGAGATGGGTGGATCGCCTGAGGTCAGGAGATCAAGACCAGCCTGGCCAACATGGCAAAACTCCATCCCTACTAAAAGTACAAAAATTAGCTGGGTGTGGTAGCATGTGCCTGTAATTCCAGTTACTGGGAGGCTGAGGCAGGAGAATCACTTGAACCCGGGTGGCAAAGTTTGCAGTGAGCCAAGATCATGCCACTGCACTCCAGCCTGGGCAGCAGAGTGAGATTCCGTCTCAAAAAAAAAAAAAAAAAAAATCAGTAAAGTGAAAGTCAGCCTATAAAATGAAAGACAATATTTGCAAAACATATATCATATGAAGGGTTAATATCCAAAATGTATAAGGAACTCCTACAATTCAATAGCAAAAAACTATTAACCCAATTAAAATATGAGCTAAAAAATTGAATAAGCATTTCTCCAAAGAAGACATAGGAATGGCCAAGAAGTACATGAAAAGATCCTCAACATAGCTAATCATCAGGGAAATGCAAATCAAAAGTGCAATGAAATAATACCACCTTTCACCTGTTGAGATTGCTATTATTGAAAAGCAAAAGACAAGTATCGGTGACGATGTGGAGAAATTGGAATCATTTCACATTGTTGGTAGAAATGCAAAATGGTAAAGCCATTAAGGAAGAGAATATGGAAATTTCTCTAAAAATTAAAAACAGGACTACAATAGGATCCAACAATCCAATTTCTGGGTATTTATCCAAAATAATTGAAATCAGGATATCAAAGAGATATTAGTGCTGCCATGTTCATTGCATCGCTATTCACAATAGCGTGGATGTGAAACAACATGAACATCCATCAACAGAAGAATGGATTTTAAAATGTAGTATATCATACACTGGAATATAATTCAGCATTAAACAAGAATGAATTGCTAAAATATGGGACAACATGGGTGAACCTTGAGGACATTTTGCTAAATGAAATAAGCTAATCACAGAAGGACAAATACTACGTGATTCCGCCCTCCATGGGGAATCTAAAATAGTCAAGCTTATAAAAGCAAAGAAAAGAATGGTGGTTGTCAGGGACTGGAAAGAGAGAAATGGGGAGTTTCCTATCAATGAGTATAAAATTTCAGTTATGAAAGATAAATAGGATCTAGAGCTTTGCTGTGCTATAGTACATTGTGCTATAGATAACAATAATGCATCGTAGACTTAAAAATCTGTTAACAGGATAGACTTCATGTTAAGTGTTCTTACCACAATTAAATAAATGGATAAATAAAAACAAAGGAAGCACTCTCATTACAAGATAAATTTAAATTTATTCTATTTTCAAAAGGTTTCCATTTTATACCTAATTTTCTTAAGAAATAATTTGAATGTATATAATAAATGAAGACTATATGGTTAACTTTTGAAAGTTATCTGTACGTAGGACAGTTATGACTGATTTTCCCTTTATGTCTATACTTTTCTTTATATTACCATTTCTTTGCTTTAGAACACTAAAAAAAAATACAGAAATGAAATTCCAACTCTCTCCAATGTGTGGTATATATGCTTTCAAAATTTTTCTGTGAATATACACTATAGTATTTATAACATTCTGCAACTAACTTTTTTAAAATAAGCAAACAAACAAAAACTCCGTCAAATTGTAAACATTTTTATGTCAGTTAATACACCTACATCATTCTTTTCTGCAAGAGCTCTGCATTTCAATACTTAAATAAAATTTACTTACTACTTTTTATGTGAAAAGTATTTCCTTTTTTCCTTTAAATCTGTACTGTCGGCCGGGCACAGTGGCTCACGCCTGTAATCCCACTACTTCGGGAGGCCGAGGCGGGCGGATCACCTGAGGTCAGGAGTTCGAGAACAGCCTGACCAACATGAAGAACCCTCATCGTTACTAAAAATACAAAAAATTAGCCAGGCGTGGTGGCACATACCTGTAACCCCAGCTACTTGGGAGGCTGAGGTAGGAGAATTGCTTGGACCTGGGAGGTGGAAGTTGCAGTGAGCCGAGATCGCACTACTGCACTCCAGCCTGGGCAACAAGAGCGAAACTCCATCTCAAAAAAAAAAAAAAAAGAAATCTGTACTGTCTAGTACAGTAGTCCATAGCCCCATGGAATTTTTTTTTAATTTAAATTTAAGTTAATTGAAATTATATTAAAAATACAACTCCTCAATTATACTAGTTACATTTTTAAGTGTCCCATTAGCTACATGTGCATAGTGGCTACCATATTAGGAGTCCAGTTTATAAAGCAGCCCATCTTCCACAGAAAGTTCTATTGGACTTCATGGGGAACAGGGTGGGATTTAACTAGCTCAGAGTCACAAGTGTAGTTCTTTAGGTAATAAGCTTGATGAAATTGAGCTTGGAGTTTCCCCGAGGCTGCACTGTGGAGGGTGCCTTTTGCCTCAAATTTTTATCCTCTTTTTTCTCCTCTGCTCTCTCCCATAGATCTGACTTCATCTTCTTTTTAACATTTAGACTTTTAAAAAACATTTTATTTCATTGATTAATCAATTTGTTACTTTCCCATACTTATGAAAAATACATATCCAAGTTATTACACAGGAAAAATATTACATATATGGTAATATGTTTTCTATAAGATAATTTTAAAAAATAAGTTGGTGCTGAATTTTTTTTTCTTTCAAAACACTATCCCCAAATTGTGGGTTTTCAATAGGCCTCTGCTCTTTTATGTCCACCAATTAACATGATTGATTATTTAAGAGAAAACTAAAAGCATGAGATTCTAGTAGTTTTTTGTTTTCATAGAATCTAACATATTCCCTATATGTAAGTTCTCTTGGGATTACAGTATATTTCTAAGTTCTCTAAAACTATGCCTTGATTGAGTATATATGGTTTATCTCTATTCCAAAGCTGAGAATGAGATGTCTTCAGCGTTTGTAAAGGTTCAAAATACAAACTAAGGGAGAAAATGGAACCAGCCCTGGCCATATATAAATTGATAAACAGATGACACAGAGAGCCAGCCTACCACGTCTGTCATATGGGTAGGAAACAGAGAAATGCCCAGGTGTCTGATCCTTTCACCCACAGCAAAGGCATAACCAGCTACCTGCTGTCTCCTCCTTGGATTAATACTCTGTTCTTTGGGGGCTATCAACAAGATAATGAGGGAAGGATGGTAGAGGAAATTTGTGCTTTGAATAAAGATTGTTCAATTACAGTCTCGAGGATCACAAGGACTCTTCATAGGGTCAAGGAAATCCTATGTTTTTCTAACTACATATCTATGTGCAGCCAGACTTTTTCATATACTTTAATTCCCCCTATTAAAAAATACATATAGTAAAACAATGAAAGCCATTCTTCCCAATGCAGAAGAAGATATGAGAACAAATTGCCTTCCATTAGACAAGCCACTAAAAAGATTTATAGAAATATACAGTGCTACTCTCCTCACTAAATATTTTTTGCTTTAAACAATATTATTTTTCATAAAAATAAAGTATGTCAATATCTAAAGGGTATAATATTGCAAATTTTAAATGAAATAATTACCTTAAAAATCAGTTTTAGTTTCTGATATGGTAAACATTGATAGATATAACCTACCCACATTAAAAATAAAAAGCTATTTGTGGTCTGAAATAATCTATAGATGTAAAGGAGTCTTGACAGAAAAATGTTTGACACCCTTTGGAAAAAATATACCCTAACCACCAAGTAGTTATAATTTTAAGAATACAATTAGCAATTCTTTAACAACAACAACAACAAAACAGAGTATCGTTTTATCAAGCAGGCTGGAGAGCAGTGGCAGGATAATAGTTTACTGCAGCCTCAAACCCCTGGGCTCAAATGATCCTCCCACCTCAGCCTCTCCAGTAGTTAGGGCCAAGGGTTTAGGCCACCACACCTGGCTCAGTTATTTTATTTTTATTTTTATTTTTTGGTAAAAACAGAGTCTTGCTATGTTGCCCGGACTGTACAATTGGCAATTCTTAACATTCCCTAGACTGATTAAATGTGATCTATGTCAGGCACTGAATTGTACAGTTTTCAGTCTTATCACACCTGCACACAATCCCCATGATTTAGGAGAACGGCATCATCCCCACTGTACAGATAGAGAAAAGAGAAAATTTACTACAAGCATAAGCAAACCCTCAAGACCATTTAGCTTTTATGATGTCGAGTTACAATCAATAACAACTAGAACTGACTCCAACTCAAACTAATTTCTCGTTAGAAAAGTAAATGAATTGAGTAATTAAAAGAAGAACTAAGGTTAAAACAAAAAATCAAAGAAACTGTTCCAACATCAACGGGAAGCTCCGCAGACTAAAACATGGTTAGGGCAAATCTGGTAGTCCTGAGGGCAATTAAACATGTCTATTTAGATAGAATGTATTTTTATTTTTGGTTTTGGTTGCTTTGTCTCCCTCTTATACCTAATAGAAGACACTGAATTTGTGTCTTTTCATAGGAATGCATGTCTGTGTTTCCTATGAGCTATTATTTTTGCCTGCAGTGCTAGCAGAGGGATTGGCTATGAAGACAGAGTTTGCCTTTCTTCACTGTGGCCTCTCTCTGGGTAGCTGAGGACCAGATAATTCCATCTCCACAGCTACTGCCTCTGTCTTTATGAATCACAAAGATACAGAATAACCAAACCCTCCAGTCCTGTCACACTTTGCTCTTCTACTTTAGAAAAGCTGTTTATGTGATTTCAGATTCAGAAGGTACTTTTCGAGCATACTAGGCCTTGACTTTTAGGCAGCACAAAGCTCTTCTCATTGGCGGAAGATTCTATACCCAATTACAGTTAACTGGCTTAAGAGAGGAAATATGTATTTATCTTACCGTCTCAGCTGTAAGGAGAAAAGTTTGGAAATGGCATGAGAAACATCTTTCATGCACATTCTACCTTCTAGGCACTGCATCTGATTTCTTGGTGAATGCTGTCACTCAGGTTGATAACAGGAATTTCTAAAATGGCAACTTTTCGTGAGGGTTAGCTGTTCAGCTTTTATAGAGCATATAATGATTCTTAGACTCTGGCAATATACCTTCATTCAGGGAGAGAGGAGAGAGGGATGTATGTGCTTCAAAGCTGTACAGCAAGACAACAATCTAAAGCTGTTTTATTAATAATTAAAATGATAAAAATCTATCATAGAATTGGCAGAGAAATCCACGATCTTGGTTCAGTCAATTTCAGTATTACTGTTTAAAGCTAGAGCTGAAAATGACTCAGTATTAGCCATCTGTGTTGCTGAGTGTGTGGGAGCTCAGTCTGTAAGACAGGCAGCCCTGGGTTTAAATCCCAGCTCTGCCCCTTTGGTATTTGTGCTTCTTTTCCTCATCTGTAAAACAATAATAATAATATTAATGGTTAATGGACACTTCATGTTTTGTGCTTTTTAGTGAGATAATCTATGAAAATGAGCTTGGATGACTGCTTTTTCCCCTCTAGCTCTCAGACGTAAGTAAAAAGAGTGCATTTGGGGACTACAAAGATATGTGTTCAAAGGAGGTCATGGTAACTTACATTCAGGAAGCAAGGTATGTTTGGGTTTAAGGTAGCTTAGGATAGACTAGAATGTGCAGTAAGGTCCTAGCTAAATAAGAAGACAACTAAAGGGATTAATTTATCTTCAGAGGCAGCTAGCTAGGGATCTAAACTCTGAAAATAACACTGTCATACAAACAGAATTAGTAGTAGTAGTATTACTCTTCTATTAGTATTTAATCTAAAATGCAGATCTAAGAAGAAACTTTCCTGCTGGGCCTTTCAACAGGTTCTTGTCTCCTAGAGGTGGAAGTCCAAGGTGCTTAACAAGACATAAGGTCCTCCACCACCAGGTCATCCCTTATCTCTTCAGACAGATGTCCCATCACTGCCTCCATCACACTTTATGCCCCAGCAACAAAGAAACACTTGACGTTTGCCTTTTCTGTGTGCCTCCTTAATGACTGTTCATTCTGTACCCCACACCTCCACCTCCCTTCTAGCCTGCTATTCACTATAGCTCCTGTCTTCCTCACACTCATTTTCAAGACTCCCTTCAAACAACCCCTTTCTACGAATCTTCCCTGTAGTCTATCTAGCGCTAGATTGGATTTAGTGTCTCTTCTCTCTCTTCCTAAAGTACTCCCTTATTCATTTCCTGCACTGCTTAACAATCATCAGCTTGTTACCTGTTGCTCTCAGTAGAACATGAATGCCCTGAGGGGAGGGATCAGGTCTCCTTTCCCTTTTCAGTTCAATAGCCCTTCTCGGAATCCCCGTATTTTAGATAGGTAAGTGGTCACCGGCATTTTCCCATACAGGAACAGCCGTTTCTAAGACAGCCTTGAAGAGGTGTATCAGCTTTCTCTAGATGCCATTCCAGATGCAAGGCAAGAGCAAAGGTTGGATAAGACACCCTACACCTCAAGGCAGTCAGTCTAAGAAGTAAAGATGCCTGTTGACAAGGCATTTTGTCTGGAATTAGCTTAGGAGCAATTAAATAACAAGACAAGGCAATTGGAGGGTACAAAGTACGTAGAGCTTCAGGACGTATTGCAGTTTGTTTGCTATAAATGAGAGAACAGATTTTGTAGTTAAACCTATATATTTCAATCCCATTTCTTCTACTGAGTTGTAGAGCCTCTCAATGACTTCACCTCTGTGTTCCCCAAACTCATCATTTTGAAAGGGAAGATACAGTATTTGCTTGCAGAGTTTTTGTGAGGTTAAACTAAGTTTCACTAGTAAAGGGCATAATAGATATTCAATAATTCATATTTTGTTATCATCATTGATAGCTGATCAGCAAAAGAAAAAAAAAACTAAACTATCTTGGGAGGATAGTCCCTGCCTCCTTTTCCCCAGCTACCTACCTAGTTCCAATATCAAACACCTCTTTAAATTCTTTTCCTTAAGGAAATTTTAAAACACATGCAACTTCAATTTTATAATGAATGTCATTTAAGGGCCTATGTTTTTAATTAAATGAGCTTGTATTCAGTCTAAGTGCATTTGCCAAGTGTTTATATTAAATTTATTTATTTCTCACAAGTGTAAAAATTTAATATTAAAACTCTACTTGTATTTTTATAGGTAGTTTGAGCAATATTGAAACCTGAGTTTGAAAAGGTCCAGATGGTTTGAATTTTATTGAAACCTGAGTTTGAAACAGCCCAGATGCTTAAGGAAAAATTTTAGATAAGCATTGAACCCATTTTGGAAAGTGTTAGTATGCTACCCACACGGAACCTTCCCTGGAGTTCCATAACTCCTCATCACAGGTTTGTCTTTACCCAAGCCTTGCGCTCATCTTTTCTGATAGTGTACCAAATAGATAAGTCAGCCGTGAGGCATGCACTCTGAAAATGCCTTTATCTGGCCTCCAAACTCTTAATGCTCACATGTTATCCTGGCAATGTCAGTGAATGCATATTTGTTGCATTCTTACTGTATGCAAGGCACTAGGCTAAGTTTGAAGGAGCTCTACAGTCTCCTGCCTCCTGGTCCCTTACCCAGCAGCCTGTGCTCTAGTCAACAGCTCATGGCTCCAACCATTAGTACTACCACCATTGCTGTGACTACTGCACGTGTTTAACGTTTTAACTACCCCTTTGTAAGATACCCCCAACTTTGAATTTTAGTTGCCTGGTTTCCCTAAGTTTCAGTTTCCCCACCACAAAAATCAATACAAGAATAATATCTACCTATTAGAGTTATTCTGAGGATCAAATGAGGTAATATAAGGCAAGTTCTTAGTACAAGCCCTCGCACATGAAAATCCTGATGAATAAAACATATGTATTATTTTAAAGATGAACAAGCCAAGTCTCAAAGAGATTATTTTCCACGTGTGGCCAAGAGAGTAACAGAAATAAAGACTAGAGCTCATGCTGACATATAAAGGACCAGGAGGTGGGAGACTTTGGAGCTTCTTCAAACTCAGCGTAATGACTTGCATAGGCTAAGAATGTAACAAATATGCCTTCACTGATATTACCAGGATAATGTGTGGGCCATTAAAAGTTTGGAGGCCAGATATAGGCATTTTTATGGAGTACATGCCTCATAGGTGACTTATCTATTCAGGACACTATCAGAGAAGATAGGCTTGGGTAAAGATAATATAAAGACAAACCTGTGATGAGGAGTCCATTCTGTCTGATGTAAAAGCATGTTCTCTCTCCTCTGACTCCCTTGTAGGTTCAGTTCCAAGATTATGAACCTGCTCTTGCTAGAGTCTATCCGGTCTTATGCTTTGCCCTTTCCCTAAATGAATTAAACAAAAAATTTGATTTTTTGATGATTTTTTTTCTGTCTCACAGTAGGAGCTTGGTCATGAACTAAAGAGAGGACTATCCAGATCCCTCTCCAGTGCCAGAAGCTACAAATGCACCAGCAGAGTTCTGGGCTGTGACAGAACCATATTGGAAATTCAGTGATCCTCCAGCTCTCCCTATGCTGCTTTAGTCCTGGCTAAGTCTCATTCTCTTGCCCAAGTATACAGACCTTTAACCCTCTGTCATCTGATCTCAATTTTCTGAGAGTTGTTTTACCCAAACTTTGGAAGCCTACAAGATTTTCAGCCCAGATAACACACTTTTCCTCCCTAAAACAACAGTGGAATTTGGGGGGATTTTACAAGTAATCCGTAGGGGATGATTCCAAAATCCCTGGGTTCTCCAAGGTTTCTGGAAAACAGACAGACAAACAAAAAAAAATATTTCATTTAGCAAGCATAGAAAATGTCTGTTTTACTCATCAAATAGAAAACACAGAGCCAACCCTGCAAAAAGAAAATTTGGCTTTGAAAATGTGAGTTCCTTCCTAAAACCTGCTTTAATTAGAACAAGAGAGAAAAGAAAGAAAGAAAAGGACAGAAAGCTATTTAAAAGAAAACTTGTTTCTGAAAAGGGTTACTGGCTTTTGTACAAAACTCCTTTGTGTCACTGTTTTCTCCCTAGTGTGAGAATGAATCTAAAAATAGGAGCTCTAGTTTTTATTAACTGGACAGCTACTGTGTGTCCTGCTGGGGTGGGATTTTTTTTTGATTATTGATTCTAAGAGTAGGCTTATGTACCTCTGTCCACCCCAGGGAGGTGAAATGACTCAGTGTTCCCAATTACCTGCCTAATCTCAGAAGTACATTGTTAGTTTTTTTCTCTTTTCACAGGATTGCCTTCTATGTAAAATATCACATACACACATACACACACACCTTCTTCCTAAAAAAAAAAAAGCCAGTCCATTGCATTTTAAAATAAACCTGTCTTATCTTCCTGAATACATTGCAAAGTCAATAGCAAAGGAAGATTCATCCTTGAAGGTGACCTGTCTAGTGTTCAACATAGACTGAGAAACTGAAGCCACCCATATGGTATCCTTTTCCAGTGGACACCCCTATTCCAGGAAGCCTGTGTGAGGCCGGGAGTGAACACAGACTAAAAATTTAAGTAATAAATTCAAATTAAATATTAAATTAAAAAGTTAAATTTCTGGGGTCCCTGGTACAGTGACTCATGCCTGTAATCCCAGCACTTTGGGAGGCTAAGGTGGGAGAATCCCCTAAAACCAGGAGTTTGAGATTAGCCTGAGCAACAAACCAAGGCCCCCATCTCTAAAAATAAAAATAAAAAATAAATTAGCCAGCTATGATGGTATATGCCTGCAGTCCCAGCTACTTGGGATGCTGAGGTGGGAGCATAGCTTGAGCACAGGAGGTCAAGGCCACAATGAGCCATGATCATGCCACTCCACAGATACCCTATCTCAAAGAAAAAAAAATAAATACATGGAAGCACATCTCCCCATGCACATTCACTCCAAAAGTCTGCATGGCACACAAGCAGGTGCATGTCTGTTTACTCAGTACTTGTCCTTCCCTTTGAGTGCAGAGATGATGGCATATTCAAATTCGTGTTCTTACCTTGCCTGGGGTACATTACTTGCTCAATAAATGCTTTGTGGATTGAGTTGGCTCTATCAAAAATTTAAAAACTGACTTTGGGGAACAAACAAAAACTGTAGTCAATTTCAATTCAGCCAGTTACATGGACACACTTAAGTAAGGCCTCAGCATGACTGCAGAAAGAATCAGCGACCAAGAACAGAATCTATTCTAGCAATGCAGAAGACTATCTTTAGTCTTTTCTTTCTTTTCTTATTTTAGGAAAGATAACCATAATGGGAATTTTAAACCATCTGCTGGACTGTAAAATGTAAGGGAAGGGAACACATCCCAGGTGATGAGGAGTAATTCAGCACATGAATATGGTCTCACAAATTAACCCAAGCCTGGTCAATTAGAACCTCATTCCTTCCTTCATGGGTCCTTAGATAAGCTATTAATAAGTATTTATTATTTGCCAGCCACTTTGCTAGATTCAGACAATTCAGGGATAAGTGAAGCAAAGACATCATTCTTAATGAGGGTAATACTGACCTATAATTCAACAAATAAAATGCTAAGTGAGATAAAAGAGACATACACAGGATACCTCACTCATTCTGGAGGCCAAGGAGATAATGCTTCAGCATTAAAGGATAAATGCAGAAGGAAAATGGCAAGCAGTGAGATGGGAGTACTATATGTATGTGGGAAAGGGAATATGGTGTTATAATGGGATGCAACTGACACAAAATGACAAATTTAGGAGAAAAATTAATGTAGAATAATGTATTCTATGTCTAACAAGAAGAATCCAGGTGTGAAAGGGTCTCTGCAGACTACCCTAAGCCCATCAGGTCAGTGCCCCAACAATGTCTTCTGGGCTCCAGAGCGCCGTTCACTGAACAATCCATTTGATATTGGCTGCAGTCATTTTGCAAAGTCACATTTCATTAACCCAGATTTTAAAATGCTGGAAGAGAATTTAGAAATAGTCATTTTGCATAGGCCTCTTGATAATGGGTTCCATCATGCCATTACCTCCCAGATCGCCCTGCTATCAAGGTGACATCTCCTTTAACACTGGTACCATGTGGAGCATCAGCTCATCTGTGGATCTGAAAGTCATTACTTAGGAAATGTAGTTGCATCAAAAATGTACGAGGTTTGCTGAATGCTAGGCTATGGACAATCCCAAACAAATGGGTATTATTTTACAGTATTATAATAATGTACTACAAGGGTTTGTTGACATCCTCACATATACATGCTTCAGGAAGGCCAATCTTTTTAGTTGAATAAAGTAGAAGATTAATATTTGATCTATAACATCATAAGAATGATAAATGAAAAACTGAAGTTTGAATTCTATTTGTGTCTTCCAAAAGTCCATGCCCTTTTCACCAAGCTAACTTTCTTAAAAGTGCATTTACATTAGGGTAAAATAGCCTATCTATTTCTGATAATTTATGCATAAATGTGAGCAACTGAAATTATTTTCAAAGTGTTTAAAAGGAGTGTCTACACTTCGCCTCCTTATCCTTCCACAAAAGTCTTGGTAAAACTCACAAATTCCTCCATTTATTATGTAGGCCTTCCCTGCAAATATGCATTAGGTAAAATGCACAGATATTTATAGTCCTCAGAAGTGAAGGAGCCAGCCCTTCAGAGGCCCCCAGCTTAATGGGGGAAATAGTGAACAAATAAGACTTCGCTTAAGACCATAATAAAATAGACTAAGTGCTATCCTTTGTAAATGCACATGAACTTATGTTATGCACAACAGAAAATTCTGCCTGAAAGCTTAAGAGAAAGTTCCATAGCAGAAAGAGTGATATTACAAGGCCTTGGGGGTGTACAGAACCTTGCCAAGAGAGAGCTGAGATGGTTTTTCTGGCCAGATAAAACAGAAAAGACAAGGAAGTAAGAGTAGCATGAATATGGGGCAAAGATTTTGAAGGAGTTTTATACTAAAATATTGGTGGAAACAAAGTTCATATTTTTACTTGTAAAGAACTTACTTCCATTTCATAGATCTCCACAGAACGTACCATTTGTCACACAGGAATATAGTGATGGATATGACTGTGTGTTTTTCTCAGGTTGTGAGTTCCTGTAATGCAGGCGCTCTGCCACTTCTCACTGCCGCTAGCATCTCATTCAGTTTCTAAGCTGTGTCGAATGCTCAATAAATATCATTAACTGAAAGAATCAATTTATCAGTAAATAATGGACTTGGTTCATAGACCATTGCTTATATAGCTCTTTCCCTCACTGGACTGAAGACATCTTGCGAGGAGGAATAATTCTGGCATTGCTTATGCAATTTTTAAAGTAAATAATCTTAGAATGCACATGGATTTTTCAAAGAATTCGGACAACAAATCCTAAATTTTAAAAAAATGAAGTGCTATCAATTACTTAAGCTCTTTGCTTTTCTCTTGGGAAGCTGCCAACTTGTAGAACTGCCTTTACCCTCAACTGCTCACTTAGGGAAAAGAAAGGATAATGGCAGGATTGTGTTTTCAGTAGCTAAGTTTATATATAGAAGGTTCTGACCAAAGTATGTCAAACAAAACTGCTGCTCAATTAAAAAGCAGAAGAATATTCCCTGCACCAAAACCAAAATTACTTCAAACTGAGGAAGGATAGTGGAGGCAACTGACATCACCAAGTTCGACTATTATGATTCCAAAAATTCACTGCTATGTAGGTCCCATCAGTTACCTTTTTGCAGAAGAGTTCAGATTCCAAACTTGAGGTGGCCAAGAGAAGATAAATGCTGTGGCCCAGATGACACATCCCCTGAGTGGCAGAAGTGGTTGTGATTCAGATCAGATCTACTTATTCACTTGAAAGTCTGTACTCTTTCCCACAGTTCAAGAAGAGGAGGGGCTGCCAGTAGAGGAAAGTATGACAGATATCACAGCATCCTTTTGGACTTGTCCCATTTTGAAGAATCACTGCTGTGGGTGGTTTGAGATGAAAGGTTCTGCTTGTATATGGTCTGTAAGGTTCCCGTCTCAGAAATGCATAACATGTTTTAGTAGATTAGCAGAAATGCTCCATTGTGGATTGATCCAACTGAGTACTACCTGGCAAGATTTTGATCCCTATTTCTCCCTGCTCTGCTGGTGCACCTTTGGGCAGAGCACTGTCTGAGTATCCACAAGTGGCAGCCCTTGGAGAGATTTTTGTTAGAAATATCAATTCTCCATCTGCCCTCAGTAGTTTATGGTCAAGTGGATTTTACCACCAACTGTTGACAGGCATGCTAAACATTACGTAACCTCCAATCCAGCTACCAGTCATGGAAGTTTCAAATGATGGCTTCTCGTAGAAGAATATCCAACTTTGTTCAGCAAATAACATGCTGTAGAAATATACGTATTTTTAAACCAGGTAGTGTTTTTATTCACCCAAGAATTGAACCATACAAATTCTCTTGGCAAAGAATTATATTGATACATAGAGTCATTGCATCATAAACCAGCTATAAAGATGGTGATTGTAAAGTCCTCCGTTGTGATCACAGTGTTTGATGGTGTGGAGAATGGAGAAGCTTTTTTTTTTTTGGACCACTCAGCCTCTGCAATGTGTTCTTCTTCCCACTCCAACTGCAATAGAATGCAATAAAATGTTCAAAATGCTACAGTTTTAGTATAGCCACAGTTGCCTATCCAGGGTCTTGCAGAATATAGGGAAAGTCCATTGATCTGTTTAAAAAAAGAAAAAATAATCCTCAATCTATTTTTCTTGCCTCCACATTTTTCTCAAAGGCTTGCCAGTGGCTTCCCTCTTCCCTCTTTTGCCATACTCACATCTAATTCTGGCTTCTGGGGTTGCAGAGAGGAGCTTTCTTTCCCATCAATCCTTATACCTTCTTTTTATGCTATTTCAGAGTCATATCTGGTCCTCTGCTTAGCTGTCCACTCTGTAGGTCACGCCTAATTACCATGATGCCACATGTATTTTGTATCTAAACACAATTTCTAGTTTAGTTGGGTAATCTAATTGTGTCGAACCCAAGTTTCTAAATAGCCAATTACTTAGAAATGAAATAACACTGATTTTCTGTTATTCAGGGACTCCCTAGGAATCTAAAGTCTTTCATTTTCTGCCTGTCATTATACTTCCACTGTTTGCTATTTTGCAATAATCAAGAGTATCATACTCAGAGGCAGAACTACAGTATGCACTCTTATCTGTGTTGGCTCATAAATGGTGACAAGCAACCCATCCGTAAAGAGTTCATTTGGGGAAACTTTGCTCCTTGATTAAATGGAGATTTATTTGGTCCATGCAGATGGGAGACGAGATTTTTTCCTTAATATCAAATCCACCACAGATAAATTGTGTCTGATTTGTGAAGGGTTGCAAACAGCAGATTTGAGATTTTATGTTTTCTGTGATATTTTTCAGCAAAGCAGATAAAATGCACTTCACAGAGTCCTCCCTCAACAATTAGTGCCATTAACGCCTTCAGCAAGCATATGGTCACAGTGGAGAGGAAATTAGCCCCATGCCACATTTTCATTGCTGTTTGTATACTTCTGGACACAGTTCATTAGTGCGCTTTTCCTTCAAATCTATCTCCCTTAAAGAGATTGTGTGGTGTGTTATCTTAATAGTCAATTATTTAGCATCCCCCAGCAACTACCTTTCCAAGGATGTTTACTTCTCTTGTTTACTTCTCCTCCAGCACCTCCAATTTACAATCATCACAGACTGGATATTCCTCCCTAGATGTGCTACTTACTGGCCTCTCCTCCTCAGCCTATCTAATGCAGAACTCCTATTTAATAGAAACATATCAATCACAAAATGTGTTTTTACTGTATTTTCAGAGACAACTTCACAGTGAAGCTAATGAAGTGTATATGTCTCTAGACCCCTCACTTTCAGGGGTCCCTTTCAAGGCCTTGATATTCACATGCCTTTTTTTTTTTAAGATCACAAAAAAAGGATAGTTTAACAGCAGTCTCTTGGGTCAGCTTTCTCTTTCCCCTCCAAGATTCTTTCTGTTGTATTTTCTCTATTGGCAGAGGGTGTTGGAATTGCCAAGGGCAATTTGGGGATCTGGCTAAGAACAGTTAGGGCTCCATTTAGTTTGTGTATAGTGAGATGTATTTATGTAGTGCAGTCATATCAATGTAGAGGTAAAATTATTGGTATCTATCCCAGTGTCAGCAAAGCTCCCCACAATACCAGGAATACTGCTACTGTCTCCTGGGCTGACTCGAAGGCAAAGAAATGAAAGTTATAATGCTCAAAGAACACTATGCAACCCACAAGCGGAAATATGTAGGAAATGGAAGAGACAGAAGATTCAAAATTACAGAGTTAGCAGTTAAGTTTTGAAAATTTCTTTGAGGCTTTACAAATCATGTATGAAAAGAAAGTTGGTTTTTTCCAAAACTGGACAAAAGTCGTGATATTTATATGGCAATTCCAATGGCGAGATATATGACAAAAATTAAAATTAAACTATATGAGTAATAAAAATATAATAAATTGAGAGATTACTCAATGATATATTTTCTATATAAATTTAATAAAATTGTTATATAAATAGTTAATAAAAAATAAACTAAAAACAATAAAGAAACAGTATTATATATAGTATTTGTGGATTCTATGATACTTCTGGTATTATTCAACACCAAACTTAATTTGTTGTTATAAAACTGATTTATTTTTAAAATCTAAATTAACATTTATTTTCAAGACAATTTTATGTACATCATTTTTATTCTTTCCTTTACAGAAGGCCAGATCTCTAAAAACTGTTTTTTAAGACCTACAAACTTGCATCTACCCGTATTGTAGAATTATGGTTCTTAGTACCTAAGTTGTTTTTGTTTTCAGTCTTTAAAATGTTCCAGGGTTGTTCTATGAGTCTTTTTAATCTTCAGTACTGAATGTCTACATATCTGCAAGGCAGATATTTTTGTTTGCGTACAAGTTAACACGTCATCTTCTGTTTCTCCCTTTGCTTCTGCACACAATACTTCAAAAATAATAATAACTCATATATGTGTCATTATATATGTGTCATTGTGTCATATATGTGTCATTGTTATTAGTCTGCATTTGGATTTATGGAACATATGCCAAGTCATTACAATCCCAGTTGCTTGGAAACTATAAACATCTATAAATGTATAAATGTGTATATATTTATAAATATCTATAAACTATAAATATCTATACCCTTTCTCACTGCCACTATCTTGTATCCATTGCTCATTTAATCACATCTGGATTATTTTGAAAACCTACTAATGGAACTCTCTGTCATTCGTTTTTCCTTTAAATTTGATTCATCTCATTTTTGTGTTAAAATCCTTGTTTTCAAATTGCCTACTGCTTGCAGTCAATGTTCTGTAGCATGGCATGTGAGACTTTAATCAAACTTATATTTGCCTGTGATCCCCAAGACCCCACCCAGAAATCCTCTCATTTCCCTCTTGGGGACTCACCCATTCTCACTGTAGCCTGAGCCCTCCCCGGTTCCTATGTTTCATTTTTCCCTCTGCACATGTCCTTCCTCTCTGATATATCCAAACCCAAATTAAAATGACCCTTCTTTCACAATTCCTACACAACCCACCCCCTTGACTTTTCAGACTTTTGTATTAGGAAGTGATTTATTCTCCTATCAAACCCCATAGCCCTTTTTCCTGTGCTTTTCTTATAAAGCTTAGCATGTTTTGCTGTTTATAATTATTATTTGCACTCACAATTGGTTTCTATTTTTGGATTTTGAATTTCTATATGGTAGAGCTGGTAATCATCACATTGCCTATTTTTGTGCTAATTGTAGATGTCCAGCAATTATTTTTGGAGGGAATGCATACTACTTCTTAATTAATTGGCTGTATTCTCTATAACAACTTAGTGTGGAAATCAGCAAATAATAGTATCCTCCTTGGATGCCACAGAAAGAGGCTTTTTAATGAAAATATGAGAAAATGTTGTTAGAAAACTGGTTTTCTAACAATATTTGGACATATATCCAGTGTGTTTCTATTTAAATTACTGTATAAAATGATTCAGCTTACATAAAACTTTTAAATCTAGTATCTCATTTGAGCCTTCAAGAAGCCTATGTACAAAATGTAATTTCCTATTTTATACCTGGGATGTTAAGAGATATTTACAAAATAAAACAAATAGTAAGAATCAGAGAGGGGCCCAAAGGTCCATATTCTGGTATCAAATCCAGGTTTCCTTCTACTCACCAAGTTTGCTATTATCCTCAGAATTCTCTCTTTGTGCCATTTTCAGGTAAACCTATTCTTCCTTTCTATTTCCCTTTCCTTCATTTTTCTAAACATGTTTATAATTCATCATCATTTACAAAGTGCTATGATTTATTTCATCTAATCTCCATGATGACTCTATGGGATGATATGCTATGATGAGATGACAGAGTCTTTGTGATTTTAAGAAACTTGATCAGAAAGTTACTTAAAACGTGACTGAGAAAAATTGTAATCTCTCCTTGGATCTGGATCTCTTAACTATACATAGAAGGCTGCTTCTAACAAATTATTTGTCACTTCTAGGATCTTATTAAGGTGGAAGAAATAAGTCTGTTATCCATTTTTCAGCAAGTATTTATGGTCTACCGTAAACATGACATTGTGATGAATGTGTAGTTTACACGGATGTAGGTTCAGAAACCTCAAAACTGTTCTTTGGAAATGGAAGTGAGATCAAGAGAAAAGAATGTCCAAATAAGTAAAATATAGAATTAAAATCAGAAATTAGTCATAGACAAAATAGAAATTTAAATATAATTTAATATGGTAATGGGATCCAATATATATCAGTAAATTTGAAAGACTACAAAAAATGAATAAATTTCCCCCAAATATATAAAATATTAAAACTGGCTCAAATGTGAATACAAAACCTGAATAAACCAATAAACATTAAAGACTGAAAATTTCATCAAACATGTTAACTACTCTCACCCAAAAGAAAAAAGTCTTAGTTTCAGTAACATCAGATAAGAATCCTACCAAAAATTTTTAGAGAGATAATTTTATACATATGTTTCCATGTGTAAATATTAAGGAAAGCTTACTAATTTATTTCATGAAGTCAGCGTGGAACCTTGGTTCTGTAAGAGAAAAAAGACAGTAGGAGAAAAATATAGTCTAATTTTGTTTCACTCTTATACGACTAAATCTGTGTATAAAAATTAGCTTTTCTTCAGAAATGCAAGAAATGTTATTTTTAATATCACAAAATCTATCAACATGATTAACCATTTAGCTAAAATAGAAAAATTACATGAATATACAATATATGTAGCAATAGCATTTGATGAAGTTTATTATTTATATTAAAAGTGCTTTTACTTTCAAGAATAGGATGTAGGCTGGGCACAGTGGCACATGCCTGTAATCTCAGCACTTTGGGAGGCCGAGGCAGGCAGATCACTTGAGCCCAGTAGTACCAGACCAGCCTGGCCAAAATGGCAAAACCCTGTCTCTGTTAAAAATACACAAATTAGCCAGTTGTGGTGGCACGCGCCTGTAATCTTAGCTACTCAGGAGGCTGAGGCATGAGAATCCCTTGAAACAGAGGTAAAGGTTGAAGTAAGCCAAGATCATGCCACCACACTCCTCCAGCCTGGGTGACAGAGCGAGACCCTCTCTCAAAAAAAAAAAAAAAAAAAAAAAAGATTGTAACTTCTTTAACTCGATCAAGGTATTATACCAAAACCACACACTAAATATCAAATTCAATTCAATTGACAACTTTTGTTAGCTTAAGGTTATGAAGGAGAGAAGATTGCTCTCACTGCTACCAAAAGTTCTTGCTACTGTAATAAGAAAAGAAAAAGGTATGAAGGGATAAGAATAAGAAATAAAGATGTACACTCTATTGCAGATAATATTTCATTTATTAACAAACCAACAGAATCTACTTATAAACCATTAAAATGAATAAGAGGATTAAGCAAGATATTCAAATACTGGATAACAAAAAATCAATGTTTTCCTCCTCACCAGATATAAACGATTTGAAAAAGATGAAAGGGAGGAAAAGAATACTATTTATAATACCAACAAAACTGTAAATTAGTAAAGAGTTGTCCCAGTCAAGGTTGCATATTTGAGGTAATAGTTAGATGAAAGTAATCTAGGTGCTCTGTCCTAGGGAAATGAGTATGGAAGAAGTTTACTGTACTATATTGCAGTGAGAAAAAAAAAAAAAACTAGCAAGACAAATAGTAACATTGCATTGAGACAAACATGAGAAAAATGAATGAGATGTGTGGCAAAAGCTGTTTATGAAATGAAAAAAAAAAGTATCCTAAACAAATTAATCCAAGTATATATATTAAGCAGTTACCTATGGTGCAAACAATAGGAATGGGTATAAGGATCAGGGATGACAGGAAAAGAACTTAATAAACTATAATACACTAATTAAGTAAACTTCTGTAAATGAGTGCTCATAGAGGGCTACGGAATTTCATGATTAAGTTAATTCACTGTATCAGAATTTCAAACCAAAAGGAAAACAAAAATTCTTCAAAAGTCTCCCTCGATGTTTAATGATTAAAACTCAACAAAGAACATCACAGACCCTCAAATGCAACCATCATTTTATTTAACAGATGAATGGATTTAACCCCAGAGGGATTCAATCAACTGTCAAGGCCATGCATCATTAATGTTTGTTCTTCCAGTTCCCAGTTCAATGCTCTCTTCTCTGCACTGTGTGACATTTCTTCATGAGAAAGTTGTGTTTTCTTATAGCCTTTCTATGAATTTTCCATCTCATGGTACCCTCAATGAACTTATACATTTACATTTCACCTTCACTACATAATATGGTCCCCACCAGAGATGGATGAGTTAGCTGATTCCTTCATTGTGCTGGGCGGGATTCAATTAAGAAAGTTTAATTTTTTTTAAATGGCTGAAACAAAAAGAATGCCTAAGCAAGCATTTGAAAGAATATATTATCTGATGAAAAATAAATGTTTTAGTTACCGTGAGAAAACATTTTAAAAGGTCCATTTTCAAGGAACGATAAATCTAAGTACTGGCAGTCAGCCTACAAAAGTAATAAACCGCACAGCTCATGCACCTGAAAGGTCACAATGAGCAAACAGAATGCAGAGGAGGGGTCAGCCCATAAAAGAGAAGAAGTTTCGTTATTGGAACGTCAAACCTTAAGTGGGGAAGGGGACAGGGTATACACAACCTTGTAAGAGGGATAATGAAACTTAGGTGACGTCCGGGAAGATTGTAACCCCATAGTACTTGACCAATGAGGAACTGGGGAATGGACTTGCGTGCTAGGAGATAAATTACCTGTTGTGACTGTCCTGGGTGTGCCTGTTCACCAGACACCTGATCTTGCAAGACTGTTTTTAAAAAATCTCACTTTCGCTGTTCTTCATGCCTCTAAGTCCATTCTTTGGATTTGGATGGGTGAGTGTGTTTCCCACAGTTACATAGAAGGGGGGAAAAGTTTTGTATTCTTTTTCAAGTTGAGGCTCTTGGGGAAGTGGTTTTAGTCTGTGCAGGCCCTTGGCCGCCCAAGCCCACTTGCCCTTGAGTTGGTTTACTTTTTAACCCTTCATGTGCCTCAAGGCCAATAGTTGGGACACCGATTACTCTAGTTACCCATTACAGCTTCTGTAATGTTCAGTTTTATGTGTTAACTTGGAGGCGCCACAGCGTGGTATTTGGTCCAGCATTACTCTGAGTAATTCTATGAGGGTGTTTTTGGACAAGTTTAACATTTAAGTTGATGAACTGAGTAAAACAGATGGCTCTCCTTAATGCAGATAGGCCTTATTTAATCACTGGAAGGCCTGATGGCTGCCTCTCCTCCAAATAAGGAATTCCTCCTGTCAACTTGACTTTGAACTGGGGCGTCATTCTTTTTCTGCTGCCAGATCTTTCATGGGTCTTGAGCCTGCCTACATTTGTAGCTAAACTATCAGATATCCCGGGTCTCCAGATAGCTGACTATAGATCTTAGAACTTGTTAGCCTCTATAATTGTGTGAGCCAATTTCTGATGTAATATGTATAAAATATTACATATAGTAATTATATTTTTATACGTATACACTGACACACACAATCCTATTGGTTCTGTTTTTTCTAGTGAACCCTGACTAATGCAGCTTATAAGCCATTATGCTATACCTTCTTTCTTTAAACAAAGCAAACCAAAACAAATTATGAATTACTTTGTATTCAATAGAAGTTATTACTATTAATTTTAATGACAGCTACAATTCATTCAGCACTCAGGCTGTCTCACATTTTTTTTTTTTTTTTTTTTTTTTGAGACGGAGTCTCGCTCTGTCGCCCAGGCTGGAGTGCAGTGGCGGGATCTCGGCTCACTGCAAGCTCCGCCTCCCGGGTTCACGCCATTCTCCTGCCTCAGCCTCCCAAGTAGCTGGGACTACAGGCGCCCGCTACCACGCCCGGCTAATTTTTTGTATTTTTTTTTAGTAGAGACCGGCCTCACATTTTTTATACAAAACATTTTATTTAATAACCATTGGACAAAAGGGAAAGTGGAACCTCAGGGCGGTTTAGTAACTTGACTATAGTCAGGTCAGTATTTAGTGATAAAGTCAGAACTTCAACTCAAACCCAAAGCTTTGCTCTATCTCACAATATACTAATAATATATGTTCTAATACTACTTGGAGACTCATTGCAGATGGACATAAAAGCACATGTCTAGCCTTTTCCAACGCAGCACTAGAGAAGTAGTTTCTAGATCAGAAGAATCAGTTGAAAATGCAACTGTATCTATCTAAGAGGGAAAGAAGTGCAATGGTATTCTGCTATAATTGCAAAGTAATCTAAACTGGTATACGTAGAGTTGCTGATCTATGAAAAATGATGCCGTAATATTTTAGCATCAGCAGGATAATGCAGGATACTAAAAAAGCAATACTAATGATTAAAAAGGCACCAGGCAACTCCTTATGTGTCTCAATGGATGGCATTTATCTAAGATAATATGAAGGGACATAAACTTAAGGTCATAGCTAAAGTATTCAAGCCAGAGGGATACACTGCCGGAAAAAAAAAAAAAAAGAAAAAAAAACACACACACAGAGCTGATTCCATTGCAAACAGAAATCTGTCAAGCAAAAAGTAAATGGACATTTTATGAAGAGGTACCACGGGATGGTGACTGACTTTCACCTTGGTACATTGGCCATGTCTTTCAACTTTCTGTCTTTGGTGTTGGTGAAGGCCGCTGAAAAATGTTCCTGCAATGAGGAGCCATTTGAAGTGCTGAAGGGCACAAAATACAGTTCCAGGAAACAGACTTTGTATTCCAGTTCGGTCACTTTTTTAATTGTTAGGCTTTGGAAAAATGTGTTAAATTGTCAGTACCTCAGTTTCCTCAGCAGTAAAAGGCTGATAATAAATAATATTTCTTGATTTCACATAGTTGTGCATCCCAAACAAAGTAATAGTTAAATGAAGCATGTAAAATTTTACATCTGTGTTTTAAAGGTGCCCTCTCTTATCATTAACAGTGTCAATAATGCCTACCAAATGATGTGATAAAGGAGGACAGGAAGAACAGAAAATAACTCCGAAAAAATATTGAAACAGAACAAAACTTCTTAAAAAAATTTTGTGTGAAATTGACACCAAATCTTTTTTGAAACACATCAGGGTTGGTGAACGAATCACTATGAACTAGATTGTTGTATTACAAGCAAAAATATATAGCAGTCTATTGTGGCTGAGCTGCAGATAAAATTCCTTTAAATTGCATGTGAATTTAGACACATAGTTCTCCAAGAGGTGTTCTGTGAGCTCTTGGTTGACCACCCTTCTGATAGCCAAAGAATATTCCAGAAACTTAACTCACCGATTTTAGAGGTATTCAGATGGATTCTAGTTGGCTAATGGAAAAGTGTTTGAACCATTTGAACTGTCTAAAAGTGCAGTTCAGATATGTACTGCTATGTGTGACAGACTGTGGAGTTAATGGAAGGAGGGAAGTATGTGGCTGCAAGACCACTAAAGAAAATCACCTTAAAAAGTTCGTGCTGAAGTGCATTGCCCTAGTATTAGGATCTGAGGATCAGATTTGCAAAAGGTGAGACTGAACAATGTTCCTACCTTAGCACTGCTCTGCCACCCTGTCCACTGAGGAAAAACTGCATGCTCCACGAATGAGAGGCCATAGATTAAAACAAAAACCACCAAAGGCCCTTAAAAAATTGCTGTGGGTTGGAATAGATGTGGAGTAGAATGTAGATGTGACACTGTCTGGTTATAGGGTATCCCTAGTGGCAAGGTGGCCACATGAACCAGCTAGCTCAGGACAATCTCAGGTTTTACATGTGTTACTGGAATCTCATCTGGTAAATGCCTCCTTTTCAATCTCAACAGTGTCCAACTTTGGATAATACATTAGAGAGTGACTATACCAAAAGGCAAATGGTCTTACCAAGGATGCATAACCTGATAAAGTTTAGGAAACAATTGGATGTAGAGGCTTTTATTGTTTGGGTGTCTTAGAAATACATAAGTGAGAGGGCCTGCTGAAGAGATAGGGTTTCCTAATGGCTAGAAGATATGGGTTCAGTACATGAGATTAGAACAATTTCTGTAAATGTGATTCATAAAAAAAGCCAGGTGAAACGTGGGACTGGATTACAAATACTGCTGATGTTTAGAGAGGAAGAAAATTCAGTGTGGTGCCTCATGATTAAGAAAGGCTTTATACAAGGTGGTGTAAAGTCTTAATTTCTTGGTCAGACTCAAGAGAGGAACAGTGGAAGGTAGTGAGAAAGGAAGGCAATTGTTTGGATATGGAAAAGGATGTGATCCTCTGTCCTGAATGTCTAGGAACCTATCTCTTGCTCTGACTCAGTCTGAGGGTCTTTGAAAATGTGGAGAGCCAAGAATTGATGTGTCAAAGTAGGACGTACCTCCCTCATCTCCACTTTACTCCATTACGGACTGAGAAAAGGAGTCTTTCATTGCAGTTCCCTCTTGGTACAGTGGAATTAATATACTACCCCTAAGTTGTTTGATTCCAAGTCCTAGATGTCTGGCATTCCAAAAAAGATAGAAACACTTTTTTTTTTTTTTTGAGACGGAGTCTCACTCTGTCACCCAGGCTGGAGTACAGTGGCGCTATCTCGGCTCACTGCAAGCTCTGCTTCCCTGGTTCACGCCATTCTCCTGCCTCAGCCTCCTGAGTAGCTGGAACTACAGGTGCCCACCACCACACCCGGCTAATTTTTTGTATTTTTAGTAGAGACAGAGTTTCACTGTGTTAGCCAGGATGATCTTGATCTCCTGACCTCATGATCCGCCTGCCTCGGCCTCCCAAAGTGCTGGTATTACAGGGAAACACTCATTTTTAAGACTTTGTAATTTTCTAAGCATCATAGAAATGTAATCCTGATATAAAGCTGAATGAATAAGACATTGAGTTTTTTAATAATTATTATGCCAAATCATTGTGGAAAAGCTGGCTATCTTAGGCTGATCATAAATCTTAGCTAGAATTATCATATTTTATTAATAAATGGAAAAATAAGTCATTATTTAATAAATAGTTTCTATGCATGACATATACAATTTTCCATACTCTGTAGTCCATGATGGTAAAGTAATAAAAGGGGTTAAGAAAAAGTATCATTAAGTGGAGTCAGACAGACCTAAGTTTTCATTTTCGTTCCACTATTTATTCTCTGCGTGGCCTTTGACATTCTATATCTCTGCATATTGATATTTTGGCCTGTTACTTCCGAACAAATTACTTGTGAGGAGTAAATTACATATCATATTAGTTGTTGTTGTTGTGGTTGTTGTTGTTTTGTTTGTTTGTGGTGTTACCTTGACTCACTACAACACTGGCCTCCCAGGCTCAAAAGATTCTTCCACCTCAGTCCCCTGAGTAGCTCGGACTACAGGCATTCGCCACAATGCCTGGCTAATTTTTTTGTATTTTTCATAGAGGCGGGGTTTTCGCATGCTGCCCAAGTGGGTCTCAGACTCCTGGGCTCAAGTGATTTACCTGCCTCAGCCTCCTGAAGTGCTGGGATTACAGGTGTTAGCCACCACACCAGGCCCACATATCATATTTTTAACAACCAGCACTCTTAGCATATAGAAACCTGTCAATAAATGGGTTAGAGCACATTCCCATTGAACTGATTAATATAAATGCAGATGAATAAATTTTAGTCTTGCATTTTGTTTTCCTACAGCTATTGAACAGAAAAAAAGATATAGTGTTTTATCCTTTTATGATTCCACATCAGCTGTCAAAGCATAAAATATCATCAAGCCTCCTGGACTATACTAAAGAGTTAGTGGGATCTAATGCCCAAACTAATTCAACTGGAAATTTCTATACCAGGTGCAATGTATATTAATAACATTTGGGGAACATTAAGGTGCATGCCAATGGGTTCTTGTATTTATAAGAACTATAAAATGTAAATTTAATAGTTTTCAGCAAGACTAGTCATTAATTTCATTAATATTATGAATGTGGGCACAGGAAAAAAAACATACAGCCAATCGATACAGATTATAGGAAAGAAATGTTTCAAATCCACCTGTTTATCCTTGAAAATGTGGTCAGAGTGAGGTCTTAGAGGAAAGTGAGTTTGGGTCTTAAGAATGTGATTATGATACCCTTATTCCACAACGTGAGGCAGACTCATTTGCCATCAGAATCAAGCAGCATTTTATAATAAACCTCACCTTAAATTATATAGCAATTTATAATTCCCAAAGCTTATTACTCCCTTTGATTACTTGCACAGTCCTCTTTTGTAGGAAAACTCACAAAAATAGGCTCCTTTTTATAGATGAAGAAACTGACCCAATAGTCATGAGTTAAGTAATGGTTATTCTATGTACAATTTATATAACCCTGAAATCATGTGTGACAAATAATAATTAGTATAATTATAATAATACCAATGTTATTATTTTAAGAATGTCTTTAAATTGGGTAACATTTATGCCTGACATATTATTAATACATGCTTTCTTCTACTTCTCAGAGTAATAAAATAAATTTCAAGCATCAAAGATAGGTTTGAAGGAATCATAATTTGAATAAGTTACTATCCTGAAACTCTTGAAATGGATGTACTAGTGCCTTCTTTTATCCTTGTATTAGGACAATTCTGCATGTTGTAATAGAATCATTGGTATATTTCTGTATAAATGGGATCTCACTATAAAGGTCTGCCAAGTGTTCTTTGCATGGGTAACCACACTGTGTCATTTTAGGAGTGTGTTTTCATTGAACTGAAATAGCTCTAGGGTACAGCTAAGAGAGTATTGAATTTAGAAAAAGAGCTCCAGCCCCTAATACTGAATATATCAGCACCTTAACTTGCGCTTTAGGTAGCAAGCTCCAACACCACAGCATGAAGTTTTGCCTCTGGGTTCTCACCTTTGTATCAACAAATATCTAATTAGAATATTTTATTCAGTCTAGTGAGTAGTGTGGAGAAAACAGTCTTAAAAAAATGTTCAACCAGGAGTTCTGAGGGAAATGTTAGATAAGAGACCATAAAATAGCCAGTAAGATGGAAGCACTGTGCAGACACCTGCCACTGTAACTTTCATATTTATCTATCTAGTTTGGTCATAGGTATTAAGCAAAATTAGGATTTGGTTTGACCTACTGGGGAGTCCGACAATATGATTACAATTCCTCCCCTGCTCTAAAATACTTCTATGTAGTTGGGTGTGTCTATGCACTAATCAGGGATTCAAATTGCCCATCTGGAAAAAAGAATAATGATACTCAAAGCCAAGATAGATTTTATACCTTTATCTAACAGCCCTTAGAACTATGCCTATCCCATAGAAGGTCTTCAATAAGTTTTTGTGTAAATAAATGAAGCAATGAGTCAATGTGTGAATAGTTTAATTAATTAACAGGTGAAGAGATGAATAAATGAATACTTTCTTACTGCTGTTTTGGCAGGATTATGAGGATTATATAAGACAACATTGGTAAAAGTGTGCCATATATTGGAAACTGTTTTGTCTATGCAAGACATTTCAAAACTTGAATGGCTCTGAATCCTCAGAAAGGAGGTACTGTATGTGAACTCAGTGAGGTATGATAAGACTTAGCATTGTCCCTGACACATGGACTCAATATAGCCTCCCTATCTTCCTAATTTCCAGTCAAAATTCAAGGTTTTCCAAATCATTCCATTCCACATGGCTCTATCTTTTCTTTGAGCTCGTATTGTAGTATTTCTGGCCAACACCATCTAGTAACGAATTGTTTTTGTTTCATGACTGTGAGTTCTTCCTTGGAAAATTCCATAAATGGATAATTCAAATTGCTTCTAAAAGAGCTCAATGTACACTTTTAGGTGATTCGACTAATAATGTTTGGGGCATATGTTATTGCTGTGATCTCTAATACAAGATAGAAAGGCTAAGAGTGAAGACTTGGTGGGATACACAAGAAGGAAGAGACACCCTGGACTAAGAGATACCCAAGTTAAATCTTGGCACTTGGTCCTAGACAAAGTATGCTTTATCTGATTGCTTCTATTCCCATTTCTAATAATCAAGGGGATAATACATACTCATGAAGTTATGAACATTAACCAAGAATGTGTGTGTAACACCTAGTATATACCAGACACCTAAAATGTAATTGTTCCCTTTCCTTATCCACTTGCTTGACTGCTTCTCTTTCTCTAAACCCCATTTATTTTTTACATGGGGCAGATATTTTTTGAGCGCATACTATATAGTTGGCAGCGTTCTACGTACTGTATAAGATTTAGTCACTTGAACCCAGCAAGAGGAGGTTGCGGTGAGCCGAGATCACGCCATTGCACTCCAGCCTGGGTAATAAGAGCAAAACTCCATCTAAAAAATAATAATAATAAAAGATAAAAATAAAAAGAAAGATTTAAGAAAAGAGTCTGTAGATGGATCTTAGAGTTAAGTGGGAGGTGATAAATATGTCAATACTATATTATAATGTAAAGCATAAAAGTAAGTGGTAAGCAGAGGTATAAGATTGTTGGTGTGCAGTTGTGGAAAAAAGGAAACATTAATTCTCTCTAAAATTATTTGAAAGTTGTCATGGAAGAGGTCACATTTAAATGGAACCTTAGAGAGGATGAGCATATTTTGATAGAATGAGAAGAAAGAAACACTGAGACAGAAGGAATAGCAAGAAAAAAAAAACATGTAAAAGTTGCAAATATTTTCACAAAGTTTTGGATGGTTTAGTGTGGCTAGAATATAAAACATTGTAAAATTATTGTGCAAAGTGAGGACAATTTGGAGCATGGGAAAAATATGGAAAGGTTAAAATACATATAAAATTTATAACTGAATCCTTGATATTATTCCATAGATTTTTAAATAACTACTAAATCATCTTTGAACAAATGATTATTTGAGGGTAAATCTCACCCTTACAGCACACACCAAAATTATTTCATAAGTTAGCACATCAAGCATATTTATATTTATAATAAAAGGAAATATAAATGATAATATACTTAATTTTAAATGTCAAAGATGTCACCAACAGAACTAAAAGGCCAACAGCAAATAAGTTCTATGAAGATGACAAGCTGTTTCAATCTTTAATATGTAAAAAGTTTTTTATAAGTCAATCGAAAAAGATAGGCATCCTTAAAAATACAAAGGCAAGGGAAATGAATAAGCATTAAAAACACTGAAATAAATAATAACCATATGAAAATGTACAACATGACTGAAAATCAAATGAATTTGAAGAAAAACAGTAAAATAGCAGCATTTGCAATCAAAATAGATAATATTTTCAAGTGATGATATCTGATGGTGTTTGTGATCCAGACAATAGAAATTTTTGTCCACTACTAGTAGGAATGTAAATTATACAAGTAGTTGAATTATAAATTATATTACCAGGAATATAGTATATAGAATAGTATCTAGAATATAGTATATATTAGGAGGAATATAAATTATAAAACCATATAGAGGACATTTTGCCACGATGTAAGTTGTTTAAATATTCTATGATACATTCTTAGTAAGGAATATGATGCAACATTTTTTCACTTTTTAAAAATTATTTTATTTGATTTTATTTAAAGTTATAGTGTACATGTGTAGGATGTGCAGGTTTGTTACATAGCTAAATGTGTGCCATGGTGGTTCACTGCACCTATCAACCCATCACCTAGGTATTAAGCCCAGCATGCATTCTGTATTTTTCCCTATGCTCTCCGTCCCCCCACCCCACTTTCAACAGGCCCCAGTGTGTGTTGTTCCCCTCCCTGTGTCCATGTGTTCTCATTGTTCAGAACATGTGGTGTCTGGTTTTCTGTTCCTGCATTAGCTTGCTGAGGATAATGGCTTCCAGCTCCATCCATGTCTCTGCAAAGGACATGATCTTATTCCTTTTTATGGCTGCATAGTATTCCATGGTGTATGTGTACCATATTTTCTTTATCATACCTATCATTGATGAACATTTGGGTTGATTCCATGCCTTTGCTATTGCGAATAGTGCTGCAGTGAACATACATGTGTATGTATCTTTATAATAGAATGATTTATATTCCTTTGGGGGATATACCCAGTAATGCAATTGCTGGGTCAAATGTTATTTCTTGTTCTAGGTCTTTGAGGAATTGCCACGCTATCTTTCACAATGGTGGAAATAATTTACATTCCCACCAACAATGTAACAATGTTCCTATTTCTCCATCGCCTCGCCAGCATCTGTTGTCTGACTTTTTAATAATCGTCATTCTGACTGGCATGGGCCGGTATCTTCTCGTGAAGGTCTAATATCCAGAGTCTACAAGGAACTTAAATTCACAAAAAAACTCCCATTAAAAAGTGGGCAAAGGACATGCATAGACTCTTCTCAAAAGAAGACATTTATATGGCAAAAAATGTAAAAAAGCTCAACATCGCTGATTATTAGAGAAATGCAAAGCAATTCTTTAAAAGTATGTCATTACAGGACATACTATGTCTACGTATGTCTGACTATTATATGTCATGACATAAAGTATTCAAATGATTTTTACAATATTTTACCGTTGTTACTTTTAACACACACACACACACACACACTCAAATATACACATACATACCCTTCAACAATAAGAAAAATAATGTTGAGAATAGATACTATAAAACATATTGATTGCTTAAGGCCAGGAGTTTGAGGCCAGCCTGGGAAACACAGCAAGAGCCTGTCTCTATAAAAAGTTAAAAAAAAAATGGCTGGGTGTGGTGATGCAAACATACAGTCCTCGCTACTCAAGAGACTGAGGTGGGAGGATTGCCTGAACCCAGGAGGCTGAGGTTGCAGCAAGCTTTGATAGCGTCACTACTGTACTCCAGCCTGGGAACAGAGTGAGACCCTATTTCTCAAAAAACAAAGAACAAAACAAAACAAAAACAACAACACAAAAGACCTCTACGTGTGAGAACATAGTTTTCCATCCCATCTCCTGGAACACAATTGTTTAAGTAACACTATATGTATTTGCTATTCAACAGGGAAATCCCTCTGCCATTTGGGTTCCTTGGGAGGAAGGCTAACAGGACACATCAGTCCACTGGTACAGACTTAGCCCCGGAAATCGCCTAGAAAAAAACAAACTTTTGGAAATGTCTATTTGTTTGTTTGTTTACTCACATTATGTATCAGAGGACAAATGATGGAATACTTAATGAATAATTTTCAGACAACAGGCTACTTCTGGTTTCATTAGTAACCCATGATATTCTGTGGACTGTCATTATTGTGCTGCTTTTGGGCCATGGGAGCTTTCTTTTTGAGTCTGCTGCATGGAATAGAATCATATAGTCTTGTAAATTCTGAGTGTTTTTATGGCTCTATATGGTCACACTCCTAAGCTGTATGAGGTGAGGAGGAGTTAGAATCAATTATTATAAAAATTATCCAGAAGTCCTTTCCTCTTCCACTGAAGAACAGATATATTTACAATAATAAGGAAAGCAGGAAATATTTGTATCCTATTACAAAGTCAATGTCTTTTATATTAGATGGTCTATGGGAGCCCCTATTTATATCATGATTGGTCAGAATACCATTCTGAGTGATAATATTATATAAAACATCTGGAAAGTTCAGGAGCATCATTTTGGTAGAAAATAAGATTTTTAAAATTTATTGTGTGGAGTTAACTTGTCCCCTAGGATATAGCCTTTATACCCTCAGTTTACAATATCATGGTGAATGCTTCCCATAAGCATAATTTCAGTTTGCCTCAACAAAGAACCCACAATACTTCTCTGAACCCCTTTCCGAACAAAGGAGAGCCTGGAGTGCTGGGCTGAGAAGCAGCACAACAAGCTGTGTCTCTACATGTATAGAGTGATGCTGAAAACCAAGCAGACAATGCAAAGAAAAACTTTAGTCTGAAAACATTTAAAGTAGAATGAAGGTACAAAGGTGAAACGACTCATCTGGGTATCACATAACAGCAAGAAAATCAGAGTAACAATGAGATCTAAGAGATGAGAATGTTGTTACATTTTGCCTTGTATGAGACACACTTCTCTTTAGCTAAGACATGATGATAGTTATGACGGATAGCAGGATATCCCAGTCTTATAAAATGTACCTGATGGGAGACGAAGACACTGATTATATTAAAATATTGCATTTTTAATGCTTTATTTAGAAAATATAAAGGCTCTGTATATTTCGTGACCTATTTATGTATTAGGCAGTGAGCTAGAGAAATCAGGCTAAGTGCTTCCATAGTAATAATTTAGGTCTTGCATCTGCAAGAGGAAAGGCAGATAATTGTCATGTTTTATCTGAAGATTTTCAAATATTTTTGAGCACCTACTTCATACTAAAGAATCAGGCATCCAGATTGCTAGTCAGCTGGGGGGAATAGGTTCAAATTCGAAGGGGTAGGATTGGAATGGCCAAGTAAGAAAAATAAGCTGAGTTCATTACAAGGCCATATGCAATTAATATCACCTAGATAGTACACAGGCTAGTGTGTGAGGTTATATAGCCTCACTGGGTATATTTGAGTTATAATCACTAACACTGGGATGGTGAAACAAAGACAGGATCAGAATTGTGGTATTTTGAGAATGAAAATAAATTTGAAGATGAGCCAATATTACTTTGTTAAACAAAATCAAGAGGTGTTCTGTTAAACAGTGCCGGCAGCAGACAGTCTCAGATCAGAATCCACAAGTTGAAGAGACAAGCCCGCGGTCTGCCCGCTATGATTTATAATAAAGGTTAACATAAGTGTATGTATAGATTTATTAAGAAGCAGTGCCTGCTGTTTATTAAAACACTGCTCTATGTGTTGGAGACAGAGTAGAATAAGAAAAATTAAAAATAGAAACAAAATTTCTGCTATCATATATTCAAAAAAGAATGTTATATAATTATATATGCTAAAGAGAAATACGAAGCAGTCTAAGAGTCAAAGTAAATATGGTGAGTTGGAGGCGAAGGTGAATCTCTTGTCCCTAGTAGTTTTGGATGGGATAGGAATTGAAATCTTAATGAATAGGCAGCATTTGAGTAAAGGTCTGAAGGAGGTGCAGAAACCATACAGATATTTGGGGGTGGGGGAAACCACAATTTAGATATTGGGAACTGGAAGAATGAATTGTTCAACCAGTAGTAGGCCTGTTGTACTGAAGCAACTGCAAGGAGGAGGGCTGTAGAAAGTAAGAACTGAGAGTTAAAAAGGAGGGGCAGATAATACAAGCTACTCTTAGGGATTAGGCTGTTACTCTAAATGACCTGGGAAGTCATTGAAGAGTTTTGACCAGAGGCTTGACATGCTCTGACAGGAGATCTCTGAATAGATGGGGAGGAGCAGGGATGGGGCAAAGGCAAAGACAGGGAGATCCAGTAAGAGGTACTGCAATAGTCCAAGTAAGAGATGGCTTAGAGTAGCATGTTGACGACAGAGCTGGGAAGAAGTGGTCAGATTCATTCACAATACTGCATATGTTCCAGTAAGAGCTGAGAGGATTTATAGATTATTTGGCTATAGATTATAACAGAAATAAATCAAGAATGATTTGGTGCCTGCCTGAATAATAAGAATGGAGTAGCTCTTTACTCACATAGGAAATGGGGATGTGGAGAAAAACAGGGGGATACGAAACAGAATTTTGTTTTAGTCATGTTAAATGTATGTTATCTACTAGTTATTTAAGAGTATATATTGCATAGTTAGTAGGCTATGATAAAATAAACTCACCAGAGGAACCTGCTCATCAAGTGAAGCTGCGTTATTTTAAACCTTCTGTAGCAAGGAAGAATCCTACTTGGACAGGGTCTTTGTACTGTCTGACAAAGGGGACTTTGGAAAAGATATTTACATGGTTTTTGAATATGGTCTTGAATTGCTTATGATGGATCTTTTGAAAGGGCTCGTTGTTGGAAATAAGAAAAGTTTATATGATAATAATTAGAATTGGCATACATAAAGCTGTGTACTTAATGGAGTTAAGAATCCCTAAGAGTTCTTGGTTTGAGTTTGCCAGTTTAAAAAGTTTTAGGTGATTAAATGATGGCTGTATGTCTTTAATCAAGACACAGATCCAAGAATAAGCACTCTGGGGTTCCAATACTACCTGATAAGGCTCTCTTCATTAAAACTTCAGGCTACCTTTCTCTGAGATCTCTTCCAACAGATGAAGTCTCTAGGTTTAAAATAATGAAGGAATTTTGAGGGGAAGCTCTTTAGGAAAAGCTGATTGTATGTGTTGGTAAAAAGACTGAGTATATTATGACTCCTTTGTAATAATTACTTATATCACCATATAATAAGTCAGTGTCTAGGAATGCTGAAAATATCTCCTGGTAGCTAGGAATCTTAGTTCGCAGAGAGAGAGAGCAGAGATGCTATCAAAAGAGTTGGCCTCACTGTCATTAGGGCCAGAGGCAATACTTTAGGCCATGAAAGTTCAGGGGTTTCTGAAAATTTGACTAATACAAGTTGCTAGGTTTTCATTGCTGTTGTTTCTTTGGAGACAAAATTCACATAACATAAAATTAACCATTTTAAAGTTTACAATTAATGGTATTTGATACATCCACAATGTTGTATTATAAAATAATCGCCTTGATCTAATTTCAGAACATTTTCATTATCCCCCAGAGGGACCTCGCTCTCATAAAGCAGTTATCCCCGATGCTCACTCCCCATCCCCAGTCCCTAGCTACCACTAACATGCTTTTTTTTTTTTTTTTTTTTGCTATGGATTAACTCATTCTAGATATTTTATGTAAATAGAATCACAAAACGTGACCTTTGGTGACCAGCTTCTTTCATTTTGCATAAGTTTTTTTTTTTTTTTGAGATGGTGTCTCATTCTGTCGCCAGGCTGGTGTGTAGTGGTGCGATCTCGGCTCACTGCAACCTCCACTTCCCGGGTTCAAACGATTCTCCTGCCTCAGCCTCCCGAGTAGATGGAACTACAGGTGCCCACCACCATGCCTGGCTAATTTTTTGCATTTTTAGTAGAGACGGGGTTTCACTGTGTTAACCAGGATGGTCTCAATCTCCTGCCTCGCACTTCCAAAGTGCTGGGATTACGGGCATGAGCCACCGCACCCAGCATTGCATAACATTTTTAAGGTTCATCCATGTGGTAGCGTGTGTCAGTGCTTCATCCTTTTTAAGGCTGAATAACATTCCATTGTAATAACGCATGGCATTTCATTCATACATCATCCATTGACGGATATTTGGGTCCTTTGGATTGTTGTGAATACTGCTGTTATGAACATTTGTGTACAAGTATGTATACCTATTTCAGTTATTTTAGGTGTATACCAGTTAATTTAAATTTCAGAATTAATATTGTCCTTCTACCTTACCTTAATATGAATGTGATATGGGCAGTGGAGTTTTAAATAAGAGGAAATATTTTAACAACAACTTCAGTAATGTATTTCCATCATTAAACAGATAGTTTGAGCCAAGTAGAAAAAAAAAATGTCAGGCAATTCTTTTTCTGTTAAAGCTGTGGCTTTCCAATAAGGAAAAGCTTTGCTCTACCCTGAAAATAAACGTACAATAACCTGGACAATTCCATAGCCCATTTTAGGGTAATTATGTAAAATCCATTTGGAGGAAATAAAAAGGATATGAAGATTTTGGCTCCAGTCCCATTCTCATCTTTAAAGTTTGGTCAATATTGTGTTATTGGTAAGTAGACATATATTAGTCCCCTTCTTGGCCCAAATATTTGAAGTTTCCCTATAAATTGATTTAAGATCATTACTAGATTATTGATATGTTAACTTGTTTCACTATAATAACCACCTTATTATGTATATATATCCTGTAACATCAATTTGTATAGCTTAAAGATACACAATACAATTTATTTTATTAAAAAACATGTCTAATTTATCTCTGTTATGGTGTTAAAACAGCTTTTGCTAATCTATTACATTAACTGGCATTATTAGAATGGAAGAGAGGACTGTCCTCTCTTGTGATATCAGGTAACTTAATAAGGATTCAGTTAATGATTACTGAGAGACAGGTATATTACCAACAGTAATAGATTGCAAACCTCCACAGACTTTTGATTTATATCATAACATATTCTGGTTGTCCTGACTGACAGGTATTATAGAACCTAAAAAATAATCAATTTGGAAACAATTATTGTGTGGTATAGCATATTGAACATAATTATATTTCTTTTAATATAAGAAATAATTATTGAATTTTATTTATATTAACATAGTTTACTTATATATAATTAACCTAGGAAGATCGAATTTCTCTTTTGATTTGTCAGATATTGCTTTATTCTAACGGTATATAAAAAGAGCTCGTGATAATTTTTAGTTCATTAAAATTTAGAGAATTCCAAAAAAAACCTAATTACTATAATTTATTTTACAAAGTAAAAAATAAGCCTTTGTGTTAGCAAATATAGTTTAGGCATAAAAAACTTAAATATTCTATTTTTCTGCATTTAGTGTTTGAATAGGGAATGTGCCAAAGAAGATAAGGTATAAATATGTCATTTTTATCTAAAGGCAAAATATAACAAAGGCAATAGTTTGAAACTATACAGCATTGAGAAATGATGATCATTAGAAATACATTTTTTTCCAAAATAATTTTTTGTTAGAATGGTTCAGGATTATGACAAAAGTAAAGAAATATAGCACAACAAAGTGTTGTTATATACTGATACCTAATCACAGAGTGATTTAGTCATTATACAGAAAAAAACTAATTTTACTCCATTTTGATTTTTTTAAACAATTTATGACAACGTATGCACACCTTGAACTAATGTATACTAATATATCTTTATATGCATATATTCAATTTGTTATGCACTGAATTGTCTCCCCACTCCCTAAATTCATATATTGAAACCGTAAGTCCCAATGTGCCTGTATTTGAAGTAAGGAAGTAACTAAGGTTAAATGAGGTCATAAACATAAGGTCTTAATCCAATAGTATCAGTGTCCTCCTTATAAGAAATCAAAGAGTTCTCTCTCTCTTTTACTTTTTTTCTCTTAAACAGGAATTGCTGTGGACCAAATTGGGTCCTCCAAAAATTCATGTTAAAGCCCTAACTCTCAAGGTGGTGGTATTTGAAGATAGTCCTTTTAGGAGATAATTAGGTTTAGATGAGGTCATGAGGGTGAAGACTTCATGATGGGGAATCACTGCCCTTATAAGACGAAACAGCAGGCAACGTGCTCACTCAGTCTCTCTCTCTCTGCCGTGTAACAACACAGTGAGAAGGTGGCTGTCAGCAAGCCAGAAGGAAAGTCCTCACCAGAAACCAAACACTGCCAGAACCTCAGTCTTGGATTTTCCAGCCTCCAGGTCTATGAGGAAACAAAGTCTATTGCTTAAGCTGCCAGTATTTGGTATTTTGTCATGATAGTCTGAGAAGACCAGTACACAGATACATATAAGCCCAAACAAATATGCAACATATATATACATACACACAGTCACGCACCACATGACAACATTTTGGTCAACAACAGACCACATGTACAATGGTGGTACCATAAGATTATAATACCATATACCATATTTTAGGCCGGGCACGGTGGCTCACACCTGTAATCCCAGCACTTTGGGAGGCTGAGGTGGGTGGATCACGAGGTCAGGAGATCAAGACCATCCTGGCAAACACTGTGAAACCCTGTCTCTACTAAAAATAAAAAAAAATTAGCCAGGCGTGGTGGCGGGCGCCTGTAGTCCCAGCTACTTGGGAGGCTGAGGGAGGAGAATGGTGTGAACCTGGGGGGTGGAGCTTGCGGTGAGCCGAGATCGTGCCACTGCACTCCAGCCTGGGGGACAGAGCGAGACTCCATCTCAAAAAAAAAAAAGATTATAATACCATATTTTTACTTTACCTTTTCCTATGTTTAGATAGACTAATATTTATCATTGTGTTACAATTGACTATAGTATTCAGTATAGTGACATATTGTTCAGGTTTATAGCCTACAAGCAATAAGCTATTCCATATAGCTTAGTAGGCTATACCTACTGTGTAGTAGGCTATACCACCTAGGTTTGTGTAAGCACACTTTATGATGTTCACACAACTACAAAATCACCCAAGGACCCATTTCTCAGAATATACCCTAATTATTAAATAAGTATATATACACATACACATAAATATATGATATATTTAAAGCTTTTAACTTTAGTCTTAGAACATAATTAACTTTATCAGCACACCAAAGAAAACAGTGTATATGTTATATTGAATTTACCATTTTAATAACCATTCTCTTGATAAAATATTAGGCTCGTAATAGTCAAAATCTTGTATATTTAGGGACTATTCTATAGAGTTTTGGTTTAACTACTTATATCAATTACTACCTTTAAGTCATGAAAAATTAAACTTAAGTAATGTATTAACTAAAATACTCTGCAAACCTAATTTTTTATGTTGGTTTCTTAACTAAATTAAATCATCCCAATTGATTCACAGATTTAATTAGCATCAGGAAATTAATATGAACTCTTTTAATATAATGTATAAATTTCTATATTTATAAACCAGATTTTTAAAGAGTCTTGAATTAATATCTAAAACTCTAAGTGTCTAGTTTTTTTATTCAGTAGTTAAGAACAAAGGTCATTACCTAAACTCGTAGTTAAATATTTTCTTCTGCATTACCATTTTCTGATAAAAAAAAATTAACATCCTAAAAGGTTAATTATCTCCCTCTTCAGAGAAAGAGAAGACTTATATGTAGAAAAACATATCTTATCCCATATAATCAAAAGAGACTTTTTATAGCTGGTCTTAATAATAATTTGGGCTCTTGACTATTCCATCAAGTCCTACAATTAATAAGATGGCCCTTATTAATTCCTAACATATGGAAAATAAAAAGAGTAATCTCAAAAACTTAAAGTGATCTATCGTTTTGGCAATAGGACAGTGTATCATCTCAAAACCTTTAAATTTTTCTTTTTTATCCTGAAGTTTTTCTCAAAAGAATAATGTCACTCATGTCAAAATTTTCCCGAACTGCCCAGGACAGTTCTGAATTGTCTTTGGTTAAATTATGCAAATTAAGGAAATAGGCATACATGAAAACTAGGAAGAACCAAATGTGTTTGGACTAAAGGGGTTGCAAGTGATAGAACCTGAAAAGACCCTAGGAAAACTGAATCTGCGTCTTCAGAGCCAGGCAAAAGACCTGTGGTCATCAGCTTCTGGGCAGATGAACCACAGCTCTGGGTTCTCTCCACGTGAGAGAATACAAAGCAGTTCTCAAGAATTCAAAGACTGAGAAGAGTCTTTATATTGCAAAAATAACCCAAGACGGAGTTTGTTCAATGAAAATGCCTTCTGAAATTATCACCTCTCAATGACAGCTTGAGAAATGTGTTTACCCAACCATCCTCTGTCTGTGAACTTCCCTTACAGTTTCACAATGGACAGAGAGGGGACAGAGGTGAACACAGTGTTGGTGGCAACAAAGCAAACTGCCAACAAGAATAGAAATTTTCACATTTATTTAAATAATTAAAGGATTCTTCAAAAATTTTCCTTATTCCTAGGAGACAAAATAAGCATACACTGTTGTCATTTTTTTTAATCTTCCTTTCTATAATGTGGCGTGCATTTTTGGTCAATCAATATCCCATGAAGCAGAGACATAGGATGAGAAAAAAAGAAACAAAACCAAACAGATTTCTGGGGCAAATTGGAGGTCCATGCACTAAATCTAAATTGTGTATGTGTTTTCCTAGTCCTTTTGTAAAATATACAAGGATGGCACTTTAAGGAAAGTAGCAATTTTATGGCAGAGTGCCCTCCACCAAGGGAAAATGGGTCTTTAGCATCAAAGATCTATGTCTAAAATACTTCTGTTGAAGTACAGCTGCTAAATTATTGTTACATAACCAATAAAATTGGGAGGTATTTATTCTATAAATATGCAGTACTTAGATAATATATATCTAAGATACCTAAAAGCATTGGAAAAAATATATAAGGAATACATTTCACCTGAATAAGCTTTAGGTAAAAATAAAAATGTGTGATTAGGATGTCCTCTATCATGTTTCATAAATTAGCCTAACCTCCCTGAACAAGGAACTATTTGTGTATCAAGGCAGTACAGTTACCTTTTATTGAGTACATACTATGTCCTTGACACTAACACCACTATAAACATGAACATTGTCATACCACTGTGAGGAAGCTATTACCCTCATTTTAAATCCAAAGAAACAGAGACCGAAAAAAAAAAAAAAGTTACTTTGCAAGAGCTATAAAACTGTCAGATAGGGGACCAAAACTCAGGTCTATTTGGCTTCAAACCCTGTGCTCTTTCCACTCCAAAACACCTATTAGAAGACTGAAGATGATTCATGGTGTATTCTACCTCCTATTTTTTTTTTTTTGTAGAAAACTTATATCATAGGCGTCTCTCCATCCCACTTTTTTTACATCTCAGTAAAAATAAGGCCTTACCTTTAATATCTAAGCTGTTAGTATCCTTCACTAAATATTTTTTCATGATATAGCTGTTTATACTGTTACAGCTGTTTCTACTAGCACCACTATCAAACTTAGCTGCCTCAACCTTTACGTCTCTTTTCTGAAATATTTACTGTTTTCTGTTTCTCCTAGTCTTTGAGCTGGCATTTCCAGACAGCCTGACAAAGCTGATCAAAATATATTTTTAAAAATCAACAATTACTGAAGAGAAATAAAGTAACAAGATAATCATTTTTTATAGAGATACATCAATCATGATAGTCCCAAGTACTTCTGGTGGGTTGAAGTGTTTTTCTTTGATGCCATAGGCTCTTGTAAAAATTTCTCTCATATTACACAGTATTTTGTTCCAAACCTTGTGTTCTATTGTAATTTTTGTTGTCTTGTTCTGCCTCCTCTTCTAGATTATAGAATTCGTGAATTAATTTTTATTCATAAAACCTCTATAGCTTCAGCATCTGCCCTCTTTACCATGTGACATTTCAAGATAAGAGAAGAACAGAAGGCACACACATACTTCTTAATCACCTTGGACCAGAATTGACACACATCACTTCTGTTTTTAGTTTCTTAGTGAAAAGTAGTTCATGGCTCTGTGTTAATGCAAGGATCTTCTGAAAGATACAGTTCTAAACTGGACAGCTGCTTCTCATAAAAAATCTGTACTCTATGGCAGGGGACTCAGATCTTTGGTAGACAGCTTGGTACCTTTATTAAGGTCTGCCTCCCTGGCCATCAACTGCCCAATGCACCCTTCTTCCCAAGTATAGGACATATAAATTGCCATGTTAGTCCCCTGCCCCTCAAAAGGAGGAAATATCTAATGAGATTTGAGACTCATCTGAAAGACTGAACCTCTGGGTGATCACAGTCCTCTTCATTAAGTCAGATATAGCTCTTTGTCATTTGCTAAACTATAAATGTAAAGACAAATTGGCTATTTATTCATTATCCAATGTACGATGCAGAAAACAGGGACAGGATAACTAAATTGAAAACTCCCATTTGGAAAATAAAAGAGGAATAGACACATAACAAGTTCAAGGCACATAAAAATTCATTAGTCTATAGAATAACAGGATTCTTTAGAACTGGCACTGTAAGGAAGCCTTGTCCTGTGGTGGGGAACATTTCTTGATTAGATAGCGATACTGTTCTCTGGGAAACGTTCCTTTACACATTGTTCCTAGTTCTCTGATTCACTGTCTCCAAGTGTCTTCATCTTCCATTATCTTCCATGGAATGTCTGAAATTTTCTCAGACCCTATGCCCACGCAAATTTAGAGGTTCAGGGGTTATTTTAGGAATTGAATGACAGAGACATTTTAAATCTGAACTATGGTTTCCTTAGCAATACAATTCTCTCCAAAATTTAACACTTTCAACTACGTGCTTATAGTCAACTCCGTGAAGCCAGTAATCACATTAAAAACAGTTTCCTAGGCCAGGCGTGGTGGCTCACACCTGTAATCCCAGCACTTTGGGAGGCCGAGGAGGGCGGATAACGAGGTCAGGAGATCGAGACCATCCTGGCTAACATGGTGAAACCCCGTCTGTACTAAAAATACAAAAAATTAGCCGGGCGTGGCAGCCGGCGCCTGTAGTCCCAGCTACTCGGGAGGCTGAGGCAAGAGAATGGCGTGAACTCGGGAGGCGGAGCTTGCAGTGAGCCGAGATCACCCCACTGCACTCCAGCCTGGGCCACAGAGGGAAACTCTGTCTCAAAAATAAAAAAAAATAAAAAAAAATTGTTTCCTAGATACGTTTCTCGAATCTGCTTTATTTCTTGACTTTTTAATTCCCGTATCTTTCTCTTTAAACTTAATGGTACCTATCTGGAAGTAATCTGACTAAATTGGAATTTAGTCAGATGGACTAAAGTGGAATGTACCACACTTAACATAGCTTTTGCAACAAACTGAGACACTTTGAATATAGTGGGTATTTGTCAGTCTTTCAAGTATGTTGCTATTTGAGGGTCCAGAAGCAGCAAACTTTTCCAATGCCCTTGATCTCTAGACTTTCTCAATTTTCTTTTGTCTCAACTTGAAAATATTCCAATCTTTGCTTGAGTTTATTTCTTTTTTAAAATACTAGGAGAAGCCAGTAGTAGCCTCTAACATTTTGGCTTAATCTATTTACCCTAGAGCCATAGAACCAGTAGACATGTTATTTCACCCAATATTTTGCTACAGTAAAACAGAACTCTAAAGCTTTCCAAAATGCTCTATCTGCTTCCTTGACGTCTACTGTCTAGCTGCTAAGCCAATAACATGTATATTAGGCTATTGTTGAGGCAGCATTCTTCCTCAAATTATAGTTAGGCTATTAGGAGTAATGAAAACTGATATGATAATTTCTAAATCCAGAGGCTTAACACAATAAACATTTTTTTCTTATCTAGTTGAAATTTTTTACAAAGCAATAGGGCTCTGCTTCATGTAATCATTCAGTGATCAAGAAAGACGGTGGCTCTACTGTCCACCTTTGAAGATAATAGATTTGAAAATTGGCAGTGACATTGACTTTAGGTTGACAGAGAGAAAGAGATGAGATTGAGAGGAAATCATGTGTGTTTCTTAAACAGCTAAGCCTAGATGTAACACATATCACTTACACTCATATCCTGCTGAAAAGAAATTGTAATATTCATTTGATCCCACCTTGAGGGAAGGGGCGTCAGCTCTTATTTGAGCAGTTAAATCCCACAATATAGCCACACTATAGAAAAGTATCATGAATCTTTGGTCAGTTAGACATCTCTGCTCCAATAACAATTAGGTTTATTGTCAGCTTAGGGTGCTAATTTATCTCATTTAATTCTTACAATAAACTTTAACATAGGAATAATAAATTTTACTTCCCCTATTTAATTAAATGGAGGCCTAGAAATATTGTTATTAAGTATAGTAAAATGAAAAATATTGGGGTCAAACTCTTTAACACTGCTTTTCTGATTTGCATTTCTTTTTCTTTTTGTCTTTAACATCTTAAGGGGGGTGTCAGTTTCAGTTGTTTAAAGTAGTAGTGTTTAGGCATTTTTGTTAGTGTCTGGAAAATTCTCCAGATTTTCACAACCACAGCTACCACTCACATATATTGATGAGTGCCTACATTATTCCAGGTGCTGTGTCAGTGATAACCCTGGAGGTATTTGTCAGTAGATACTTCTCTTAAGATATGAAACCCAGATACATGGCTTTGAAAGTAGTGACCTCCATTGAAGAAGGTCAGCTAAACCAGAACTATCTATTTCTGTTCTCAGGAAGTTTATCCAAGTCTTGGCATCTTCTCATTTATCACAGGAGCTAAGCCTTCCCATCTTGGAGTTCTATTGGAAAGAGTTTCATTTTAGATCCCCCTGCATAGGTGAGATAGTCTGTACTTTGCAAAATGTTACTAAAAACTTAGGAATAGATTGGGCGTGGTGGCTCATATCTGTAATCTTAGCACTTTGGGAGGCCGAAGTGGGCAGATCACCTGAGGTCAGGGGTTCAAGACCAGCCTGGCCAACATGTGGAAACCCTGTGTCTACCAAAAAAAAAAATACAAAAATTAGCCAGGCATGGTGGTGTATGCCTATAATCCCAGCTACTCAGGAGGCTGAGACAGGAGAATCGCTTGAACCCAGGAGGCAGAAGTTCCAGTGAGCCGAGATCACACCACTGCATTCCGGCCTGGGTGACAAAGTAAGACTCCGTCTCAAAAACAAACAAACAAACAAAAACTTAGGAATAAAAATAGAAATAAACAAAAGTGAATAGACAATAATAGTTGATCATGCAAGTATCTAATTGTATTTCCTATTATATCTCAGATTGCTTCCAATGCCCATGAACAAGTACATGGCCATGTTCATATTGTGCATGAACTCCAAGGGGAAAGGATAGGTTTCCTTTCAGGTCCCTCACTTCCTAGCATGAGATTATTTCTCAGGAATAGTGATATGTTGGCACTAACCAGCATGGACTACACCCCCAATAATTCTGATGAGTGTTTTTGGTTCTTTCACAGTCTTGACTCGGAAAGGGAAAGAGCAAGAGAGAGAGAAATGGAGACAGAGAGAGATTCAAGTTTTATTCTACCCAGGCTCTCCTGCTCTTCGTAGTCATGAAGACCACTACTTGCTCAAAGATTTGGCTCTCAGCACAAGTTTTCCCTACAGCTGAGACAAAACTTTTTGTATGCATAGTACAGGGCTACGTTCTGATGGCCTATTAATACCACCATAGCTTAATATAATAAACACAAACACAGATATTTATTTTAGGGAAATTATCTATTCACAATTTTATATTCATCTTCCCAGTAATTTACTCTTTTATTCACTCACCTCATTCACCCATATGCGAAAAGGCCACCCTGTGTAAGTTACTATGTTGGGTATTTAGCATAGAGTGATGATCAGAACAAAAGAGAAACAGCATACTGACTAACAGTGTAATCAGCACTAGTTCCCTGGAAGAGATAACTTATGAACTGAGGAGCACTAGCAAATAAGGAGAGGGGGTGTATTCCAAGGCAGGAGGGCAACAACTATGGAGAAAGAGGAAGGGGAAACAGAAGGGCATACTCATTCAACTGAATAAGTTTTCAAAACCTAGAAGGAATTTTGGTTTTATCTTGACAGCAACTGGGGACATGGAAAAATGTCAGTCTTCCCTATTGAGTATCTATTAAAGCATATTGGGGGCATTTAGGTTTTTCTGTATTCAGGTTCAACTCACATATTAGAAATATCTAGACTTGTGTATAAAAAAAACAATCTATTAGAGGTAAATGGTTTAATGAAATCTCTCGTACATTCAAGACCAAGACTCATGAGTGTAGTATTTTCTAGTAGAAAATCATTAATTCCGCTGGTACCAGACCATTAATCATAATATATTCTTTTGTTAAATTCTGGTGTTCTTGAACATGTAATTTATAGGTCAAGCCTCATAAATGCTTGGTTCAGTATAACTGAGGCATTGCTGAAAGATGTATTGCTTATATCTGTAGTTCCCTAACAAGCTTAAATATGTTGACTAGACATCTGTCATAATTAAAATGGATTTCAACCTGGCTGGCTCTTAGATAAACAAATAGCCACATAGTGGCAGACTTAGCTTACCTTTTTTATGTACCTAGCAGCTGGCCTTTGGGAGTCTGTAAATGACCAAACTTTGTGTAGCATAAAAAATTTGGGATCAGGGTAAAATAAAGCAGAGAGGGGAAGAAACTAAGTGTAAAAGCACCAAGAACCCATGGCCTTACAATAAGCCAATGCTCTTAAATAATAAATGTTAATATATTAAAAGAGGAAGAGCTACATACTTGCAATATGTTCTAAGTTTCCTGTATCCTCTCACCTGAGTCTTGACTTTGCTATACGGTATGTAAGAAAGCTAAACAGTCCTACCTGAGATACATTTGGAAGAAAAGAAACCCACATTTTTTTTCTGCATATAGAAAAAAAAGAATTGTATTTGAGAAAGAGGTAAGAATAGGTAGAAAAAATATAATACAGTATTGTATTAGTGCTCCAGGGCTGCCATAACAAAATACCACAAACTAGGTGACTTAGAACAACAGTAATTTATTTTCTGACAGTTCTGGAGGCTACAGGTCTGAGATCAAATTGTTCTCAGGGCTGGTTCTTTTGGAGGGCTGCTGGGAAGAATCTCTTCCATATCTCTCCCCAGGCTTCTGTTGGTTTGCTGTCAATCTTTGGCATTTCTTGGCTTGTTCAAGCACCACCACCATCTCTGTCTTCATCCTCACATGATATTCTCCCTGTGTCTATATTCAATTGTATACCAGTCATGTTGGATTAGGGCCCACCCTAATGAATTCATTTTTACTTAATTACATCTGTATAGACCCTATCTACTAGTAAGTCACTTTCTGAGGTACTGAGCATTAGGATTTCAACATACGAATTTTGGGGAGACAGAATTCAGTGTATAACAAATAAATGTAGAGAATTCTATATATTAACTCAATAGGGCTAGGGTATAGAATGGTTTTGGGGTCAAAGCTTGTGTTAGTCTGTTTTCACGCTACTATAAAGAAACATATGAGACTGGGTAATTTACAAAGAAAGGAGGTTTAACTGATGCACAGTTTCACATGGCTGGGGAGGCCTCAGGAAACTTACAATTATGGCAGAAGGTGAAGGGGAAACAAGGCATGTCTTACATGGTGGCAGGGATAGAGAGAGAGAGAGAACAGGAGAAACTGCCGAACACGTTTAAAGCATCAGATCTCATTAGAACTCACTCACTATCACAAAAACAGCCTTGGGGAAACCACCCCCATGATCCAGTCACCTCCCACCAGGTTCTTCCCTGGACACATGGAGATTACAATTTGAGATGAGATTAGGGTGGGGTCACAGAGCCAAACCATGTAAGAGCTAGATGATGGAGGGCCTTTGTATGCAATGCAAAGGGTAAATGTTACTAATTGCTCTCAAACTAGAGTGTGGTTTCTAGTGATGTGTGGCAAAGTTCTATGCTTAAACTATTCTGGTCCCTTAAATTCTGGTCCTTAACGTTTATTAAGTAAATACTATGAGCTTAGTAACAATGTTAAATCTTTTATAAGCTGAATACTCAGGACAGCCCTATGAAATAGATATTTTATCCTCACTTTACGAATGAAGTAGTAGAGGCAACTGGAGGTTTAGTAACTACCAAAGCAATTAGGCTAGAAAGAGACAGAGTCAGAACTTTAACTCAGATAGCCTTATTTTGAGAACCCATGCTCTCACCTTCTATTGTATATTGTCCTTAATATGCTGATCTACCTCCCTTTCCTTCAGCCTGTTTCTTGAATGATCTTCTTTAAACCTTGAAGCTTTGGGGTTTAAATGAACTTATGGCAGAAAAAGTGGTTAATCTAGTCCTAATGGATTGTTCATATTACTGTTACAATGAAGACAAAGAAGGGAAAATAGAAGAAGAAAATGAGAGGCCAGTATATTTGAGGATCACAGGGATAAACCTTGGTGCAATGGGTAAATGTTTCATAGAAACTTGATTGGGTAGAAGGAACATTCTGATAGTGTTGGATATGCCCCGTGACTACTCAACAGATGAGTATAACCTGGAAAACTGATCAGTGCAGAGGATATGCAGAAGGTTCTCCCCTAGAATAAATGTCAAGGAAGAATTTCTTCCAAGTCTCTTACTTTGTCCTGTAAAATATATTCCCAAGCAGATAGCAAAAGAAAACATTCATGTGGCCCACAAACATATGAAAAAAGCTCAGCATCACTGATCATTAGATAAATGCAAATCAAAACCTGGAGAACCATCTCATGTCAGTCAGAATGATGATTGTTAAAAAGTCAAGAAACAACGGGTGCTGGCAAGTTTGCAGAGAAATAAAAATGTTTTTACACTGTTGGTGGGAATGTAAATTAGCTCAACCATTGTGGAAGATGGTGGGGCCATTCCTCAAAGATCTAGAACCAGAAATACCATTTGACCCAGCAATCCCATTACTGGGTATATACCTAAAGGAATATAAATATTCCACTAAAAGATCCATTAACATGTATGTTCATTGCAGCACTATTCACAATAGCAATGACATGGAATCAACCCAAATGCCCATCAATGATAGACTGGATAAAGAAAATGTGGTACCTATATACCACAGAACACTATGCAGCCATAAAAAGGAATGAGATCATGTCATTTGCAGGAACATGGATGGAGCTGGAAGCCATTATCCTCAGCAAACTAACACAAGAACAGAAAACCAAACACCTCATGTTCTCACTTATAAGTGGGAGCTGAACAATGAGAACACATGGACACAGGGAAGGGAACAACACACACTGGGGCCTGTTGGAGGGTGGGGTGGGGGGATGGAGAGCATAGGGAAAAATACAGAATGCATGCTGGGCTTAATACCTAGGTGATGGGTTGATAGGGGCAGCAAAACACCATGGCACACATTTACCTATTTAAGAAACCTGCACATCCTGCACATATACCCCAGAGCTTAAAATTAACAACTACAAACAGAGTTGAATACCTACTCTCAGACCCATTATTCCCAAATCCTTATTAAGAAAAATAAATCCTTCACTTCCTTTATCATGGAAAGGAAGGTGTTGATCTCTCACCCTCAGGTCTGCATCTGAGATGGTTTCTGTAGCATGTCTTTCCAAACAATACCCCCAGCTCCCTCACCTGCCCCACACTTGAGGGATGAGCAGCAGCAGCAGTCTCTTTGAAATCCAGAAGTAAATCTAATTTGTGTTGAGCTGATTGAATGATTGTTGCTAAACATTCTCCATTGTTATTGATGAACAGGAAAAACAAAAATTAATGTGAAAATGTATCTGCCCACCTCATATTTCCCTTTTATATGGAGAGAAGGTCAGGGTATTTTTGTTATTTTTTCCATAATCTCCATGCATTCAATGAAGCTCCTTCCTTTGATACTTCCTGTGTCCTGTGGGCTGCCTCCCTTTACAGATACAACCCTAGACCCAGAATTCTCAGATTAACTCCGCCTCTTATTTACATCATGCTAATTATAACACTATTCCAATGGACACACTCTAATAGTTAAATAAGCATGCAACTGCAATGACCTGCTGTCCTTTCATCTTCCATATGTACAAAGCCCTTAAAAGACACTTCCCCAAACAGCACAATTTCAGTTTCAGAAGCAGCATCTTAGCAAAAGCTTACTCCTAATTTCACGGTGAGAACTCTCCTCTCTTTCCTAACCGTGTCAACCTCCACTCTGACTAGCATCCAGATTAATAGTTATTTAACTGCTGAACAATTATGACAGGTGATTAATTAATCTCAAGGAGCAGCCACTTGTGCTGCTATTAATCAGCCCATCACAGGACAGAAGGAGAAGGAAAGCAATCTGTATTTGTTACAAAATGGGCTAGGCAGGCATTACTCAGGCAATAAGAAAAGGTCATTGTAGAGCTGAAAGCACGATGAGCAGGTTTGTGAGATTGATGAGAGAGAATTATTTTCTGTATATATCATAGGGGCAAAACAAGTCTGTTCCACACAGCGTGTTGAAAGAAACCTAATGCATAAAGAATGGATTTCTCCAGATGTGCAAAGTAGTTAAATCTTACACCATGGGTAAAAACTGAGATTTCTATGTTGCAATGTAAGATGAGGTGTGGACTACTGCCTCATCAATTCTGAAAATATTATAATGACTAGAATTGTTGCAATTGAAAATTAAATACTGAATTTATTTATGCATAGTGATCCATGCCAGCAACTCACAAGTCAGCCTCCATTTTTCTTTGCCCTCGTTCGATACAAGCTACCCTCAACCAGCACCTTTAACACCACTGATACCTGCTCTGCTCTATTGTTACTACCACCATTACAATTCCAGACCTCATCACTCTTGTTTGGATTACTGAAATAACTTTTTCTTCACTATTTTTTTGTGTGCTATACTGAAGTCTTGGTGTTTTGATTTGTGTTTTTTCCTAAAATTAAAATTGCGCAGTAGTATCTTTCTGATTAAACCCATAATAAAGATCCTGTCAAAGTTCTTGGAATGGATTGTAAACCTCTTCCTCAGCACACAGAACGATGACTAAGAATATTGCCGTGAAATCAGACGACTTGACTTGAATGCTAGTTCTGTTTCTTACTAGCTGTTTGATCTTGGGCAAGTCCTAACCTTCAGTGTATTATAAAAATAGGAATAATAACTCTATCTCCCTCAGAAGGAGCATGTGGATTTTAAATGTATTAATACACATAAAGTGCTTAGAATAGTCTCTGAAATGCAATATGTCCTTGATAAATATTAGCTTTATTGTTTATAGCCATGTAGCTAGCCCCATTTTTCTAATAAATGAATTCTCACCTTCACCCTTCTGATTCCAGAAAAAAGCTCTCATATGCACATCTGCTCCTTTGGCCCATTTAAGTCATGAACAGACTATTATCTTCAATGTTCAGCTTTAGAAGTTCATTGACCTTCTCTAAGACACGTTTTCTGACTCTTCCTTGCCCTCTGGAAATGAACTCCCTCACCAGTTTGACTCCTTCTTGTGTCCCACTATTAGCTTTCTTTAAATCACCTGTAATAATTGATTACATTTAACATCCTGCTACTAGAAATCAAATTCTACGGGGTAAGGAATGTTTATTTCCATCTACATTGACCAGCACAATGCCTCACATGCAGCAGGAATTTGACCAATATTTTTGAATGAATGAATGAGTTAGTGAATGAATGAATGAATATTACAGGATAAATTGGACCAGCAAATGGAGATAATGGCCTCATCAGGTAAAATATCCAGTGAAATAACCATGCCTTGACAAACTGAAGATAAAACAGAGTTGATGCACTGACTGCTCCACGAGCTTAAATGGGCATTAACTCTCTGGGGCATTGCTGTAATTGGACCTTGGAGAGAGTAGTCTGGATTGGAATAATTAGCGACTCAAGGCAAACCTTTTGAATCACACTGTCTATTAAAATTACCATCATGTGGAGAAAGCGATTAAAAAAATAAAATTAAATAGATGAGGTTTCCTTCTAGCAAATTGTCAGACGATGTTGCTGATTGCCAGATTGCCTCTTCATGAGGTTCTTCTGCGGCACCAGGGAATTACCAATGATTTACAGCAGGAGTGTCTTAAGCTTTTCATTTAACCTAAAGTACAGAGTCTGCTCTGTAGAAATATGTCATTAAGAAAATATTTGAGTCCCAGCCTTATCTCTCCTCCTTTTGTGAAGCCCCTCCTCAGTTGATAGTAACACCTTTGTTGGGGGAAGGACCTTGTACTCCTTATTTTCCATATTAATCATAATTTATACAGCAAACACTTGGGGTGTCACAAGCACAAGCTTATGACTTCAGGTGGGCAATAAACAGCAGGGGCAGATGAACTTTATATAAAAAAAGATGCTATTTTCACGTGGTTCAATTTACCCCTCCCTGTGTGGATGGGTTTAACTACCCCAGAATCGATTTTTGCAAAGCACCTGAGGAGGTACTTAAATTTAATTGTACTCTGTGCCCATTACTGGAGTAGTTAATCAGGTGCAAACTAGGGCAAAGGCCTTTGGGTTTGCTTCCACTGGGAGGATTCTGTCCTAAACTGTTCCCAAGCTGAATCTTATTTCTGACTGTACAAAATATTAAAAATTAATAGCGAAATAGGCCTTCATTGTTAATAGTGATGATCCCACAGAAATAGACAAGACATTAGATCAGTTACTTTTCTACGTGAAGACTACTTCATTGAAGATCTCATGTAAACCACTGAACCCAAACAGTAAGAAAAGTAATAAGAGAGAATGAACAGGGAAAAAAAAAGAGACAAAAATCTCTGAAATAAATATAAGAAAATTCTCATAGCATGCTAGGAGGTCATGACATATTCTTCCTGCTCAGCCACTGCTACAAAGTATGGAAAGAAGATTGGTTTTAGTGTCTGCAGACACAATTTCAGTTTAGTTTCACTAGTTTTGTAACCTTGGGTTAATAACTTAGCCTCTCTGTGCATCAGTTATCTTTCTATAGCATGCGTATAATAAAGCTCACCCCACAAGGGCTATCACACACCTCAGATGAGATCATGTGAAACTTGTACTGTGAATCTTCTGAGTATCATTCTCATCTCCTGTTTAGATTTGGCAGAGCTGATTTGGACTTGGTTGCATTTGTCATACTAAGAATGGAGTCCAGCTTTGTGATGGTGTGTTTAATAGGAACACAGAATCTAGATGAATAATTGCCACTGCTTTACTTCAAACACACTTAAACCCAATGGTTTGGAGGAATTTTTCTCCCTTCATAGTTTTATTAGGAAATAGCTAGTACTCCCAACTACGCCAACCAGGAGTAACAATCAGACCACTTGAGATTACCAGTCATTATCTGCCCTCCATTTCTCCCTCTCCCACATGTATAAGTGGCCACTGACAAATGTTGCTCTGAAATAAAAAAAAAAAATAGCCTTTAAAAATTACTCTGTGTCAGGTACCCTCATATATGTGACTTAACCCTTACAACAACCGTGTGACTTAGGAATTACTGAAACCATAAAGAAACAGGTTTAAAGAAAGTGAGAGCCCAAAGCCACAAAACTAGTATGCAGTGATCTAGAATGTAAATACAGAACTTAATAACACTAAGATGCATTAGCTTTCCACAATACTGTTTGAAGAAAAACCTAGTACAGTTGTTACCCATAAGGAAATCAGAAGGAAATAATTACGGAAAATAAAACACACTTGAATAGGAAAAGAATTGAACGATCTAGAAATGGAATAATTGGGTTTTAAAGTATGCCATTGGTTGTACTTTGCAGTTGAGATGGTACCAGTATTGTCTATTCCACATTTAGCCTACCCTGTGGAAGGGATATTGATATTCCTATTTTACAAGTGGATAAACAGATATCCAGAGGATTAGGCAACTTCCTTTCGCACTCATCCAGAGTAAAAAAAGTGTTATACTCAAAGCTGTCTATATTGGAGGCCATGTGTCTATTCACTACAGTAAGCTTCATGTTGTTAGAAAAATGAGAGCCTCAATTCGCTACCAATTTTCCTAATTTAAGGTAGTTTATGTTTTTTGGAATGGGAGATGAGACAAATGTTAGCTGATATAATGATCTGTGACCCCACTCAAAATCGTGGCACACAGGGTAAGGACAAAAAAAAAGATTCATGTTATTGAATCATGAACTCATGGAGTTAGCAGCTGAATGCAGTTGAGGATGCAACACGTTAATATGGGATAAACCTGTTTGACAATTGGCAGGTTTGTCTGATTCTTGGCACTGATATAATATGAACAGGTGTGAAGTAAACAACTCCAACTTCATCTTAAATTTCTAACATCAAACATTCATAGCTTCCCTAGTACTATAAAATTTCCCTACTGCTCTTCCATTTACACTTCCAGCCAGGTGCCAGGGTCTATAACGATCAACTGCTAGTAACTAAGATTTCTAAGCACCACTTCATAGACTATGAAAAGGCAATTAGAACTCAAGATTTCAACCCTCTTTATGCCGTGGAACCCTTTGTCAATCTTGAGATGCCCATGAACCCTTTCTCAGAAAAATATTTGTAAATGTCTTCAAATGAATACAATACAATACAATAATCAATCAATTCAAATATATTTATCCAAATATTTTAGAAAAGTATTAATAGAGCAATATGTTCTTTTTTCATTAAATAGCAAAATATGGCAGCAGATCCATACCATAATTTTAAAAGTGATGATAGTAAATATTTCAATATACCTGCAATATCTCTAATGTAATATGAAAATACCTGCAATATTTCTGTTAGTAACAAAGACATTGGTACTGTGAAGATCACTGTTTATTACTTTATTATCAATTGTCTATATTTACAATTGAAGGAAATGCTAAATTTTAGTTGGTACTAGTGAAAGTGCAAATGTAGATTTTTTTTTCTGTGACAATTTACAAACACTGAATTCTAACCACAGGCTCCCCAGGGGTCTAAAAATGTCTAGTCTTTCCTATTTGGTTGGAAGGCATTTCACATACATTGCCTCTAAACCTTATAATATGATATAAGATAGGATTAAATAAACTTCATTTTGCAGATGAGGATGTTGCATCTCGGAGAAATTAAGTTAGTTACATGTGTGATGAGGCTGGCATTCCAACTAAACATGTTCCCATCCCACTCTACTTCCCACTCTACCATTAAGCCCTACCCTGCACCAAAATGACTCCCCAACCTCACATCATTCCATGCCATGTGAATCCTTCTATTCCTAAAATCCTTTGGCAGTAATATTAGGAACACCTGAGATTTCACTTAGAAGGCAGTCTCATAAGCCTGTGAGGATTGTATTATATTTAGATTCACGTCAAAGAAAAGATTTGAATGAAGAAGGCTTTATGACAGGAAGGTCAAACCCTCTAGAGAAAGTTGGTGTAGGAGGGTTAACAGCTACTTACTACTCACAGAAATGACAGAGTGAATTTGCCACAGAAGAAAGAACCCAGCCTACCAGCATTAGCGTATGACCTAGGGAAGTCTTGCTGAGAGGGGAAACACTATCAAAAAATTATGTGAGCCAGACACAGTGCCTTACTCCTGGAATCCCAGAACTTTGGGAGGCCATCGTGGGCTGATCGCATGAGCCTAGGAGTTGGAGGCCAGCCTGGGCAACATGGCAAAACCCCATCTCTACAAAAAATAAAAAATAGGCAGGCATGGTGGCGCATACCTGTAGTTCCAGCTACTCGGGAGGCTGAGGTGGGACAATCGCTTGAGCCATGAAGGTGGACGTTGCAGTGAGCAGAGATCCCACCACTGCATGCCAGCCGGGGTGACAGAGTGAAACCCAGTCTCAAAAAATATATATAAGAATACTGAAAAAATAGTAATAAGGATTTCTTTTCTCATCATTATTTGAAAATAAGCTTTAAAAATTGTAGTAGTTGGGCTGGGCGAGGTGGCTCAGGCCTGTAATCCCAGCAATTTGGGAGGCCAAGGCGGGCAGATCACGAGGTCAGGAGATCGAGACCATCCTGGCTAAAACGGTGAAACTCCGTCTCTACTAAAAATACAAAAAAAATTTGCCGGGCGTGGTGGCAGGCGCCTGTAGTGCCAGCTACTCGGGAGGCTGAGGCAGGAGAATGGCGTGAACCTGGGAGGTGGAGCTTGCAGTGAGCCGAGATGGCGCCACTGCACTCCAGCCTGGGTGACAGAGCGAGACTCCTTCTCAAAAAAAAAAAAAAAAAAAAAAATTGTAATAATCCCAGAAGATCTTATATAAAAATATACTCTGACCCTACGGAATGTTTGGCTAGATATAGCTGGCTCTGGGGCCAGACCTTCCACTAATCTAGCTTTTTCACATACTAGTCGTATTACCTTGGACAGATTGTTTAATCCTTGACTATAATTTTCTCACCAGGAAAGTGAGGATACCAAGAGTTCTCATGATACCGGTGATGGGGATGGTGTGCGTGTGTGTATATGTGTGAATTAAACAAGTTAATTAAATAATATATATATTTTTATATCTCAGTTTTTCACCTTTAAAATGAACATCATTCATATGTACCTTGTAGAATTGTCATAAAGATTATATAATTATAACACCCTTAGGACAGTACCTGATTTACAAAAAGAACACTATGTTCTCGATATTTTTTTTAAGTATAGACTTAAATTGGCTGTGTGATCTTGACCTCGAATATTCAAATTCTCTGAGCCTTGGTTTCCTTATTTGCAAAGTAGGGATGATGCTTTCTACTTCATCTTGATGCTGGCAATAAAAATTGTAAGACCTGTAATTCCAGCTACTCGGGAGGCTGAGGCAGGAGGCAGAGGTTACAGTGAGCTGAGATAGTGCCACTGCACACCAGTCTGGGTGACAGAGCAAGACTCTGTGTCAAAAAAAATAATAATAAAAATAAAATTAAAAAAATAAATAAATGTAAGACCAGTAACTATATTTGAACCCATGTTTCCTACTCAAAAACCTGAACCCTTGATATGACATAATTTTGCAAAAATCTCTAAGTCAATTAACCACATGCCACCATTTTGGCTGCATGTTTTGTATCATAGTTGCATATTACATCATAACTGCAGCTGATTATTCTGGATGATGGCCTTTATCAAAACCTCTGATGACAGTTCCCATTATTTCAAATAATCCTATACTTTCAAGAGTTATTCTATTCTCTGGAAATATTTATCCACTGTATTTTGTGTTTATGATGATTTTTTTTTCTTAAAAGCCTTGAAGTTTTTCCATAATATGTTAGTGAGCTTTGTCTATGAGCCTGAGCCCTTGGTCTATGTCAACCTTCTGCTGACCTGATGGAATCACACACGAGTGCATCTTTAACCATTATTACATTTAACCCTCAGCAATTAGAATTAAAGGGAAAAAGAAAAATCACGAAGTCTTAAATAATAAGTACCTTGTTAAGGCCATTCGTTTTTATTGTGTCTAAAAACATATACTTCAATGTGTAAAAATGTGAGTACATTTAATTCTTGGATAGACAGGTAATGGCTATCTAACCGGTACCTTTGTTATTTGGGATTGATATTAACATTTTTAAAAACAATTTTCCCTTCAGTACATGATACTTTTCTTTCAAAATATTGTTTATATTATGTCTTTTCTTTTGCAGAATTGGCAAGTTTCATAATTTTGATCCAAACCCACTTTAGCTATCACTTTCCATGGGGTAGGATCCAACAATCTCACCTACAGAAAGAACAGAAACTTGGTTCTAGTTGGTCCACATCCAAATAGCTGAAAAGCTTGCTTTAGTTTCCTGTTTGACATGAAACTCAATTCATCCTTCAGACTACCATTATGCCTATCTAAAATGCAAGCAAAAAAGAAAAGTACAACAAACCCAAAACCGCTTCTGTAATTCCTTTTCATTCAAAGTCCTTGACATGACATCAAAGACTCTTTCAGATTAGGCCAGAGTTTTCTTTCTACCCTCATCCTTCACTCTGCCCCACTGCACCTGAGCATCGCTACCCAGTTATTTTTTTTCTCATGGCATCTTTCTTAGCTGGGTTACTATCCATGTCTACAATGTCCATTTCCTTATGTTGCCCAACAGCCCACACCTAGTAAACACCACTGGTCTTTTACCACTAGCCAGATATCACTTTTTCCTCTGAAACTGATATTTCTCTCCCCATTATGGCCTGTCTACTTCCTGTGTCATCAGAAAACTTGTTTGGTATATGAATTTTCTTTCTATTTACATGAGCTGCTTCAAGATCAAGACTGACTTACTATATCTTTTTTGGTCAAGAGAATTCCTGGACTATAGTAAATAACAAATGAAAAGATGGATGGATGAATGAATAAACACATGAGGAGTGAATGAGTAAATGAATGAATGAAAAAATAAGTAAATAAACAAATGAACATCTCTTTTGTAAGGCCCAGTTGAAATATAATCTCCATGAAGCCTTTCTCAATTTCTCCAAATGGATTTATTACTCCCCCTAGACTTGTATAAGTCTCTGTGCTATGCAAAAACCAAGTTAGAATGTGAATTTTTCACGTTTATTATGCACACTATGCTGTGAATTTCTCTAACATGATCATGCCTTATTCATCTATTCAATCCCATGTCTCCACAAGGCTACTTCATCCTAGATATGTAGTATCGTTTTTAATAAATGACTGAATGAGTTATGTCCTACTAATTTTTATGTCCATGCCACTGGTTTATGTCCATGTGACTGGTTTAAAATTGCCCCACAGGGGGAGAATAATTTTTTTTTTCAGATCGGATGCTATCAAGTGAATCATACACCACCAGCTCAGTTGTTTGCTAGTTAACTCTTCGGAAGTAGAATATAGTGGTTCTTAATAGCTATGCATTCTAAAAACAAATGCATGCACTTTTCTTTAATGAACAAACAGTAGGTTGAGCAGTTATTAAATGGCATTCGGTGAGAAATCTCAACAGGTAACCAATTAGCACCACCACAATGACATGTTTACATTTGAAACTTCCAGTAGGGAATGGTTCCTCTCACATCTCGGCAGGCTATAGATTTGTGCTTGAGTACAGCTTCAGTGTGACATGGAGAAACTTAGAGAATTGTTTATTCATATTAAGTTCTTTAATTCTTAAAAACCCCACAAAATAGGAAGGTAAGGACCTTTTGGATATGCTAGTCAGAGAGGGGGCAGTTATACTGGATGATCTTCAAGGTCTACCCATCTGTGCTCTAATTCCCTGGGTGTCCTCTTGCTTTGTGATTATCCAGCTTCTGGCTCATTCCCTCCAGTGCTAGTGAATGACTGCCCAAGGAAGCTATTTCATTTTCAGAAAGCTTTGACCATGAAAAGCCCTTCCTTATGGTGAATTTAATTTTTTTCTCAGTTGTTCTTACAATCATTCCTCACTTTCATAATATGTAACATCGCATAGATGCAGGAACTAATGCTCAACCAGGCCAAGTAGTTTTAGCTCTAGCAGCTCTTTTTCTTACAGTGGGTTGAATCCCTCAAACATTTATCTAAATTATTTTTTCTTCACTCTTCTCACTTTTAATCAGGCTTGGAAATTTTATCCTAATTGTCTGTTGCATCAACCCCTTTTAACATATGTCCACTCTTACTCATTACTCGGCAAACTCACACATTACATATTTGGTGCAAAACTCAGAACTTACCAATAAATAAATTGTTGTTATGATTAACATTAACCACATACCATAATAACAGTTGTATTATAACATAATAGTAATATCATACTAGTTGTTTTAATATTAATGATAGTTATAATCACCATTGTTTGCATACTAATCCCATCATCAAAAACACAAATAGCTGCTTTATCTATAGCCTTAATCCTATGAAAAAATAGTGTTTTTTCTTTTGTGTAATATATAACATTGTATGGCTATAACTTGATTTATTATTCTATAAACAATAGATTATTGTCTGTAGGAATGAAGAGATGGTAACAAGTTTGAACTAATTATGAGATATAATTATCAAGACAGTAATTAATTGGATGTGGAGTGTGAAAAAGCAAGACACAATCAGGTGTTTTGCAGAGGCACTTGGATGGGTTGAAGAGTCATTTGTGGAGAATAAGATGATTGGAGAGTGGGGGAGAAAATGAGTTAAGTGTTGTGTAATTGAACTAGAAGTAGAGCATCCATGTAGAGATGAGCTGTTGGATATATGGGACTGGAGTATCAGAAACAGGCCTATCTTTGTGGTGTGAATTTGGAATTAATAAGGATAAACATGAATAGGAATATGAATGAAGTAACAGGAATGAATAAGACTTTGCAACAAGCATACAGTAAGAAATAAAAGGAGGTTTGTAATAAATTCTGAGAAACCAAGCTTTGTGATATAGGTAAAAAAAAAAAAATCTCTAAAAGAGTATACGAACAGTCAATTATTAGAAACTTTCTGTTTTAGTAAAATCATTTCCCTTAAGGAGTGAACCACATATGCCCACACAAAAGAAGGCACTATAATTCCCCAATATTAATTCATCCTATTCTCTATATGCCTGAGATTATCTTTCTACCATCTTCTGCCTATTTAAGTTATTTTCACTCTTCAAGATTCAGCTCAGGCTCTGTGAACTGTGCTACTTCTTCCTATTAGCCCTTATTGATCACTTGCTCCCCTCAGCAGCTTCTTCAGCACATTCACTGTCTGGATTGTAAAATTTGGTACCCATAGCTACTCTTCCTTAACTATTTTAATCTTGTTTCCCAACTATGTTGGGAATCTCATATCTTTGATTTCTTTCTCTGTCCTACTGTGATTTAGGCACATCCTAATAACAAAATATACAGATAACTGATGAGGGCAGGATGAAGGAAGAAGTAGGGGAAAATGTTGGCAGAAAATATTTGATTGATTCTCTACAATTAAAAAAACAGGGTAGCAAATGAATTAGCCAAAAGGATCACATAGTACCTGCGTTCAGTATTTTATAATGACTGAACTGAGCAATTGTGAAATCAATTTATTTTATGTGCATCCCCTGTGATGCAATATGACAAGGTAATAATTTATTGATCTATGGATTAAAGGTGCTCAAAATGCTTGCATGATGATATAAGCTATTTCAGCCACTAAAATATTATGCCTGAGATATTACAAGCCTCGTTCGGTGTTTTTGGTCCTAGAGGTTGTTGCATACCTGGCAATGAAATGTTCTAATAACATTCCCTTCCTATAATCATTTAATAGGACAAGACCATGATTCAACTTTGTCACTGTTTCTCTTGGTGTGGTCAGGATGCATTTCAATGATCCAACTAAGGAGAGTAAGAAAATAGCAATTTCTAGCTTTCAAGTTAAGATGTTTTCCTTAAAAAATTTTTAAACACAGCATGAAGAATGTTTTTATTCATCTAAAGTCAGCAGTCATGTTTCCCATGACATTGTATCCACCCTTCTATTCAAGCAAAATGCCAGAGAAGGGGTTTCTTGCAAAACTGCAGCATCTGCCGTTACGGTTTTATCTACCAGCTAGTTTACTGTGACTAGTAGAAGTACCACATCCTCACATAACTGGTCATGTTAGTTTGAGTTTAACTCTTCAAGAAGTCTAGTATTTTATTTACCCCTTTACTTTTTAAGAATAGTTTCCTGGCCAGGCGCGGTGGCTATGCACTTTGGGAGGCTGAGGCGGGTGGATCACGAGGTCAGGAGATGGAGACCAGCTTGGCCAACATGGTGAAACCCTATCTCTACTAAAAATACAAAAATTAGCCAGGTGTGATGGTGCATGCCTGTAGTCCCAGCTACTCGAGAGGCTGAGGCAGGAGAATCGCTTGAACCCGGGAGGCAGAGGGTGCGGTGAGCCGAGACAACGCCACTACACTCCAGCCTGGGCAACAGAGTGAGACTCCGTCTCAAAAAAAAGAAAAAATAGTTTTCTGTGACCAAATAACCAAGAAATATTTTTTCTCCCCCTTTGCTGATAGAAAACACATCTTCCTCTTCCTTCCCTGTGGTCCTATCCACCAAACCTACAAGTTTCTTTGCAACTAGGGCTCCAGCTCTGACTGCTCTAGAGATTCAAACCAACTTACCTGCTGGGTATTTTCTTTAGGGTGTCCTCTTGATACATCAAACTGAAATTTCCCTCAATGTCTGGTCATACTCTTTGGAGTCCTAAATCTGTCCTCCTGTACTGTCTTCTCAGTTTGTGATTCATGAAGCTACTGAAGTCAAAAATGTTAGAGATGATCTTGACCCTTTTTTCTCTTTCTCATTTACTGTCTTTCTCTTGCATTTTAATTATTCACATGGTCTCGTAAATAACCACTTGACTTTCTTCCATAACCTTCATCCTATTAATAATACCTAGTGTCTTAACTCAGCCTCATCATCTCTTCATTTGAATACTATGATAGCTGCTGCACTGATCTTTTGTTGTTGCCAGATGTAGAGAAGGTTTTTTCTTGTTCTCTCAGGCCCAGAGGCGAAGTCAAAGGACATTCCATATTACAGAGTCAAAAAATCACTTGTAATCGGGGCCATTCACCAATTCCAGCTTTTTGCAAGATGCAAGGACAGAACTAGTTCTATTACAAAACACTGCCATTTCCTCTTCTAAATTGTGAGAAATGAACTGTGATGGGAGATAGGATAGAAGAGGAGGTTGTAGATCTTTTTCAAAATGCACACTTCCTCGTAAAAGACTTTCCCCTCCCTAAATCCAAGTGACGTGGCCTCAAAAGAATAAACCATGTCACTGAAGATGTCCATAAAGAGCACACTGCTATCTTAATTCCAGGGTCGTGCCTGCTTTATATGCTTTTTTGCTAATCTGAGATGGGTACCTGTGTGGAGGTGGTGGAAGATGAGCATACGCAACTGGAATAATGCAGCAGGGAAAGAAGAGGCCTCAGTGCAGCCTACTGAGCTCCCACCATTTGACTTGACACGGACGAAGAAATGAGTTTCTCTTGATTCTCTTCTAGTAGACACTGGGCGTGGTGTCTGGGCTGAGGCATCCTCAGAAGCAAGGGGCTGCAGGATGGAGGCTGTTGGGGACACTAGAATGTGACAAGTGGATCTCTTATGCCAATAACTACACGTTGGTGAGACTCTGCAGGCTCTTTCAAAAATCCTACACATGCATTCCTCAGGAGAGCCAAAACTATTTACTTATCACCCAGAAGATAGGAATATTTGTCAGTTTTATCAGAGAACCAGAGACAATAAAACAAGCAAGCATGCTTCTACTTCATCTAATTAAGTGAGAGAAATGAATTATTTTCTGTTTCCTTAGTCAAATACACTACTGCAGCTGTAGGAAGGGTATCTTGGGCCTAGACAGTGACCACCTCACAACTCAGGTGTCATCGCCTCTATGAATCCTTTCCTCTCTTGATTCCTAAAGCCTCTCATCCAAGGTACTTTGGCCTCCTAGAGGCATACTGCTTTTCAATTATCTGCTTATATTTATCCCTCTGATGAAACTGAAAGCAATAATGAGTTGGATTTGTTTTTTAAATTTAAGAATCTAGCCAAATACATAACATTAAATTGGTGTTGGTAAATTTCCTAGGACGGATTACTAACAGAAAAATGCTCTTACCCCAACAAAGAACCTCTTTATGCACAAAAAATTGAGATCCTACATTGTTGTGAACACCAGAAAGATGTTACAGTTTTTTAATTATACTCAAATAATGCGGTCCACAGGTGAAATGAAAGGGAACTAATAATTCTGAATATCCACTATGATTTCACACATTTTACTGGGCTCCTTTTGGTTGCTATTGTTTTTCAAAAATTAGCATTCTCTCAGAGAATTGTAAAATTATTATTGAACTAGCCTTATGTTGTTGTAAAACAAATAAAGGCCTTAGAAAGTTATAAAAAAATGGGCTTCAAAGACCTGATCCACAATATCCCAGCTATGCAACACTGGGCTAAATTAAACTTCCTGAGTCTCAATTTTCTTTCATAAATAAAATGATAAAACATGACTATTATAGCAGAGCTGTAAGAATAAAAAAGGTTTGTAAATTACCTGGCATCTAGTCAATGCTCAATAAATGACAATCATTGGTAGAAGTAGTAGAGATAAGTATCTAGTTGATCTAAATTAGGCTAACATTGTAGAAGTGTTGAGATTTACAAAGTTATTCTCTCAGAAAGGGCAAAGGGGATAAATACACAACTCACATTTTTAAAATCCAAATGAAAAATCAACCCTACTTGTTTTCAAATTAATGAAAAATTAATGAACTTTAAATTCTTACATATCGATGTAGACACTGCTTTAAAAATTTATAATTCTCAATGTTGATAAGTTTATAGGAAGATGGGAATTCATACTCCAAGGAGATTGCAATGATACAAACTCCATGGATAATTAATTAGAAATATTCCTACTTTTGAATAGATTTACATATTCAAAATTCTACTTGTAAATATTACCATAAGTAAAGAATTGGTTACTTATACAGAATTAAGAATGTGGATAGTCACAATGACATTACAAGAGAGAAAAAAGTCAAATATACCCACATCTTCAGAAATAATAAATTATTCAGTGTATGCTAATGCATTCATATAGAGTAGTCCACAAAAATTAAAATTATGTTTTAGAGGAATATTTAAGGTCAGGGACATGACTATGTATTCTTGTTTAAAAAGAGTATTTTGTAACTCCAATTGTATAAAAAAGATGTCTCTATGAATAGAAAAAGACTGGAGGAAAATTGTCAATATCTGTTATCATGAGGTGGCGTGGAATTGCTTTCAGACACCTCAGGATGTTACCAGGAGGGGCATGGGCCCTGGTTCTGCTCTGGTTGTTGAAGTGATCAGTGTTCTTCACTCAGAAACACCAGTTGTTAGATTACTAGTTCTAAAATCTGCTGTGCAACCTAATCCTACTGACGGAGTTTTTAATGAAAACTCACAGACTCTAGTCCTAGATCTCCTAATCCAATCTCAAGAACTGAGAGCTGAAAATATGTCTTTTTAAAAGTATACATTGTCTTAAAATTTTCAAAAAGGGATAGGTAAAATGAGAGAACAATAGCCACCTGTCCTCACTGCTTTCCTCATTTCATCCCTCCCTCTCCCTGTTACAGCTATTAGTCTCAGTTCAACACTGTTGTATGCATATTAAACTAAATTTTCTTTATTAACATAGTTGGAATCATATATACACTGTTTTTTTTTTTTTTTTTTTGAGACAGAGTCTCGCTCTGTCGCCCAGGCTGGAGCGCAGTGGCGTGACCTTGGCTCACTGCAAGCTCCACCTCCCGGGTTCACCCCATTCTCCTGCCTCAGCCTCCCAAGTAGCTGGGACTACAGGCACCTGCCACCAAGCCCGGCTAATTTTTTTGTATTTTTAGTAGAGAAGGGGTTTCACCATGTTAGCCAGGACGGTCTCAATCTCCTGACCTTGTGATCTGCCCGCCTCAGCCTCCAAAGTGCATATATACACTGTCTTATGACTTGCTTTTATTATTTAATAATATGTTGTGGATATTATTTATTATTTATCAAAGGTTATCTAGCTAGATATCTTATCTTTTAATTTAAAGGGGAAATATGTGCACATGAAACACGACCTTTAAAACAATACCAACAAATGGAATATAAAATATTCTCATTGTTTAGTTTTCTATTAGTTTAATGATTAGTATTATAGCAATATAGTTTTTGATGATTCAATTTTTACAAGTCAACATTTACCCTCTTTTTTATTCTTTCTCTTCCCTCTAGCTCATTTAAAAATGTATAATAATAGAATGTTTGTAATTCATTCTGTAATTATAATTAGGTTTCATTTGCATAGTTAACTCTAAAAGTTTTAAATATAGGTTTTTTGTGTCTTTTTCTCCTTTAGTCTTGCTAGGATTTTATTCTTTTCTTGTTTTGGTAATATTATGTTTTCTTATGGTTACTAAGATGCTGCTACTGATAACCAAAGTGTGTGCTAATTGCCATTTAAAACCAGAAGTCCTATAAATAACTCTAACAGTCAAGCAGAGGAAAAAGGTCCTTCCTCTCTTACTAAATGTATGATATCAGTAATAAATTTAAGAGCCAATCTCATTTTCCAAATGAGGTAGTTGGTTCTTTCAAGTCAAAAAGAATAAAGAACACTTAAAATAGGCCACCCCAAAAGTGAATCCTTTAAATTCTTTTTTTAATATTAAACTGTGCCTGGGAAGATTACTTCAATACTGCTTTATAATGGGAATTACTTTTTATTTGCCTGCAATCTTTGTTCTCCTGTTCTCTTGAAATAACGTAAAACGTACCCCTCTTGGAAAAATAAAGAGTATGGCTTTTTTTTTTTTTTTCTATAGAAACCTCTGTGTTTGCCTGCACTTTGCAAAGAATAATGACATTTAGCTAACGTGCTGTAAATGAACTGTGGCCGGCAAGCCTCCCCAGATAGTATTCATCATTTGGGTGGTGTGTGTGAATATTCAAAGCATGGCCAGGAAAGGTAGAAACCTCTGGGATGGTGGCATGGGCTCCTCATAATTTAAAATGAGATGGAGATAAGCAAATCCATTTCCCAGAGACCTTTATAGCTTAAGAGTGAATTATTTCTGTCCATAAAACAGAGAACCTGCTGTGTGATATTTGTAAACAGCAATTTTGTTCATAAAAACAACGTAAACCTTTTATGCACCTGATGCCCATTCCCTAACTGCTTTTTATCAAATGTGTCTTACCCACAAATGGATGCTAGGACAGAAAAGATATGCTCTATGCAAATAGTGTTTCCCACTAGTTGCTATGATTAATCAAATAGGGCCATCTATCTAATAAAGTTACATCTCAAGCAGATTCATGGTGCCTGTGTTGCAGCTGTATATGGTTGTTGCTCTTACTGCTGCTGCTGCCACACAGCATGTATTAGCCTCCTGTCAATGGAATTCCTGTGTGCTTTGTATAATAGATATGGTAAGCCTAGGGACTTGCTAACACTTTTTTTTTTTTTTTTTTTTTTTTTTACATTTTAGGTCAATGGTATCTGCAGGGGTCCATCCAGAGAGGAAGTAGCCATTCCTGTCTAGTCTGGAGATTAAATTGCAGCTCTTTTCCATGTGGTGGAATTAAAAGGGGGAAATGAAGGCTCTCTGAGCCTCAGATCTTACCAACATTAGATTCCAATCACTATAATGGGAATTATTGAACCATCAAGGTAGCAGGCTAGCTGTGTACATCTGGTCTGCTCATCTGTTTCTGGAGATTGAGCCTTAAATGGGACCTCAACATAGAGTTCCACATGGGTTGGACTGGCTAAAATCTGCTTTTCTTTGCAATTTGTTTGGTTGACCCACTCCTGTTCTCATTAGACAAAGACCTTCTTTTAACAGTGTACACTAGCAGAAATATCATAAACTTTAGATTGCAACTCTATCATTTTCTAGATGTGCAAGTTGCTTAACCAACCTGAGCCCATGCTCCTCGAGCTTTGTTGACATGCCCATCTTTTCTTTGTCCTTTAGATCTCTGCTTTGCTGTTCTCTTTTTCCAGGATGCCTTCCCTAATCCTGAAACATCAAATCAGCATACCCTCCTTTATGGTGCTTTAAAATCGGTTGCTTATGCTTACTTTCACAATCTTGATTATTCCACACTATGTTATATTTGCTATCGGGGGAGCCCACCCCCAATATTTCAATGTAGGTTCTTTCTATTTTCCATAAGTGTCGGCCGGCTGAGAAATAAAGAGAAAGAGTACAAAGAGAGAAATTTTACAGCTGGGCCACTGGGGGTGACATCACATATTGGTAGGAGGGGGTGCAAGAACAGAGAGTAGATCACAAAGATCACATGCTTCAAAGGGCAAAAAGGAGAACAAAAATCACATGCTTCTGAGGAAACAGGACAAAGGCAAAATCAGAAACTCCTGATAAGGGTCCAACAAAGATCACAATGCAAAGGGCAAAAGGAAAGATCACAAGGCAAAGGGCAAAAGCAGAATTACTGATAAGGATCTATGTTCAGCGGTGCACATATTGTCTTGATAAACATCTTAAACAACAGAAAACAGGGTTTGAGATCAGAGAACTCGTCTGACCTCAAATTTACCAGGGTGGGGTTTTTCCCCACCCTAGTAAGCCTGAGGGTACTTCAGGAGACCAGGGTGTATCTCAGTCCTTATCTCAATCGCATAGGACAGGCATTCCCAGAGTGGCCATTTATAGGCCTTCCCCCAGGAATGAATTCCTTTCCCAGAGTATTAATATCAATATTCCTTGCTAGGAAAAGAATTTAGCGATATCTTCCCTTCTTGCATGTCCATTTACAGGCTCTCTGCAAGAAGAGAAATATGGCTCTTCTTGCCCAACCCCGCAGGCAGTCAGACCTTATGGTTGTCTTCCCTTGTTCCCTAAAATCACTGTTATTCTGTTCTTTTTCAAGGTGCACTGATTTCATATTGTTCAAACACAGGTTTTACAATTAATTTGTACAGTTAACATAATTATCATAGTGGCCCCGAGGTGACGTACATCCTCATCTTACGAAGATAACAGGATTAAGAGATTAAAGTAAGACAGGTGTAAGAAATTATGAAAGTATTATTTGGGAACTGGTAAATGTCCATGAAATCTTCACAATTTTTTTTCCTCTGCCGTGGCTCCAGCCGGTCCCTCCATTCAGGGTCCCTGACTTCCCACAACAATTTGCCAGTTACTTTTTTTGTCTTACCAGTGAGATGGGATGGTTCCCTTGACCCCTTTGCAGGACTTGTGAAGGGGTGGCTCACTTTCTAAGCTAGCAGCTCTAAAACCCCCTGTAGGAGGGGGAGAAGGCAGGTGAGCAGGTAGGTGCAGGAGCCAGGGCAAGAGTGCTTTTGGATGCTGGCAGGAATAAACCCTGTACCAAACCCATGGCAGCATCTAGGGGTTGCCTACAACCCCTGGAACCCCAGGGGTATGTGTTACAGTGGGCTCTGTTAGCTTTGCCATCTGTGGGTGGCTAAGTGTTAACCAGATCAGTGGAGGGTCAGGGTGACAGACTTTTGCACCTGCCCTCTTGGTACGCACATTCTCGTCCAGCATATAAGAAGAATTGTGTTGCACAAACAAATTGAAGAGTGGTGAATGTGGAAGATTTTATTGAGTTGTGGAAGTGGCTCTCAATAGGATGGGAAGCTGGAAAGGGGATGGAGTGGGAAGATAGCAGCTGAACTCCTCTCCAACCATAGTCTCTGATGTCCAGCTGCTGCTTCTCCTCTCGATGTTCAGACGCTTCTTCTCTTCTCTCCTTTTCTGCTGCACTGCTCCTCTACTCTGCCCCTCTGCCAGTGGAAGCTGCAGTTTTTATGGGTATAGGATGGGGAGCATGGCAGGCCAGGGTGATTTTGGAAAAGGCAACATTTGGGCAGGAAAACAGGAATGTATATTCTCACTTAGGGCATGGGTCCAGGCTTGAGAGTGGAGCCCGCACTTTTCTACCTAGTATTTTCTTGCCTTCTCTCTGTATCACCAGTACTGTGGACCCTTTAAAATTAGGAGCTATGTCTTGATCATGATCTTACCCCTCGTGACTTGCAAAATAACTAAAACATTTTGGTGATCAATATAGGTTTGTTAAACAAGTGTGTGGTCAACATGAATATGTACCAAAACACTCAAGTGACAGGAAATTACTAATTTCTTTATTTTCCATCTATATCCAATTGTATAAGAGTCATTTCCATATTCTAGGTTTGTCTGGAAATCTGACCTCAGTTCTTCAAAGATGAGGGAAGGATCAAGAAATCCTTTCGTGAAGAAAACTCTGTGCTCTCATAGTCCTGACAAACCAAAGAAGCTCCCATTGGTTTTAAATTTATCGTAGAGGCCACTATCAGAGATGCTCTTTTACTCACACAGGCCATTGAAAGATGTTCTGTTTCCCTCTCCTCATGCTGGAAACATGAATACTCTCTGAGTCCTGGTGTCCAAAAACTCCCATGGGATCAATTTGCCTCAAGGTCCTACTTCCCCTGAGGTGCTGTACACCAGTGATGCACACAGATCTCCTCTAGGAACCCATAACACTTAGTATTCTCAGCTTATAGGAAACCAGCCATCTCCCTACTACTTAGGTGGCAACTCTTCCTCCTCAAATTGCCATATCCAGTGATACAAAGCCCTGGAACATGTGGGGCATAGGGATAATTGCCTTTGGAATGGTTTATGACATACAAATACATTTATTCATATTCTACCCTCACCCTGATAAGAGAAGCCAGAGGGTCATTGGGGCAAAGGGAGGAAATGTTGGGAGATAACTTTTTCTTAGAATTATAACAATGAGAAGGAAACAAAATTTAAATTTCAAAGAATTATTTTGCCATGGGTAAATGAGCTAATTTGTTAATCAATGAAATTGAAATGAAATGCCCCACATCATAAAGTTATCATGATGATTAAATATAATAGATATGTTCTCTTTTCACCTTTGCAAAGCATCTAGCACAGTACACGGCATTCTAATTGTGTACAATATGTGTTTGACCATGCTGCAACCCTCGCCATGCTGCATTTATATGCGTTGTACCAGATACTTGCCATGTTCATCAAACAACAGTTAATAAGATCAAGGTCCCTGAAGGCTGTAATTCTTCCTAGGAGTCAGTTTTAATCGTTTGCTGCCTAATTTCTCTACGTTTCTAGGGTGTTTCTTTTAGAGCAGTAGTATTGTTACTATACCAGTGACAATCTCGTGGTATTGAACATAAATGGAGTGGTCACTGTACAGTAGGTCTTTGACAGCTTGGTCTTCAACTCCATATAGACTTGAGTTCTCATTGCTTTTTAGAGTTGTAATATTTGACAATCCACTCACCTCTCTAAAATTTAATTTCCTTACCTTTAAGATGAGAATAATGATAGTAATTACTTTATAGAGTAGTAATAATGATTGCATAAGACAATGAATGTACAGCTTTTAGTATATTGTCATGTGTGTAATATTAAACAATATTAATAACTATTGTTAATAAAATAAAAAGTTATTACCTTATGAAGATAACCCAGTTAATTTGTGCATCACCTTATATGGTTCTGTTTTTTTCACTTATATAAGAGTACAACTGGCCGGGTGTGGTGGCTCATGCCTGTAATCACAGCACTTTGGGAGGCCTAGGTGGGTGGATCACTTGAGGTCAGGAGTTCAAGACTAGCCTGACCAACATGGTGAAACCCCATCTCTACTAAAAATACAAAAAAATTAGCCAGGTGTGGTGGTAGGTGCTTGTAATCTCAGCTACTCGAGAGGCTGAGGCAGGAGAATCGCTTGTATCTGGGAGGTGGAGGTTGCAGTGAGCCGAGATCACGCCACTGCACTCCAGCCTGGGCAACAGAGTGAGTGCTTGTCTCAAAGAAGAAAAAAAAAAGAAGAAGAAAAAAAAAAGGAGGAGTACAACTGTATAAAAGAGGAAGTTAAATATTTATCTATGTAATTATCTATCTAGTTTTCCCAGATATAGGCACTGACTACCCACTGCAGGACAAGGTTGTTGCCCAGCTAGAAAGTTATCTTCTGTTCTTAAGAAATTTCTTGTAAATAAAAGGAAATAGTCAAGTAATGATAATAGATTGAGACAACTATCATTTATTCGTTAATTTAAGAAGCATTTATTGAGTGACGGCTTTCTGGCAAGTATGGCTCGAGGCTGGAATGAGGCCCAGCTTTGAGAATACAGAAAAAGAAAGACCTTAGGACATGAACCAACAAGGAAAGGCTTCCTGGGGGTAGGAATCTTTGATCTAAATCTTGAGAAATTTGTAGTCTGTAAAGAGGATGGGAAGTGAGTTCTAGATAAAGAGAAAAAAGTAAAAATGCAAAGACTGAGAGACTGTGGTGAATACAAGTAGCCCAGAGTGGTGGGACTTGCTAAAGATGAGCAGATAGAGATTTGTGGAACCAGATACTTAAAAGGTTGATAAGATGCCAGGGAGGATGAGCTTTATTCTAAAACAAAGGAGAACCCCTCAAAGATACACATGACTTAGAGATTTGTCTCTTTTCAAAGAAATATGCTCTAATATTCTTCTAAACCCTTCTTAGAATTATTCTTCTAAACCCTTAGAAGAATATTAGAGCACATTCCTTTTTTTTCCTTCAACTTGAAAAGCTATCACCATGGCAGTAGCTACTTATTCTTTGATAGAGCAACAGAGATTAAGCCTGTTGAAGCTGAGAGTCAGGGATAGCTTAACAGAAATTAGTAACTCGTTCTCTATGCTATATATAGGGGGTTACGATTGGTTCAAAACTTGGGAGACAGCTGAATGATTTCCAAATCACAAAATAAAATATAATTGGAAAGAAATGAAGGAAAGTTATATATTAAGTGGCTACTATATACAAGGCATTATGAGTACTTTATACTTATTTTTATCACTTAATCCCCAATTATCCTTAGAGTGTTATATAACGTTGTCTTAAAGAGTCTGATGATAGCAAGCAAACTGAAACATTGGTATTTGCCCAGGACCACACAGACAACAGAAAGGGAAACCACAGGTAAATCGAGGCCTGTCTGGATCCAATATTCATCCTCTTCCTTTCCACCACAAAACCTCTCCATAACAAATGAAATGAACATTCCCAGCAAATACCCTTGTTATCTTGCCACTGCAAATTCCTCTGATTTTAGGGAGAAAAGTTGATAAAGACTGAAGAAGAAAATAGTGTGGCAAAGAGGTTTGGATGAAGACACATGCCTCTGGAGAGGTAGAATTAGTTCAACCATTATGGAAGAGAGTGTGGTGATTCCTCTAAGATCTAGAGGCAGAAATATCATTTGACCCAGCAATCCCATTACTAGGTATATACCCAAAGGAATATAAATCATTCTACTATAAAGATATATGCACGTGTATGTTCATTGCAGCACTATTCACAATAGCAAAGGGACACAATATCAACCCAAATGCCCATCAATAATAGACTAGATAAAGAAAGTATATATACACACCATGGAATACTATTCAGCCATGAAAAGGAAGTAGATCATGTCCTTTGCAGGAACATGGATGGAGTTGGAAGCTGTTATCTTCAGCAAACTAACACAGTAACAACAACAACAAAAAGACAAAACAGTGCATGTTCTCACTTGTAAGTGGGAGCTGAACAATAAGAACACATGGACACATGGATGGGTGGAGCACCACACACTGTGGTCTGTTGGGGGGCGGTGGAGGGAGAGTATCAGGAAGAACAGCTAATGCATGCTGGGCTTAATACAAAGTGTCAGGCCTCTGAGCCCAAGCTAAGCTATCATATCCCCTGTGACCTTCATGTATACATCCAGATGGCCTGAAGTAACTGAAGAATCACAAAAGAAGTGAAAATGGCCTGTTCCTGCCTTAACTGATGACATTACATTGTGAAATTCCTTCTCCTGGCTTATCCTGGCTCAAAAGCTCCCCCACTGAGCACCTTGTGACCCCCACCCCTGCCAGCCAGAGAACAACCCCCTCTGACTGTGATTTTCTTTTACCTACCCAAATCCTATAAAACAGCCCCACCCCTATCTCCCTTCGCTGACTCTCTTTTTGGACTCAGCCCACCTGCACCCAGGTGAAATAAACAGCCTTGTTGCTCACACAAAGCCTGTTTGGTGGCCTCTTCACAGGGACGCAGGTGAAACAAAGGTGATGGGTTGATCTGTTCAGCAAACCACCATGGCACATGTTTACCTATGTAACAAATCTGCACATCCTGCACATGTACCCTAGAACTTGAAAGTTGAAGGAAAAAAAATAAGTATGGCAAACTAACAAAGAGAGAGAGAAAGAGAGAAAAAAAGAAACTGTCCCTGTAGAAGTTCTTCAGGTACAATGTGACTGTTACAGAGATTGCTTGCCAGCCATCATTGCACAGACTCACCAAGGAAAGATAAATATATAATGGTTGGGTTTAAGGGGAGCAGAACGGCACAGACCAAGTAGGTTGCTGTATCTGAGTCTCATTGTTGGTTATGAGGAGCATGCAATTGAATAAATAGTTCTCATTATCCAGAAGAAGAAAGCACTCAGAGCGTGTCCAAGCAATGACTCAAAATAAATTTCCTTAGAGCTTAAACAAGGGTCAGAAAAGACATATTAATTAACCATCTTAACTGACTTTGTTGTGAAGTTGGGGCAGAAGTAAATCAAAATTAAATAATATGTCTTCAATTTGATTTAATTTTAGAGCTGTACAGAGGGCTGAGAATAGAAAATTATATAACAGGAAGTTATGTTTTCTTGCTTTCAAAGGACTCTCTTTTTCCAATTCCCACCAAATACTGTTTCTGTGGCTTTCCTGAGCTTTGTCAGTGCCTATTTGCTATTAAGAAGCTTTATTTTTTCATGTGAGAGAGTCTGTCATTTTTCATTTTCATCAGGTATCATTTCGGACTCCCACTTGACGTGGGCACTTTGTCCCATTTCTGCAAAGCAGCTTAAGTGGAGGCCAGCCTGCCATTGCAGGGTTTTTCTTGATTGCTGGCAGATTGGATTAAATCGAAAGCAAGAGGTACTTTAGTTAGCCTTAATTAGGGCCTGCAGTACATATGTTCTGTTCCAGACGAGACAACTTGATGAAAAACGCAGCAAGAAGTCATTAGAAAACAAGTAAATAAGGCATTGTTAGAGATGGGGGATGGGGGAAGGGGGTGAAACACTTGGGAAACAGATTTCCCTTGTTTTCAACTTGAAAGAGGCAAATAATTATTCTGAAGAACTTGTGAACCTTATCTGCACAGTTTCTAACAGCTACTTGTCACTTGTCTACTTTTGTTTACAGGTTGAAAAAAAATGTTCATGTGTAATTAGTTTTTCTTTTCTTTTTCAAACTATAACAAATCGTGGCAGTGTTTATTTTGTAAATCTGGACGTCTTATAAAATAATTATAGCTACCATTTATTCGGTACTTAATATGTGCCAAGCTGTGTTTTATAATGGGACTTTACATTTTCTTATGTAGTTCTCGTCAATACATTGCAAGAGATCAATATTGTAGAATTTTGCTCCTTAGTTCAGCTAAAACAGGGTTCTTGTTACACAATCAGGAAAATTTAGGCACATGGACACATTGAAGGGTGAGTAGAGCAGGATTCTACTGGGTGAAAAGAGAAAAAAAAAAAAACTCGGCAAAGTGAGATGGGTCCTGCTAACAGGTCCCCCACCTCACAGATTAAATCCCAGGCTACCACACAGGAAGTGAAGAGGCTAGGCTCCTCCCCCTCCTCGTGGCCCCACGCTGTTCCCCCAGTGCTCGTGTGGGCATGCTCAGACAAAGTCCTGGGCAGGTTCCCTCATCTGCACAAAAGCATCTGATGTAGACACTTGTGAGCCAGGTCAAGAGATTCTCTGGGGACCCCTTTTTATCTACCTAGGCATTTGGCTGTCACATTCCTTTCTCTAAAGAAGTACATCTAACTGCCATTAAGAAAAGGGTAAGGATAAGGATGAAGACCACTCTTAACAGCTTCCTGCTGACAAGAGGTCCTGTTTTGGGAAAACAGAAGTCAGATCCCCCTAAGAGGCCTATCTAAGGGTCCCTGGCAAAAGGGGCCATTGTCTAAGGCTCCAGTTGCATGACCATTTGGAGTCTGATGGCCTAAAGGCAAGAAGAGACAAACCAAGTTATTAGAAAACATGTATCAAAACAAAAGAAGTGGAGGGTAAGGACAGCTCAAACATCCCAAGGCCTTTTACCAGTTTGCACAGAGAGAGGGAGGCCAAAAACCTCGAAATGATAAAAAAAAAAAAAAAAAAAACTTTTACCCTTTTGCTGGCATGTGAGGCTTCTGGGTTCCTTTTCCCTGAGCCCAGTCCTAAGCCAACTAGTCTAAGGTTTGGGAAATTAACTCGTCCCAGTTTGAAGGATGCATCTGACAGAAGTGTCCCATAGTATGGAGACACAATCACCTATCAGTGAAGAGAGGACAGAGGAGGAAAAAGGAAAAAAAGAAGTATTTTTTTTTTTTTCTCAGAGGAGTCCCAGGGGTTCAGGATGCATTCAAAAGGGGTATAGACAAGATGAATGGCTACTTATCTAGAAACAGGGGAGCAGGCATCCCTTATTCCTTTCTCTTCCTAGCAAATACCCAGGGTATGGGAGGGAGGAAAGTGAGGCATTCCTCTTTCTTTCCTCCATCCTTGTATCCCTGAGTCCCTGCAACCATGATAGGGTGCCACACATGCATATCAAAGCAGCTTTCACCCATGTTAACAGGGGGGCATAGGGGGTGGGAATATCCACTCTTACCCACATACCCCCTATCTCCCCTGCTGTCAGTAGCCTTTGAATTTCCTAGGCCTCATTTATGCCATGGATACTAGCATGACCTTTATCCATGAAATGGGAAGCTTGGGTTAATTGGCAGGAATTAGTAATGCTCAAATATGCTGTGCCTTTTAACTTTCATTATCATCTGCCTCTGCATCCCTCAGATCCAGTTTTCTTTCCTAGGCGTTTGACATGAGCTTGGAATTGAGTTTGTGACAAAAATGTGTCTTGCCGGGCAGGCAGGGTTGGGGTGTTGCATGGACCCCTTATCATAAGCTGAATGCTAAGGTGAAGCTGTAGAATTGAGTCCTCCTTCAACAAGGGAGAGAAAAGAATATCTTGTGACATGCCCAGATAACTGGTGCCTATAGTTATGCTTGCTAAGATTTGGGTGCATGGGGCTTGGCTTTGGTTAGTCCCTGTTGTCTTACTTTCCCAAAAAAGAAACCTCTGGGTGATGAGCATCCTATTTATTCCCAGCACCTGGCAGGATTTGCAGGATAAATGCCCAGAACTAGAATATTGATCTAGATTTTTACATTACCCATCAACTTTTGTTTTCTCTTAGCCGCAGCTGGAGATTGCTGTTTGGTTCACAGGAAAAAGCAAGGTTAGTCTAAAACGTAGACAAAAACTTAAAAACAACTAATGAGTCTAGAATCTAATGATGATAAGTTTTGAAACCTAATTTCTCTCTCTGTAGTCCTAATTTATGTCAAAAACAAATCATGATAGGGCTGTGTTCTGTACAAAATAGACTTTAGTCTTATATTTGGCCTGATTATTTGCTTAAAGTGCAGCAAGAATAATTCTTTCTACATAGGCCTTTTAGATTGGCTTTGATGGAACTCTGTTTGACAAGGAATCTCAGATAAGATCTTTTAAAGCTGAGCCCAGCCATAGGTTTGTACCCTGAAATACCTGTGAGTTGGGTAAACTCCTCTCTTCTAGAGGTCCCAAGAACATGTGATTCTAAAGATCAAAAACAAACAGATTTAGAGAAGCTGAGTGTTTTTCCCTGTCACCAAGCTAACTCAGGTAGCAGAACTCAGGTTTCAGCCTAGACCTTGCATTTTGTTTTGGTTGCTCAAGACCACAGAAATGCGAGGGGAAACTAGTTGTGGGTGTTGGGCCTGGGAGTACCTCTACCATTCACAGATTTCTTATTTTCAATTATTTCTTTCCTATAAGAATTTGTAACAGGCGCCTGCAATCTCAAGACTTTGGGAGGCGGAGATGGGCAGATCACCTTAGGTCAGGAGTTCAAGACTAGCCTGGCCAACATGGTGAAACCTCATCTCTACTAAAAATACAAAAATTAGCTGAGCATAGTGGCACACACCTGTAATCCCAGCTACTTGGGAGGCTGAGGCAAGAGTGTCGCTTGAACCCAGGAGGCGGAGGTTGCAGTGAGCCGAGATTGCACCACTGCACTCCAGCCTGGAAAATAGAGTGAGACTTTGTCTCAAAAGAAAAAAAAAAAAAGAGAATTTGTAATAGGCACTGACAGTAGGTATTTGGGAAATATGCCACATTTAACAGTTCTTATGTATAAGTAGCCGAACAAGTGAAGCAAAGATGGTTTCAAGAGTTTTTAATGTATTCCTTTAATAGCAGTGTCAATGAGCTTACCCCACTGACCCAGACTTCTCATGAACCAGGACATTCAAGGTTGCATCAGAATAGCAGAACCATTAAGATGCTTCTGGATGGATGGATAGGTGGATGTATATTTATATATTTGTATATACAATCAAGACTCACTTAAAGATTTGATTATGAGAAATGTATTATTTGGTGATTTCATTGGGCTACAAATATCACAGAGTATACACACACAAACCTAGATGGTTAGGTTTAGCCTACTACACATCTAGGCTATATGGTATAGCCTATTGCTCCTAGGCTACAAAGCAATAAAGCATGTTACTCTACTGAATACTGTAGGCAATTATAGTACAATGTAAACACAGAAAATTACAGTAAAAATATTTTATAATCTTATGGGCCACCATCTTATATCGAATCCATCTTTGACCAAAATGTCATTATACAGTGAATGTATGTATGTATATCTGTGTATATATACTCACACATAGCTCTATCCTCATCTCTATGTATGTATGCATGCATATGTATATATACATTCACACACATATACACACATACTAATACATATAACAGATACATTATAGATATTTGAAATATGCACTTGTGGAAGTTGGCTACACAATGTATGCAATGCCACTGTCTTTTTGTTGTCACTTAAAGTCGATGTGGTAGACAATTCAGAATAGAATATGCACATGAACTATGAGAAACAGAAACAACTGGTAACTTCAAAGTTGAACTGGAACTTCTAGATTTCTTACCACCTCCAAACTCCAGTTTGAATGTTGGGGGTATTCTGCAACAGAAACTTGTTGATGTCCTTCATCACGGAGCAAAATATGCACCTGGCCCAGGAATCAAAGAAGCTGAATGAAGAAATGCAACAGAAAGTTGAGATTCATTAGGCCCAGTTGTCGCCTCACAACACCAAGGTTAAATCTGCTAGCATATGGCTCATAGATCTGTGAGCTGCACCAGGACCTTGTGTCCTGCACTGACCTTTTAAAGGTAAAAAATAAGATGCTTGCTGCTTCTCTCCTTTCTTCCAAGTCTCATGTAAAATGTGTCCAAACTAACCAGGAACCATGCATGGAAGGAGAAAATTCTGGGAAGTACAGTTCTAGCTCAGCAAAGATGATATAACATGAATCCTCCATGCCATTGTTAAGCAAAATCCATTTTACAGCCATTGTTTAATATAACTGTATTGTATTCCAAAGATTCCAAATCAATCATGGGACCTGAAAAGCTGTATTTTTACAAACATCTCTAATGTTCCTCATGCTAATCCAGGGTTGAGATCCAGAGCTACATAAGGTGACCTTGAGAATCCATACTCCATACATTAAAGCTACCCATTGCATCAGTACTTAGAATTTTGTCCAGATATATAGGCATTCTGAGAAAAAATTAACAAAATAAATATGTTATAAATGTTCACCATTTCTGATGCTCAGAATTTTTACTGCTCAGGATCTTTACAAGTCAGTCAATGTTCTTAACAACATCTCTATGCAAAATATTTGGCTGTGTGAGGCAGCCAATGGCTTTGATTAAAAAAAAACCAAGCAAGTAAATATACTAAATAATTTTAAAAACGCTTCCCTATGATGTGCAGATTCCTAGAATTGGGAATAGAATATCTGATGGTTCACTGTGCTGCATAATAATTTCTAATGTGCACTTGTCCATAGTGAAGAATTTTCATTGCTCTTAGAGAGCAAGCACGTGGCCTCCTGGGGTAGAGCATGGATTTGAAGTCACTTAGACCTGGAGCTATATGCAGCCTCTCTCACTTACTGGCGGTTGACCTGAGGGAGTTATTAAGTTCTGAGCTCTTCTTTGCTTATTTGAGATTCAGATGGAGACAGTTATATGTATTTACCTCCAAGGATTATTGTGATGATTATAGCAAGCAATATATAAGCAAACTCTTGTAGCAATTATGAAACCTTCTGGAAAGAGAAAATGTTGGTTACTTGCCTTCTATCACAATTATTTGATTCTTAACAATTATACTGATTATTTAATGACTGTGGTGTGAGAACACATGACTGAAAGAGTAAACAATGATATCAAAATACCCAAAGTGTTTACAGTCAGCCTTTTTCTTAGAATTTGTTATCTCAGAAAATATTATGAAGTAAATAAAAAATGAACTATAAAGTCAGAAAGAACTGGTGTGGATTTCAGCTCTACCAATTGCTCACTATATGGCCTTGACTACATTACTGCCTTCTCTTATGCCAATATTCCATAGTTAACATGGCTTAATAGTGTGACACATATGGAATGATTTTAAGTACTATGTGAATTAAGATGCAAAACATCTAATTAAATGCATGGAACATTGTGGGTACTCTTGTCTTTTCCTATTTTTAAAATGTTATACATCTGTAGCATTCACATGCTGGCAATTTAATTATTGCTCTTAAAATTGATAAGCCATGAATTAAGATAAGGAGTCCTCACTCACAGATAAGTATGTGGACAGGTTAATAATGATGGGCTAAAATGTATTATTTGAAAAATTATGCCTCCAAAGATTAAAGATTGAATAAAGACCATTACCATCTGTTTACAAGACTTTCTTAGATAGTAAACTGGTAAAACAGATAGCACTGCAGGAGACATGAAGGGAGGTTGCATATAGTGTCAGAGTATATGCAAAGTCAGTAAACAGGAACCAAAGCTAACTTTATCCTAGTTAATGGGTGCAGTTGGGACTGGGGCAAGGAAGCACCTGTATATGGAATGTGTATTCTGTGAACACAAATTATATACTTGACCCTGGGATAGGTTTAGATGCTTCAAAGATATGCAACACAAAGTTCCTGCATTTAGGGTTCTAAAGTTCAATGTGCAATTTATAAATAAATAATTTCAAAGCTATGCAAAAAGTGATAAGATTCAAGTATACATAGTTTAAACTTGATGTCATTGATAATATATATCTTTATTATACTGTGGTTCCAGTATTAAGTAATTGAAATATGATGAACATTTTGGTCTTTCCTCTCAAGGAGATTGTAATATTGTTGAAATAATTAAATATAAGCCCAAAATATTGACAATTCTAAGTCAAAAGAGAAAAATATTTTAAGAGTTCAGATCAAGAAACTTAAAAGGAGGCAGAAAACATTTCCTATTTAGGATCATGGAGATTATTTTCTTATTAAAGAAGTTGAGGGATGGCTTAAAGAAAGAAATGATATTTGAGCTCAGTCTGAAAAGGCTGAGATACTTTTTGACAGGTGAAGAATAGAGTAAGAGACTACGGAGTGGTTATGTGGTAAAAGTGGAGAGAACACATTTGGATTGGAGCATAAAAGCTGAATTATTTAGTGCATATATTAAGTTGAACTACAGAAAACTGTTATTGTGGTGGACAAAGATGGTCTAATTTTGGTAATTTCATATGGTTCAACCTAATTTAAAATATAACATACATCCCAATTGGTTTGCCATGAATGTGTGTCACGAGAAGTATAGAGTTCTTATGCTTTTAAAGGTCTCTTTTGACTCTTCTGTATTTGCATCTGAAGTGATGCAAAGAATTCCAGCTTCAAAGTCAGACTGGCAATAGATTTCAATCCTGATTCTATAAATTACCTTGGTCAAATCGCTTAATGCCCCTAAACTCAGTTTATTTAATTACAAAATGAGAATCATAGCACTAACTTTACAGTTTGTGGAGATTAAATGAGATAATCACATATAAAATTTCTACCCATGTCTAACATAAAATCGGTCTTCAGAAAATGTTAGCTGTAGCATTGTAGCAGAAGTTCCAATCGTGATTGAAAAAGTTTTTGACAGAAAAATTGAACAAGTCTCTAGGAAAACATCTGTAGTTCCTTCTCTTGCCCATTTCTTTTCTTCCCATCCTCCCCAGCCCTGATGCTTCTCCAACAGTAGGCTCTCTCTCCACCAGCTGTTTGGGGATTTTAAATGCCAGGGAGCCCTGTTGCTCACATATGTTTGAATTGCTTCCTTTCTATTTAACCTTCTTGCTAGAAAATTAACAAGTTCAACTTCCTCCTTTAAGTTGCCAAGCATTTTACACTTGGAATTGACTGTTGTAAAATGTGCGTGGATAGTGGTTGATTGTTTCTTTGGCAGAGTCATTATTTATGCAATTATTTGTAGTACACACATTAACAATTCATTTTCTGTTGCAACTGTAGAAATAACTCTTGAAGGTGAGTAGAAACCACCTGGGATTTTCATAACATTTTTCTTTCCGAGTTGTGCAATTATGTACTACAAATGAGATTAGTGTTTGGGGAAGAGATAGATGCCTGCACCTTCGGTGCAACAAAATCTAGAAAGTTTAACTTTGCTGTTTGTCATATGACTTTACAGTTAATAAGCCCTTCCATACACATGCTGTGTTTCCGCATACACAGGGCTTTCTTACGCATTACCTTATTTGAAGTATCAAACTGAAAGAACAATTTAAATGTAAGGAGAATGGCTGATAACAATTTCACTTTCCAGGTAGGTAAACTGGAACTCAGCAACATTAAATGGTCTGCTTAAGGCAACATTGCTAGTAATTAGTGGAACCTTTATTCTAGAATATTCTTTCACATGAAATACACTTTTCTCATGACTCCCAACTTTAGATATGCATATATAGAGAGATTATCTATCTCTCCATATATAAAAATATGTAATACATAGAACCCAAAAAATGCATACCATCCAGTCTTATAGTATTTTATTTCATTGTTTAATTCTGTCTCAGTTTAGGTTAAGGCCTCTTTCAATGAAAAAATAAGTAGCTGACATGTCTGTGTTTATTACTCATGTTTGTAGGCAGAGGTGAAGCTTTTCAGTATGGCTATTTTTCATACTGGAGTGAGGCAACCAGATGATTCACTGTATCATAACTTTATGGAAATGTATGTGGGGTGAAACAAGTATTGTTTGTAGGCAAAAATGTAATTTGTATGTTTTCTAGGCATCTTTCTTTACCTCTTGTTACAGTTTCTTAGATTGTCTCTCCACTACCAAGAGACCTGTAGTCTGAGTTTGGCCAAAGTCTTATTTTTTCTTCCAATTGGTTGTGACTTCTTTTTGAACCGTCACCCAAAGTTATGCCTAATCAATCCTACCTCTTTTTCTTATCAAAACTTAACTATGAAAACTAAGCTGTGGTCTGGCAACTTTTGAGTAGTTACCATTGATGATAGCAATCTTTATTTGCTAATAAAATCTAGGGATACTTTTTCCAAATACTTGTTTGGAATTCTACAATAATAACTATAGTTAAGACTTCTTAGAATTTTTGATGTCTGAAATTTCTACCATCTACCTATTTTTAGGTTCCAGGCTAAGAAGACTATGTTTTTAAGGACTATCTTCTTAAAGACAAAAGCCAGATGAGAAATGAAGTGTTAGTGATATTAGTAAAGTTTGCAACTATGTAAGGTTTATTTTTGGAAGGCTAAGTAGAACTTTCTCATCTTGCTTCCTTGAAGCTAATAGGTCTGAGATATGGTATACACTCAAATCCACTTATCAGTGATAATTATATTAGCACACATTTACTGAGAGCACTCTATGAACCAGACACTGTTCATTCCACTTTGTATTTATTATCTCATTTAATCTACACTGCCAGGTAGTCAAAATTGGGACAGGTATCACCAGGCTATTAAGCTTACCTATTTGCAAATTGAATAAATTGGTGAGCACTAGCGTGGTCATACAACAAGAAGGCAAGTCCCGTCTTGGGTTTGTTTATCACAGGGGAGAGAAAGGTATAAGAAAGCCCACTATGTCTGGATGCAGAGTGAGAGATATTAAGTATTGTCAAGTCCTTGTGAGGCAGCATAATCGGCTCCCCCAATAAAAGGAGACTTGTGAGTATTTCAATTTCTGACAAATATAGATAGCAACACTTTCACTTGTGGTTGCTGGACAGACATGAACTAGCAAGACAAGAGTCAGGAGAGGCCCACTGCAAAGGACTGTCGAGAAGGCAAATATTTAAAAAAATAATAATAGATCCCTCCAATAAAAACTCATGATTTTTACAATTAGGCAATTTAGTGGGTACTCCTAGAAAAATACATGTGATAAAGTTTTGAGGGTTCAGTTACATGACTACTAGCCATTGTGATCAGCTAACAGAGAAGATGGTTAGAGGTAGGAGCAAGGTCCTAGTGGACCTCACAACTTTGTTTCATTTCCATCATATCGCTTGGAGACCAGAAGTTCCCTTTTATTACAGATGAGAAACATGAATCTGGAGAAGGCTGCACAACTATTAACTTAAGCCCTGGCTGTCAAAGGTTTATCATGAAAAAGTATGGAATTAGATAAAGTAACTCTTCTCTTCAAGAGGGAAATGGATGAAACCAGAATGCCGCCCTTTAAAAGAAGCCCCACTTTATGTAAAAGAAAATGAAGCAGTGGCTCAGGCATTTATTTATCTCAATGTAATGCAGTAAGTTACCTCCAAAATTTCTAAAACAGCTGGTGGGTTATAATGTAATTTACCTGGTTTTGTTACGCTAAGGTCTAAAGTCAAGGCAAATTGGATTTTCCAAAGGTGATTCTTTCTTTCAAAATTCACCATTAATTGGTTTCCTGATACCAAAAGTACAGAAAGATAATAACTCTTTTAAATATATGCAGACCTCTCTATATTTACTTTAAAATACATATCATAAACTGTGAGTCTCTATGAATTATCTGTGCTTACATGATTTATTTTGTTGTAGAAAACATTGATACATAGCTGGCTTAGAAAATAGTGATAGTTCACAAGTTGTAGCTATTATTAGTTACAACTAATGTAAATGAACTTAAATAAATTTGCCTAAAAATTATTTTTTCCTGCATGAAATTGTTTCTATTATACAATACCTACAACATCTGGGGTTTGAAATAGTTATTACTAATGTTGTTTCCATGCTGTTGCTCCTTATACCAACCCTGGGGGGAAAAATAGTTCCTTCAACAGTGGCTGAGTCTAAGTGAAATAGAAAGTTCAATTCCTCCCACAAATGTTCTTGACAATTTTTAGCTTGCCAGAACTAGCTTTAAAAAAAGAAATAAATAAATACTTAAAGAGTAGAGACTTATCTGTAATCTCCTTAGTGGCCTCTTTCTAAGTCATTTTTTTTTATTAAGGGGTAGTAAACAATTTTTGTTTTATTCTTTTTAAATTTTCTTCCAGCAAAAGAAAAATTTTATGTGAAGTGTGTTCACATAAAAGTATAAAAGCCAAAAAAGCAGTATTAATTCTAAGATGCATTTATTCCCAAATTTTCTATCACTAAAATTTGAATTTGTCTTAGTAATGAAGGCATGTCATAGTTAAATTGATAGTGTTTTTTAAAAAATTTCTGATTATTGCAAAAAATAATGGTTCCTCTTATGACATCGAAGACTAGTTGAAATATGCTAACATGCTAACATTTCTGGGGATAGTTCAGAAAATTAGAGTACATTACTAGGAAAATATTTTAACACAAATGAAGAACTTTTATTTGCTATTTATCGTATGGTCTGTCGTATGTTCATTTCATCAGCATTCATACATTCAATATCTTCTAAGTCACTATTAGGAAAAATACACGCACATTTATGGAAAGTTCTTATCCTTAGAGACTTACAGCCTTGAAGGAGAGTTGAACACATAATTACAATAAATTGTAATAAACTAGTTTCAAAGGCTATAGGAAGTGGAATGATGAAGTTATTCTTTGAAATGATCTACTGACTTAATGTTCCTGAGATGTTTCAACTTTGGTATGTAGTTGAGTGTAATCCAGAGGGTTAGTGATTTTTTTTAAATATTATACACCCAGGAGGGATATAGTTAGGAAAAACACCTGAGTCAATTTACATTCACATTAAAATCAAAATCGCTAATATTTTCAGGAAAAAAACTATTCATTGAAAGCTACACAACTTGCTAATTGTGGTCTCTTTTTCAGTTGCTCCTATTTTTTATTTTCATTACCGAGATCACTTAAGATTCACTATCTATTGCTCAACAAATCAGGAGCATACAGTAAAAATAGAAAATAAGTGAAACTGTAATCAATTGTAGCATTTAGGGCATGCTCTTGGCTTTTTTAATTCATTAATTAAGGAATGCTCGCTATTGAATTATAATACTAGTCAGTTTGCCAAGATGGTTCATTAAAGTCCAAATTTTATTATGTATTACATGCTTTATGCTTTTCACACAGACTTATTATACTGCTCAGAGAAGGTGATCTCTGAAAGCACATTAGACTAATGTTCCTGAAACACTGGCTAATGTAAGTTTTATTGGATTGCGGTAACCAGAAAAGGTCACCTAATGACTTGTTCCGATAATGATTTACTAAAAGGATAATATAATTAATGAGTTGTTGTTAAATGTTTGACCTTGAAATACCTTGTCATTTGTTGAGATGTGTAAATATCATATTAATACAAAGAAAGAACAGAGAATCAAGCAATCTTTCAATAATGTTTTTCCAAATTTTACATAGATTAGGTAGGTATAGTGATAACAGCTAACATTTAATGAGTGCTTACTATGTGCCAAGTACTACGCTAATAAGCATTTTAATTCATCAACGTGTTTTATCCCCACCAAAACTCTAGATTATTATCATTCTGATTTTCAGATGAAGAATTAGGGATTTAGATAGTGCAAGTAATTTATCCAATGTCATTCAGCTACTTAGGCAAAGTCCAAGTTTGAGCCAAGTTATCTCTGGATACAGAGCTCTCAAACTACATTGAATATTTATCTGGATTCTTCAGAGGAAGTAATCAGTTATGAATTCAAATACTATTGATGAGGTTTGAAGTCTTCCCTCCTTCCATCAATTTAAGAAGTTAGTAAATTATATTTTGAAGTAGTGACATTGTAAATGATTAAGATTTTTGAAGTCAACTATACCAGTTCAAATCCCAGTTCTACAACTTGCTGCCACATAGCTTTGAGCCAGTTGTTTAACCTCATCAAGCTTTATATCCCCCTTTGGTAAGTATGATACCTATCTGAGTCTTGTTTGATGATGAGAAAATACCTAAATATGCTTATGAGAAAACTTTGTATCACTCTACTCATTTAGAGGTTGAAAGGGGTTTATTCAATGCAGTTTCCACATGTAGTGTTATAAAATAGGAGTGAAATCTTATACTTTGAAACTTTAAAAACTCCCATTTACTTGTCTTTCTATCTATTTTTCTATCTATCTATCTATCTATCTATCTATCTATCTATCTATCTATCTATCTATTTATCTATCTATCTAGCTAGCTAGCTAGCTATCTAGCTATCTATCTAACTATTTATCTGTCAATTCATTTCCTAGGTAAATTAGATTTGCCTCTATTATTCAAACCTATCAAGAAAGGTAAAACTCTACTCTGTTGATCTTGAAAATAGTATAGATAATATCTTATCAACAGGAACTTATTTTCAAGCAAGAATGTGAACATCCTGCATAAATTGTGCCTTGCAATATTAGTTTCATCAATAAGCACATACACACATATAGAATGCTTCCTTTCTGCCTTAGATTGAGTTCACTCAGAAAACAGATGCTCAGTTATCTAGAGATTTACTTGTAGCACAAAGTTCGATTTTTTTGGAGGGGGGTTCACAAAGTGGGTGGAAAGGTGTTTTTTAGGAATAGCACCTTGAAGAAATGTAAGGGAAATAAGGGAAGTGGGACTGGGTGGAAGGAGAAGTTGCTGCAGATGCCTCACCAAGTTCTGGGTACAATTCTAGAGCTGGTCTAATCTTTAAGAGTAACTGAAATTAAGGCAGAGAGACCTGGATTTTGTTAACACTTCACTGGTATAATACTTCATCCACCAGTATTAGTTTGAGGCTGCCCTGTCACACCCCACCATCACATACATCAAGAGGGAGCATAATCTTGATTTAGGTACATCTATCTCCCCTAGAGCAATTCCCAAGGAGGAATTGCTTTGAGCCATCAGCAGCCACCAACCCCAGCAGGTGGGACAACAAGAGCCATATTCCCAAAAGGCAGCTCTGGATACCACACCATAGTATCTACAATAGGGTACAATAGGGTTAATAATTTTAATAAAATACCTCAATCATGGTAGCTACCCATAGTCTAACACAACAAACACAACACCATTCAATGGTAGAAATTTATGTGAACACAAAAAACCTGATAGTCTGAATTGCATAATTGTAAAATACTTATTTGGTTATACATATTCAATAAACAATATCCATTAAGCAGACACAACCTTTACCATATTATAAAAGCTAAAATTACTAGTGAGGGATCAATGGACATTGTGTGCCGCCAAACCTAAGCAAGGCATATCACCTATATAGTGTCCTGACCAAGCATGCAAAGCCTGAAACTAATCATGAAAAAAAATCTCAGACAAACCCTAAAGAAGGAATTTTCTATTTGTTAAAAAAGAGAGGGGATAGAGGGCTGAATTATTTAAAGATGTAAGTAACATAAAAGTCAGTGAAGGCTGTGGTAACATTTCTGATTTAAGAAGACTAAAAAGACATGAGAAGTAATGTTCTTTCTGGCCCTATACTGGGGAGAAATAGTGCTTACAGAGAACATTATTGGGAATAATCACAATGTTAGAATGCAAACAATAAGTTAGACAAAAGTGTTGTTTGTATCTATATAAAATTAACTGAAGTTGTGGTGGGGTTATTACATTAGAGAATATCATTATTCTTAGGAAAACTATGCTGAAGTATTTAGAAATAAAGGGCTATGAAACATGTAACTTGCCTATAAATTGTTTAAAAATTTACAGGAACGAATACCCAGAGAGATACAGACACAATGAGTCTGAGTTTAGATGTGTAGAGGTAAAACAGTTTTTTTTTTAATTTTTGCAATAGTACATGCAAGAGATGTTTTAGACTAGAGAAGAGAGGTAGCACTGGAGGTAGCAAAGAATGGATGGATGGAATATGTTCTAAAGGCTGAGGCAACATGACTTGCTTAAGGATGTTAGGAGTAAGAAAATCAAATGGATCTATAAATGCCTGTTTGTTAAAAAGTTACTTACATCATAAAGTTTGTGATACTTTTCTTGCACTGTACAATCTTAGTTTGTACTAATCCTTCAAATATCAGCTGAAATTTCTTCTTTTTAAGTAAACCTTCTCTGATTACTATCAACAAGAATTGGACATGTGTTACCATCCTGAGAATAGTCTGTATTGTAAATTCCTAACATTTATGAGTAAATAAAACATCACATTTCGTAAGCACTTATACAGAAGCTACTCAACTTATAGTGGGCTTAAGTCCCAATAAACCCATCATAATTTGAAAATATCATAAATTGGAAATGAGTTTAATGCACCTAACTTACCAAACATCATAGTTCATCCTGTCCTACCCTAAACATGCTCAGAACACTTAACATCAGCCTACAGTTGGGCAAAATCATCTAACACAAAGCGACTTTATAAAGTATTGAATATCTCATGTAACTTATTGAATGCATTACACTGTACAGTACAGTATTGGTGTTTCACCCTCAGATCACGTGGTTGACTGGGAGCTGAGGTTTACTGTGGCTGCCCAGCATTATGAGAGAGTATAATTCTGGATATCGCAATTTCGGAAAAAGAAGAAATTTCAAAACAGAAAGCACAGTTTCTGGTGAATGCTTATCACTTTCATACCATCAAAAAGTCAAGAAATCTATAAGTCAAATTATGGTAAGTCAGGGACCATATGTATATAATCACATATACACACGCAGGCACAAAAACATAGGCATGTGTGTTTCCTTCTACTTCTAAGTGTTTTTTACAATAATGGTGTATATCAATAATTAAATAACTGTATAAGATAAAACCTACTTCAAATGTCCAAATGAAAGTGAATTTCTAGTTTTTAATCAAATGCCCAACTGTCAATGTTAATAAAATATATTTAAATAAATAGCTTATCTTTGAGTATTTCTAATATTAAATTTGTTTTATAAACACATTTACCATATTTGTTTTATAAACACATTACCCAAATTTAAGTTTGTTTCATAAACACATTACCCATATTTAAAAATTTAGACTTACTTAAATGTTAAACTCATTTTATATCTTTCTTTTCACTTAGCTTTTTATAACATAATTTCCCACTCATTTTTGTCCTTGATTTTTATCTTAGATTAAAAACTATTTTTAAGTTATCTTTAAAAAAATACATTTTCTGAGCATAACTACTTGATAGAGGTTAGTATATATTTGCACCATATTCATTAACTTTGGAAAAACATACATATAAAGACGCAAAATCCTTGAAATTTTGTTCCATTATTTTTGAAATTTATTGTCATGGGATGGTGACAAATTCATATTTTGGAAATTATGCACAAGAGCATAAAGCAAACTAATTCCATATTTTTTTCAAGATACCATTTTAATGCTTGGGTGTTTTTAAATCTTTATCATTGAAATTCAACATTTTTGTTCCTTTAAAACTCATCCTGATGTGCAACATTTCTATGTAATTTAGGCCAAAATATTTAAAGACATATTCATAGTTTTGCTTCCTGAGAAATGCCTTCAATTTCATCATTGTTACATATTTCATAAATTTTATTTATTTCTCCTGAAATTTTAAGACTGACATTTTCTGTCATTTTTCTGTCTTCTGTTATCTTTCTCTTATTTTAATCTTTGCCACATTTTTACTTTTCTTCTGTATTCTCAGAACATTTCTTAGACTGTACTCTAAATTATTGATTAGACTTGTGTCTTCACATTGGCTCCTTGACACTGGTAATATAATTTTGTGTTTTATGCATTCTTTTTAAATGAGTTTGACACTTTTGACTACTGTTTTAGGAGATTTTTTTAAAGTAAAAAAGAACATTCTTCTTTTGACTTTTAAAAACTTCTATTTTTCTGATCCTATCTCAAAGAGGTAAAATACTTTTGACTTTTAATAAAAATTCCCTTTTTCGTTAAAATTTATGTTAGTTTTCATAGAATATATGTCTTTTGAATATTTAGAATTGTTTATACTTTTTTGTTAAGTTTTTTGTTTTTTTCTTCCAAATAGAGCCAAAGATAGAGATATATAGATGTGAGGTTTTCCAACAGATAGGGTCTGGAGATTGCTCTTAAATCTTCTGCCTGAATATTTTCATTCTTAGGGAACCTTCTTAGGGAACCTTTTCTCAGTTTAACATCTGGAAGGCAATTGCGTATGTGCATAGAAATTCATCTGGCATAGCTCTTCTAAACTGAAATAGAATCATATCTCATTCTTTACTGCGTTATTTTCTGTCACTCGAAACTACCACCACCACAGCAACAAAGCTGGTTTTTCTTTTCTTTTAATGGACCCTGCGTCTCTGAGTTAATGTAATACCAATATGAAGAATCTTCTTTCTTTTTGCAAGAGAAATTAATTTCCTTCATAAGGCGAGGCGCAAGTTAACCACCACACTCTATCAAATTAAGACCACCTGATTCCTCATTTTGGCAATCTCAAAAGTTTGCTCCTTTGCCTTTTCAGGTGTCATTATTTTAAAAATTAGGAGGGAGTTAAAAGATATGTCAAAGGTTACTAGTTAGATGCCACTTTAAATCAGATTCAAAACAACTGCTTTTCTATCAGTTGGCCTGACTCCCTATAGCCACAGTTATCTCTCAATTCTGGGAAGTCAGTTACTCCTGAGATAAGAAATATAAATTAGAAAGGAGGTTTGTTGGAAAGAACGCTGAACTGGGAGGTAAGAAAACTGTATACTGACTGTGGTATTCACAGGTTAATTGTCACAGCAATCTTTCATTTTATGGCTCAACCTCCTTATTTGCTTCGCAAGTGTCTTAGGCTCCATTGCTAAGTTGCATTCGTCTTCTCGTTGTCTGAACCTAGGAGTTGTTTCTCTCTCTTTTTATTTTTTCTTTTCTATCCGCACTTAAGAAAGTTCAGAAGAAAACATGTTATACTTTTTTAAGTTTTAGCTTTTTTGCAAAGGTGGGTGGTAAAGAACTCTCAGATAGCTGCTGTCTGTGGAAGAAGAGGATTAAAAAGTCTCTAATTCTAGTGGAATCTCCTAGATATAATCATGTCACTAAGATATGATCATAACAAATACAAACTATATTGAGAGCAGCCGTTAAAAATCGACATTCATATAAATCTTTGTTCTATATGGTCTATTTATCTGTCTTATTAAAATGGCTGAATTTATGAGGATAACGTTTAGACATGTCTTTATTTTTTTATTTTATTTTATTTTATTATTATTATACTTTAAGTTTTAGGGTACATGTGCACAATGTGCAGGTTAGTTACATATGTATACACATGCCATGCTGGTGTGCTGCACCCATTAACTCGTCATTTAGCATTAGGTGTATCTCCTAAAGCTATCCCTCCCCCCTCCCCCCACCCCACAACAGTCCCCAGAGTGTGATGTTCCCCTTCCTGTGTCCATGTGTTCTCATTGTTCAATTCCCACCTATGAGTAAGAATATGCGGTGTTTGGTTTTTTGTTCTTGCGATAGTTTACTGAGAATGATGATTTCCAATTTCATCCATGTCCCTACAAAGGATATGAACTCATCATTTTTTATGGCTGCATAGCATTCCATGGTGTATGTGTGCCACATTTTCTTAATCCAGTCTGTCATTGTTGGACATTTGGGTTGGTTCCAAGTCTTTGCTATTGTGAATAGTGCCGCAATAAACATACGGGTGCATGTGTCTTTATAGCAGCACAGGTTATAGTCCTTTGGGTATATACCCAGTAATGGGATGGCTGGGTCAAATGGTATTTCTAGTTCTAGATCCCTGAGGAATCACCACACTGACTTCCACAATGGTTGAACTAGTTTACAGTCCAACCAACAGTGTAAAAGTGTTCCTATTTCTCCACATCCTCTCCAGCACCTGTTGTTTCCTGACTTATACATATCTTTAAAAAATGCTATAGCTTAAAGCAGATTCTCCTGTGACGGAAACATATTAGTGCAGCATTCATATATTCCTATCATAGATTTGGATCCGAATAGCACACAAATTTATTGGTTCACTTAATCAACTATTTATTAAATTCATACTATTTCCTTGCAAAGTATTAGCCACCAAAAATACAGAGATGACACAACTTGTGCTCTTGAGAATCTCAAAGACTAAAAGGGAGAAATAGGGGTCAAATAACGTATCTCTTACATGGTGTGATGAGTTCAATGTAAGCAAATAGTGGGGACTGCAGAAAGCAAAGCAACTTCAGCTGGAGTTCAAGGAAGATTTTTTTCTACATTTGATGGTTACCTGTACCTTGATGTGTCAGAAAGAATTATAAAGATAAAGTGAGTCGGTAGGGTGTCAAGCTAAAAGGAGTAAGTAGCCCAAATGTGATATGGCCTGGCATGTTCTGAGATCCGCAAAAGATTGAGGGAAGGGCATAAAGAGAAAAGAAATGTAAGCCAAAACCTTGTATGTCAATTTAAGGAATTAGAACTGTCTTGCAAATGGAGAATAATTAAATGCTTTTACTTGGAAAAGAAGCAGTTCAGATTTACTGAAAACTTGTCCATCAAAACACCTCAAACTAATGTCTAAGATCCACTTCTCATACATATAAAATGTTTTGCTTTGTTTCTTAGCCATAGATTTCATGACCACTTTCATAGCAGTCTAGCAAATGTGTAGTCAGATGCTGCACAGATGTGCATGTATGGGATGCATCAATATAATGCCAAGTTTTACCTAAAAAGATCTGTTTCTGGCTTCATGAAGGTCATTTACAAAGAGGAACTGTACAGACTCCTTAATCATCTTGCTATATATATCCTGAGCTCCTTGAAGGAAGGGATTGTGTTTGAGTCATTTTTTCATCCTCAAAACTACCACATTGTCTTGAACATAGTAGTTATAAATATTTGAATGGATGAATGAACTAAGAAAATATAAAATACAGTGAGAAGCATAGGAAGCTAGTTTCGGCAAATTGGTTTTATCTCTATATCCTATTTCATATTCATTGAAAAGCTCTGTCCCTTCTGTTAGCACAGCATTTGTTTTTGTCACATGGTTTATCAATGTTGCTAATCAGCTGCTAATTAGCTGCCAATTCTTGTGCAATTTAGAAGAAAAAGGCAGAGAAGGGCTGTTCAAAGGAATATGCCTCAATGATCTTGCCTATTTGTTTTACATGTCCAAGGTCCCGTAGTACAGAGATGTTATACATACATTACCACAGGCTCAATGAGTATGGCTAGGAGTAGATTATGACTTGATTCAAAATTACTAATAGAGTTTTATAGAAGAAATATTCTTTCTCTGTCATAAAGGCAGTGTTTTAGTGAAGGAGGCTCTAGGTTATCATAGCATCACTTAATGGGAAAAATACACAAACATTCCCACACATAAACAATGGACCCCCAATCATGGGTTTGAATCTTAGTTTTGCTGTTTACTAATTGTGTTACCTTGGCCTAGTTGCTTCACGTTTTTTATCTCATCTGTAAAATGGGAATGTTTGCCTCTAATGATTTTTTGCAGTGAAGAAATACAGATAACATAGGTAAAGCATTAGCAGAGTCTTTGCATATGAATGGATCTCAAAAATGATTTTTTTCTTTCCTATAATGATAAAGCATAGTTTGTTTTTATAAATCATGTACTCATTTCTATGCTTATCTTAATAACACAAACATGACTTATATTTTCTTCTGATAGTTCCCTCAAAGTTTCTCTACTAGCATATTTTCAGATTTTTTCTAAATCGTATGGTCCTAATTTATCCAATTTCTTTCATGAAGCTCTGCCTCACTAAAACGTGTTCACTTTTTGCAATCAAAGCATGTATCACACAACTTAGCTGTTTAATGTATACTCCTTGTAATTTAATGAATTATCCACTAACAGTCTTAAGTAAATTTCAAATTATTGGGGTGAGAGAGAGACCAGTTCAATTAAAGCCTATCTTTTTCCCAGACTACTTGGTAGCTCTAAATTTACTAAAGATAGGTGATTATTTAGGAAACTCACTGGGCTTAAAGTAGACAGAGGCAGAGATAATAAGGTTTGTGTAATATTCCATATGTCACTCTGTACTTCCAAGCCCCCTTTCATTTTGACTGGGCCATTTGACTGTTTTGGCCAATGAACTATGGACTGAAATGTGTCATTTCCAGCTTGAGGCAGCGAGACACTCAAGTGCTGTTTCTCAGTTTCTCCCTTCCCATACTTTGATAATCAAAGAGCTGGCAAATTCTAAGTGCTGTAACTGGAAGGCGGTAGAAACTCAGTCTGGTTCCCTTAGTAACCACATGGAGTAGCTTCTTCGTTCTAATTTTCCCAATCCTTTCTGCTCCTCAATAGACATGTACTGTGATTGAGCAAGAAATACTTGCTGTATTAAGCCATTGAAATTTAGGGTCAAATTTATTACTGTATCATAACCTAGTCTATCCAAATTAATACCTTCTTCAAATATATTTTCCTTTTAGGAAATGATTACTCCTCTACCATTACTGACAAATATATTGAGGTAAAGAACTGATAACCTGGTATTTATTTAACTATAAGTATTTTGATAGATAAACACAGTTATGTGTCACTTAACAATGGGGTTGGGTTCTGAGAAAAGAATCCTTAGGCATTTTTGTCCTTTTGCAATTATCATAGAGTATCCTTACACAAACCTAGATGGTATAGCCTCCAATATACCTAGGCTATATTGTATAGCCTATTGTTCCTAGGCTACAAACTGTAAAACATGTTACTGTACTGAATACTGTAGGCAATTTTAACACAACAATATGCAGTGTTTCTTAGAACAGAACATTCTTATGCCTATCCTCATTTGTATATAAACAAATGAGCATACTTACATCCAAAAAATAATCTTTATGCTACTATTAAATAAGAGTGTAAGGATTTTTTTGTAATTTTATTTTTAAACATCTAAAAGAATTTGAGTTGACTGTAGTATTTTCCACACTCAGTTCATCATAATAATCACTTGGTATCTTTCTTAAAATATATAGATACTATATTTAGGTCCCACCCTAGTCCCAAATAATTAGAATTTACAGAAAGACAGTACAGAAAACAGCTTTCTAAAAAGCACCTCAGGCTAATTTTTTTGTCAAGAAAGTTTGAAAAATATTATTTAACTGTGGAGTGGAGGGTGATAGTTGGGGTTTGGTAAATGAATTGCTAACACAAAAGCACTTTATGAAAATAGTTTATAAAAGTAGTGCTAATTATGGTATAAAAAATCAGTTAAAGTAGACATTGTCTAATTAATAGGTCTTTACAATCCTGTATATCAAAAATTCTGTGACACCACATTACAAGCATATAATTAATGTTCTAAAACTTAAAAATGTACTTTCACATATATTGCTTTATTTCATATGATTTCCATATGGTTAAATAATATTACTGTTATATTCTGTCTATAGATAAGAAAACCTAGGCTCTGATTCACTATGCTTTGCTTCATATTCATACAGCCAAAGGCTTTTCTAGTAAAGTGATGTTTGAATAGAAGCCTAAAGATAGTCACACTTTAAGGTGGTCAAAAAAAGGAGAAATGTTGGAAAAATCATCGACATAATCTTGGAAATATTCTGAGTTAATCGATTCTACTTGTTTCCTAAGATTGGTCATTGTCTCTCTTAATTAAGGGTAAGAATTCTTCAGGTGGTGTTTGAGAGTCGATGACATTTCCTAAGAGTTTAAGAGTGATAAAAATCATTTGCTCTAGAGTCAGACTGTCCCAGTTCAATTCTTGGTTCTGTTCCTTAGCAGTTGTGTGGCTTTGGGGTTGTCACTTAATTTCTCTGTACTTCAGTTTCATTATGTGAAATGGTAATAATATTTAAACCCACATTAGGTTGTGTAAGGATTAATTGGGCAATAAGTGTAAAACACTCAGAAGAGCACTAATATGTAAATATTCAATAAGTGTTGCTTATTTCATGGTTGGAGACACTAGCAGGCTCTGGCAATCTCTTTTTCTGTTTGACAGGGAAACAAGAAACCCAATTATGATGTTTCCTACATTACAGTCTCAACCTCGTGCCTTGTTCACAGCAGCTGACTAAACTATGTTGAACCATGATGAATGCACAATGGTTCTCAAGCTTTTGGGTGCATCACAATCACCTGGAGGAATTGCTACACCACAGATCCCTTTGCTCCACCCCCAGAGTTTCTGATTCTGGTAGTCTAGATGATGCTGAGGTTCCTGCTTTCAAACCATGCTCTGGACATGGAATGTACAATCAAATCAGATTATGGAGAGATTTGAAAAAAAGTTTAAGGGACCTGGGCTTTCTATTGAGGAGTTAGGGAATGGCAGAAGGCAAAACAATTAAATGAATGCTACCGCTATGTCAATATTTTATCAAATGGTATATATATAGATATAGTTTTAACTTGGGCATGCCTATTCTTAGTAATATTTTCTAAGTTTCTCTGCTATATTTTACCTTCTCAGAATACTACTATTCTTATTTGTCATAGATCCAGGGCCCTGTGTCACTATTAGTGTGATTTGGTGTTTCTCTGTCCTTAGAACAAGGATTAAGTTTCAGTAAGAATAAAAATCACCTGGGTGGTGGTTAAAATGCTAATTTCTAGGGAGCAAATTTGACTCAATATGTTTGGCCAAGAGCCCAAAGCTTTTCTTGGACAAACCACATTAATCTGATGCAAATGATTTGTGTCCCACATACGGAAATTCCCTAGATCTTTTTGTTCAAATTCCATCTGCTGTTGAAGCAAAACTGACTATTGCATTTTTTCATTTTTAAAATGTAATTTTTATTTTTAGGTGACCTCTCAGTCCAATTTGTTACATTTCATTAAAATCTGCTTGGTCTACGTCTTTTTTCCAATTTCAGCATTTGGTATAAGACATTTACAGAAAAGTGACTTGAAAGCAATTTAACCACAAGTTCAGCCAAATTAATTTAAGGAGAGTTTAGTAAACAGCCTTGCTTTCTGTACTTAAGTGATCAATTTCAACACCTGCTTTTCCTTCCAGATGGAGTTAATTAACATTAAAATTATTGCCTATAGCAGAGGCTTTTTTTTTTGATAACTCACAGCCTTCCAGCTGCATCCAGATTCCTACACTTCTGAAAATTAAAAACAACATGAGACGCAAATTTATTGTTGAACTGTTTCAAGATATGCACATAAATACAACCTTGGAAGAAAGAAAACTTACATGTGCAAAGTGGATACTACATGTCAGGCATTTTAACATATAAAATCTGGTAAACTCCTCATAACTATCTCAAGAGGGGTGTTATTCTACACACACTTAAAATATAAAGAAGCTGAAAATTAGAAAAGTTTTGTAACTTTTTGGATGTTATGCAGTTATTAAGTAGCAGAGCCAGAACTGCTATTTAACCAAAGTCCACATTTTGTCTACGATTCTAGGCTAGGCTTAGACTGAGGTGACGATTGGAAATTTTAAAAAGAAATCCCCAGGGAGTATGAGTTAAACTAATTGGTGTGAGGTAGTTTATACTGAGATAAATGTTATGTTTTAAATATTATGAATTATGTATACATATATACGTCTACATAAAATGCCCGTGAAGCTCCATTGTGATGTGGTGACACTTAACTATTCCATAATCGTAGTTCACTAAGAGCACTGAGAACTGCTTATGTGTCAGACACCAGAGTAGGGGTTAAGAAGAGATCAAAGCCAAGGAAAGGTAAAACGATTATTACAATGGAGTCTACAGTAATGAGAGTAATGAGGTATAGGTATTGTGAGTTCAAAAAATGAAGAGGTATTTAGTGAGGAAGTGGTATTTTAGGTATAAACAGTTGTTCCTCACATTTCTCATTAAATCTTTCCATAATCCTCATTTTAAAGAGGCATTTTGCTGATTTATAACTGTTCTTTATAAAAGGTAGCTTTATAAGTAAGTTTGGAATAAATAACTTTATAAATAAGTTATTCATTCAACTTTTTTTCCCACTGAATTTCATGGTGCCAGTCCAATTCATTTAAATGTTACAATAGAAGAAATATCTTGTAAAAATACCTGAAATACCCAGCACTTTCTAGTGATTGTGAATGAACAATACAGTTAAGAACATTGTTCATCATCATCTTATAGAAGATCCATTATCTATGGAAGGCTTTCATTAGAAAAAGCAGTGGCTTTTTCAAATAATTTATTGGTGATGGAGACTATTAGAGAATGTAGTTAATATACTATTCTAAGGGAGATATATGATATACACACATTTATATATTTACATACACACATACGCATATCCACAGTCAAGTCTGTTTGCAGTAGTTATATCTATGAAGTCACCATGAATTAGCACATACTGAACCATTGCTCCTGTGGGAAATATAGGACTAGGTTCCTGCCAGCCTGAGATCACAACATTGTTGTCAACTGACATACAAAATTTTGTTTTATGTGTAAGGATACATTAATTAGTATATATTGTTGATTCATAGACATTGCACTTACAGTAACCAGCACTATACCTTGTGCCTGAACAAAGCTTACCTACCACACACATTTTCTCCATAAGGCACATCTCAGGCTCCTTGTGCTCAGAGTGTGATAAAGCATTTCAGCCCTACACTTGGGAGCCACTTTTAACAGTAAAATCATCAACAAAAACACAAAAAAAGAGAAAAGTGTGACACTAAATAGACCTTGAAAAGGACACTTGTGTCCAGTATGAGAGCTGAAACAAGAAGGTAGACCATTGCCTTGTTCAGCCTCAGGGAAGATATGTTGTTGGGTAATTCAGAATTTTTGCCATTCTGCATGTACCCACAAATGACCTCAAAAGTGCCACAAGTATTGATTTTGGGGTTACAAATAAATTTTAGCCAATCTGAAGTTTACAAATATCAAATCTATGCATAACAAGAATAGAATATACATAAACATATGTCACTTTAAGTTATTGTAAATAACCTCCTCCATAACCACAGTGTAACTCTCTAACTGTAGAAGGTCTCATCTTTTCCTTTAGGTATATATCTCATATGTACTTTATGTTTTTAATGTTTATAAATAATTACTCTCAGTCTCATATGTCATCATTCTGGGCTGAGAACTCCACAAGTTTTATAGGATATTTTAAATCACATAGATTATTCTGAAGCTAAGGGCCCTAATAATTCAGTTCCTGTGGTTCTCTATATTTTATTGTCCATCAAGTATTAAGACTGATATTTTTGAGTTGGAACTCCCAATGTGTTTTGCTGGGAGTCAGCAAACTGGCCTGAAGCCGAATCCTAGTGAGCTTTCTATTTTTGTCAGGAATGTTTCATTGGAACACAGACACACCCATTTACTTACATACAACCATAATTCAGTACTTGGGAAAGAGACTGCATGCCTGTAATGTCTAATAACATTTGCTCTCTGCCCCTTTAGAGAAGTGTGTCAATCCTCCTGTCATGACATAAGGCTACAATAGATTTTTATCACATCTGCTTAGACAATTAAGTAGGCAAAGACTCTAATTGGAACTATTTTTTATCTTTAATGCACTTTAACCCTAGTTGATGCCTTCAGTTTACTCCTTTGTCATATATTTTGAAAATGTGTTTGTATAGATTTGCCTATCTATGGAGAATCTTGTTCATTCCAAATAATTGAATTGCTTAGTGTGATTGAAATGCATTTTGTCTGAATACGACATATTTAAATCATAGCTGAGTTAACGTAGCTATAAAAATATAATACGATGTCTAAGTTTACTATGAAATACTCAGTTTTTATATTTTTATTTTTTCAGTGTCCATTTTGCTTGGAGATGGATGCTAAGATGTAAACTGACTGGTAAGTGATACCGCATTTATTAATAACTATGTAATTTTTGAAAGTAGAGATTCTGTGTTTATTCTGACACTCTGGTTCTTTTTTGTTTGGTTGGTTTTTGTTTTGTTTTGTTTTGTTTTGTTTGTTTTGAGACGGAGTCTCGCTCTGTCACCCAGGCTGAAGTGCAGTGGCGCTCTCTCTGCTCACTGCAATCTCTGCCTCACGGGTTCACGCCATTCTCCTGCCCCAGCCTCCCGAGTAGCTGGGACTACAGGTGCCCGCCACCACACCCGGCTAATTTTTAAAAATTTTTTTAGTAAAGACGGGGTTTCACCGTGTTAGCCAGGATGGTCGCGATCTGCTGACCTCGTGATCCGCCCGCCTCGGCCTCCCAAAGTGCCGGGATTACAGACGTGAGTCAGCGCTCCGGGCCCGACACTCTGCTTCTTAAAGCTGGAAACCAAGAACTATAACTTACAGGGATTGGAATATTCTGTTGTTTTCCTACAGATAAAGCACTGAGATAAATATTTTATTTTTATTTGTGCTCACTGAGCAGTAAGTTTAAACAGTTCAATTTGCAAAGTGGAAAAAATAATTAAATTATTTGGATTATAGTCAATGTTTGTGTCAGTCATGAATTAAATCTGAAAGGAAAACAAAGGTTCATATGAGTAAAAGGAAAGAGGAAAGATAGGGAAACTAACCTAACAGGAATTATCAGCCAGTAAGTTCTATAATCAATGTAACTTGCTTAGAGTTTATATTCTTTAAACTTCTTAGTACTTCATGAAAACGATGGAACATACCTCTGAAATTCATTCTTCTTATATGTGGTTTCTACCTTATTCCATAGAAATATGGAAATAAATGATTTATTTTTGTTCTAGAATTTGAATGGATGACATTTTTGTTTCCTTTATGCACCAAAGCATTAGGTTTGCTAAGTTTGCAGCATGCATATTTAAAAATGAGTTACATATCAATTATGTTTTTCGATACATTTTAAATTCAATTGTTAATAATTGTCAAGGTTACTAGAATCTGTGAGTTTTATTTGGGAGTTAATTTTAAAATACACATTTTTTGAGAGTTAATTTAATAATTTTAATGGCAGACGGTATTTTCTTTTGTTATTCACATATCATTCAAGTTGCAATAACCATAATTGCAAAGTTATGGGTTTTAGCATAAACCTAGGGAAATCTAGATTATTTTCTGATTTAATAATTTATATATTCTCTGGAAGCTCCTATGGATCTTTATAACTTAGCTGAGTGCCAGTACAACAGAAAGGATAGTATTCTTTACTTAAGTGATGAATAACATCTGGTAGGTTGTTCAAGAGGTATTGTTGGTGTTTGCACTTGTTCATTGAATAATAAAATACTTAACTGAATATCACATAATATCTTGGGAATGTCATTGGAAATAAAATTATATATATACTTTTTAAAATTATGATTCAGAAAATGTAATTTCCATTAATGTCTAAATGTATTTTTAATTTAGGCAGACATCTTAGCTATATATTTTTTATTATTTGTCATTTTATCATTTTATCATTTACATTTGAAATAGCAGAGACAATGTTATCTGATGACTTGAAATAAAATATGTGACACTCATTATATATTACCTTATCTGCTTGTTGCCATTTTATAAAAAAGTACATTTGTTCTCCCATAGCATCTCCTTTAAGCATTCATTTGGTTATTGAGACAATGCTACCTGATATCACCACTGGCAAATATGATAATGTCGAGCAATTATAATCTACATTCTAGGTATCAGTTGAGAACAGGCTGAAGTAAAAGCATTGTGAACTTTTAAAATGTCCTATGCAAACCGAGAAACATTAGGATAAATAAAAGGGAAAAAAGAAATAAATGAAAGCAATTAGTAGAAAATGCAGGGGTTGCAAAGCGAGAGATCAACTCACTATAAAAACTAGTTTTTTTTGTGAATATGCGATCTGAAAAATGGAAAGTTAGGTCATGTGATTATATATTTATTTAGTAGATTTTAATATTAATGTTATTTTTGAAAAGTGTAAAACATGTTAGCACTTTTTTTGAAAATATTTAGCGTATCTGTTTGTTGCCTTAACCGGACACTATTTGATTGGCTGTCACATTAGAGAGAACCATAGTACAGAAGACCACAAAAAAATGTTATAATGGAACTTTTGAAAGCTAGTATGGGAAGAACTAGTCATTAACTAGCTACATTGGTGACATTAAACAGCTATTGAATGCTGAACATTTAATGGGTCCAGAGTAGCAGCCTCATGTTTTGAATCCTTCACCTCCTGTATCTCAGAAGGACAACTGTTTTTAGTTACCAGTATTTCTGCATTTCATTTAATGCCATATTAAGAAATGCATATCAAACATTCAAATCTAAATGTTGAATCAGGAGAAAAAAATAATAGCTTATTTGTGGTACTACACTGGAAACATGACAAACAGATTGACATGACTCAAGCAATTCATGTGAATGGATAAAAGAGTAAATTTAACTTTTATAGGTAAGCAGCTATTTTCCAAACTGTTATAACATGATGAATTCAAATGTCAACATTTGTTGCATCAAAGGCTTGCTCCTGGGCCTAAAAGTTTTCCCTCCTGTAATGTAAGAATTTCTCACTGGTTTGGATTCTGATATATCTACCCTGATAAACAAGGAAATCATTTGTCTAAAGTCATTTGTTAAAATTTCCCAGCCACTCAACTCTTACTAAAATTCATTTTCTTCATAATGCTGCTTGTCAGTAACAAGTCTAAAAGGATGAATCAATGCACTAAAATAATCAACACTGCTTCAGGTTTACATTAGTCATTAAAAACTATGAAGACATAATTTGGAGATTGATAACTGCTATAAATGAGTAAAGTGTACTTATAAGTGACGTTTTGGCTGACACCCTGGTTTGGTGCAGAACCCTAAGCAAAAAGAAAGTACCTTAATAAATATTTGTTGATTTAATAAATTAATGGAGTATATTTTTGAAGTAAGACTCTGGGTAAAAAGAAAATAGTAGTAGCGTAATTAAATTATACAAAGCACCATACTTAGTTTCAGTAAAGGAGCAGTATTGCATATGTTTAATAGTAAAGACACCAGATCCAGAATTTCTAATTGAAAATTCTGGTATATACAAGGTATACAAACTTGTGTCTCTCTATGACACATTTTCATCGTCTCAAAGTATGGAAAGACTGAATCCTTGTATTCTGCTTGGAGAGGTTGCTATCACACAGTAAACATTATATACTTATTGGCTACAGTTATTATTATTACCATTGTTGTGGGAGTTGGTGAAATTAGACGTATCTTTCATGATCAAGGAGTTTTTATTCTAGTAGGAGAGACAGATATAAACAAGATTAACTCTAATATAAATTATGATGTTTCCAAAATTTGAAATAGATGACTAGTGAAGATTTAACGAGTGAGAATTTGGACTCGTGTCATGAATGAGGTAGCTCTTTAACTGATTCCTGAATAATTTTACATTATTGTGAAGTTTCTCATGAATATTTCGGCGTAGAAAATTGCAAAGACTGTATTCTGACAAAGATGAAGTAGCTAGACCTAAAGGGGCATGAAGAACCCACAAAACAACATTCACCCCTAAATGATACTACTCATTAATATATTAAATAATTATTCCATTAAAACTGATTTTATGCCATTTCCTGCTGATATTTACTTTTGAAACTGGCATTCAAGGCCATTCAATGTCAAAAGCCAACGTACCTCTCCAAACTTACCTTCCTATTCTCCACCTACCAGCTCCAATTTCATTTTATGCTCTAGACATTTTTTGTCTCCTTTTTCCCAAGCTCACCGTGGTTTTATACATTTTCCTTTCACCTCAAAGGCTCTTATAGCTAGTCCCACACTAGGCAAAATTCTAGCCTTCTAAAGAATTTCTTGTTCAAATGTTATTTCCTTTGTAAAACTTCCCCTGACTTTCTGCATCATTCCAAATTCGGCAGATAGAGACCAAACAGTGCCTCTTCTCTCCCCCTCACCAGACACACACCTGCACTTGCATGCGTGTGCACACACACATACACACACTCTACAAGGCAGTTATAGTAAAGTCTTAATTTCTTTAATCAGGGATAGAGAATATCTTATTAGAAGTGCATTTAGACACCCAGAACTGGAATAGATGGAGCTTACCTATGTGGATTCCCTTGGCTCTCCAAATCCAAATCCATAAAGAGTGAGGGCTGCCATGCAGCTGCCAGTGATATTTTCCACATACAGTAGAGTCTTGCTGATTTCAAAAGCTTAACTTCTCTTTTCACTTTTCACTACTACCCATGAAGAATTACACATACAATCTATATGCTTCCATTTAAGGAAAACATTGATTTCCTCATTCTGAACTAATCTCAGTAACAGAGAGGAGCTTTTACAACTTAGGGGAAGCAGGAATATAGTTCTGAGTAGTACTTGCATTGAAAGTTGCATCACTGCAGAAAACTCATTTTTCAAATGCCTCTACTCAGTATTAGACCTTTTATCTTCTAGCTCCCATAGCACTTTCTCTTTAATATGAGCTGGCCTCCAGGTTGGGGACTGGGAAACAGTAGGTAAGACATAGTTTTGACTTCATGCAGGTCCTTGTAGAGTAGAAAACACAAATCAATAGCAAGATAATTTGGTCATTTGTGTCACTATAGAGGGAAGTACTGAGTGCACTGGAATCATGTAAATAGGACATCTACATTGTATTAAAAATAGAGTAATTCAAAGAAGGTGACACCTGAACCGTTGATATGAGTTAACTAGAAAAAGAGGTTGGAGAGAACATTCTAGTCATATTGGATACTGTGTAAAAGAGCCGTTAAGTAAGAATACCTTCAATAATGTAATTCAGCATTTTGGTCTCTGTTCAAGACTGTGACGTCTTCAATGTTAGAGAGCATTTTTGTACTTTGGAGTCCAACTTATAATAGGTGCTATTTTGGCAAATATTTTTTGAATTATTTACTGACTGTGGTCATATCACTCTGCTGGGTGTTCTATATAAAAATTAAAAAAAAAAACTAAACTCCTGATTCACTGAAAATATTTTACACATGGACACATACGTGTGTGTGTGAGTGTGTGTGTATTGGGGGATGGATGGATAGGTAGGTAGGTAAGTAGATAGATGATTGATTGATTGATGGATGGATGGATAGATAGATAGATAGATAGATAGATAGAAAGATAGAGACAGAGTCATCGCAGGCTCTTTTAACGTTGCAGTTCCTTAAGGATAATTTGGCCATGGAGTAACTCTGTCTTTTGGACTTTCACAATCTGTACATTTCTGAAAATTTTCATCTGAGGAATGGTACTTTCATTGGTGACATTTGAGTGATTATCTTATTGAGTTATAACACATTGATTTATATGAAGTGCTTTTTTAGGCGCTCGATACATGCTTGTTGACTGACTGATATTCATAAACATTTAAGATAAGAATGATGTATATAGCAAAGTTATTTTGCCAACAGGAAACTAACTGGAGACCAAGATTTGTATACAATGCAAATCATAAGGACACAAATGTCTTGCAACTGCCTGGAGGAAGCACACAGATGCACTTTTCCACGCAACAGATTCACTTTGCTGCAGCTTATGACTGAGAAAAAGGCTTCAGGCAGGACCAAACAAACTATTTCTGAGACTGACAATAGAGTAAATCCACATTGTTTTCTATATTTTTATAGCGTCAGGGAGTATGCCATAAAGCAGTGTCTCCATATCACAGAGATGGTAGATAAGAATGTGCACTTTGGAATCAAACAGTCCTCAATGAAATTGAAACCAAGCCTTCACAGTAACCGTCTGTGTAGCTTTGAATATGCCCTTTAATTTCTGTAAGGATTGACTTATATAGTATGTCAGCAATGCCTCCTATCCAAGATGTCCACATACTAATCCCTGGAACCTGGGAATGTGTTGCCTTACATGCCAAAAGGGACATTGCAGATGTGATTGAATTAAGGGTCTTAAGACGGGATGATTATCCTGGATTATCTGAGTGGTCCCAATGTAATCAGAACATTCCTTATAAGTGGTAGGCAAGAGTCTTCAGCGTCAGAGAAATGACAGAAGCAGAAGTCAGGTTGATGTAGAACCATGAGACCAAGGAATGCCAGCAGGATCTAAAAGCTGGAAAAGGTAAGGAAACTAATGTAGTTTTATCATGTAAAAACAGCCATAATAGAAGACCTCCATAGGATAATTCTGAAGATTAAATATGATAGTATATATAAAGAGCATTCAGCAACAGACCGTCAGGATTAGAGGATTGTAGAACCCAAGCACATCTCCAGTTTGTGAAACCTTTCTTCATTCACATAAATAAACTTTTCATCCTACACTGTAACCACATATTTTGTCCTGGAAATTTACTTATTTGATAATGTAGACAGTAATTTGACTTACCATGGAAAGGATAATAGAACCACCAAAATTATATATATTCAGACAAGAAAGGAAAGAAAGGTAGCATTTTAGAAAGCTTGGTTTACATCAACATATTATGCTATTCAATGTCTCATACATTATTTTAACAACCTTGAAAGAAGTGGCATTTTTTTCCATTGTTACATGGTAACCTCACACAGATGTTAAGAGATTCACCTAAAAACCTAAATTTAATATAATAGGGCTATTAAGATGAGAGTAAGCTAACTCACAATAACTGAAAACTGCACAACCACAGTATAGCACCAGCACTTGACTAAACCCAGGGACTCAAGCAGTAGTATCAGGAGTAGACCTTATTCTCCTCCTCTCTCCCTGCGCTGCTCTCCTTTGTATTATCTTTCTTTACAGATTGGCTCTTATCATTTGCACAGACCTACGCTTTGAAGCTTATATTCTACCAGCCTGGCATGACTAGTGGGAAGAAAACATCTATTTTCTAATCAACCTGGCCAAAGTCCTAAGCTGATGCTCATTGGCCTGGCCTGAGTCATGGACTAATCTGATGGGGAGAAGACAAATTATCTGATCGATCAGATGTAGGTCCATGCCTAAGCTGGAGCATCAAAGAGATGTAGGTGTGTTGTTAGAATTTATAAATAATCAGTGATATGATTACTTGTTTTGATTTTATAAACCAAAATTTTGGTTTTGTAGAGAATGCCTCAGAAGGGAAAATGACAAACCTTGAAGGGGATTTTGAATAGTAGATAATAGCAGATGAGGACTGTTTTCTTACTCATTAAACAAAATTCAGTCATCAGAAACCCTGGAGAAAAATTCAACTTTCTCCCTTATTTTGTGGCTGAAACAGGACAAAAGAGGGGGAATGACTTGTTTAAGTTCATATGCTCAATTCAGGTTGCATGTAATCTTTGTTTCTGCCTTTGCAAATCTGTCTTCTTTCCTTTGTAATAAAGAAAGCCAACACATTCTTACTTGGCTTATCTGGGGGGTATCAGGTTTTCACTCTAAAATGATTAGGACTTATTAAGCCAGATTGGTTTCCTAAGGTCTGATTCACCATGAATATTCCTTTTTCTCTGAGTTAAACCCCTTTCTTCCAGTCAAATCCTCAGAATCATCTTTGACTTAAGACTCTTTCTCACTTAGAATACATGGAACCAGCTTGAGATTTATATTTTCTAAGATTTCACATTGATCTTAATATTCTGGATGAATCTACAGTCTGAACAATAATTTACATTCATTCACTCAACAACTATTTACTTAATACCTGCTATGCCAGGTTCTGGAGACACTATGATAAATTGGATTATTTAAGAACTTAAAGATTCTGAAGTTTGGTGAAATATGCACACAGTTAAATAGGAGATAAAAGTGAACCCGGGAGAGTGCTATGATAGGAGCAAAACCAGTGGTGGCAGCCAGAGGAAAGATAGCAACCTTGTGTTGCAGGAGGAAAGAGTGTAGAGTTGGTGAAGAAAGGCATATAGGGCTAGTTGACATTTAAGCCAATCCCTAACCTGAAAGGACACCAAAGAACTGAAAGGAGATGATAGGGGATATTTACAAAAGAGGTATAGAATAAGCAACATTCAAAAAGGTCTATGCTAAAAAGGAAACTAAAACAAGTGATGACAGGTGTAGAGTGCAAAATGACATTTTAGGGGTTTTAGTTAGATTGAGTTGAGAATGCAGAGAGATAGGACTGAAGAGATTTGTAGGGGCTAGAATGGAAAGATCTGGCAAGCCATGGCAAAGAATTTGAACTTTATCATGGACACACACAGTCGTTACAGAGATTTAAGCAAGGGAAGAACATAATTAGACTTTTGATTTTGGAATAGCTCTTGGCTATAAAGTAGAGACTGAAAGGGGGAAGGGTAAGCCTAAGGCAAGATGAACAAATAGGAGGCTATTTACCCTAATTAAGAATGAATATGAATCAAGAGTTGTTAAGGCATTAATATTAATAAATATTAATATACTTGCTTTCAAAATTTGTAAGCAAGAATTGAAAAGGGGATGATATTTGAAAGTACATAGTTTGCATACTTTATCAGTCTGAATTTGAGTAACATAAGTATAGGTATTATTTACATACCAAATATTTACATTCCAATTAAGCATCAGAATATATGCTAGAGTCCAGAGATACTTTCAATTTTCAAAGTTCCTTCTCTTAGATTTTTCTATCGGGAGGAAACAATTATATATCTAATTTTGTTAGCACTTACTATGTACTATAGAGGCATATCTGATAGAATAATTAATCTGTCTAGAAGGCATGAGGAAGTCTTCATATAAGTATTATAGTAGTTGAGCTGGGTCTTGAAATATTTTGTCAAAAAGATTTTAAAAATTACAAAAATATTAGAGCTAAATCATGAACTAAAACCTTATGAAGATTTAATTTTATATTTAATGAGCAGCAAATTTACAGATATAATAATGAACTTAGGAAGGGTGCAAGAATGAGAGCATGGTGTTAAAAAAAGGATCCCAAAGCACTTACTGCAACAGGCTAAGGAGTTATGATGTTTTACCTTAAAAAATAGAAAGACATCAATGTTTTAGCACACTAGTGACTTTATCAGGTCTCTGCACTTGAAAGAGAACAGTGTTGTGAGTGAAGAAAATATGCAATGGATGTAAAAAGGGTCAAACAAGAACTGAGGGCCATTAGTCAAGAGGTCTAAGTCAGTGGTTCCTACCTTTTCAAGTTAGAAGACCATTTAAATATATGTTTTTTCCTTATTCCCACTTGGTGGTAGTTGTATCTATGAAAACTTCAGTGTTTTACCTGCACATATATTTCTGGAAAATTTATAATAGGTTGGTGCAAAAGTAATTGCAGCTTTCCCACTCGTTTAATGGCAAAAACCACAATTACTTTCTTACCAATCTAATATAGTAACACTTAAGCTTCGCAGTGATCCACAGTCCTTGACTTAGCTCTGACAGAGTCGAAGATGTGGACTTGAATTAGGGCAAAAACAAGGAAAATGCAGATTGACTGTGATTCAGAAGGTAGACTAAGCAGAACTCTGTGTCCCATTAAATACAGAAAGAAATGTGAGAAGAGGGAAAGAGGGAAGGCATGAAGGGCAGTGGGAGATTAGAGAATGATCTAGGTGAGACGTGGCTGTGGCCTGTTTTAGAATTGTGTTATAGAGGCACTGAGAAAGCATCCGATTGAAAATACAAATTTTCCATTTGTATTGAAGTTGTAATTTCAATAATTATAGAGCTGACAAAATTTTTTGTTGCATTTGAGTTATAAATGATTCTAACATTTGGGGACTAAACTTGGTGAATCATAGAACTATATATATATTGTATTAGGAATCACTGGGGTATAGAAAATACACGTCTGAAATAAGAATTCAGAGTTGATTATCACAATTACTATGCATTTCTTTCTTTGACCATTTCTTGCTAGTTTCATTGTCTGTTTTTTTACAGTAATGCAAGCCTCAGAAGAACAAGGTTGTACACATTGCTCTACTTCTAATAAAAACACCAGCATAATTCATAGTAGTAACTAAATAATCATGTGTTGAATAAATAAATTGATCAGCACCTCTCTGCTTTTACCTTTTTTAGGCCAGGTAGTGTTAGGAGTAAAGTTTCTAGAAATAGACTGTTTGGGGTCTGGGTTCAAGTCTTAGCTTCAGTGCTTACTAGCTATTTAACTCTAGGACATTTCATCTCTCACAGCCTCAGTTTCTTCATTTATAATTTTTTTAAAAGCAGCTGATAGTCTCATCTCATAAAAATCTGAGGGTGAGATAATTTAGTTCCTGGAAAGAAATTAGAATGACATTTAGTTAGTAGATAAGTGTACAGAAAACATTGCCTATTAAAATTATTATTTGAAGGAAATCCACAGATAAAATACATTTGACAACCATTGCTCTACATATATGGAAGGATGCTTTATTTGTTACAAAATAATTAAAAACACTTTATACTGGAGACATTTTAAATGCGTTATTCTTTTTATGTATGTGGGTACTGAGCATATTTAATAGCAAAAATAAATATTAAAAAATAGTGACAGCAGCAGCAGCGTGCTTAAGTGTTTTCCATTTTTATGAATGTATGGATGTGCTTGTATCAGTGGTGGGGTGGAGGCACCCAGGAGAGAGAAGATACAAGTCTCAGATGGAGGCAATTGTTGCTTGATTTTCAGTAGCGTGATTTAAAGATATTGTAGCTTGAGTTTACGTCATTTTTAATACTGCCTGCTATAGGATTTTTCTCTTTTGTTTTGTTCACAATAATTTAACTGTTTCTGAGACTTTTAGTCAGTGAGAAATGGACTACCTGGCCCCATTTTCTCTAAATAGAATATTTATCTTCAGCTATTCATCCCACGCTACATACTCCATGCCATCCATCTCCGTGAGTACCAGAGAGGCTTTAGAGGAGTGTTTGCCCCTCTGAGAAATCGTATGACACACCTGCTATTTCTTAGAAAATGAAACTCTTGAGATAAATGTTTGATGTGCTTTCATCTTCTTTTCAGTTCTCACTCCTCTAAATATGCATTGGCAAAGAAATCTCTCAAGCAGAAAGGTGAGGCACATTACAAAGCCAGTGACTGCAAGGATGATTATTCTTCTTTGCCCTGCAGGTCATTTATTATGGATGGGAGCTACGTCAGCCTCACCCCATAACCAGACTCTGCTATTAATGCAAAGGGCTTTGAAGTTGGTTTTTGTGTAGCTGCCAACCATTTCTATGACCAATATGAGATTTTGTGGTTCTGAGCAACTTTAATTCCCCATGCAAACATTAAATTAATTCTGATAACCTAAGATGAGTTCCCAGAACACTGGAATTATAAGCATAGTATTTCAAAAACATATTAATTGACTGAAAAATAATAACAATGGCTTTTACTATCCACTATGCACTATCCCTGCCATTTGAATATTGTAATCTCAGTTTTAAAGGTGAAATAACTAGCGCCTCAGGGTGGTTAAATAACTTGTTCAAAGTTATAAAGTCAACTTTAGATCTTGATCTCAAACTCAGGTACATTTCCATGCAACTCAGGCTTTCTTACTACATTTAGCCTCCTCTCAAATTACTTTAGATGGGACATGTGAGAGACTGCTGTTATTCACAGAAGCTGTGTGGTTTCAGAATATCAGCCCTGGACTGCCTGTTGAAATGCTTGATTAAAATGCCAATGGCCAGAGGAAAACATTAGGTGGGTCTCTTCCAAATTCATGCTCTCTCCATGTCTTTTGTATGCTATATATTCCACATTAGGTGTTTAATAAATATTAAGTAGATAATGCCGCCTGAGTTTAAGGTTAATGTATCTCTAGCAAGCACTTACATTCCTTAAGAAGAGATCATATCAATTTGAGATTTTACTTTATTATAATGTAATATATACTGAGAAAAAGAAGAGACACTGTAAGTACTCTCCAGTTGTTTTGATCATGACAGAGAGCAGAGCAATGTCTCTGCAGATTGGTGATCCAATCGACATAGCCAACATTGGCTGAATGCTTTCTACATGCCAAGTGCCCATCTAAGCATCTTAAATATGTTAACGTTTAGTATTTCTAACAGCCCTTTGAGTTAGAGATACTATAGTCTTTATTTTCCACATAAGAAAACTGAGGCACTGAGGTGTTTAATAGATGGCCAAACTGGTATAAGCCTCCTGTCATTCTAAATCTAGAGTCCAACATCTAGACAGTATATGTTATATATGTTATGTTATACTTCATATGCTATACTTCATTAAATATAAATTTGAAAATGGAAAATATTTATTCATTCTTTTAAAAAAAGCATTAATTGAGCACTTTGTGTGCTCAAAGCCCTGTGCCAGAGGTCTGGTGAGATATACCTGACATGAGCATACAATCAAATGATACACTAATAAGAATTGTGAGGCAGAGTAGAATGATTGCTGTAATGATATCAAAAGACAAAAGCCACAGAGAAAGGTGAGGATTCATTCTGATTAAAGAATGTAGGAAATCTTTACAGAAAAAGGATGTTTTAAAGCCCTGGTGAGAGGAAAATAGAATGGCTACTGAGGGAACATCAAGAATAAAATATGTAGAAATAAAAAAAGCCATAACGTATTTGAAAAGCACCAAAGAAACTGGTAGGAAAATAATTCCCACTAGACTCAATTCTTCTGGCCTTTACTTCTACGTTCTCAAACAAAGATGCTCATTAAAATTACTGAGGAACTTCTTCAAAGTGGAGTCACCCTAGCTTTATACCCTAGAGACTCTATTTCCATTGGTAAAAGTTGGGGTTTAGACATGTGGTTTTTTTTTTGTGCCCTCTCAACTAAAAACCACAGTAATTGATTTTTAAATTAGTATTTAATTTAAATACTCTCTCTCCCCTGGTTTATCTTTGTGGGTGGCCAGGCTTTTTTCCATTTTTGCTTTTATAATATACCTTTGAACAACCAGGACAAATCCCAAAATGAAGTGTGGAAAGAAGAATATAGAGTCAAGCATAAATATATCTATCACAATTTATTGTGGTTCTTATACTCTTATACCTTTAAAGCATGTACAGTAGATCTAACCCTTTCATATTGTTACTATGTTTTTCTAAATAGTCCAATATATATATCTTTAAACAATGTTTTTTAATCACAGAATACAAAAAAACAAGAAAAACAGACAATCTCAAAGGAAACATCTAAATCTGAATAATTTGTAATGTACTTTTGCATATATATATATACACAAAATGATTATTAAAACAGACATATATATATATATGCACATACATGCTCACATGCACAGACACACATACACACACACACACACATAAGGATGCAGGTAGAGATTCCCTGGCCCAAGTTCCCAACCTAATGTTTGAAACCTGAAAGTGTAACTTGCTCCTTTATCACCTGTCTCTAGTTTGGGAATCTCTTACCTCTGAGGTCTTCTTCCATGGTTTTCAGTAATCTGAAGCCTTCAGCCTTGCAAGAGCAGCATCCATTCTTCTTTGACAAATACTTTTTCTAGAGCAATGTCTCCTAAAGCTGTCATGGTTAGTTAAAGATGAGTACATACATGAATATATGTGTGTGTGTAAAATGATAATTCACCTGCTTCTTGCACCTCCCTATTATTATACTCTACTTCTCAGGTAGAATTTCTGGCTACTACTCTTGTTGCTCTACCACCTTTCTTCCATGCTTTCCATCTCCTAAGAAAAGATTGCTGTGAGGTGTAGAGTTTCTCAGATAAACTTCTCTAAGGCCCTGCTGACAAGCCCTACAAAATCACAAAGGCAGTTGAGAGTGCCCATACCCTATAATTTGAGGCATTTTTCTTTAGATATGCATCAATACTACAACTACTGCTACTACTACTACTACTAATAATACTAATTGCCACTTATCATGTAACTATCATTGCCAAAGACTTTGCATTCACAAATCCATTATTTAGTTTTATCTTCACTACAGCCCTTTGAGGTAAATATTATTAAACCTAATTGCAGGTGAGGAGTAATGTGTCATGTTTCATAGAACTAAAAAAACAGCAGTGCCAACATTTGAACTCAAGCATGTTCAACTCCAACACCCAGCCTATTAATTATATATATGTATATCTATCTCTCTCTATATATATTTTATTATTTTAGCCTATATTTCATGAGCAACTGCAGTGCATATGTCAGTTCCTGATTTTGGTGCTAAGGATACAAGGATTATTAAGACAGACAGATTTCTGTTTCCTATGAGGGTTACGGTCTAGGAGAGGAAGAATATATTAATCAAATTCTACAAAAAATATGAGATTACAACTTTGGTAAATAGGAAAAAAGGTACATCTTGATACATTTGGGGAATTTAAATGCACATGGAGAGGTCAACTTGGACATGGAGAGGTTTATATGAAGTAACTTGCAAACATATGTATGAAAAATGAGTAAGATTGTTTTTTAGGTAAAGAGAGATGAAAAAAGTACTTCAAGAAGAAGAAACAGCATGTGCAAAGGTTGTGGGGTTTGGAAAGTCATGATGTATTTACAGAGTTAAAGGCCCTTGTGTGAATTGAGGCTGAAGGTGTATGATTGAATAAGACCATGCATCAGTCAAGAGTTTTATCTTTTATGAAGAGCAATGGGAAGCCAGTGGAGGGCTTTAATAAGGAAATTGACCTAACATGGTTTTGTTTCGAAGATTACTCTAGCTGCAATGTGGAGGAGTTTGGAGAAAGGATGAACATAAATATGAGGAAATTAGCCCTGAAGGTAGTCCTGTTGAGAGATAATGGGAACTGGCACTAGACTTATGATGAATGAAGATATTTCAAGAGGTCTGAAATCTATTCAGGAAGTAAAAGTAACAAATTATTAATGGATTGCATTTAAGAGTGTGGGAAAAAGAAGAATCAAAGGTATGTCCCAGGTTCTTGATTTGTTTAACCAGACTGAAAGGGTATCAATTTAATGATAATGGGAATGGTAGAAAAATATATTGCCTCATTATTCTATTAATAATCAACTAATTTATAGGAAATATACAATACTACCAGTAGTCATTCAATTGGCAAATATATTTGAATAATTGCCAAATACTCAAAAAATATATTTGACGTGTTAGTGGCTGCAAAAGATAAAAATGTGCTTGGGACTGTTAAAATACTTACTGGCATGCTAGGAAATCTACTGAGATCACGTACTTATGTCTCTACTGATTAAAATAAGAGTAATCAAATTTATTTACAGGTAGATTTTTTGATAATGTAGCTTACATGTTCAACAAAATATTTGTTGAGTGAATTAATCATAATTCGAAGAGGTAGAGTATTCACAGTCCTTGATGATTAATAGGTATTAAATATTTTACTGATTTAGTGCATTTAATAATGTAGTTCAATATAATGTGTAAAACAAAATAATTTTGAAAATGGAAAAGAATCTTAAAGTTGTTTTTATTTTAATACGAAAGTAAGTCATTACTGTAGTCTTCATATATTAGTTTTGCTATACCTTCATTCTCTCCCATGTCACATGCACACAAAATTAGAATCCAAGAAAAAATTAATGCATCTTTAATGGTGGCCAAATAAGGACATGTATCCACTAGGGAGTCTTTAAAGACATGTATAATGAAGTGTTTATTCCAGCTACTTGAGTAATTCAGGCCACCAGATGTCACTACAGATTAAGCAATGGTGAAAGGCTTTCCACAGTGTAAACTCTACAGAGGCTTCTGACAAGTTAAACAAATTCAAGTGGGTGTTAATTTTAAAATAATAATAATTGGACAGTTGTTTTAACTTCTTTTCTTTTGCCATCCCTCCAGTGCATCTGGAGGAATAAAAATAAAGAATGCCTATATTGCATTCACTGTCTAATTTTGTGTAACTTTTCCTTCTACCCTAAAAAAAAAATGATGTTACAGTTCAGCAGAGCATGTTTTTTGTTTCAGCAATTTGTTTGATTCTGAGCAATATTTTTCAAACTCCACTTTACTCTGACTTCATAAAAGAAGACTGCCCCAGCTCACTTATATTAATGAGCCTTTACACAACCACCTTGCTTGTAAGGGGTGCAGCACAGGCTGAATGTGTTTCCATTATAATGGCCATGTATAACGGGTAGTTAATAATGAAGAAAATTAATTAGCTGAATGTCACCAGAAACCTATATTGTGTGGCAAATGAACAGGGGGCAACCAGTTTGAGTTTTAATTTCTGCAGTGAGCTTTTGTTGTAAAACTCCTTTCCTCCAAATGAAATTGAGCAGAGAATTAACGGCATGAAAAATGGCTGGTGGAACCTGGTGAGAGGCCTTGATTACAAGAGAGTTTGTTTTTTCTGTAGAAGTTCCCACAAGTTTCTCATTGGAAAAAGAGGTTATATTCTTTCATTACCTGAATTTTATTGTGTAAGCCATGGACAAATAAAGAAACTGAGTCAGATATAGTCTTTGAGCAAAGCTAGATTTTAGGTCCGTATAAATTAGAATCAGAATTCTTTTGGTGAAGTAATTTCAGCTCAGATTTATTGATATAGAACTGAATATCTCACACATTTATTCAACAAATAGTTATTGACACCCTACTGTGCACAAGATACTTTTCCAGGTGCTAAGGATGAAGCAGTGAACAAGTCACCTGCTTTCCTGAAGCTCCTCTTCTATCTATTACAGAAGAGCATGGGGAATATGGAGATAAGGAGAGAAAAAATAAATGGTTTAGCAATAAGTAATTTTTGTTATGTTCTATAAAAATACACTACTAGGACAGAGAATAAGTTGAAAATGATAGAACAGGGGGACATCTTTAGATAGGGTACATACAGAAGTCCTCTCTGAGGAGGTGGCATTTGACTTGATATTGAAAGAAAAAAAAAAGAGCCAAATTTGTTAAGTTTTAAGCATCTGGGAGAGAAACATAAGAGTTCCAGCTTTACAACATTTATTTCATAGCTTAAGAAAGAAATTGAGTCCCTATCTCATTATCAATTTGAAAAATGCTCAGTGAGGAATATTGGCCCAGTTGCTGATACTTAGAGCAATTAACTCTGCCTAAGAAGACAGGGTTAAAGTAAGCAAATGACTTCCAATTAGAGTCACATATTTGGAGTAGTGGTAGGAGTAGCCCCCATAGAAGGATGGGGGCAACAGTAGGTGTCTACTTACTGCAAGATCTAATGGAAATTTACTAGATTTTGGTAAAAATGGCAAACTGGCATACACACACCTCACTGGTGACAGAATGAACTGTGCAAATCTTATTGAAAACAATTTGGAAAGTTATTTCAACAGTCAGAAGGATGTTCACACTTTCTTTGACTCATCAATGCATCTTGATAATGAATATGAATATTATTCATCTTATGAATAATATTTTTCAAAAAACAGTATGGTATGCATGAAGATGCTCATTACAGTGTCATTTAATAATGAAAAATAAGAAATAGGCTGAACACTCAACAATATTTGAGAAGTTGTGAAAGTATGACACATCAGCTTGATGAAATAATAAGCACTCATCACAGCAATAATTAAGAGGATCATGAAACAAAAAGGACAGTGAAATATGTTAAAGTAAAAGCATGGTTTGAAATTATATCTGTGGGTTTTTTAAATTTTATGTTGAGTATATGAATTCATTTGGGCAAAAAGCAAAAGAAAACCTGGGGGAAAAGGCTAGTTTACTTTATATAGTTAATAAAACATTAGCTTATTTGATATATTTAATAAAAACATTGGAGACATACAGTATTTTGCCAGATTTAGAGTAGGAAGATAAATAAGTCTTCCTTATTAATAATAAGCACCTCATTAGGCCTCCTATCAATTCAGGTAGTCAGTACGTACATACAGAAGCAGGAGGAGTTACTTGCTATTGTAGCAAGCTCACAGGTTGGGGGAAGTGGGTGAAGGAAGAGCACCATTATTTCTTGAGTATCTGTTGTGCATTAGTCTCTTTATGAAAAATTTTATCTGTATATTTCATTAAGACCTAAAAAACTCTATAATTTACATTGCATCATGCTCTACATTATTTGCAGGTAAACTGAAATTCTGACGAAATAATTTGATTACATTCTCTGTTGCAATAAGTAGTAAATCCATAATTTAAATATATAGCTTTGGGTTCCCAAACAGTACTCTGCTTTCTCCTTGGAAATACGAATTTAAAAGGGGGAAGAGGAAATTAGGGAAACGAGGAGAATGTCCTCACAAAGCATAGACGTGGCTTTTGCACTGGGTCTAAGCTGCAGTGTGGAGGCTTTGTAGGGACATTTTTCTAAGTCTTGGAAACTGCATATACAAAGAAAGGCACTGAGACCTGAGGCAGCACAATGTGTTTTGTACATTGCATATTTAGAGTGGCTGCAGATGGGCCTCCATATGAGGGAAGAGCAGGACATGAGATGAAGAATTTGCATTTGAATGATCTATAGGCTATGATAAGAAGCGTGAACTTAATACTTAAATGGTGGAAAGCTAAAGAATCTTCAAATTTATAAGGGGGCTTTACTTGTTCCTTTTGTCTAGCTGTACCTTTTCCAATTGCAGAGGCCAGAGACAGACACCAAAATGAAAAAATATCCACTGACACCTCAAATGTAGTTCTGCCACACATTATCATAATTTCTGCTGACAGAATCACAGAAATTTACATTAGAACAATTTGAAATCAGTTCTTTTGTGGGTCTTTCAGTACAATGTTTCTCTCTGTTCAATCTTGCCTTTATGTTAAATGAGATTTGCTTATCCATGTTGCTGTTTCTTGTTATTGTTGTGATTTTCCTACCCTTTTCAGATCTCTATCATCAAGAGCATTGCTATGGAAATAGGATCTTTGTTTAAAATTTCATTAGCTATCTTGATAAACAAAATATTCTGTTATTTCTAGTATTTTACACTCAAGCCTATGAGCATTTGAATTTCCAAAGGACTCTAATTTTTTAAGAAGCCTTATATGTAGTATATAATCTTTGCACTATTTTGGCCATAGCACGGCATTCAACCAAAAGATATATGGATATATATATATATATATATATATATATATATATATGAATACAGATATATATATATATATATATGAATACAGATATATATATATATATGAATACAGATATATATATATATGAATACAGATATATATATATGAATACAGATATATATATGAATACATGTGTTTACATATATATATGAATCTGTGTATATATGTGTTCACATATATACATAAATATATATGCATAAAAATAAGCATTAGATTTTCCATATACATTATAAAAGTATAAATATATGCACACAAATAGACTATATATACATTTTATGGTAAATGTATAGTAAAAAATGTATTATTTATTATATAATATGCTTCTATGGCCATAGACAAGTATATATTTAAAAGAAAATGTAGACAATGCTTAAAGATATATCTAGAATTGCATATCTGTACAATTACAGAGCAAGGTCTAGATCACAAGGCTTAATCCTAGATCCAATAATGATTAAAATTAAAGTGTGGCCCAAAATAGATCTATAGCTAATATTTCTACCTGCAGTTTTTTTTTTATTTATTGAAATAATAATTTTGAATGTTATAGATGTCACTCTTTGACTTCTGGAGAAGGATAAGCTGCATATTCAATATGATAGATAACATGCAAAGATCATTGCTTGTAAAGAAAGAATCCAAAAGAAACAAAACATTGCAACATGAAGAGGAATTTGCTTTAAAGCAACATTTTTCTAGATTGTCCGTGAGCTATCACTTTTCCTGAAAGCCTTATCTTCAGATTTATCACAATAACAAATAGCAGTGTTTCCAGCCTCACCACATCATCACAATTGCACACTGAAATAAAATAAAGGCTATTGTCTAAAAAAATTAACCTTCAAGACTGATAATAGCTGAATTATTTTGTTGAGAAACTTATAACAACCATGATACATTGAAGCCTCTCTTCATTCTTAAAAATAATCTTAAAACACTAAATGTTTCAACATATAGAAAATTGATGAAAATATCAATGGTAGATACATAAATAGATACAAGATATAACACCACCATATGTTTTAAAAATCCTATAAATACAGACTAGGGAAAATTGAAAAGTAAAAGAATAGTTTTCGTTATTCTATTATAGAATGTACACACGTGCATGAATAAGGTGAGAATGTAAATATATAGAATAAAGGGGATTTTGCCAAGATAATTAATTTAGTACAAGTTTTTAAAGTTATATTCATTTTATTTCAGAAAAATGAAGTAGCTGTAACTTTGTAGTGTGTTCTCTTATACCCAGGAATTTCCCCTATGTCAACATCTCAGCAGAGAGAACAAGCCAATTTTATAGCTAAAGGAGCTTGGGGTAAATAGGTGCTTAGTTGTGCATTTTTATAGAAAATATTGCATCTTTCTACTTTTAATTCTGTCTTTAGGAGATAATTATATCCACTAGACTACAGTGCCTTGAAGCATTATTTACAGTCAGACAGAACTGAATTCAAAGTAATATCTTCCATTTATGGGCCAAGTAACCTTGAGCATGTTGTTTAACATCTCTGAACTCTAGAATGCTCATCTACAAATATAAATACTAGCAACATTACTTATATTGAGTGGCTCACTGGATTTCTCTAACAACTTCAGTTTCTTTCTTAAAACCTTAAAATTAAAGTTCAAGTTTTATGCTTTTGGAATCTTTACATATTAAATCTGGAATCTAACAGCTTAATTATTCTGACAATATCAGTCTCTTTGAGCTATTAGTAGTTAAGAAAATTTATCCTGTTCATTTTAGTTTCTCTAACATCCACAAAATGCCCACATTTAAATGATACTAGCAAAGAGAAAATTAAACTCAGTTTTCTTAGTTTGTCCTTATTAGTCAGGATAGGATAGGCTCTGTTGCAGTCACGAACTCTTAAATCTCAATAGCTAAGATGTAAAAAGATTTATTTCTTGCTCATGCAAAATTGGGTGGTTGTAAGTTGAGGCTCTCTTCCAGTTATTGAGTGTTTCTAGTTCCTTCAACCTTGTGATACTATTTGTGGAAGTTATAGAGGAAGTGGGTTGGAGAAAGCCATGTGATGTTTTTAAGAACCAGGCTAAAATGTAGATTATAATATTCTTCTCATATTTTATTGGCCAGATCTCAGTCACATATTTAGAAGGTAACTATAAAAGAGACTGAGAAATGAAGCATTTCTGCTTGTCCTAAAGAAGAAATGATATAGTACACATATACATAATCTCTGCTAAAGTGTACATAAAGTTGTAGTATTTCCTATGAAGCTTTTCCATATCAGCTGATAGAACTTATTTTTTATTTTCTCTCCTAAGCACAGCACAATACTTTTTAGATTAAACATTTACATAGGTAATTTAAGTACATTTTTAAAACTCTGTGATGACATACATAGTACGGATCTCCAAAATAGTAAATATTTAATTAACCTTTTCTTAACATATGTGAATTACACAAAAAAAATATATATAAGATGTGGCTTTAGATATTTGATAGGCCATCATATGCAGGAAATTAGTTAGTTATTCCTTGGAACATCATGTAGCTGAAGTATGGACTATGAGAAATTTCAGAAAGACATATTTCTCTTCAGTTTACAAAAGGATCTCCCAAGAAAGTAGGTTAATTTTGTCATAGTGACTTCTCAGTCTCTCAATACAGTTTAGTCATGCTGAACAGCAAGATATATCAGAAAGAGACAGTCATTGAAATAGATTCTTCTGGGATCAAATCACAGTTCTATCAGCTAGCTACTGACAGTATAGCCTGGGCAAGTGAATTAAATTCACTGATCTTTAATTTTTTAAATATATTTAATGGAGGTTTATCTGTCAAATTTCTTTATTGCAAGCAATAGAAACGAACTTTGGTTGATTCTAGAAGAAAATGAATTTATGGAAGATATTGCATAATTCACAGAATTAACAGTAACCTAAAAAAGAACAGAGCAGATAAAAGCCAAGGTTGAATAGGCACTAGAACCATAGTCAGAATCATGCCATAGTAATCATCTGGTGCTGACGCTGGCTGGACATTCATTGCCATAGCTGGTCCTGCCACTGCTGTTGATCCTCATACTCTGGAAACTGATGTAGCAGTTACTAGTGAAAATAATCTTATTAGACTTACTTGTGTCACTCTGGCCAGATTCAAATTCCTAGGCCAGAGGGTCTGATTGTTTGAACCTCAGCTACATGCCCATGTCTGTGCTGCCAGAAAGTGGAGAAAAGTACTTGGCCTTCTTCTTTCTGTAGAAGGAGGCAGGCTTACTTCTCCCTGCGATTCATACCATGGGGAAATCTCCAATATGGAAAGATATAATTATTGAACACCCAAAATCAACTACAGGATATAACAATTGTAACATCTTATGCTTAATGTAAGGATTATTGAAGATGTATTTTAAGTGGTGTAATATAATATTTCACAAGTGCTCTCTTGACCCAGTTTTGAAGTCTTGGCTGAAAACCCTCAATTACCCTTTGGGGGCAGTTTGCTAAGCCTCCACCCCAACTATCTCCCTTAAGATGCTGTCATACTCCTGGGTTATAATACACATATGCCTATGCCAGAGGTCCCCAGATACTAAACACCAAGGAAGGCTTCTTCTGTCTTTGGTGGGAAGGTTGTTAAAAATGCTCAGTCCTCACGAAGTTCATGAAGACTAGCTAATCCCACCTTATCTGCCATATATAAGCCATGTCCTAAAATCCCAGCTTGCTATTACGCTGTACTGGCGTGTAACTGGACATGTGGTCTTGCACAGTAGCCTTATCTCATTTGGAGATGGCAGTAAGAAAGAGTTCTGTCTTTTGTCTCTTCAAGTCTTTGTGTCCCACCATCCAAAGAACTATAATTATCTGATATCATATAATGTGAAACAGATGACCAGTACTATACCCAGAATATACCAGTTCAATAAATTTTTGAATAAATAGCTATTGGGAATACTTTAGAGAACATTCTTGCACTGAGTAAGTTTCAAAGTTTTTATTCAAACTCTATAACTCCATGAGAAGCTAGAAAAGGTACACAATGTAAGTATTTAAACACATATTTGTTGTTTTATTTTTGTAGCAATTTTGTACTTTTCTGACATAAAAATCTGGCTGCATTCAAGCCCACCTATTAAGATTTTAAAACATTAGAACCAGAACTACTACACGAATAACTCTCAGAGACAGATTTAGGCATGCACATTTTTTTTTAAATCTCCAACGGTGATTTTGATGTACAGATAGGGTTGAGAACCACTGGCCTACAGGATATACTTCAAATGCCACTGCATTGCTAGCTATGATTTTCACTGTCTGGGCCAATCTGTCTTTCCCACTTCTCCCTGTCTCCTGCATCTGCTCTCTTACCCTTTGTACTAGTGTTGTAGGACTTGCCATTTTCCAGACACCAAATTTTCTTTCCCTTTCTGGAGGTTTCACATGCTTTTTATTTATTAACTAATTAATTTTTCTAAAAGCAAGGTTTGACTTCTTGGGTCACTTCTTTTAGGGCATGGTACAAAACTTGGCCCCGTGGTCTCCTCTCCTGTTACTCTTCAGAAGGTCAACCCAGGCAGTACATTATGAAGATTTTTTTTCATGCAACATCTTTTACATTTGCTCCATTTTCTCCAGTTCTAGTGTTGCTCCATAAGAATAAGTCTTGCTTGTTTGATATGCTATGATTTTTTAAAAAATCTCCAACCTATTGCTAACATGTCAAGTTCATCCATTTTACAACTCATAGAGTGATTTTTATGTATTAATTTTAAAGATATGAAGCATACTTTGTGTGCTTGTTAAGAGATAGAGTACTGTGCTGGATGCTGATGAATAGTCATGTATAAGGAAGTCTACCTAGTTTTTGGCTTCTGGCTAAGGTGGAGAATCAGGCACCAAATTTATCTTCCAGAGAGACATAATGCTTTCCTCCTGAAATCATGAGCAAGAGAAGGGTGTTTGTTCTCAGCATTTATATTTCTTTTTATTTATTTATTTATTTATTTTTATTTTTTTATAATTATTATACTTTAAGTTTTAGGGTACATGTGCACAACGTGCAGGTTAGTTACATATGTATACATGTGCCATGCTGGTGTGCTGCACCCAGTAACTCGTCATTTAGCATTAGGTATATCTCCTAATGCTCTCTCTCCCCTCTCCCCCCACCCCACAACAGTCCCCAGAGTGTGATGTTCCCCTTCCTGTGTCCATGTGTTCTCATTGTTCAATTCCCATCTGTGAGTGAGAACTAAAGGTTTCAGTCAGTGTAATATGGCAAGAAAAAAAATTTTGAAATCCAGCTGAAAGAATAAGTAAAATTATTTTTTATTTATAGGCAATAGAATTGTCTGTAGAGCAAATCCAATGGAATCTACAAAAACAAACTTCAGAAACTAAGTAAATTTAAAAGTGTCAGAATACATGATACATACACAAAGAATCAACTGCTTTCTTATGCATCAAAGATGAAAATCTTAGAAATCTGATGAAAGATCTGAAATACCTGTACACTGAAAACTACAAGATACTACTGAGAGAAATTAAAACAGGCTTTAAATGGAAAGACCCAGTGTTCATGTGTTGGAAGACTAAATTTTTTTACGTTAATACCACTAATGGCTCCAAAAATATAATGCAATGCTATTTAAAATTTCATTAGAATTTTTAGTAGGAATTTAAAACTTTGTCTAAATTTAATATGGAAATTCAGAGGACCTATAATTTGAATGTCTAATTTGAAAAGGAATAAAGTCAGAAAACTAATACTACCAAATTTCAAGACCCATTAAAAAGTGACAGTAATGAAGATAGTTTGTATTGGCATTAAAATAGAAAAATAAATCAATTGACAGAATATATCTGCACATTTATGAGCTACTGATAGATTTACATATATTTGAGCAACTGATGTTTTGAACAATTGGTTATCCATTTGCGAAATAATTTTTTTAAAAAATGCTTTAATCCATACTTTATACAAAATTTACAAATAACATGTGAGTGAAAGTGTAGACCTAAATGTGAAACATAAAATTGTTATACTTCTGGAATAAAACATAGAAGAAATCCTTTGTGATCTTGGATTAGGCAAAGTTTTCTCAGATACGATAAAAGCATGACCCATGAAAGGACAATATGAAGAATTGCACTTAATAAAGGTTGAAGGCTTCAGTTCTTCAGAAGATATTAAGAGAATAAAATGATCAGCCACAAGACTGGGAGCAAAAAATTTGAAATCATATACCTGATAAAGAAGTTATATCGTGGCCAGGCGCAGTGGCTCATGCCTGTAGTCCCAGGACTTTGGGAGGCCGAGGCGGGCGGATCACCTGAGGTGAGGAATTTGAGACCAGCCTGACCAATATGGAGAAATCTTGTCTCTACTAAACATACAAAATTAGCCGAGCATGGTGGCACATGCCTGTAATCCCAGCTACTTGGGAAGCTGAGTCAGGAGAATCGCTTGAACCCGGCAGGCGGAGGTTGCGGTGAGCCGAGATCACGCCATTGCACTCCAGCCTGGGAGACAGAGCAAGACTCCGTCTCAAAAAAATAAATAAATAAATAAAAAATAAGAAGTCATATCAGAATACATAAAGGAGCTCAAAACACAATAATACAACAAATAACCCAATATAAAATGCATGAAATATTTGGACAGACACTTCACCAGCGAAAATAGATGGCTTTTTAGCCTATGAAGGGGGTTTAACAAGAGCAGTCATTAAGAAAATGTAATTTTGTACTACATTCCTCTTAGAATGGCTAAAATTTAAATTACTGATAAATATAAATAGGCATTATAAATTGAAAAAGTATCTTCAGAGAATAATTTCTTAAAAAGTTAAATACATGACTACTGTTATGATCCAGCAATTTTACTCCTTGGTATTTTTTCAAGAGAAATGAAAATATATATTATTATAAATAATTATATATGAATGTTCATAACTTTTCTATTTGGAAGCCAAACAAGCAGGACTAACTCTAATGTCTATCAAAAAGTTAATAGGTAAACAAACTGTAGCACATTCGTACAATAGACTAGTACTCAACAAGAAAAATGAAAAGACTATTGCTACATCACTGATGAATCTCAAAATAATTATGCTAAGAAAAATCAGACCAAAAGTGTTATATAATTAGTTTTACAGAGAATTGTAGAAAATGAGAATCTCATGACAGAGCAGATCAGTGGTCAACAGGTAATGAGGGGACTGAGATGAGAGTTGTAAAACCGCACATCCTGAAGATCTATATTTTCTTAAGGGCAGATTTTCTTTTCCATTGTTTTGCTTCTTTTCTCTCTGTAACCAGACAAGTCTTTCCCTTCCATAAGTGCTATCCAATTCTATTAATTTTAAAGTCAACCCCATGAAGTATTCCCTGATTCTAGCTTGAAATGTTTCTGCCTCTTATGAAAACCCAAAATACTTTATTTAGAAACATGGTGATGGCAGTTATGTGTCCAAGAGTGCTGTTAGCACTTTCACATGCTGTTCATTTGATTCTCACAACATTTCTCTGAGGCAGGCAATATCATCTCTACTATATGGATGAAAAGCTGGAGGCTCTGAGAGCTTATATGACTTTCCAAAATTCACACATTGCTAAAAGGCAGAACTAGGAATATGATTCAGGGCTTTTGCCTCCACGCCCTGTTTTAATTCCATTATGGCATTATTACTACAGCCCAAAGTTATGTCTGTCTGGTTCTAACCAGCACTGTTTTTCTATAATACTTCATACTCATGTTTGTAGTGGTTTTCCAACAAGAACACAAACTTCATCAGGGAAAGAAGGCAATGTCTTTTTATCAATTTGTGTGAGAGATGTGCATATGGGATGGTCAATACATGTTTGAGAGAAAGAATGAAGGGAGGATGAAATGAAAGAAAGAACAGAGGTGGGAAAGGAGGAAAGAAGCAGGTCAATGGTTAGTATTATAGAAAGAAATAATTTAGTATTATTGTTTGACTTTGGGAGCATAATGCTAGCCAGCCTTTGCTAAATGCTAAAGATGAAATTCACGTGAGGATTCAAATAAAGATTATTGAACTTTCAATAAAACAGACATGTCTTCCATTATGGATCTGAATCTCATTATGAATTTACAAAGAATCTGTATTATCTACATTAGGTTTATTTGGGCCCTTAGAGTAGAAATCCATTGTCTCCCACTGAAATACTTGTTTACTCTGCTCTTGAGAGTTGCACCCTAGTTTGACAGAGGTGGGGAAGCATGGTAGGTTTAAGGTACTACCAATATTTGTCTCTGAGTACACGAAGGTCCAAATGTGTCTTGTGAAGTGCAATGATCCAGTAAGACTCTCCTATGCCACATGTCACAGTGATTGGGTCAGGAAAGGGTGTGACCCTAGTCCAAGCCAATTAGGAATCAATAAAATCTTAAGTTGCTGATTTTTGGATAGGGCAAGGCATACCATTTTCCCTCTTGATGCAAGATTTTGAGACACACATCAAGCTGTATTTAAAGTTACAACTGCCTCTGAAATTTCAATTATTTGAATTAAAAAGACTATTTTTGACTTTAAGTTTGTTTAGCTTGAATCTTTTTATCTTCTTGTGGTTATTTTCAATTACATTATCCCTAATACAAAAAATGTTGGTGCCTTGCAAATATATGAAGCTTTCCAAATGAATATATTGATGTAGTGACTTGGCTTCTTTTGATAACCTGGGGATCAGTTGCGCTATGTAGGGTTGTCTCTGTTACCTCGTGAAGAGACTTCATCATTGACTGTCAGTTTAGGATTACCAGTTATGGAGTGCTTATCATGTGCCAAGTAGTCTGCTATGCACTTTATGTATATTTTTCATTTAATCCTCATGATCAACTCATGAACGAAGGGGCATTATTTTCTGTTTTAGAAATGAGATAATTGGGGCCTGGAAAGATAAATAACTTGCTCTGATTTTCAAGCCAGAGTTTAAATGTCTGTCTGATTTCAAGAACTGCCCTTTCTACACTGCTAAATTATACTACCTTCACCTTGTCCATGAGAGATACATTCCAAGACCCCCAATGGATGCCTAAAACAACAGATAGTACCACACACACCCTACATAAACTATGTTTCTTTTCTGTATATACATACCTATGATCAAGTATAATTTATAAATTAGGCATAGTAAGAGATTAACAGTAGTAAAAACAAAATAGAACAATTATAACAATATGCTAGTATTACCACTGTTGTGCTTTGGGGACATTATTAAGTAAAAACAAGGGTTACTTGAACCCGAGCCCTCAGATACTATAACAGTCAATCTGATCGCCAAGATGGCTTCTAAGTGACTAATGGGTGGGAAGCATTTACAGCATTAAGATGTTGAACAGAGGGATGATTCAGGCCCCGGGCAGGACAGAGTGAGATGACCTGAGATTTCAAAATAGTGTGAAATTTAAAACTCATGGACTGTTTGTCTCTGGAATTTTCCATTTAATATTTTCAGATCACAGTTGACCATGAGTAACTAAAACTGCTGAAAGTGAAACCATGGATAAGAAGGGACTATCATACTATGCTTTTTAAATAATTATTGAAAATAATTTTTCTTTCCCTTCTAAAAATACTTTCCAGCAAAGAGGGAATATTGACATCGAGAGATATTTTTGTTTGTTGATAATATTAGAGAGGCTAGAGTATATCTCTAAGAGCTCATATATTATTATATTTCCCCATGAGTTTTTGTGAGCAAAAAATTTTATTGGCATCTTTGCATTGCACCATGGACACAAAAAGATATTTTGGTTGAAATAGCATGACACGGTCAACCTTGAAATAGGCATTTAAAAGCCTTTTCATTTCATAAAGCTTTTAGTGTAGCCTGCAGATATATGGTTATATTTTTCTACAACAATTAAAATACATATAAATAACATTCTCCATGTTTAGCGTTTTAACCTTCCTTTGTTGGTAGCAAGATGCCTTCAGCTTGTTTTCCTGAATGCAGCATAAAAAAAAATAAATTCAATAAGATGTACATAATACTATTTATACCTAATGTAAGAACAGTCTTTGAAATATTTCTTTGTGAATATATCCACTACATGAAGAGAAATAAGCTTACAAATTTAGCTTGTATGTATATTATATGCTAATTAACTCACAATTTTATGTAAATTTGTGTGAACAAAAAAGAACAGAAATAAAATAAAATCCATGGAAACTTTATATTTATTTTTAATGTTGGCAATGAGAAGTGTTCCCTTTCTATTTTTCTATATATTATTTTTAAAAAGGTTTTAGAAATAATATAACACATTATACTTTAAAATTTTATATACATTTTAATGTATAAAAATTATTAATACTAATTCCAAATATTACCGTTAAAGAAGTAACTATTAGTTGTCCAAACTACCCATTTACTTATTCATTCAATTATTTTATTAATTCACTATCTCTATAAACACCTAACATACACCTGGCATTGTTAAGAGTGATTAAGGATATAATAGTGAAAAGACAGGCAAAATCTCTGCCCTCAAGAAGCAAGCATTGTTATAGTCAGGGTAGAAAGTCGATACACATGCACATATATCCAGATGTGCATGCACACACATACACACACACACCAAGAACACAAATGCCATATGAAATAAACACTATGAAGTGCAACAAGATCATATGGTAGATAAAAACTGGGGTGGGAAAGGTCTTTCAAAATGATATCTCTCTAAATGTTTTCAAAAATAAGGAAGAACTATGTGGGCATAAAAATAATCATTGAGTCGGTCTTACTGTCAGTACAAATAATAAATAGAAAAAATGTCTAATAATTGAATGGCTAAGTTGTTAACTATATCACTTTTAAAATACACAACATTGGATGCATAATTAATGCTATTATAAGTAGATTCTTATGATGTGTGTGAATCCTGCACCAGCAACTGAGGTATGCAGGTTCTGTTATCAGAACTGACTAGGCAGCTGGCGTGACCTATGGAGAGGAAGGAAGAGCAGTGTGGTGCGGTGGCCCACCTGAGAGCCACATGGGAGAGGGCAGCCCCCACCCCCCAGCCAAGGGAGGCAGTGAGTGAGCGTGCTACCCAGCCTGGGAAACTGTGTTTTTTCCACAGAATTGTGCAACCCACAGATCAGAAGATCCCACTCGTGAGTCCACGCCACCAGGGTCTAGGGTCCCAATCATGGAGCTGTGCAGATTCTCAACAGTCACTCAACTAGAATCTGCTTAAGCTTACTGAGCTGGAGGGGGTGGAGAGGCCAGCACCACAGCTGCGACTGTCTGCTGTCTAAGTCCTTGGAGCCCCTTGTGGGAGGGGCAGCAGCCAGCATTGGGACTGACAGCTGCCTAACACACTAGGCTCCCAGGGCAGGGGAAGGGCAGCAGCCATCTCTGTGGCTCCAGGCTGTGCATTTTCCATTGATACTCCAATCAAGAGATTGGATACAGTTGTACAATGAATTTGCTTTTTGTTTTTATATCTAGAATGTGAGTTTTCATTCAATTCCCTTCTGAATCCTATGGCTCTCCTTCACAGGACATTTGTTTAACCCTAGCCAAGTTGTGCTCTAGTCTAGCAGCACATGAAGCCTTTCAATAATTCAGGACACACACACCCGCAAGGATACTTACTATAAAAGAGTGCACTCTTTTATAGTAAGTATCAAGACAGGGCGACTTCCTAGTGTTTGAGGTAGAGTGAATATAGTTTACAGTGATGTAGCGTATATTTTAAAATAGCTAGAAGAGAATGATTTGAATGTTTCTGGCATAAAGACAAACACTTCAGGTGATGGATATCCCAATTACAGGGATTTGATCACTATGAATTATATGGATTTATTAAATTGTCACAGGTATCCTGAATATATGTACATCTATTATGTATCAATGGAAAATAAATATTTTAAAAAGACAAAACATAGGCTCTACAGTGAGGCCGACCTTATTCAAAAGTGATTAGCTATTATGTAATTACATGTTATAAAGCCTTAGAAAGGTATTTTACCCTGAGTCTAAGTTTCCCTACCCACAAAATAAGAATGATGGTACTTACTTCTCAGGATTATGTGAGTGAAGGAGCTAGACCACCACATAACAGCAAATATTTTTTCCTCTCTCAAAAATCTAAGCCAGCATGTCAACATTTGCTGCAACTTAGGCCCTTCCTTCATCCTTCTTGGCAATAAGGTAACTTTAATCAGCTCACCTGTAATCCTTCTTTGAATCTTTCTTTAGTGTTTATTTCATTCACTCTCTTATTGCAAATAATAGTTGTTCACGGTGGCTCACGCCTGTAATCCCAGCACTTTGGGAGGCTGAGGCAGGTGGATCACAAGGTCAGGAGATTGAGACCATCCTGGCCAACATGTTGAAACCCCAACTCTACCAAAATGCAAAAATTAGCTGGGCATGGTGGCACGAGCCTGTAATCCCAGCTACTCGGGAGGCTGATGCGGGAGAATCACTTGAACCTGAAGTTGGAGGTTGCAGTCAGTGGAGATTGCGCCACTGCACACTGACAGAGCAAGACTCCGTCTCAAAAAAGAAAATAGTTGTTCATATATCGGACTTTCTTCCGACTATAACCCGATTGAAGACAAGACCATCTTATTACAGCCCCTACCTCCAGGCACCTTCCGCTGGTTTAGGGCCTCGTCCACGGAGTAATGATTTATGGAATGTCTTCAATGTGTCGACTACTGTTCTGACTGCTTTTCTGGATTAACTCATTAAATCCTTATATCCAGCCTATGAGACAGACACTCTTACCTAACTTTACAGACAAATAGAGGATGCAATAAATTAAGGGACTTTCCTAAGGTCTTTTTCTCTAACATCACACTGCACAACTTTAGGGAAAGCAAACAATAAATATTTGTTAAATAGGGACTGGTGGGAGAGTAATGCTATAGCAAGCTGCAATTGTTTAAAATATATTGTTTATGAAATAGATGTCTTAATATTAAAGGCATAATTTGAAACCTTGTTCTGCGTGGCCATTAACAGGATAGTTTTCATGTCTTTAAAATGGTCATAATCTTAATTTATGGGTTGCATGAGTTGTAGGATATATATCTAAATTGCATAGCATAATAGGAAACACCAAAAAATGATAAAAACTATTTTGTTGTTATAATTAACAATAACAATAACACAAAAACGATCACAATGTGTGCCTCCTTCCTGTTCAGTCATTGACTTCTCAGATAGTCTTTATGTAAGGTATTCTGGTTCCAGTTTCTGCCTCCTCCCAGCCCCCAACCTCCAGCTGTAATAACATCCGTAATAACAATTCCACAACCAGAAAATGTAATAAGTTAATAAGTCCTTCACAGTCTTGCATTTCTTGGATGTGGTGTTATACTCACCTGTTAGTCACCCCCATCAAGCCTTCAACTGCTGACCGCCCACCTCCAACTATGTCCTTGAGACCATGCCTCAAATGCATTTTGTAGTAGATAGAGACAAGGAGGCGACTGCCCTGAATAGAGACCTTCATAACTGCTTGCTACTGCTGTTGATTTATTCTGACTTTCTCATTTTGAAATGTGAGTTATCCCAGGAAAATTGAGATAAGCCACTATGAACTTTATTTGATCCTTTAGAAAACCGCGGTGTTTGGAGAAGAAAGCCACCGCAGAGATTCAAACCCATCTGGCAGGCGCAGAGAAAATGAAAGTTATTTGTAAATGCTAAAACATCCATTTGGGGGAACGGTATCAAGGGATTCAACAAAGGTCATTTTGGGGAGCATCTCTGTTTTCTTCATGAACATTTCAGAGAAGGACATAAATTGGGTATTAATCATGTACCCTGTGCAAACTAAATTGGAATAGACAACAAATAGAGACGAAGAGGGGAGGGGGATCTATGAACAACGTGATCTGGGAAAAGAAAAGACATATTAAGCATAATTTAACTGAAAGCTCAGGGATGTTGAGTATCATTACTCAGAAACACAAAGTACTAAAACATAATTTCCCCCACTGTTTTCTGCTCCATGGTTACTTTATCTTCATTTTCTTTTTGTTACTTTCATGAAGGTATTATTCAGGTTAGATCAAAGTTTCCTGGTGATGACTCACTCCCTCCCAGCATCTTTGTTTTAGGATTATACCCACTCAACTTCCAACTTCCCCGGGATGAGTCTGGGCATAAAAAGGGATCATAATAGGCAGGCAAGTATATTCTCTCTGAAAATATTTTTTCTTATACTGTGTCTTCCATTTGAGATGAGTCTCCCTTTTCCTATATTGATCCAGTTCAAGTAAATTCATCAAAAATAAAAATAAAAGACACTCTTTCAAGGAACTTACTCTCTAGTGTTGGAAATTAAAATGAATTCACATCTTTCAGAATGTTAGTTATTGAAATACATCTATTAATGCTAATCGTGAGTTGATGGGGAAAGGGCATGTAGAAGGAGAAAATGATGAAAAAGTTTGCATATACCTCTGAGCTCAGCTCTTCTCTGTCAAGTACATAAAGCCTTTTTTGGTGCTCATTTGTGTTCACATTGCCCTCTTTTACTGAACTATTTTTTCATTCTTAAATTATTTTTATCTTCCTTCATCTGATAAATTTTCCTGCCCCCCAACATATGATAAACTCTTTAGAATTGACTGAAATATCTCTTTATATAACAATCAATCACTGTACTAACCAGTCCCTAAGTACTTAGAGTTCTCAAAGCGCAATACGTAAATCATCAAATTTAGTGCTCCCCATTTCTCTGATAATTAGCTAGAAAAAAATGATAATTCTCATTTGTATATTACAAATCTGCTTTTCTGAGAAGCAATGGCTTGCACGTGGAGCCACCGAACATCTCCAGTCTATGAAGGATGGACAGGGATTCCTTCTATCATATTGTATACTGCATACTGGGAGCAGTGCAGAATTCTCAATGCATCCCAGCAGACATTATTGAAGACCCTTTTTACATTAGCAGAGACTTACTGGGTAAAATGAAATGTCTTAAACAATTATGTTATCTTCCTTAATAAAACCACACTTGTTTTCAGTTTATTGCATCTCGACTCTGTATTTTAAGGTGCCATTCAGTATAATGCAGAAACACTAAACCTGAAGGAAAAGGTGGGAAGAAACAATTTACCTGTCTCTTTCCTTTTATAGATTCATTTAGTAATATATGGCCAAATCCTGCTCCTTACCCCCCAAAATATAAAATAAAATGGAATTGGTAAAGAGCAAGTCCTAAAAATTCTGTGAAAGTTTGAGGCATTCACTTGAAATGTCAGAAACGCCAAACACTCGCTCGTACATTTAAGAACTTAGAAAGCTCTTATTTACTCAAAGTAATTATCTGGAAACTGGGTAAAGTTCAACATTTTAGTGGAAAGCTACCAAGAGTCAGAACCTCATTACATGACAACTTATCCAAAGAATGATATTTGGTCAGAAAGACCTCATTTGAAGATATTCACTGCTACTCTTTGAGGCAGTATTTTATCATAATTAAATATGTTGTAAAAATTACGTTTAACTTGATATTTAGGCTGCTTTTATTCTGAAAGTAATTTTTTTTTCATTTGGTAACTGATAATTTAATGTTTTAAGTCATTTTTGTACATATTAATTTATCTCTGAATTTAGTGTATATTCAGGACCTCCAAGACTTCTACAAAGAGCTAAAGACATGGTCTCTATTCTCAAGGTGCTCACAAGCTAGGGAGAAATATAAAATGTGTAAAAGCACATTAACACAGGTACTGTGTTGTTTTTTGAGACGAGGTTTCACTCTACTGCCCAGGCTGGAGTGCAGTGGCATGACCTTGGCTCTCTGTAGTCTCAATCTCTCCAGCTCAAGTGATCCTCCTACTTCAGCCTCCCAAATAGCTGGGACCACAGGTGCACGCCACCATGCCCAGCTGATTTTTTAATATTTTGTAGAGACACGGTCACTGTATATTCCCCGGGCTCGTCTTGAACTCCTAGTCTCAAGCTATCCTCCCACCTCAGCCTCCCAAGTGCTAGGATTACAGGTGTTAGCCACTGTGCCTGGCCTAGGTACTGTTTAAAATGAGAACGTAAGAATCTTCTGTATTTAAAAAACAATTTTCCAATTACTGTAAATACAGCATTATCTTTGGGATCATTGGTATTTACATGCACATCTAGTTTGTTTGCGTGTCTCAGGTAGATAGTAAATGCAGCAAATTTTCCAGCAAAACAATGCCAATTCATGTGGAGATAGATAATCAAGGACAAAGATTCCATGAGCTATTAAGAGTTTCTGTTGTTTAACCACATCTCTGCATTAAGGAGAATTAACAGAGAATGGATGTTGGTAATTAAAATGACAGACAACATAATTGCCATTGTTTGTTTTTGTATCTGTTTAAACTTGTTTAAACTAGTATGGAACACCTTTTTTTGTTCTTCTTTGACCTTGTGCCTCTGAAGGAATCTAATGGATTTTAATAAAACATAGGGTGATAAAATTACTGAATTTATGGGTTCGGCTGCTGTGCATTTTTTCCCTTGGTAGGGCATATTAACCTGTAAGTGTCTATTCTGTCCGTTTGTTATGATAGACACTAAATGAGTCAATATTGCATCAATAATTCAAGGGATAATTTAGCTGCATAATTGTATTTTATTGAATTAATGCTTTCAGCTACTTTGGTCTAAAGCATATCTACTGCAGTGTAACAATGTGATAGGATTCTTCCGTATACAAAGCTTTATATTTACTATTATGTATTTTTTAAATCAACATAAATATAACAAATACAGAGAAAAAAAGAGCACCATAGAAAGATTTTCTGGGCGACATGATAGATTAAAAAGAAAAAAAGATGGATGCTTTTATTTCTCCTGTCCATAGACACCTTTCTGCTTGAAATGCTTGGATTTCCCTTTGCCAGGCTATATTTAATTCTGAGCCTCTGCCACTAGAGTTGTAACCTCATCAGTCCAGGGAAAATTTGAAGTCCTCTACCATAACAATAATTATAAATATAGGTGGGAGATTTGCGGTTTTCAAAGCACTTTTGCATCTATTGTCTCCTTGGCTCTTTAAGATAATTGTTTTCTTTTATGGTGTGGTTTATTCTATTTTAGAGATGAGGAATGTGAAGCTCTCAGAGATATGGTTCTTCTTGACATAAATGACAAGCCAGAAAATAGGGAAAATAGAGGAGCCAGAGTTTAAGACCTTCTGGCATTATATCTTTGGATTCTTATGTTTTTACTTTGTTCGAGCTGGCTCTATCTATGGAATACATTTTGGCTTTTGTCGTTCTATGACTATTTGATGCAGGGACTGTGATAATCCTATAGGAATAGTCCCATTTTGTAAAGGAAAAATGAGTTCCTGGTTTAGTTTTCCCCTAAACCATTTCAGTGTAGTTCTTTAGTGTTTCATGACAAACCTAGTTACTCTTTTTCTTGTTGGTGAATATATAGCCCCATTTAGGGCAGAATATCTTGCCCAAAATCCCCTCACTAGACTGCGGCGTCTACTTGATGAGGGTCAATGTAATTATTACATTTATGGAGCTTCACATTCATTTCTTCTCTAGTAGCTTTGGCCTTCTTATTCTATGCTCTTATCTTAATTTTCCTTGCTTCTTCCACTGCAGGAATCATTCAAAATATCAAAGAATAAATTCAACTTTAGCCACATAACAAAAGCCTGGTCAGTCTGATCAGGGTTTCCCTTAACAGATTTGTTTATTATAATGTATTTTGGGAAAATTCATATCTATTCAAGAAGTCTTTCTTATACCTTAAGTTGTAGATATCATACTTCATGTTACTATGGGGTTACAATAATGTCGTAACTAGAATATAATACTGGGCATCCATATGTGAGACAGTTTTGGGAGGACAGAAAGGGTTAACAAAAATAGAATTTATATTAGAACACAAGGTTTATAGTTCTCTTTCATTTTGATACACCATAAATCTCTGAGTAATTAAAAGTGTAGTGGATGCCCATGATGTGACAGGTATTATGTTTCAGACACAGTAGTGAACAAAACCAGCATGGTCTTGCCCTAATGAATTTATGGTCTTGCAGTGAATGACTGAATGAGCACATTGGTTACTAATCAAACCAGACTTCATGCATAAAATATGGTTACTGTACTTCTTATTCTAATATCTTAGAAATTTAATAATCAAAGGGAGTTTATGCATATCACTACTAGCATGGCATAAGCATACTATTCTCCATTTCTCAGGAACTCTTCTCTTCTTCACCTTTCTAATCTTTGCCATAAATCTAGGATATGAAAGAAATAGCTCATTTGCTTCTTATCTTGTTTGTTTTCATATTTATGAGTTTAAAAAGCACACATTTTCCAAAGTACAAATTTATTTTTTTTATTTATTGAAAACAAATGGTTGGGAAATTTTATTTATGTTTTCTGAAGGAAAATATTTCCACTGGTATATATTCACATCAGCTAACATAAGTCTTTAAGAATCAGAATAAGGACATAGTTTTTTACTTGTGGCATATACATAATGAGCTTTGTTACATGGAAGTACGTATGAAACTATAAACTCTTTCACAACAAAGTCCAGCTCTTAATTATCTGAATCTTCCTGACATAACAGAGTGCCTAGAAGATGCTTATTATATACTTGATGATATGGTTTGGCTCTGTGTCCCCACCCAAATCTCATCTTGTACCTCCCATAATTCCCAAGTGCTGGGGGAGGGACCTGGTGGGAGATGATTGAATCATGGGGGCAGGTCTTTCCTGTGCTATTCTCCTGATAGTGAATGGGTCTCACAAGATCTGATGGTTTTAAAAACAAGAGTTTCTCTGCACAAGCTCTCTCTTTTTCCCTGCCACCATCCATGTAACATGTGACTTGCTCCTCCTTGCCTTCTGCCATGATTGTGAGGCCTCCCCAGCCATGTGGAATTGTAGGTCCAATAAACCTCTTTCTTTTGTAAATTGCCCAGTGTCAGGTATGTCTATATTGTCAGCATGAAAACAGACTAATACAGCAAATTGGTACTAGTAGAGTGGGGCGTTGCTGAAAAGACACCTGAAAATGTAGAAGTGAATTTGAAACTGGGTAACAGGTACAGGCTGGAACAGTTTAGAGGGCTCAAAAGAAGACAGAAAAATGTGGAAAAATTTGGAACTTCTGGAGACTTGTTGAATAGCTTTGACAAAAATGCTGATAGTGATATGAACAATAGAGTCCAGGCTGAGGTGGTCTCAGATGGAGATGAAGAACTTGTTGGGAACTGGAGCTAAGGTGACTCTTGTTATGTTTTAGTGAAGAGACTGGCAACATTTTGCCCCTGCTGTAGAGACTTGTGGAACATTGAACTTGAGAGAGATGATTTAGGGTATCTGTTGAAAGAAATTCTAAGCAGCAAAGCATTCAAGAGGTGACTTGGGTGCTATTAAAGGCGTTCAGTTTAAAAAAGGAAACAGAGTATAGAAGTTTGGAAAATTTGTAGCCTGACAATGCAATAGAAGAGAAAATCCCATTTTCTGAGGGGAAATTCAAGCTGGCTGGAGGAATTTGCATAAGTAACAAGTAGCCCAATGTTAATCGCCAAGACAATGGGGAAAATGTCTCCAGGGCATGTCAGAGACATTTGTGGCAGTCCCTCCTATCACAGGCCCAGAGGCCTAGGAGGAAAAAGTGGTTTCATGGGCCAGGCCCAGGGTCCCTGTGCTGTATGCAGCCTAGGGACTTGGTGCTCTGAATCCCAGCTGCTCTAGCCATGGCTGAAAGGGGCCAAGGTACAGCTCGGGCTGTGGGTTCAGAGGATGCAAATCTTAAGCTTTGGCAGCATCCATGTGGTGTTGAGCCTACAAGTGCACAGACATCAAGAATTGAGGTTTGGGAACCACTGCCTAGATTTCAGAAGATGTATGGAAACACCTGGATGTCCAAGCAGATGTTTGCTGCAGGGGCGGGGTCCTAATGAAGAACCTCTGCAAGGGTGATGCGAAAGGGAAATGTGGGGTCAGAGCCCCCACACAGGGGCCCTCCTGGGGCACCACCTAGTGGAGCTGTCCAAAGAGGGCCATTGTCCTCCAGACCCCAGAATGGTAGCTCCACTGACAGCTTGCACCATGCATCTGGAAAAACCCCAGACACCCAACACCAGCCCATGAAGGCAGCCAGGAAGGAGGCTGTACTCTGCAAAGCCACAGGGGTGGCGCTGCCCAAGACCATGGGAACCCACCTCTTGCGTCAGCGTGACCTGGATGTGAGACGTGGAGTCAAAGGAGGTCATTTTGGAGCTTTAAGATTTGACTGCCTCACTGGATTTCAGACTTGCATGGAACCTGTAGCCCCTTTGTTTTGGACAATTTCTTCCATTTGGAATGGCTGTATTTACCCAATGCCTGTACATACTCCTTTATATCTAGGAGATAACTAACTTGCATTTGATTTTACAGGCTCACAGGTGGAAGGGACTTGCCTCGTCTCAGATGAAACTTTGGACTGTGGACTTTTGAGTTAATACTAAAATGAGTTGAGACTTTAGGGGACTCTTGGGAAGGCATGATTGGTTTTGAAATGTGAGGATATGAGATTTGGGAGGGGCCAGTGGCAGAACCATGTGGTGTGGCTGTGTCCCCACCCAAATCTCATCTTGTAGCTACCATTCCCATGTGGGAGATGATTGAATCATGGGGACAGGTCTTTCTTGTGCTATTCTCATGACAGTGAGTGTGGGTCTCATGAGACCTGATGGTTTTAAAACCAGAGTTTCTCTGCACAAGCTGTCTCTTTCTGCCTGCTGCCATCCACGTAAGATGTGACTTGCTCCCCTTGCCTCCACTATGATTGTGAGGTCTCCCCAGCCATGTGGAATTGTAAGTCCAATAAACCTCTTTCTTTTGTAAATTCCGCAGTCTTGGGTATGTCTTTATCCAGCAGCATGAAAATGGATGAATACACTTTATAAATAAAATTAGAAAAATATAGTAGCAGTATAAAGAAAAAGAACTGGAATTGGAATTATTTTTAAATGTCTTCCTCACTTTGGTGATAAAGTTTAATAATGTCAATTCATGGGTAAAAAATTGGATTTCTACCTGTTTATGTAAGTTTGCATACCTAAAATCTCAGGTTTTTCTATCATACTACATAAATTAGTTTCTATCACATTGTTTCCTGCAGTTGATGCTGTGGTATGCTGCCCAGATTCCCCCTTAAGAATTCAGGTGTTTATTGATGCATTTAACATTTCACCTTTAGAGTTGTGGGCTGCCAGGGGTATTGGTTGCTAAATTCTTATATCTGAGTCCTTCACAGGAATTGCTTTCAGCTGAAGTGAGTTGTCACAACTAAAGTTGCTTTCTCTCTGGGGAAGCCCACATAAAATGATTAGTTAATACGGGAAATGCAAAGGTTTGATCTTCTTGCCTTAAATCAACATAACTTTGAAGGACTCTTCCAGCTCAAGAGTTTTCTATGGGATAAGCTGAGACTTCTGCTGCAACTACAGTACAGTTTAACTTCTCTCTCTGCCCAAACCTGCTTCTCCATCTCCCATTCAGGTATTATTTTCCCAAACACTCTCCAATAACTCCTATGCATGCATACATACACACACACACACACACACACACACACACACGCTTAATAATTTGTATCCTTGGAAAGAAAATTTAGGATAATTGGTTTTTGAAATAGTCCTAGAAATCATATATTAAAATAGAGTTTTAGAGTTGGTCACTCTTCAGTTGGTGGTGAAATGATAAACGGAGTTCTTATAACCCCTGTCACTGCTAAAACTTTTTGGTGATCTGGAATGGGATACCATGGAAGATAATGCACTGGCTAGTATACTGTGTCAGGTATTTAGGAAGTTTGAAGGAATAACAAATATAAGGTCTATGCAGTTGAATAGCTCTTGCTGGGTGCTATTGATGAATTGGAAAAGATAATGAAAGACTAGAAATTTTTAATCACCAATTAAAGGCAAACTGTGAAAGCCACAAAGGGCCTGCTTGACAGCATATAAAAACAGTCCCATCTCCTGCATCTCAAGGGCAGAAAATATTGAGGATTAGGTGAAGGACTTAATTATATAGGTCATGGGAGCCCAAAAAATGATTAAATTCTCAAACCCCCACAAGTCAGCTTTGCCGAGATTAGGATCTTGAGTAGAAAGAAGTGAGATTCTGACACTTGCAATGAAAGGATCTGGGATAATGCGCTTACAAACTTTGAAATCCCACATTGCACTAAAATTTCTGGGCCTGCAGAAGTAGCCCACTCCTCTGGTTAAAGGCTAATGCTCTCTCACTGGTTAAAGATGATGCAGAGATTATTACCTTGCAAGACAAGAAGCATCCACTTCAGGATCTATTCCTACCTCCCTTCCTGGCTGCTAGACCAATACCTAGGATTGAATTATAATGTAATCTTACTAGAAAGGTGCTGTATCTATAGGAGAAAAGTTATCATACACCTAAGTAGCCAAAAGGTCTAGCCAACATGTACTAGCAGGAACCAGTAGACAGTATGGATTCTTAGTTCTGAGAATGCCATGCAAAGGGAGAGGAGGAAAGGTTAATTGAGCTAAGGAAAAGCTTATTTCTCAATGTTTATATTTATGGATATAGAACACCTTTCCATGATATAAGATTTAACAACCTGATAAGGGCATTTGAAGCTAGTCATAGGTCTATGAAGCTACGAATAGTCTTGGAGACTTAGAGAAAAGCTATGTACAGTAAGAATGTCGTAACTAGCACAGAAGATGATGCAATTAAAAAAAAAAAAAACAGATCAATGGCTCGGAGCCATGGACATCCAAGAGTGAAAAGAGTACAAATGGCCAGAAGACAACAAAGGCAAGTTTAAAAGACAATACTTTTACCAAAGCAATAAAGAATGTCTTAGGTAAAACGGAATGTGCATTATTGAGAAACTCATTGGTGGCTTTCCTCTGCAAGCCAAGACTAATAGTGGGAAATTCTATCACAGACATGAATTTCCTCATAGTAATGGAAATAATAGAATCCCCAAATAATAGAAGCCAGGTAATGACCCTTAGTAATCAATAGCAAGTGGGTATATTTATCTCAGGTTACACCTCTGGTTGCACAGTGGATGGGGAGTTTTGTCTTATGATCAGTCACAGAGGAAGAAAAAGTCCAAGCTTTTTCACGGATAAGGCATCTCAGAATGTGAGTTCAAAAACACAAATGGACTGCTGCTGCACTACAGCCTCAGTCAAGAGTGTCCCTAAAACATAGCAATCAGTGTCCCTAAGTAAGAGCTTCTAGTGTTATACCCAGCCATTCACAGTGTTTGAAAAGACCAGTAGTCCAGGATAAGAATATGCATTGAATCTTAAGCAGTGAGAAGTGACTTTACTGGTTATTCAGGAATAAGAATTGGAAAAGAAAGAAAAAAAAAAAGAACTCCAAGGTAGAACCCAAGGAATGAAACCAACAACCTTGGAGAAACTATTTCCAGATGGACAAATTTTCTATATAGAGAAAGTGGGCCAAAGCAGGAAAACAAGTAGACTGTAGTGGACACTGTGGTCCACCACCTATACCCCCCTTTAAGACTAAGACATGCCCTTCTCATTTTTCCCAGTTTGTTGCTGGCTGATGGTGGCAGTCTAGGAATTTGTTTCTGTTGAGGTGAGATGCCTTGCTCAAATTTATGACTCTTTCCTGGGGGCAACCTGCATCTAATTACCAGTCAATGTGGGATATACATACATCCCATATTGGGATGCTTGCTTTGATTCATGTTTAATCTGAAGGGCTAAGCCAGTTCCCCAGCTCCTGTAGGATCTACTGATCCCTCTATTGCGATTGCATACCTGTTTAAGTTCCTCTGTTCCGTACTGCTCTACTCCACCCCTTCACAAATAATTATTGTTAAGAGTACTTTCCAATAATCCTCTAGAATAAAAATCTTAGAGCCTCAAAGTCTATTTCCTAGAGAACCCGACCTCAGACTACTGATGAAGATTGACCTGTTTAAAGATTATTTCAAGGCTGTTTTATTTACAGAAAGTACAGTTTAGCACAGTAGAAACATAACATGTTTTGGAGTCAGGTAGACATGGCAACTTGCATTGCTGTTATCAAAAGGATTAAGTTACCTAAGCAGAGACGAAGGTTTAGATTGTGCAGCCCAAGCAACTCCAACTCATGAAGGCTTGTGCATAGTTTCCCACCTATGGCTTTCTTCTCTGATAGATGCCAGGCCTTACCCAGTTCTCACCGCTGTAAACTTTTATCCTTCTGGCTTACACCTCTAGATATATCATGAAGTTATTATCTAAGAAATAAAAGAGAAATGCACAGTGTATTTTGGGTTTTGTTCTGTTATTATTTTGTGGTAAGGGTAGATTTTGAGAAGTAGCAATAACGAGATTGATTTTAGAAGATGTAGTTTGACACAATTATTTGCTATGGAGGAACACAGATTATGCTTGTGATGGGGTAAATTAAATAAGTAATATATAATAGGGGTTGTGTTTTATATTGGACATTTTCTATTATACAGAGCCTTTGTGTGGCTTTTGGTAGACGTGTAGTCAAGCTTTTTATAAATGTGGTGGGATCATCAAAATTTCAATGTTTCTAAAGATTCTTCAAATACATGTTTTTATGTAAACAGTAAATTGGCTTGTTTTAGTAGAATAAAATAGAATAAAAAATGGATGCAAAGGCAAGGGCATAATTTTAATAAAATACTTCATGATAATCTGTACCCCTACTTATATTACTGTTTTACCAGTTGGGGATTCCTATTAGAAGTAAGTCACTGTCAAGTTTCAGAGTGGCCTGACACATATGTTAATTTTCTACCACCTCCGTAAGTTGTGACATCCTGTGCTCTGCCTGGATATTCCACAAAGATTCTGATTTTCAGGGGGCTATCGTATTCATCTGTGTCTGATCTTGTGGCTTGGCTTTGTAATAGAAAATATGATAACCACATAATCAGAAACCAAAAGGGACCTCAGAAATTCTAGTTCACTTTCTCCATTGAATTTCCAAATTCAGTTCAAAACAAATAAACTGTAATGCCCAATACTGCATAGTAAATTAATAACTTTAACCCCAAATTAATTTTTAAAAACTTACTAGACACGTGAATCTCAATAGGGAAAATATGAAATAAGAACACTACATACTACTGTGTCCGGAATTGGTGGGTTCTTGGTCTCACTGACTTCAAGAATGAAGCCGCGGACCCTCCCGGTGAGTGTTACAGTTCTTAAAGGCAGCGTGTCCCGAGTTTGCTCCTTCTGATGTTCGGATGTGTTCAGAGTTTCTTCCTTCTGGTTGGTTCGTGGTCTCGCTGGTTTCAGGGGTGAAGCTGTAGACCTTCCCAGTGAGTGTTACACCTCTTAAAGGCAGTGTGGACCCAAACAGTGAGCAGCAGCAAGATTTATTGCAAAAAAAAAAAAACCTTCCACACTAGGGAAGAGGACCCAAGCGGGTTACCACTGCTGGCTTGGGCAGCCTGCTTTTATTCTGTTATCAGGCCCCACCCACATCCTGCTGATTGGTCCATTTTACAGAGAGCTGATTGATTGGTCTGTTTTGACAGAGTGCTGATTGGTGTGTTTACAATCCCTGAGCTAGTCACAAAAGTTCTCCACCTCCCCACTATTAGCTAGATACAGAGTGCTGATTGGTGCATTTACAAATCCTGAGCTAGACACAGAGTGCTGATTGGTGTATTCACAATCCCTTAGCTAGACATAAAGATTCTCCAAGTCCCCACCAGATTAGCTAGATACACAGTGCCCATTGGTGCATCCACAAACCCTGAGCTAGACGCAGGGTGCTGATTGGTGTGTTTACAAACCTTGAGCTAGATACAGAGTGCTGATTGGTGTATTCACAATCCCTTAGCTAGACATAAAGGTTCTCCAAGTCCCCACTAGACTCAGGAGCTCATCTGGCTTCACCCAGTGGATCTGGCACCTGGGCCGCAGGTGGAGCTGCCTGCCAGTCCCACGACGTGCACCCATACTCCTCAGCCCTTGGGCGGTTGATGGGACCAGGCGCCTTGTAGCACGGGTGGCGCTTGTCAGGGAGGCTCAGGCCGCGCAGGAGGCGGGGGTGGGGTGAGAGATTCAGGCATGGCGGGCTGCAGGTCCGGAGCCCTGCCCTGCAGGGAGGCAGCTAAGGCCCGGCGAGAAATCGAGTGCAGCGCCTGTGTGCCAGTACTGCTGGGGGACTTGGCGCACCCTCCGCAGCTGCTGGCCTGGGTGCTAAGCCCCTCACTGCCTGGGTGCTAAGCCCCTCACTGCCTGGGCCGGCAGGGCCGGCCGGTCGCTCGGAGTGCGGGGCCGCCAAGCCCACGCCCACCCGGAACTCTAGCTGTCCCGCAAGCGCTGCGTGCAGCCCTGGTTCCCGCCCCTGCCTCTCCCTCCGCAACTCCCCGCAAGCCAAGGGAGCCGGCTGCGGCCTTGGCCAGCTCAGAGAAGGGCTCCCACGGTTCAGCGGCGGGCTGAAGGGCTCCTCAAGCGCGGCCAGATTGGGCGCGGAGGGCAAGGAGACACCCAGAGAGAGCGAGGGCTGCCAGCAGGCTGTCACCTCTCACTACTGGCCTCAAGGAAATCTCGTGGGGGTATTCTTACAACAATAACAAAATGGTTGATAAGACCAAACCTATGCTTAGGAACAAAACAAAGATGAAACAAATTGATGGAGGGTTGTAGAGTTTGGAAAGTTAGCAAAGTCAAGGGGTATATATTGAAACTGAGGTATAAGTAATCTTGCATATCAGTTATGTGTATGTGTATCACCTGTGGATTTTCTTCAAATTATAGATTCTTATCCCATAGGTGGGGGGATAAGGCTTGGGATTCTGCATTTTTAACAAGCTCCAAAATAATGCTAATGCTGCTGGTTTCTGGACACACTTTGAGTAGCAAAGAGCTAGATGGCTTAAGCTTCTTATGAGTAATAGATATTTGTCTAATGCTTTTTTATACGGACTACTCAGTGGAAAATTTGCTCCTTCTTTTTGACAACATTTAAATTATCCCCATTTCATAGACTAAGAAGTTATGTGAAGAAAGTCACATAGTAATTATATTTAAAGCAGAGCCCACAATTCTTGACTTTCTTGTGTTTTACCCACAAGACCAAATTAATTCTCAATTTTATGGTGTGTGAATAGTAACCCAAAGTCATAAATTTTCAAAACAAAATCTTTAGTTACATCTTACTTAAAATTCCATTGGCATAGTCCATATCTTCATCTTTGTACCTTCCTCATATTCCAGTTTTTTGACATGCATAGGGACATAATTACTTCTGCAAGCCCCATTTAATAGGGCAACACTTATTGTTAATTTTATATGCCAGTAATTATTATTGATGTTGAGAAAGATATACCAATATTATATATATAATTTTCTATAAGACATTTAAAATCTAGTTGGAAGAAACAGATGAAAAGGTATGAAATAGAAAATACCTAAAATCTGTAACATAGAGTATTAGACATGAAATTAAAACATGTTAAAAGAACACAAATTCTAACCCTAGAAAATTACTAGATGTGAGATTTGAGGGTGGGTTACCTAATGCCTTTGCATTTCTATTTCTTATTGGTTAAATGGGGATAGTAATAACAATAGTATAATTTTTTTTATTTCTATTTTTTTTTTTTTTTTTTTTTTTTTGCCATAGAGTCTCACTGTTACCCAGGCTAGAGTACAGTGGAACAATCTAGGCTCACCTGCAACCTCTGACTCCCAGGTTCAAACAATTCTCCTACCTCAGCCTCCCAAGTAGCTGGGACTACAGGTGTGTGCCACAATGCCTGGCTAATTTTTGTATTTTTAGTGAAGATGGGGTTTCACCATGTTAGCCAAGTTGGTCTCAAACTCCTGACCTCAGGTGATCCACCCGCCTTCGCCACTCAAAGTACTGAGATTACAAGTGTGAGCCACCATGCCCAGCCTAAAATTATTATAAAGATTAACAAAACATATACATACATTCCTAGTTCAAAGAGAGGCAATATAGAGTAATGACTAAGAACATAGGCTTTGGAAATAGATTATCTAGTTCATAATCTTGTTTCTGCCAATTTACTGTGTGTGATTTCAGGTGAGTTCCTTAATCTCTGTGTTCCTCATTTTTTACATTTAGAAGATGGGAATAGTAATAATAGTTACCCACAGATACTGAGATATTAAATACACACACACACACACACACACCGATAGATTATACTTGATGTGTATTAGGGTTCGCTAGATAAACACAAACAGGAGATAGATAGATACATAGATAGATATTTATAAAAATTGGCTCATGCAATTCTACAGTTAAAAAATCCCACTACATGCTGTTTACAAGCTGGAGAACCAGGGAACATTGTGGGGTAATTTAGCCTTAGTCTAAATGCTTGAGAACCAAAACAGCTGATGGGGTACATCTCTGTCTGAGTCCAAAGATGGGAGGACCAGAATGCAGAGATTTCTGAGATCAACAGAAAATGGATGTTTCACCTCAAAAGAAAGAATTTGCTATTACCCGTAGTCCCTTTTTGTTTTACTCAGGCCCTCAAAAAATTGGATGACACCCACTCACATTGGTGAGGGTGATATTCTTTACTCAGTCTGCTGATTCAAATGCTAATCTGTTTTGGAGACACCCTCAGAGACACACCCAGAAATAATATTTTATCTTCTGTCTAGGATTCCCTTAGCCGAGGCCCAGTCAAATCAATACATCAAATTAACATAGATAGATGATATATGATAGATAGATAGATTAGATAGATAGATAGATACATACATACATACATCATTTGGCACATAAGCTCCATGTGAGTGTTTGCTATCATGTTTATCATAGTAGGAATTCAATACATATTTGTTACAAGCTACTACTGAGTAAAAGCAAGATAAGTTTGAAGAAGAATAAAATCAGAATGGGTTCTAGTAAAAGCAAAGACTTTCAGAAATAGAAGTACTTGCTTTAATTATCACAAAATAATGCAATGCACAAGAATATATTTAAAGTCATATAGAGTTCTAGGCAGTGGTGGTAAAAGATAACTAACATTTTGCAGTCTAATGGGAGTTCAAATACCTAAGTAAATATAAGTTGTTCAATACTCTCAGTGCTGTGGCAGAGGTAGATATAAAATAAAGTGAGGGCCACAGAGGAGTTGTCACCCTGAGAAACTAGGAATTGCTTCACATTTATGTATTTAACAAATACATACAAAATACCTGGTATAAATCAGGTCCTGTGATAAACAGGCCCTGGGCAATTTGAAAATAGATAAGAAAGTTCTTCTCATAGAATGTATGTTCCTAAAGAGTGTAACATTAAATCGAATCTTGAAGAATGAGCAGCATCTATATAAACATGCAGAACCTGATGGTTGTTTTAAATTATTATTGTAGGAGAACTCCCAAGGGCTCACAGTGAAGGAATATCAGGGCTGAAACTAGATGCAGGATTCACCAACAGATAGTCTTGCAAATCTTCTCACAGCAATCCACTGAGGTCAGAGACCCCAAGAGGAAAGAATTGAGCTATACTTCACCTGGATCACTGAGCACTTTGACACATTTAACATTGGAACTAATTTCTGTGTGCCATTAGAGGGGGAAAGGAGTTTTAATGTCATCTTTTTCCTTTTGCTATCCTCTTTTATGGGAAGAAATTTCTTCACAATGAAAATGATGCTTATGCAGCACATAAATATTGAACATGTATGTTTTGGAATGGATTTAACTGAATTTGTATTGGTAATCTGGGAATGCAACACATCCAAATAAGTTAGGGAAGTTTGATCTCAGCCTAGCTAGAGTTTGGTTAGTATCAACACTAATCTTGTGCCCTCCTGCAAACTTCTTTCTTCTGAAAAAAAAAAAAAAAAATGCTTGGAACAGGCTACAGACCAAACTTCCTGCTGAGTGTTGAAGATGTTCCTGCTGTTCTTTCCCACTGAGTCATCAAGAAAGATTTTGATTGATATTACATATGCATCAAGGAAATGTGCTGCAGCAAGGAACCTAATTTATCCTTTGATTTTTGACCAAACAGTGTGATTCACCATTCTAGTGGGAAATCATGAAAACGTCCATTATCTCTAAAGAGCTATTATGAGGTTTACCTGCGTTTTGGAAAAGTAAGTAGCTATAGACATTTTAAAAGGAAGCTATGGAAAATATTCATCCTTTCCTGGGAATCCTACCTCTATCAATAACTAAAATGGTATAGAAAAATAGAATTTGGAAACAGTAAATTCAGTTTTCAATCCTGGTTCTACTGCTTATTAGTTTTGAAAAAGTTCTTTTCATTTCTCTGAGCCTCAGTTGCCTCATCGGTAAAATGTTGATAACTCCTTTCAGAAATAGAGGCTCTAATGAAACAATATATCGAAAGCTATTAACATAGAAGCTGCAACAATGTGGGTAGCTATTACATAGAAGATCCATTCTCCTCTTCCTTGAAATGTACTCTACTTAATTTAGCTACTTATAATTCTCTCTCCAAAATATATATATGTAGATATATATAGATATCCCTGTATTAGGAAAGGTACACATTTAAAATTCTCTCTCTCTCTCTCTTCTAATTTAACAGACATTTATTGAGCACACAGTATTTTCTAGGCACTTTATAAGCCACCAGGGAGAGTGCTTTCAGATTTCCTAGAGTATACAATTCCTCCTGGTAAGATAGTATAGGAGAACAGCACAACCTTCAGAGTTTACAAAACTCTGTGGATTAGGCATGGTGAGGCAGATTGCCCCAATTTACAGATGAAGTAAACCAAATGCTAGGATGTCTTGCTCAAAATAACACAATTGTTTCTGTCAGGTTGATAGCTTAGGCTACAAGTTCAAATGATTTTTACATTTGCTTTTCTTACTTCTCGAATGTCTGACCTTTGGCATAATTTAATTCATCCTAATGAACTTCTGGTCATGAATCATTCCTCTATCTAGGCACAATTATCCCTTAGACTTAACCTTGATTCTTTTACTCAGAATAAACTTTGGCTTTTAAAAAGTAAACATCCCCAAGATGCATGACTTTCTCTAAATAACAAGTGTATACTCCTTTGCTCTATTTAGGGTGGTAATTTAGGTTGTAGATTAATATGTAAGAGAGATAAGACTGATCCTACAGCAATTGGTTTAACAACAGTAAAATATAATTTAAAAATATTTCTAACTCAAAATATTAAGAGTAATCTATGACAAACCTACAGTCAACATCATACCGAATGGGCAAAAGCTGGAGGCATTGCCCTTGAAAACCGGCAAATACTAGGATGCCCTCTCTCACCACTTCTATTCAACACGGTATTGGAAGTCCTGGCCAGAGCAATCAGGCAAGAGAGAGAAATAAAAGGCATCCAAATAGGAAGAGAGGAAGTCAAAGTATCCCTGTTTGCAGATGATGTGATTCTATATGTGAGAAACACGCTCACCCTTCCAAACACAAAGAATGGACTCAGAGGCACCAAGAACAGTAAAAGTGGGACTTTTAGTAGCAGTCTTGTAAGATCAGGTGTCTGGTAGGCAGGCACACCCGGGGCCGCTACAGCAGGTAATTTATCTCCTAGCATGTAAGTCCCTCCCCCAGTTCCTTATTGGTCGAGTACTACAGCTTACAGTCTTCCCAAATGTTGCCTAAATTTCATTATCCCCCTTATAAGGTTATATCCTGGGCCCCTTCCCTGCTTTAGTTTCGATTTCCCAATAACAAAACTTTCTTCCCTTTCATGGGCTGATCCCTCCTCTACATTCTGTTGTTCACTTATCACGACTTTCTAGAAGCATGAGCTGTGTGGTTTGTTACATCCGCAGGCTGGCTGCCAGTGCTTAGGTTTATCATGCCTTGAAAATGGACCATTTAAAATATTTTCTCACAAATTCCCTCCTCTTTTCTATTTACTTCCTTTGGCCTCATTTTCATCTAAACCCTTTTGGTCCTTGAATTGCGCTAGACGTCGTTTACTTTCTTCCTCATAAGAGAGTGAGTTTAATTTGGTTTTTAATAGTAGCAGGTTATTTTGCTGATAAGTCATGGGCATTTGTTTATTAATAGCTGTTTCAATTAATCTCTGTGCTAGTCACCTCACACATGAGATAATACCACATCCCACTGCTGTTAGAACTCCTGCCACAATTATGAGAGATGTAAGGATTGAAGTTACCATGCCTTTCCATTTTCCAAATGAACCTTCTAGCCAACCCATAATAGGTTATCAATTCCAGCATTTTCTGTCAGATTGTTGGGTAGAATTGTCAGTCCTTGTAGAGCTTTTGTGATGGTCCCATCTGGGGTAGTATTGTTGGGAATGAAAGTACGACATTTTCCACCCAGCATAACACATACACCCCTTTTTTCTGCTAGTGTCATATCTAGCACAAGCGTGTTTTCCCAGGCCATTCAGCTGGTGGCAACTAAATGGCTAGCCACCCCTTTGAGGATGCCCCAAGTATAACTGATGAATCTCTGCTGATTATAATAGACGTAGTTAATCCAATCCACGTTCTTATTAATAGTTGACCACCAGAAGAGTGCTGACTCAAACTCAGCAGCTATTTGGTTTCTGGCCTTAAATTTATTAGGCACCCCCTAGAAACTCTTATCCAGTCACCATATATGTTGTGATTAAAAGGATTTGTTAAATCTTTCCAGTTTGGGTGGTCATGTGTATTTTCAAGTGTCTTATGGAATGCCAAGGTGAAGGGAATGGCCAATTAGACTAAAGCACAAGTCCCAGTCCAATTGGATGGTAACAGGACATGGAGGTTCCTTTTCCCACAATACCACCAGACATCAGCCCGGGGCATACGGAGAGCTGAGTAATTGCATTGCCTGACTCACCAGTGATGTTTAGGATGTGGGTGCAAGTCCAGAGTTCTCCCATGGGCTTATTGAACGCTGCCCACTGCCTACAGAGGCAAGAGGAGTGGTTCATATTCCCTATAGAGAACGAGGGGATTGCTCTGGGATCTGACCTCCACAATGCAGGAAAGAGCAATGACAGACTCTTACAAGTCTCATTTCCCCCATGCATTCTTGTCCTGGTATAGAGCCAACATGCAATGCATTCCTTTAGGATTGGTATTTCATCCTAGGGAAAATGGAACCACCTGTGCCTGAGGTCGTCTCTCAGCACATGCATAGTGGTTACTCTTGTTGAGGGCTTGTACCAAAAATTTGACCCATTTGACCCAGGTATTCACATCCCCATATCCTGTCTCAATTTGCCTTAAATCCTTTACCTTAGTGTTTATTAGGGTCTGGGGTTGGAGTAGTCCCAAGGAAATGGGAGGTTCAGTTCTTGATTAGTTTGAAGACAAATCACCCTAGGGGGTCTTTCCCTGTGATGTCTGCCCCTCACCCATATACTTGAGACTCTACTTTTGGTTCTTGGTTTAGAATGGCTGGATTATCAATGGTGATGAGTATAGGATTGCATTCTAAATTCTGGCAGTTATTTGGCAGGGAGCCCTTGGACAGATGTAGTTTATTCTTGAAGGGTCTCCAGCTTGGAGTTACCAACCCCATGTTTACTATCCAACCCTGAAATTGGGTAGTCCACCATACATTATTCCAGCTGGGGCAGGGTGGTGATTCCCTAATGTAATCTGTATCTGGTTCAGAGCAAAGATATTTATCTGCCTGCGAGAGCTGTCTTTGATTTTCTAAAATCCCACAAGGTAAAAATTGGCAGGCATTTAATCTTATAGTTTGGGGTGCCGCCATCTTGGTTACATTAATTACCAACCTGATTGGACAGGGAGGAGTCCCCTATCAGTTTCCATTTTGACCCTCTGCTCTTTGTATAGTAGCCCATCTCAGCCATATTAACTTTCAGAAATGGGGCCAGCTCATGTTTTCTTTTTAGATTTTTCTCAGAGTTAGCTTGAAGTGTTCCTCAGATGACTGGTGCACTTTTCACTTTTTGTCCCCCTCCCTTCCACGGTGTCTTTTACCAGTCCCTTGACTGCAGTAGAGTGAGTCCACCCACTTTCAGCTGTTTGCATGGCTGTCTCAGTGGTCAGGAGCACTTGATAGGGACCTTCCCAGCTTGGGTGGAACTTGTCTTTTTTCCAACTCTTAATCACCACCAAGTTGCCAGGCTAGAAGTGGTGAACTGCAAACTCGAGAGGCAGAGTTTGAGTCAGAAATCCTTTTAACCGAAGGGATGACAGGGTGGAGGTTATGGCCAGTATACAATATCTTAAGAATTGGTCCTTGGTTTCCATAGTAGGAAGATCTGTGGCCATGCCCAAATATGGGAGTCCATATAGTAACTCATAGGGGGACAATCCCAAGTGTTTTCTTGGGGCTGTCCTAATCTTAAGGAGTGCTACTAGGAGACATTTGGTCCAAAGCATTTCAGTTTCTAAGATTAGTTTGGTGATATGCTTTTTGGGAGTTTGATTCATTTTTTTTCTACTTTTCCAGAGGAAGGGGGATGCCAAGGAGTGTGAAAATCCCATCCAAATTGTAAAACTTTCATAATTCCCCTTAACATCCTTGAGGTAAAGTGGCTCCCATTGCCTGAATCAATGCTTTCCACCAGGCCAAATCTAGGTACAATCTGCTGTAATATTATTTTGACCACATTCACAGTGGTCAAGTATTTTGACCATAATTCACCATGGCTATTGGAAGGGGAAAGTTTTCCACCCAGCCAGAAAGGTGATCTATAATTACCAGTAAATACTTTAGTCTTCCTATTTTGGGCATTTCTGTGAAATTTACTTGAATGCTTTGAAATGGTCTTAGTCCAGGAGGTCTTCCTCTCATGGTCTGTTTTCTAATCACCTTTTTGTTTATCCTTTGAAAAATTACACAACTTCCATATACTTGTTTAACAAGAGTATAAATCCCTATACACCCATAATTCCTTAGTATTACATTACACAGGGCCTGGGGTCCCCAGTGTCTCCCTTTGTGTAATATAGACATTAGTTCTCTTATTAGGGGTGTACTCACACTAGCTCTTTACATTGTCCACCTTTATCTCTGCTGTCTACTCTGGCTATGTGGCTCTTGTTGCCTCCATGCCTGCAGCTGCACTCCCTGGCCTGCAAGGTCAGCTTAGTTACAAAATTAACCTTCAAAAGGCCTTGCTCTACTGGATGCTCTAGATTGAATCTGAAGTATTTTCTCATCTGATCTCTGAGCTGCTGCAGGAATGCAGAGGAAGTTTCCTTTTCTTCTTGTTGAATCTCAAATGCCTTTGAGACATTTTGTGTCCTAACAGTGGACTTTTTGATCCCTTTAGTTAGTTCCCTGAGGTCCTGCATTTGGGCCCAGTCCCTAGGATCATTATAATCCCATTCAGGATTGACATTTGGAAATTTTTTTCGGCTGGCAAGACTCTTTGCCTGGGATGGTGTTGCCTCTTCCAGATGGTCATGACCGCTCTCCTAATCATTCCCCTTTCTTCACCTGTGAACATTCATGATAGGTATCATTCATGATAGACATCATTTCAACCCAGGTGTAAAAGCTGGGTCCTAGGAATTGGTCCAGCTGGTCTGCTAAACAGAGGGGATCTTCTATGAGTAGTTTTATTTCCTTCTTGAAATTCCTAACTTCAGTACTTAAGAGGATCATTTACAAAGCCAATCTCTCCTGGTCCCATGGGAACTTTCCTAAGTGGAAATATGCTAGATGTCTGCTGCTTGGAAGAGATAGGGAAGTTCTGAATATCCCTCTTACACTGTTCTAATTCTTTTATTAAATTTGGATAAGAATCTAAAGGAGCAAAACAGTTGGTTTGGCTCCCCCATGGTCACCAGATCTTTCTTCCTCTAACCCTCCTGCTGCCCCTTGATCTTCTTGTCTGCTGTTTTGTGAGCTGTAGGCAGAGGCAAGCATGATGGGGGTCCCAGGGCTTTTCACTGGGTGAGGGCTCTTCACTAGGCTTTTTTTCTTCTTCTTTGTGGGGGAACATGGGGGCTAATTCCTTGATCCAGTAGAGAGCATAACCTATCTCTTCTTGTGGGGATGGGATTTTATCATTCACATAGAGAATTAAACCTTGGCAAACCCAATCCTCATCTGAGCCAAACTTAGGCCAAAAGACTGAAGGCTAACAAATGGGGTCTTTGGGCCAGATAAAACAGCAATACTTTATCATATTTTGCTTTCTTTTTCCCTGGTGTGAGGGTTGTCCCTCCAAACTTGCAGCATTCTCCCCAAAGGACTACCTGGGGGAATGTCAGAGGGAGTCTCTTTGGCTCCCTCTTTCCTTTGTTCCCTAGGCCTAGAATTCCTGTTTCCCATTTTGATCAGTCTCTGTGTCTGAGCCTTTCCCTGTGTACTCAACTCCCCCCTACTGGAGGTTTCTTGCACACCCCAAAAATCGCTTTGTGTGTCTGAACTTTTGCCTGTGTACTCAATCCCCCTACTGGAGGTTTCTTACACACCTCGAGAATTGCTTCGTCCATCTCCAGCCATTTCCCTTGTGGGAGAACCAAACCACAGATTGGGACTCTACACTTCATACCTTGGATACATCTGAGTCACACACACTCAACCTCTGAAAATGCCCAGCCATCAAAGTAGTACTCTCAGTACAATTTTCCTAACTTGGCTCATGCATGAGGTTGCCTGGTGCTGCGGTGCCGCTTTTCTCCCTGTGTTGCCTCCATTGCCTCCTGAATAACAGTCTCAGTGTTGTCTATGGCCTCTGAGGGGAGCTGGGACACCCGGAGAGAGTGGGTCACCTAAATCCGGTGGGATGCATCTTCCCTCTCACAGAAATCCCGGATGGGACTCCAGATTTGTGAGAGACATGCTCACTTGTCCAAACCCAAAGAATGGACTCAGAGGCACCAAGAACAGCAAAAGTGAGACTTTTAGTAGGGGCCTTGCAAGATCAGGTGTCTGATAGGCAGGCACACCCAAGGCACTTACAGCAGGTAATTTATCGCCTATCACACAAGTCCCTCCCCTAGTTCTTCATTGGCTGAGTACTATAGGGTTACAATCTTCCTAGATGTTGCCTAAGTTTTATTATCCTCCTTATAAGGTTATATCCTGGTCCCCTTCCCCACTTAACTCTCGATTTCCCAATAACAAAACTTTCTTTTCTTTTATGGGCTGATGCCTCCTCTATATTCTGTTCACTTATCATGACTTTCTAGGAGCATGAGCCATGAGATGTGTTACATCTGCAGCCTGGCTTGCTGTGCTTAGATTTATCACGCCTTGAAAGTGGACCATTTAAAATATTTTCTCACATATATCTAGAAAGCCTCAGTCTTGGCCCAAAAGCTCCTTAAGCTGATAAACAACTTTAGCAAAGTTTTGGGATACAAAAATCAACATTCAAAAATCATTGGCATTCCTATACACTAATAGCCAAGCTGAGAGGCAAATTAGGAGCACAATTCCATTCACAATTGCCACAAAAACAATAAAATGCTTAGGAATGCAGCTAAACTTGGAGGTGAAAGATCTCTACAATGAGAATTATAAAACACTGTTCAAAGAAATCAGAGATGATGCAAACAAATGAAAAAACATTCCATGCTCATGGACAGAAAGAATCAGTATTACTAAAATGGCCATAATGCTCAAAGCAATTTACAGAGTCAATGCTACTCCTATCAAACTACCAATGATATTATTCACAGAACTAGAAAAAAGTATTTTACAATTTATACAGAATCAAAGAAGAGCTGGAATAGCCAAGGCAATTCTAAGCAAAAGAATAAAGCTGGAGGCATCATGTTACCCAAATTCAAACTATACTACAGGGCTACAGTAACCAAAACAGTGTGGTAGTGGTACAAAACCAGATGCATAGACCAATGGGACAGAATAGAGAATCCAGAAATAAGGCTGCAAACCTACAACTATCTGATCTTCGACAAAGCTGACAAAAACAAGAAATGGGGAAAGGACTTTATTTTCAATAAATGGTGCTAGGATAACTGGCTAGCCATATGCAGAAGATTGAAACCATATGCAGAAGACATACTTATGAGTCATATTCAGAAGACATTTATGCGGCCAACAAGCATATGAAAAATAGCTCAATATCACTGATCCTTACAGAAATGCAAATCAAAACTACAATGAGATATCCTCACATCAGTCAGAATGGCTATAATTAAAAACTCAGAAAAATAACAGATGCTGGTGAGGTGGTAGAGAAAAGGGAACTCTTACACACTGTTGGTGGGAGTGTGAATTAGTTCAACCATTGTGGAAAGCAGTATGGCAATTCTTTAGGGCTAAAAACAGAATTATCATTCGACCCAGAAACCTTATCACTGGGTACATACTCAAAGGAATATAAGTTGTTCTGTCATAAAGACATATACATGCTTTTTAAGTCTATATTCACATTGCTATAAAGAAATAGCTGAGACTGGGTAATTTATAAAGAAAAGAGGTTTAACTGTCTCAGTTTCTGTGGGCTGTACAGGAACCATAGTGTCTTCTGCTTCTGTGGAGGCCCCAGGAAACTTGCAATCATGGCAGAAGGTGAGGGGAAAGCAGGCATATATTACATGGCTGGAGCAGGAGCAAGGAGACAGGGCAGAGGTACTACACATTTTTAAACAACAGATCTCATAATAACTCACTTACTACCTTGAGAAGAGCAGCAATTGGCTGGTGCTAAACCATTCATGAAGTATCCACCTCCATGATCTAGTCACCTCCCACCAGACCCCACCTCCATGATCTAGTCACCTCCTGCCAGACCCCACCTCCATGATCTAGTCACCTCCCACCAGACCCCACCTCCATGATCTATTCACCTCCTGCCAGACCCCACCTCCAGACCCCATCTCCATGGAGATCCCCTCCAACATTAGGGATTACAATTTGACATAAAATTTGGGTGGGGGAAAAGATCCAAACCATATCACAGGTGTATGTTCATTGCAGTATTCACAATAGCAAATACATGGAATCAACTTAAATGTCCATCAGTGGCAGATTGGATAAAGAAAATGCGGTACATATACACCATAGAATACTATGGAGCCATAAAAAAGAATGAGATCATGTTCTTTGCAGGAACATGGTTGGAGCTGTAGGCCATTATCCTTAGCAAACTAATGCAGGAACAGAAAACCAAATACTGCATGTTCTCACTTATAAGTGGCAGCTAAATAATGAGAACACATGGATACAAAGAGGGGAACAAGAGACACTGGGGTCTACTTGATGGTGGAGGATGAAAGAGAAAGAGAGGATCAGAAAAAATAACTATCTGCTACTAGACCTAGTACCCAGATGACAAAATAATTCACATAACAAACACCTGTCACACAAGTTTACCTATATAAAAAACCAGCCCATGTAACCCTGAAGCTAAAATAAAAGTTAAAAAAACTAAAATATAAATAAATAAAAAATAATAGGCCTAGATATTTTCTATGGATCAGAGAAGATTATATGGTTAAACTGCATACATTTGTAGTTGGGAAAAAAAGCAGAGTTATCTACAAGTTCAAAGTTTTGAGATAATAAAAGTTTTAGGTTATCTATTTATAATCTACTTAGCCTGGCCATATATAAACATAGAAATTCCCATATGAATTCAAGCACAGTTTATCTTACCAGAAGCCTAGTACACAGGATTTTCTTAGTCATTTATTTCACTAATAATTATTGAAACTTTATTATGTGCCGGGCACTGTTCTAATTGTTGAGGGTATAATAACAAATAGACTTAGCTTCTTTTCTTGAAGAGCTTAGTAGTTAATGAAAGATACAGATGAGTAGACTTGCAACAGGATAAACAAGTTTGTTATATACTAATTAAGGGAAGTATAGGATAATGTGAGAGCCTCTCAGAAGAACAACTGACCAGATCTGGTGTGGTCAAGAAGGTTTTTCTGAGTGATTGATGGCTCAGCTAAGACCTGAGGGACATGGGGAAGGAAGAAATTTGTTTCGTTTTGTTTCGTTTCAGGCAAAGGGAAAGGCATGCAAAAAGGCATAGAGAAAGGAAAGCTTATGGAGAGGTCAAAGAGGTGAAATAAATTTAGTATAGTGTGAATTTCTGTGAAGGTTCATGATGAGGGTGGGAAGTCTTAGCCAGATAATGCAGAATGATATTAAAGACATTAGACTTTATTCTGAGATAAATTGGAAGGTGTTGACAGGTCATAAATAGAAGAAAACTGAGATAATTCTAGGTGTACTTAGGGCTACTCTGTCTGCAGGCTCTGTATCAGAGCTGGTTGGAATAGACAAGAAGATACAAGGCTTCTGCAATAATTTGATCAAGAAGTAATGATGTACTGGTCTAGATCAGTAGTAGTGGAGATATCAGACAGTGAATAGGTTTTGAGAATATTCTAGAAAGTATTCTAGACTATTTCAACGTAACTTGATGATGACAGGATGCAGAAGAAGAGGGAGAAAGCTCAGGGATGTGTCCAGATGGCTGGTTTGGGAACCTATGGGGATATCATTACCACATGCCCTTGTGAGTGACAGTGGAACTAGGAGCAGGTTTTTAGGGAGTGGCCTTGAAGAGATAGCAAATAATTTTATGTAATCAGCCCTAACAGTGTCTGCTGTAGGTCCATTCTGATTAAAATTGAGCAACATCATTTTTCATGGCATAGTCAGCTTCTTCCCCTCTGCTGACAATTGTCTGCCAGAAACTAAATATATTTCTCGTCAGCTTTCCCCCTCACCTCAGAATGAATTTCAGAAAACAACTATTCTTTTTTCTACCATCTTTTCTCACTTTATTTCCTTCCAGTCCCCAGTTTCTTTTGATAATCATTACTAACACATCAAGGCCAGATTTTCTTCAATTCCCAACTCAGCTGTAACTTTTCTTGAAATAATTTTATTCTTTCTCTTAGACAAAAACAGAAATGTTTCTAGAAATAAAGATTATGTAATACACTTTCAAGGACTTTTAGGTCTCTAGCAGTGGTATAGGATTTACTGTCAGGGTGACATTAGGAAAGTGCCAACTGAATATTACTGAATGAAAGTTTAACTAGTAGATTAGCAATGTCATTATGGGATCCAGCTCTTTCTTACTTTAAATAGTGGTTCTATGCAAAATTGATCACAGACACTTTATAATAAACAAGTTCAGGCTAAAGGATTTGAGCCACTAGGATTGGAACAAAACCATTAACACTGGGTTAAAATCAAATTAAACAAACATGCCACACCAAATGCTTTGAGGGATTGGAAGGTATTTAACAAGGCTTTTGGAGACCATAATTCCACTGCTATCTCCAGGTCAGAGAGAAAGTTATCTCATAGCTAAGCAGAACACATATTTGCTCTCTTGTTTAGAACCTGGCAAAGCAAATTTATTGGTCAGTGGATAGTTTGGGAGTGTTATTCTTGGCTGAACTGAGACTTCCAAAGTTTATTTTGCTCCTGAAATGCAAAGTCCTAACATAACTATATTGATCAGGCAGATACATAAAGAGTCTTAGCACTTTGTTCCTCAAAATCATTATTTGGTAAAATCTATTACCTGAGCCAGGAAAAGCTTTAGGTATTTGAATTATTTCTCAAATATCCGGGGCTTTTTTCAAGAAGTCAGGGCTTTTAATTTGAGGTCAAATATAAGCACAGTCTAATTACTTGAACTTTCTCTGAACTTCATGACAATTTTGCTTTCCAGTTGCTGTTTGTTTTAGAAAAGACATACATGTAGGGAGGCATGAAGGGAAATAAGAGCAATGAAAGAGGAAAAGGGAGAAAGAAGAATTTTAAACCCTTACATGTGCACAAGAAGGGTATTAGGCATTTTCCTTGTATTATCTCATTTGCTGTCTCCAAAAATGGGCGTGCGGTGTAAGTCCCACTTTGCTGAAAATGAACTTAGAGTTAAAGAAATTTAGTCACTCTCTAGGTCAAACAATTGTTGAGGAGAATCCCTGGGATTTGTAAACAGTTCTACTTGGCTTCATAATATTTCTCATGTTGATAAATATGGGAATATTATGCCAAGAAAGAACACTGTATAAAAATGGTCTAAAACCAAAAAGCCATGGTAAATTATATATTAAGATGAAAATAAAGTGCATTTTTTTTTCTAATTTAAATGGGTATGCTAAAGTGGAACCAAGGGTGGTATCTATCACCCAGTGTATTCTTCATTTAAGGCAATACTACTCACAACCATGGGATTTTTAGTCCACGGGAACAAATTGTTGAGTTGATACATTTTTAAAAATAATGCTTAGCACTCCATTCACCTAGTCTTTATAATATGTGATACTTAGTTTTTCTACTCAAAAGGTATTGCTATTGACAAAAATCAGGCACCTCAGCTATTGCTGGCATTTCACATGCTCAGTGTGTCCACCAAACATAGGTGTCTCTAATGTAAATGGTCTCTTCATATTGTCTAGTATTCGTGCTCGCAGAGCAAAATCTTTGGGCATAGTTTCATATGGACACTTGCATTTATTTACACAACAGCTATCTATTAGATATTTATATGCTGGGTAGGAATAATGAGATGAAAGCAAAACCATTTTATAAAACATTCAAATTACACGCATTTTATATAGTGGTGGCCACAAGTGCATTTACATAGTGTTATCTACAAATATCTACAAAACTAAATACCTAGAGTTTTCTTAAAAGGGCAGTAGCCAGTGTCATAAATGGCTCTGCGGAGATCTTCATTCGTTTCCCTTTTTTCTTGGTTTGAATTTACTAAAAAAGATTACCTAAGAGACCTCCCTGCCTCCATCTCCTTAAGACCTCACCAAGCATAGTTTATTTTTACCAAAGCACTATAGTATTTTTTTCTAAAGCATACTCTGATCACATCTTCTCAATTTAAAGCTTCTAATATTTTGACTAGAGAAAAAATATAAGTCCACATTCCTTTACACGTTACTTAGAGCCTTTATAACCCAGCTATTGCTTACTTACTTTTCCTTCTTAAACTGTAAGTAGCAAATGCTTCAGCCATATTCTGCTACTTTTATTAACAGCCTTTTCCAACACACCAAACGTGTATGCTTCATCGCTTTTGCATATGGTCTAGACTTTGCCTAGAAAATATTCCCCTCAATCCCCATTGTCCACTGGGAAAACATTTTCTCAACCTTCAAGACAAAGTGCAAATGCCATTGCTTTTCTAACCTTTTGTTCCCTAGACTCCCCCAGATAGATTAAACTGTTCTTTGCTCATTGTTTCTAAAGCACTGCACATATACTTCTATTATTGCACTTATCACACTGTTAACAAAAAGCTATAGTGCATGTCATTTCACCCCAGTAAGCTATGAGCTTCTTTGTCTCTGTCCCATTCATCTTTGTATTTTTACAGCCTAACACAGTTCTCAGTCCAGAGTAGATACATAATAAATGTTTGCTGAAGTGCTAACTTAAATTTTGATCCATTGCATTTTTCTTAAGGCTCCTGTATCACTGTGGTCTCTTATTTTGTCCTAAGCATAAAATATGTCTATAGCATGGGGGAAAGGTCATGAATCCCATAGTAAATATTTCAATGTTCAGTAGTACTATAATCTTTCACTGACTCTAACAAGCTGGCTTTCTTTGTTTCTTCTTTTTGCTCCCTCAGCTCTTCTGTTTTTTTGTTCTAATCCTTGGTCTGTCTGTACCCATTTCCGTGATTAACATATTCCACCAATATTTAGCCTTTACTACCATTGTTGTGACTCCTTGAGTAATGGCTTTATATCTTTTTTCCTTAAGCAATTTTTATGCTAGTTTTATTTATTTATTTTTTGGCTAAAATGTCTTATACAACCTTTGTAGTAAGTGAGCAAAAAGCATATTATACCCTTTTAGAAAACTGTGGTTTGGAGAGAGAAGAATCAACCTCTTCATGTTTAATTAATTAAGGAAGCATTTATTCTCGAAGACTTTACTAGGGACATGACACCAAATGTTGCAACATGGGGGAAAGAGATGTGTAAATTTGGGCCCAAACCTCAAGGTCTTTATTGTTTTGCTGAAGAATTAACATCTGTTTATAAATAACTTCAATACACTTTTCAATGTTAGGCCGTTGATAATAACCAGTTTTCTGTGCATTTTTTGATGATTCTAAGAAGTGTCTTCATAAGGCAGCCTGTTCCACCAGGATTGAAACCACAAGCCAACTAGGAGATTTTTAGTAGGAACCATGCTGTAGTTAATACTCAGCATTTCAGGCTGTAATCTGAGATGCTGAAAAAATAAAGGGCCAAGTGCTAAAGTGTTCATATCTGGCTGAAGCCCCATCCTTAATTTATGGGCTTTTTTCTTTGTGTATCTTCACCTAAATCCCCTCCTGAATGTGCCTCATAACTGAGTCCTACTCATTAGTTTACTAGGATTAAGAAGTGAGTCCGAGGTCTGTAGAAATGGTGTCTTCACTTGAACAACAGGCATGGTTGTTGGAATGCTCTCAGATTTAATGAATACCTTCGAATTTTTACTACTGTATTCAAACATGTGGACCATGACCTCTTCCCTCTTTGTTGTCTAGGCAACTACTGTTCACATAGTAAGACTTAGCCAAGGCAAAGCATCTTCATGGAAGTGTTCCATGAATCCCCAGACTGATGTAAATGCCTTTTACTTTTGCTGTATTATTTATTTTGTGCTTACTTCTATAGTAAAGCTGACCACATTGAGCTTCCCATATTATTTTACCTATTTTTCTTTTCCACTAAATTGTTATAAACTTAATTACCTTCTTCTTTCTATCCTTTCTTACCAACCAATTCCTTCCTTTTCTTATGTGTTCCTTCTTGACTCCTAATGTTTATTCATAACGGTTCCATGAGCACGAACAAGGTGCTCAGAACCTGGGAGAATGGAGGTAGAAGGTAAATTGTTTTGTGCAAGACTTCAGTAGAGATATGTCAGAAGATAGTTAAGATGAGTATACAGAAAAGGTATAGAATACAATAAAATAATACATTAAAAAAATCAAAATGCCTGTAGCCACATATTTTCTATTCAATAAATCTTAGTTATTAATGAATTTCTAAGACTTAGTTTTTTCATTAGAAAAAATGAAGAATTCTTAGTCATAGAGTTGTGGAGAAGATTACATGAGATATATTTAAATCACTTATGAAGTTCCTGTTACACGGTAACTACATAACACATGAAACCTCTTAATATTCTAGGTTGTCCTTGAGGATTAATTAGAATTGAGACAGAGAAATCAGAAATGGACTTGACTGGTATCCTCTGGTCATTGGCTCTATTCAGTGAAGCCGAAATTATGTATTTCAGGGTTTCATCTGTGAAGAGGAGTTGAAGAGTTTCACAAAAAAGGAGACTTGCTAAGTGTCAAAAGTCAAGATTAGACTCTGATTGAGCTTAGGAGGCTTGCTGTGTAGCAAGACTTTCTGGCAACCATCTTAACTATTTGGTGCCAAAACGTCTGCACCTGTAGCACCTGTGTCATGAAAAACACTGTTAGCACAAAGGGTGATAATGACAGAAAATGTAGAAAAATCTTAATACTGAATTACTGGTTACAAGAAAGATACTAGACAATGATATTTGCATCACATATTTTGGTATTTTATATAGTCAGGCTCTTGGGTGCATTGTTTCTGTTTGGTTAGTTTAGTTTGCTTTTTTACACAGGGTTACTTTTCCCTGTCCCTCAGGACATCTATCGTGCAAGTCCTATCTAAACTCATTTATTTTCCTTTTTTCCTCTTTTCCCACTTGCCTTTCTTTTACTACTTGCTCAATGTGCCTTGAGCAGAGACAAAGATGTTTCTTATTCCATGTCTACAGACAGAAGGAATAACTGCAGAAGAAACACATCTGTAAATCCTCCCACAGCCTGATTCCAGGCACACCTTAGCAGTGTATATAAGGGTCTCTGTGAGTGGATGGAAGCCTGCCTTTCCAGATGCATTGTTATTGTTCTGCCCTTTGATGTATGCTGTCCTGGTGCAGTCTAATCATGACTACCCCACAACAGCCCTTATTATCTTCATGACTTGCCCTATGTTGTGTGTTTTTTTCATTTGTAATACTTTATCCTTTACCTGTTCCTAGCTTGTTTTCTTATAAAATTTCTGAGTCTTAACTGTTAGCAACTTGAACTTTGAAATCAAAACCACTTTGTTTTAAAACTTATGAGTATATGGCCCAGTAAAATTAATATAACATATATTGTTGTGAGATGTCAGGGATCCTGAATGGAGAGACTGGCTGGAGCTGCGGCAGAGGAACATAAATTGTGAAGATTTCATGGACGTATATCAGTTCCCAAAATTAATACTTTTATAATTTCTTACATCTGTCTTTACTGAAATCTCTGAACATAAATTGTGAAGATTTCATTTTAATATGTACATTTATCAGTTCCCAAAATTAATACTTTTATAATTTCTTACACGTGTCTTACTTTAATCTCTTATTCCTGTTATCTTCATAAGCTGAGGATGTATGTCACCTCAGGACCCTATGATTGCGTTAACTGTACAAATTGATTGCAAAATGTGTGTTTGAACAATATGAAATCTGACTGTAAAACATGTGTGTTTGAACAATATGAAATCAGTGCACCTTGAAAAAGAACAGAAAAACAGTGATTTTAGGGAACAAGGGAAGACAACCATAAGATCTGACTGCCTGCAGGGTCAGGCAAAAAGAGCCATATTTTTCTTCTTGCAGAGAGCCTGTAAATGGATGTGCAAGTAGCAGAGATATCACTAAATTCTTTTCCTAGCAAGGAATATAATGTTAAGACCCTAGGAAAAGAATTACATTCCTAGGGGGAGGTCTGTAAACGGCCGCCCTGGGAGTGTCTGTCTTACGTGGTTGAGATAAGGACTGAAATATGCCCTTGTCGCCTGCAGTACCCTCAGGCTTATTAGGGTGGGGAAAAAATCCCGCTCTGGTAAATTTGAGGTCAGACCAGTTCTCTGCTCTCAAACCCCGTTTTCTGTTGTTTAAGATGTTTATCAAGACAATACGTGCACAGCTGAACATAGACCCTCATCAGGAGTTTTTGATTTCACCCTTTGACTTGTGATCTTTGCTTTGCCCTTGGTCTTGTGATCTTTATTGGCCTCAGAAGCATGTGATCTTTGTGACCTACCTACTCCTTGTTCTTGCGCCCCCTCCCCTTTTGAAGTCATTAATAAAAACCTGCTGGTTTTGTGGCTCGGGTGGGCATCACAGTCCTACCGATTTGTGAAGTCACCCCCGGAGGCCCAGCTGTAAAATTCCTCTCTTTGTACTCTTTCTCTTTATTTCTCAGCCGGCCGACACAGGGAAAATAGAAAGAACCTACACTGAAATATTGGGGGTGGGTTCCCCTGATAATATATTAGTGCTAAAAGACATATTAACAATGAATACTATTTAATATTTATTACTTTCTAAACACAGAACTAAGATATTTCTATTCATCTGTTTATCCAGTATGTAGTTATTGAGGGCTTAAAAGGTACCTTGCATTGTTATAGATGTTGAGGTTATAGATCTTGATCCTCCTCCCACAAAGCTCATAAACAACATATTCTCTCATAATATATTGAAAGGGTTTAGCCCAATGACTGGTACCTTAAAAGCACTCATTCAGTGGAAACTTCTGTTATATTTTTAGTATTCTTTAAGATTCATCTAAAATATTGTTTTTTATATGCTTTCTGTATTCTCTTAAGGTAGAATTAATTAATTGGCATCTCCATTTTACTTATACAGTACCCTGTACCCACTATTTAAGATTGGCTTTTAGTCTGCCCCTCCTGTGATCCCTGGAGACTCTCAGGATGATACTTAATTTATGTCTGAACTTCTAGAACAGGAGTCTCAAACTCAGCACCATTGTTATTTGGGGATGGATAATTCTTCATTGTGGGGGTTCTAGCCTAGGCAGCAAAGATGTTTAGCAATATCCCTAATTCTGCCCACCATATGCCATTATCATGTTTTTAATTGTGACAAGCAAAACTGTTTCCATACATTGCTAAATGTCCTCTGTTGATAAAAAGCATCCTCAGGTGAGAATTGCTGTTATTCTCAGAACTGTAGCAGTCACAGATTAGTCAATGATGAAATAAGAAACAAAGAGAAAAAATAACAAAAGTAGCAAACAGGGGAGAAAAAAATCAAGAAAAAGTGAAAGGAAGGAGGTTAAGAGGCAGAGATGGAAGGAAGGAGGGAAGAAAAGGAAGCGAACATTCATTGAGCTACTAAAATGCACTGAACTAAGCATTTCACACACATTAACTTCTGTAATCCTCACCACAGCCAAATAAGATTGGAGCTCTTATTATTAAGGCTTAGAGATAAGGAATTTGTAATACATAGACACCAAATGTTAATCCAAGATCATTTGAATAATCCAAACCAAGTGAGGAACCAGTATGTGAACTTAGACTGTCTGATTCCAGAGGCTAAAACAGAGAGGAAATGAAGGAGAGACTAAAAGGGGTAGGAGGAGAAGAGGAAGAGAGAGACAGAGACAGAGAAATAAAGAAAAGAATGGAGAGCAACGAGGGGAGGCAAAAAGGGAAGAAGGACAAAAAGCAGAACGATTTTCAAGTTACAACAGGTGACAGAACTTCCAACAGAGATGGTGACACATGGAATGCTGAGACTATGATTAGAACTGGTGCTGGATGCTTGGTATTTTAGGTCAAAACAAAGAACCAACTTAAGTCTTGGATGGATACGAGGAGCTCCTGACCTGGGCACCTAGCCTTCTTCCCAACACACATCTCTTTATGTGACAATCCCATGGGGTCAAAGAGATATGCCTATGTGGAACTCATGAATGCCTTTTAGAGGGGTATCCTCTGGGTACTTGGGACTCCAGAATCCACGCTATAATTGTCTTTGAGATTTTCTCTGTGGTCTGCCCCTGAAGGTGTAGCAGCACCGTACACATCCCAGGCACAAGCAAACACAGGATAGTTTTCTATGGAAATATGGATGGAGCTTTTATGTGTGAGAAGGGATTCTCCAGAGCCCTTCTTAGTTTGAGATGAGTCAGTGGTAAGAGGGAAGGGGCGATGTTGCAAATTTGAGACTGGAGATTGAGGATTAGGAGCAGGCCCTCCTCTCAATAATACATTCAGCTCAGAATTCCAAAAAGTGCAATAGTTCTATATTCATTTGGCATTTAAGGTTAAAAAGAATACCTTTAGCCATGTCATAGGTTGATTTATAATTTTTAAATATTTAGAAATATGGTATGTGGGCTTCCATCTTTAGCTTTTTCTCAGGGCTCCACAGAGGGACCGAATAAATGTTAAAAAGTGAGGGAGAGAAGACCCACACGTAAAACCAATGTTTGAACATTTTTCTGGAAGCTTTAAACAATGGGTGTTCAAGTCCAATATGCAGACTTCATTTTTCCTAAAATGATCAGATTCTCTCTTCAACATATCGTAATCATCTGTTAGATATGACAGGCAAATATGACTCATTAGAAAACATGTTGCCTTTAGAAACACATGAAAAATATGGATTTTATTGCTTTTTCTAATTCCATGTCTTTGATCAGATAACTTATTTCTTTGACACTTAATTTTCTCATATATAAATTATATATTGTAATGCTAGCCTTCATAGCAGCTATGAAACTTAGAGACCATCCCCAGACAGCATTCATCACAGAGCATGCCACATGTAAATGGAATGTTAGCTGCATCCCCTGGATTGCATCCCTCTTGCAGTTATCTACAATAGCTTTGATTCTATCCAATGTCTTTTCCAGATTCACTCAGAACACAGAGAAGCTAAGTTTACTATGAATGAATATCAATCAAAATGTACGTGATTGTAGCGGATAATTTTCTGTTCAGAGTGAGAAGATGATTATATATCAGAAAAATGTCAGTTAATTCTGAAGAGTAAGAGTACATCCAAAATAAAGACTTGTGGTATAGAAATTGCTTCGGAATTTTCACATGAACCTCACTTTACAAGGCATCTTAATCTGGGTGGGCTGCTATAACACAAATACCATAGACTGAGTAGCTTATAAACAAAAGGAATTTATTTTTCACAGTTCTCAAGGCTGAGAATTCCCAGATCAAGGTGCTAGCACCATTGTTCAGTGAGGGCACATATCCTGGTTTGCATATGGCCATTGCATCTTCCCATTGTATTCTCACATGGCAGAAAGCAGAGAGAGAGAATAAGTTCTGTCTTTTTTATATGCACACTAATCCCATTTGATATGGTTTGCCTTTGTGTCCCCTCCAAATCTCACCTTGAATTGTAATCCTCATAATCCCCATGTGTCAAGGGTAAGACCAGGTGAAGGTAATTGAATCATGGGGGTGGTTTCTCCTATGCTGTTCTCATGATAATGAGTGAATTTCACAAGATCTAATGGTTTTATAAGTGTCTGGCATTTCCCATGCTTGCACTTCTGATTCTCTCTCCTGCCGCCCTGTGAAGAGATGCCTTCCACCATGATTGTTCCTGAGGCCTCCCCAGCCATGCAGAACTGTGAGTCAATTAAACCTCTTTCCTTTATAAATTACCCAGTCTTGTGTATGTCTTTATTAACAGCATGAGAATGAACTAATACACGATGCATGAGGGCTCCTCCTTTATGACCTAATTACCTTCCATAGGCCTTACCTTCTAATACTGGGGTTAGGATTTTCACATTGAATTTGGGAGAAATAAGCATTCAGTCAACAGCAGTATTCACCATCTCATTTTATGCTCACAACCACTTAATAAGAAGTAAATTTAAAATACATAGATTATACGTGATAGAGAAGAACTGTATTCTAGGTCTGCAGACTTCAAAGCACATGCTTTTTAAATAATGTTATAATATTATGCTTTAGTAATAGTTATTGCATATATCTTTACAACATCTTTGTTTTTGAAAACCTTGAATAACCTGAGAAGGGGTAAAAGGAAAAGGAGCGGGAGAGAGGGGAAGAGGAATGAGAGAAAGAGAGATTGAGAAATTATTGGTATAAGCTATGTGAATTTATAAAATAAAGAGCAATTAACTCAAATCAAATAGAATTTGAATTCAGGTCCCTCCCATGGTCCTGCCACTATAAATCAGGGGCCATTCATGCAAAACTTTTATTTCATGCAAAAATAAATGCTGTACACTTAATTAGCACAGAGTTTTACTTTACATCATTGGACTATTGTCACTAAAAGCATCGGAGAGAATAGGTCTTCACCATCCCTGATAGCTGGAGAACAAGCCAGTTAAGATGGATACCTTGAGACTTTGCATTAATAAAGGTGAAATTATACTAGACATGAAAAAGAGATATGCAGAAAAGCTTTCTGTATTTAAATGAATTGTTTTGTGATGCAAATTAGCACACTCTGCACTAATGAAGTGAATTTTTTAACTGCATGAGTCATTTCTGGTTATCATTAAGCCATTGAAACCCCATGAAAAGAATTTACAACTAAAAATGGTGAATAAAACACGGCGATGAATAAAACAAACCCATTATAAGTCCACCAAATTGATGTGATTCAGCTATTGAAAAGTAAACTCGTTAGGTTTTCAGAGTCCATATTACAAAATGAAAATAAAGGAAATGGTCTTGGCTTCTGAATAAACAACTAAAAAGGAATTCTCTGAATTACACTGTAGCCAATTACTAGCAAAACCTCTTTAAATCTGTATCATCACTCATTTAACAAAAACTCAATAAGTGCCATTGATAGGTAATGCACTGGGACATGCGCTTTAAATACAACTAAGAAACTATAGAGATTCTATCTTCATGGAGGACAAAGTCTAATAGGGAATACATATAGAAGCCAATCATCATATTTTTTGACAATTGCTGTTGTGAAGATGGAATACTTTTATAAAGACGTGGGCCGATAGAAGAAAGTATAAGTATTTCTACCAGGAAGTGAAGTAGGAATTACACTGTGGGTAGATTTTACTTGCAACCATGAGGTATAGGCATATATCATTTTATTGTGCTTTGCTTTATCACATTTTTTTTAAAGTTAAAGGTTTGTGGTAACTCTGTCAGGCAAATCTTTTGGCACCATTTTTCCAACAGCATGTGCTCACTTTGTGTCATTTCTAGGGGAGTAAGAAGAAAAGGAACCATTTAAAATGCATGTATTAGAGAAGAACAAAAATTTAAAATCAGTAATCTAAGTTTCTGCCCTTAAGAAATGAATAAAAGAAGAATAAATTGAATACAAAGTAAGTGGAGGAAAATAAATAATAAAAGAGCAGAAATCAATACATTTGAAAACAGAAAATCAATAGAGAAAATCAACAAAACCAAAAGCTACCTCCTTGAAAAGATCAATAAAATTGACAAGCTTCTAGCAAGAATAGGAAAAAAAGAGACAGAATGTGAATTACTAATATCAGAATTACAATGGAGGATATCACTACAGATCTCATAACATTAAAAAGATAACAATGGAGTGGTATGAACAACTCTATTCCCACAAAATTAATAACCTAGATGAAACAGATCAGTTCCTTAAAAATATGATCTGCCAAAATTTGCAAAAGAAGAAATATACAATCTCAATAGGCATATATGTATAAAGAAATGGAATCAATAATTAATATCCTTCAAAAACAGAAAGCATTAGGCCCAGACGGGTTCACTGGTTAATTCCACCAAACATGTAAGAAAGAATCTATACCAATTCTCCACAATCTCTTTCAGAGGACAGAGAAAAAAATACTTCATAACTTACTCTATGAGGTGAGCATTACCCTAGAAACAGACATTATAAGAAAAGAAAACTACACACTAATATCTCTCATGAACATAGATGCAAAAATTCTCAACAAAATATTAATAGGAAATATAACAACTTATAAAATAATTATATACACCATGACTTGATGAGATTGGTCCCTCCATGTATGCAAGGCTGATTCAAAAATGACTACTTTGGGTGCAGCGGTGTGTGCTTGTAATCCCAGTTACTTGGGATGCTGAGATGGAAGGGTCACAGGAGTCTGAGACCAGCCTGGGCAACATAATGAGATCTTGCCTCTTAAAAAAAATAACAAGCGGTTCATATCTGAATCTCATTTTTAAAAGTTACTAAATATATAGAGATGTTCTATGTTCATGGTTAGGAAGGCTCAATATTGTCCAGATGTCATTTCTTCCAAACTTGATCTATAGGTTCAATGCAATTCCAATCAAAATCCTAGAAAGTTATTTTCTAGATATCAATAAACCGATTTCAAAGTTTATAGGGAGAGGAAAAAGACCCAGAATAGTTAATACAAAATTGAAGGAGAAAAGCAAAGTTGGAGGACTGACAATACCCAACTTCAAGACTTACAGTATATCTACAGTAATCAAGACAGTGTGGTTTTGGTGAAAGAATAGACAATTATATCAATGGAATAGTATAGCAAGCCCAGAAATAGACATGTATATTCAAATGATCTTTCCACAAAGGAGCAAAGGCAATACAATGGAGCAAAGGTGTTCCTTTCAACAAAAATGCTGGAAAAACTGGACATCCGCATGCAACAACAAAAAAATGAATCTAGACATAGACCTTATACATTTTTTAAAAATTAACTCAAAATGGATAATAGACCTAACTGTAAAACACAAACTATAAATATGGGTGATAATATAGAAGTAAACATAGATGGTCTTAGGTATTGTTACCAGAAAGGAGTCCCATCCAGACCCTGAGAGAGGGTTCTTGACCTCATGCAAGAAAGAATTCGGTGTGAGTCCGTAGAGTAAAGTGAAAGCAAGTTTATTAAGAAAGCAAGGATATATAAAAATGGCTTCTCCATAGGCAGAGTAGCAGCATGGGCTAATCAACTGCCTATACTTATAGTTATTTCTTGATCACATGCTAAACAAGAGGTAGAAGGATTAGTTTGCTGGGAAAGGGGTGGGCAATTCCCAGAAGTGAGGGTTCTTCCCCTTTTCAGACCATGTAGGATAACTTCCTGACATTGCCATGGCATTGTAAACTATCATGGCATTGGTGGGAGTGTCTTTTAGCGTGCAAATGCATTATAATTAGTATATAATGAGCAGTGAGAATGACCAGAGGTCACTTTTGTCACCATCTTAGTTTTGGAGGGTGTTGGCTGGCTTCTTTACTGCATCCTGTTTTACCAACAGGGTCTTTGTGACCAGTGTCTTGTGCCAACTTCCTGTCTCATCCTGTGACCTAGAATGCCTAAACTCCTGGGAATGCAGCACAGTAGGTCTCAGCCTTATTTTACCCACTCCCCATTCAAGATGGAGTCACTCTGGTTCAAACACCTCTGACAGTATGGCAATGCCTTTTTAGATATAACACACACACAAAACATGATTCTTGAAAGATAGAACTGATAAGCCAGACTTTGTGAAAATTAAAAACTTCTGCTCTGTTAAAAACAATGTTAAGAGAATAAGAACAGGCATCACAGACTGGAAGAAAATATTTGTAAAAATGTTACATCTGGTAAAAGACTGTTCTCAAAAATATACATAGAACTCTTTAAACCTCCACAGTAAGAAAATAAACAGCCTAATGAAAAAATAAGCCAAAAAAACCTTAACAGCCACCTCAGTAAAGAAGATATACAAATAGCAAATAAGCATAGAAAAAGATGTTCCACATCATATGTCATTAGGGCAATGCAAATTAAAACAAAAATGAGATATTACTACATACCTCAGAATGCCCAAAATCCAGAACAATGACAACACCAAATGATGGAGAGGATGTGCAGCAGAAGAAACTCATTCATTGCTTTGGGAATGCATAATGATACAGCCACTTTGGAATACAGTTTGGTGGTTTCTTATAAAAGGAAACACTCTCATACCGTAAGATACAGCAGTCATGCTTCTTGGTATTTACCCAAAAATAAATAAGTGGTACCTTCACACAAAAAATGTGTACATGGATGTTTATAACAGCTGTATTCATAATTGCCAGGTCTTGGATACAAGAAGTCCTTCAGTAGGTGAATGGATACATAAACCGTATGTCAGCAGTCCCCAACCTTTCCAGCATCAGGGACTGGTTTCATGGAAGATAGTTTTTCTATGGATAGGGTTGGGTAGGGTGGATGGTTTGGGGATGAAACTGTTCAACCTCAGGTCATCAATCATCAGTTCGATTCTCATAAGGAGAGCACAACCTAGATCCCTCACTTGCAGAGTTCACAACAGGGTTTGCACTCCTATGAGAATCTAAGGCCACCACTGATCTGACAGGAAGTGGAGCTCAGGTAGTAATGCCCGTTCACCTGTGGCTCACCTCTTGCTGTGCAGCCCGGTTCCTTAGAGGCCACAGACCAAATACTGGTCCACAGCCCAGGCATCGAGGACCCCTGCTTTATGTGTTACATCCAGACAATAGAGTATTATTCAGTGATAAAGAGATACAAGCTATCAAGCCATGAAAAGACATGGAGAAATTTTGAATGCATATTACTAACTAAAAGAAGCCAATCTGAAAAGGCTGTATGATTCCAGCAATATGAACTCTGGAAAAGTCAAAATTATGAAGACAATGAAAGATCAGTGGTTAGAAGAGGTTTGGAATGGTGGAGGAAGGATGAATAAGGCAGAGCACAGAAGAATTTTAGGGTAGTGAAATACTTTATATAGATACTATAACAGCAGACACATATTATCCATTGTCCTGAACCCATAGAATGTACAACACCAAATATGAAGCCTAATGTAAACTATGGATTTGGGTGATTATGATGTGTTGATGCAGGTTGACTAATTGTTAACAGATGTACCACTCTGGTAGGGGATGTTGCTATGCATGTGTAAGGTATGGAGTATATGGGAAATCTCTGTACCTTCCTCTCAATTTTGCTTTGAACCTAATGCTGTTCAAAAGAATAGTCTCCAATTTTAAAAAAGAGCAACAAAAGAAGGACTATTTCAGAAGTTACCTAAAACTTGTTAATGGCAAACTTCAGTTATCACCAGCTGAAATTGATGGACTTTTAGGTGTATAGGCTGCTTGGGACCTCACTGTCCTTAAGTGTCTCTGCTCCTGTTCCGTATTATCCCCTATATTAGTGAGGGGTCTCCAGAGAAACTGAACTAATGATAGTTAAGTCATACAGATGATAGTATCAATCGACAGAGAGACAGAGAGTGAGAGAAAGAGATTTTAAGGAATTGACTCACACAATTGCAAGGGCTGGCAAGTCTGAAATTTGCAGGGCAAGCTGGTAGGATAGAAATTCCAGTAAGAGTTGATATTGCATTCTTGAGTCTGAAGCCAGGAAACCCATGCAGAATTGGTATTTGCTATCCTCAGGCAGAAGTCCTCATTCTTTGGGAAGGCCTTCTATCTTTGCTCTTACAACCTTCAACTTACTGCATGAGGCCCACCTACATAATGGAAGGTAATCAGCTTTACTTACATTCAATTGCTTATCAGATACTTAACAGATACTTTCGAAGCAACATCTTGACTTGCCTTTGACCTAACAACTGCTCACTATAATCTAGCCAAGTTGACACAGAAAGTTAATTATTATCTTTAGAACTAAGGCTTTGATTTGAGGTTTACAAAAATTTATATGCCCTTATGTATAAGTGTATTGTACTAAAACATTTAGATTTTTTTCACATTTACTTTTTTTTAATCAGAGTTGTTATAAACCAGGTAATAATCTTAATTAGTTATATTCTATTATTCAGAATAATCTCAGTTTCTTACACATCTAATCAAGGATTCTTTTAAAATTGCATCATTTTTCTAAGACTTAATTAGTTTTTCACTCATTCTTTATGTAAAATTCTTTGGTAAGACTTTATCTCTTTTCTTTAGGTTTATTATACTTCTTAAATTTGTCAAATTCTTTTAACTTTGCACTTATATGTATTTCAAGTTGATTTAGTCCAAACTTACTGAATTTTGTTCAATTGCCAAACATTATGCTAGGTTTCAGAGAGACTGAGAAATACACTGCCCCTGCTCTTAAGTAGCTCTCTCTCCTTCTCCTGCTATTAGAGAATAGTACAGTACAATATCTCAACAACAACAACAAAACATAGAGTAGACAGGGTGTGGGAAGGATTTCAGATCTAGGGAATGTCACTCTGATCTAAACAGAATGTGACAACTTTCCTGTTCCTTACAGGGTCCCCAACCCCCAGGCTACAGACCAGTACTGGTCCGTGGCCTCTTAGGAACCAGGGCCACACAGCAGGAGGTGAGGAGCCTCCAATGAGCATTACCTCCTGAGCTCCACCTCCTGTCAGATCAGCAGCGGCTTTAGAGTCTCATAGGAGCTTGAACCCTATTGTGAACTGTGCATGCAAGAGATCTAGGTTGCCCACTCCTTATGAGAATCTAATGGATGCTTGATGATCTGAGGTGGAATAGTTTCATCTCACAAGCAACCACCCCGCCCCAGCCCTGTCCATGGAAAAATTGTCTTCCACGAAATCAGCCCCTTGTGCCATTAAGATTGGGGACCACTGCTTAGAAGAAAACACTAACAAATCACACATGTTGCCCTGCCACGCTACTAAATCAGAAAGTCACTGATTCAAAGAAACTTACTGCAGGAAGTAGAACAATCTTTCTCTTATCTCACTAAAAAGCTAAGCTTGTTTGAGGTTTGTTTCAGAGATTCTGGTGCATGCAGACCAGAGGACAGTGAAGAATTTTTAAAAACCCAGTATTGAAGGGTCAACAGCACCAGTGGCAATTTTAGAGGTACTTTTTTTTAATAGAAAAATATTCCTTTGGGTTATATGATTACTTTTAGTACATGAGAGTTGGAACTGAAAAGCTAGTTTTTCAGCGCTTCTAGAAGTTGCTATTGAATAATAATTTCTGCTCATGAATCACTTATAGTTGAAGGTGGAAGATGATGACAAGTGTCATGTTGATGCTCTTCAAAATTTCTTTAAAATTCTGGTGCCTGAAAAATATAAAAGTATCTTTTTGTTCTCAATCTTCTTGTCTCATAATAACGATATAAATTGTTCCTGAATTTGAGATGCTCATTTTCTCAGGTTTAAATAATAAATTGGTGATGAGAACAGGGAGCTTGTGTCGTGATGAAAAGTTAAAACTTAGTTATCTGACTCTATATTTTCTAGTGGTATAGCTCTCTCACACCTGTGTACCATTGTTCACACAGAAGACATATCAATTTTATCCTAATTTGATTAGAACCTGAATACTCCCAAGTAGCTAAATGATTTCCTCCCATTATACAACTAATTTGACATTTATCCTTGTAAGAGTCAAGTCAAGACTCATGTTATTCCTTAGGAAAGAAAATATCTTATGAAATTCTGATACGTTTGAAAATGTGTTCTTAAAACTACAATAAATTGTTCTCATAGATTTATGGAATAGTAGAGCAGGGAGGAAACTTAGTTTAATCTTGTGGTTTTGTATCTACTAAAATACAAGCCCAAAGAAGCCTGTGGTTTTGGCAGGGGTGGTCAGAGTAATATTAGATGGAAGGACAATTACTATCATATCCTCTCTTAGTCTCAATAACTATGCTCTTCTTGTTGCCACCCCTGTTCGTCTGACTGCCTCTTCACAAACTCTTTGGTGGTTCTCAGTCCTACAATCCATGGGTCAGTTAAAAGCAAAATCCGCTTGTCTTGTCCCTATGCTTTTGACTGCTATAGCACTTAGAATATTGTATAAGTGATCTATTTATGTGTCTGACTCACTGAAAGCCATGCTTTAATTCAAGAAACAGAAAAATAATTTAGTTATTTTACACAGAAAGAGATTTAATATAGGAAATAAAAGGTACTTACCAAATGATTGGATGAGCTGGGGCAGCAGCAGTCAGGGGATGACCACTGGACTGTTTAGTTCAAGGATACATCATACTAGCTGTGATTCGGTTGTCAAGAAGCTGCTGCATTCCCCACCAGCTGCTTTCCCAACTGCCTGTCACACATGAGAACTGGAAGCTCAATGCAAGAAATCAGAGAATGGCTGCCATCACCAGGAACTTCCAATAACCTGTTTCAGGACCTTGCTTGCCAGAACCAATAGCAGCAGCAAGAGTTTCTGTTGCAATTCTGCTTTCTAAATCTCCTGCTACTGCCACTCAGGGGTAGAATCTAATTTTTATGTGGAACTCAAGCTGCAAAGGAGTCTGGCGGGTGTAATTCTTAGCAACTTTTAAGCTTAGGGAAGGGCTGAAGATATTTATAACACTCACCTACTGAACTATGGACTCAAGGATCTAGAATGTCTAATATTTATCTTTACGTCAACAAATAAATCCAGCATAGTATTGAGGATAGTAATCCCACTATTCATAACATGCTGAACTGAAGTGAACCCATTTATCACTCCTCCTGCCTTTCCACACTCAGTCACCAAGCTATGATGAGTCTATGTATAAAACACCTGTTATTTATTCATTCCTCTTCATTCCCACAGACCCTGCCCTAGCACAGTTCCCACTTATTTCCAAGGAGCTGTCCTTACTTCTTTTATTCTAGGCACCATTGACACTCCTCCTTAATATCTTTCCAAAACACTCTGATCTAAGTACATCAGTCTACTCTATGTGAGTCTTTGCTTTCAAATTCCCTTCAACATATGCCTCAGACTTCATTGCATGTAAAACTTTCTGAGTGAACAAGTCTTTGCATTCTAATGTATTTTATTCTAATACATTTTATTCTTATATAGTATACTTTGTGTCATAAGCTTTCCTTTTCACTTGTATAGTAACTTCCTTTTATCTTCACAATGAATAAGTAATGTAGAAATTATTATTGCTATTTAATTTTTTCATTACTCTATCTTTCTAATTAAGCATCATCTATTCCCAGAGTTTCTGCTGGATTCTCCTTGGTGCTCCGTGCTCTACTTTTGTCATCTCCAATGCATCTGTAGGTGTTTTAGAAATGTGAATGTGTTCACATGGCACTAATTTTACAAAAACTTTTCCATGTCTTTTTTTATCCTTACTTTCTGTACTCCACCCACACTGACTCCAAAATTGTTTCATTTCCTACCTTTCCTTTTGCCCTTTCTTCTAATGAATTCCTATTTAGTCTTCAGATTATAGCTAAAGTGTAAATTCCATAAGGAAGTCTTCTTCAACCCACCAGGCTAGATCCTATAAATCCATATGTTTTATTTTTATTAATAAAATAATAATACTGCTTTAATATATATTTAATATATTAAATATATAAAATATATTTTTATTATATATTTTATATATTTAATTATAAATATATAATATTTATATATATTTATATATTATATATAAATATAATTATATATATTATATATAAAATAATAAATAAATAAAAATATATATTTATATTTTTATATTTATAAATAAATAAAAATATATATAAAATAATAAATAAATAAAAATATATATTTAATATATAATTTAATATAATAAATCACACTGCTTTAATATATATTTGGTGATTATTTTAATAAATTTCATTTCTTCCATCAGGCTTTTAGCTCCGTATCAGCAGAGATGGTGTCTATTTTGCTCACAAATGTACTCTTAATAACTAGTTCTTTTTCTGGCATATAGTAAGCATTCAAATGAGTATTTATTGAGATAATGAAACAAGGAATAAATAATTAGGTGGGGAAAATTTAACTTCACATGGATTGTGTATCAAACATTCAAGATGACATATGACTATGGCTTCAACTTATTCTATTTTATTCCAAACCATGACAACTTCCCAAAATGTCCTGTGCCTTTTTCAGACTGATTTCTTATTGCTATATTTAGATACACAACATATGCTGCAAGGTACCAAACTTTACACCTCTGATGTTTGCTTACAAGAATTCCTTTCTACATGTCTCCCTTCTTTCCCTACTTAGAAAAATCTTGAGCATCCTTTAAAGAACATTTAAATTGTTACCTTCTGAAAAATCTGCTCTTTACCAGAGTATTTTGCCCAAACTGTTTATTATACTAGTTTTTTAAGACTTGAAATGGCATAGGATTTTCAAAGTAGGTGGAGTGTTTAAGGAAGCAGACAACCCTGAGGTAAAATTTTGGTACTTTCACCTAGAATTTGAAGTCCTTGAAGAAATTAGGTTGCAATTCCATACTTTCTTTCTATTAAAACACATGATGAAAGTCACCTAATAGGTCACCATATGTGATGGTTAATATTGAGTGTTAACTTGATCAGATTAAAAATACAAAATATTGTTCCTGGGTGTGTCTGTGAGGGTGTTGCCAAAGGAGATTAACATTTGAGTCAGTGGGCTGGGAAGGCACATCCACCCTTAACCTGCATAGGCACCATCTAATCAGCTGCCAGTGCCACTAGAATATAAAGCAGACAGAAAAATGTAGAAAGACTAGACTGGCTTAGCCTCCCAGCCTACATCTTTCTCTCATGCTGGATGCTTCCTGCCCTTGAACATGGGACTCCAAGTTCTTCAGTTTTACGACTTGGACTGGCTCTCCTTGCTCTTCAGCTTGCAGGCAGCCTATTGTGGGACCTTGTGATTGTGTGAGTTAATAATCAATCTGTCTATCTATCTATCTATCATCTATCTATATCTATCTATCTATCTATCTATCTATATCTATCTATCTATCTATCTATCTATCTATCTATCTATCTATCTATCTATCTATCTATCCATCCATACTATTAGTTCTGTCCCTCTAGAGAACCCTGACTAATACAGATTTTGGTAGCAGGAGTGGTTCTAGAGGAACAGAATATTAAGGATGGAGTTCTTTTGTTGATTTTGGGGTTTCTGGAGTTGGCTGTTTAATATGCTTAAACCCCAAAATGCTAAGGACTCCTCTTCCAGGAGTATGCAGAACACTGATAGTCCTTGGTATGAACTGTTTAGAGAGCTATGCAAAATAAATGCATTTGACACTCCTGACTTACCGCTTGTGAGAGGCAAAATTTTTGCTTCCCGTTCCCTTGACATTAACGCTCTGCTGGCCTAGAGGTCTTAGTTCCAAAGGGTGGAATGCTGCCACCAGGAGAAACAACAATGATTCCATTAAACTGGAGGTTAAGATTGTCACCTAGACACTTTGGGCTCCTCCTACCTTTAAGTCAACAGGCTAAGAAGGGAGTTACAGTGTTGGCTGGAGTGTTTGAACCAGTCTATCAAGATGAAATAGGTCTACTATTCCACAATGGAGGTAAGGAAGATTATGCATGGAATACAGGAGATCAATTAGGATGTCTTAGTATTACCATGCCCTGTGATTAAGGTCAATGGGAAATGACAACAGCCCAATCCAGGAAGGACTGACTCCAAATGGCCCAGACCCTTCAGGAATGAAGGTTTGAATCACTCCACCAGGAAAAGACCATGACCTGCTGAAGAACTTGCTGAAGGCAAAGGGAATACAGAATGGTTAGTAGAAGAAGGTAGTAATCAATACCAGCTACTACCATGTGACCAGCTGCAGAAATGAGGACTGTAACTGTCATGAGTATTTCCTCCTTCTTTTGTTAATAAAATGTGCATGTAATCACTTGTACTAAGAAAATATCTTCATTTTATTTCCTTTTTCCTTCATCATGTGACATAACATTTATCGACTTCACATCAACATTTAAGCATCGTCAACTTTATAAAATAGTATTCGGATTGGGGATAGCTGAGTTTCCGATTGTACAAAGAATACTTGTATTATGTTAGGCATAATTATGACCTTATTATTGTCTTTCTCTGAAGATTATGTATGATCTCAGGAGATGTGTGTGGGTTCATGTTGACAAGGGGTAGACTTGTGATGGTTAACACTAGGTGTCAACTTGATTGGATTGAAGGATATCAAGTATTGATCCTGGATGTGTCTGTGAGGGTATTGCCAAAGGAGATTAACATTTGAGTCAGTGGGCTGGAAAAGGCAGGCCCACCCTTAATCTGAGTGGGCACCATCTAATCAGCTGCCAGTGCTGCTAGAATATAAATCAGGCAGAAAAATGTGAAAAGATGAGACTGGCCTAACCTCACAGCCTACATCTTTCTCCTGTGCTGGATGCTTCCTGCCCTCGAATATCAGACTCCAGGTTCTTCAGTTTGGGGACTTGGACTGGCTCTCCTTGCTCCTCAGCTTACAGACAGCCTATTGTGGGACATTCTGATTGTGTGAGTTAATACTTAATAAACTCCCCTTTATATATATATTGACTAAATAGAAGCAATTATATATATATAGGAGATATATATATCTCCTATTAATTCTGTCCCTCTACAGAACCCTGACTAATACACCATATGTCTGTAGAAAACTAATCATGAATGTTGGCATGTGAGGAATATGTAGTAAATACTAACTTTCTATTAGTTTTTTTTTCTTTTCTTCTCCTTAATATTGAGAAGATTATTATGTTCCTTAAACTTTTTTGTTTCCTAGTCCATGACCGCTTCTATTTAGTCAATATCAACTGATTGGCTGCCCAAAATAGCCTCATTTTGACCCCTCACATACATGCTGTACTCCCCCTGCTTTGTGTTCCAGAATATTCTGGTGTCTGAAAATTATTTGATATATTTCTTTTACATTTAGCAAAGAATAAGCCTCCTTTGGTCTTAATACCAAAGGGATAATCCCATGAATTGAACGATTTATGTCACCATACAAAGACTTTTGGGCCAGATTTTTGGGAGCTGAGAATGTTCTTGCTGCTGAGCAAGAACAGTATTGTTCTAGCAGGCAATATATGGCAGATGGCCTATTTTCTTGACACAGACATAGAATCTTCAAATAATCAATGGATGTTGAAGACTTCAGGTACATTCTTCAAACTGTGCCAAAGATGATGACACAGACTTCTGTGTTTGAAGGAACACTTGATAATTTCATGTCATATTCAGAAAGATTAGATGCATATTCAGGGCATGCTATAAATTGATCTGAGAGCTATATTTTAAAATAATTTCAAAGTGTTTAATTTTACCATGGTTTATGAGGGAGAATTCAGAGAATGGAGGTGGTTGGCTAGCCTGCTGATACTTGCAGACAACTAACTGCAAAGATTCTAAGTACATTCTGAGAACAGTTATTCAAATCTCATTTTAATTTAAATTAACTCATTGCAGTGGTTTTGAAACATGGCCACATATTCTTTGTCACTCCATCTATTAAGAAGCTGGACTCCTTCCTTACACCATATACAAAAATCTACTCAAGATGGATCAGAGGCTTTAATTTAAAATCCCAAGCTAAAAAAATCCTGGAAGACAACTGAGGCAATGCCATCCTGGACATGAAAATGGGCAAAGATTTCATGACAAAGACACCAAAAGTAATCCCAATAAAAGCAAAAATTGACAAGTGGGATCTGATTTAACTTAAGAGCTTCTGCACAGCACAAGGAACTATCAACAGAGTAAACAGACAATCTACAGAATGAGAGAATTTTTGCAAACTATCCATCTAACAAAGCTCTGTTATCTAGCATCTATAAGGAACTTAAAGAAATTTACAAGAGAAAAGCAAACAACATCATTAAAAGGTAGACAAAGGACATGAGCAGACACTTCTCAAAAGGAGACATACATGGGGCCAACAAGCATATTTTAAGAAGCTCAACATCACTGATCATTAGATAAATGCAAATGAAACCACAATGAGATTCTATCTCACACCAGTCAGAATGGCTTATTATTAAAAAGTCAAAAAATTACAGATACTGGTGAGGTCGTGGAGAAAAGGGAACACTTATACACTGTTGGTGGGAATGTAAATTAGTTCAACTATTGTGGAAAGCAGTATGGTGATTCTTCAAAGAGTTAAAAGCAGAAATTTCATTCAACCCAGCAACCCCATTACCGGGTATATACCCAGAGGAATATAAATCATTCTACCATAAAGACACATGCATGTGAATGTTCTCTGAAGCACTATTCACGATAGCAAAGACATGAAATAAACCAAAATGCGTATCAATTTGGTTTATTGGATAAAGAAAATGTGGTACATATACCCATGGAATACTATGCGCCTTAAAACAAGAATGAGACCATGTCTTTTGTGGAAACATGGATGGAGCTGGAGGCTATCATCCTTAGCAAACTAACACAGGAACAGAAAACCAAATACTGCATGTTCTCACTTACAAGTGCGAGCTAAATGATGAGAACACAAAGAAGGAAGCAACAGACACTGGGTTCTACTTCAGGATGGAGGTGGGAGGAAGGAGAGGACCAGAAGAGATCACTATTAGGTACTTGGCTTAATAGATGGGCGATGAAACAATCTGTACTCCATACCCCTGTGACACTAGTTTGCCTATGTAACAAATCTTCACATGTATCCCAAACCTAAAATAAAAGGTTAAAAAAAAAGTTGGAATCTGTCTACTTCTTCCCTTTGGATCTGGGCAGGCTTGTGACTGCTTTGACCACTGGAGTATAGTGGAACACTTCCAAGGCTAGGTCATAGAAAGCCAGGCAGCTTTCGACTTGTTCACCAAACAATTGCTTAGAGCTGTGGCCCATCTTGTAAAAAGTCCAATTACCCTGAGAACTCTTGCTGGAGAGATCACATAAAGGTACTCCTGTTGACAGCCCCAGCTGTGCTCAGCCTTCCTGCCATGTCTGCCCAGACACAAAAATGTAAACAATTTTTCTTGGACCCTCTAAATCAGCCCAATTGCCAGCTTCATACTACCTGAAGGTACAAATAATAAGGCAACATCATTGTGATAATATGACCAAATAATTTTTTTATCTACTTTAGTAGTTTTTAAATTTATAAAACTTGGTACTTAGAAAAAGCTTATGAGATTATTATGAAAAATCAAAAGAAAAAGATAAGGCAATTAAATTAAAATTTGAAAAACATTAACCAAGGAGGAGAGAGAAAACTAGGATAAGAGTGTTATTACAATTGAGCTTTAACTTTAATCATAAATTTCCTGGCAAGTACCTGCCTACTTCTTTAATCTCATTGTGTAACATTCTCTCCTAGCCCAGTACACTCCTGCCACATGGGCCTTCGCAATTCTCCAAATCATCAGTGACAGCACAATGAATAACTTAGTGGTTAAAAGCATAGCTGTAAAAACATAATTCTTTACATAAAACATAAAACAAAATTTGCTGTAATTTTCAGCAAATATTTAACCTCTGTGGTTTTGATTTCTTTATCCATGAAATTATGCTCTCGATGTCATAGAGTTTTTGTTGTGAGGACTAAATGAGTTCAAGGTACCAGTCACAAAGTAATTATTCAATACATGTTAGCTATAATTATTACTATTATTTTTACTGATATCGTTATAATTCTAGAATAAGGAGCTTTTCGATTACCTATTACCCTTGCCCCTGGTTCACAATATCTATATCTTTATATAGCTGGCTTCTTAATGTTAAGTCTAGCTTAAATATCACCATTAAAAAGAAATTTAAGACTACACAACATCAAGAAATTCCATGGGTACTCTGTCATATCATATGCTTTATTTTCATTGTAGCACTTATTAGTGTTAAGCATTTTCTTATTTATTTCATTTGTTTAACTGTCTATAGAAAATATCTAGATTCATGCCTGATATAGAATAGATACTCAACAAAGGTTTGAGCCGTGAACAAATTTATCTCAACAAATTCCTAACAAGAACAATATGACTTTAAGATCACAATAATGATAACAAACAGTATGTAAATGTTAGTACTCCTAGTGATAGCTAACATGTATTGACCACTCACTACGTACTAGGCATGGTACTTTTTATATGTAGTATGCATTTTAATATTTACAACAGCTGAGACATGGGAGTTTCATTATAGGCATTCTAAAGAGGTAAAAACTCAGATTTGGAGATGTTAAATAATTTATTTAAGATCACAGACTTAATAAGTAATAGAGATATGGCTGGAAGTTATGTTTTCTTACTCAAAATCCATTTTCTCAATTACCATGTTACAAAAAAGCAAACAAAAATAAGCACATTTCACCAATGGAAAAATTAGTGCAGGGGACCAAGAATGAGAGTAAGAAGTCAATAAATGGATAAAATTTAAATGTAAAAGAATATGTACATGTATGCTTAAAACACAAGTACTAACAAACCATCTAAAATGATACAAATTAGCTCCATTGATTATGTATAGGCATTCTGGTATATAAATCCTAAACATGTCTTTACAAATCTTTATGAAAATACAATGTCTATTTGAAAGAATGAAATAAATCAACCTTATGTCTCATTTAAACCCAAATTTTCTTGTGCTGAAATAACTGTGTCCCACCATAGAGTATGTTTTAATTCTTTTTTCCTGTTCTCATTCATCTGTGAAAAGCACTTATACATTATTTATATTACTGCCATTTTCTGAAGAAGGTTTGCTCTTTTAAATTTCTGTGTGCTTCTTCATCGGCTTTACTGTTACAGGAAAGAGATTTCTTTTATTTATCTTTTCTGAGCTGCGTGTTCTGTATTTATGAACATTTTATAAGTAAGCATTTGTTACTGTACAAATGTTCCCATATTTTTGAGGGTTTTTTTTTTTCACAAAGGTACAAGATAGTGCAAGGTATTTTTGTCAAGAGTGTAAGCTACTCCTAGGGGTCTAATTTTTATGAGTTTATGTAACACTATTTGTAATTTAATTTACAGTATTAAAAATTAGCATGTGATTAATATGGGAAATATTTCTGGAATTTATGTTTCTTCTCAGTTATTATCATCACTGAAGGGACATCTTTGAACTGGTATGGTATAATGCAGGGCTTATTTTACCTCATTTTACTTTTGCTTTTGAGTTTTATGAAAGCATTCAGAGTGACATAATATAGCAGAATGAACACTAGACTGGGATTAAGAACATATAAATTCTAGTGTAGATCCCATCATAAAACTAGGAATGTGATCTTGATTATTTCACCAAAAATTTTAGGAGCTTGATACCCTTACATATAAAATGAAGATGACACTCTCCTTATCCATTCCTAAGAGGTCATCTGTGTCTTCTGGGGATTGCTACAAATCAAAGACATTTTAAAAGCTTAAAATAGTAAATAAATACTATGTGGTAAGAGCAGTAGTATTATTAACATTTTTATAATACATATTTTTATTTTGGCCAAATTAGTTAAATACCGCCTGTGAAACAAACAAGAAACGCACAAAAACTCACCATAAATCTCTATTTAGTTTAGTCCACTTTTTAATTTTAAAATAGTGGACTGACAAACAAAAATTGTATATATTCAAGGTATAAAACATGGTCACTTGATATATGTAGACACTGTGTATTGATTGCCATAGTCAAATTGATTAATACATCCATCACTGCCCATAGTTACAGTGTGTTGGAGGGAGAGATGGTGTAAGAACACATAAAATCCACTCTCTTACCAGATTTTGCCATGGTCTTGGGGGTGGGAAAAATGAAAAAATGTTAGTCTACCATTTAAAAAGAAAATAAAATGAAAATTCTGAAACAGGCTTACCTTTTGTAATCCTCACTAGATAGAAATAAAACTTGTTAGATTTAAGTGGTAGCAAATGCCGTTCAGATTTTTAATTAACAGAACCATTTAGATGATTTATTAATACAAAAAAGCTACTCTAAACCACCATTTAGAGTATGTGTTTAAAAAAGAAAAGCAAAGTGCCCTTATCTGCATTTTTTTTTAAAGTAAGCTCTGTATACTGGTTAAAGGCCCCGTTTCTAGAGCTAAAATCTTGGGTTTGGAGCCTGAGTTTAGCTTTTAGCACCTCTGTGACCTCAAAAAGAAAGCTTCACTTGCCTTTTCCACTGGGAGGCAGCAAATAAGAATATCTTCATGGCTGAGTAGTGTTTGTATGGATGGGGAAAGAGGGAAGGTGAGACAGAGGACATAAACTTAATGAGGAAATGTGGTTATTATGTTTCAGAGAGTTTGAAAGTTTTATTCAATTTTTTTTTTTTTACACCTGAAGCCATTCTCCTTTATATACTGCAATTGTAATTTTCTCTTGGATTTCAAAGAGATTGAAAAAGTTCTAAGAAGGAAACCACACAGAAACAGATTGCATGGTGAGGCAGATTATACATGTCGACACGAATGATTTTAGGAGAAAAATAAAAACTAATTTTTTTTTTAATGAAAGAAAGGACAATGTCAGGTCATCTATATTCTTCTGTCAGTCATTCCTACATTGCCTCCCAGAGACGATCCCTCACCTATCTTTTGCCATATACTGTATGTCTAACAGGAAGACTTTTTGAATATTTCCTATGGTAGAAAATAATTCAAATTGTAATTTTTGTATAAAAAAATCTTCATGAGCATGTACCATTGTCCTAAAGAAGCAGGTGTTACAAGTACTTGATTGTGGGTAGCCTTTATTTTTATCAAGAAAAAGTTTTCTCTTAGAGCTTGCGATTACTGAATGTCTAGTATGTGAGGGGCATTATCTGTGGAGCTGAATGAACTATACTAAAATAATACATTGTTTCAAGGACTAATGAAATAATCACATTTGGTTTTGTCTTCTTTAGATTTAAGATTTTTTTAGACATGATTATTAAGACTTTTTTTTCTTCATTTGGTCAACACTAGACTAAATCACAAAAATAAACATTTGGAAATACAAGAAACCAGTGTAAAGTACAGTACAATTTCAATAGAACATGCTAATCCTGAGTAATTGTTGAAGACATATTTTTGTGAAATGGTAAAACATTTCTGCTCCTTTTATATTTGACTCGTACTTTCATCTCTTGTCCCGGGTGGTCACACATACCTTCACATGACCAAAACCTATCTATTGAGAAATTTTTATATATATTCAGATTCTAAATGAACCTTTCTTAAATTCACCTATTGTAATTTGTTAATTCTGTTGCCCTTCAAAAACAAGTTCAAGATCAGAATGAAGACTTTTTAAAATACTTTTTAACTTTAGACTCTTAAATATGCTGCTATTCTTGAGATTCCACAGATACTAAATATCTTGGGAATTCTATAAAGAAAAAAGTTTAAAGTAAAATTTGTTTACCTGCCTACATTGGAATGAATCATAGCATTGTTTCTAATTTTAGTTGCAGCTATGATAATGCCATGGAGAAGGATAATTGGGTGAAACGGACCATTCTGGCTGGAATTCATCAGCCTCTCATGCACATCTCAGCTCCTTAATGCTGAATATATTCAGGGATGTGTTTCCAAGACCCCAGGGCTTTTTTTTTTTCCTCCTTCTTTGTTCTCCTCTTCTAAGGTTTCTTTTAAAACATGTGCAGTCTTTCTTTACCATCCATCTTCCCTTTTCTCTTCCCTACCCCATGGTATCTCTGTTTCCAATTCATAGTGACCAAAATCATTATATAATAGTCTTCACTTTCCACTGTTAGTTACTTTGTGTTACTGGGCTTCAGTATCACAGCAGGAAGTATATTTTACAAATCTGTCTTGAAATAAGCATATTTAATTGTGTAAGGCTTAGAAAATTTAGGAAGATATTATATAATTACTGACCAGTATTGTGATCAACTATATAATTATAAACAAGTAATTATTAATTTTTCAGATAATATAAGGACACAAGGATGATCATGCTTTTACAGTAAATCAATAAAAAGAACAATATTATAGAAATTTCTGAGCAATGTTTACAATAAAAAGATGGTATTTTAGCATTCACTGGATTGATAAATGTAGTAGGTCTTAATCTTCATAAGAATTTTTTAGCTTCTAGTTCTGTCTTGAGCTGATATGATCATAATAGCTGTCATTTGTATAATGTTTAAGAGTTTATCAGCACTTTCTACTCTATTACTTATTTCAAGCCTAATAATCATTTGTTAAATTAAATAGCCCTTATTTTGTAAATGGGAACACTGTGACTACAAAAGACTAGGCAAATTGCCTAGGTCAAGCATGGATCTCAAATTTAATCAATCGCTTCCTTGGCACCCTTAGAAGACAGCTTTTTCTGTGGTGGCATAGTTTTGTACATGCGCACATTTGAACCCAATTACAAACTTTAAAATGTCACTGGGTTTGGACCCCGTTTTTCCAAGATAAATGTCATTTTCACTGGGAAATTATCAAGTCACTTACAAGCAGCTTTCTTAAAGAGAAGCTACCTGCTATTAACTCTTCATGTTTCTGTCTTCTTTAGGTGAAGGCAATAATTCAAGTAGGGGAATGAAGGAGATCAGTTCTGCCTTTGCAGTGGATATCTGATGTTGAATCTTTTCTCCATATCCTTAATATATACATGATATTACAGAAGGTTTGAAACCTTTATCTGCAGTCTAATTTTCTCATCCATGTGAGGTTAATAAACATATTTGCCTCACAGACAATAGTAGACTGTGAAGATTAGGTGATTTGAAACATGAGATTGTCCAAGTCCAGTACCTTGCACATAGTAGAATTTTAATAAATGACATTTCTCACTTTCCTATTCCTTTACTAAATGTAATTTCACATTTTTTCAGCCTTTCTGTATATAAGAACCATTGATGGTGTCCTTCAAGTCTTAAAATTCCCAAATCAGCAGTAAGTTAATCAGTAAGTATATCAGCAACAGTTCCAATCCCAAACTACTGCTGTATCTATATAAAGTATATAAAATTGCTATACATTATTCATTATATAAAGAATTATAAAGTCCATAAACACATCCAACTCTTGTTCAAATGTGAGTTCATGAATGTTATATATTTGTTGTTAGACTTACGCTGTGCAAAGTATCATACCTCTAGTAAGAGGTACATAGCCCTACACTAAGAATTTGCTCAACTCAGTAGTCAAATATTATGATCACTTTCATCATCATCACCACTCTCCTTCTCTTTGCCATCATTTCTAACATGTATTAAGTGTTTACCATCTGCCTGACCCTTTACTAAATTATTTGTATGAATCATCTTATTGAATCCTCACCACCACCCTTATGAGGATACTATCATTAATTTCATAGTATAATTAAGAATAACAAGTTCTAGTGTGGTTAGGTAATTTGTCCAAGGCACAAGCACTAAGTAATGGTGGTGAGGATTGAATATAAGCAGTCGTATTCAGGAATCCATTACACTTTCATGTCTGCATTAGGCCATAATATTAAGATTTATATAAGTGGTGGCAAAAATATATTTTGCACATTGATCAAAATTTGGAAACAGGAATATGAAAGTATCAGGCTGTTATCTAATTCCCCAAGATAATTAGTTTGTCTTGAAGGTGCATCTGGGAGGCAAACAGGTTGGAACAGGCTGAAGTTCCCAATGTCAGAGAGCATTCCTATAACATAGGGTTGAGAGGGTTCAAAAATTCTTTAGGATTGCACTTTTGATCGAACCTCATGCTTTGAAGTTATATACTTAAGTGAATATTTCCAATTATTTATTATATAAAATTTTAAGTTAGCTTATTAATATTATAAATATATTGTTAATTTTGTTGAAGTCATTTTCAAATTATTGACTAATTAGGATAGTTTTGAAACCTTTATAATACTAAGTCATAATGTTGATTGTGGTGTAATTTTCCATATATTTATATTTTCTATTATGTCCATCATGTTTTATAAATTTCTCTATAAAGGTCTTGATAGATTAATTTACAGACACATTACAGTTTTGTTGCTAAAGGAAATGATCTTATTTTCTCTTAAGTTTTTGACTTGTCTTTGAAAAGGGACCAGTAATTTATTTTTTGAATATTAGCTTTATATCTGGCAACCTTTCTGAAACTATGATTTCTAATAATTGTTCCATTGTAGATAATCATGTATCTTCAGATTATTAACGTTCTTTTCTTATCTGGTTATATCAGCCAGGACTCTTTGAACAATTGCAATGATAGCACATATTTTTATCTTGTCCCTGACCTTTAAGGGAACAAATACTTTATACTTCAGTTTTCAGGAACGTTTTTTGCATTACATTTATGATCAGAAATAACAAATGTTAACTAAAAGTTTTAAAAAATTAACAAACCTATGGTAAGGAAAAAATAAGTACTTTATACTAAGAGCTTCAGTATAGGTATAATCTGTCCTCAACAGTTTACTTTACGGAAAGACGATTAAAATTTTAAGTAAAACAAAATGCCATTTTACAAGGCTGTCTCTAAAGAAGAAAAGTTTTACTCGGTATGTCACTGAGAGTACTCCTGAAGCCTTGTCTCTCCATCTTCTAATAGTTTATTTTTATATTAAATTCTATAATATTTTCATTAAAATACTTCAGGTAATGAGTCTTTTGAGTGAAAGACCTTTGAATATAGAATAAATGATATTTTGGTAAACCTGACCTTGGGCAAGCCACTTAACTTCGAATCTATGGGTTTTTTTTTTTCCAATTATGATTATTATTAACATTAAATAATGAAAGTAAGGAACTCCCTCTCTTTTTTATTAGCAAAAACATCTATGACCTCTTTTGTTTACTTCCATCTTTGATTAATAAGATGAATGAATATAAAACTATTATATCATCAGAATACCTTGTATAGAAAATATTATATTTTCTTGTGCTTGTTTGTTGGTTTTAAAAACTTGTGAAAGTTTCAGCTCTTAACTCTGTAACAACAGTTTCTAAAAACTACGTGTTAGGTCACTATATCTGTTTCTCCTTCTTTGATGAAATTGGAGGAAAACTCTAGAAACATCACTGGTTTATAATAGTTCAATGACCCTTCTTTTCTAACCATAAAATAAAATAAAACCTTAAAGCAAAAGTTTCTCAATCCCAGAGCAAAGTGATATATAAAATATTCTTTGTATACCTAATAAAATAGTGACAAGTAGAAATCTGGAGAATAATTCATAACAATCTGTTTATGTGTGTGTGTGTTGTGTGCATTCATGTGGAGGCATATTTGATTGTTTCTTATTAGTAAATTTGTGTAATTGATGCTTACTTCGGGTGGATGTATTTTTTAATCATCTCAATCATCAAGTGCCTCATATCTCAGGAAATAGTAGTTGACATATTTCAGAGAGAAAGAAGACTGAATAGAGCGTGCAGCTTACAGCTTGATTATAACCTTTTTATTCTATTTGCCTTTGTGTTTGACATGTAATACCAACATTTTTCTGTCACCTACAATTTGAATCCATGTAAGTCACAATAAGAAGAAAGCATCTGTGCCCCTATGCTGTGCAAAGCTGCTGAGGCATAGCTACAGATCAAGCATATAACACAGAATCAGAATTGAATCTGCCATGTAGCTCTACTCATTATTTTGTTAAAAACATTAATGCTAAGCAGCCTGCTTGGTGGCTCCCGCCTGTGGGAGGCCTAGGTAGGTGCATCACGAGGTCAAGAGATCAAAACCATCCTAGCCAATGTCTCTACTAAAAATACAAAAATTAGCTGGGCGTGGTAGTGTGCACCTGTAGTCCCAGCTACTTGCAAGGCTGAGGCAGGAGAATCGCTTGAATCTGGGAAGCGAAGGTTGCAGTGAGCCGAGATGGTGCCACTGCACTCCAGCCTGGGCAACAGAGAGAGACTCAGTCTCAAAAAAAAAAAAAAAAAAAGAAAAAAAAATTAATGATAAGCAAAGTGCTTTGCATTCGTAATCTCTGTTAATGCTCATAGCAAGTCCCTATGTACTCAAGACACAAATCACGAGCTTCATTTGAAATTTGGAAAGTCAAGATTTGCAAAAGCTACATATCCTGCATGAGGTGACGAACTAGAAAGTAGCAGCCCAGATCTTCTGAGTTCTAGTTTAATACCTTCTCCCAAGATCAAGAAAGAAAGGCGCCTCCATTGTTTCACTCTTTCTTCAGCTTGGCTCCTTGGAAGCTTGGAAAAATTGTCTTTGAAAAAGAAATAAATAATAACACTTAAAATAGACATATTTTTTAAATTCCTTAGGAAAAAAGGTTTAAATATTTATTTAAACTCATTTTTTCCAAATGTATCTCACTGACACCTGATGAACTTTCTACATAGCCCTTGATTCAGGTACAAATTTGAATATTTATATCAGTTAGAGTTCTACAAGAGAATAATCAGTAAGGGGATACTAAAGGTGCACTGCATGGAACTGGCTATATGATTTAAGAGGCTTGCTAGGCAAACCCCAAATCCACAAAATGGATTATCAGGAAGGCTGAGTTGGAATTCTGGGGCATGAGCTGAAGCTGGTGTCCACAGGTAGAATCCTTTCCTTCAAGGCCTGCTCTGCTTTTAAGGCTTTTTAATCGAATTGGGCCCACTTATATTACCTAGGATAATCTGTGTTACGTAAATCCAACTGATTATGGACCTTAATCAAATGTCTTCACAGTAGCACCTCACCTTGTGTTTGATTGAATGTCTGGGAACTTTAGTCAGATTGGCACACCAAAGAGATCTTTACCATGTTGACCTGTAATCTGCACAGATTTTAGAAGCAACACTGGATTTGGGAGTTGAGGGGAGATCTTAGATTGATTAAGAGTTCTTACATTTATTTGCTAATTATACTTTCCCTAACTTTTCTAAGCCATTTTTCCTTACCTAAAATGTGGCCATGATATTCAGCTATTTGACTGTTATTAAGATAAAATGACTGTTCAATGAGAAAAGTCTTTACATTTCCAATCTATATTAGATTTCCATATTAGACTCTCACTTAGAACCTGATATTTTTCTTTAGATCAATTAATTTAGTGTATAATTGTACATACACTTGAGTAAGTTTATATTTGGCTCCTTTTCTGGATTATGATGGTGAGTACTGTATTTCTAATTGCTCACTATTGCATTTCTGTGAATTTTCTTCCGACTATGTCAATCTCTAAGTCTAATAACAGATCTCAAGGCTCCAGTGAGAAAGATACATAAACTGCCCTTGAGCTTTGTCAGGTGATAAGGAATTTAAAGAATCCAAGCTACCCATAAAGCGACAGAGTCCTCTGACCTGAAGTTAACTTGTTTGGTTGTAGTCTACTAAACATTGCAAAATATCCTAAAATCTCTGTGTGAGTTTAGTAGTATAGAATATGCCAGTTTATCCAATTGGTACAAATGATAAATAAACATAGAATAATTGAGCTCTGTTTCCATCTTCTCTGAACCATGAAATGCAATTTAGAATTTTCAAATTAAAATCAGAAAATAAATAAATAAAATAAAACTAGAAGCAAACAAGGAATGGGGAGACTGTTCATCAATCCTGTAGTGTAAAATCCAGTCGCGAACAGAGCGCTTTGACAGCTGTCACTGCAAATCAAAGGCTCTGATAAGCAGAACCCTCTTGATTTCAGCAGTGCTGCATGGTTCAGAAAAGATTATGTCTGGTAATAGAAATTCAAAATAATGACAACTTTGTTACCTCCTGTTCATCACTTCAGCTGAGTGCCAAAAGAACTGGTCCTGTCCTGGAGGGAGGATTTGGTGGGGGAACATCAATCAGAAAAATGCCACCTAATTCAAGGTTATTTATGTCAACACCTCAACCTTCTTCAGCACAGGAAGGTTAAGAAAACCACCTTTAAAGAGGCACAGAACATGACTGAATTTGCTCAAGGTCATGCCACTAGTCAACATGAGCACTAGCCATGACAATTCCACTTCCTACCTCCCTGCAATAATCAGGACTGCATTCTCTATCGTCTTGTTTTGGAGCAAAAGATCAAGAATCAGAGAGGATACCATGATATCCTATCTGTTTTTTAAATTATCAAAGTTTTTCTCAAAAAGAAGTAGAATTCAAAAGTATGTTAATGACAGAATAAGAATCATGTGGTTTCTTAGTTGGGAAAATTTAGAAACAGACAAAAAGGAAGAGAGCTTGAAGGTACAAGGCAGAGGGCACAGGAGGGAGATAAAATAACCTTCTCCAGAATGGTGCTATACAAAGAAAACGTAAGGAAATTACGTGAATCAAAGGTGCACCTGCTTTGTAGACTGTACAAGTGACAAAGAGGTTGGATTATAAAAATGAATAAAGAGGTTTTCAAAAATTATATTGCAGAAGGTTATATTTTAGGTTTTCTCTTTATAATAAGATATCTCAAAGAATTTATAATATAATTTTTTAAATATATGATTTCTTCAGAACTCTTGAAGGACATATCCTTGTCTAAAGTAAGATGTGCCGATGTTTTGCACCAGGACATGGAGTGGACCTGTCACACCCCATTCCAAGGACAGGGCCTCTTACTCCTGGACTTTTTTCTCATGTTTAGTCTACTCAAGCTGCCACTGAGATAGTTGATTCCATAGCGTTATAGTAGTGAGCACACTCTTCTAGAACGTAACGATTTGTACTAACTCTAGCTCTAGCTGCATATTAGTGAATCAGAGCCTTTTTCCCAACCTGTTAAATGAAGATGATAACACAAGTTAATCTTATGTTACTATGCAGTTATGGGATAGTGAATATAAAAATGCTTTGAGAACTATGCCTATTGTATATACTTATTTATTACAATGATAATTAATTGTTATTAACCTTGGCTTAATAATTTATTTTATCCATTGATAAAACATCCAGTATTTTATTCTCTTGTTTATATGCTACCCTGTTCCTTTCCTTCATGTCAAGTAGCAAATTCAGGTGTGAATTTCTGTGATTCCTTGATAAGCCAACTTGTTCATTTACTTAACACCTTCATTCTGTTTTTCTTTTCTGTGTCCTCATGTTTGTGCAGTTTGGTAGTGCTCTAAATTGAATGTTATTTTCCAAATACATTTTCCTAGAATTTTCATGGACAGAACCAATATTATCTCCCTCTTCAAACTCACTGTACATTGACTTTGTCTTTTTGATACCACGCAGTGTTGTAAAGTCAAACCCAAGTTTGTTATGTGTAGAATGCCAAGTGGGTCTGGGTTTGGAATTTGGAGTTTTGGGACGTAGTACTGACTCTGTCATCAGCTCATTTGTTACCATATGACTTGGGGAATGTAACTCAGTAATTCATTGGTTCATTTCGACAAATGTATATTAAATATCATCTAAGAGAATGCAAAAATGAATAAAACATAGTTAATATTCTTGTCGAGTTCACAGACTAATGATAAAAACAAGTGCAAATACATTTGCAAAGTATCCGATGATAAATCTGTGCAAAGTATGTGTGACCACTCGATAAACTATATTGCGTTCTGACTAAAGGTTTGTCAGAGCAGAAGGAATTTTTTTGAACTGGATCTTAGAGGCCAAATTATATTGCCAGAAAGAGAAAACAAAAAAAGATTTTAAGTAGGCGTGCATAAACATTTTGTGAAGCAAGAAGGAGAAAAGATGGAGAAGAATCTGACAAGGTACAAGGGGATCAGATTGCAAGCATGAGAATTAATATGAAGTTGGAATCCATAGCTCATGAATGCATTGGTATTGTCACCTTTGCAGTTGGCCCATCCTTCTCACCTAAATGACTGTCTCTTTAGTGAACCCCTCTGTCTCTTGCACAATCAACTTTAGAAGCCCCTACTTTTCTTATCACTAATGAAATTTAAAATTGTATTAATTTTTATAGTATCTTGCTCTTTTGCCAAAGTACAGGTCTCACCAGATATACCTGGAGATCTGAGACCATGCGTATCTTCTTCATTAATGTGTAACCAGAATCTTGTATATATTTTGAAAGAATGGATAAATCAATACATATAGAGCAGAAACATACTAATATTCCAGGCAAGCAATTTGCATGATCCTACTTCTGCTATTTCCAGTTTAGAATGACCATAGCAATAGCAGTATAAAAGATAAAGTGGAAAAGGAAGACCAAAGGCATGAATAGCAAAAAACAAAATACTTATTTAACTCATGCATGAAATTAATAAATAATTTTAATGACTATAAAGACTCATACTGAAAACCATACTGAATATCATGCTCGCCTATTAAATGAAGTAACTAAAAATTCATTATCTCTAAATCTTTGTGTGGTTCCAACATTGTATGTGACAAAATAATTTGCCAAGTTATAGAAAGTGTATAGAAATGGAAATTTTAAAAGTTTCAGAAGAAAAAAATGTCCCTATATAATGGATGATGTATTTCTCAAACGCATACTTTGCATCTATTGGACAATCTTGGATTACCTTTTTTCTTTCTTGAACCATGCTAGTTGGTGGTTTCTGGGCATAGTCACAAACTGTGGGACATCAGAGGTAAGTGAGCAAATGTCTTGTGCTTTCTCACACACACTTTTGTAGCGCCTGGGTATTCAAATTGTATGCCATAAAAATAAGGCACACCTAAGGGGTATGCCATTCATATCTTAGACATGGAGTTTCTGAGCTTCCAGGCCAAGTTGTGGAGCAGTGGGAGAATCCCTGCATAAGCTTAGCTTGTAGCCATTCATGTTCAGCCGCGCTTGTCTCAGCTGTGCTTCAGATGTACCCTGAGGTGGCTTTCTCTTACCTTCGCACTGGTCTCAGGCCTGACTCTTCTCCCTCATCGAATTCTGAATCTGTCAGTCACTTCACCTGAGTGACGAATGGAAGGACATGGAACATGTTCTGTACTAATGGCATGTGTGACCTTATGGTATCCAGGTTATGTATGGGAAGGCTAAATTTTGGGTATATATACTCAAATCACAGTCAGTGTGCTGCTTACTGGACACTGAAAAATTTTCCTGAACAGAACTGTTGAAAAAATGAAAAAAAAAAAAAAAGAGTATAAATTCTTAAAGTGTGCCTCAGTAAATGATGCCTTTTTCTAACATGCACAAAAGTATCTTTTAGGTCAGCAGCAACCCTTATATAGGGTTGTCTTTCCTTAAGCAGCTGCTTTTTTAGTATAGCTACAGGCATCCAGCCTTTGTTCTCATCTGAGCTATTCTGTTTGTCTGTGACTGTTTTTAACAAGTTGTGTAGAGTGATCACCACAGACTTTCATCCTCTTTCTAGCCTAAGGAAAATACTAATGGTTCAGCTCTTCCCTGCCCCACTCTATAGTCATGGTAGAGTTATATACTACTTAGTACCCTGCACCGAGAACAACATTGGGAAGAAGGAGAGCAGGATTTTAATTACAGCGTATCAAACTGTTGCAGTGACTAAAGTTGCATCTTCCAAAATAAAAATTTGGAAACATATTTTAGGTAGATTTTGATGATTAGTTAGTTAGATCAAATCACTTTCTCTGCTGATCTGTGACCAGACAATCTGACATGTCTTAAAGAGAGCTAGGGAACGACACTCATTCATCATTAGGCAGAGCCTTTATTGAGAGCCTCTGTGTGCCAAGCAACACTTCCAAATAGAATTTTAAACTATATTCACTAGCTCTGTTTGGTAAATTACCCTTGCTGCTCAATAGGACCTTAGTTCATTAAATAACAAAAATGCACTTATTCATTTCCTCATACAGTCCTTGAAGGGTATTTCACATGGTTCTATGTTTTCAGTATATTCAAATACAAATAAGCTATGGTATCCTCGTTTATAAAGCTCCTCATCAATAGGAGAAACATTTGTGTAAATATATCTTTCTTTTTATTTTTCTTACGTGTATTTCCTAAGGATTTAGATAAATGTTGTTATCGACAGTTTCCCCCAAGGTTTCCAAGGGCTTGCTTTTCATTTGTTTGCTCCACCAATAAACACAGATGAGTATAATGATTTCATGAAGACCACCCAATCTACTTAGGAGACTATTCTCCATTGTCATTTATACAGAACAACAAAAAAAAGTGTTGTTGAGCAGTAACACTGTGCTAGGCATGAGCTCAGTGGGTTATGTGCTTAAGTAGATTTACTCTTTAGAAAAGTCCTGTGAACTCAGAATAGTAATATCCTTATTTCAAAAGAAATTGAGCATCACAGGAGTTGAGTCACTTACCTAAGGTAAATTAAATCGGTTGGTGAGTGTATAGACCATGATGCAGGAAGGCTGACTTCAAAGTTTTTGTTTGTTTTTTCTCGTACGCTACCTCTGACAAATGTTTGAAATCAGGAGAGTATAGATTTTGGGAAAATACAGTATTTCAGAGGCCCCTGGACACGGGCAAGGCTGTGTACCCTGTGAAAAGTTTGGGAGAGGGCCATGTAGGGAAGGATGGCAGCCTATTTACCTCGCTGTAGTCCGGGCAGATGGACAGTCCATGGCAGGTCAGACCACCGCCAAGACCCTTCTTGTATGACACCTAAGATAAAGGGAGAAGCTAGGTTGCAGTGGGAACTTAGATGCTATCTCTTTAGAAGCCAGAATTCACAAAACCAGAGAGATACTTCTGGCATCAGGGAGCCCCAGATCCTACAAGGAGTCAGAAATCCCTCCATCCCAACCTCTATTTTCAAACTGACTTAGGAATCTTTAGATCATTTTACCCATATCTGAGTGTAGAATTCACTTAAAGGCACTTTGCCTACCCAGACTTACCATTCCAGATACAGAGATGACCTCAAGTGATCCAATTGATAGCTGGAGATGAATAATAGCTACAATGAGTTGATCAGAACACACATACTGAAATAGAGAGATTAATTCCTTGGGACACAGGGATAGCTCCAGAGTTCTTATTTAAGGCAGACCCATGAACTGAGATGTATTATCTCTTTCAGCCATCTCCTCTACTAGACTGACAGGCTAGTACCTATTTTCCTCCTTGAACACAGTTACTGCCCTAACATACCAAGAATCTCTGTCTACCCAGTGCAGCCATCTAGGAAGGGAAGAGGGCTTGACTAGCATCACATGATTATCTTCCATTTTTCTATTTAATTGCTTTTAAAGAGTGGCTCTTCTCAAGATAATCGTGAGCCTCGATTTCATGTGGACATCCCTTTAGCCAAATATCAAGCAAGTATATGCTATGTACCAAAAATATTTAAATAGTCTTTTAAACAAATGGATATTTGAGTTGATTTTTAGAAAATATGCAGGCTGGGCCAGGCACAGTGGCTCACGCCTGTAATTCCAGCACTTTGGGAGGCCAAGGCGGGCAGGTCACTTGAGGTCAGGAGTTGAAGACCACCCTGGCCAACATGGTGAAACCCTGTCTCTACTGAAAATACAAAAATTAGCCAGGCCTGGTGGGGTGTGCCTGTAATCCCAGCTGCTTGGGAGGCTGAGACAGGAGGATCATTTGAACCAGTAGGCAGAGGTTGCACTGAGCCGAGATTGCTCCACTGCACACCAGCCTGGAGGGTGATAGAGCAAGACTCTGTCTCGGGAAAAAAAAAGAAAAAAGAAAGTACGCAGGCTGTATGACAATCTGATTAGAAGGAGAACCGGGCCTTGAAAACAGTATTAGTAAAACATTTTACAGAAGGTAGAAAAACATGTTAATTGTCTGTATTAAAGAATAGCAGGAGAGGGGGTGTTGGTACTAAGAGATGCAGGAGGTAGGTGATCAAACATTTCATAATGAATATTGCCAAGGCCCCCTTGAGCTTAACTTACAAAAGCTATTTTAACTTTGCATATCATTTAAACTATTTATAAGAAGTATATATGGTTCTGCATATATTATATGGTCATGTTTTAACAAAAAACATTTTTTCACAAACTTTTGCTTAGTCATAGTGGTTTGTTGCTTTGATAAATTTCTCAGTTGTTGCTGTATACACAATGAGATCAACAGTCTTTTTATGAAGAAATATAGGATAAGTTTGAAATCTCATGTTCAATCCAGCAACAAGTCCTATTATGTTTACCTACAAAATATTTCCCAAATCTGAGTACTTGTCATCCCCTTATAGTCCCTAGTCAAAGCCATAATTTTATGTGTCTTGGAAAATAGCCATGTTGCTCTATGACTGACCTCTTTCCTTCCTCTTCTCTCTCAAAGAAGAGCCAGAAGGGGCTTTAAAAAATATAAATCAAATTGTATTCCTCACTACTCAAGATTCCCCAACAGATGCCCGTAACATTTAGATTACCATCCAAACTTCTAAGTTTGAACTCTACCATCCATCTTCTGAATTTCATCTCTTTCTCTCTTCCTTCTGGCTCACTACCCTTGCAACACCCAGGTTTTTATACCTGTTACCTCTGCCTATTGTAGACCTTTCCTGGACATGGGCTTGGCTCATTCTTTGCCTTCATTTAAGTCTCTTCTCAAGGGTCCCTTCAGAAGAGCGAATGCTCAAATGGCCTATCTAAAATATCTCCCTTCACTCTATTTTATTTTTCTATATAATATTTGTCATTACCTGAAATTATTTGGTTTTGTTTGTTTGTGAATTATGTGTTATCTGTGTGCATGGGGGAAGAAACCTTTAGAGCTGCAAACCAAAGCTCTTCATTTATTGTTGAACAAGTTAATAAAGTAATGAAATGAAATAAAATCATTTGTTAAATGAAATAATATTTGTTACTATTATAGTAATTACCTTTACGATCTGCTAGAATGTTACATTTTACGCTTATTACCAATATTAAAGGTCAGTGTGATAAATACTGTAATAATGGTAAGGTTTACGACATAAAGAGAGGGGAATCTACTTGTGGAAAGAATAGGGAGCCTCACAGAAACTGTGGTGATGATGACAGAGTTGACACTGATAATGAAAGCAGTTGTTGCATAGGGGACACTTTCTAAGTGCCCGGCACTGTGCTAGGTGCCTTACCTACATTGTTTGACCTTCATAACAATTCTGCGTAATAGGTGAGTTTACACCCATTTCACATATGAGGAAACTGATGTTTAAAAGGTTCTGTATTTTCCCAATGAGCACTTGAAATTATCCAGGTTGAATATGAAATACAGGTCTATCTGAGTCCCAAGTCTGTGCTTTTTACCTTTCAGATATATTTTAAAGTTATATCCTGTCCTGGGATTATCCTGACATAAATATAGAGTAGTTTCTTGAGAATAGCATGTTTTAGGTTTAAACAAGTATCGCTCCTAAGTTCCACTCTGCAACTTTCTACTGACTAGGAAACAGACGCATAACTTATTGACTGTGAATCTCAATTTTCTCATGCATAAAGCAGAGTAACTTGTCAAAGTCTTGTGTATATCACATTAAATAACGCATGTAAATCACTTAACACAGTGTTTACAACATAATGCTCACTCCCTGTAGGCTTTTTCACTTCCCTCAACCCAGCCTGAAACTGCGGATCCAATTATGACAAGTTGCTCATTGGACACTTACTATACATTTGTCAAGGAAGGTAGTTTTCTTCTCAGATTCCATGGACCTGCCAATAAGTACATTTCCTCAGGAATTTAAACATAGATAAATAAATGTTTTAAAAAATATCTTTGTAAATTCAAGAGCACATAAAATAAGAATATGTTTTCACTTTGCTTTGTTCTTCAGATTTTTAAATAAAAGATGGTTTTAAAAACTACCTTAGCAATTTTAAATTCATTATTTGAAATGTGTTAGTGCTCATAAATTGTATCCTATTAAATGATGATATAGAAGTATGCATATTAATTATGTACAATATTTATTAGTTATATATCATACTTATTTTTGTTGTTGTTGTTTCAATTAGTTATTTTCTGATACAAAAGTAACCTTGATATGTAATAGAAACTCATCTGTCTCTTAGGAGAGAAAACTTTTAGTTGCCTTTGCTAATATCCATTTTCTCTTTATTTTTTATTGCTGTTAGCTTTTCCATAGATGAGCATATGGTGCTTACATCTCTTAGTAAGATAGTTATAACTATTATTGTTGAACTGTATTTGATACATTCAAATTTGTTCATCTGTGTGCACTTTATGAAGTCACAAGATTCAAAGTATCAGGATTTTACATGGTGAATTTTTTTTTCACAATGTCAGTCTTTTTTGTTGTTGTTATATATATCTGTGCTCTAACAGGCTGATTCTTATTAGAAAACTTCTTCTGTAATAAACCTGAACTTTCAAGTACAATATAACATTTCTACCATTACTTTTCTTTCATTATGTGCAATTTCCTGTTTTTATTTTTCCTTTTGCGAGTACCAATATTTGTGTTCTGATAAATTACATAACATCACTCTGATACCACCTACCTTCTGCCAATCTCTAAAGCAAAATGTTATATAAACTTAGATTTATCTTACTAATTCCTTTAAAATCTACCCACTGATGTTAATCACAGAAATTCTGAAATGATTAAAATGAATATGTCATTACCTTGTTTATTTAATTATAGAGGCCAGGGGTTCAGCAAGATTTTTGTGAAGTAAAGACATTATTTTAAACGTATGGATCTGATGTTTGTTACAAATACTCAGCTCTGCCATTGTAATGTGAAAGCAGCAATAGACAATACATAAATTGGCTGGGTGCGGTGGCCCACACCTATAATCCCAACACTTTGGGGGAATGAGGTGGGAGAATTGCTTGAGCTCAGGAGTTCAAGACCAGCCTGGGTAAAATAGTGAGACCCTGTCTCTATTAAAAAACAGCAACAACCACAAAACCCCGACAATACATAAATGAATGTGTGTGGCTTAGCTTAATTCAACTTTAAAATAAACAACAAAATTTGAATTTCATATTTTATTAATGGGTCAAAAAATTATTCTTTTGATTTTTTAAATTATTTAAAAAGGTAAAAATAATTCTTAGATCACAGGGTACACAAAATCAATAAACGAACTGGATTTAGTGCACAGGCATTAGTGTGCTAACTTCTGATATGGGTCATCCTCTCTTTCAGATGTTTAGCAATATCATAGACCTCTATTTATGTAAAGAATCTGCCATTATTGGTTTATATCTGAAATGGCACCATATTGAGGAAAAGCATAAATCAAGAAAGGGGAAGAATGTAGATGACAGAGATGGAGAACTAGTTAATACATTACAAAAAATTATTGGAATTATTTGACGAGAACACAAATAGAAATAAATGTGTATTAAAAATAGAATACTTATCTATAGTTGTTATATTTAGATTTTTAGATATTTTAGATATTTAGATTTTTAGACATTTATTTATATTTTTGTTATATTTTTAGATTTAAAAATCTACCTAAAATGATACTACAAATATAATGAACTAAGTTGATACAAAACAGGCCTACTTCTATTCCAAGCAAATATATAATAATGATGAATAACAATTAGTTTTAAAAATTTTAAATGGAACTTTATGTTTCATATAACTACAAATTCCAAATAAGGACAATAACCAGGGGCAGAGACATGAGTTGAATGTGAAGCAGAATCATTCATTTGCTGATAAGAGATAGACGTAAGCCTTTTAAGAACTGAAGCTAGGGATGTAAATCTCAGAATGTATAACAAATCCTGGTAACAGGAAATGAACTACCTGCATGAAACCAAAAGATACTTGTCAATGGACTAGAACTTGTCTAGTCCATGTAACTGGATTTGAAAACTTCTCAGTGGCTGAAGATACCTTCATGGGAACTTTCCATTGTCCCAGCGTTTATCACCTAAGGGAACAAAAATCACTATACTATGCATGTTTCACAAATGGTTATAATATTCATACTCCCATTGTTTTCATGGTGCATGAATAAAATTATATGTCCTAGCTGATGTAAGCCAATCTTGGTTTATGTCTGCTATAAAGCCATGTTTACTTTCAGAAGTGTACTGCTTGGTTAATAAATTTTTAGATCATTCTATACATAGTCACTAGATAAAAAGTCAACATAAACAGTGATCAAGAACTAATGAAGACTTTGGGCCCTGAACTGAGGCAAATCAAAAACTCTCCTTCAGTAATCCTGGGTAGAAAGTGTATACACATGCATGCACAAACACATAACAATAGAAGAAAATCTTCTGAAGATGAGACCACAGTAAAAAGTTACAAATATACTGTGCAACAACCCACAATGAGAGAGAATCAGTCAATTGTATAAAGAGGGGAATTTACAATATAAGTAAAACTAATAAACTGTAAAAGATAGTTGAAAGTGCTCAAATAGCTAAAGAAAAAATAGAAACAAGCAAGAATAGAATGAAAAACAGTCAGGAAATATGAGCAGTAATCAAGTGGAACTTTAAGATGAATAGTTTTTGAAAAAAATAATAGCCTAAATTAGTCATTTAAAGGATGAACCGTATATAGATCTAGAAGTATTAACTGAAACAAATGTTAAAACTGAAGAAATGGATCAGAATGTAATTCAGAGAAATAAAAAAATAGAAAATGTGAATAAAATTATGAGGCACCAAAGATATAATGAAAAGTCCCTATATATTTGAATATAGAATGCCTAAGAATTCTCAAAATTGAACAAGACATAATTCCTAATATAAAAGAATTACATTGAATTCCGAGAAGAAAAAAAACAAATTCACACCAGATGCCTCATAGTAAAAATGTGTAATGTCAAAAAATAGAACATTTTAACTATTAAGACTAATTCACAGTACTAATAATAAGGAAATAGATTTGATAATAGGCTTCTCTTAAGCAATAATATATGGTACAAGACTATTGATTGATATATCCAAAGTACTGGAGGAAAATAATGGTCAACTGAGATTGTTACAATAAGGTATTAGTCAATAATGTAATACTTAAGGCCATTTTAAGACTAGAAAAGATTGAGAGAGTGAATTTATCTTTGACATTAAAAAGATCCATTAACTGATTTCTTAAGGAAGAAAAATATTAAACCCACAAGAAAGGAGTTGAATTTAAAAAATTTGTTAGCAGAGAAATTAGTAAATATATTGGTAAAGAATTAGCTTCCTTAACTTAGAATTTCTATGTATTTAACTTGAAGAACTTTGAATTCGTGTTTCAAGTAACCTTCATTAAGTTATTGAGAGTTATGAGGTTATGAGTTATATAATGTAAAAAAGGGTTATCATTGTACCCTTGATCCAAAATTACTGGCTTTTATGTTTTGTTTTCTAAGCATTATTGGCCACTCTCTCAAGCACTTTTAAACACACACAGACACACACACACACACACATGCATAACCGTTAAAGGCTGTGTGATACTAAGTGCAATAGCTTGGATTTAAATCCAGGTCCCATGAATTAAAAATAAAAAAGCTGTCAACTACTTTATGGAGTCTTAATTGATTATGTGACAACAAATGTCTATTAAAGGCCTATATTGTACCCTACTCTGTGTAATATTAGAACCCATGACTAGTGTACACCAATCAACCATAATCTCATATGTGAGAAGTAGAAAATGTAGATGTATCTTATGAAACATCATAAAGTTATATATGTGATGACCAATAAGTATTCACTCACATATTTCTCTAGATAAATGCTAAGAACCTTTGTAATAATGGACATATCTGTGCTGTCCAATGTGACAAGCACCAGCCACATATAGCTACTGAGCACGTGAGCATTTGAAATGTAGTTAGTGCAACTGAGATATAAATTTTTAAGTTTATTTTATGTCAATTCTTACATTTATATTTAAATAGCTACCTGTGGCTGGTGGCTATTATATTGAATCATGCTGGTCCATAGCAATAGTTTAAAAGTACTAAAAATGAGTAGATTTCTTGTGAGGCAGTTGGGAATAGTTTAGACATCCTAATTTAATGGCAAACATCTCCAATAGCCATTTAAAGTTTCTTCATTTTTACACTGATTTACTCTGTCTACCATATTTTTCTCTATGAGTGTACTTGCAATAACTTTCTCCTATATTAAGAATGAATGTCATATAAGTTGGTAAACCTTGTTTTAAATCCAAAATCACATAAACTGGATAACACTAAATTATTTATTTAATTTATCTAAGCTTTAGTTTTCTCATTTTTACAAGAACAATAATAATAATAATAAAAATCCTTTTTATTCCTCACAGATTAACAGCAAAAAAATTGTTAGGAGAATTGGAGAAGTAATATGTATAAATGATATATCACAGTGATTTACTGCATAAATCTAAATACATTGGTGTCAAGAAGGGTTATCCTTAAATACAAGTGGTTATGGAGGTATTGGTAGATACCATAAAATGGCAGAACAAACAAAGAATCCAGGTAAACAATAAGAAAATAAAACAATAACAAACATCCAAATGCATTTTACTTTCATATAATGATAGAGAGTATGCTGATTAATTTTCCTAAGCTGTGTAGGAATCAGGTATGGTGATTATGTTAAGTATAAAGAGCAGAAGAGAATGCAAAGTCTTGAAAAATGTAAAATCAAGTTGGATATAATTATGGCATATAATTATTAATTATGTTCAATCATTTCTAGATATAGCTATCTCACCTATGTCAACATAACTAAACATTATCTATTTATAACCAATACTTGAAGAATAATTTAAGCAAGTTTTTACTCTGATAGGTTAATTAAAATATTCTGTATCCTTTATTAGATTTCTGTCACAAACTAGATTGAAATAATTAGTATTAGGCTGAGGCAATTAAAACTAGATATTCCAATATTCCACTGTTATATACTATTTTTAGCCACCTATTTCACGTCTCATCCCAGTTTTTTTTTTCACTTATTTCCCTCCACAGTTGATTTAGTTGTAATCAACAACACAAGTCTTGAATTTCTAAGGACTTGGTAAGAGTAGATGGTTATAAACATTAAGGTGAAAAAATGTTTCAGAAAAATACATTTGCATGGTAGCTTACTTCTGAAAAGGAATTTTCCACTGGACAGATGCAAAAAATTTTTATACTGGGATCTTATTTTACCTATATATTTCAATCTAAAATGCAAATTTCATAATAATTCTTTCTCAGACTGTCTCTCACTCAGCAGATTGCTCTAGAGAGGCCCTTCTAAAAAATCAGAGTTGGTATGCAAAGTGAAAAACCATTTGCCATCCCTGCCATCTGCTCTTCTTTGACATGGAATGCTTGACAAAGTATTAGAACTGCAAATTACCAATAAGTTTCCAAAATAAATAATTCAAATATAGACTATTAGAGCTTAAGAGAATCTTAATCCAATTCCCTTAAATTGTCATGAAACTTGAAGTATAGAGAGGTAAAATAATTTATCTAAAGTCATGTAACTTAATGTGATTAGCCCACTGAAACTCCCCACCTTTATGCCTGTTTAAGTGACTATTTCTCTAAGGAACTTAATACAAGGTTTATAAGCTAGGTTGGTGCAAAAGTAACTGTGGTTTTTGCCATTGAAAGTAACAGCACCACTCTCCTGTTTTTTCTATCCAGTAAATTTATCTTTATAGGTCAATTCACATGGCATTTTCTCCTAAAAAAGTATTTTCTATCTTCTCCAAGCACACTTAGTTATTGCATTCTGTTCCTCCAAAATGCTTTGTCCCCACATTTATTTTGTTCAATATATCATATTATATTGTAATTACTACAATTATATATTTACTTTTTCTAGCTTCTTCAACATATTATATATAGCTGAGGACAAAGATTTTGAGAATCATTAGGGCTCTTTATAAATATTCTGGCCCCCTCCTCCCAAGCACATGGTAGAATTGCACTTCTCTACCCCTTTTCAAATTAGGTATAGCATTGAGATCTGTGCTATTTATATCCTGAGACTTTAAGAACCAGAGGTTAATATGTTATATTCCTTTCCTCTGCCACACAGATTGTTGAAAAAACAAGTAAAAATGTTAATTGTGCTCACTACCAGGGAGACAGGATCTGAACTCCAAACCCCAGCATCACACAATATTCTCATGTAACAAACTTGCACATCTACCCCTGTATCTAAAATGTACGTTGAAATACACACACACACACACACACACGCGCGCGCGCACACACACAGAGATTTCTAAGTTACTATAATGAACACAACACACCCCCGTTCACCAAAATGGGTCATGCTGTTTTATAGAGAGGTAAAATTTTAAGCCACAAGAATGTGGGGTCTTAAAAGCAGCAAAATCTAACCTATTCTCACTAATGCATTGCTTGTGTCTTGCACATTCTTATATCCCAGTACCTCAGTCTTTGGTCTGTAATTGTAATTTCTGAATTGATGTCAACTTGCAGTAATTTAGTTATTTTACATACTGTCCAATGAAACAGATGTGCATGATATTTAACGAGTAATAGTTTCCTAATAACATCTCATATAAGGCAATTGTCTATGAGAAATATTTTAGTATACCCAAAATGTGAGTATTTTCCAAAAGATTTTTATAATAGGAGGAAGCTAGCTGATCTGCTGTATTAGACTCTGGCCTAGAAACTGAAAATCTGAATTATAGTCTGTTCTGTTTGTTTAATTACTAGCTTCAGTACCTTGTAGGAATTATTTAAAATCTATTTTTTCCAAATTTTAAATGAGGAAAAAATAAAACCTTCCTGTATCACAGACTTGTTAGAAAAAAATGAGGTAAGACATGTTAATGGATTTTTGAGAACTGAAAGAAGCTATGTAAATGTGAGCCAGTAGTATTGTAGTTCCAGAGAATTCCTAACTATATAAATATTTTCAGCATGTAGGGTGACAGGAACTTCCAATGAATAAAAAGAATGGACTTTCTATCCAATGCGATAAAATAAGAAAAATTTGAATTTATGAATGCTAAAATTTAAAAAATGATAATTTATGTGATTTCTTCCTGAAATGGCCAAGAAATTTAACTAGGAGGTTTTAAGAAACAAGAAGAAAAGATGTGTCTGGTGGGATATCCACTTCCCAGCTCCAAATATGCATCACAGCTCCTCCATGAAACAACTCGTTTGTGTGGAACAGCAAAATATTTCTCTCCTTTTGATGTTGGCTAAAAGAGAACACAAAACATTTCAATAAAACTTTCCCAGTGTTTCTGAAGAAAAAAATTACAGTCAACTAGAAGATTACAAAAGAAAGATTATACATGTAGTCACTGGTTATTGCTTGTATCAATATGAAGAAAAAATGCTATTAATTTCAAAAATTCATAAAATATGACTAAACCTATGAAATATTTAGTGTCAATACCAAGAAAAACTCTAAAATACTACTGAAAGACTCCATGAAGAGATATATTTAACATAGTTTAACTGGGAAACTTGACACAAGACTTCACATTTACATTATCAATTAAAACTTTAATGCAGTGCAAAAATACTAATACCATTTTACTTTTCAAAGTACAATTGGAAAATTGTTTTAAACTGTATTGAAAAGAAACATTTTATTAATGCATTACCAGCTTTAAAACATTTAGGAGTATATTACCAGTAATGACTGGACAGAAAATATATGATAAAAGCATAATTTCTAATAAAAACCCAGTCTATTAAACTTATTAGCTTATCATTTGTGAAAAATAATACATAAAGACAGATTTCTGTGTTGTACCATAAGCTCTAATTAAAAGGCTAAATGAAAATGTAATCAATACTAGTTCTAGAAGAAAATGTATTCTTGAGTATTTACCTTGTCTTAGAATGTTTGAGAACTTTATAAACTTGACTGAGAAGGAAAAAAGATTTATGACTATAGTTAAATAAAATTGTACACCTTCTGCATGAATGTAAAAGAATATACACAATAAAAGTTTTAAAATGATATGTAAGAAAAACAAGTTGTTACCTTGAATATATAAACATATTTTGCAACTCAATAAAAACAATGATGAAAAGCTCTTCATTAAACGGGGTAAAAGACAGTAACTGGTATTCGTGAAAAAAGACTTAGGAATGATCAATAAACCTAGATAAACATGTTAAGCTACCAAGGATTGTGAATTAAAATAGCCAAGAGATAACAGTTTTATATCCATCATGCTAGAAAAGACTAAATAGCTATAAGAGCCAAGTCCCAAAAGATGTAAAGAAATGAATACTTTACACCTTGTTAATAGGTATATACATTAGTAAAATTTTTGGAGAGTGAGTTTTCCACTATATATCAAAGGGCATAAAATATAACATCATTAATTTAAAAATTCCAAAGAAATCAGAGTGTACAAAAATGTACAAAAAATGATCTGTAAGATGTTTATTGCAACATAAGAATGATGGCAATACTCACTGGACTCGTGATTTGCTTTAAATTAGTTCATTTAATCCACCACACAACCTTTGGAGTAGGCGCCATTATTGTTCTCATTTTTTTAAATGTGAAAAACTGAGAGACAGAGAAGTCAAAAAACCTGCTAAAGGTTTCACCTTGGTTGTAATGGCAAAACAAAATATTAGAGCCTAAATATCTAATAATAATGAATTGGCTTATTATACTCCTGCAATACATAAAACAGTATTCATGTAATCATTAAAATGATACTGTAGAATGCTTAATTACATGGAAAAATGTTCATGGTACATTGTTAAATGAAACAAGTTGTTTCCCAGTAGAATAAACTTTACAATTTCATAAAATGAACAAAAGAGTTACACATGGGCTTCGTACAAATGCTACAGTCAAATGTGAACCGTGATTATTTCTGAATGGTGTGACTAGGAGACAGTTTTCATTCTCACCTTATGGCTTCTCTTTGTTTTTCAATACTTAAAGTGAACATTAATTTTTGTAATGAAAAACTTGTTATACATGAGACATATTTTGATAATATGAATGTAAGAATGAGAGGGAGGGACTCCTCCTTGTTACTGTGTTTATAGCCCAGTACAAGGGAATAGAAACAAAGGAAGAACTTTCCCTAAGTATAAGTGTGGGCTATGTTTAACTATCATTCCAGAATTCTTCAATAAAAGAAAATATTTCTCTTTAACCTCTGGCATGGAGGATTAATTGGACTGAAAATAGATATATTAATAAACACAGGGGAATGTTAATATCAGTGTTTCTGGGCCTTTTCCCCTCACCCAATTCTCCTTCCTGAATCTCATTAATTATGTATCATTCAGATATCACTTCACAAGTCTTCAGGATCCCAACTATATCTTGTAAGCCCATTGTAAATAGAAGATTGGTACCTGAGGAAATAGTCTCAGATCAGCACCCACTAAATTCAAAATAATGGGCTAATTTCTACATATAGACTCCTATCAATTTTTAGAGAAAGTAATAGGAGAGAAACGATATAACCTTATGAGAGGTTACTTAACCATAGTTTTATTTAAAAATATATGTAAACATAGGAGAGGCTCCATGAGTAGTAGGTGATGTACAGTGATCTAGTTGATTGTTGATTATTTCAGAATACAGAGTCGTCTCTGTGACTGGAGTGCTGTTATAAAACTCCATGATTTAAGGGAGATCTCAATTAACTTTTAAATGCTGCACAGGCTTTTAACAGATTAAAGTGAGTGTCAACAGGGGCCACAATCTAGTGGGAAGTTCACCAGATTTAAAGGCAGAAAAGTCAGGTGCAAATCATTCTGTTGCTGCCCAAAGGGATGCATATAATCAAATAAAATACTTCGCTTGAGGTTCAGTTCCTGTGTTTATAGAGTAGAAAAATAACTGTACCTACCTCACAAAGTTGTTGGAAAACAGTGAGTGAGAGGCAGAGAGATAAAAAATAAAACTGCAGAAGTGTTTGGGGGCCAGATTACATAGATAATAATGGATTGAGAATATGAATTACATCTTATCAAGAGAATGACATTCTCTAGTAAATTTTAATTTCAGTTTTCTGTGGAAATGAGTGTTAGCAGATGCTTCTTCATGACACATATTTATTGAGTGCCAACTATAGGCTAAGTACTGTGTTAGGTGATGGACAGAAGGACCAAAGATATATTTGATGGTGTTTCTGCTCTCAAGTAGCTTCCAGGTTAGTGGGATAAAAATAATTAAGTTCAGTGGCTGTTCACAGTGTGGTGGACATACACCAAGCTAACTATTTCCTCTACCCTGGGACAAGAAGAGAGTTTCCTCCCCATCTGAGTTTTCATGCATAAGTAGTACTTAAAACAGGTGGAAAAAGGAGAAGTACAGTTCTTACATGAGCAAGAGAGAGAAAGTTGTTGATGGGAACCACATAGGACACCAGGAATGATAAGGTGATATGTGTAGATTGTACAGCTTGCCATGAGAGTAAGTTTGGTGTAAGCAGCTGGGGATGGCTTTGGAATGATTAGTTGGAAACAATGTGTTACCTAAAACAGGTGGAAAAAGGAGAAGTACAGTTCTTATATGAGCAAGACAGAGAAGGTTGTTTATGGGAACCACATGGGACACGAGGAATGATAAGGTGCTAGGTGTAGATTGTTATATTTGCCATGAGAGTAAGTTTGGTGTCAGCAGCTGGGGATGGCTTTGGAATGATTAGTTGGAAACAATATGTTATATATGTTATATATAACATAGTAATTGGAATTGGACTTTATTCTGTATGTAATGGAAGCTTTTGAAATAATGATGCAGAAAATTCAAAAAATCAGACTGTAAGTGAAACAACCCATTGGAGCATAGATTAAATGCAGATCATTGAGATGGAAGCAAGCACAAATATTACAAAGTACTTGCAGATGCACCTATGTATCTGCAAACTTGTTCAATCATATATATTTTCCATCATATGTAGAATTTCCAATTGAACATGAAAGGCATGTGTCATCATTTATTTTGAGGTAGTCAAAAATATAGACTATAGCTAACATAGACTGAGGCTTTGGGGATGAGAATATTTAAGTGGATAATAAGGAGATAAATTTTTCTGAGTATATTTTAATAGAAAAGACAAAAGCATGATATGATAAAAAGAATATAAGCTTAAAGGTTTGTCAGAGGTGTAAATCCAAGTTTTGTGACTGATGAGCTGAGTAAGTTTTTGGAATGTATTAAATGTTTTTGAGCCTCAATTTACTTATTTGAAAGATAGGTATAACACTCATTGCTCAATAGGGCTGAGATGAGTATCAAATATGATCTGGATATGAGAAACTAGATCAGTGTACACCCAGTAAATGTGAGTCTTCCTCATCTAGTATGGCAGCCTAGGCATCGCAAAGAGTAAGGCTTCATAGCTTGTGTTTTAAAATTCTGATGCCATGCATTTCAACTTTGTTTATTGGTCCAGAATAATTTTATGGTCATCCCCCTTTTCTTAGGGTCAGACTTATGAAGAGTGATGCAACAGAAAGAAATTAGTATGTAATACAAAATTGATAATGAGAAGAAATATCCTTTATATCCCTAAGCCTTAGCCAGAAATCTCATGTTTTTATTTTTTGTTTTGTTTCTATTGTTGTTGTTTGTTTGTTTGTTTTTTGAGACAGAGTCTCACTCTGTCACCCAGGCTGAATGCAATGGCACAATCTTGGCTCACTGTAATCTCTACCTCCCGAGTTCAAACAATTCTCCTGCCTCAGCCTCCCGAGTATCTGGGATTACAGGCACCCACCACCATGCCCAGCTAATTTTTAAAAAATATTTTTAGTAGAGATGGGGTTTCATCATGTTGGCCAGGCTGGTTTTGACCTCCTAACCTCAAGTGATCCACCCGCCTCAGCCTCCCAAAGTGCTAGGATTACAGGCATGAACCACCGTGCCCAGCCAAATCTCATGTGCTTTAACTATCACAAGAACAGAAAACCAAACACTGCATGTTCTCACTCATAAGTGGGAGTTGAACAATGAGAAGACATGGACATAGAGAGGGGAACATCACATACCAGGCCGGTAGGTGGGTGGAGGGCTAGGGGAGGGATAACATTAGGGGAAATACCTGATATAGGTGACGGGTTATTGGGTGCAGCAAACCACCATGGTACGTGTATACCTATGTAAGAAAACTGCACGTTCTGCACAGGTACCCCAGAACTTAAAGTATAAAAAAAAAAAGAAGAAAAAGGTCTTGGGCAAAAGACCATTTTAGGTTGCTTGAGAAACCAAAATAAGAGCCAATAGGTGAAACTAGTACAGTGGTACATGTTAGTTTAGTATTTCAAACAAATTTTCAACTAACAAGAGTTACAACACCAGGGAATGTTCTGTCTTAGGGGGAGTTAGCTTTTTGTTACTGAGGATAACTGATCCTTCAGATGAATATCTCTAAGAGATATTGTAGGAGGAATTTCTACATTCATTAAGATGCCAAGAAAGCACCTTATACTCTTCCAGAGTCCTCCACATTTATCCATATTCCCCTCCATTTATTGCTCCATCTTTCATAGTAAATCTCTTTGAAATAGTTTGCTATATTCAGTATCTCTCACTTCTCAACTCCAATTTTATTCTCAATCCACTCCAGTTTAGATTCCATTCTCAACACTTCACTGAGATTTCTCCTGCCATGTTGTCAATTCAAATGTGTCCTCTAGCGTTACCTTAGTTGACCTAGAGGACACTCCCTCCTTCCTGAACCACTTTCTAAAAGCACTATATTGTACTAGAATTGAATAATTAAGTAAATGGGTGATAGATGCTGAAACTCAGAGATCACACTTTTGGAATGGGGGTTACAAATAAGGGGAGAAGGATGGAAAGCCTCATAAATGTATGGATCAGTATGAACTCATATTTAGTTTAAAATAGACATGGATGAAAACATATAGAAACATTTATAGAAGTGTGTATACATACTGCATAGGTAGTTTACACACATATATTCTTTTGCTCTATAAGATGAGAGGGCCTAGAAGCAACCACATTCTAGTAGCAATGAGCATACCTGGCATTTAGAACATGGTTTCTAATACTATTCTCCAGTAAAACAAACCAAGACTGCTTAGAGAAATGGCTCATTCTTGAATTGGGACAGGAAATTTTAAAGATGACCCTGGAACATCTTGTAGTACCAGAAAATTAGGAGGTTCTCAAAAATCACAATGAGAGAGTATATAAAAGGGACACAGGATCCAAATGAAAGAGCTCCTAATGGCCAAACCTAGAAAAATATGAAAGGAAAAACCATTACTGAATTATAACCCAAAGTACAAAATAAAACATCATAAGATAATATTAGTATAAATAAGTAATTGAATAAAGACATGAGGGAGAACAGACAAATCTTCCTCGCAGAAGAATGTCAAGTAATTTATATAGATACACCATCCTCAAGGAGGTGGAGCATAATCTCCCATTCCCCGAGCGATCTTTGTGCATAGTGATGTCCTTCCAAAGAGTGCAGTGTGGAAGAGAGGAAAAAGAAGAATTTTACAGTGGAGAATCCTGAAAAACACTACCCAGACAAGTGATCGATATTAACATCATAAGTCATGTTGATAACATATACCCTTGATAAGAATGGCACTTTACCTCTGTGATCTTCCTTCCTAAAACCCATAAGCCCAATGTAATTATGAGAAATATATCAGACAAATCCCAGTTGAGGATATTCTACAAAATGCCTGACTAGTACTTCTCAAAACTGTCAAAATCATCAAAAACAAGGAAAGTCTGAGAAACTGTCATAGCCAAAAGAAGCCTAAGGAGGCCTTATCTCTAAATTTAATATGATATCCTGGAAGTGATTCTGAAACATGCAAAAAAAAAAAAGAGGCTTGGTGAAAACTAAGAAAATCTGAATAAAACATGGACTGCAGTTAATAATAATGTATCAATAGTGGCTCATTAACTGTGACAAGTATACCATGTTAATGTAAGATAGTACTAGAAAACTAAGTGTGGGTTATGAAAACTCTGTATCCTATCTTCACAAATTGTCTGTAAACTAAAATAGAATGCTTATTAAAAACAAAACTAAGAGACCTTATTTCTACCGACCTCTGTAGTTCTATCTCTTCCTCTTCCAAATCATCCATTCGTACTTCCTCAACACTGGCCTCTTCTCTTTCCTGAACACGTCAAGGTCTTTCTCAGCCTTAGACTTCTTCAAAAGCTATATTCTATGTCTGGGATACCGTTTACCTTCATTATCACTTGACTGATTCCTTCTCGTTATTCAGAGCTCAATTTACATCCCATCACCAAGAAAGGACTCCCATAGCAGGGACAGAAATGTGCTTCATTATTCCAGTTTATTCCCCACCTTTTCCAGGCCCTTCAAGTTAACCAGGGCAAATGACAACTTCTGACCAAAAAATGTGAGTGGGAATGATCTGTATTACCTCGAGGCTGAAGCGATGTAGTTGCCTGTTTGCAGTTGGTCCCTTTCTTCCCCTGACATGACAAACCATGAGGCTGCTTTTGTTCCAGACATTGGACATAAAAAATGAAGGACACTCAGACTGCCTGCATCCCTGATTCTTGAGGAGATAGGTCCTGTGAGGTACACATAGACCTTTAGTGTTATGTGGCTGGAATTTTGTTACTGTAACATCGCATAAACCACTCTCTTGATGAGTGCAGCTTTGCTGACCACCCAGTCAAAACTAGCCCCATTCACTTTTGATCATACCACCATTTTAAAAGTTATCTGAGTATACTTTTCAATATCTTATGTTTTAAAAAATTTTTCTATTAAAAATTTTTCCCCCTTTGCATACCACTTCCAGTTAAAATATAAATTCAGTGAGGACTATGAAGCTTGTCTGTCTTGTTCACCACTAAAAAAAAAACTTAGAAAAATGCCTAGCACATAATAGACAATACAATTGTGTATTCAAAGGAAGATTAATACTATATACTTCAAACCAGATGCATCTTAGCTCCACTGTGCTAGTAGCAAAGAAGAGGTAAAGGAATTAACTTTCTAGAGTAGATTTCTGAAGGCCATAGATAGTGATTCAGCAACTTGTAAGTGCAGAAGGAATTAGTTTAAATGCCAGCATCAATGAAGGTACAAGGGGTGATAGCAGCCATACTCAGCCAGGAACATTGACTAAATGTCTCCACCCTGTGCTGCTATCATTTGCTCAAGGCGACTTACTGCTGGAAACTAACATGCAGAAGCTCCTCCCCTGTGTTCACGGGTCTCCTAAGACTACCTCCAACTTTCAACAAATCACATTATGTTGCAAATGATAACATGTGCCTCTGCTTCTGCTCTATAGGGAAAATGTTCCTTGAGGTCAGAGATATATTTTATTTCTAATCCCACTGTGGTACATATGTCCACAGGTCACAGAATACAGAAGTAATTTGAGACTCTCCCTCTCAATAATATATCAATTTAGCATCATGTTTTCCTTCTTCCCCTTGCACCTAATCCAGTGTCTAGAACATTAGAAGGGATCAGGAAATATTAACATGAAGAAATGAATGGAAATATGTAGCATCAGCATAGGTATTAAATGGCAGGAGGTGACATAGCCAATGACTTGCCATTTCTTCTGATAAAGTAAAGAAAAGCAAATCATACATGTAGTCAGAAGATAGCTGAACATAGTTTATGCTTAATACACCATTTAATTAGCTTTAGATGAATATAATACAAGCCAGATAGATAAGTGTATTAAGTAAGCAAAATGAGTAATCAATAAGAAAAAATCAAAGCACATTTTCTGCAAGCTGTACATTTTGGGCAGGGTATATCATAGAAAGGGCTAAGGGCTGAGGGAACAAATTGTGAAGAAAGTATTAGAAACCTGAGGTTCATCTTACCTATCAAATACTATCTGGGTTGAACATCGCTGTGTCAATTTTTAATTCTTCTATAAGGATAGCATGTTCCCACCCTAGCTCATGTATGGATATTAGCACAAGACTGAATTAAGAGCAAGACATTATTATCCTTGTTACACAGGAGAGAAAACTGAGGCACCAAGAGGTTTTATTGCCCTGGGGTTTGAGGAGTTCAGCTCCTACCCCATGTGCTTTTTACTATATTGAAGCATCTTTTGAGTGCAGGCCTGTATTGTCTATCAAAACGCACAGTTCCAGACTCATTCTCTTTCCTCTTTGTTCCTGCCACCAGGCAATCCACCTCACTAAAAATGTCATAGATTTCCTGAAAGGAGGCAACTGCATTAAGGTGGCCTTTCCGTTAGCTTGAGTATTAAAAGTGCCATTTCTGTGTTTATCCTGGGGTTTTGGAAGGCTCAAAGAGAAGCCCTCTTCATTTTATTCTAAGGAACTCTCAGAGTCAGCACTTCAGGGCTCACAATACAATATTTTAATGGAGAAGGGCCTAGAGAGCATTATCCAGAAGTTACTAAATGTCAGGGCCATGGAGGCAGGCTTTATGGATTTCTTTAAAGAGCTTCATTAACTTGACTAATTGGAAAGTGGAGATTTGCAGACTTGTCTGCTTGTAAGGGTGAGAAGACAGAGTCAATAGGATGTGTGCAGGACATGAGGGACCGTGATAAGCCACTAAGCATTCCCGGCAAGAGAACAGTAGTTTTGCATTTGGTCCACTGTAAACAAGGGTGAAAACTGAGGCAGCAACTTTGAGCAGGAAAAGCCACAAATTTGGAGTCATCCTAAACTGGATAAGAATCCTGACTGACAATTATTAGCCTTGAGAATATAAAACAACTACTTACATTTGCTGAGCTTAACTTTAACCTAATTTTAATGAACTCTGGGTAGAGATGGTAGAGTAAAAGCACTTTTACCTTTATTCCTAAAGTGAAAATGAAAGATGTGTTAAATTGCACAAACCCACAGAGGAAATAAGATAAAGAGAGGAGATAAAAGCAGTAAGTGCTGGGAGCTGAGAAATTGACAGGCAACAGGCCTAGGAAAGGGAATACTAAACTGGTGGTGAGAAAAGCTAAAAAGCAATTGAATATATAATGCATATTAAACCCTTTCCAACAACAACAAACAGTATAGGAATTTGCTATTAGGTACTTTTTGGGAATGGAAAATGGTTAAAAAAAAAAAAAAGGACTTCTTGACAATCAATATGAGAAGCAGTTATATCCTGATGTAACTTCCCCCACTCTGTCTTATGACTACCAAAAGACTAAAGAGAAAAAAAGCAGGGCTTTTTGGACAGAAGTCAACAGCCTTAGCTATTGGAGGGGTACCATACTGAAAACAGAGAGGTTAAGGGTGTGTTTACCCAAAAAATTTTGAGACATGCAGCCCTCTTCTCTCAAGTAACTTCCAGGTATGCTTCAAGAAAAAATTTGGAAATTCCCTCTCAGGGGAAGCTGGCTAATCCATAAGGAAAGTCATAAAATAAGAAAAATAGGTAAATAACTTTACAAGTTATAACCTACAAGTCACACACATTGGCTCAAAACTTCCAAATACCTTTTAATTTCCAACTCTTAAACAGATAACCAAAAGTCACAAGCAACTAAAGAATCAAGAACAAACAGAAAGCAAAAATACTTCCAAATAAATTAAAATTATGAAAAATATTTAAAAGGTAAAAATGTTTATTGACAGCCTCAGAGGACTAAGAGAAGATACTGAGTCTATTACACAATAGGATGCAATAAAAAGTTACATTTAGGAAACAAAGAACTCTTAATAACTATATGTGGGCCTTTTATATTTATATAAATCATGATGATTTTTGTTTCATATAATAGCATACATCTTTATGGCTGTAGATATAAACACAACTATATTATAATTTCTAAGGTCAAAATTCAATAAAAGTTCAAATATAAATTTGGAAAACAAATCTCTGAAAGTAGAACACAAAATAAAGGGAACACAAATTAAAAGGAATATGTATGAAAATTAGAAGACAGTTACATCAAATATTAGGAGTTTCAGAACACCACAACCAGAAAAATTAAGATGAAAAGAAATGGGAGATGGGATTTTTAATAGGTTTCTTTAAGATATTTTTTATGTCAGAAAAATATTTGCTTTTTGATTAAACGGGATCACTAGATGTCCAGGAAAACAAATGAAAATACATCTACATGGTACAATAAACGTCACATTGTTGCTTTCTCCTTCTGGCCCAAGCTGTATTTTATAATGCCTAAGTTACTACAATAGTTTAACAAACCTTTCTGCTCTTGGCCAACTTTATTCACGTCTGTATAGTAACATCCAGAGCAATGTTTTTTTTCTCTGTACCTGTGTTTTTATGCTGGGTCCAGCACCTACTGTAAAACTTTAGTAAACCTACTTAACCTCCCTTTGCCTTGGTTTCCTTCTCTATAAAGTAGAATTATAAATAGTACCTACCTTGCAGGTTTATATGAAGATTAAGTCATTTATGATAAAGCATTTAGAATTGTCCCTGGCAAATAGCAAATTTTTGATGCTACTATTATCATTGTCATCATCCTTCATGATCTAGTTAGACTATTGTTTTCTAAGCGAAGCCTTTCCTGACCATCACATCCCAACATTATTTGTCTACTTTTGCCCAACATTGTAACTAGCACAAATCTCTACAATCCCTGAAAATCTGTATTAAAAATAGTTCATTCCTTGCTCCTTTATAAAATCATGATTTCGTTGATGCCAAAGGTCTTCATCTCTGCATTCCCAGGACCTGATACAGTAAGTGTTACACAGTATTAAATACATGCTTAATGGATTTTTATTCCTGTATTTTTATTTAGCATTTGTTACTGAACATTACACATATTAGGGCATTAGTGTTCCTCAAGACCAAATGACAGAGGACAAATGAATCACTATGTACTGTTATCTATGTTAAAAGGGAAAAAATCTATTAACTCCATGTTCATATATTGCTTTTATCTCCCAATGATTTTTTTTATCTTAGGGCAAAAATTCAATCTGAGCTATATTTTCCAAACTTTTAAAATGTTTGCAGTGATTTTTTCTACATCATGGCAGCAAATATGTTTTCGTATCTGCAGCCTATATTACAGTTGTTTGTGATGTGTTTGTCACACAGAAAGTACCTTCCAAAAGTTGTTGAAGGAATGAATAACTGAATGAATGAAAGTATGAATGAATGCCATTCTCTAACTAGAGATCAACTCTTGAGTAAAGACAACAGAGGCTCAGTTCTCTCTGAAGAACCTGGAGCAATTCTTAAATCCCTTATCTCCCTCCCATAACCATTTCATGGTATGTATAGGTTACTGCATTTTCAGACCTGCAAGTCAAAATGGCAGTGCTTCCTTTATCCTGTTTGGTACTCATGCTAACCAGTGGGGTAGGGGCTGGGGTGAGGAATAAAGAGCTTAGAAGATAGGTAAAGTAACTTCTGGGTGCAGGATGGAAATACAGTTCAAAGTGACTTTCACCCACAATGACAATTATAGATTGAACTAGAATATAGTTAATAGTTCTTATTGAATGTGAAAAGGAATTAATCTTTTACTTCCCTAATCAACATGTGAAAAGTAGGCAAATGTGAAAAGATGTAAAAAGAGGCAGAAATTAATGCATCTTATAAAAATTATATCTTGCATTTTAAATATACTAATATGTGTTCATCAACTTGATACTCAAATCAACTTTGGGAGGTAGAATGATACTAACCTAAATTTTTAGATGAGGTGATTGAGGTTTCAATTTTTAGGTCCTAAAAGTTTAATATATATTAAAAAATTTCTCTGAAAAATGTATATCTATCTCACATTAGGTAGAATTGACTAACCACATTTTCACCAGCTGCCCTCATATTAATACCAAATGTTTCATATACCGTCTTTATAAGGTAGAATATTCTGGGTAGAAATTTCAAGGATTTGGGTTTCCCCAACTATCTCTAATTCCTATAATCATAATTTTGAAATTCTCTGACATGTAATGCAAGGTGTAATTTCAGATTCTCAGGCTCTCGCTCTGGCTTTTCATCTGTAAGCTGTCAGATAACCTTCACCAGCAGCTCTGCCATTAACATTTACATTAACCTTCATCTGTTCCTCTTTCAAAGACGGATTGCTTTTCACTTCACCTACGTCTGTCTTCATCTGAATAACCTTTATTGGACTTGTTTACAACCTTTGGGAATTCATTTTTCAAAGATACTAGTTTATTTCAACTTTGGAGAAACAAGGAAATAACCCCAACAGGGATGTCTGACACATGAGCATGAGCAGAGAAAATCACCACCTCTGTGTTAAGGGCTGGTGGCTACTTACTACATTACAGTGATTGGAGCACTATGCCTGTATCCAAATGTTGTATTTCCAGCGCTATAATAAGGTCTATAACATTATAAAGTTGTATGCCATAATAAATAGTGCTTTATAATAGTGTGCTATAAGTCTTCATAAGCATGCTTATCTCTCTTATAAATAGTTCTTCAACAAATTTAAAGCTTCTCAGTAACAGAAACTATGGTTGCTACTCAGATAAATACTTAGCAATTGGATGACTGCATCTCTATCCCCCAAGAAAGACTCAAACTTCATGTTCATTTTTGAAGAGCTCTAGAAGTCCTTCAGTCTAGAAATTTTTACTTTCAATGGTTTTCCACTGTATTCTGTATGTCTCTTTCTCCTCTAATGAAAAATGTTAAACATTCAGAAAAGTTGAAATAATTTTATAAAGAATCCCCATATAACCACCATCTAGATTACACCAATAACATTTTATCATAGTTGCTTTATTATATGTCTTCCCAAACTTTCAGCTACCCATCATTCCATGGCCTTCTTTGTTCTTTTATATTTTAAGTAAGTTGCAGGCATACATACATATATCCCCAAATATCATGCATGCAATTCAACATTTGCTTAGGATTTTTTTTTCTTCCTTTGAGGTGCATTTTACATATAAGGAAATGAACAACTTTTAAGTGTGTATTCAATGAGTTAGACTTGCATAGGTCTATATAACCCAATCATCTGTCAAGAAACAGAACATCACTCTAAAGAGTCATTTTTGTCTCTTCACAAATATTCCATCCCTACTCCATCAGAGGTGACTGCTGATGTGATATTTTTTCCATCAGTTTTGCCTGTTCTAGGATTTTTATAGTAGTGTTTATGTTTTATGTATTTAAGGTTTTTTTATTTTTGCCACAATATTTTTAAGATTTATCCATATAGTTGTTTCCATTGGATTGTTTAATAAACTTCAAATGCCTTACCAAGATTTTCTAAGCCTAGAATATACATTTGGCCTTAAGCAGCCCTTACACCTAAGCTCTTTTCCTCTCCCCATTGGCTCACCATGCTTCAGCCACATTGATCTTCTCATGCCGCCAGAAGACCCAGGCGTTTTCTCCCTCAGGTTGCTTTCGCTTATAGTTGCTTTTCCATCCATCTCAAATAAATTTCACTTGGTTCCACATATGACCACTTCCTTTACAGTCTTTGGGCCTCGGTTCATCTGACATCTCAGAGACCTCTTTCCTACCACCTCATCTGAAGTAGCCCACTGTCCTTGGTTATTTGCTGCCAAAGCACTTTATTTATGAGCTCTTATCACAAGCTACAATTATTTTTGTTTGTTGGCTTTCTAATCTTTTGTCTCTTACATGAGCATGCAAGCTCTGTAAGATGCAAGCTCTATAAGACCCATGTCATTTTTGTTCATTCTTGTATCTTCAGAATAAGCATAATTGGGAGCAAAAGATGAGTATTTTATCAGAATTTGTAGTCCAGATATATTTAACTTTAGAGTTTCTTGTCAAATAATATGTTAACAATATTAACATCCCTTCAACCTAGTGTGCAATAGAACAAAAATGGGTTTTGATTACTACTAAATGCATGTACCAATGGAAACTTTCTTAAGCTTTCTCAGTTATTTATGTTCCTTAGTGTGAATTACATCATAATATTTTTCTATGATATGTAGATAAATTATAACATTTACTATTTTATGACCTTTTTGCCTCACTGAAGCACTTTGACGCAAACTGTCTCCTTCGTTCCTTAAGCCTGGAGAGTTAGATGTTACTATCACAAACATTTTAAAGAGAGCAACAAACGTTTAGAAAAGGGAATGGTTTTTCCAGGATTGCACATCTGGTAACCAGTGCAGCCATGATTCCCATTGCAAACTCCACTATTTCATGCATAAAGACGCTAAGGCCCTCTGGAAAATAGTGAATAAATATCACAAATTGCAAAGATACTGAAATGAATTTTACAAATATTAACTTATTGAATCCATTTAATAGTCCTGTTCAAGAATCAGCACCATTCCATTTTACGGATAAGTATTCATGGCAGGCCCTGTAGTATCATAAACTGACCATAAAGAATATGCTTATATTCTATGAGTGTAACTTTACACACTCAGGTGTATGAATCAGTAACACAGAAGGGAAAGAAGAAAAGTTCTTCTTCTTCTTTTTTTTTTTTTTTGTGAGCAACATGGCTGTTTATTTCACCTGGGTGCAGGCGGGCTGAATCTGAAAAGAGAGTCAGCGAAGGGAGACAGGGGTGGGGCCGTTTTATAAGAATTGGGTAGGTAAAGGAAAATTACAGTCAAAGGGGGGTTGTTCTCTGGTGGGCAGGAGTGGGGGGGTCACAAGGTGTTCAGTAGGGGAGCTTTTGAGCCAGGATGAGCCAGGAGAAGGAATTTCACAAGATAATGTCATCAGTTAAGGCAGGAACAGGCCATTTTCACTTCTTTTGTGGTGGAATGTCATCAGTTAAGGCAGGAACCTGCCATCTGGATGTGTACGTGCAGGTCACAGGGGATACGATGGCTTAGCTTGGGCTCAGAGGCCTGACGTTCCTGTCTTCTTATATTAATAAGAAAAATAAAACGAAATAGTGGTAAAGTGTTGGAACGGCGAAAATTTTTGGGGGTGGTATGGAGAGAAAATGGGCGATGTTTCTCAGGGCTGCTTCGAGCAGGATTAGGGGTGGCATCGAACCTGGAGTGGGAGAGATTAAGCTGAAGGAAAATTTTGTGGTAAGGGGTGATATTGCGGGGTTGTTAGAAGAAACATTTGTCATTTAGAATTATTGGTGATGGCCTGGATACGGTTTTGTATGAATTGGAAAACTAAACGGAATAAGAGAAGGAGAAAAACAGGTATTAAAGGTCTAAGAATTGGGAGGACCCAGGACATCTAATTAGAGAGTGCCTAAGGAGATTCAGCGTAGTCCTGCCAGCAAAGATTATTTATTTACTTCAAGAGTTAAGAGTGGCAGTTTGGGGATAGCACCAGGAGATATCAGCTGTGATGGCTTGGAGAAACTGAAAACCAGCAGTGTAAACAAGAGCAGGGCATGTATGAGTAGTTGAGAACGGCGAATAGGAGTGTGACTAGACAGAAGATAGTAGGGATGACAAGTTTTTTGGGGCACAGTCCAAGTTGGTCTGGTGTCTGGAATGAGACTGGGGCCTAATAAAAAGGAGCATCTATACAGGAGCTCAAATGGGCTGTACCCTATAGCATTCCGAGGACAGGCCTGAATTCTGAGAAGGGAAAGTGGTAAAAATATTGTCCAGTCCTTTTTAAGTTGGTGGCTGAGCTTGGTGAGGTGTGTTTTTAAAAGACCATTAGTCCGTTCTACCTTTCCTGAAGACTGAGGACCGTTAGGGATATAAAGGTTTCACTGAATACCAAGAGCCTGAAAAAATGCATGGCTGATTTGACTAGTAAAGGCTGGTCCATTATCAGACTGTATAGAGGTGGGAAGGCCAAACCGAGGAATTATGTCTGACAGAAGGGAAGAAATGACCGCAGTGGCCTTCTCAGACCCTGTGGGAAAGGCCTCTACCCATCCAGTGAAAGTGTCTACTCAGACTAAGAGATATTTTAGTTTTCTGACTCAGGGCATGTGAGTAAAGTCAATTCGCCAGTCCTGGGCAGGGGCAAATCCCTGAGCTTGATGTGTAGGGAAGCGAGGGGGCCTGAATAATACCTGAGGAGTAGTAGAATAGCAGATGGAACACTGAGAAGTGATTTCCTTGAGGACAGATTTCCAGGATGGAAAGGAAATGAGAAGGTTCTAAGAGGTGGGCTTGTGGCTTGTACTATAGCATAGCCTGCCTTTGCTGGTGTGTGGCGATTAGGTCTGGTGGAACTACTATCAAGTGTGTTCAGGGTGAGGAACAGGAAAGAAGGAAATATGGGGAAATGGGGTGAATGTCAGGTGGATCAGAGAGATACAGTCATAGGGGTCAGGTGTGGTATCAGGAATACTGTGGGAGGCCGGATTGAAGTCTGGTCCAGGAGCAATGGTAATTATGGGAGACTCAACAAAGAGTGAGTACAGCTGAAGGAGCCGGGGAGCAGAAAGTATATGCGTCAGGTGGGAGAAAGAAAATAGATTTTGGAAGTTATGAGAACTGAAGAGAGTGAGTTGAGCACAGTTTGTGACTTTTTGGGGCCTCTAAAAGTATTAAAGCAGCAGCAGCCGCTGCACGCAGACATGAGGGCTAGGCTAAAACAGTAAGGTCAACTTGTTTGCACAGAAAGGCTACAGGACGCGGTCCTGGCCCTTGTGTAAGAATTTTGACCTTACTAACCATGCCTAGGAAGGAAAGGAGTTGTTTTGTAGAAGGGATTGGGGTTTGGGAGATTAGCCGGACATGATCAGCAGAGAGAGCATGTGTGTTTTTATGAGAATTATGACAAGATAGGTAACAGATGGGGAAGAAATTTGGGCTTGACTGAAGTAATGAGGGCTGTCTGTGAAGCCTTGTGGCAGTACAGCTTAGTTAGTTTGCTTAGCCTGATGGGTGTCCGGGTCAGTCCAAGTGAAAGCGAAGAGAGGCTGGGATGAAGGGTGCAAAGGAATAGTAAAGAAAGCATGTTTGAGATCCAGAACAGAATAATGGGTTGTGGAGGGAGGTACTGAGGATAGAAAAGTATATGGGTTTGGCACCATGGGGTGGATAGGCAAAACAATTTGGTTGATAAGGTGCAGATCCTGAACTAACCTGTAAGGCTTGTCTGGTTTTAGGACAGGTAAAATGGGGGAATTGTAAGGGGAGTTTACAGGCTTTAAAAAGCCATGCTGCAGCAGGCAAGTGATAACAGACTTTAATCCTTTTAAAGCCTGCCGTGGGATGGGATATTGGCATTGATCGGGGTAAGGGTGATTAGGTTTTAATGGGATGGTAAGGGGTGCATGATCGGTCACTAAGGAGGGAGTAGAGGTATCCTATACTTGTGGGTTAAGGTTGGGAGATACAAGGGGAGGATGTGAAGGAGGCTTTGCACTGGGGGAAAAGGCGGCAATGAGGTGTGGCTGTAGCCCAGGAATAGTCAGGGAAGCAGATAATTTAGTTAAAGTGTCTCAGCCTAATAAGGGAACTGGGCAGGTGGGGATAACTAAAAAGGAGTGCTTAATAGAGTATTGTCTAAGTTGCCACCATAGTTGGGGAGTTTTAAGGGGTTTAGAAGCCTGGCCGTCAGTACCCACAACAGTTATGGAGGCAAGGGAAACAGGCCCTCCATATTGATTAAGAAGGGGACGGACTTACCCTCCACTGTGAGAGTTACCTAAAGTGTCTGTGATGGTCCTGTAGGCTTCCGAGGCGATCGGGCAGCATCAGTCTTCAGCTGCTAAGCCGAGATCTGGGAGGGAGTCAGTCAAGACAGCCTTGGGCCAGCGTTCCAGGGGCTCTGGGAGTGGCTGCCAGGTGAGTTGAACAGTCTGATTTTCAGTGGGGTCCTGCACAGATGGGATGTGGCTTAGGAGGAATCCTGGGCTGCGGGCATTCCTTGGCCTGGTGGCCAGATTTCCGGCACTTGTAGCAAGCTCCTGGATGATGAGGTTCTGGAGGAACGCCTGGCCACTGCGGTTCAGGCGTTTGGAAGTTCTTGTGTGCTGGGGATGTGGCTAGGGTTTGTCTCACAGTGGAGGCAAGGAATTGCAAGTTTTTCTATTATTGTACACCTTGAAGGCAAGGTTAATTAAGTCCTGTTGTGGGGTTTGAGGGCTGGAATTTAATTTTTGGAGCTTTATTTAAAGTTGGGAGCGGATTGGGTAATAAAATGTAGATTGAGAATAAGACGGCCTTTTGACCTTTTAGGGTCTAGGGCTGTAAAGCGTCTCAGGTTGCTGCCAAACGAACCATGAACTGGGCTGGGTTTTTCATATTTAATGAAAAAGAGCCTAAACGTTAACTGATTTGGGAGAGGTCGGATAAAGAAAAAGGAGCATTAACCTTGACTATGCCTTTAGCTCCAGCCACCTTTTTAAGAGGAAATTGCTGGGCAGGTGGGGGAGGGCTAGTCGCAGAATGAAACTGTAAGCCAGACGGGGTGTGAGGAGGGGAGGTGATAAAAAGATTATAGGTTGGAGGAGCGGAGGCTGAGGAAGAATTGGGACCTAGCTTGGCCTGGCGAGGAGCAGCCTGGGGAGGAGGGGAGAGGTCAGATGGGTCTGTAGAAAAGGAAGATTAGAAAGACTCAGTGATGCTTAGGGTTGGGACTGAGGGAACAGGCGGGAGGGAAAGAAGGAGGATTTGGGATGATTCGCATTGGGAACAGAGACTAGGGAGGGAACAATGTATAAAAGAATGCCTGGATGTCAGGCATCTCAGACCATTTACCCATTTTTCGACAAAAATTATTTAGGTCTTGTAGGATGGAGAAATTGAAAGTGCCGTTTTCTGGCCATTTAGAGCCATTGTCAAGTTTGTATTGGGGCCAAGCAGTGTTGCAGAAGAAAATAAGACTCTTAGATTTTAGGTCAGGCGAGAGTTGAAGAGGTTTTAAGTTCTTAAGAACACAGGCTAAGGGAGAAGAAGGAGGAATGGAGGGTGGAAGGTTGCCTATAGGGAAGGGGACAAGTTTGAAGAGAAGGGTAGAGACACGGAGAAGGGGGTGGGGAACAGCCAAAGCAGGCATCCCCGCAATTGACTTGCCACCAAGGGAACGTGGGTGAATGATCAAGACAGGCATCCCCACGAAGATCAGACACCAATGGAACGTGGGTTAATAATCAGAGAGGCGTCCCCACAATGATTAAACACCAAGGGAAGGCCGCCTTCCAGAGTCCGTGACCAGCACCAGAGTTTTGGGTCTACGGATAAAATATGTCTCCTTTGTCTCTACCAGAAAATGAAAGGAATCGAAATTAAGAGAAGGGAGAGATTGAAGTGTGGTGCCAAGATTGAAAGGAGAAAGAGGTTGAGGGATAGTGAGGGAGGCTGGAGAAGAGAGTAAAAAGAGGTCGCTTACTGGATTTGAAATTGGTGAGATGTTCCTTGGGCTGGTTGGTCTGAGGACCTGAGGTCGTAGGTTGATCTTTCTCATGGAGCAAAGAGCAGGAGGACAGGGGATTGATCTCCCAAGGGAGGTCCCCCGATCCGAGTCACGGCACCAAATTTCATGCGAGTCCGTGTGAAGAGACCACCAAACAGGCTTTGTGTGAGCAACAAGGCTGTTTATTTCACCTGGGTGCAGGCGGGCTAAGTCCAAAAAGAGAGTCAGCCAGGGAAAGCAAAGTTCTAAGAGAATACTGCTTCGGTGTTCTGAGATATTCTGGTAGACAATTTTATCTGTGAGGTGATTGTGGCTGGCAGAGAAGCCAAGAAACGTGTTTGATCTTGGCAGTACAAAAATTAAAAAACCAAAGGGTTCTTGTTCTCATTAAGATTACAAGTAAAAATGAACAGACAAAAACATGTATAAATTATGCCCTATAAAACATACATAATCCAGGTGTATAATCTGCAAAAAAAAATGACCAAAAAAAAAAAAAAAACAGTAAGAGATAGCTAATTTCATTACTGGCTCAAATGTGGTCTGGCTTAACCTGTCATTAAAATTCAGATGTAAGGCCCAGCATGGTGGCTTAAACCTATAATCCCAGCACTTTGGGAGTCCGAGGTGGGCAGATCACAAGGTCAGGAGTTTGAGACCAGCCTCACCAACACAGCAAAACCCCGTCTCTACTAAAAATACAAAAATTAGCTGGGCGTGGTGGCATCTGCCTGTAATCCCAGCTACTCAGGAGGCTGAGGCAGGAGAATCGCTTGAACCCAGAAGGTGGAGGTTACAGTGAGCCGAGATCATGCCACTGCACTGCAGCCTGGGTGACAGAGCAAGACTTTGTCTCAAAAAAAAAAAGAAAGGAAGAAAAGAAAAAATCAGATGTAAAGAATATATTTAAGTTAACCAGATGAAGAATGGAGGAAAAGTGATCTAGACAGAGAAAATCACGTACACAAAGGCCCGGAGAAGACAGGGCCTGGAGTTTTCAAAGAACTGAACTGCGTCTACTAGGCCCAGAATATAGTGATCATGGAAAAGGGGGGAAAACGGACACAGAAAGACCAGATCATGCAGAGCCTTTCCAGGGAAATGAGTTTTGAATTTTTCCTACTGCTGCAGAAAATTCCCCAAGAGAGGTGGACAGTAGAATTATAATTAAACAATAAGGGTTCTGTCCTTCGCCAACTAACTTTATCTTTCTAAGACTTCATTTTCTCATTTGTAAAATTGGGCTGATACTAGTGCTTATCTCATTACATTGTTACAAGCAACAACCAAAATTATGCAGGGAATGTTTATGGCATTATGCCTATTGCATAAATACAATGATTATTTTAGCTATTTTACAATAATAGCATGTAGTTTTATATTTATTGGAAAGTTTTCACTTTGACGATGATTGATAAGAGAGGTAAGAAAAAAATATAGCAAGACTGATCCCAAGTTTCTGAACATAAGAATGACCCAGGGAGATGGATGGATCAGGTATCTTCTCCCATAGAGTATATATATTTATACTATATATGTCTGTATAGTATATGTATACATATAGACATATAGACATATACATCCTATATATACATACATATATGTATGTATATATGCTTGAAAGTTCAGATAAACAATCCGGACTGTAAATTTAATTTTGAGAATCATTGGAATATGAATTATATTTAAAATGTGGATAGGATTCTCTAAAGAGAGAATGTAGAATTAGAACAAAAAAGAAATGAGACTGGAAATAATCCCTGGAACAACATCAGACTTAGGGTCAAGTGGGAGGAAAAAGAGGTTGTAAGGAAAGCCGATCTAAGATAAAAGAAAAAGACAAAATTATTGGAGCCATAGAAACCAATAGAACAGCAAGTTCTAGGAAGATGGAAGTGGCCAGTTGTCTAAATGACAGAGGGGGAGGTCTGCAAACAGCCTCCTGGAATCAGCAGATGATGATTATTGGTGACCTTACATAAGAGAATTTTACAAAAATGAATGGAGAGAGCAAAGAGTGAAAGGATCAGGAATATGAATGGAAGCAGCACATACAGAAACATTGTTTGAAAATCTTGGTTGTGCAGAAGATTAAAGAATAGGGTAGTTGTTGAAGAGCGCTCATTGATGAAGAGAAGGCTTTATTAAGAAGGCAAATACTGGAATGCTTTAAATGTTTTATCATTTGGTATTTTACATACCACAAATTCAATCTGCACCTACTTGCGACAAACAAAGCAGCACAACGAAACAATGAAAAAGGCTGGTTATCTCCTATTTGCCCTCTATCTTTACACACCCTCATCTACCCAAGCCACTTTTCAAAGGTTGATATGCATACTTTCCCTCATTCATACAGATGTATGCCAGTATATATACTCATATAGATAAGATATTATTGTTATTTCTTTTGTTTACACCTAAGTGAAATCATACTATATACATATGATTTGGTTTCATATTTTTTGAGTGATATATGTTCTGTACAAATCAATAAGATATAAAACTTTTTCTAATTTGTTTCTATTAATAGGTAAGTATATATTTAATTTTATATAGCAACTATCATATCCCACATTCAGAGTTTTTTTTAATGCAGTTTTTATTTCAATGTTGGTTGTCTCTTTCTTTTCACACCGTTACTCTCTCTGTCCACAAAACTTTCAGCCTTTGCACTTTTTATTAACAAACAGATGTATATTATTTCACATTTCTCTTTACCTTTTAATAATCTCATGTATCTTTTGTTTATTGTAAAATGTTTATGTCTTATCTGTATAAAAACATATACACATTAAAATAATCAAACAGGACATGATGACGTTAGAATATTTTTTTCCTTCAGAGATACCCATCTTCACTTTCCTCTCTAGGTGACTAAAAGCAGAAATTCTCAAAAAGGGAAGGTTCTTATACCGTTAATAAGTAAATATTAAATTTCAAACATCATAGTACAAGTTAATATTCCTATAAATGTCTATCTGAAGATCTTCAAAGTGCTTTGAAGTTGTTAATTAAACCTTTCCATGCCTACCAGTTTAACTAAGAAACATACAGTAACCTCACAGAGGGATCATTTCATTTAACTCAAGTGTTCTCCCCTGATGGAGAATAAAATAGTTACATGATAAGCCAGAGTGACACTGAACTGCATCTTAAGATGGAAAATGAACGATTCTATGATGGCCGAACGCATCTGCCAAGGGAGTTTATACAGAATGTGTTTTAGACTTAGAATTTGCATAGCATGCTAGTTTTTATTGCTATTAATATGCTATTATGAAGCTGAATGCCTGGTGTTTTATAGTGCCTCCTGATCATAAATTAGTCAACTCATAAAATACTTTTGAAGTAGCATCACAGTTTTCCAGTTGAGATCTCTGCATCCCAAGGTGATTAAATGACTCTCATCCGGTGTTTTAATTTCTATACTTTGTTCCCCTGTGACTTTCTTCATAAGGGCAAATGCACTTTGGAGCATCTACTACATTCTTTGCCCTGAATTAAATAGGATTTTTGGGCACGTGATTCACATTATGTCTTATAGCTATGAGAAGTAGGTATGATTTTCTTCCATTTTGGAGGCAAGGAAACTAAGACTTAAACAATTTGCAAAAGGAAGCCAGAGTGGCAAAGCGTTACCAATGTAAACCCCATCTTTAGGATGGGCATACTTGCAAGCTTTCTATCAGGCCACATTTCAGTCTCAAGCATATGGCATGGATCAGGAACCTGGCTTAATATATATCTGTAATTTTTATATTTTAGCAGCAGCAACTTTTATACACATTTTAAGTACTAAGAACCATGCATACATTTATTTTATATTTCACTAAAACCCTATGGAATATGGATTATTATGCCAATTTTAGACATACAAAACCTAAGGCTGTGGTTAGCTAAATGGCAGGTGGGAGAATAGAATGGTAGTATTAACATCTATCTATTTCTGAAGCCCATATACTAATCTACAATACTATGCCACTGCTAGTTATGTTCTGCTATCTATCTCCCCTGTCCTACGTTAGAAACTATATTTTGTATTTACTATACCAATAAGCTTCTGCCCAAAACGTTAGCACTTTTGTATCACCCTCATTGCATGCGCTTTAAAGACTGGCTGCAACTCTGCCCTGGATTGTGGTGACCTTCTGCCAGTGGATTCTTATTCTAGGACCCAGAATAAGGAAGAGAGTCTAATGGGAGAGTGATTTACTCATGACAGATGTTAGAGGCTCAAGAGGCCTAACACAGCCATACAATCAAATTTAAGATCAAATGTAAAAAATCCTCAGATTACATTGACCAATGAAAATCACATGGTCATGGCATACAGGGGTCAGGGAAGTATGCTTTACTTGCTGGAAGGCATGGCAAGTCACTTGTGACAGGGTGCGCAGATGATTTTGTTAACAGGTAAGGGAGTAGATAGCTGTGAACTATGTAATCTACCTGATTCCCAAAGGCATAGCTAAGTTCCAGTGTTTCTGACTGAATTTGAAAACCTTTATAATCTGGCTATACCCTATCAACTCAACATTAGTTGCCACTAATAATCTATATGCTCAGCCAATACCACATTATTATCTACTGTTTATTGCTCATGCTGTTTTCTTTACCTGGGATATTTTCTTTCTTTCCTTCCTTCCTTCCTTCCTTCCTTCCTCTTTTATTCTTTCATTATTTTGTTCTTTCTTTAGTTTTTTCTTTCTTTCCTACCTTATCTAAATTTCACTCAGCGTTTCTTAGCCTCCTGCTTAGTTATATTGGGACATATGACTTTGGAAATGAAATATGGGGAAGGAGTTTGCCAACTCCAAGCCAGGCCATAAAATGTCCTGTATGATCTTGTGTTAAAAATGGCAATGTTACAAGACAGAAGGAACCCATATTCCTGGGTACCACTAGAGAAAATGCTGCCAAGGAGAGCACCCTGACTCAATCTAACTGAGAAATGGACCATACCACCAACACACACGTGTGTGTGCGCGTGCACACACACACACACACACAGGGTAAAGAGAGGAAATGTGTGCTAAAAACCAAAGAGAAGACCAAAAAATAAATGAAATCCTAAAAAATAATTTATAAACCTGAAGAACACAGGAAAGGAGAAATAAAAGAACAAAGAAAATAGGGGACAAGTAGACATATTATAGAATAAAACTCAAACAAATCAATAATTAAATAGGATGGTAGGCTCATACTGCATGTAAAAATCTAAAAAAATCTATAAAAGAGCCAAATATGTACTGTTCACATGAAATGGCTTTTATATATAAAGACACCCAAAGGACAATAAAAAGATGGAAAACTATATACCTTGCGAATACTGAGCATATGAAGGTAAATATAACTATGTTAATAGAAGACCAAATAGATCTCAATACAAGGACTATTACCAGAGATAAAGAGGGTTGTTTCATGATGCTAAATGTCATTATATTGTATCAGCTTGCAACTTTCACTTAACTGCTTAATGTTAAATGTCAACTCATCACATCATAATAATTCTAAAATGTGTATGTATCTATAGCAAAGCTTTATGTATATAACCCAGAAATTGATGGTACTTAAGGGGGAAATGAGCAAATCCAATAAGTTAGGAATTACAACACTGCTCTCTAAGTAATTAGAGAACAAACAGATATAATGACTGTTAAAGTCCACAAGGATAAGAAAGGAAGGTAAGGTAAGACACATACTTAAACTTCCTAGGAGTTGCACACATCACTTCCACTTTCATTTGGCCAAAATTTAGTCAATTGTGCACACTTATCTACAAGAGAATCTGAAAAAACATGTATTGTTTATTCTAGATACCTCAGTGTATATATTTATGTGTGTTTTTGTGTATAAACATTTTAATATGTATATGTTATATATATTCATACACATATATAATATTTTATGGTAATAGACACATATATATTATTAGTATAAAGAAGGGAGAATGGATATTGAGTGCCAATTAATTGTCTGCCATAGAAGAAATGAAAGATCGACTAGTTCGTGTTTGAATACAGACACACACACTCTCACTTTAAAAACACGAATCTAAATTTAAAGTAATATGGCAGAGGTAAGTTTGGGCAAAGACACTATGCAACTTCCTGAAACAAAAATAAAATTTTAGTCTGTTTTCATTAAATAAACATAGTTTTTAAAACAATAAAAGATAATAAAAGGAATGTAACAGCATTTAAAAAGCATGATATTGAAAATGTTATTCTAGGCATATAAGAATGATATAACAAAATTAGTCAAGAACAAGAAATGAGGAAATTGGATAGAAAAGAAAAAAGTGTTATCATCAGACAATACAATTTTATCAATAGTAGTGGATGCAAGGGGGATATAACAATATCTAAAAAATATAAAAGAAGAGAGTTCAAGATTGCTGAAATAAGACTACATTAAAAAAATAGTCATCCTATATATTAGATATAAGAAATTAGAATTGTATTTACAAAACTCATTGACTATAAAGTACAAAAAATTAATAAAAGATGTGCAAGACATATATGGAGAAATTATTTAAATGTATTAAAAATCATAAAAGAAGACTGGAATGAGTAGAAGGGCATATAATAACTGTTGAAGAAATCAAAATCATAAGGGCATGCAGATAATCAAAATCTAATTTGATTTAATCAAATCTGATGAAAAATTTCAGCAGGACGTTTACGTAACTTTCTAACAAATCACTAAAATGTATATGAAAAAGTGTGTGTCCTCAAATTGCAGATATTTTGACATTACTTCACCAGGTGTCAATTATGATGATGAAGCAGTAGTAATATAAACAAAATAGGCATTGGCACAGACAGAGAAACATAGACCAAGACTGGAAAGTTCAGCAGCAGACCCATGGCATGCAGAAGCTTGATAAGTGTTCTAGGGTGCATTACAAGTCAACAGCAAAACGCTGAATTATTACATAGATTACGTTGAAAACATTTGTTTTTTACTTCATAAATTTGTTTCTCTTTTCATAAAAATTGTAATATTTTCATATAAAAATACAAGTAATGATTTAGGGTATGTGAGAAGTGAGGAGTTAAACAAGCCTCTTGATAAATATAAATCACGAAGAATATGACCAAAAATTTAGAATACTTCAAAGTATAATATTTAAAACAAAACAAAAAAATTAAAAATATTAAAAGAAAAAAGAACTACCTGCATACTTGCATTTGCAATCTATATTTTTCAAATCCTATAAAAATAAAATGTAAAAAAGTCACAGCTTAATGAAAATGAGGACCAAGGATGTGAACATAGAATACATAAAACAGGCAATTTGAATGCCCTAAAAAATATGAAAACGATCAACTACACTGGATAATTAGAAAAATGTAAATTAAAGAAATGAGATCATTTCATAGTCATAATGCCTGCAATCATTTTAAGAGATAGCAACCCAGTGTTGGCAAGGAAATCAAAATATTCATACGCAGCAGGGATGCATGGAAATTGGTGGAAACAAGTAAAGAGTTTTTGTTGAAATGATTTCAGGATATATGTCTAGTAAAGCTAACAATATACTTGCTCTAATACCCAGATGTCTCAGTCGTTGGTATATGCTCTACTGCAATTCTCATACACGGGCACTATGATACAAGGAGGAGTACATGCATTTCCATTGTTAATCATAGAAAAAAACGTGACAGCTTAGATATAGTCCAAGAAAAGAAAATATATAAATATATTGGGACATAGTTGTATCATGGGGTACTATATAGCAGGTCAATTAAATTTATGCACTGATCAAAGTTTCTTGAGCTTCTAATATTATGTGCCAGAAACTGTTTTTACATACTAGGAATAAAGAAGTGGACAAAATTAATAAATATTGCTCACTTCATTGAGCTTACCTTTTAATGGGGAAGAGGGAAATAAATAACTAAAATATAAACCTTACTAGATGATACAGTGTTCTTTGGAGTAAGGCAAAGTAAGGGAGGGCAATAGAGACTAGTGGTCAGCTGACTGTAATTTTAAAGAGGGTGGTTAGAGAAAGCTGCACTGAAAAGGCGACATTTAAGCAAAAACCTAAAGGAGGTTGAAGGAACCAGTTGTGTGCATATTTGGGGGAAAGATCATGCTATGTCAAGGGACTAGTAAAGATAAAGAGCCCTTATAAGGTGTGAGAAATACATGGGAGCTAGGATATTGCTAGAGTGGAGTCAGAACAAATAACAGTGGTGAAGGAACTGAGGGTCAGGGTGGGGTTGCTGTGCCATCCGTTATTCAGAACACAGTTTTATATAGTCTAAATCAAGGACTTGGCCTTTTTTCAGAGTGAGAAGGTTTTGAGAAAAGAGTACCTGAGTTACTTGAAGTTAAAAGGATGATTCTGTCTACTCTGTTGAGAATAGAGGAGGAGGGACAAGAGTGGAATTTGGGAGATAGGTGGCGGAGAGATTGTGAGAGATTTTGTGGCTTGAACTTAGGTGGTGGTAGTGGGAAGGCAAAAAGCAGGCAGATTCTGGGTGTATCAGTAAAACCCCAGGAGCATAATTATTAGAATTCAAAAGTGGCAAACTTGGGGCTAGGAGGAAGGATGTGAGCTGAGAAAGCAACAACCTCCTGATCATTTGTGACTTTTGTGGTCCAAGGTAAATTCAGGACTATGCAAGTTTCACTTCCTTTACTTTGGGCTTCTTCTGGCAATAGAGGGTGACTAAAACACATTATTGTCATTAGCTTCACAATAATAGGTACTCCCATTTTATACTTTGGGATACATCTTATCCTATTAGATCAGGTTTCATTGTAGCTTGATGCTAGAGCCATCGGCATCTGCTGATGGATTGATTGTTGGGGGAGAAATAAAGAGAGATACCTATGAGTTTAGGATATTGAGACCTGAACAGTTGGAAGATGGAACATACATAGAGTCTTGAAGTAGCAGCTTTTGGTGAAAAAAATAAAATATCAGACTGTATTTGGGCATGTTAACTTTGTAAAGCTTGTTATAAGTCCAAGTTATTTAGCCATATGGTTTAAATCCATATAGTTTTAACTATAGAAGTCTACCAAAGGAATGAGTATAGGTAGAATTGATCTGAGGGCACTCTAACATTTCAGAATCAGATGAAAAGCAATGAGCAAGAGACTGAGGAGCTGCCATAAAATGGGAATAAAACCATGAAAATATGCTATCCTAGAATCCACTTAATCAAAGTGCTTCCAAAAGGAGAGAGTCCTCAACTGTGCTAAAACTTAAGTTAAACAAGAAGAGGGCTGAGGATTGACCTTTGTATTTATAAATGTGAAGTCATTGTAGACATTGACAGGAACTAAATTGGACGAGAGTACTATGTATGAAAACCTGGTTCAGTGTGAGTCCAAAAAAAAAGTAAAAAGAAATCAGATCATTTTGTTACAAGAGTAAACATACTAACAGGGTAGTGAATGAAGGAAAATGTGGGCTCAAGAGAGGTTTGTATTTTGGGGTTTCTTTTAAATTACAGAATGTTTGTATTGATGAAAGAAATGATCAGTAGGAGGAAAATTGAAAAGGCAAAAGAGAGAAGAAGAATTGCTACAGTAATGCCCTAGTTTGAAACCTTGTATATGGGCCAAGAGGTTAGACTTGGGTAGAAACACAGGCATTTTATTTATTTAAGAGAAGAGGAGGTAGAGTAGTGTTTCTGGCACAGGTGCAGGTATGTGGGCAGATGCTATCATGGAAATGTGTGCAACCTCTTTTGTAAATTGCTTTCATTTTCTCAGGGAAACAGGAAGCAACATCACTAGCTGAGAATTAGGACAATGGAGCATTGAGAAGAGAGGGAGGATAGTAAACAGTCATAGAATAACATGGGAGAATCAATGGAGTATGGAACTCTAACATTTTCTTAAGCTACAAGTAATGGTCCACTTGAGGTTACATAATCATAAATTTACAGTTGTATCTCAATTTATATATAAAATTGATATAATAACAAAAAGTGAGATATGTGATCTTTTCTAGCCCTGTTCATTTGTGCAGGGATATATGCAGAATAGATTGACAGATGGATGGAACCAGTTTTGTGATTATGAGAGGCAAGTATGATGGGACAGAAGAAGGGCAAGGAGGTTGAGCATATATGAGAGGGAGTGATCACAATGCTGGGTCATGGAATGTAAGCTGGGTATGGAGGAAATTACAAAATGGTGAGGATGAGAAACATTGATGAAGTAGATGAGGTAAATAATCATCAATAAGGATAGGCTCAAAACAAGATATTAAATGAGAAAAAGGGTAGTAAATATACATACAATTTGATTCCACATATGTTAATTAAAAAAAACTATAGGCCGGGCATGGTGGCTCACGCCTGCAATCCTGGCAGTCTGGGAGGCCAAGGATGGTGGATCACTTGAGGTCAGGCGTTCAAAACCAGCCTGGCCAACATGATGAAACCCCATCTCTACTAAAAATAAAAAAAAAAGTGGGGCTTGGTGGTGCACCCGTATAATCCTAGCTACTCGGGAGGCTGATGCAGGAAAATCGCTTGAACCTGGGAGGTGGAGGTTTCAGTGAGCCGAGATTGTACCACTGCACTCCAGCCTGGCAGAGTGAGACTCTACTGTCTCAAAAAAAAAAAAAATATATATATATACACACACACACACACACACACACACGTATATGTGTGTATATATACACACACATATATATGTACATGTGTATATATATACACATGTACATATATGTGTATATATGTGTCTATATACACACATATATGTATATGTACGTATATACATATATACATACATATATGTATATGTACGTATATACATATATACATATATGTATATGTATATATGTACATATATGTGTATATATACATATATACATATATGTGTATATATGTATATATACTGAAAAATATGTTATAGACATATGTAATAAAAATATAGATAATATATTATAGATTTAATATATGTGTATGTGTATATCATACTATATACACATACATGCATATCTATACTATATATACATGTATATGTTTATATACATATCTGTGTGTATACATAAATATAAAATGAGAATAACATGAAAATACGAGCTTCAAAATAGTGCTTGCCTCTGGAAAAGGAAAAAAAACCCTTTAACTTTGGTAATAGTCGTAATATTGTATTTTTCTGTACGAGGGAATACCATGGTGGCTAAGAATGTAAACTTCAGAGCTAGAGTCACTGAGTTCAAAATCCAGTTCTACGACTTATTACTTTTAGGCTAATTATTTAACCTCTCTGTCTATATCATTTTTCCTAAAGTATTCCGTACCTTCGTTTCCTATTTCTCTAAAATAGGAATTGTTATAGAGTGAATTATGTCCCTGCCACCCACCCCAAAGTTTATATGTTGAAGTCCTAACCACAAACGTGATAGTATTTGAAGACAGGGCCTTTAGGACATAATTGGGCTTATATGCGTGCATGAAGATAGGGCCTTCAAGATGGGATTAGTATCCTCAAAAGAAGTGACAAGAGGGGGCTCTCTCTCTCTCTCTCTCTCTCTTTCTCTCTTTCTCTGCCATGTGAGGACACAGTGAGAAGGCAAGCTAAGAAGAGAGCCCTCACCAGAACCCAACCATGCTTACACCCTGATCTTGGGCTCTAAGTCTCCAGAACTGTGAGAAAATAAATGTCTGTTGTTTAAACCACCCCGTCTATGGTATTTTGTTACAGCAGCCCAAGTGGACTAATGCAGGAATAATAAAAGTGCAAAAGCACCTTTCTCATGAAAATAGTAACACTTCTAACACTGTCATAAAAGTGTTTCATAAGCAGTAGCCATGACTTCAAATGATCTGAAGCCATAAAACACAATGTCTGAGGGATGAGTACACAGTGTTTGCAATAGTATCTTTAGTTTCCTATAACCTTGAAGTATTTAATATTTTAAAATAAAAGAATCCAAACTATATGAATCTATTTGTCAGTAACATGGATTTGAGATGGACAAGATAAGGGCAGGATAACACCTTAGGGGTCTATTTCACTAGTGCTGAAGAGTTGTGATTGGAATTCAACTAGAAGACTGGCAGAAGGCAAAGAGAAAGAGAACCAGATTTTAAGGAATACTTTGGCTATATAAATGACAGGGAGGGGAAGGAGGGAAAGATCATGCCTGGGTTCCAGAATACTGAATAGAGAGTGATGTCATTACCTGAAATAGGTTTTTTTTTTACAGCTGATTTTGTCAAAGAAAATGATATATTTCTCTTTTGACCATTTTCATTCTAAACTCATGATTAACAATGAGCAGAAACGTTTATTTCATGTAGTGATTTTGGTTTTGCTGTTTAACTTTGCACCGCTAAAAGTGCGGACTCTAGGAGCACACATGTGTGATACATATCCTGAGACAGAAGCACAGATTTAAGAGAAATTAGGGCTCATGTACATTTCAGAGAATGGAAAAGTTTTACAGGAAGATGAAGCTCTAGATAGTCCACAAGAAATATGATATTCTCAATACAGGTGCAAACCATTAAAGTCACTGCTGCAAAAGTGGCCCTTAGTTTAAATTTGTCAGATAAGATTTCCAAGGTCATAGCAAAATACAGCCCTTGAGTAGCATCTATCAAATAACTTAGATGAATTTATTTGTCCCATTGCGTACCTAATATCTATATTTAAATGAAAAACAGAGGTGAGAATAGTTTATATTTCCTTAATTGTTTTTAAATTATCAAAGTTATAATAGTAACTATAAAATTTTAAGATGACAAAAGTAACTGTAAACATTTTCTTGGCCATGCCAGAGTTTAGAATTATTCTTTGTGTAAGGGAGGAACAAAGGATAAAAGACTTCAAAGCAGAGGAGACGTAGTGGAAGTAAAACCATCAGAAAAGTATTTTTCTCTGCTTTGGCTAAAGCCATTTCCTAGCTTGTAGTTTTCATAAATTCAGCATCTGAATTTAACAAATACTTGGGAAAAGGGAGCTATCACACTTAAGAAAGGAGAAAATAATAATTACACCTCTATGAATTAATTTGAGTTTTGAGTTTATCTTCTGCAATTTTAAAATGTTTCAAATATTTAAGAACTAACATGAGTACATGCATTGTAAAAATTATTAGTGAAGAAATATTTCTTTCTATAAAATATAATATTTTGTTATGTTTGTTATATCATCAACTGAGTTAGAAACTCTTATTTTTTATTAATAACTTATTGAATTACCTGGAATCAAGTCTTTAAGTAACTGTGAAATCTAACATCTTTCAGATTATAGTTTAAAAATTAATTATAGTCATGAAGGTCCAATTTGCTCATTATTAAGTTATTAATCTAGCATAAAAATTACTGTATATTACTTTTCATTATTAAAATGCCATCAAAAATCCTGAGTATCTTTTACATACTAGATGACTTAGTGCTATAAACATTTTACATTTTCCTCTGTCTCTTACATTATATTGTATGAAAATCTAAGATATGTATCCCACATTTCAGAGAATTCTCATCTAATTTCCAAGTTTCAAAATTGTTATTTTTGATATATTTTCTTCAGGTGGCTAAGTTGACAATTAAAATTAAATATCCTTATGTATACTTATTTAATGGCATCAATATTTCATGAATTTTATTTTTCACTTAAAACAAGACTGACCTGGTATTTATACCAGAAGGGGCAGCCACTGCCTGTTATGGCTTCCATGATGTAAGAATTGCACTGCTTGCCTCCCAAGTGCTCAGCTGAAATGCTCAAAATTCCTATTAGTTTTAATAATATTTCTAAAAATGTATATGAGTTTTCACTTAATAAGGCATTTACACCTGTGTTAACTTATTTGAATCCAAAAGCCAAAATATAAAATATTATTATTTACCTTACCAGACTCAGAGAAAGGAAGGAATTCAACCCAAGTAAGCTCTAAAGCACAATTCATTAACCAGAGAACCAGGATTCAAATCTAACTAGTAAAAGCTGAAACAAGACAGAAACTTTCATCTTATCATTCCATATATTTTTTTTTTAATTTTAAATTACATGAAAGTTCTTCAGGGGAATTCGTTATGATTAATGACTTTATTATACAAAGAACCCATACAACTGGTTGAGGAAATACACATTTTAAATGAGTTAAAGGGCTTAATATAACCATTAATTTATTCTTTATTTCAAAATAAGTAAAAGAGTGGAATGTTCTTAATTCAAAGAAATTATAAGTGCTTGAGGTCATGGATATTCCAATTATGTCAATTTGACCATTACACATTCCATGTGTGTGTCAAAATATCACATCATATATCTAATAAATGTGTATAACGATGATATATACATAAAAATTAAAAGTAAATTTAAAAAATAAATGCTTAGCAACAAAGAGAGCATTTAATAAACTAAATGATCTTGCTAGAAGTGAAACATACTATTTAAAATAACAGTAAAATAAAAATTCATGCTTATTATATCCGAAGATAGCTTTAAGAAAACTATTTAATGTTATTGTGATTGTGGTGAACTTAGAACACTGGTATATTCTTGAGAGAATTACTTACTGGCAAAACAGTTTTGGAGAGCAATTGGTAATATTTGTTTGTTTACAACATCTTCAAACATATTCTGTAAATGTAATGAAAAATAGAAAATGTCCATCCGTGTTCATGAGCATGCATTGCTGGCTTCAGTGCTTAGAAACTGAAGGTAATCACAGCATTCAAAAATGGAAAAGTGGTAAAGTAAATTATTATTTCTAGTGTATGAAATAATATGTTTTCACTTAAATGATAATTATAGATGCATGAAGCAGAATAGAAATGTTTATGATTTGATGTAAATTTAAAAAAAAACGAAGGTGTTTATGTATATTAGGATTGCCACATGCATAATGATATACAAGTATACTGTTAAAATGTGGAAAGAATATTATTACTTCTGGTAAAGTAGTTGAAGGTATAGGTAATTTTTTTCCTAACAGTCATAGTAATAATTATTATAGAATATTTAAAACGTAGTACAATACATAGGATAATAATCTACATTACAATTACTCTAAAAACGCAAAATTCACGTTTGACTCCGCCCTCTCTTCTCTCCCAGTATGAAACCATCATTAAATGTAGACACTCCTTCCTCAGACAGATCTCTAATTTGTCTGTCAAGTTCCTCTCCTCCCGCCACCATCATGGAGCAAGCCATCACGATTGCATGCTTTAATTACTATAACAACTTTCTTCCACTATTGTTCCTTCCCATTCAAAGGTCAATTCTAGCCTCTCTCTACCTTGAATTCAGTTTTCCTTCCATAGAGAAATCCTTGCTCCCTTCATTGGATCATGCTTTTTCTCCCCTCTGAGCTTCCATCCAGCTCCTCTGTTTTTCCTTCCACTGCTAACACCTACTTTAGAATCCATGTACACATCACTAAATGCTCCCTCCTGAAATTTTTTGCTAACTCTTTTTCTTCTTTCCACTTGTAAATTCTGAGGAGGCCTATGGCTCGATCTTTGGTTCTCTTACCTTTTCCATCCTGCTTCTCTCCTTAGCTGATTTTTTTCTCAGTTTTATAGCTTTGAATTTCATATCAATGCTAATGACTTCCAAATTTATCTCCAGCCCCAAACTCTTACAAAAGCCATGGACTTGAACATATCATGACCTTTTTGGCATCTCATTATACAATAGGCATCTCTAATTTATCATGTGCAAAAAAATACACTTATGATGTCCCATTCCATGATCAATAACCCACTCGTCTCTTATTCTCTGCCTCTGTAAAGGGCATCTTAGTTTACCCAATTGATCAGACCAAAAACCTAGGTGGCATTCTTATATCTTTGCTTTCCGTAACAACCAACCTCAAATTCATCAGCACATATTTTTGTCATCTAATTTCAGAATACATATCAATCTAACCACTTCTAACCAGATTCAAAACCAGCACTCTTTTCTAAGCATGATGTTAAAGAAGCCATCAATGCCTCTTTCTTTTTCTAATTCAATAGCCCTTTTAATTGTCTGTTTCCATGCTTGCCCCCTTTAATGCCTATATATTCCTGAGAAGGGTGTTTTTAAAAGGTAAATGATATGTCATTCATGAGCTTCAGACCTGCTACTGACTTCCCATCATCCTGGGATCAAAATCCAGACATTTTACTGTGGTCTCGAAGGCTCTACATTTGCTGGTCCCTATTTATCTCCCTGAAATCTTACCTTATACCACTCACTTCCACGCCACCTCTCTTCCAGCAACAAAGCTTTTGTTATTCTTAGAATCCTCCAAGCTCTTGTCTGTTTCAAAGCCTTTTAAATTACTGTTTTATCTGCCTGGAATTGTATCCTCCCACTTCTCCATGTCTTACTCTTTCCTATCATTCTATTATCTATTAATATATCATTCCCTTGGGCTTTGTTTCCTCCAACATAAAAAACAAGTCCGTTAGTCCCGCCACATCCTGCTTTATTTTCTTCATAAAATTAATTTGCATGCCTCATAAGGGCAGGGATTGTTAGTTTTATTCACTGAAAAATGCCTAGAACCCACTAGTATCTGTGACACATAGTAGATGCTCAGCAAATACGGGATAAGTGAACAAAAACTTTATTATTATAAGTCATATTATTTGTTTGTTTTGTGGATGTCTCTTTCATTAGAAAGTAGGTTCTGTCTTACTTACATGTGCATTCCCAGTGCCTAAAACTATGCTTTGAATATAGTAGTCTCTCAAATAGTATTTGTCAAAATTATGAATAAATAGCCTTTCCCCATTGCTTCATTACTTTATTCCTAATTTTAAAAATACTTTCACTTTATTTTTTGATGTTAACATGCAACTAAACATTTTTTAAACTCTGTTGGCAAAACCGGATATCTACTGTTAAAAAAAAATCTACAATGATCCTACACTGAAAAAAAAATTTTAGAGACAAAATTTGTTGAAGTATCTGAATGCTTTCTACTTCTCATGGAAAGACATATGGAAAGTGACCACAAATTTGAAAATATCTGCTCTATACTGTGTCTGCCAATTGTCCTTGATTATAACAGATGCCATTCATTTTTTTCATTTAAACTTATCATTGTTCCTTACCAAAAAGTAGCTTACTTTTATTAAAACTAGGAGACTTTGAAATGCTGAATTGTGAAATTCGGATGATAGGAAGGTTCTGCATGTCAGACCAATAATTCTTAAAACTGTCAAGCTTAGCACATCCAATTTATGTGTCACTTATGTCTAAATCCAGTGACCCATTTAGAATCATTGGCTGCCTATAAGCTGAATTAATTAATTAATTAATTAATTAATTATTGAGTGGGAGTCTCACTCTATTGCTCAGGCTGGAGTGCAGTGGCACGATCTCAGCTCACTGCAAATTCTGCCACCCAGGTTCAAGTGATACTCCTGCCTCAGCCTCCTGAGTAGCTGGGATTACAGGTGCCTGCCACCACACCCAGCTAATTTTTGTATTTTTAGTAGAGACGAGGTTTCACCATCTTGGCCAGGCTGGTCTTGAGCTCCTGACCTCGTGATTCACCCACCTCCGCCTCCCAAAGTGCTGGGATTACAGGCGTGAGCTACTGTGCCTGGATTAAATTATTTATTTTTGAAGATAAAATTTTATTTTGAAAGAGAAACTGCCTGTGAAAGTTTAGCATATTAAATAGGGTTCTTTTTAGGTAAATTGTAATAAATGGTTCCATTGTTGCTATTTTATAAAAGAAATGCTATACAGTTAGTAGACAAGTTGTGAATGTCTGGGAGAATATTTTTGAAATAATATGTTTCAAAATTTCATTCACTACCTTCATGAATATCATTCTTAAGGCCATTTTATCACAGGTCCAAATGTACTATTAGAAAATGGGGGAGGGGGGAGGGATAGCGTTGGGAGATATACCTAATGCTAGATGACGAGTTAGTGGGTGCAGCGCACCAGCATGGCACATGTATACATATATAACCTGCACATTGTGCACATGTACCCTAAAACTTAAAGTATAATAATAATAAATAAAAGAAAATATGTTGCACTCTTGACTACAGAGCAGGCAAGTAGATAATAAATGAATATTCCATTTGATTATCACTATAGTGAGAAAATCTCATGTCAATCTAGTTATTTTGGTGTCCTCAGAAACAGAATTAGCATAGAAAATAGGTTATTAGGATTCCGATAGATTTTGAATTTAGCAATTTTGTGTGTGTGTGTCTCAGGAATAACAAGAATGAGTAAATGAGTAAAGAAATTGCCCAGGTAAAAATACCCAGATTCTAAATTGGCTTCCATACTCGCTTAGGTTATCAATCCTAGCTGTATAAATGTCCCACATATGGTGGGAAAGCAGCTTGGGAACAACCTGTGTTTCGGTGTTTAGTGGTGACCTCACCTGGTCTGCTGAGAATATGAAACAGCATGGCCACGTACTGGGGCAAGGCCCAGTGGGGAATTTCCTCTGCTCTGCTCCGGTCAAGACCTCCTGTCCCTATCACCAGCAAATAGGCAGCTATTCGCTTTCTCTTCTGCTTGCTTGACATGTCTTCATATACCCCATTATCACATTTAACATTGTCTAAAGTCCTTGATAAATGATAAATTTTATTATCATCAATCTAAAATTACATTTTTCACCTTTTCTGAGAATCTAGGAAGGTTCCTGTCTTATACAGTTACTCAATAAATTATTTGATAAATTGTATTTTCTTGCTAGAGTTCATTATACTGGAGAAAAAAATAAAACATTTGAATTCCATTTTTAAGTAGCATTAAGAAAAGCTCATTAGAATATAATAATCTGTGTTACGTAAGTAAAAAGGTAAGGCACATAAATTCAGTTTCCTTGGACTTTGAAGAAAAATGTGCATTTTTTTTCTTTTTTTGCATAGCAGATTGAAAAGGCATGTTTCTAGTAACATCTAATAAGACAAAATGCCTATATCTTTGTAAACCAGGACTCTTAAAAAGTGTTTTGGACTAATGTTTGCTAGAGAGAATTTAGGGTGGATTAATTCTGTTGAAGACAGGATTTAGGATTATACTTCAGTTAATTGTGATTTTACTTGCTTTTCACTTGTTACACATAGGAATTTTTTAAATATTCAATAAAACAATGTTTTTGATAGTCCTTTGGAAGCTGATTTGCTTGTCTGGGGGAATTTATTGTTATAATAATGTTCTATTTGATAATGTGAAAAGGGCTATTAAATAACAAAAGAAAGGTGGTGAAGATTGAATGATTCTGGTTGTACATCAAATCGCTTTTACAATTAAATAAGCTATATTTTTAAATGTGTAGTCCTAACCCATAGTAAATATATACTTGGTTGCAAATATTTTAAACTTTGAGAACTATAAATGAATTTGTAGGTGATATGATTTTTAATATTACCCCATATATATAATTTAGAAATGATTTTGTTCTTTTGTACATTTTATTTAGTATTCATTGATTCAACAAGATTTACTAGAAACCTAGAACTAGAGATATTAAAATGAACATTTATTGAGTTCCTAATACAATGGGATAGTCAAAATAGACATGTTTGTGTGTTTGCATTTCTTCAAATTTATTATTTTTATTAACATTTAGATAAAAACAAAAGCCAATTCAGAGGGGTATCATGTCCAATATTATAAAATGTATTAAACTGGTAGAGCTAGGATAACACACACCCCCCCGACACACACTCACACACACGTCATATTATTAAAGGAACATGATATTTAAGTAAATGAGCAACTGAGCCTAGAACTATTCTTTCGGGATGAGAATCTCAACACTGCCAGTTTATAGGAGTGAGGACTTAGCCAGAATATTAAAATTATCTGTGTTTTGACTTTTATATTGTTACCCTACAGCATAAAATTGCTCTTAGGAGTAAATGATTAAAACATGTGAAACACTCAGATTCACGTGTCACAAATTAAGTGCTCAATAAAAAACTCATTATTATTTTATGATACTTAGTGTTTTCCACTGCCCAATGGGTACAATTTGAAAGACTAGTGTTACATTTTTGCTAAGGCCTTGACATTGATGGCTGTTTGTGTTCTCTCCTGCTCTCTACGTCTGGCCTAGACCCCTCACCTGGTATAGAGTTAAGCACGTAAGCTAACAGTGCTTGCTAGCACTGTGACCTCAAGAAGCCTTCTTGCAAAGCCAGCAACTTGTGTGTGTATTTCCTTTCTAATATCCTCACTGGCATTTGAGAACAAGATATTAATCCCTGAAGAATTAATGGCTAGTAATTTATTAGCAAGCAGTTTTAAACATGGAATTTTCTATTCTAACTTTTTATTGGAAATCGAGGGATTAGTGTAAAGGGAGTGTCAACTGAGAGCTTTAGTTTAGAAAATTTAATAATGAAGAATGACTATTTTCAGATATAAAATCTGTAGGATTCTGGTGACTATCAGGATAAGCTTTGTGTCCATGGAGAATATTCATTACAAAGGTCATATAGTCAAACCCAATATATACGAATCTTGTTGTAGGTCATGCAACCACAAACAGATCTAACAGGAATGTCCAAGATATCAGTGCCCAGAAGCAAAGGTCCAGCTGGGGTTAGAGATATGTAAAATTGCCTATGGTCACAAAATGGAATGTCCAACCCCATTTATGCTTGAGGAGAGAGAAAAGTTAGAATTTTCAGTGCTAGTTTTTAGTTCATTTCTTGTAAGGAACATTATTAAATTGAGCACTCTTAACCTCAGGGTATTAAAACAGAGGAAGTAGCAGATGGAAGGAAGGAAGAAAGGAAAAAGTGCATTACACTACTCCTCTAACCCCGTTTATTAGAAAAGTTTCACATGCGCTTATTCATTCCTAGTAGTAGAAGTAGTACATTCAAAATGGTTAATTCTTCTCTAACCTATTTTTGATAATTAACCTATCACTGATTGAGAGGAAGGTGCAGAAATCAAAGAGCAAGATCAAGTCTCTGTGGGTTCTTTATTATCATATTCCCAATAAGTTTATTTATCTCCTGCTATGTGCCAGATGCTTTTCTAGACCTTGGAGATACAATAGTAAATATATGAGAAAGCACTGACAAAAGAGGCTTCCATTTTGTTATTATTAATAATTATTATTGTCATTATTATTTAATGCAACCCTTCAAATACATTTTTCCTTCCATTTTTATTTAACTGAAAAGTATCCTGAAATTACAAGGTGGAATACTTTAAAATAGCAGATACTATTTACAACAATGTGAACCTGAGTCTTCTAAATACATTGTATTGCAAAGTAAATAAATAAGTTAATTAAATACTGAAGCTAATATTTGCATCTGCTATTCATGGATCCTATTTCAGATCTGTGTCTACATCAAAATGCCCATCTTTTTTTCATTTACAGTAGTAATATTTTAGAAGAAAATTTTACAAATTTGAACGTGCTTCTATATTAACACGTTATTATTATTATTATTATTATTATTATTATGAGATGCAATCTTGCTCTGTCACCCAGGCTAGAGTGCAGCAGCGCGATCTCGGCTACACTGCAACCTCTGCCACCTGGGTTCAAGCGATTCTTCTGCCTCAGCCTCCTGCGTAGCTGAGATTACAGGCACGCACCACCACGCCCAGCTAATTTTTGTATTTTAGTAGAGACAGGGTTTCACCATGTTGGCCAGGCTCGTCTCAAACTCCTGACCTCAAGTGATCCACGCACCTCGGCCTCCCAAAGTGCTGGGATTACAGGCATGAGCCACTGCAGCTGGCCATATTTTTATGTTTTTTAGTTTGCAGCTCTTTATGTGATTTTTCTCTGTGACAAAGCATTCCAGTAAAGAAAGAGAGAGGATTCGCTATAAAACAAAAATAAAAAGTTTTCCAGTAAAATGGCTGTACTTTCCAATATCACCCACCTTAGCAAGTTTTTAATATGTGTATACCATTAGACAAGATTTTTTTTAAATTAGCCTCAATCTTCATATTTTTAATTAGCAAAAGAAGTAATACCTACCCTACAGGATTAAATATGAAAATCTGGCATTGCTTAAATTTTGATATGGTGGTTAAGGAGAATCAACACTGACTAAAAGGCCAGCCTATAAGCCAATACGTTGTGAAAGAACTTTTGAAATGATAAGACTTATGGAATTTTGTAATCTAGAAGATAACTTAAAATTCAGATGGACTAATGTTATGTTCCATGCATGAATAATCCTAAGTGGGTAGATCTATTATGAAAAGTAGTTTGATATAATGGAAAATCAGTCAACTGAGAGTAGAGACCTGAGTTCTAGTTCCAAACCTGGATGCCCTTAGCATATTCATTTTTCCCTCGAGGAAGTTTCTCTTCATATCTAAGAAAAGACTAGATTAACTCTCCAAAGCCTGACAAACAGGCCTAAGAGTCCGTCATCTGCTCTCATGTTTTCATTTCTGTTTCCTTCAGCCTTTCTTCATCATGTATATACCTGAATAAATGTCTCACTCTTTAATATATTTTCCTTGATTATAAAAGTATTTTTCTGTTCCATAATTTAATATTGTTGTAACATAGCTGATGTATAGTTGACAATAGACAAACAATAACTGTAGAAAAATTATTTTGTTATTGCTTTCATTTTTATTGTTTTTAAGAAACAAGAAAAATCACGATGGAGGGTTCATTTAGATTTTTAGAGTTATATGAGTTAATGTAGATAGAGATGTTAGGGCAGCAATAGGTACATAGTAAGCCATCAGTATTAGCTATTATTTGTGTTAGTATTAGATTGAGTAATACTTTAAATACTTTATTATTTTTGATAAAATATAGACTTATGTTTTTAGTTATCTAATTAAGACATTTTAATTAGGGAGGTTTGAAAAAATAGAAATAGGTGAAAAAACAAGAATAAAATAAACATTATTAATATCCCCACCAATCAAGGATAGCATCTATTAATAGCTTGCTGTGTGCCATTCTATATTTTTCTATGTACAGATATATTCAGAAACACACAACCAAATTTTTATAAACTATTTTGAAACCAAATTGTATTTTTACTTAAAATATGAGTAGTCATCATCATTGAATATTATTTTCTAGGCAATTTTTGTGGCTACATGTTATTTTATTGAGGAGTTGTATCATAACTTACTTTACTAGAGTCTTATTATACCATTAGATTGCTTCGAATTTTTAAATTTAATAATGCCCTAACAAATATATTTGTATGTGTGTGTTTATTTCTGTGTATTTGTGTGTACATATGCGTCTATGTACACATATATTTCTGGTTATTTCCTTGGGGTAAAAATGCAGAAACAGAATTGAATGGTCAAAAGGTAGGCACCTATTGAAGGTACACTTTTTGAAATAAAATAATTGGAATGCTCACGCATTATAATCAAAAGTACAGAAATTTCCCCCAATTTCTCATAAATTATTCTTCCCAACTAACATGAGAGAACAGAATCGTGCACATCTCAGCTGTATGTGCAATTTCTGTACCAAAGGAAACATTAGACGTTTTCTAGAATGTCCTGAACAATGTGAAGGTTAAATAAGCAAGTATAGAAAGTAAGTTTTGGGTTAGAACCATGAATCCCAGATACATCCCAGATACATAATAATAGGGTAAATTCAGAGGAAGCCTAAATATAAAGATAAATAGGACAACCAATTAAAATCACATGATTAAGGCAATTTATGTTGTTCTCAGTTAAAATTTACCAAGTCTCTACAAAGTAGAATCAATAACCAAAGAAGCATTCACATTTTGAACAACACTTGAAATTAGACACAATTTTCAATTTAATTACTTTGTATTATGGACTCATTTGCACCCCTCAATTCATATGTTGAAGTTCTAACTCTTGATGTAACTGTATTGGAGATACAGCCTTTAGGAAGGTAATTAAGATTAAATGAAGTGATAAAAGTGGGCCCTTAATAGCCTAATCCTGTAGAGCTCATGTCCTTATAAAAACAGGAGGAGACACCCAAGATTTCTGTCTCTCTCTGTGCACAGCAAGGCAAGGTCATGCGAGGGCATCACTAGAAGGCAGCTAACTGCAAGCCAGGAATAGATTCCTCCCCAGAAACCTAATCTGCTGGCAGCTTGACTTGGGACTTCCAGCCTCCAAAACTGTGAGAAAATGTTTCTGGTGTTTAAGCCACCCAGAAGGTGATATTGTTATAGCAGTCTGACTAATACCTACACTTTGTAAGATCTGTCTATAAGCTCAACTACAATAAAACAAACAAAATTTCACCAGAAACCCCCTCCCTTTTTTTTTTACCTGAAGGAATACTATAAGTTGTATATAAGAAAATGCAAGCAGACTAGAATAACCATGTAACCATGGCACTAGTTCACAGGAACAGAAGACCTTCCCATAGCTGAATATCCTGCTTTTCATAAGGACATCTCAAGGAAGGTGTTATTATCAACTGGACCTTTTGGTGGATGCTGTTAAGAACAAGCACCCAGATTCCTCTTTCATTAAAAACATGTTGCTCTAGCTCTGGTGAGCTGTCAGGCAACAGCCTTCAGCTATCAGCTTCTTCAGGGATTGCTTGGGCTGCAGAGGGTTGCCTCACTCAAAATCAAGTCTTGTCCCAGCATGGCCCAATTTGAGTGACTAACCCACCAAGAATATAAAGGCCTGGTCATCAAATCCTACCTTGAGATAATTTATAGGGGCTATTCTAGCTCCACACCTCTCTATTTGGTAGGCAGAGGCTGTAGTTGGTCACGTTGCAGCTTGACTTCTCCTTCTGTCAAATTCTGCTTCCCACCCATCCCTTCCACAGGTGCTGTTCCCAAGGGCACACTTAAATAAATATCCTGCATGCTAAATTCCATTACAGAGTTTGCTTCCCTGGGATCCCCACCAGTGGTAGAAAGTGGTTAGAAAAAGGTTACAATAATATTGGCAGGTGCTATGATTGCATCACTGCCTGATTGTCTTTACTTAAAATGGCCCTGAGAGGGAATCTGTGCCCTTTATGCTAAGCCAATTGGCTCACAAAACCAGGCAGACCTAGCAATTGCGGCATAAGACCATATTAGTCTAAAATTTTCCCCTCTAGTTGTATAAAATATGTAAGAAATCAATAATAAATGTATTTCGTTTTAAGTAAACTCTTCTTATTAGTTTACTATGTATTATTCTTATTCAAAAAGTAGACTATATTCTCAACTTGATGTACATATAATACAAGTTATACTTAGATATCCAATAATTTAAAGTTCAAATTGCTGTTGAGATTTTTCAAATAGGTGTGGTACTCACAAAGTAAATAATCCTATTCACTTATATTTTCTGTTGGACTGGAATTCTTGTGGTCAGTTTTCTTCATTTAGCATGGTTATCTTTTCTCCCTTCCAGCATCAGGTCCTGCTTCCCGCTACACCCAACAGACAGTTCTTCCCATCTTTCCCAGGTCTCCAAATCCAGGTTTTGACACTTTCCTTCTATATGACATTGAGAAGGTCACTCAATTTCTCTGAGCCATAGTTTCCCCTTCTGAAAAACAGGAAAAACCTGTTTAAATGTGATAGCTATGATATAAATTAAATGAGATAACACATGGAAAACACAGAACATAATACCCAATACATACTAGGGATGTAGTAATTTGTTTTTCTCTGTGTCTTGCTATGAGAGAAGCTATGAGAAAGTCTGCAAGAAAAGAAAAACCCTCAGACCCATGACAAACAAATGGTAGATGTATTGAGATGGGAGCAATCTTTCTTATTTTTAAAAGTTCAGTTCACTTATGGGACACTACTATGTGCTAGGTGTATAATGACATAGAAGATAAACTCTCTTGACTCAAGTACCTTGCTCTCTACTGGGGTATTACAGACAATAAAATGGTTTTAAATAAGAATGGAATGGTGACTGCATTTGTAGGAAGAATGAAGTAGAACAGTGCTTTCCTTTATTCAAAGCTATGTTTCTTAAAAACAGTAACAACACACAGAGGCAGAGCTACGTTGCCACCCTGTATTTACACAAAGACAGTGTTGACTATAGGCATAAGACTTGCTTCCAAAACCAGAGTGCTACTTCCAGCACTAATATAAAGGCTCAACCAAGGGAAATGGTAAGTTATCTCTAATCTTCAAGCGTAGCCCCCAATTAAAACACCTAGCATTTCCAAGTCTGACACAACACGTCTTTGTAGTGCTGTTAATAATGGACAAATTCGTTGGCTCACACCTGTAATCCTAGCACTTTGGGAGGCTGAGGCAAGTGGATTGCCTGAGCTCAGGAGTTCAAGACTGCCCTGGCCAACATGGTGAAACCCTGTGTCTACTAAAAATACAAAAAATTAACTGGGTGTGGTGGCACGTGACTGTAATCCCAGCTACTCAGGAGGCTGAGGCATGAGAATTGCTTGAACCCAGGAGGTGGAGGGTGCAGTGAGCCAAGATCGTGCCACTGCACTCCAGCCTGGGTGACAGAGTGAAACTCCATCTCAAAAATAATAATAATAATAATAGTGAACAAATTATGGCAAGAAAATACGCATTTAAGTGGTGGCTTTCATGTAACAGGACTTGTTGCAAATTGAAGGGGAAAGGGGTATATCTTTATGAAATATTACTCCAAAAACACCCACTACTTTGTGACAAATGCAAATTTATGTACCTATTACTTGCACTCCTTACCCCACCTTCATTGCAAAGGAGTTACTTTTAAATAAATAAACAGCTCAATGAGTGTCATTGATTCAACATAGTTTTCTGAGCATCTCTTGTTTTGAAATGGACAAAACTGTCAATTGCCTGCATTATTTTCTTTTTGTGCTGTGAAAAACAATGCAATTATACAGTATGGTATACAGTATTATTTCTATGAGGAAAAAAAAATAACTTAGAAGAGATTAGCCCTGGCTTTTGATGGAATAACACTCTTTGGGATTCGATATAGCTTGCAGGTAATAAAAGTAAGGTCTTCTTTGATTTATCACCAGGAATAAAAGAGAAAAATACCAAACCGAAAAAGAGGAAGTTGGGACAGGAAGCATTTTGTCAGAAGACAGAAAGCAATACACTTAGTATAAGGAAATAAAATGGAATTGAATGAATGAAGGAAAGGAGAAGGCAAGGGCAGAGTATTGAATATGTGCTTAGCACTTTACATTTATTCTCCTATTTACTCATTACAACAGCCTATAGATAAAGAACCTAAGGCTCTGAAGATTTAAGTTGCCTGCTCAAGCTGGCCCAGTTAGTAAAGAAAGATTAGAGTTTGAGCCCAAATCTTCCACAATCCAAGCATTGTGCTTATTCTCCTTAAATGTGCCAGATATCTCAAAAATCTCCATTTATTTATCACAATCCTTCCATTGATCACTCTGAAGCAAATCCATCATATGTAGCAGCTTGAGTATCTGTGGCTTCAATGTTTACTGTCATCTTCACCATGCAGTGAGAAACTTCATGGTTAAAGTAGAGAAGAAAATTAACAAGCCTAATTTTGCAACCTACTCATCTGACAAAGGGCTAATATCCAGAATCTACAATGAACTCAAACAAATTTACAAGAAAAAAACAACCCATCAAAAAGTGGGCAAAGGATATGAACAGACACTTCTCAAAAGAAGACATTTATGCAGCCAAAAACCACATGAAAAAATGCTCATCATCACTGGCCATCAGAGAAATGCAAATCAAAACCACAATGAGATACCATCTCACACCAGTTAGAATGACGATCATTAAAAAGTCAGGAAACAACAGGTGCTGGAGAGGATGTGGAGAAATAGGAACACTTCTACACTGTTGGTGGGACTGTAAACTAGTTCAACCATTGTGGAAGTCAGTGTGGCGATTCCTCAGGGATCTAGAACTAGAAATACCATTTGACCCAGCCATCCCATTACTGGGTATATACCCAAAGGATTATGAATCATGCTGCTATAAAGACACATGCACAAGGATGTTTATTGCGGCACTATTCACAATAGCAAAGACTTGGAACCAACCCAAATGTGCAACAATGATAGACTGGATTAAGAAAATGTGGCACATATACACCATGGAATACTATGCAGCCATAAAAAATGATGAGTTCATGTCCTTTGTAAGGACATGGATGAAACTGGAAACCATCATTCTCAGCAAATTATCTCAAGGACAAAAAACCAAACACCACATGTTCTCACTCATAGGTGGGAATTGAACAATGAGAACACATGGACACAGGAAGGGGAACATCACACACCGGGTCCTGTTGTGGGGTGGGGGGAGGGGGGAGGGATAGCATTAGGAGATATACCTAATGCTAAATGACGAGTTAATGGGTGCAGCACACCAACATGGCACGTGTATACATATGTAACCTGCACGTTTTGCACATGTACCCTAAAACTTAAAGTATAATAATAATAAAATTTAAAAATAAACAAAAAAAAACAACAAAAAAAGAAAATAAGCCTAGCTTTGTGCTTTCATTGAAATCAAAGTTGATCTTTCCTAGACATAAAACCTCCCCATTTTCCCAGATTTCGGGTTCTCTTAAGTGGAAGGGCCTGGTACACAGTTTCTTCCCTCAGATGAAGCTAAAATAAAAGTTGACATTATAAAAAAGAAAACAATTTAAAAATAAAAGAACAGCTGGAATCCCTGAGTGTGTGTATCAGCAGAGAGGAGAACTTGGAAGAAGCTTTCCAGACATTGGAAATAGCACAAGCAAAAGGACTGGGAGCAAGAGGGAACATCTCATGTTTGAGAAACTGGGGGAAGAGCATTTTACTTACAGCTAAATCTAATAGACGGATAATATAGTATTAAATCCAGTTTATGGCTACATAATACTTGATGGTGTATATGTACCACATTTTCTTTACCCAATCCACTGTTGATAGCTCCTAGGTTGATTCCTTGTCTTTGCTATTGTGAATAGTGCTGCAATAAACATAAAAGTGCAGCTGTCTTTTTGGTAGAACAACTTATTTCCTTTTGGATTTATACCCACTAACGGGATTGCTCAGTCGAATGGTTGTTCTGTTTTTAGTTCTTTGAAAAATCCCCAAAATGTTTTCCACATTGGCTGAACTTATTTACATTCCCACCACCAGTGTATAAGTGTTTCCTTTTCTCCGCACCTTCACCTGCAACTGTTCTTTTTTTTGACTTTTTAATAGTAGTAATTCTGACTGGTGTGAGATAGTATCTCATTGTGGTTCTAATTTGCATTTCTCTGATAATTAGTGATGTGGGCATTTTTTCATGTTTGCTGGCCACTGGCAAGGTGTCAAACTATATGAAGCCTAAAAGAAAATCTAGGAAACACCATTCTGGGCATTGGCCTTGGGAAATAATTTATTACTAAGTTCTCAAAAGCCATTTCACTGAAAACGAAAATTGACAAGTCGCACCTAATTAAATTAAAGAGCTTCTACACAGCAAGAGACTATCACAATGGTGACAACCTACAGAATGGGAGAGAATACGCATAAACTGCATCTGACCAAGGTCTAGTATTCAGAATCTGTAAGGAACTTAAACAACTGAACAAACAAAAACAAATAACCTCATTAAAAAGTGGGCAAAAGACACAAACAGATACTTCCCAGCTATTCTTTTAGATCTCCATTTTTATCTTTCATCAGGATGAAAAGACCTGACTACATCAATTTTTTCCATTATCAGAAATTTAAAGCACTAGATAGCTCTTCAAAAAATCGTATATAACACAGTGGTAAGTTCTCATTTATTTATGTAAATTTTTAACTATGCTTACTTTACATAAGCTCCTCAAAAACAGACTACATATGTGTATGTTATTTTCATACTTACCATTGCATCCCTAGGATGTAGATTTACTAAAAGCTTAAGTGAATGAATAGTAGATATGCAATAATGTTTTCTCTGTTTCCTTGAAAATATTCTACCATGGGAAAGCTTTGCTTCTTCCCTTTCTCTTAGTAACTGAATAACCTTGTGATATATTAAAAAGGCCATGAACTTTGGCATACTTCCAGGTTTGAATCTTAGCTCTGCCACTTAATGTTTGATTTTGTGTAATTTATTTACTCTTGGAGCCTCTGATTACTCCTCCATTAAAATGGATATACATTTATATCTCACAGGTATGTTCCAACTCTTAGTGAAATATCAACAAATCATGTACAGTTAGCAAGTGTGAGTTCCCAAACTCAATGCCCATTTCTTCTTTCTCACAAATAAGGTTGGTAGATATGTAGGTGTTTGAATTGGAGGTGCCCTTGCTGCCAGCAGAGCATAAACTGGCTTTCATGTGCTCAAATTGACATGAGTTAATCAAATTTTACTTCCTCCTTGAAGTCATCCTGAGCTAAAAGTGATTGTTAGTTTAATCACTGCCCAAGGGCTCTTTTGTTAGAACCACAGGGTTTGGTATTTTATTTAATTCTAGTTTTCATTTTATTCTAATTGTTTAGAATATGAGTACTTTCCGTTTTTTGTTTAATTAACAATACCTGACACTCTACTAGGCTTTGTGGGGTAATTCAAAGGTGAGGTGGACACTGTGATTAATCTAACAGTCTACTGGCAGAGGCAATGGTGAAATAAAACAAAATACACTAATGACAAAACTTAAATACATAATTATAGAAATCTTCTATGTCAAGGTTACTGTATATCAGACACTGTGCAAGCATCACTGGGGGAAAAGGGAAATGCAAATGCAAAGTCATGTTAAAGTGCAAGGGGATGTCATGCGCTGTCGTACCTGCCGTGCCCAGGGGGCTGGAGGATTGTAGGTGTAGTAAGTCTTCACTTAAGGTCCTTCATAGGTTCTTGGAAACTGTTCTTTGTAATGAAACAGTGTATAAAAAATCCAATTTTACATGGGCTAATTGATACAAAGAATAGCTAAATTCCTACAGTCACAAAAATGTTACCAAACTTCTAAATAAAGCTAAAAATACTTGTAATATTAAGTATGGAAATAAATATGAGCTATACATACATTTAGGAAAGATTAATCAAAACAAGTAAGATAACTATATGCCTGCTTCAGTTCAGTGTGACAGGTGGCTGGAGCCTACCCCTGTAGCTCAGGGTACAAGGCAGGAACTGACCCTGGACAGGATGCCATTCCATCTCAGGTTGCACACAAGCACTCACACTCAGACTGGAACAATTTAGACTACCAATTCACCAATAACATGCATATCTTTGTGGATTTGGAAGGAAACCAGAGTACATGGGGAAAAACCCCAAAGATATGTGGAAAACGTGCCAACTGTACACACACAGTGACCCCGGCCAGGAATTGAATTTTTTCCATCAATGTTATAACAGAATGACATTTAACAAACTGATATATTTAAGGATCTGCTGTCTATGGAAGAGTTGAAGGAACTGAGGCTGATCAGAAACGGATAGATGAACTACCCAATAGAGACTTTGCCATTCACTCTATAAGCTTTCCATTTTTTTCGTAAAGCAATATGCTGATGTCAGAAGACTTTTAGCAAAAAAAATGACATGATCACAAGTATATTTGATAAAGGCAAAGGTTGTCTCACAAATGTTGTCTTCCTCTCAAAATTGTGTCTTCCATAAGTACAAGGAACACATTTTTTTTCCCGTGCATCTCCCTAAACATTTAAAATGACAGGTATAGAATAATCTTCAACACATTAAACATAAGTTACACAGTAGGCAAACTAACATTTGAATTCCCAATATAACATAAGTTGTTAGATATAAGAAAACAAGGTATTAGTTACTTAAAGTACATGTAAGTAGAGCTCTCCAGGTCTGGAGAACTTTTATATAGATTCTGCCATTTGTTCTCATGATATTCCTCTAAATGGAATGGGAAAGGAGGGAGCCAAACATTAAATATGTACTTTGAAATCTTGATAGGCTGTATAGACGTGACTAATCTTGTAAGTATCCTTAAAAGTTGAGCTGTATGAAATCCAGGGCCCTCCTGGGTATCCTCAAGTCTGGTTCTGTCCAGTCACATTTTTCTATGTTTATACCTACAAGATCCTTTCTCTAAGATGAATGCTGATGTACCAACATCCTGAGCTAAACAGTGCTCTAACTCCTGAAGAATTGATGCATTTTTTATCAAACTAAGTAATATCCATAAAATAAAGACATCAGTCTAGTAACAGTTTTTGTTTGTTTGTTTGTTTTTGTTTTGTTTTTACTAGTTCTGTTACCAACTCTTTCAATCTTTTTTTACTGTTCCATTTTAAAGGGACTGAAATAAATTTTTTAAAAAAATTTGGATTCAAGATGCTCCTATTTTGAGATGCACACCTTAAAATTAGAAAAAAACAACGTGAAAACTTGTCTTACATGGAGCAAAATGGTTTTAGAGCAAGGGGCATTAAATTCTCTCTCTCTTTGTCTCCCTCTCTTTTTATTCCTCTCTTTCTCTTTCTCTTATTCCTGTTCTTAAACTATGTCCACCTTCAATATATCATAACCCATAAGTGGGAGTGTCAGCGGTTCACATATCCTCCCAGAAGCAATTGTTAAGCACTTGTTATGTGAAAGTCGTTGTGATCAACACTTGAAATAGAGAAGATAAATTAGGCTTTGAGTTATGGAGAGAAACTTGGTATAAATTTCCTCTCTATCCAAAGGAACTGGCAGTGCTTAATTAAATTTCATGAAATGAAAACAGTAAGTACTAAAAATGGCAATAAGAATAAAGTTCACAAATTGAGTATTTGTTCTATATGACGGTTTTCAAAATGTGGTCCCTGACAAGCAGTGTCAGCAACATCTAGGAACATATTAGAAATGCAAGTCTTCAGGCTTCATTCCTTACTCACTAAATCAGAAATTCTTGGAGTGGGGTCTCACAGTTTTTTTTACAAGCCCTCAGTTGACCCTATTAGACACTAAAGTTTGAGAAGCACTTCTCAATGTTAAATAATTGTTATGTGTTATTTCATTTAACTCTTACAAACCTTATAGGGCAAACACTACTCTATTTTTGCATTAGTTTTCTATTGCCGCTTAAAGAATCACCCCAAAACCTAGTGACTTTGAAACAACAACAAAATTTATTTTGTCATTATCCTTCATGATTCTTGGCATCAGGTGACCTTGTGGTATATTCTCATTCAGCGTCTCTCATATGATCACAGTCAGGTGATAGTTGGGGCTGGAATGATTGGAGGGCTTGCTCACCAAGTCTGTGTCCAGGCTGGGAAGAATTAAGTAGCTGAAAGCTAAAGGAGCTGCAAGTATTTAGGCATCTGTATTTTCTACGTAGTCTCTCCTTTACGGCAGTTCAGGATAGCAAGACTTTTATGGCATTTCAAAATAAGAGTCTAGAGAGAAAAGAAAGAGAGAGAGAGAAGGGGGGAAAGGAAAGAAGGAAGGAAGGAGGGAGGGAGGGAGGAAGCAGAAGGAAGGAGGAAAGGAAGGAAGGAAGGAAGAAAAGGGAAGGGAAGGGAAGGAAGGAAAAGAGAGAGAGAAATGGAAGCTTTGTCAACTTTTATGACCCAGCCTTCGAATTTGCATGCCATCACAAAGGCCTACCCAGGTTGAAAGGGAGGGTTATAGAATCCACCTCTTGCTGAGAGAATTGGCAAGTTATGAGAAGAGATGGCAAACTAAAAATATTTTTGCACCCATCTTTAAAAATATAATCTGTTACAATCTCAATTTTTCAGCTGAGAAAATGAAGATGGAGTGAGGTTAAACAATTTGGCCAAGATTTCACAGTTAGTGAATGGTAGAATAGAGATTGCAGCTTACAATCTTTATCAACATGTAATTCTGGTTTTCATACTGTAACTTTCAGACAAGTGCAGAAGGAGCATTTTACATGAATTATCTCTTTGTTTTTTCTAATGGCCTATTGAGATCTATAGGATTGCCATTCCTGTTTTACAGATAAGAAAACTGAGGCTTAGCTAAATTAAATAACTTACCCACATGGACATGCCTAATAATTTGTGATGCCAAGATTTGAATACAGGTGGTATTAGTCCAAAGCATACATTCAGCCATGGCATTTTACTGATGATCTTTATTATCATTATTCATATATTATAACAACGTATTTTTGTGATGTGTCTTAGCATTTTAGTTTTCTTCTCTATATTATCTACCTATCCCAAGGTATAAAATAATAATTATGTATTACTCCTATGATGTAAAATAATCTTACTTAAAATAGTACATCCTTACGCTGAATTTGAGGTAGTACCACCTATACTGAAAACAATTGAAAGATGACTGTGGTGTCTTAGTATAGGAAGAAAGGCAGGAAGGTGAAAAAGACAATAAGGGATAGTTGAGGAAAGATGAGATTAGTTGGAGTGTGGTGGCTCACGCCTGTAATCCCAACACTTTGGGAGGCCAAGGCAGGTGGATCACTGGAGGTCAGGAGTTCGAGACCAGCCTGGCCAACATGTCAAAACCCTGTCTCTACTAAAAATACAAAAATTAGCCGGGTATGGTGGTGCATGCCTGTAGTCCCAGCTACTCGGGAGGCTGAGGCAGGAGAATCACCTGAACCTGGGAGGCGGAGGTTGCAGTGAGCTGAGATCACACCACTATACTCCAGCCTGGGTGACAGAACGAGACTCCGTCTCAACAGGAAAACAAACAAAAGATGAGATTAATTAAGGACAAAACTGTTATCTTTAATTGTGTGAATATTGGTCATGGAGAAGAATGTAAACTTATTTTGTGTAACTCTCAAGACAGAGGAAAAAAAACCCCACAGCTAATTCTTAAATACTGCAGGTAGGCAGACTCCTGCCCGGGACAAAGCAATTTACAACGATGAGGAGTTCCTGACAATCCACTGGACTCCTAAAGGGGAAATCTGTTTCCTGTGCTGAAAAGTATCGGAGACGGGGACAGCTGGCCAGCAATTGCAAATATTGCAGAACTTTCTACACTAGGAAAGTTATCAAAGGTGGTGGCATGTTTGATTGCTTCTAATTCTAAGATTCTGAGATCATTGGGAAATTTATTGAGGATACACAATAGAATTAACTTTTCAAAGGGCAGTGCTGGATACTTACCAGGTGTCTTCTCGGGCTTATGTGAGCATTAGAGACCCTTGAGACAATCATAGTGCATACTGGGAGTTTACTAAGAAGAAGACAGAAGAAAAGCTATGGCTTGCTGGCAGGACTGTGTCAAGCCTTTCTCTCCGTGGCAGTCAAGGCAGCACTTTAGCCATCCAGAAGCTGTCTTTTTCCCAGAGGATAACTTCTGGTCCAAAGAAGCAAGCTCCACATTGGTGGGTGTAGGGCTGCCGTGGCTTAGTAGTTCTGTATCCCAGAAAGTCAAATATCTCTTTTAACACTCCATAGGAATAGCTTCTGAAGTCACCACAAGGGATACCTGTGACACAACACTTAGAGAACCCCAAAACATGACACCCATCATGTGTTTATAGTTTATAATTCTTCCCAGTCCAGACGTAGTTTACTGCTCAGGGTTATATTTTACTCTTAGCTGTTGCCTAGAAACATGTTGACATTCTTAGCATTATCAGGTTTTTCAAAGGAAGAGAGCTGGATAATTAACTCAAGGTCATTTTATCATGCATCAGAGATGGTATTTTGTTAACACTTTGTCTACAGTAGCATTCAAAAATAAAACCTGAACTAACATTTTAAGACATTTGCTACAATGTCAGGCCCTCTGCTAAGCAGCTTAAGCACAATATTTTATTTAATCTTCAAAGCATAACTATATCTGAGGTACTGTTTTTACCCCCATTTTATAGACAAGGAAATTAAGTATTGAGAGGATCTGTAACCTGGCAAAGTCACACAACTAGCTAATATATGACAGTCAGAATTAAATTTAAAATCTGTTTTTTTTTCTGTTCCAAGTCTGAGTTCTTAACCATTGTTTATTGATTGACTATTTATTGACCTCAAAACTTTGCTAGTAGCTAGAAGTAAACAATTAAACAAGACACATGTAGAACCTACATATTGCATGCTGCAATAACTTATGCTGGATATTTACAGATTGAAAACATGTGAGTACTAAATTATATCAAAGAATATGTCATTGATGCCAGAGACGTGAGTAATAAACCCACCAGCTAATTAGCTTCCCACATGAAGTGGCTTGAGGTAAGCAGGACTGGCCCATAGACTATGCTTCTTCCCTAGGACAGATCAAATAAAAGGGAGAAATGAAGATCACAGTTACCTCTGCCCTGAAGCTAGCGTAGTCTTGCACTTGTAATTTTGGAAGTTTTTATGCAGCACTTGATTACTGCCTCAACAGAAAGAAAAGAACCCCACAGTCCACCTCAGTATATTGTAAGAAATGAACGTTTATTTGATATTAATGACCACTTCAAAATAAATGAGTTTCTCTGGCAATGGACACAGCTCTTTTATTCCCCTAGAAACAATGTCCCCTGGACATTGAATCTGGTAACTCCACCAACCCCTGCTGCCCCTAGCCAGGTGGGATGTGATGACTTGGGCTTCCAGTACAGAGGTGCCACCCCTACCAGAACTCTGCATGCTGACACAGCTCTGTGTTCCCCCTTGGAAGCACATACATAGCAATCTGCTACTCCACCTACCCCCACTGCTCCTAGCTGGGCAGGAATCCTAGCTGGGGCTTCTAGCACAGTGGCCCCAACCTTGCCAGAACTTTATGTTCCCTGAGGAAGCACCTGGATGGCGGTCAGTGCCTACATATCCACCTCTGCTGCTCCTAGCAGCGGGACCCACAGACTTAGACTTCTAGTGCAGCAGCTCCACCGCAGCCTGAACTCTGCAGATGGGCACTGCTCTGTGTTCTCCCAGAAAACACCCAGATTGCAGACTATGCAACTTCTATGTTTTCCTCATTGCTCCTAGCTAGGCAAGATTCACCAACTTGGATGGAACCCAAGCAAGGGAAAAGCCCCCAGCTTTACAACACTGAGAGAGGTGAGACTCACAGACTTATGGGCCAACAGGAAAGTGGAGCATACCACCTACCACAGGGCTGGTCAGGGAGGGGTGTGACCTGTCTGCCAGACCTAGCCTCTCCCTGAGGGAGCCCCGCAGCCCAAAACACCTAACAAAGAAAACTCAGGTACAGTGCCAGTGATAGGGTGGGGCTCCTACAAAGCCCAAAAGTGGACTTGGTGAGTGGGTCATCTCGCTCCCTGACTACCACAGAGCACTACTGTGAAAGCATTGAAATAGAAGATAGCCATGTAGCTGAGTAAGAGTCTATCTGACAGCCATTACTGTTAAGCACCATCTACTTGATCATACGACAAATTACAACAACAAAAATATTTTGCTGGTGTACAGTACCTGTGAAACCTAAGGCAAATATTCAACCACAAATAAAGATCCTACCCAGAGCCTTCGCCCTCTGAAAGCACCCAGAAATGAAGCCAATGACTATACTCATCTTACATGATAGTTAAAGGAAAACTATCAGGGAGAAATTCTTAACACAAGCATTTTGGCAATTCAGAAAGCTGAAGTGTCCCCTTACCTCCAAACAAACACACTAACCTTCAGCAATGGTTCTTAACCATTATTGAAATGACAGCAATGGATGGGAGACAGAATTTGGAATCTGGATGGCAAGGAAGCTCATCAAGCTCCAGGAGAATGCTGGAACCCTATCCAAGGAATGCAGTAAAACAACCCAAGAGCTGAAAGATAAAATAGTCATTTTAAGGGATAACCAAACTGAACTTCTGGAATTGAAGAATTCTCTACAAAAATTTAATAATACAGTCAGAAGCATTAACAGCAGAATAGACCAGGTTGAGGAAAGTATATCAGAACTCAAAGACTGGTTCTTCAAATAAACCCAGACAGACTAAAACCAAGAAAAAAAAAGGGTTTTTTTAAGGGAAAAAAACCTCTGAAAAATATGTACTTACGTAAAAAGATCAAATCTAAGACTCATTGGCATTCCTGAGAGAGAAGAGAGAGTAAGCAACTTGAAAAACATATTCGATAATATAGTTTATGAAAATTTTCTCAATCTTGTTGGAGAGGTAGACATACAAATTCAAGAAATACAGAGAAGCCATGTGAGATACTATATAATACTACCATTCTCAATGCTCATAATCATTAGATTCACCAATGTCAATGTGAAATAAAAGGCACTTAGAGAGAAAGGTCAAATCACTTACAAAGGAAACCCCATCAGGCTAACACGAGATATCTCAGCAGAAATCTTGCAAGCCAGACAAGATTGGGGGCCTATTTTCAACACCCTTAAATAAAAGAAATTCCAATAAAGAATTTCATGTATTTCCAAACTAAGCTCCATAAGTGAAGGAGATATAAAATCCTTCTCAGAAAACAAACACTCAGGGAATTCATTACCACTAGATGACCTTATAAGAGGTTCTTAAGGGAGTGCTAAACATGGAGATGAAAGATAGAAACTTGCTACCTCAAAAACAGACTCAGGCAAATAGCCCACACACAATATAATGCAATTACACAATCAAGTCTACAAAACAACCAACTAGAAACACAATGACAGGAATGAAATCTTACATACTAATACTAACCTTGAATGTAAATGGTCTAAATGCCCCACTTAAAAGGCCTAGAATGGCAAGCTGGATAAAAAGACAAGACCCAATCATCTGCTGTCTTCAAGAGACCCATCTCACATATCACAACACCCACAGGCACAAAGTAAAGGGATAGGAAATATTTACCATGCATACAGAAAACAAAGAAAGAGCAGGAATTACTATTCTTAGATAAAACAGACTTTAAACCAACAGTGAAAAAGGTCAAAAATGGCATTACATAATTATAAAGAGTTCAATTCAACAAGAGGACTTAACTATCTTAAATATATACTCACCCAACATTGGAGCACCCAGATTCATAAACAAGTTTTTTTTGACCTACAAACACACTGAGACAGCCACACAATAATAGTGGGAAATTTCACCACCTAAATGAAAGTGTTAGACAAATAATCGAGGCAGAAAACTATTAACAACAAAGAAATTCTGCAGTTAAGCTTGGCACTTGACCAACTGGACCTAATAGACATCTACAAAATACTCCATCTAACAACCACAGAATATACATTCTTTTCTTCTGCACATGGGACATATTGTAAGATTGACCATGTGCTTGATTATAAATCAAGAGTCAATAAATTCAGACAATCAAAATCATACCAAGCACACCCTTGGACCACAGTGCAATGAAAACAGAATTCAATACCAAGAAGATCTCTCAAAACTATTCCAAAACATGGAAATTAAACTACTTGCTTCTGAATAACTCTTGGGGGAGCAATACAATTAAGGTAAGAAGTTTTTAAAAATGAAATTAATTAAAATAGAGGCACAACTTACCAAAATATGTAGTATGCAGTTTACCAGTGTTAAGAGGAAAGTTTATAGTGCTAGACACATTCATCAAGAAGTTAGAAATATGTCAAATTAATGGGCCGGGCACAGTGGCTCACACATGTAATCCCAGCACTTTGGGAGGCTGAGGCGAGTGGATTGCCTGAGTTCAGGAGTTCAAGACCAGCCTGGGCAACACAGGGAGACCTTGTCTCTACTAAAATACAGAAAATTAGTGGGGCATGGGGGTGTGTGCCTATAGTCCCAGCTACTCAGGAGGCTGAGGCAGGAGAATTGCTTGAACCCAGGAGATGGGGGTTGCAGTGAACTGAGATTGTGCCACTGCACTCCAGCCTGGATGACAGAGCGAGACTCCATCTCTAAAAAAAAAAAAAAAAAAAAATCAAATTAGTGATCAACATCACACCTAGAAAAACAAAGCAGAAATAAAGAAATAACTATAATCAGAGAAGAACTCAATAAAATTGAGACAAAAGTCCATAGAAAAAAATAGAAAAAAACCAAGAGTTTAGTTTTTTGAAATAATAAACAAGATTAATAGGCCTCTAGCTAGATTAATAAAGGAAAAAAAAAAGAAGATCCCAATAAGGGCAACCAGAAATGACAAAGATGACATTAAAACTGATCCCAGAGAAATACAAATAGTCCTCAAAGACAGTTATGAAAACCTGTATGCACACAAATTGGAAATCTAAAGGAAATGGCAAAGTTCCTGGAAACACACAACATCCCAAGATTGAACCAGGAAGAAAAGGGAAAAGCATAACAGACCAATAACAAGCTCCGAAATTGAATCCTCAATAAAAAACCTACCAACCAAAAAAAGCCCTAGACCAGATGGATTCAAGTTGAATTTTACCAGACATACAAAGAACCGGAACCAATTCCACTGAAAATATTCCCAGAAATCAAGAAGGAGAGGCTCTTTCCTAACTTATAAAGCCAGTATCATCCTAATACTAAAATCTGGCACAGACATAATGGAAAAAGAAAACTTCAGGCCAATATCTCTGATGAACATTGATGCAAAATTGTCATCCAAATACTAGCAAACTGATTTCAGCAGCACATCAGAAAGTTAATTCACCATGGTCTTGCAAGCTTTATTTCCGATATTCAACATTGATTCAAAATATGCAAATAAATAAATGTGATTCACCACATAAACAGAATCAAAAACAAACTAGAAAAATCATCATCTCAGTAGTTGCAGAAAAAGCCTTTGATAAAACCCAACTTTATTTCATGATAAAAACCTTCAACATGCTAGGCATTGAAAGATCATACCTCAATATAATAAGAGCCATATATGACAAATCCACAGCCAACATCATACTGAATAAGCAAAAATTGGAACGATTCTTCTTGAAAACTGGAACAAGACAAGAATGTCCACTCTCACTACTCCTATTCAGCATAGTATTGGAAGTCCTAGCCAGAGCAATTAGGCAAGAGAAAGAAATAAAAGACATTCAAATATGAAAAAAAGAAGTCAAACTATCTCTGTTTGCAGATGGTATGATTCTATACATAGAAAACCCCAAAGACTCCATTAAAATGCTCCCAAAGCTGTAAATGACTTCTGTAAAGTTTCAGGATACAAAATCAATGTATAAAAATTAGTAGCATTTCCACTCACTAATAATCTTCTAGTTAAGCATCAAATCAAGATCACAATCCCTTTTATGATTGTTCAGAGAAAATTATGAACAATTAGTCATACAAAAATGAAATACCTAGGAATGCATCTAACCAAGGAGGTAAAAATCTCTACAAAGAGAACTACAATACACTGAGGAAGTAAATCAGAGATGACAGAAATAAATGGGAAAATATTTCATGCTCATGGGCTCATGGATTGGAAGAATCAATATTGTTAAAATGGCCATAACTGCCCAAAGGAATTTAAAGATTCAATGCTATCCCTATCAAATTACCAACATCATTTTTCACAGAAGTAGTAAAAACTATTCTGAAATTTATATGGAACCAAAAAAGAGCCTGAGTAACCACAGCAAACCTAAGCAGTAAGAACAAACTCTTAGGCATCCCATTACCAGAATTCAGATTATACTGTAAGGCTATAGTAATCAAACAGCATGGTACTGGTACAAAAACAGACACATCGATTAGTGAAATAGAGTAGGGGTCCCAGAATTAAAGCTGCACAGCTACAACCATCTGATCTTTGACAAAGTCAACAAACATAAGCAATGGAGAAAGGACTCCCTATTTAATAAATGGTGCTGGGATAGCTAGCTAACTTTTGCATTCATATGCAAAAGAATTAAACTGGAACCCTACACTTTACTGCATACAAAAATTAACTCAAGGTGCATTAAAGACTTAAATGTAAGACCTCAAGCTACAAAAATTCTAGAAGAAAACATAAGAAATACCATTCTTCACGTAAGATTTAGTAAATAATTTATGGCTAGATCCCCAAAACCAGTTGTAACAAAAACAAAAATTGACAAGTGGTACCTAACCAAACTAAACAGCTTCTGCACAGCAAAGGAAACTATCAGTAGAGTAAATAGCTTACAGAATAGGTGACAATATCTGCAAACTATGCATCAGACAAATGTCTAATATCCAGAATCCACAGGGAATTTAAACGAATGCTCAAACAAAAAACAATGTAATTTAAAAATGGGCAAAGAACTTGAATGGACACATCTCAAAGAAAACGTCAAAGAGGCCAACAAAAATATGAAAAAATGCTCAACATACCTAATCATCAGAGAAATACAAATCTAAACCACAATGTGATACCATCGCATACCAGTCAGAGTGATTATTATTAAAAAGTCAAAAAAACACAAATGCTGGTGAGAGAATGAGAGAAAAGGGAACACTTATTCACTGTTCGTGGTAATGCAAATTAGTTCAGACACTGTGGAAAGCAGTTTGGAGATTTCTGAAAGAACTTAGAGTAACCATTTGATCCAGCAATCCCATTACTAGGTATAAATTGTTAAACAATACATTATTCTACCAAAAAAAAAAAAAAAAAAAAAAAACACCTGCACTTTTAAGTTCATTGCAGCTGTATTCACCATAGCAAAGATATGGAATCAACGTAGGTACCCATTAACGGTGGATTGGATAAAGAAAATATGCTGCATATATACCATGGAATACTATGCGGGCATTAAAAAGAAGAAAATTATGTCCTTTGCAGCAACATGGATGCAGCTGGAGACCATTATCCTAAGTAAATTAATTCAGGCACAGAAAACCAAATACCATATAGTCTCATTTATAAGTAGAAGCTAAACATTGTGTACATGTGGATGTAAAGATGGGAACAATAGACTGGGAACAACCAGAGGGAGGAGGTAGAGGGTGTGGTCTGACAAACCACCTATTGGGTATTGTGCTCACTATGTGGGTAATGGGACCCTCCATTCCCCAAACCTCAGCCTCATGCGATATACCCATGCACCCATGTAAGAAACCTGAACATTTTAACCCCTGAATACAAAATAAAACATTTTTAAATACAACCTAAAAAAACAGTTTTCCTGACTGCTAAATCTAGTAGATGGATAATATATTGTTAAATCCTGTTTTTGTTTATCATGAACTTAACTGGATGTCACATAGATGGACTTGAATCCCGTTCTCATTCATGGTATGGGAACACAAAGACATATGGATTTGAAATTGGCTTCTGTTAAGGGTTGCCAATTAAAGTGTGAGATAGTTACACTGGAATCTCTGCTAACAACAAATAAATTTTTATATAAGTATATCTTGAATGTTGTATGGGTCATACTTTCACTAAAAATAATTTGCTTTTCACGTGAGGTTCAAATTTAGCTAAGTCCCTGTATTTTTATTTGCTAGATCTAAAAATTCTACTTCAGGAGTCTCAGTGCTTGACATTGCCAGCCTGAGGTTTGACATTGCCAAACCGCAATGCTTTACAGAATTGAGACAGGGAGCTCATTCATTCATTTCTTCATACAAAAATCTTTACTAAGGGCCTCTTGTATATCAGATAGTATTAGAGATGGGCATATATATTGATATACTTATGGATGATTATAGTGTTTGCAAAGTGGTAAATATTATGAAAGTCAAGAAGTAAGGCAAATAAAGTGACCACTAAATGGCTAATATTTATAAAGCACTCTTCTCTATGCAGACATCTTATTAAGCACTTACATATATTCTCTCACTGTATCTTCACACCAACTCTAAGAAGTATGTGCATTTCATATATGGACACATTGAGATGTAAGACTTGGAGATGTTAACCAACTTACTCTACACCATGTGGCTGATAAATGGCAGAAGTAGGATGGAGGCCTCTTCCACTTAATGCCAGACTCTGAGCTCTCACCAATACACTTCCACTAAAATGAGACTGAGATAAATAGAGGTGGCCACAAAAGGCTCACTGGAGAATGCCATGAAGGACGTTTTGTAGTACAGGTAAGGAGTGATCAGATGGACTTAATGGATGGTGAAAATGATGAGAGTCTTCCTTAGGAAACACAATGCCTGGGGCATAGGGTACATATGGAGAAGGGCAGAAAATGGGCACAGAATCAAGGGTAGGAATTCAGGCAACATCAGGCTGGACATTGATCTGTTAAAGAAGTTTTTCCCAATTTTTCCATCTTGGCCAATTACTAAATAATTTCTATTTGTAGAGAACCACAAGTTAGAGTCACTTTAATCTTAATTACAATGCTGTAGTACAATCAAATGCTTAATAGGCTCACCTCAAAATGAAGATAATAGCAAATAAAGATAATAATCACAACAATTATATACGAGTATTCACTATGGGCTGGGAATCATTCCAAGTTCCTTAGAAATATTAACTTATATAGTTCTCACAACAACTGTATGAATTAAGTACAATTTTTAACTCATTTTGAAGGACAAGACTCTAAGGAATATTGAATTGAAAAAGCTTGCCCACAAGTGACACTTCCAAAAGTAAATAAATGTTCAAGTGACAGGATATTCTGCCATGTTCTCGAAATCCCTGTTTTTCAGCTGATTCATGGAAGTCTGATTATGATATAGGAAAAGCTGGTTATCAATGGGCAATGTATAGTAATTTGGAGTCTAAAAGCCAGATGTACATACATAATTTTACACAATTATTTTAATTTAACACTTTGTTTTGTTTTGCTTTTACTGCATACTGAGTAAGGAAAAGAAGTCCCAATGGAAAACTCTGCCAACAGAATACCTTGACTTCAGGGATTTTCATATGCAGGAGGCTCTAGCCAGCAAGAGGCAGTGTAGGCAGCTGCAAATGAAGTTCTGGGCACACTGAGAGGCGTGGGGAGGCCACTCATAGGAGACAGGCCTTCAACAATAAACAGGATGTCAACAAGCACACTAAGGCACTCGGTAAGATATTTTACATGCAGAATTGTGTGAAAAGACATACGTGGGTATTTCTTCAAGGAAATAAGAATGGAGCACAGAAGTGGCAAGAGTAAATGCATAGGCTGTTTTCTACATGTATCAAAGTATTCAATATATTTAATTATCACAATAAGCCAATCAAGTGGTACTGTTATGCCCATTTTACAGATGAAGACTAAGCCAAAGAGAAATTATATGCAATGGCCAATGTCATAGAATTAATTAGATAGAAAACAATACTCAAATTGTCACTTGTCTTATTGTAAAAACATATCTACTTTTTATCTATTAATTTATTCCAAAACTATATAATCAGTTCCTATGTAGGCACCTGTATGTTGTGGTGAAATAAACAGTCATAATTTCTGACATCATGAGGCTATTAGTCTCCTATCTACACTGTACCTGACATCTGATCTTAACTAATTATTTTTAAATTTTGTATTTGTGAACACCTCATTTTATTTAATGTGGATACTATGTATTCTGGATTGAGGAAAAGTCGAAGGATTTGCTGAGGCTCTAGCTAGGTAGGTTCCATAGTAGAAAGTCACGGAAAAAGGAAAAAAGTCTCAAGTCAGCTTGGCTATCAATCTGGCACATTTTATAAATGCTACAGTAAAAAGCAAATCAATAAGTTGTCTGCAGTGGGACTGCTGGAAACAAGTCATTGTCCATATTTAATTAAAAGGCCATATTGATGTCTGGCACTACTTCAGAAGTGTATGACATCTTCGGATGATTACGTTACAGGAGAAGCTGCCAACAGTGGGAAGACAGAGAAGAAGGTAAAATAGTACGGAAACCCTTGGAACTGTTCATGGCCAAAGTTGGCCTGTTATCTAAACCCCTTGGCATTTTTGCTATAACAGTAGACTTGTGAATCTGCAGATCTTCACATTTTTCCTATCTCCAAGGTGCTCAAGGGAAAATAGGAAAACCCAGGCTTCAGTGGAGGATTGTGTCAGAGCATCAACATTCTTGAATTATTAATTTAAGAAAGGAAGGCATTTTTACTATTTAAATCCAAGTAGGGATGCTTGTGCCAAAATACCTTCAGAAAAATTTTTAATTTTAAAAATATTTATGGATCACAAGTTTTCATTACATGCAAGTCCTCACATAGCTTCCCATCTCCTGTCAAACTCTCTGATCTCATCTCCCAATGTGTCCTGCCCTGCTCAGTTCTTCTAGCACTCTGGTCTCCTCTTGGGTCCTCTATAATACCCCCCACCACAAAGCCTTGGAACTTTCTTCTTCCTCTGCCCAGGATTCTCTTTCTCCAGATATTTGTTTCCTCAATTCTCAACGCTAATGCTGAGTGCTATCCTGGCTGCCTTATTTTAAAATTGCACTTAGGAATACTTATCTCTCTTTCCTTAATCCACAGCACCTATCACCTTTCAAAATACCTTATAATTGACGTATTCTGTTCATTATTTATTATATAGATTTTCTAATAAAACCTATACTCTATATGGACAGGAATTATTTTTCTGTCCATTTGTGCTAATAAATCCCAAGTGTCTAGAAACATACCGCTCAATAAATATTTGTTGAAAGAATGACAACATTTCTTCCTATATGATGTTCCACAAATGAATGTGGATTCTCCTATCTCCTTCCAAGATTTTAGGCTAATCCCCATTCATTGCTCTGCTCAGAATGAAATAAAAAGTTGCTCTTAAACCCATAGAGAAAACTGATGTCAGGGTTTACCCTGATCTATTCTATCAATGTCTACAGAATTAATCAGATCTTAATGAAGTGAACATTCTTTATCTTCTGTCAAGTTTTGCTTTTTGCTTTTTTTCTTTTATCTGGTGGGGGTAGGATTGTCACAAATTGAGGATTTAGGCCTATTTCATGTAAGAATTCTTGCTTGTAAAAATTAGAAATTGGTACACCAACCAATGAAACAAAATAGAGAACCCAGAAATAAACCCATGCAGATACTGTCAATAAACTTTGACAAGGCACCAAAAATACACAATGGGGAAAAGACATTTTTTTCAATAAATAGTGTTGTTTGGGAAAGCTGAATATTCATATGCAAATGAATCAAATTGGACTTTTATACACAAAAATTAACTTGAAATTTATTAAAGACTTAAATGCAACACCTGAAACTGTAAAACTTCCAAAAGAAAACATAATGAAAAAGTTTTTTGGCATGGTCTTGGCAATGTTATTTTGGATATGACACCAGAAGGACAGGAAACAAAAGCAAAAATAAACAAGTGGGATATATCCAACTGAAAAGCTTCTGTGCAGCAAATAATATAATCAACAAAATGAAAGGGCAACTTACAGAATGGGAGAAAATATTTGCAGATGCTTTATCTGATAAGGGATTAATATCCAAAATACATAAGAAGCTCAAAAAACTCAATAGCAAATCATAATGATCTAGTTTTTAAAATGTGCAAAGGACCTGAGTAGACATTTTTCCAAAAAAAAAACATACAAATGGCCAATAGGCCTATGAAAAGATGCCTAACATTAATAAAAATCAAGGAAATGAAAATAAAAAAATCACAATGAAGTATGACTTCACATCTGTTAGGATGGCTATTGTGAAAAAGACAAGACATAAAAGGTGTTAACGTTGTGGAGAAAAATGAACCCGCTACACTTTTGGTGGGAATATAAATTGATATAGCCATTATGGAAAACAATATAGAGGTTCCTCAAATTAAAAGAGATATCTGCAACCTCATATTCATTGCAACATTATCCACAATAGCCAACATATGGAGACAACCTAACTGTCCATCAATGGATGAATGGAAGAAAATTTTATACACACACACACACACACACACACACACACACACACACAGAGGAATATTATTCAGCCATATAAAAAAGAAAATTCTATCTTTTGTGACAATATGCATGAATTTGTAGGACACTACGCTGAGTGAAATAAGCCAGACACAGGAAAACAAATACCGTATGATCTTACTTAGTTGTGAAATCTAAAACAGGTCAAACTCAGAAGCAGAGAGTGGAATGGAGTTTGCAAGGGGCTGGAGAGTTGGGGAAATGGAGACAGATGGTCACAAGGTACAAACTTTCAGTTATAATATGAGTAAGCCTTCGTAGGCTTACACATAGCATGCCGACAATAATTAATAATGTTACATAGTTTACTTGAAATTTGCCAAGAATGTAGATCTTAAGGGTCCTCATCTCTTAAGATGAGGATGTGTTAATTAATTTGATGGTGATAATCATTTCACTATGTATATCTAAGTCAAATTTTCACATTGTATATTTTGGAACATACATGTTTATTTGTCAATTATACTTTAGTAAATTGAAAAAATTAGAAATGGACCAAAAAAGGCAAAAAAAAAAAAAAAACACTCAAATGTAACAAATTTACTTTTTCTTTTAGGCCCATCACAATAATTGGGTACAAAACAAAATTTAAAAGATAGCCAACTATTTAGGAATAGAAAGCAATCAGCTCACTGCATATTATTTGATTAATAATAGAATAAAATATAGATGAATAAAATTATTAGAAAGCAAAAGAGTAAATGACATCTGCACAACAAACCCAAAGTATTAGAAGAAAGAACATATAGAAAGAAAACAAGTCAATATTTGATTAATAAAATAACTTTTATTAGTGTTTTGAAAAAATTATAAAAGAATTTGAAGTGTTTCAAAAGAAATTATTAAAGGTAATTTTTCGTAAGTCTAATGAGAAAGAGCAAAAGGAGGAGAAAGAGGTAGAGGGAAGTAGTGAGAGACAGAGAATTCAAATAATAAAACTAGGGAGAAGAAAGTGGATATAACAGATATATAAGAAATTCCAATATTTGTTTTTTAGTGTAAATAAAAATAAATGTGAAAGGATTCATGTTCATTCATGATACTGAGTAATTAGAATCAACTTTAATATCCATCAGTAAAAGACTAAGTGGATTTTGATATTCCATATTATGAAATAGAAAAGAGTTAAAAAGACTGAAATATATTACCTTATGAAATACATCACACACAGACACACATACACACACACACACACACCCATTATTAACTGGAAAAAGAAACAGCAAAACAACATGACCATTTTATTTGTATTGTATATATTTATTTATGTAAATTTTGAAAAATCTGGAAAGATATAAGCAAAGTCTTACTTGTTATTTCTTCTAAGAAAAGTGAGATAATTGGCAAGACTATAAGGTACCCTTCTACTCTTGGTTCTATATACTTCTATATTGCTTGAACTTTCAATATTGAGGATGCATTAAAATATAACAGAAATATATAGAGTACCCTTTATATAATTAAAACATATATGAAGTTACATCATTATCTAAATGGCAGGCAATTATCAGAAGTTTGACTCTGGGCCAATAAACTTTTCAAGTAAGCAAGTGCAGATTCAGATCAACAAATATTCTTTCTAGATAATTCCTTTATATGTGAGCTTCGGGTCACCTAATCACTGCTCAATGTGCTATCATTAACTGCTCTGCTTTTCTGTTTAAACAAAGAGAAAAAATAAAAATAAAAATAAAATAAAACAATACCTGTCAGGCTTCCTCTTACACTTTTTTATTATAATCATGAACTATGATGAAGATGATGTTGAAGATGGAGCTATGCAGAATGACCTCTCAAGTGGTTTTGAATTGATTTTGTATGGAATAAAATACCGTTTTTGAATAGATGAGTAATATTACTAGATTTCTTATTTATAAGCTAGTCTGTTGGCAGAGTGGAGGTTGGATTGTGGTGAAACAGATTAGAGGCAGATAGACTGTAGGAGGTCATGAATCCCCCTTGAGTATGCCTCAGAAACAATAGAAGCCAAGGTGAGCAATACCTCAGGAGTAGAATTTTTAGGCCAGGAATAACCTCTTTTTTTTGTATGTTTGCACGTGTGTGTGTCAGAGAGAGAGAGAGTGTGTGTGTGTGTGTGTGTGTAAAATGTATTTTTAAGGTACCCAAGAGATTCTGATGATCTGCCAAGTGTGGGAATTTCTGAGCAAGGAGAAATTTACAACAAATCAAATAATCTTTGGAGAGCTCAGAAAGGTATGGAATGGGAGATGTTCTGTTAGAAGAGCCTCCTTACAGAATGTGTTTTTTGTTTTTTTCAAAATCATATTTCGAATGGTATCTTTACCAACTCCTGTTGTTTCCCGATTCACATTTTCAGTTATCGTTTCTGGAAAAGGCATTTTCATTCTCATAAGCCAGGATTATTGTAAAAATCAACTCTCTTTTCCTCTCTGTCAGCGAATCACTATTCTAAGGAAGGAATGGAGAGACTGGTCAGGCTAAAGAAAGTAAAATAACAGAGAAAGGATTTTTCACAAGACAAGGCGTCAGTGAGTAAACAGAAAGCATTGCTACCTACTTGCAACGATTTGTCTGCTTATTGTTCTGTGCATACTATCTCAACTTCTTACACTCTCTAAAGGGTCTAATGTCATCTGACCCTGGACTTGATCCAGCCTCCTCTTAGGCCAGTCTTCTTCTTCCTTGCTCAGCTGCCACCACACAGACTTTGTTTCAGCTTCCGGCCTGTGAGCCTTTACATTTGTTCCCTTGGCTCACACATCTCCCTGCTGCTCTTCAAATGGTTGTGTTCTTTTCAGCACATAGATCAAAATTTAGAAGCGACATCCTCAAAAACTGTTCCTGACCTTCCTACTTAAAGGAATCTTCCCTTTTTCATTCATCTCCCTTCTCATTTCCTTCATAGCTCTTAGCATGGTTTGTGTTGCGCTTGTTTACTGATTTATTACCTTTGCTTAGCACTAGGATTTAAGACCAAATGGCAGGGCTTGTGGCTTCTTGTCCCATAGAATATAGTTAAGCCCATCAAGTGTGACAGATGCTTGGTATTCAAATATTTTTTAAATAAATGGCTGAGAAAATTTGAAAGAAAAAACCAATAATCCCAAAATACAAATTGCCAAAATCAGAAACTCAGAATTCAGAGCCTTATGTTATCAGGTATGTTAGTTTCAGAAGAAGGGAAAATAGACATACTCATATATGTGCTAATCCGGAAATCAAGCAGCTCTAGGCGCCGACCTTCATCATCCAAGATTATCTCTTCCTGTTTTGACAATGCTAGCATTTGCAGCAAGCAAGCTGGTTTGTCAAGACCTTGTCCTTTTAAAAACTAATGGCTTTGTCATCCCCAGGAGAGGCCTGAGGCTGTGTATGAAGGTGTACGGGGTTTCCCACGGGCAGCTACTTGCTGAACTGAATATACCTAGCTTCCTTGTCAAGTCTAGAATTGTTTGATTTCCTGCAGGAAATGTTTGCCTTTGAAAACTCCAGTGGGGAAATAGCTTTTTCACCTCTGCTCAAGAGAATGAGTTTAACATTGTCTGAAGATGAGATTCATCCCCTGGAGGAGGTGCAGAGCTTCTAATGAGCTTAGGAACAAATCAGAAAAACAGCAGGCAGTGGATTCCAATACCCACCCACCCCCACCTTGGTTTCATAAAATATCTGTTTTAGATGTTTCCATGAGTGAACTACCCATTTACACTGATTTTTTTGTCTGTATGCTATATTAGATGTGTATAACTCTAATGTGGAAACACATCTAACCACATTACACATTGTAAAAGGTGTGTGATTTTGCTCCTTGGGGTGCATTCTATTTAAATATTCATTAATGCATTAACAACCAGGCATGCAGTTTTATCTGTTTTATCTCTAATCTGAGGCTTGAGGCTTGCTACTGGCACTTTAAGCCAGAAAAACTTATATCCTTGCAGACATGCACACACACACACCACACACACACACACACACACAACCACAAAGCACGTTATAGCCACTGAAACAATGTCAGGCCAGAGGTTATTCTCAGCAACTACTTCCATGACCTCAGATTGAACTTGTTTGCTAGCTACAACTTCCTCTTTCTCCCATTAAGGTGCCCTCCCGACTCTTGCTGTTCTCAGAAATTAATCGTCCACACTGGACCTTTGGGCGTTGCTTTTACATTTGTTCCCCATGGCATCTGACCCTCAATTCTCCATAGTGGATTTCCAGTTGTCTCATTCTTCTGTTTAAGTGAAATCCTTGCTACCTATGGTGGAAGTTTCTGCCCTAGGTTCCACGCGAACCTAGGTCTCAACAGTGACCCTTTGGCTAGTAATTTAAATATTACAAGCTCAAAGGTAAAGGTGAGTTGAAAATATAATTTGTTTTAAGCACTGATCATCTACATTCATTTATTTATTTTATTATTTATTTATTTTTTGAGACGGAGTCTCACTCAGTCGCCCAGGCTGGAGTGTAGTGGTGCGATCTCGGCTCACTGCAACCTCTGCCTGCCAGGTTCAAGCTATTCTCTGCCTCAGCCTCCCAAGTAGCTGGGATTACAGGTGCCCACCACCACGCCTGGCTAATTTTTGTATTTTTTTTTTTTTAGTAGAGATGGGGTTTCACCATTTCGGCCAGTATGGTCTTGAACTCCTGACCTCGTGATCCACCCGCCTCAGCCCCCCAAAGTGTTGAGATTACAGGTGTGAGCCACTACGCCCGGCTTTATTTTATTTTATTTTGAGACAGAGTCTCACTCTGTCTCCAGGGTGGAGTGCACTGCAAGCTCTACCTCCTGGTTTCAAGCGATTCTCCTGCCTCAGCCTCCTGAGTAGCCGGGACTAAAAGCGCACACCACCACACTCAGCTAATTTTTGTATTTTTAGTAGAGACGGGGTTTCACCATATTGGCCAGATGGTCTCCATCTCTTGACCTCATGATCCGCCTACCTCGGCCTCCCAAAGTGCTGAGATTACAGGCTTGAGTCACCTCGCCTGGTCCATTTATTTTTTTTAAAAGAGTAACCCAAGTGGAAATTGAACAGAAAGAACTTTTAACAGCAAAACATTCGTTCCTACAGCTACAATGGCTTCATAGTGGGAAAAGGAGGGTAAAGACAAGTCAGTGAGAGAGGATCCTATATGTCATACTCTATCTAGATTTGTTTTTTTTAAATTATCTTACAGTTAAATAGGGAACTAAATCCCTTATAGAGAAACGAAAGCATATTTTTTCTTTGTTTTGTTGTGTTTGCAAGGAGAAGGGCACAGAATAGTGTTGCAAATGCATCCCCAAATCTCCTAAATCTTTTATATTACACCAACTTTCATAACCAGTAAATGACAGTCATGTCCAAGCCACTGTCGTGTATTTTCCAGGTAATTGCAGCAGCTTCCTGACTGGTGTTTCTGCTTCTGCCCTTGCCTCATTTTAGCCTAACATTTACACAGTAGCAAAATGATTTTGTTAAAATAAAGTCAGATCATGGTCACTCTCCTGCTGAAAACCTTCATAAGTTTTCTCATGCCACTCAAAGTGAAAGCCAAAGTCCTTAGAGTAACTTACAAATTCCTGTATGATTTGGCTCCAATTCAATCTCTGATCTCAACTCTTGCTCTTCTCCCTTACTTTTTCCTGCTCTATCCACATTACCTTAAGTCTTCCAGGCACACAGATGCCTTAGGTACTTTGTACTTGTTGCTGTTATTATTACTAGAAAGCCCTTTCTCCAGATATCCACATAGTTAGCTCACTCATTCCCTCCATGACACCACTTGAAAGTCAACTTTTTCAGACTTCTGCTTTAGGTAATTAAGGAACATCTAGGACCAGACTTACTGTCCCACAAACAAGAAATGAAAACTAGGCCATATTTTTTTTAAAGTGTTTTCAGACATGATAAACAGGAACAAGCCTGTAATCCCTGAGAGAAAAGAAACAGAAAAGGCAAGCTGTATAATTTCCTTGGTTTTCTGCCTGAGACACTTTATACATTCACATGCAAAAAATTGGAATCCCAAGCAAAACACAGTGATCTAGATAAGTGGAGGAGACAGAGATGAGAAGTTGAAGAAGCTAATGCAATAGCAATATGAAGGGCAGAGTCCCAGAAAGAAGGGAATTGTCCAACAAAAGAGCACTGAAACTCCACTTATGGGGTCCCTTAACTCTGGCACATGACACCATGCATATGTAGAGTAAAATGCCATCAGGAGAGCAAAGAACAAACATGGAGTTGTAAACTTAACGTGGGTAGGAGGTATTCAAGTTCTGACAGAACAGAGACAAAGCCCTTGTTAAATTCCTGGATGATTCACTAGAGACACCAGAGGGTCCTGCCTTAATAGTAATGATAAACTAGCCCTAGACTGAAGACTACTCTGTCTATGTGATAACAAGCCTAAAAAGTTAGGCTGATCCACAGTAAATAACTCCTGTCAGAAGAAAGTCCAATACTCTTATAGGAAGACAACAAAATTCCGCATGTAAAAATAACCAACATTTATTGAGAAATTACTAAACATGTAAAGATGCAGACAAATATGGCCCTTAGGAGAAAATGTACGCCATATAAAAGATTCATAAAGGACAAAGGCCATGATTAATACAAAAAATGTTTTAATGGCTATTATATTTATGCTACAGAATTTAAAAGAAATGTATATAATGAGGAAAAAAGTAAAATGCTACATATAGATGCCCAATGAAATGTCTAGTTCTAGTAGTATAATATCTGAAGCAAAAAAAAAAAAGCACTGCTTGGTTTAATATCAAATTAGACACAGCTGAAGAAAAGAACTTCTTGAAGGCATATCAATGGAAACTATCCAAATTTAGCACATATATTAAAAAAGATTCAAAGAATAAATAGAGTTTCAGTGACCCATGAGACAATATCAAGCAATGTAACATTGGAGTCTCAGAAGGACAGTTTAGAGGTTGGGGCTGAGTGAATATTTGAAAAGATATGATTGACATATTTTCCAAATTTGAAAAATACTATAAGCCCATGGTACAAAAAGTTCAAGGAACACAATAATCACAAAAATAACCAGACCAAAGAATTTAATAATCAAATTGCTGAAAGTTGAGTGATAGGAAAAAAATAAACTAATCTGAGGAAGAAAAAGACACAAAATGAACACAGAAACAAATCAAATACTTAATGCTGACATTGCCTGAAAGTATGCAATAGAACTAAAGCACTGAATTAAAAAAAGAATCAACCTAGAATTCAATATCTAGATAAATACCTTTTTAAAATTTAAGCAAAATAAATATATTTTAAGGAAAAGAAAAGTTGAGAGAATTAATTACCAACAACGACACTTGGAGGACTATACAGAAAGTTTTCGACCAGAGGAAAGTTGTATTAAATAGAAGGTAGGAAATGCACAAAGGAAACAGGAGCACCAGAAATGCTATATATGTTGGTAAATCAAATATAAGGAAATGAAAGTCAAATATTTGAAGCATCTCCCATTAGACACAAAGTGGTATGTATTATTTAAAAATAAGCTATGATAATTTAAAGATATTTATGACAAATTTTAGAACAACTATTTAAAATAACAATAACAACAAAGAGTTTTATTTAATGAATCAATCATTAAAATAAAATCTTAAAGGCAAAATGAATTTGTGAATCAAAAACATGACAAGAAAACAGGAAAAAAAAGGAACGAAAAGCCAATGGGATTACAGTAATCATTAGTAAGATATAAATCCAGCCATATAAATAATTATATTTAAATGGTCTAAATACCCTAATAAAAAAGGAAAGATCGTCAGACTGCATTAAAAAGCAAGAACAAACCACACTCTTGTTATAAGAAACTCACTTTAACTATAAAGACATAGTTAAAAGTTATTGAAAGGAAAAAAAACACATAACATGTAATCTCCAACTAAGAGAAATCTGGAGTTGATATAGTCCCTATATTAATATCAAACAAAGTGAACTTTGATATCAAACGAAGTGGATCACCTGAGGTCAGGAGTTTGAGACCAGCCTGGCCAAAGTGGTGAAACCCGGTCTCTACTAAAAATACAAACATTAGCTGGGAGTGGTGGCATGTGCCTGTAATCTCAGCTACTCGGGAGGCTGAGACAGGAGAATCACTTGAACCCGGGAGGCGGAGGTTGCAGTGAGCCGGGATCACGCCATTGCACTCCAGCCTGAGCGACAAGAGTGAAACTCCATGTCCAAAAAAAAAAAAAAAAACAAAAACAAACAAAAAAAAACAAAATCAGTTTTAGTGTGCAGATTTCCAAGGCAGCCCTATCAAAAATTTTCAGTACTTGTCATTCTGCAAGTGATACACCTTGGGTCTGTTAATTTCTGTCTTTACAAAATACTAGCTAATTTATTCTACATTTGTGTATTTCTTCCTTACTTGTCTACCATATTAGAATAGAAGTTCTATGAAGGTAACCAGCTTGGTATTATTTGAATAAAATTAATTTTGACAATGAATTTGATGTGGAGAATTAGGTAATAAAGTATCAATTTTATATTTCTTTAATGCTAGATAATTGTATTTAGGATGTTTGCCTTACCTGTTCTGAGATATCACCTGCTTTGAGAGTATAAGACCTGTAATCCTGCAAGGAGCACATTTCTCGTACTTATTATAAGACACTTCCTTTGCACACACAGAAATCAGTAACTCCAAAGCAATTGGCGTTTTCACTAATTGTTATATTTTAGGCTTCTTCCATTTTAAACACATGGCTCAAGAGAGGAAAGAGGAGGAGTGGGATATGCAGTCCTCTTCTATGTTGGAAGAAAACATGATAAGTTGCACAGATAACATTATCTCTACTACAACACAATTTTCAAGGGATTGTTCACAATATCTCTCCAGTATTTGGAGACTCCTAGAATTTCTTTGACTTCATGATTTGGTTCTCAAAGAAATATACATTTATATCTGTTTTATGGACTCTAGGACTTCTTACAGTTCCTCAAATAGTCAGCAACCCTTTCATTGTGTATATAAGCATGATGTAGTAGTAAAGTATTGCCTTGGAGTCAGCGCCATTTCAGTTAGATTATTCTACAACCTCCCTTGGCAAATGTTAACAACACCCTTATACATTGGTTCTTCAATTTAGGCATCTGAGAAATGAAGATAACATGAATTGTGGACTGCATCATATGTGATAAAGAGGATGGCTGCCTAAGGAAGGCAAACAGGACCCTCTGTCAGGTAGTTCTCAATAAACTTCAGATGCCATATACTCCAACTAAAATAACAGAAATTTATTAGCTCACATAACAAGGGGTTGCTGGTAGGGCTGCTGCAGGAATCAGTCACTAAGCAGGTTCTCCCTGTCTCTCTGTACATTTCTCAGCTTATTTCATTGTCCTTTCACTGTGGCTCCCTGCATGGCTTCAAGGTGACTGTCCCCAACATTATGAGCACATGGCATTGACCAGAGACAGAAAATACACATCTGTTTTGTGTACCTTTTTAGCAAAGCAGGTAGAACTGCCAAGAAACCTTCCACCGGGATTCCCACAATATATTGGCCACTTTTGCATCGTCCTGCCGGGTCTAAGGAAATCACTAGACAAGGGGAAGGGAGTTACTATGACTGGTTTCCACTAACCAAGATTCACAATATGGGTCTGGGGAGGAGCTCACTGGCCCATCATCCCCTCTCAGGCACATTTATTCATAGCAGAAAAAAAATCAAGATCCTGTTGGCAAGGATGATGCGAGCTATTTGGTAGGAATCCAAGGAAATGCTTACCTCTGAGGAGTTCATTATCATCTGAGTTCTGGTGACAGTGTTATTGTTGACCCAGATTTCAAATTGATAGTCTTGCCATCTTTCTAGGGGACAGAGGTTTGTGTAGTGTGTGTGTGTGTGTGTGTGTGTGTGTGTGAGACAGAGAGAGAGTTGTCCTGTCTCATCCTGGGTGTCCTGTCCTGAGGACAGAAATGCTGTTTTACAGGCCATTGTGCTGATCCTGGCCCCAGGATTTTATTTTCAGAATGTTATTTGGCAAACCAGAATTCAGGACTCAGGGTTATTATTTAATCTTAAGAAAGTTTCTTGTTTTCTCTCCCTGAGGTATTTTGAAGATATCATTGAGGATACCCAAGCCTTTAAAGAGTAGACTTGTTGTGGAAGTAGAAATGTTTTATCAACATTCCTTGAATAGTGAAAGCCCTTGGCAGTTTTTCTTTTATTTATTTAAATCTCAAGTTCATTGATTTTTACATCTGCTCTGGAAAACTTGCTGTCCACTGGAATACAAGTTAGAGGTTTCTAAAACCATAGACTATTCTGCCTAACAGCAGAATTATATCAGTTCTTTATTATTTTTGTTCTACCTTAGATATAATTTGCTCTAAGTTAACCAATTTGTGCTTGCCCATATAGGTGTTATCTATGCAGGTGATAATGTACTTGATTTGGTTTCTGCTTGCTAAATTAAAATTGTCACTTACCTAGGTCCTAGAAATGATTGCTAAATTATTTTTGTTGGAATTAAGAGTGATCACCGCTCCTTTTTTTCATACATAGACACTCTCAACAAATCAGACCATTACAATAATTAAATGTAGTTATCCATATAAAGAACTTAACATACTGACTGACATGGCTGATCTGTGCATAGCAGATGTGAGATGCTACTAGTATTTTATAGTAGAGAATAAGAGGCCGGGTACAGTGGTTCATGCCTATAATCCCAGCACTTTGGGAGGCTGAGGTGGGTGGATTACCTGAAGCCAGGAGTTCGAGACCAGCCTGGCCAACATGGTGAAACCCCGTCTCTACTAATAACACAAAAATTAACTGGATGTGGTGGTATGCACCTGTAATGCCAGCTACTCGGAAGGCTGAGGCAGGAGAATCGCTTGAACCTGGGGGGCCGGAGGTTGCAGTGAGCTGAGCTCGTGCCATTGCACTCCAGCCTGGGCGACAAGAGCAGATGTAAAAACAGACAAAATGTAAAAAAAAAAAAACTCTGTCTCAAAAAAAAAAGATAGAGAATAAGAATTATGACACAGACCTCTCAGGATTATTATAGAATTTCAATTAAATATAATCCATATAGATGCCTAGTACAGTACCCAGCTTCTATACAGAACTCAATAAATGTTAATTTCATTCCTTTCCCTGACTACTAAACAAAACATCCAGAGGAGTAATAACACTGCCTTCATGATCCTACATCACTCCAACAAAATAATTTCCTCTTCTTGGAGGAGAGAAACCAATAAAGTCCAGTTTCAATTTATTTAGACTATTCTCTCATTTTGACAACATAAAATAAATCCCTGCTATGAAATAACCTCTTTGGTGATCTATGTGTAATGGTAACTCAGTGCCACCTAGTCCTTTTTGGATAAATATATTAAAAATATTGTTCCAAGAATACTAGCCCTCTGAAGAAACTGCCCATTACAGCCAGGGTGGAGTTATTGTAGGTAGCAGCGGGTGCTGGAGAGTGCAAGATTCGGGCATTTATAACTTTGAGTATTACTGCCTCCTTGAAAGAATTTGCTATTTACTTCCAACTGAAGACAATTAGACTTCAATTCCAAAGCCACACATCAGGTAAGTGAAAGAGAAGAGGCAAGGAGCAGTGACTCTGAGTATTTTAGGTGGAAGGGTTCTTACCTTTTGTGGTTAGTCAGGTGAAGTATAAAACATCAATAACAATGCTCTTTAATGCTGGAAATTGCATTTGGGGAGCTTACCTGTTCTAAGATCTTCCTGAGAATGAATTTTCTGTAAGGCTTTTTAGAAGCACATTTCTACCACTGATTATAAGATGCTTCCTTCACAAACCCAATGGTAAAAACTCCAAAGCAATTTTCACAAATTGCAACATTCCAGGGTAGATGATGTTTGAAGTACAATTTCCATGCAATTGAAGATTACTTGGTTAGAAAGTTTTGATCTTCTGTTATAGATAAGCATTAATTCTTCCATGAAGTAAACCAGGAAATTATTCATGCCCTTTTATAGTCTTATTTTAGAAAACATGTTAATTGGTGCATTAATGTCACCAAGTCATCCTCCTCAAATAAATGATAGTTTTTACTTGTCCTGTCTCAGCATGTATAAAATGGTTGGCTCTGGTTTGGCAATTGTGATAATTAGTGGTTTGGGGAAAGCATAAGTGATGGAAGTTTGAGTATATGTATTATAAATTCATTAATGTATCCATTTCTGTGTACTTTATGCAAAAGTTTATAAATGTCAAAAACATTATTGAATATTTCCCATAGAGATTAAACTGCCCACTGTTCTACAAGTAATCGAGGTGTATGGCTAAATTGTTGGGTAGGATTTTCAGCTCTTATAATAACTGTTGACTCTTCCACTTGCATTTTTGTAAAGCATGTGGTTACATGCATAGTATGGTTCTCAGAATACAGTAAATATCCACTCAGTATCTGTTGAAACAATAATAGTAACAGAATAAGGGCCCTTCATAGTGAGGTTAAATGAGATATAAACACCTAGCATAGTGATTGTGCAGCAGTACTGAGCTTCAGTTTGCATATTGGCAGTTCATGATGCTGTCAGAGTACACAGGCAAAGTGTGTGGTTGTCCAGCTGCTCATGAAAGGAAGGGAGAAGGGTGGTGAATGGCATCCATATACTACAGGATATCTAAGTATTATTTGTGTAGCAACGTATAAGCGGAAGAAAGCAACACTTTAAAATAGATTAGCATAGTTCCCAGTTAAGTTGTACTTGATGACTTTTGCTTTAATTTTATAATCTGAACTATTGTTACTGGTGGAGGGTGTCCAGGTTCTTGGCGTTTTGAACAAAGAATCAGACAAGATGTACAAACAAAGCAAGGAAAGAATGAAGCAACAAATGCAGAGATTTATTGAAAATGAAATTACACTCTACAGGTGAGAGTGAGCCCGAGCAAGCAGCTCAAGAGTGCTGCTTACAGAATTTTCTGGGATTTAATTCCCTCTAGAAGTTTTCCATTGGTTACTTGGTGTATCCCATATGTAAATGAAGAGGATGAAGTACAGTTACAAAGTTATTTACTTGGTGTACACCCTATGCAAATGAAGATTATGTTTCCTGCAGTAGCTGATATGAAATTATAAAATTATTTACATGGGCTTACAAGGTTTGGGTTTTTCCAACTGGGCCCAGTGGCTCTCATGCCTGTAATCCCAGCACTTTGGGAGGCCAAGGCAGGTGGATCACTTGAGGTCAAGAGTTCAAGACCAGCCTGGCCAACATGGTGAAACCTTGTCTCTACTAAAGATACAAAAATTAGCCGGGCGTGGTCGTGCACACCTGTAATCCCAGCTACTTGGGAGGCTGAGACAAAAAGAATCGCTTGAACCCAGGAGGCAGAGGTTGCAGTGAGCCTAGATCAAACCACTGCACTCCAGCCTGAATGACAGAGCAATACTCTGTCTCATAAAAAAAAATAAAAAAAAAAAAAAGAAGAAGAAGAAGGTTCGGGTTTTTCCTTAGTTGAGTTCTAGGAGGTCCTTAGGTTCCCTGCCTCCAGACCCTTTTCCTGCTTCACTATGAAACACCTCTACATTTGTTGCTACCACATTATGGTGGCAAATGCATAAACCTTAGAGTCAGAAAAGTATTCAAAATGTTATTGTGTCATTGTGAACACTTTTCTCACTTAAAAATGGTGACTTTGAAAGATTATAGAGAATAAAGGCAGATACTGTCTTATAAAGTCCCTAGAATATAGCCAGGCATATGCTAGATATCACATGAGTATCCTAAAAACTGCATCCTTGCTGTCTTTATTGTTGTTGTTAAGATTTTTCTTCATTAATTCCTAGAGCATTATCCTTTAAGCCACATGATCCACCTTATATCAACTTTTATAGGTGACAAGCTTACTTTAGAATTAACGTTAGGAAAACTTTTTCTGTTCTTGAAGCAAGCATCCTTTTTTTCTGATAGAGATACGTAGAGTATTATATTACTATTTTTGTCATTGCTAACAGAAAACAGTCAAATTTTACTTTTACCTCATAGCTCCAGTAATAATTCCAAAGTGACTAAAAATATTTTTTTAAGAAGTCCATAATTCTAATTTTTCTAACTCTGTTTTTTTTTGGGAGGATTATGACTTTTGTAAATCACCTTAAATTATTTTTCTGAAAGACATTTGATATAATTAAATGAAAGTGTTTACAACATGACTAAAATTGATAAATATTGCCATAATTTATGCTTCACATTTTTGGTATAAATTTGACTTCATTTGTGCTTATAAATATCTTAAATTTTTAAAGATTATATTATAAACTAGTTATGCCATAAATTTTGTTCCATTTTTGTTATCTAGGTTTGAACTGCATGTTTTTATGACCCATTTTAAAGATTGAGAGAGAGATTTATATGTCTTTATTTACATCAGATATAGACAGTTGTGACACAAAACTACATTTTATTCCATAATATTTAATTTTAGCTTTAGGATAAATGGTAATTTTCCTGAAGCATGTCAGTTCATCTATTGATTAAGTAATTGAGAAGACAGTACCCCATTCTAAAATGAAACATGAGTTCAATCTTTAAAGCTCTATTCTATCAAGCCCACTTCTGTGTCATAGTTTTATTTAGAGCCAGTCTACTCCAAATACAAAGATATGTAGACTTTTGTTTTAAAAACAGTGCACCTGTTCAAACTCCAGTTTCTGGGTCTAGACTCGGTCGTAGCAGCACATTTGTTTTAATGCTATTGTAGTACATGAGACAAATAGCAAAAAATCTGTCCTTTCATCAACCCATTCACCAAGCACTGAGCACCTATGACATGAAGCATTATGTATACAAAGATTATTAACATATGTTCCCTACTCTAAGAGCATTCATAGGTTGGAATAGAAAGAAATGTCTGTAGATGAATAATTGTAGCATGGCATGACAAACACCGAAGTTGAGGTTTGCAGGAATTCCAGTGGTTCCATAAAGCAGGTGGTTCAGAAAAATAATTTTATTGCAGGTGATATTTAAGTTAGTTCTTTAGTAATACTGGGAATTTTCCAGGTGGACAAAGGAGGAAAATGTATTCCAAACATGTACAAAGATAGTGAAGTGGAATCGACAGAACACATTCAGGAAACTAAATATATTTTTAAATATACGCATTGGTAAGGAATAGCAGAACCCAAAGCCATCTGTTGTGACTGTGAAACTTAAATCCCTGATAGATGAGGGTGCCCTCCTTGTCTCTGTAATGATTGCCAGCATCAGTTTGTATGCATACTCTGATCTGAGAGAAGCCTCAGTGTCTTACCCATCTCTGAGCCTTTAGCCAAGACAATGCCTTTAATCCATTCATTCATCATTCATTCATTCAACAGGGCCAGTTACAGTGCTGGGTCCTCAGAAGATGATGATGAGCAAGACAGATAAAATCCATATTCTTGCACTCTAGAGGTGGAGAGCCAGATAAACAAATAGAAAGAGAACCCCAGGAAGAAAACAATTCAGGCTAATGTAATGGATAGTGACTGGAGATTGCTTCTAGATTGGGTGGTCACTGAAAGACTCTCTGAAGAGATGACTTTTAAGCTAACACTTGAATGGCAGGGAAGCATCAGCTATGCAAATATAAATGAGACCATTCTACATTGAGGGAACAACAAGAGGAAATGCCCCAGGGAAGGAACAAGCTCAGCTCTTTCAAGTAACCAAGAGAAGGTCAGTTTGGCTGGAGCAGAGGGAGGTAGGGACCAGACCACACAGGGCTTTGCAGAATGAAAGAATAAGTTTGAATTTTATCTTTAATGCAAGGGGAAGCTACTGAACGTTTTAAGCAGGAAAGAAACATGATTTGCTTTACATTTAAAAGAGAACACTGCATGAAGAACTGTCTGTAGTAGAACAAGAAAGGAGGCAAGGAGACAAACTGAGGCTTTTGAGTAATACAGAACACCTTAGATTAGGCCAATGGCAGTGGAAATGGTGTGAAGATAACAGATTAGGGACATACGCTGGACAATGAGTGATAAGTCTTGCTGTTGAACTAGCTCTCTAACAAAGAGGCAAAGAAAGGAAACGGGCAACTGTGCAGACTTTTTATAAGGAAAGAAGCAACATCAGAGACCCAGTTTAAAAATAGCATGAAAATAACAGTTATAGTAGCAAGTACTTAGATAAATGCTTACTCTGTGTCAGACACTGTTCTAGGAATGGATACATACACTAACTCATTTAATTATCACAGCAACCCTATGACTTCATTATTATTTTTATTATTATTGTTTGTAATTAACAGAGGAAACTGAATCAGAGACATGTCAACTTGCCCAAGGTTATAGAGCTGGTCACAGTTTCACCTTAAGACCTTTGCACAATGAGGCTGGGCGAGGTGGCTCATGCCTGTAATCTCAGCACTTTGGGAGGCCAAGGTGGGCAGATCACAAGGTCAGGAGTTCAAGACCAGCCTGGCCAATATGGTGAAACCCCGTCTGTACTAAAAATAAAAAAATTAGCTGGGCGTGGTGGCAGGCACCTGTAGTCCCAGCTACTCAGGAGGCTGAGGCAGAAGAATCACTTGAACCCAGGAGGTGGAGGTTGCAGTTAGCCGAGATGGGGCCACTGCACTCCAGCCTGGGAGACAGAGCAGGACTCTGTCTCAAAAAAAAAAAGAAAAAGAAAAAGACCTTTGCACAGTGAATTCTATCACCTCTTACTAGTCTTTGCTCAAATGTCACCTTCTCATTGATGACTACCCTAACCACTCTACTTAAAATTGTAACACCAGGGCTCTCTCCCACTATACTCCCAGTTACATCCTGCTCTAAAGTACCAAATATTGTGCTTATTCATGTGGTTTACCTCCTCCTACTAGATTATGAGCGACATGATGACAAGGGTTTGATCAGTTTTGTTCACTGTTGTATCTTGTGTTTGAACAATCCCTGGAACATAGTGGATAATCAATAAATGATTGCTGATTAATAATGAACAGATAAATGAATCATTGAAGTAGTAGAGCTGGGTTTCCAACCCGGGTGGCCTGACTGTGGAGTCTACGTGCCTACTTACCATAAATATTCCCTCTCAGGATCATATGGAAACATGACTCTTGCTCCTCAGTCTGCAGAAGGCCTGCAGACTAAACTGATCCAAGTACAAAGCTACAAAACGGAATTGATGCTAAGTAACTTAGAAGGTTCTTATATTTCCAGCCTCATCTCTTTCCCCTCAACTCCTCTTCTGTCTGGAGCACTCTTCCTCTTTACTGCTTTGCATGAGCAGCTGCATTGTGTCTTCACAATTTCAAGGAAAATAATAGGTCTTCTGGAAAGGGTGTCTTTAATCAGCCACCACTGAGTTAGGTGCTCTTTCCGTGTTGCTCATTGAACTTTGCCTTTCCCCTCATAATTGGCCAGACTGTGTTGTATCTAACCAAGCTGTACTATGTTTATCTCAGAGAGTTCCCCCACTACCTGGCAAACACTGACATCAAGTAGGTGTTCAAAAAATGTACTGAATTGAACTTAATGACTGTAAGACTCAAAATATAAGCACTGTATAAATAGACTGCCCCAAGTCTATAAAGAGTTAATGCTAACCAGTTTGCACTGCTTAGGGGCTTTGAGAATGATGGCTACAAATAGTTCATTTTGAATTATGTTATAATCAAGGCAAGCCTGTGTTCTCCTCACCCATCCCCATATCACTTAAAGAGCCAACTGAAAAAGTAAAGTTAAATTCTAAAATCCTTTGAACCATTGAAAGCGTATATTTTAGATTAAAATCCGTTTTCAATTGGCTGAAGCCACCACAATTGAAGCCAATTGAATATGAATTTAAACATGTCTGAGTTGTAATAATACAGACAGGGTTGTGTTTACCACATACAAAAATTTAAGCAATATGGATTATTTGGTAATGTAGAGAGTCTTTAGGAAGCAATTTATATTCTGTAGATTGGAGGAAATAAGACCTCAAAAGAAGATCTAATTACATTTTTGTATTGATATTTTAGGAAAATTTGTTTTAGCAATATACTAGCACATAAGCCCCACCAATGAACTAATCTGAAATTTAAATCAAAATAACTTGTATTCGTCTCTTCTAGTTTCTGATGATTCATTTTTTTCTGAGATGTAGAAGAACAGCAATATAATCTCTTTCATGTAACTAGTTTAATTTTTCATAAGCAGCCCTAAAGTAAAAAAAAAAAAGAAAAACTTGAGAACATAATATGTAATTGAATCATATTGGAACAAGAACAGCAGAAGGTAATGAAGATTTAGGTAGGGGATAGATTTCACACTGTTCCTCCTACCTTCCTTTGCAGGCACATCAGTGGAGCTGAGATTTCTGGTTAGAAAAATCAATAGGAATTTACAGCAAAGCTTGGAGGAGGGCATTCTGATGTGACTAAGAAACTCTGAAGGCAATCGTTACTCAATGCAGAAGCAACTCCTTTCTATTGCTGCGGGAGGGGATGAGTGGATAAAAAAAAAAAATTGAGTGATGTGAGGACCCTAGCTGAATAGTGATAGAGAAATTCTCAGTAATTCTTTTTCTTTTACTTTTACTTTTTTTTTTCCAGTCGTTTATTTAACCACTTCATTAATTCAAAGGTTTATTGCATGCCTACCATAGATCAGACTCTCTAAGGGCATGTGTAATCAAGAAATAAATGAGGCACAACCCCTAGCCCTAAGGATCTCAAGGTGTAGAGAGGGAGGCAAACAAGAAAAGTAATCATTAAAATGCAAGGTGATGATTACCATCACAGAGATGATGTACCTGCCGAGTCTTGCCTGGCCTATGGAACTCAGGAAGGAATCCATAGGAGGCAATACTTGGACTGCATCCACATAGAAAATGGTAGAAATCTTCTGTGAAAAATAGACCCAAGGTATAGCATTCTAGGCAGAAACATCCACATGGGTAAAGAGCTTGGCACTCTTTCAAGTAGGATTAGGTTTAGCTGTAACTAGCAGAAAAATAGCAAATAATATTCGTTTATGCAAAAGAGACATTCATTTCTGTCTCACATAAAGTTCAAGCTGGTACAGTCCTCAGGACTTTTTCTAACTCACCTCTCTACTATCTCTGGGTGTGACCCGCATTTTCTTGGTGCAAATTGTAATCTGTATTTAGGCAGCAGTTTAACGAAAAGGAGGGAAAAGGGGTGGGTTGAAGTATGTACCCTAGCTCTCTCTTAAAGACCACTTTGGGAAGTCACCCCATTAAACTCTCTTTTATGTCTCATCTCCCAAAATCTGGGGACATTTAGCAGCAAAGAAAGCTGGAATTTGTGGTATATGCTCCTGGAGGCCATTTGTCCAGTGAAAATTCTATTATTGTGGAAGATGAGGAGACAGGATTATGGAAAATACCAATAGCTTTGTCTGTAAGCAGTAAATAGTAGGATGGTGAAGAAGTGGCCAGTATTTCCACATGGCTTAGACTGAGGGAACAGGAGCAGGGGAAAAGGACAGGGGCAGCGGGGAGAATGGCATGACCCAAAGATGGAGGCA